>NC_000003.12:6260000-7510000 GCF_000001405.40 Homo sapiens
TTATTACCATTTTTTGGAAGACTTACCATAAATTCTTTCCCAAGGCTGACATCCAGAATGGTATTTTCTATATTTTCTTCCAGGATTCTTACAGTTTGAGGTTTTATGTTTAAATCTTTAATTCATCATGAGTTAATTTTAGCTAGCAAAGATTGTCTTATGTAGAAGAAACCTCACAAGTAGCAGCCCTCAGAGAGAATGGATGGTAAATTTTCTTTCATACCTTTAAAGGTGTCAGACTCTTATTTAATCTTTCCTGGATTTGGACAAGAGAAGGACTGGCTGCATTAAGGCAAATTCTCTACAGATGTAAATCTCCTCCACAAAAGACAGCTTTGCAAGGCAACTTCTGTTTGCTGGCCCCGATAGCCGTCTCAAAATATGTCAAAGAATTATACTGTGGAGTGAAATATGTTTATTTCGTTCACATCTACTTATTAATTTTGTGGTAATATTCGCCAAGTTTCTCTTTTATTATTAGGAAGCAGGGTTTTCTCATTTCACAAGGAGGGGCAGGATTTATTCACCCTTGGTGCATCGGTAAAACAAGATACAATCCTATTTGGTCAGTATGTTCCATTTCTATTGCTTTTGGTTCAGGGTTGGGAATGTGAAACAAGGCAGGTAAAGCAGAGGTCATCTCGGTACATTTTTTTGACATGCCTGTGAAAGAGAAGCTCTTCTGTGGCTGGTGATGCAGCTGTACATGTGCCTGAGCCTGAAGCAGACAAATGAAACTCAAAGCCAGGACATAGAAGGAGTGACTAAGTTCAGGTCCCAGTGACATCATGCAAGGTCTTGAATCCAGCCACGACTGAATGAACTTTTCAGTTATGAAAGCCGAGAAATTTGTTGTATGGCTTAATAATTTTAAGTTCAGTTTCTCAAAGAAAACTTGGGTGAGAAAAAACTAGCACAATGCCTGTTCTCCCACACCACCTGTCCCCAACCCTGCTATTCCTAGTTCATGAGCTCTGGCCCTTTGAGAGCTTAGCATGGTCACTGCTGAATGATGGCTCAGTCACCAGCAGGAGAGACAGTCCTCCAAAGAGTACTTGGCCTGTGGGCAACAGATTAAAATAAAAAATAAATTGTGATGCGAACACGTCTCATGAGAACTCTTAGAAATAGCAGGAAAGATGCTGAGAGGGGGCTGATGGCTAATGATCACATAGGCAGAGCTAAATACTCTGGGAATCTGAGCATTGGTGCTATATGACCTCAGTTGTATTGAATAACAGTTCACCTGGAATATTTGAGTTACCTAAACCATAGGGTGTAGTCAGCAAGAGGCAAAGTTAGAATCGTCATTCTAAAGAGTGAGAATAGTGTTGACAGACAAAAGCATGAGAAAACATGATGTATGTGGGTAATAGCGTATTGTTGGGTATGAACAGAGCAATGAGATTATGCTTTTAGGGGAAGAGGGTGTAACATTAGAGATAGATGGAGCTAGCTCATTTTTTGTTTATTAAATATTAATGCCTACACTGCACTCTTTAGCCTGATATCCAAGATCCATTTTCATATCATGTCTCCCCTTCAAACTTCTCTACATCCAAACTCTTCTTTCTCCACTGAGCTGATGTATTTCTTCCTTCCAGTTTTTGCTCAAAACTATTCTCCCCACCTGGACTATCCTCCTCTGGCAGTTGCACCCATTCCATTTGCCAGATGCTAGTGATGAATTGCTTTGCATAATAATTTATCTATTTAAAGTGCATCCACATTATCTTACCAAAATAAGCTGTAAGTTCACTGAGGGGCAAAGGAGAGAACATTATGCTCCTCACTTTCTACCTCTCAACAGAGCTGACTTAGTCCAGAGAATGTAGTTTCCAATAAGCAAAAGTTTGAGGGTTTATGGATAAGATCCGAGCATATCAGCTTGTGGCTTTCCTTCAGCTTTTTATGTTCTTAGGGAATCCTGGGATCAGGCCATACACCTGGATGTCATACCTTCTTTAAATGGATTTGGAAGGTATCACTTTGATCACCCTCTGGAAACAGACATCTTTGCTCTCAACACCTCAGTAGGTCCTGGAAAGATCTCAAAGCCTCCCTGTCTCTGTTAAGTGGCACCAGCTGCAAGGCTTTCAGAGACTAGCAGCTGTGGAAAGAGAGGTTCCATAGTGGAAAGTTTGTGGCACCTGCTACCGATTATATCGGGTCATAGGGTTTCCCAGGAGTAGTTGTTTTGTTTATTTTCTTCCCCAACCTGCAAAAGCATTACATTCCTCCTAGCAGCTTTGCAGTTGACTCAGCTGTGTGACCTGCTAACAATCCCCAGAGCTATCTTCCCCTGGGGAAGGTGAACCTTAGCACACAACTGAACACACAGAGAAAGGGCACTTAGTGAGATGAAGTGCCACTGACTGGATACTCATAAGCTCTCATCACAAAGACCAGGGGTCTTGCTTTTCTAGCTTCTGAAATGTATAGACCCATTTTAGAAATTGCATGTTTCCTTTCTGTGAGAGAGTTTACCTCCTCAAATTTAAATACTAGAAAGACTATCTAATAGCCCCCCTCATCTTTAAATACTAGAAAGACTAATAGCCTAATCACATGAAGTATCAAAAGGGAACTGACTGGCACCTTGATGGATAAGAATGATGTAGAAGATTGTTTACCAAATTATGCACTTTGGATAACTAGTTCTGCAGAAGGCTAATAGGTGTTACAGGAGAATGGGCTTCTGTGATAAAACAGGTTAGAGAATTTCTGAGTTTTCTTTTTTTTTAACCATAAGATTTCTCAGAGCCTGGAATTTACTTATGTGCCTGGCAAATCTCCAAAAGATGGCTATAGAGTACAGCATTTGCCAACTTACTTGACCACACAAAACTTTCCATGAAGAAATACAAATTCTCACCTTCCTGGAATGGACATTTCTGGGGAAAGCTATTTTAGATCTTCTCATGAGCAGGAAAAGGGGAGATAAATTATAGTTTCCTTGCTAATGAAGTCATCCTAAGTGTTCTTAGGCAGGTTCCACAACTTTAAACAAACTGACCATTTCTGTTTCTATATGTGAATCTACATATGCATTCATTTATTCATTCAATAAAAATCCATGATGGTAGACACTTACTATATTGAGCCTCACCTTTCTTCTAGGTCCATTATAAGTCTTCTCTATGATATAAACTGTGACTCTGTTCCCTCTAGTTATGTAGTTCTCCTCCATGTCTTACAGGAAGATCTGTAGCAGAGCCTTATAACTTTCTCTAAATGAAAAATTTCATGGATCTCTCTACATGATGACAGTTTTATTTTTATGATCTGTTAGTTGAGTGCCACATAAGAACAAGATTTTATGAATTTATTAAAATACTATGTTTGTATTTATTCTTAACAGCATGCTAAAATTCTGTTTCATGTCTGTATGAAACATAGCAGCACTTCAGTTTGCAGACAGTACTTTTTGCACGTGTAGATTAAATAACCTGTTGCAATAACTCCAGTGTCCCTAAAAGCTCTTCAGCCCACCTAATGAAACACATTGCTCTAGAGAATTGTTTAATAAATGAGAGAGACCTGCGTTTAAATCTGAACTTAGCCACTGACAAGCTGGATGACTCTGAATAAATTAATTTCTCTAAGCCTCATTTATGAAGATTATTTGAGGATTAGATAAGTTCACACAAACAGGGACAATGCTTGACAGGTGGTAGATCCCCTCACCTTCCCTTTCATTGAACTCAGACATAAAGCTGTAGTCAGAAAACACATTTTGAGACAAAAGTGCCATTGTTGTGTAGTTGTCTTTTCATGTTGTAGTTCTAAAGCAAATGTAAAAAGGGATAATTCTCATAATTATTGATATTCTGAATTTTAAAATGACATGAAGTTAGACAAATTATATTAAGGTCTTTGTGCCAGACATTGTGCTAAGTGCTTTACATAGCTTAATTCATTTGATCCCCACAAGCATCTTACGGAAAACTAAGGCAAATGGCTTCCAAAATGTGCCAAGTTTCTATATCTGGAAGTTGGTGGACTTAGCTTTCAAATAAAAAGTTTGATTCCAGCGCCATGTTCTTCTGTTTTTGGACACACACACACACAAACAGAACTATGTGAAGGGTTTCTGTGCTCTCAGACCCTGTGTCAGGTGAACATTTAAAAACCCTGTTATTTGCCTAAGAATAGTTATCCTATCATTAGGAAATTAATATATGTATTTAATTTTGCCAACCCCATTGCTATACCAACATATGAAAATTGCTGAATCATGCTGAGAAATAGTCATTTTCAGCTATATTAAAGTTGACTAATGAACTTTCCTAAATATCTGAATGTATTACTCTAGTAAGACATTTCAGTGTTTTAAATAGCTGTTAGAAACGGTAAGTTTTCTATGAAGACCTGTGTTAAGAAATAACAAAGTTGGGAGATACTCAAAGGTCATCTTGTTTATTCTTCTGAGTGTAAGTAGCAAAATTTATTCAGCACCCATTATTTCACTGCATTTAAGACTCTACGACTATGCTTCCAAGACTGTGACAGTTACTGGAGACACAAGAAAAAGAAAAAATTCTTTGACTTTGCAGAGCTCAAGATCGAGGAGGAACAGGTCACCTGGCCTTGCTAATGGAAACATGTGCAAGGAGCTTATCAAGACTGGGGAAGACAGGTATAACATAAAGTAGTTCAAAATAGAATAGACTTCACAATTTCATTTGATAACTGATAAAAGCATATGATGACTATACAGGTTGAGAATCCCTAATCCAAAAATCTGAAACCTGAAATGCTCCAAAATCTGAAACTTTTTGAATCCTGGCATGATGCCACAAATGGAAAATTCTACCCCTGACCTCGCAGTCAAAATGCAGGCAATGGCGCAGCTTGTTCAGTTTCCCCAAGGGAAAAAAAACACCTTCATCTGTGATATATCTATGCCACATCAGCCCAGATTTCCCCATGGAAATACATCCACAAAGGATATTAAAATGGCATGTGTGCAGGCCAGACACACTAGTGGTAGGTTCCCCACAATGCCCTACATGGGGACAAGATCTGTGTGCATTACTCATTTTGTTTTGCTTGTTCTCTGTGATAAAAGATATTGTTGAAAAGGTCAACAGACCTGCAGATACCCCTATTAATTAGTAACAGGGATTTTAAAAAGGGGAAACATTTATGTCTATCTATAGGACAGAAAGTCAAGCTGTTGGAGAACAACTGGACAGCAGTATCAATCTGAAATGCCTTACAGTAGAGTATGGTGTTGGAGTGGCTATTGTACATGACCTGAAGAAAGAGAAGGACAAACCGTTGAAGTTTTATGCTGAAAGTGATGAACATAAGTTAAAAAACATTTTTTAAAATACTCTGTATAGCTAAAAATGAAGATCTCAATTGTGTATTGAAATGTCAGAGTCACGGTGAACACGTGCCACTTAAGAGCATGCTGATCATGAAACAGACAAAGATATATAACAATGAACTGAAAATTGAAAGCAACCTAAATATTCAACAGGCCGATTGCAGAAAATTTAGGAAAATATGTGGCATTATTTTTTAAAGATTTTTGTTGATAAAGTATCTGCTGATCATGAATCAGTGAAGAATTTCATTGACAAGTTTACCAAAGTCATTGTTGATGAAATCTGATGCCAGAACAACTCTATAATGCTGATGAAACATCACTGTTTTGGCATTATTGCTTCAGAAAGATACCAAGTTTAGCAGATGAGACAGTCCCAATAAGAATTATGGATGTCAAGGAGAGAATAACTATGCTGGGATGTGCGAATGCAGCAGACAGACATAAACATAAACTTGCTGTGATAGACAAAAGCTTGCAGCCTCACTGTTTTCAAGTAGTAAGCGTGTTGCCAGTCCATTTTTTATGCTAACACATAGACAAATATTATCAGGGATATCTTTTCTGATTGGTTTCACAAATACTTTGTAGCAGTGGCTCATGTTCACTGCAGGGAAGGTGGACTGAATGATGACTGCAATATTTTGTTCTCCCTTGACAACTATTCTGCTCCTCTTCCAGCTGAAATTCTCATTAAAACAAATGTTTATGTCATATACTTTTCCTCAAACGTGACTATTAAGTCATGTGACCAGGATCTCCTTAGATCAATGAAAAGTAAACATAAAAGTATTTTCTTGAATACCACGCTAGCAGCAGTGAACAGAGACATGGGTCTGGAAGGTTTTCAAAAGGACTTTAGCATGAAGGATGCCACATATACCATTGCCAGTGCTTGGAACACAGTGACTGAGGACACAGTTGTGCATGTCTGGCACAACCTCTGCCTTGTGACTATGTTCAGTGATGATGAACGAGGTAGTAACTTTGAAGAATTCCATACATCACGTGACGAAAAAAACTGATGTCTAACCTCCTTACAAAAGCACAAAATACACCTTCAGAGTCCATCAGTAAGCTGGAAGAAGTGAATATTGAAGAACTTGTTTAACATTGATAATGAGACTTCAGTTGTTCATTCATTCACTGATGGTGACATAGCCAATATGCTTTTGAATCTAGATGATCGTAATAATAGCAATGATAAAAATGACTTTATTAACACTGCAGAAAAAGTGCCTGTAGACAACATAGGAAAAATGTGTGATGGACCTGTTGAAGGATTAGAGCAGCATGGAGTTGTAACAGAATAAGAAGTCATGTCAGTTTATAAAATCAGAGAGTCTTCTAAGACAAAACTGTTGTTACTAAGACAGATGAGTCTGGAAGAAGCATTTTAAAAAGCCATCCAGCAGAATGCCTCCTCATCCCTATGTGATACACCTTCTGGTCCCTCAGCTATTTCTGATGTTTTCCCATCTAAAAAAAAATAATATTAATAAAGTATACAGTAACCTTTTAAATTAAAAAAAAAAAAACACTGTAAGTGGAGAAAAAAGCCTGCCATCATTTACTGTTTTTATTTTATTATTATTAAACTTTAAGTTTAAGGGTACATGTGCACAATGTGCAGGTCAGTTACATATGTATACATGTGCCATGCTGGTGTGCTGCACCCATTAACTCATCACGTAGCATTAGGTATATCTCCTAAAGCTATCCCTCCCCCCACCCCACAACCGTCCCCAGAGTGTGATGTTCCCCTTCCTGTGTCCATGTGTTCTCATTGTTCCATTCCCACCTATGAGTGAGAACATGAGGTGTTTGGTTTTTTGTTCTTGTGATAGTTTACTGAGAATGATGATTTCCAATTTCATCCATGTCCCTACAAAGGACATGAACTCATCATTTTTTATGGCTGCATAGTATTCCATGGTGTATATGTGCCACATTTTCTTAATCCAGTCTATCATTGTTGGACATTTGGGTTGGTTCAAGTCTTTGCTATTGTGAATAGTGCCACAGTAAACATACGTCTGCATGTGTCTTTATAGCAGCATGATTTATAGTCCTTTGGGTATATACTCAGTAATGGGATGGCTGGGTCAAATGGTATTTCTAGTTCTAGATCCCTGAGGAATCGCCACACTGACTTCCACAATGGCTGAACTAGTTTACAGTCCCACCAACAGTGTAAAAGTGTTCCTATTTCTCCACATCCTCTTCAGCACCTGTTGTTTCCTGACTTTTTAATGATTGCCGTTCTAACTGGAGTGCGATGGTATCTCATTGTGGTTTTGATTTGCATTTCTCTGATGGCCAGTGATGGTGAGCATTTTTTCATGTTTTTTGGCTACATAAATGTCTTCTTTTGAGAAGTGTCTGTTCATGACCTTTGCCCACTTTTTGATGGGGTTGTTTGTTTCTTGTAAATTTGTTTGAGTTCATTGTAGATTCTGGATATTAGCCCTTTGTCAGATGAGTAGGTTGTGAAAATTTTCTCCCATTTTGTAGGTTGCCTGTTCACTCTGATGGTAGTTTCTTTTGCTGTGCAGAAGCTCTTTAGTTTAATTAGATCCCATTTGTCAATTTTGGCTTTTGTTGCCATTGCTTTTGGTGTTTTAGACATGAAGTCCTTGCCTATGCCTATGTCCTGAATGGTAATGCCTAGGTTTTCTTCTAGGGTTTTTACGGTTTTTATGGTTTTAGGTCTAACATTTAAGTCTTTAATCCATCTTGAATTAATTTTTGTATAAGGTGTAAGGAAGGGATCCAGTTTCAGCTTTCTACATAGGGCTAGCCAGTTTTCCCAGCACCATTTATTAAATAGGGAATCCTTTCCCCATTGCTTGTTTTTCTCAGGTTTGTCAAAGATCAGATAGTGGTAGATATGTGGCATTATTTCTGAGGGCTCTGTTCTGTTCCATTGATCTATATCTCTGTTTTGGTACCAGTACCATGCTGTTTTGGTTACTGTAGCCTTGTAGTATAGTTTGAAGTCAGGTAGTGTGATGCCTCCAGCTTTGTTCTTTTGGCTTAGGATTGACTTGGCGATGCGGGCTCTTTTTTGGTTCCATATGAACTTTAAAGTAGTTTTTTCCAATTCTGTGAAGAAAGTCATTGGTAGCCTGATGGGGATGGCATTGAATCTATAAATTACCTTGGGCAGTATGGCCATTTTCAGTATATTGATTCTTCCTACCCATGAGCATGGAATGTTCTTCCATTTGTTTGTATCCTCTTTTACTTCATTGAGCAGTGGTTTGTAGTTCTCCTTGAAGAGGTCCTTCACATCCCTTGTAAGTTGGATTCCTAGGTATCTTATTCTCTTTGAAGCAATTGTGAATGGGAGTTCACTCATGATTTGGCTCTCTGTTAGTCTGTTATTGGTGTATAAGAATGCTTGTGATTTTTGTACATTGATTTTGTATCCTGAGACTTTGCTGAAGTTGCTTATCAGCTTAAGGAGATTTTGGGCTGAGACAATGGGGTTTTCTAGATATACGGTCATGTCATCTGCAAACAGGGACAATTTGACTTCCTCTTTTCCTAATTGAATATCCTTTATTTCCTTCTCCTGCCTAATAGCCCTGGCCAGAACTTCTAACACTATGTTGAGTAGGAGTGGTGAGAGAGGGCATCCCTGTCTTGTGCCAGTTTTCAAAGGGAATGCTTCCAGTTTTTGCCCATTCAGTATGATATTGGCTGTGGGTCTGTCATAGATAGCTCTTATTATTTTGAGATACGTCCCATCAATACTTAATTTATTGAGAGTTTTTAGCAGGAAGGGCTGTTGAATTTTGTCAAAGGCCTTTTCTGCATCTATTGAGATAATCATGTGGTTTTTGTCTTTGGTTCTGTTTATATGATGGATTACGTTTATTGATTTGCATATGTTGAACCAGGCTTGCATCCCAGGGATGAAGCCCACTTGATCATGGTGGATAAGCTTTTTGATGTGCTGCTGGATTCGGTTTGCCAGTATTTAATTGAGGATTTTTGCATCAATGTTCATCAAGGATATTGGTCTAAAATTCTCTTTTTTGGTTGTGTCTCTGCCCGGCTTTGGTATCAGGATGATGCTGGCCTCATAAAGTGAGTTAGGGAGGATTCCCTCTTTTTCTATTGATTGGAATAGTTTCAGAAGGAATGGTACCAGTTCCTCCTTGTACCTCTGGTAGAATTCGGTTGTGAATCCATCTGGTCCTGGACTCTTTTTGGTTGGTAAGCTATTGATTATTGCCACAATTTCAGATCCTGTTATTGGTCTCTTCAGAGATTCAACTTCTTCCTGGTTTAGTCTTGGGAGAGTGTACGTGTCCAGGAATTTAACCATTTCTTCTAGATTTTCTAGTTTATTTGCGTAGAGGTGTTTGTAGTATTCTCTGATGGTAGTTTGTATTTCTGTGGGATCGGTGGTGATATCCCCTTTATCATTTTGTATTGTGTCTATTTGATTCTTCTCTCTTTTCTTCTTTATTAGTCTTGCTCTCGATCTATTTTGTTGATCCTTTCAAAAAACCAGCTCCTGGATTCATTAATTCCTTGAAGGGTTTTTTGTGTCTCTATTTCCTTCAGTTCTGCTCTGATTTATTTCTTGCCTTGGGCTAGCTTTTGAATGTGTTTGCTCTTGCTTTTCTAGTTCTTTTAATTGTGATGTTAGCGTGTCAATTTTGGATCTTTCCTGCTTTCTCTTGTGGGCATTTAGTGCTATAAATTTCCCTCTACACACTGCTTTGAATGTGTCCCAGAGATTCTGGTATGTTGTGTCTTTGTTCTCGTTGGTTTCAAAGAACATCTTTATTTCTGCCTTCATTTCGTTATGCACCCAGTAGTCTTTCAGGAGCAGGTTGTTCAGTTTCCATGTAGTTGAGCGGTTTTGAGCGAGTTTCTTAATCCTGAGTTCTAGTTTGATTGCACTGTGGTCTGTGAGACAGTTTAATTTGTGTTCTTTTACATTTGCTGAGGAGAGCTTTACTTCCAACTATGCGGTCAATTTTGGAATAGGTGTGGTGTGGTGCTGAAAAAATGTATATTCTGTTGATTTGGGATGGAGAGTTCTGTAGATGTCTATTAGGTCCGCCTGATGCAGAGCTGAGTTCAATTCCTGGGTATCCTTGTTAACTTTCTGTCTCGTTGATCTGTCTAATGTTGACAGTGGGGTGTTAAAGTCTCCCATTATTATTGTGTGGGAGTCTAAGTCTCTTTGCAGGTCACTCAGGACTTGCTTTATGAATCTGGGTGCTCCTGTATTGGGTGCATATATATTTAGGATAGTTAGCTCTTCTTGTTGAATTGATCCCTTTACCATTATGTAATGGCTTTCTTTGTCTCTTTTGATCTTTGTTGGTTTAAAGTCTGTTTTATCAGAGAGTAGGATTGCGACCCCTGCCTTTTTTTGTTTTCCATTTGCTTGGGAGATCTTCCTCCATCCTTTTATTTTGAGCCTATGTGTGTCTCTGCACATGAGATGGGTTTCCTGAACACAGCCCACTGATGGCTCTTGACTCTTTATCCAATTTGCCAGTCTGTGTCTTTTAATTGGAGCATTTAGTCCATTTAAAGTTAATATTGTTATGTGTAAATTTGATCCTGTCATTATGATGTTAGCTGGTTATTTTGCTTGTTAGTTGATGCAGTTTCCTCCTAGCCTCGATGGTCTTTACAATTTGGCATGATTTTGCAGTGGCTGGTACCGGTTGTTCCTTTCCATGTTTAGTGCTTCCTTCAGGAGCTCTTTTAGGGCAGGCCTGGTGGTGATGAAATCTCTCAGCATTTGCTTGTCCTTAAAGTATTTTATTTCTCTTTCACTTATGAAGCTTAGTTTGGCTGGATATGAAATTCTGGGTTGAAAATTCTTTTCTTTAAGAATGTTGAATATTGGCCCCCAGTCTCTTCTGGCTTGTAGAGTTTCTGCCAAGAGATCCGCTGTTAGTCTGATGGGCTTCCCTTTGTGGGTAACTCGACCTTTCTCTCTGGCTGCCCTTAACATTTTTTCCTTCATTTCAACTTTGGTGAATCTGACAATTATGTGTCTTGGAGTTGCTCTTCTCGAGGAGTATCTTTGTGGCGTTCTCTGTATTTCCTGAATCTGAACGTTGGCCTGCCTTGCTAGATTGGGGAAGTTCTCCTGGATAATATCCTGCAGAGTGTTTTCCAACTTGGTTCCATTCTCCCCTTCACTTTCAGGTACACCAATCAGACATAGATTTGGTCTTTTCACATAGTCCCATATTTCTTGGAGGCTTTGTTCATTTCTTTTTATTCTTTTTTCTCTAAACTTCCCTTCTCACTTCATTTCATTCATTTCATCTTCCATCACTGATACCCTTTCTTCCAGTTGATCGCATCGGCTCCTGAGGCTTCTGCATTCTTCACGTAGTTCTCGAGGCTTGGCTTTCAGCTCCATCAGCTCCTTTAAGCACTTCTCTGTGTTGGTTATTCTAGTTATACATTCTTCTAAATTTTTTTCAAAGTTTTCAGCTTCTTTGCCTTTGGTTTGAATTTCCTCCTGTAGCTCGGAGTAGTTTGATCATCTGAAGCCTTCTTCTCTCAACTCGTCAAAGTCATTCTCCATCCAGCTTTGTTCCGTTGCTGGTGAGGAGCTGCGTTCCTTTGGAGTAGGAGAGGCACTCTGCTTTTTAGAGTTTCCAGTTTTTCTGCTCTGTTTTTTCCCCATCTTTGTGGTTTTATCTACTTTTGATGATGGTGATGTACAGATGGGTTTTTGGTGTGGATGTCCTTTCTGTTTGTTAGTTTTCCTTCTAACAAACAGACAGGACTCTCAGCTGCAGGTCTGTTGGAGTTTGCTAGAGGTCCACTCCAGAACCTGTTTGCCTGGGCACCGGCAGTGGTGGCTGCAGAACAGCAGATTTTCGTGAACCGGGAATGCTGCTGTCTGATCGTTCCTCTGGAAGTTTTGTCTCAGAGGAGTACCCGGCCATGTGAGGTGTCAGTCTGCCCCTACTGGGGGGTGCCTCCTAGTTAGGCTGCTCGGGGGTCAGGGGTCAGGGACCCACTAGGGGAGGCAGTCTGCCCATTCTCAGATCTCCAGCTGCGTGCTGGGAGAACCACTGCTCTCTTCAAAGCTGTCAGGGACATTTAAGTCTGCAGAGGTTACTGCTTTTTGCTTGTCTGTGCCCTGTCGCCAGAGGTGGAGCCTACAGAAGCAGGCAGGCCTCCTTGAGCTGTGATGGGCTCCACCCAGTTCGAGCTTCCAGGCTGCTTTGTTTACCTAATCAAGCCTGGGCAATGGCAGGCGCCCCTCCCCCAGCCTCGCTGCCGCCTTGCAGTTTGATCTCAGACTGCTGTGCTAGCAATCAGCGAGACTCCGTGGGCGTAGGACCCTCCGAGCCAGGTGTGGGATATAATCTCCTGGTGTGCTGTTTTTTAAGCCTGTCAGAAAAGCACAGTATTAGGGTGGGAGTGACCCGATTTTCCAGGTGCCGTCTGTCACCCCTTTCTTTGACTAGGAAAGGGAACTCCCCTGACCCCTTGCGCTTCCCGAGTGAGGCAATGCCTAGCCCTGCTTCAGCTCACGCACGGTGCGCTGCACCCCCTGTCCTGCGCCCACTGTCTGGCACTCCCTAGTGAGATGAACCTGGTACCTCAGATGGAAATGCAGAAATCACCCGTCTTCTGCGTCCCTCATGCTGGGAGCTGTAGACTGGAGCTGTTCCTATTCGGCCATCTTGGCTCCAGCCTCCCATTTATTGTTGCTATTGTTTAACAGCTGATACAGGTATTCTGGTGATGCTAATGTACTGCTTAGTCACCTTGAACACATTTTTTGCCATAATAACAGTATGTCATATTTTTGCTGTTAAGTACTTATATGTGAATAAATGTAAGAAAATGATTGCTCATCAGGAGCATACAAATTGCAAGTCAGGAATGATGGTGATGCTAAACAACCAATCGTCCACATTGGCAGCTTAGCGACACCTTTGCTTTCTGATGATTTTAAACAACCAATCGTCCACGTTGGCAGCTTAGCAACACCTTTGCTTTCTGATGATTTAATGTACACAAACTTTGTTTCATGCCCAAAATTATTTAAAATATTGTATAAAATTACCTTCATGCTGTGTGTATATGGTATATATGAAACATCATAAATGAATTCACGTTTGCGTTTCATCCCCAAGATATCTCATTATGTACACGAAAATATTCCAAAACCAGAAAACGTCCAAAATCTAAAACACTTTTAGTCCCAAGCTTTTTGGATAATGAATGCTTAACCTCTAATTATTTAATGTAAATTAATGAAATATATTTCTAAGCATCGTCACACTCTTGAAATTATTACTGGTGTTTTCAGATCTCTATTCTCATGAACATTCTAATACAGCAGCTAATCACACTTGCTGTGGAGTTGGATGACACAAGCTTGAATTCAGTTCCATCAGCTAGTAGCTCTCTAACCTTGCACAAGTTACTTACTTAGCCCCTCCAAGCCTAGGTACCATCTTCTATCAAATGAAGGTAACAGGGGAGATTAACCATGTAAAATTACTTGCAGCTACTGGTATTACTCTTGTCCAGAGTGAAATAATGAAGTGTGAAACTGACAAAAATGCATTTTTACATTCACATTTAAGCTTTTTAAAAAATGCTGTAACAAAGGAAGTAGAGATTTTTGATGATCAGTTCAAGCATGCATTTGAGAATGTCTGGGCACTTCTCCCACCGATACTAGTGAGATCAATGTGGTTAATACTTCATGTAATTGCAAATTGCATTGTTCGGTGTTCACTAGTCAGAATGACTATGTGAAATAAGTCTTAGAATGGGCAGAGAAAGAGGCTCTTTCTTCTGAGGTAATGTGTTAGCTGGGCTGGGATTAAAGCAATCATGGAGCAAGCCTGTTGCCTAGGTTGCTCTCCCCACCCTTACCATGGTCCGGTCCATCTGCTTTGAGAGATCAGAACAGAGTCAACTATTTTTAGCAACATGTTTTCTTGTCCTTGCTGGCTTTGTTTTAGTTTGAAGTACACAAATTTGGGGTACCATTTCTATTTAGATAATTGAACTTGAATACTTATGCTGGTTGCTAAGTCTACCAGACATTCTCACCAAAAGAGGAAAGGGAGTAATTCAAACCATTTAGGAATTTGGGGCTGTAATGATGCAAGTGTGGCTATCAGTTTTCTTTCTTTAAAATAAAATTGGCAGCTTAAATAATAGAGTCAAATTGACCAGATGTTTTGCACTTGGTTAAATGCATTCCAATTAACCAATCAGTACGAATAACTGATTAGATCTTTTGCTAAAGAATTCCCATTAAGCAAATAACAACAATGGCAACAACAACAACAACAAAGCAGTTCAAACAAGTTTCTTTTGCTTTCTACTTGCTGAAATGAGAGAACCTGCAAAGGGAGAATCCATGTTAGATGAATCTCTACCCTGAGTTTTTATGTAGTTTGTTTCCAGCTGACCTAAGCATTAGCCTAGAATAAGTTTGAAATTTTTGTTTAAAAAAGAAAGTTTCAAATGGCTGAAGACAATATCCTAATAGCTTTGGTAATGACGGCATGTGCATCTTTTTACATTGTGCACTATAGATATGAAAATTAGATGCACTACGTCTTAAATATGAGTATCATGTTTTAGTTTTTGTACAAATTCTCATTTATATAAGGGGGTTTATTAGGAAGAATTGGTTCACCTGATTACAAGGCAAAGTCCCACAATAAGCCATCTGCAAAATGGGGAAAGAAGGAAGCTGGTAGCATAGCTCCGTCCGAGTCCAAAAGTTTCAAAACTAGGGAAGCTGACAGTGCGGTCCTTACCCTGAGGCTGAAGGCCTGAGAGCCCCTGGGAGGTTGCTGATGCTAGTCCCAGAGTCCAAAGGCCAAAGTACTTGGAGTCTAATGTCCAAGGGCAGGAGGAAAGCAAGCCAAGCATCTGGCATGGCATGGGAAGAAAAAAGCAAGCAGACTCAGCAGGCAATTTAATTACTCCCCTTCTTCTGCCTGCTTTGTTCCAGTCACACTGGAAGCTGGTTGGATGGTGTCCACTCACACTGAGCGTGGGTATTTCTCTTCTAGTCCACTGATTCAAAAGTCAGTGTCCACTGGGAACATCCTCAGAGACACCCCCACAAACTACTTCACCAGCTATCCAGGCATCGCTCAATCCAGTCAAATTGGACACCTAATATTAATAATCACATATAGTTATGACATTTGCATAAGGTAAGTGTTTAATATGAACAAAAATTAAATTAAATCAAAATTGAAAAATATTGCCATGATTGTAGGATACAAGTTGGTAGACCACTGTCAGAATTCCAGAATTACTGGCTAAGTCCGTCATAATCATAAACACCGAACTTGGAATCTGGTTAATGGGAGTTTTCCTCTTAGAGAATCCATATAATATGGCCAGGCACAGTGGCTCATGCCTGTAATCCCAGATCTTTGGGAGGCCAAGGGGGATGGATCACTTGAGCCTAGGAATTCAAGACCAGGCTGGATAACATTTGAGACCAGGCTGGACAACATACTGAGAACCCGTGTCTACAAAAATAAAAATAGCCAGGCTTGGTGGTGCATGCCTGTAGTCCCTGCTACTCAGGCGGCCGAGGCAGGAAGAGGCCTTAGGGCTTTACCCATGATCAGACCACTGCACTCGAGCCTGGACAACAGAACAAGAGCCTGTCTCAAAAAGAAAAAAAAAAGAGAGAGAGAGACAATACATTTAATAAGGTATGCTCATCACATTATATAAATAAAAATGCACACATTACATATTCATAGAAAATTGTAACTTGGCTGGGCGTGGTGGCTCACGCCTGTAATTCCAGCACTTTGAGAGGCCGAGGCAGGCAGATCATGTGGTCAGGAGATCGAGACCATCCTGGCTAACACAGTGAAACCCTGTCTCTACTAAAAATACAAAAAATTAGCCGGGCGTGGTGGCGGGCACCTGTAGTCCCAACTACTCGTGAGGCTGAGGCAGGAGAATGGCATGACCCCAGGAGGCAGAGCTTGCAGTGAGCTGAGATTGTACCACTGCACTCCAGCCTGGGCAATAGAGTGAGACTCCATCTCAAAAAAAAAAAAAAAAAAGAACATTGTAACTTATCTTTTGGTGGTGGTAATATATATGGTTTTTGTTTAACTACTTTCTATTGGCCTGCATTGCCCATGTTTCTATAGTAATTGTCTGCTTTATTAATATATATTTAATGAAGTTTTCTTTAGGAGGAGATTTGTAGTGGCTAATCTATTATTTGGTCATAAATGTACACACCTGTACATTTAGTATTTATTCCTGCTTGGAAGTCTTAGTACCTAGTCCAAAGGGACTGATGGTTCCTTTTGCTAGGAATAATCCTTTCCAATACCTTCTTATTTCTCTCCTGATCATTTAGGCCTCATCTTGTCATTAGAACTCATCGTTATGAGGACTCACTGAAACACTCTATAGTAGCTCTCCAATCAATCACATCACCATTTTATGTACATCAAAATTACAATTGCTATTTGACATTTTCTTTTTGTTAGCATATTATATTTTCATCTAATAGAATTTAAACTCCATAATAATGGTGACTCATTATGAAGTCTTATTTATTACCACATCCCATCACATGATTACAAGGCAAAGTCCCACGATAAGCTGCCTGCAAGCTGGGGAAAGAGAGAAGCCAGTAGCACGGCTTAGTCCAAGTCCGAAAGCCTCAAAACCAGAGAATTGTTTTCTGGCATTGTGTGGATGGGCATCAGATGGGTGGAATAGGAAGACAGGAATTTTTGGTTTCTATAGTGTGTTAGTCAGGGTTCTCCAGAGGGACAGAAGCAATAGGATATATATATCCTATTAATTCCACAATTCCTTATACAGTGGATTGGCATGTAGTAGACGCACAAAAAATTTTAGTTGGAGAATTGAGTGGAAATGAATTCAGTAAGTGAATGAATCAATTGCACTAAAATGGCAATCTTGTAAACTCTTGGGCTGTGTCTCTTGTCCATCCACTAAAATAGTGTTCAGAGATTGATTATTTCAATGAACACCTTCATACCACAGATTGATAGAAGCTGTTGTTTTGTATCATTTGACTCTTCCTGTGATAGTGAGGGCTTTACTTACATGATTTTTTCAAAGGCAACCTGGACCATCCCAAGCAGATGCATGATCGATAATCCATTTTTTTCCTGGGGAAAAATGGAACATTTTATAGCTTAGACATATGTTGGATTAGACATAGTGAATGCGAATTAAAAGCCTGTAAACTACTCTGTAAGCCAAGTCAACCTAATAGAACATATTCAGTGTAACCATAAGGGATTTCTCCCAAACTCGACTCACAAGAAGGAAAATATGCAAGGCAGCCGATTTTCCACTTCCGGTCCCATAACAAAAGCTTTCAGAACTGACAGCTTATACTTTATTAAACAGAATATAAATTAGTAAATATGCACACACAACCTTGTGACTAATTGTATTTACTAGCATTTCAGGGTCAGACCAGAAAGGATGTCTTTTTGAGAAAACCATCTTATTCTCTCTCCTCCATCATTTTTTTATGCCTGCTGACTTTTGCAGTCTTTAATGAATGTTAATGCATTTTTTAATTTAAGAAATATGGCATGAAAGCTTTCTACAGAGACTATTCCAAGTGCAGGAGATAATTCACTGAAAAAAATGACAAAAACAAAATGTTAAAATTCTTATTTTATAAAGTTTACATTCTAGTGGGTGGAGGGAGAAAAATATATTATTAAAACAAACTACACCAGAATGTGTTAAAAATAAGAAGAAAAATAAAGCAGAAATACCAGTTATGAAGTGTCAGTAGGATATAGGAAGGAGAAATAAGTATGGCCCTGAGGTCAAAACATTCCTAGAAGTTCAAATCAAGAGCTATAGAGTTGGGACAAATAGAGCAAGGGAAAAATAGTTAGAGGTGACTTACAGAGGGGATCAGAGTCAAATCCTAGAACCTTGCAGTCCACTGTAAGGACTTAGCTTCTGCCATAAGAAAGAATAAGATATAAAAGGACCCAGATGAATGAAGCCTTTATGGCCACAGAAACCAGGTGGGAGGAGATGCCACTGTCTAGGATAGGTAAGATTCTTGGCAGAATCACATTTTGGTAGATGAGTGTCAGGGGTTTGATTTTGGACATGCAACATTTGAAGTTTCCTTTAAACCTTTAGATAGTTGGTTGTCTCTATCTGGACTTCAGATGAGCGGTCTGGGAGTTATCAGGTAGAGATGGTACCAAAAGCTATGAGAGTGGATGAGGTGACCCAAAGAGAGAGTACGGAGCTCTGTGAAGTATGTTTGAGTCGCATTAAAGTGGAGCAGTCAGGGAGAGGAAGAGAAGTGGCTGGTCAAGTAAGAAGAAAGTCATCAGAGAGTATGGTGTTCTAGAAGCCTGCTTAAGAAAGACTTTGCAGAAAAATGGAGGGACTCACTCTATTATATGCTGCTAGTAGATCAGGTATAAGAAAAACTTAAAATTGACCACTGGATTTAGCAGATGGAGGTCCTGAGTAATCCCGATAAGAAAATTTTCATTCTCACTCAGTTGAGTTCCCATTGACTGAGAATGGGAGAAGTCTGAGAGAAATGAGCTCAAGAAGAGAATATAGAGATGGTGACAGCCCTTTTGAGAAGGTTTTCTGTAACAAGGACTGGAAAGCAGGTTACTAGATGAAAGTCAGATGAAGAAATTTTGAACATGAAATAATTTGCAGCATGTTTGTATGCTAAAGTGAATGATCCAGTAAAGATGGGAAAATGGATAACTCAGTAGAGTAAATAATTAATTTGCTAGAGTGACAATCTTGAGTAGACTAGAGGAAAGTGGATTTAGAGCAAATGCCAGCATGCATGTTTCTCTGTAATAACAAATAGAAAATTGTCAATTGAAACAAAAAGTGTCAATTAAACTAACATACATAGTAGTAGGCAGAAAGAGAAATGGTGGTAATGTAGATCTTCCATGTTTACTGCTTCTTTTTTACTAAATAAAATTGAATCAAAAGCATCAGTTGAAAGTGAGAATTCAGAAAGTATGGTGGGAAAGTTAAGAAGAAGATACACAAGGCTAAAAATTGTCCTCCAGGAGAATGAGAGACTGAATAAATAAGAAAAGAGGTCAGCAAACTTTCTGTGAAGGATCAGATAATAAATATAAATATTTTATTTTATGCTTTGTGCCCATCTGGTTTTTTTCACAACTACTCAGCCCTGCATAACAGCAAAAGCAGCCATAGATACATATACAAATGGGTGTGGCTATGTTTTAACAAAACTTAAAAAGAAAATCAAACAATGGATTAGATTTGGCTCTTGGGACCATAGTGTGCTTACTTTGGGAAAGCACTAAGGGACTATCTGATACTATTTGTTGCTATGGTCTAAATGCTTATGTCCCCCCAGACTTATATGTTGCAATCCTAAACCCTAAGGTGACGGTATTAAGAGATAGGGCAGTAATTCGGTTATGAAGGTGGAACCTTCACAAATAGAATGAGTGCCTGAGGTAAAAGATACCCCAGAGAGCTAGCTAGACCCATCCACCATGTAAGGAAACAGCAAGGAAGCATTGTCTATGAGCCAGAAAGGAGTTCCTCATCAGACTCTGAGTTGGCCTTGATCTTGGACTTTCCAGTCTTCAGAACTGTAAGACATACATTTTTGTTAATTTTAAGCCACCTAGTTTATAGTATTTTGTTAGAACAGCTTAACCAAACTAAGATAGTGGTCATGAAAATGTAAGACCATGTAATACATTGTGTGTTCTTTCAAATAATTTCTCTGTGCCAAATAAGTAGAAAATCTGATTTAATCAAGATTGAAGCTGTACAAGCTAAGAGTAACAAGTAGAGTGAGGTAGAAGGAAATTGAGCATGTATACAAAGGAAATATTATAATAATTAATCATAGAATATAATGAAGCTCATTAAAGTAGGAAGAAGGACATGAGGAGAATGAAAAAGACTAAAAAGTTGGTAGGCTCAAAGGACTGCAGTTGTAGTTAAAGAAATCCTGTATTAGGCATATTACAAAGATAGATGTTACTTGTTGAATGGGGTAGCTAAATTATATTATGGAGGGATACATTTATTAGTATTAAGACCCAGGAAATACCAGTGAGAGTGAATTACTATGCATTGGAACAAAATCTTGGACCAACATCTCTGGAGCAAAGGAAGTAAAAGAATTGAGAGACCAAGGAATTAGAAGAATCACTCACAGATATATTTAATTTACCAAGAATTTAGAGAAGTAATTTTAGAGAATTTAGAAGTAATTTTAAATTGGGTGATAAAATCTCCAGGGAGTTAAAATATGAAATAACCCAGAAAAGGTTGGGTAATGGTTAATGTAGTCTAATGGTTAAAACTTCCAATCTGAGGATTTTTTTAGGAAAAAAGGAAGGAGATATCTGAAAACAATCATAAATATAAAAGAGAACCCTTACACACCTCTAGGTATAAATAAGAATATGGAAAAAAAAGTCACCAACTGAGAGAACTGTAAGGAAGCAGCATTCTTAAATGGAAATCAGGTGTCAGCAAGAAGGTAAAATTAACACTCAGCACAGAGACTGAGAATGTAGGAGGTTTTGCTCATACATGACCCTCAGTTCCAGCACACTGATAAAGCTTTTGGGAGCTGGACATTGGCAGTAGAAGGACAAAGAAAAGAGAATGCATGGAAAGAAATTGAAAATGAAACTGAAGATTTATATGGGATTCCCAGTGCTTGATGAAAACAAGAATAAAAGGCATAAGGTTAGTCTTGATGGGCACAAGGCAGGTGGTGGTGAAGTGTTGCTTGTTGGAGAGAAGGGAGGAATGGTAGTCTTGCCCACATGTTCCTAAGCAAGAACAGGACCACGGTCCTTAATCGTTTTCAACATTTGTCTCCAGTTCTGATTTGCAGTGTTGTGTCATATGATTTTTGCCTTCCACCCAAGATCTTCAAGAAATGTTTAAAGTGCTAAGTTACTTTAATTCTCAAATGCAATCTAATTCTTAAAAGTCCTACCCTTCTCCAAGACCGTGGTTGGTCTCATTTCTTGCTCTTGCTTTTAACTCTGGGCTAGGATCTTGCTGACCCCATGGAGTCACTGGATTTTCTTAAAATTTTTAGTAGGCAGGCAATCGTCAAGTTGAAAGCCACTGCAACTCTAAGATGGCAATATAACTCTGAAAGCCATGTTTTTCATAACTCTGAAAGCCATGTTTTTCAAGAATAAAGATTGTGCTGAGCTGCTTTATTGTCCTGTCTTTATTTTCAAAGGCTTTGTAGAGTTTGTCTGGACTCACTTTCAAAACATAAAAAGACATCACTCTCTGCCCTTCAGTGTGTTCACATATGGGAATGCTTCTTATAACAAATAGCATAGTTGAATAATAATGCTTATGGAGCAAAATATTTCTCAAGGTTGGAGAATGAGTGCATGATATAGTAATAACCACTTGTGTGTTTAGAGCTATAGTGATTATGTCATTTGTTGTCTAATCCAGGACACTTTCAAGCATGAAATGGGGAACTGATAATAATTAATCTGGGGCAGCAGGTGTGCTAGTGTGCTGCAAATCTGCTTTAACAAAGACATTTCCAAATACAGACACTTAAATAAGAAAGAAGTTTGTTTGTCTCACATGATGCAGAGGTGAGAAGTTGGTGGATGCCAAGTGGCCCTGAATTTTGTTGTCTCTTCAGGTCTAAGGACTGCTCCATCTATAACAATTTTGAAAAAGCAGGAAAAGAAAAGAGAGTGGGTTGGAGGCAAGCAGCAGGATTTTAAGAACTCAATGCAGAAATTGCTCACATGTCACCCATGTGCCACTGGACAAAGCATAGCCACCTAGCACACCTAGCTGCGAAGGAAAGTGGTTTCTAACTGGTAGCCACAGGCCCTGGCAAAATTTAGGAAGTAGATATCCGGGAATAATTAGCAATATCTGCCGAAGGAATGTTAATGTGCAATATTAGCCAGAATTAGAAATACTTTGAATTTCCTGAACAGCTCATTTCCTAATTAATTTTCTTACATTTGTTCTTTTATAGCTTTATATTTGTATTGCTCTTTCATCATTTAAGGTATCAGGCATTTTATGCATTTATTGTATTTTCTCTTTCTTGCACCTGAAGCCTCCACGAAGGTAGTGAATCTCATCTGGCAGCTGAAGCCTCCATGAAGGTAGTGAATCTCATCTGCTTGGTTTAGTTTCTAGAACTAAACTTTAGTTTCTAGAAAAGATCTATTATTGAGTTGATGCTCAAAATATATTTTTGTTGCCAATGCAATAATAAACAAAAGCATATTTTCAGTGGTCTATGTGTTTACAGAGACTCATATGTTAGGTTTTTTACCTATGGTAATAAATACCAATGTAAAAACGTAAGATAAAAATAAGTCCTCTTGCAGTGACATTGTTATGATCATTAGTTGTTTATATGACATTAAAAGTCAAATCATATTCTCCCCTTGGAGTACGCATGTGTGACTGGAGAATGCATTAATACATCAATTATTTATTTTGCCCTGTATCTTTTCTTCTTTTTTCCACAAAGACAGTCGTGCCTTCTTGACTCTTGAAAGCTCAGAGATTTAAATTACAGACCAGATTCAGCACAAGATGGCTGACTAGATGCAGCCAGGAAGCACCTCTTCCACTAAGAGAGACAAAAATATTGAGTAAACTAACATATTGTGAACAGATGTTGTAAGAGAAAACTCTGAGAGCCAACAGAGAAGTGACACAGACTCTGAGGCTAAAGAGGAAGGAAGCTGGGAGCCCTGCACGGGGTCGCTGAGCACCAGAACTGGCTCCTGATCCTAAGCAGCTCTTAAGGAAGGCTGAGTGAAGCGATGGCAGGGCAACTTATTCTCTTTTAGACCTCGGGGATCTTCACTGCAGGAGATCCCATGACTTCCATAGACATTTGAATTGGCAGCAGGATCTATACCCAGAGAGTAGGCAGAGATGGAGCTGGAACCTGCACGTAGCCCAGGGAGTTTTGCACATGGGGCTGTTGTAGCAAAATGTGGCCATGAGTGCCCATCCCCTAAGGCTCTCCATCTTCCTTGAACTGACTCTAACCACTAACTCTGGGCCAGGAGAGAGTAGGGCTGTCTTTCCTGCAAGACTGGGACACATTGGCTCTGTGTACCCACCTGTCTAAGGCTCCTGCCTGAACACTCCTGCAAGAACATATAGACAGTACAGCATCGACTGCCCAGCCTGAGTACTTTGCTGGTATCCCGAGAGCACATCAGCCCTTATAGCACAGACTGACTCTGAGGATCCAGGGGACAAAAGCTGACAGCCCAGTCCTAACACCAAGGGTTAGAGCTCAGGAGTGCTGAGCTGAAATCTGTGTCTGGCACTTGAGAGGAGGAAGAGTCCCTACTCTCAGAACACTGAGAAGAGTGAGATGCAAGTTTATGGACTGGTGTGGTAGCTGGGTATGCCTCCCTCTACAAGGCCAGTCTAGGAAGAATGTGACCTGCCTGCTAGCCACAACCTGTCCCTAAGGGAGCACCACAGCCTGGAACACCTAATAACTCAGCAATCTGGGTGCAGAAGGCTTGGAAAAAACTAGCAGGTCAGACCAGATTCTGGGGCAGCCACCAGAAGGAGACCTGGTCAAGGGAGAGTTAGTTAAGTAGTCCCCACAGCTGTCTGCTCAGCAAAACAAAAACCATGGGCTGTGGGTGCCACACCAGCTACATGCCCATGGCAACGCCGTCCCTCCTGGAGATTCCCTCCCCTTGAATTACTGCATCAACAGATGGCCTGCAGACATACCACAATCTGCTCTGATTCTGCTAAGCATAGAGGACCAGCATGCCTCTGGAGTGCTGCAGGTCTCCTGGCAATCTACATTTCAGCTTGGGCTGGTCTCAGGGAGGGGAACACAGCTGGCTAGTACACCCTTGGGGCTAAGGAAACACAGAGGTAGTGCCAGCAATTGGAGGGTGATCCCATAAGGCCTGGGAATGGACCTGGCAAGGGGGTCGTTGCACCCTATTATCTCCCCAAATGCAGAGCAATGCTGAGTATGCACTGAAATGCAGAACTTTGGAGCTGAGCGAGAATCTATGTGCCAGCCATTACTTTTAAGCACCATCCACTGGATCACAGCTTGAATTACACCACCACCAAGATCCTTCCTGTATACATTGCCTGTGAAACCTAATGCAGGAATGTAGCCACAAATGAAGATTCCAAACATAGCCTTAACTCACTGAAAACACTCAGAAATGAAGCCAATCAACTATACTCAATTTAATATAAAAACAAAAATTTGCATCCAAGTAACAGCAAATTCAAAAAGATAAAGCAACATCCCAGCCCTTTCAGATGAGAAAGAATCAGGGCAAGATAACTCTGGCAACTCAAAAACCAGGGTGTCTCCTTACTTTCGAATGATCACACTAGCTCCCCAGCAATGGCTCTTAAACAAATTAAAACAGTTAAAGTGACAGACATAGTATACAGAATCTGGATGGCAAGGAAGCTCAATAAGATCCCGGAGACAGTTGAAACCCAATTCAAGGAAGCCTGTAAAACAACCCAAGAGCTGAAAGGCGACACAGCCATGTTAAGAAAGAACTTCTTAAATTGAAAAATTCACTATAGAAATTTCAAGTCATAGTTGGAAACATTAACAACAGAATAGATCAAGCTGAGCAAAAATCTCAGAGCTCAAAGACAAGTCCTTCTAATCAACTCGGTCAGGCAAAAATAAAAAAAAAATGTTTTTAATGAACGAAGCCTCTGAGAGATACAGAATTATGTAGAGACCAAACCTATGACTCATTGGCAGGCCTGAGAGAGAAGGAGAGAGGAAGCACTTTGCAAAACATATTTGAGGCTATAGTCTACAAAAATTTTCTCAATCTCACTAGAGAGGTAGACATGTAAATTTAATAAATTTAGAGAATCCCTGCTAGGTACTATACAATACAACCATTCCCAAGATTTATAATCATCAGTCTTTCCCAAGGTCAACATGAAAAAAAAAGTAAAGGCAAGTAAAGAAAAGGTTCAGGTCACTTAAAAAGGGAATCCCATCAGGCTAGCAGTAGACCTCTCAGCAGAAACTTTACAAGCCAGAAGAGATAGGACCTATTTTTAGCATAATTTAAAAAATTCCAACCAGGAATTTAATTAATGTCTGGCCAATATTTCTCATAGGTTTCATAAGCGAAGAAGAAATAAAATCCTTTTTGGAGAAGGAATGGCTAAGGGAACTCATTACTACTAGAACACCATTGCAAGAGGCCCTTAAGGGAGTGCTTACACATGGAAATGAAAGAACAATACCTGCCACCACAAAAACACACTTAAGTACATAGCCCACAGACACTATAAAGGAACTACACAATCAAGTTACAAGATAACCAGATAACCAGATAACAACATGACAATAGGATCAAAGTTTCACATATCAATATAAACCTTCAATGTAAATGGCCTAAATGCCCCACTAAAAAGGCATAGAGTGGCAAGTTAAAAGAAAAATTCAGACCCAACTGTCGGCTATCTTAAAGAGACCCAGCTCACATGTAACAACACACACAAGCTCAAAGTTAAAGGATGAAGAAAGACCCATCTTGCAAATGGAAAACAAAAGAGAGAAGGGGTGGCTATTCTTATATCAGATAAAATAGACATTAAAGCAATAAAAGTAAAAAAGGACAAAGGAGGGCATTACATAATGTCAATGGGTTCAATTCAACGAGACAATTTAATTATCCTAAATATGTATACACCCAACCCTGGAGCACCTAGATTCAAAAACAAATTCTTCTAGACCTACAAAAAGACTTAGATAGCCACACAATAATAATGGGAGACCTCAATACCCCACTAACAGTGTTAGAGAGATCATCAAGGCAGAAAACTAACAAAAAGAATTCTGAACTTAAACTTGATACTTGACCAATTGGACCTAATAAACATGTACAGAATACTGAAACTAACAACCACAGAATATACATTCTTCTCATCTGCACACAGAACATAATCTAAATTGACCACATGCTTGGCCATAAGCGAGTCACAACAAATTTAAAAAAATCAAGATCATACCAAGCACCTTCTTGGACCACAGTTCAATAAAATAGAAATCAATACCAGGAATATCTCCAGGGTTCACATAGTTACATGGAAATTAAATGACATGCTTCTAAATGACTTGGGTAAAAAATAAAATTAGGCAAAAATTTAAAAGTTCTTTGAAATTAATGAAAATTGAGACACAACATACCAAAATCTTTGGAATGTAACTAAGGCAAGGTTAAGAGGAAAATTTATAGCACCCAACATTTACATCAGGAAGTTAGAAAGATCTCAAATTAACAATCTAACATTGCACCTGGAGGAACTAGAAAAACAAGAACAAACTAAGCAGAAGAAAAACTAGCAGAAGAAAAGAAATAACCGAAATCAGGAGAAGTGAACAAAATTGAGACTCAAAAATCTACACAAAAGATCAACTAAACCAAAAGTTAGTTCCTTGGAACTATAAACAAGATTGTTAGGCTTCTAGCTAGATTAACAAAAAAAGAGAGAAGATCCAAATAAGCACAACCTGGAATGAAAAAAATGACACTACAACTAATCACACATAGATACAAAAGATCCTCAGAGACTATTATGAACATCTTTATACACACAGATTAGGAAATCTAGAGGAAATAGATAAATACCTGGAACCACACAACCTCCCAAGATTTAACTAGGAGAAAATTGAAAACCAAAACAGGCCAATAACAAGTTCAGAAATTGAATCAATAACAAAAACCTACCAACCATTAATGCCCCAGACTACATGAATTCACAGCCAAGTTCTACCAGACTATATAAAAAAGAGCTGCTTCTAATACTACTGAAACTATTCCAAAAAATTGAGGAGGAGGGACTCCTCCCTGACTCATTCTATGAAGCAAGCATTATCCTCATTCAAAAATCTGGCAGAGACACAACGGAAAAGAAAAGTTCAGGCCAATATCCTTGATAAGCCTAGATGCAAAAATTCTTAACAAAATACTAGCAAACCAAATTCAGGAGCACATCAAAAGCTAATTTACCATGATCAATTCTGCTTTATTCCTGGGATACAATGTTGGCTCAACATGTGCAAATCAACAAATGTGATTCACGACATAAACAGAATTAAAAACAAAGCCACATCATCATCTCAATAGATGCAGAAAAAGATTCTATAAAATCCAACATTTCTTCATGTTAAAAACCCTCAAGAAACTCTCAAGGCATTGAAGGCACATATCTAAAAATAACAAGTGCCGTCTATGTCAAGCCCACAGCCAACATTATACTGAATGCGCAAAGGCTGGAACCATTCTCCTTGAGAAGTAGAAAAAGACAAGAATATCCACTCTCACCACTCCTATTTAACACAGTACTGGAAGTCCCATATGAGTAATCGGGCAATAGAAATAAACAAAAGGCATCCAAATAGAAAAATAAATCAAAGTATCTCTCTTTTCTGACAATATGATTCTATATAAAGAAAACTCTAAAAACTGCCAAAAGGTTTCTATTAATAGAACTGATAAACAACTTCAATAAAGTTTGAGGATACAAAAATTAATGCACAAAAATCAGTAGGATTTTTATACACCAATATGTTCAAGCTGAGAGCCAAATGAAGAATGCAATCCCATTAACTATAGCCAGAAAAAGAATAAAATACCAAGAAATACATGTAACCATGGAGGTGAAAGATTTCTAAAAGGAGTACTACAAAATACTGCTGAAAACAATTGTAGGTGACACAAAGAAATGAAGAAAAAACATTTATTTTATGATTAAACACTTTATGCTAATGGATTAGAAGAATCCATATTATTAAAATGACCATACTGCCAAATCAATCTACAGATTCAATCCTATTTCTATCAAACTACCAATGTCATTTTTCACAGAACTGGAAAAAACTATCAAAAAATTCATAGAGAACAAAAAAGAGCCCAAATAGCCAAAGCAAACGTAAGCAAAAAGAACAAAGCTAGAGGCATCACATTAGCCAACTTCAAACTATAAGACTACAAAAACCAAAACAGCATAGTACTGGTACACGAACAACACATAGGCCAATACGACAGAATAGAAAACCCAGAAATAAAGGCACAAACCTCCAATCATCTGAACTTTGACAAAGTTGATGAAAATATTCAATAAATGATGCTGGGTAACTGGGTAGCCATATGCAGAAGATTGAAACTGGACTACTTCTTTATACTGTATACAAAAATTAACTCAAGATGGGTTAAAGACTTACATATAAGATGTTAAACTATAACAATTCTAGAAGAAAACCTAGCAAATACCCTTCTCAATATCAACTGTGGCAAAGAATTCATGGCTAAGTACTCAAAAACAATGGCAACAGAAACAAAAATTGACAAGTGGGAACTAATTAAACTAAAGGGGTTCTTCACAGCAAGAGAAACTTTCAAGGACTTAGACAACCTACAGAAGGGAGAAAATGTTCACAAACTGCATCCAACAAAGGTGTAATATCCAGAATCTCTAAGGAACTTCAACAAATCAACAAGCAAAATAACAACCCCATTACAAATAGGTAAAGGACATGAAGAGATACTTCTCAAAAGAAGACATACAAGTGGCCAAAAAACATGAAAAATGTTCATCATCACTAGTCATCAAAGAAATGCAAATCAAAACCATAATACCATCTCACACTAGTCAAAATGGCTTCTGTTAAAAAGTTTAAAAAGTAACAGATGTTGACAAGCCTGTGGAGAAAATGAGCACTTATACCCTGTTTGTTGAAAGGTAAATTAGTTCAGCCACTGAGGACAGTAGTTCAGCCATGGCTCAAAGAATTAAGAGTTGAACTACCATTTGACCCGCCATTCTATTAGTGATTAGATACTGAAATGAAGATAAATCGTTCTACCAAAAGAACACATGCATGCTTATGTTCATCACAGTGTTATGTACAAGAACAAAGATGTGTAATCAACCTAGGTGTCCATCAGGAGAGGGTTGGATCAAGAGAATGTGGTATATATATATCACTGAATACTATGCAGCCATAAAAAGGAAGCAAATCATGTCCTTTGCAGCAACATGAATGCTGCTGGCAACAATTATACCAAGCAAACTGAAACAAAAACAGACAACCAAATACTGCCTGTTCTCACTGAACATTGGGTACACATGTACATAAATATGGGAACAATAGAAACGGGAATACAAAAGCAGGAGAGAGGGAGGGCAATAAGAGTTGAAAAACCATCTCTTGGGTGCTATGTTCACTACCTGAGTGACAGATTTATTTGTACATCAAATTTCAGCATAACTTAATAGACCTTTGAAACAAACTTGCACATGTCCTTCCTGAATCTAAAATAAAAGTTGAAAAAATAAATAAATAAATTACAGGCCAAATGGAGTCATTCACAGCAAGAAGCTATCTCCTTTTTAAATATATTTCCTAAAGTGTGAGCTATTAAAATATAGTTGTAGGTAGGCAATGGGGCTTTACATAAACGTTTTGTTCTCTCTCTGGAAACATTGGTGAGATTGTATTTCTCTACTGCATTGAATTCAGTCATACTTTTATGATTTCTTCGGCAATGAAATGTGAGCACTGGAGATAGTTTTTATTTGCAGGTGGAAGGTGGAAATTTAAAAAGTCAGTGCTTATTTTCCACATTTTCTTCTTGTTTTTCCATCCATTGTTACTTGCAATGTTCCAGGGGGTTACTGTTTTGATATTCTAGATCCCAAAATGGGGATAGTAGGGATGCAGAACAGTGCCCAGCCTCCCAAAATAGACATAGCGTGAGCAAAAAATAAACCACTGAGATCTGGGGTTTTGTAATGCTACAGCACAACTTCATCTCTCTCTGGGGAGACAATTATCCAGCTGGGAACACAGGGAGAGGAATTCCCTTAAGATTCATCAGGATCAATTAGTAATATTATCTTGATTATGGTGATGGTTTAATGGGTTTATACATATGTCAAAGCTTATTAAGTTGTATACTTTAAATATGCAGTTTATTGTATTTCAATAATAGGTTACTAGAACTGTTTTTAAAAAAGGGTTAATAAAGAGACATGCTCTGAGACTGGAGAAGGAGCAGGCAATTGTAGTTTTCATCAAATTCAGCCTTACATTTGCTGTACAGCAATGCCCAGGCTAATAACATGATCTTTGATAACAGTAAGCGTGTAGGCTGGCTGCAGTCCAAGCTTGGCATTGAAACTGGGTCTGAAGTACCTACAAGAGTTGAGATAGTGGGAATTTTAAAGATGACTAAACTGAACATATTACCTCTAACTCAAGAAACTGCTCAATGCCTTGGAATAACAATGTAGTGCAGATATAAGACCTACGCAAATTAAATATAACACTAGGTAAAGAGTTTATGTAATGGAGTAAGGTATATGTCAGAAGTCAGAATAACACACACACACACACACACACACACACACAAAACACATATACTTCCTTAGTACTTAAATACTTTATCCCATTACATTATGTAAGTAATGTATTAATCCATTTTCACACTGCTAATAAAGACATACCTGAGACTGAGAAGAAAAATAAGTTTAACGGACTCACAGTTCCATGTGGCTGGAGCAGCCTCACAATCATGGTGGAAGGTGAAAGGCACTTCTTACATGGTGGGGGCAATAGAGAACAAGAAAGAAGTGCAAGTAGAAACCTCTCATAAAACCATCAGATCTTGTGAGACTTACTCACTACCACAAGAACAGTATGGGGGAAATCCTCCCTATGATTCAATTATCTCCCACCAGGACCCTCCCACAACATGTGGGAATTATGAGAGTAGAATTCACGATGAGATTTGGGTGGGGACATAGAGCTAAACCATATCATTCTGCCCCTGGGCCCTGCCAAATCTCATGCTCTCACATTTTAAAACCAATCATGCCTTCCCAACAGTCCCCCAATTTTAACTCATTTCAGCATTAACGCAAAGCCCACAGTCCAAAGTTTTATCTGACACAAGGCAAATCCTTTCTGCCTATGAGTCTGTAATATCAAAAGCAAGTTATTTACTTCCTAGTTACAAAGAAGGTACAGGCATTGGATAAATACAGCCATTCAAAATGGGAGAAATTGGCCAAAACAACGGGGATACAGGCTCCATGCAAGTCTGAAGTCCAGCAGGGCAGTCAAATCTTAAAGCTCTAAAATGATCCCCTTTGACTCCATGTCTCACATTCAGGTCATGCTGATGCAAGAGGTGGGTTCCCATGGCCTTGAGCAGCTCTGCCCCTGTGGCATTGAGGGTATAGCCCCCTTCCTGGCTGCTTTTATGGGCTGGCACCAAGTGTCTGTGGCTTTTCCAGGCATATGGTACAAGCTGTAAGTGGATCTATCATTCTGGGGTCTGGAGGACAGTGGCCCCCTTCTCACAGCTCCACTAGGTGGTGTCCCAGTAGGGACCCTATGTGGTGGCTCTGACCCCACATTTCCCTTCCACACTGCCCTTGCAGAGGTTCTCCATGAGGGCCCCACCCCTGCAGCAAACTTCTGCCTGGGCATCCAGGCATTTCCATACATCCTCTGAAATCTAGGCAGTGGTTCCCAAATCTCAATTCTTGACTTCTATGTACCCGTAGGCTCAACACCATATGGAAGCTGCCAAGGCTGGGGCTTCCACCATCTGAAGCAACAGCCCAAGCTGTACCTTTGCCCCTTTTAGTCATGACTGCAGCAGCTGGGACACAGGGCACCAAGTCCCTAGACTGCATACAGAGGAAGGACCATTTTTTTCCTCCTAAACCTCCAGGCTTGTGATAGGAGGGGCTGTTGCAAAAATCTCTGACATGCCCTGGAGACATTTTCCCCATTGTCTTGGTGATTCACATTTGGCTTCCTGTTACTTATGCAAATTTCTGCAGCAGGCTTGAATTTCTCCTCAGAAAATGGGATTTTCTTTTCTATCATCACATTGTCAGGTTGCAAATATTCCAAACTTTTATGGTCTGTTTCTTTTTTAAAACTGAATGCCTTTAATGGCACCCAACTCACACCTAGAATGCTTCGCTGCTTAGAAATTTCGTCTGCCAGATACCCTAAGTCATTGCTCTCAAGTTCAAAGTTCCACAAATCTCTAGGGCAGGGGCAAAATGCCACCAGTCTCTTTGCTAAAACATAATGAAACTCACCTTCACTCCAGTTCCCAACAAGTTTCTTATCTCCATCTGAGACCACCGCAGCCTGGATTTCATTGTTCATATAATTATCAGCATTTTGGTCAAAGCCATTCAACAAGTCTCGAGGGAGTTCCAAATCTTCCCACATTTTCTTGTCTTCTTTGAGCCCTCCAAACTGTTCCAACTTCTGCCTGTTACCCAGTTCCAAAGTTGCTTCCACATTTTCAGGTACTTCTTCAGCAGCACCCCACTCTACTGGTACCAAGTTAGTGTATTAGTCCATTTTCACACTGCTGATAAAGGCATACCCAAGACTGGGAAGAAAAATATGTTTAATGGGCTCACAATTCCATGTGGCTGGGGAAGCCTCACAATCATGGTGGAAGGTGAAAGGCACTTGTTACATGACAGTGGCAAGAGAGAATTAGAGGCAAAAGTGGAAACCTCTTATAAAACCATCAGATCTCATGAGACTTATTCATTACCACAAGAACAGTATGGGGGAAATCACCCCCATGATTCAATTATCTCCCACTGGGTCCCTCCCACAACATGTGGGAATTATGGGAGTACAATTCAAGATGGGGTTTGGGTGGGGACACAGAGCCAAATCATATCAAGTAGTAAGTCAAGGGAAGACAAATATATGTGTTTGTGTTGTATTTAAAATTAGCAGTGTCTTTACACCTATTTTCTCTCACTGGAAAACTAAAAACACTCTGAGGTTGGTAGGACCCATGAAATTATTACTGTTTCACCTCTGAAGACACAGACACTTGAAGAAACTATCTTAGTTTACCCCAGGCCGCATAGTTTCCATGGAGCAAAAGAGCCTCATATCCCATAAACCTTTTTTTCTAGCTGAAATTAAAGTTTATAATAATCAATTGTTTGCTTTGTTTCCTGGGAGTGAAACAAAAAACACAGATTGATAGAGTTCTAAGGCTGGAAGGGTATTTGGAGATCATTTGGTGAATCTCACTCACTATATAATAGGAGAAGCTCATAGCAATGTTGAAACTCAACCAAATTTTTCACCTGATTAATACTAGAACCAGGGCAGAAATCGTTCAAAGTTCCCTAATCCTTTGCCTATTTAATTCATTCTGAGTTGATAACACTGAATGAAAATCCCACATTGACTTCCAAGTGGCTGGCTTTAACTGTCGTTCTGCTTTTCACCCATAGCTTCCCAAATTGGCTTCATCAAAGAGACCAAAAGGCACTTGTAGCATTACAAATGAATGCAAATGCCTTTTACAATGCTTTGCAGACCTAAATATCACAGTTTTTTTCAACACTTTAAAAATTGAATTAACGTATACTGCCTTTTCTTAACTTGAGATTTCTACCATGAGATTTCCAATGAAAGAAAAATTACTTAATGTGTAATTCACATGTTTTAAAGTAAACACACACACATATTAATGGCTTTTATGAGTTTCTGGAATAAATGACTGTGTTTATGTTTTTGAACAGTATATAAGCTTTATGTCTGATTTTGTGTTCTTTGCAACATGGGTTATAAAACACCATTTAAAACTTTGAATGGTACAAACTAATCAATAACAGTGCTTTGAGCCAGAGAGTGCAAGCAGAGAACCAGCACAGGTCTTTTAAGGGAAAGTGCTATTGAGGGACTGCAGAATAGCACTACAACTTGCCAGGATAATGCTGAGCTTAATCTCAGGGAGTAGTGAAAATCACTTAATGTGTGTGGCAGTGAGAAGTCTTTGTCCTCCAGTGGGGGCCAGGTTTCTATAATCAAAGCCAAGTTGAACGCTGAGAGGGAAATGAGCCTCTACTTCAAGTTCCATGAAAATCATTTCTATCCAAGTGAGGTGTATGCAGAACGGCTTCATAGAAAACGGACTGGAGATGGTTTTGAGACAAGGTTCCTCTGCTTATTGTGGAAACAGGCTCAGAAAAGTGAAAGGTCTTCAGTCTTTCAGGAAGAGTGAAAAATGTGATTTGCCTTTTGAAGACCAGCTCAAGGACATAAGAGCAGGAGGATTAAAGAAATAGAGTCAAGCGACAAAGATCACATTGTCAGATATAAGACAAGTGGAATGGAGCCAACATCAACCATAGGGACAGTGGGAAATAAAAAGAAGGTCAAAATGAAGTGCTTAAGAGTTTAAGGAAACTGAACCAAGATTAAAATACTCTGTGGGTGATGACATTATAACTCATTATTATTCTCCTTTTTTGGGGGGAGATTATCTGTATTTTCCACCATTCAAATAATGTATATTGTACCCATTAAGTAATTTTTTATCATCCTCCCCCATTTCTACAAAGCAAATGAAGGTTTCCATAATATGAAAAATAAAATAAAATTTATTATACAAAAAATACGCTACAGGAATGTAAGCATTTAAATTGTAATTGGAAATCTTACTAACATGAGAGGTTCTTGCAATGATTTTACATTGTAAACCAAAAATTATGATGTGTAGGTTAAAATACATGCATATGCACACACATTCTTCCCTTGTCAGGTATTTATTTGAAAGAGCTTCATATGTTAAAAAAATTAAATCCAATTTAGTTTTATATTCAGCGCATTGCAGATAATTATATGAAATTATGGCATTTGTCCTGAAAAATTTGGTACAAGGGATAGCTATGTAAACTGTCTTCATTTAGCTCACAGGTATCAATGAACGTAAAGCTTATAGTTCAGTAATGCTCAAGATATGTGGTAGACATTAAGAAATATTGTAGTTGGGCGCGGTGGCTCAAGCCTGTACTCCCAGCACTTTGGGAGGCCGAGACGGGTGGATCATGAGGTCAGGAGATCGAAACCGTCCTGGCTAACACGGTGAAACCCCGTCTCTACTAAAAATACAAAAAATTAGCCAGGCGTGGTGGCGGGCGCCTGTAGTCCCAGCTACTCGGGAGGCTGAGGCAGGAGAATGGCGTGAACCCGGGAGGCGGAGCTTGCAGTGAGCCGAGATTGCACCACTGCACTCCAGCACTGGGTGACACAGTGATACTCCGTCTCAAAATAAAAAAATTAATAAAAAAGAAATTTTATAGTAGAATGGTAATATTAAGAAGACCAGAGGAAGCTTATGACTTCGCTGGAAAGATAATACTGTGCACAATTGAAAGTGATATTAATAAACACCTTAATGGTTTTAAAAAATATATTGCCATTGTTTTCTCAAAGATACTGATTTTTTTAAGCTAAAAATAATCATTAGAGGAAATTTTATAGAAATTTCATACTTTAGGATAATTTTTAAATGACTATTATATGACTAAAATTTATAGAAAGTTCAGTTGGAATGTATACATTCAAAATGATTACACAAATTAAATAGGGCAGATGTAAGACTTTTCATTTCAAACATTTCCATTCATGGAATTCAACTTTTTACAGGAAGAAGTAACTACTACCCATTATTTCTTTGAATAAAAAAACTTCATTGGTTTTACTCATGATTTTAAATACATGAGTATGCCTTTGCTTTTCTAAGACCTCAGCCACCACCCTACCTTTCAAAAAAACCTTATTAAGTCATCACAAAGTATTTTGATCCAATACCTTAGGGGAATTGAATGTTTTATTCACTCACTCAAATACAAGAACTGAATGCATCTGCTTTTATTGAATACTAACTTTATGTTATTCACTGTGTTTTTTTAAGAAAGTATGCTTACTTTTTCTTTCTGTCTATTCACAATTTCAGTTTTTTAATTTTAGTTTTTTAATTATTTGCATAAGTGCATAGCATACCAGTGTAATTTTATTACATATACAAATGTGAAGTTAGAGTTTAGGACATCCACCACTCAAATAATGTATATTGTACCCATTAAGTAATTTTTTATGATCCTCCCCCAAACTTTGTAATTGTGCAAATACTTAAGTAGTTACTAAAGCCATGCAAACAATATTTGACTATGTTTTAAATCTCTTAGGCCCCTCTCTCCACTTCTTCCCTCAATGTGGCATACGACACAGGTAGATGAAAAGAGTTGACACAGGTAGATAAAACATGTTACTGTGAATATCACTGGCTAGAAAATGGGATTCTTTCTGTTTATGAGGTTGCAATACATTGTATTATTTGCAGCTTTTGAAATAGAATTCTCTGGGAATTATATTTCTTAATATTGCAGTTCATGAAATATATAGTTTTAACGGCTAATGTAAAGGAGACACACACATTCCTATTTATGGGTGATGATGATAATACACAAATACTTTGGCCATGATAAAACTGACATGCCAATAAATAATTAAAATCAGGAATCTATATTATATTATGAAAATCAGAGAGGACATTTAATTGGTGGAGATATTGCATTTGTTCATCTAAAATGAGTTAGAGATATTTGGCATGGATAATTTTTAGTGAACTTGTAGGATTTGGTCTTGAAATCTAACTACAAAACAACTAGAAAAAAATGAGTTGTAAATAGTTTTTTAACAGCTATATTAGGTATAATTGATATACAAAGAATTGCACATATTTAGTGTTTACAATTTGATGAATTTAGACATATGCAAATACCTATGATACCATCACCACAATCAAGACAATCGACATATTCAACACTCTCTGAAGTGTTTTTGTGTACCTTTGTTGTTTTTTGTTTGTTTTATACTTTAAGACAAGAACACTTAACAGAAGTTTAACTTTATGCTTATTGAAAAAAAATTTCTCATTTCTCCTACTCCCAGCCCCTGGTAACCACAATGATATTCTCTGACTTTATAAGTTTAACTATTTTAGATACCTTACATAAATGGAATTATGTAGCGTTTGTTCTTCTGTAACTAGCTTATTTCAGTTAGAATGTCCCCCAGATTAATCTATGTTGTCTCAAATGTTAGAATTTTCTTCTTTTCTGAGGCTGAATTATATTCCATTGTGTATGTACATGTGTGTGTATATATAAATATATATATCACAGTTTTTAATTCATATATCTGTTAATGAACATATGTTGTTTCCATATCTTGGCTATTATGAATAACACTGCAATGAACATGAGGGTGCAGATATATCTCTTTGAGATCCTGATTTCAATTCTTTTAGATGTATACCCAGAAGTAGAATAGCTGTATCATATGGTAGTCCTATTTTCAATTTTTTGAGGAAACTCTATACTGTTTTCCATGGCTGCTGCACTATATTACATTCCCACCAACGGTGCTTAAGATTTCTAAATTCTCCATATTCTCACTAACACTTGTCTTTTGTTTTTCTGACAATAGACATCCTAACAGGTATGAAGTAAACTCTCACAGTTTTTCATTTACATTTCCCTCATAATTAATGATATTGAGCATGTCTTCATGTACCTGTTGGCCATTTGTGTCTTCTTTGAATAAATTTCTCAGTCCCTTGCCCATTTTTTTAAATTAATCAGTTCATTTGTGTTTTGCACCTGAGTTGTACAAGTTCCTTATATACTTTAAAAATTAATCCCTTATCAAATGTATGGCTTGCAAATTTTATCTCTTATTTCATAGGTTGTCTTTTCCAATTCTGTTGATTGTTCCCCTTGGTGTGCAGAAGTTTTATAATTTGATATAGTTTCTCTTGTCTATTTTGCTTTTCTTCCTGTGCCTGGTACCAAATCCAGGAAACCTTTGCGAAGACCAATTTCAAGGAGATTTTGTCCTATGTTTTCTCCTAGGAGATTTACAGTTTCATGTCTTATATTTAGACTTTCATCCATCTTAAGTTCATTTTTCTGTATGGCATAGGTTAAGGATCCAATGTCATTCCTTTGCATGTGAATATCCAGTTTTTCCCAACACCATTTGCTGAGAAGACTATTGTATCCCCCTTATGTATCCTTGGCAACTTCTTCAAAGATCAGTTGACTATTCTGGGCTCTCTATTCTGTTCCAATAGTTTATATCTGTCTTTATGCCAGCACAGTACTGTTTAATTTGAAATCAGGAACTATGATGCCTCCAGCTTTGCTCTTCTTTCTCAATTGTATCTTTTGTAGTTTCATAAAATTTTCAGGATTTTTATCTATCTCTCTTACAAATGCCATTGGGATTCAATGAGGATAACATTAAATCTGTAGATAGCTTTGGGTAGTATGGACATTTTAACATTATTAAGTCTTCCAATATACAAACAAGAGATGTCTTCCATTTATATGTGTCTCCTTTAATTTCTTTCATCAATAATTTGTAGTTTTCAGTGTACAAGACTTTCACCTCCTGGGTTACATTTATTTCTAACTAATTCTTTTAGATACTTTTTAAAATAAAATTGTTTCTTAATTTATTTTTTAGATCATTCATTGTTAACGTATAGAAACACAATCTAACTTTTAAGCTTATATATTCTGGTTAATTTCTTTCCATAAGGTTAACTGAGATTATAAACTCTACCTGTCCTTTGGATCATTTTGTTTAAATGGAATATCCTCTCAGACATGACCAGAAATAGGGAAAGTTTTCAAGTAGGTCATTGGTATCTGCCCTCCTCTACCTCTCCTGACAGACTGACAGAGAGGGAAAGAAAGAGAGAAAAACACACACATATACACACACTCAGTCTAAAAATGTAAAGAAAGTATTAGCACTATAATGTGAGTATTGCTTTTTTGTCATTCTGTCTCCTTAACCATCAAAAACATTGTCATGATGCACAAAAGATATTTTATTGACCATAAACAATTAAAAGCTTTGTTTTAATAAGTCTCTTTAAAATACACTTTTTTTCAAGTAAAAAATTTAAAAGAGCACATTTTCATTTTTAAAAAGTCAGCAATTCCTTCAAGTTTCAATCAGCTAATTATTGTTTGCTTATATCTATGGCTTATTCATTCAGCAGAGTAAAACTAGAATATATATTCAAAAAAATTCTTTCTTTCTCAATCTCATTTCTCCTTTACAATGTCAAATATGAGGTCAACAAAAGACAGACATCTTTTACACTAGAGATGTAAAATTTTCCATAAACTTTAAAACAAATTACACTATAGTTTATTATTAGTATAGAGTATACTATAGTATATTATTAGTACATAATATACTATAATATCTGATTAGTGTGTGGTCAGCTACATTAAACATACTGTACATATTTCCCTTGAATAATAACCAATTGTGGAAAAATAAGATAATTTGTCAAACATTTTTGAAAAGAAGTAAAACTTTATAGCCTATTTTATACTTACATGTTGAATTCTTTGTTTCTCTATGTCTATTTATAACCAATGGGAATCAGCTCTTCACCTAAAAATGTTCTATTTAAATGGTTAGCATTTTTTGCATATATCAAATTATTTTTGTACACCACCAAAAGGTAAATATAGCTGGTTTAGAAAAGTTAAAACAGTAAATGATTGCAAGTAATAATTACATTGTTGCCTGAAGTGTTAATAAAATATGGTCCATATCAATGGTCTATCCTGTTTGAAATCATTAACCAATTGAGCTGTTATGCAGTTGCTAGGCATGGGTTTATAGAGTGTCTTTCTACCTACCATACACCTACCGGCTTAGGCACTAAGCACCCAGAGACAGACCACAGCAGGAAAGAGGTTAAGAAATTAAGTGATGCTTTACAAAGTAGACCACAAGAAGCAGGTTTTGTTTTATTATTTACCTTGTGAAAAATGTCCAAATGCACCTGGCATAAATTTTTTAGAACTTGATGGCATAAGTATTGGATTAATATACTCATTGGCATAAGATTGAATATGCCTATTATCAAAAGAAACATTTTTGGCTTCCTTATCATTCTTTACTACATTTTTCCCCAACATATCTTCTGTTGTCAAAATTGTTTCTTGCTTTGACATTTCACATAACTTATGTTATCTGACTATTGTGTATTTAGGTTTTTATGGAATAAATATTAAAGTAGTCCTAAGTATCTATTAGTTAGCTGTATAGTTTCTAAGGTTCTGCAATATTTTTATATATATCTGGTAATGAATATTTTACCAATTTAAATAAACATGTTCAGCAATTCACAGCCTCAGTTCATGGTTGCATTTCAAGAGACCTTACGAAGCGCATTTAATATTGTTTTCATTTGTCCAACACTAAATGGTGTCAAAATTAATTGACAAGATCTTTCATTTATTTAGTTTTTGTAATGTCATAGTTGCATATCAAAACCAGAATGGACTTCTCTCTGGCTTTTTATGTTACATTATATAACACGCTTTATTGCTCGAACTTTTGTTCCCAACCCCAAATCTGTTGTTATATTTTACATTTTTAATTTGAATTAGAGAATTCTAGAACTCAGTTATGTTTTTAATTTTTTTAATCTTTTAAATATATTTTTAGTTGAAATGATACTTAAATATAGTTGTTAATTCCTCTTTATCTGACTTTTCATTTAATCATTTATTTGTTTTCCCAGGTTTCATAATGATGACTTTTTTCTAGGGAAAGAGAGATCTTTTATAAAGTGACATGAAACCCCTCCTTGTTTTTATGAAAGAGCTGATACATACATTCCTTCTCCTAGGTTAAGATTTTGAACAAGGGAAAGTTTAAGTGTCTTTGACATTTGCTTTTATTTAAAGTCATATTGAAATTTTTTGCAGGTAGACTGACAGTTATAATTTTTTTTCTCCTATTACCTTTTAAAACCACAGCTTGGTCTCTAGAAGGAGTAATAATAGGGGAGTTAGAAAGCTAATTTACCGTACTTGATAATGTTAGGCAAGTAAGAGACTTTGTCAGGTAAAAGAGGTGCTTTATTTTGTAAGAGTATTTTTTTTTTAGCAGACTATTAAGCAAGATTTCTTTTCTATCTTTCACCAAAGCTTTCCAATTGTTGTATGTTTCTCTGTGGATGATGTTAAAAGTTCATTTCTCTGAACAAATTCAAGAAATTTTCTTGACCCTACTCCTTTATAGGTACCCTTGCATAGCAGTGCTGACCACTTACATACAAGACACCTCTGGGCAGCTCATACCTTATCTTGGCTATGTTTTACTACTGTGGTTTGTTTAAGAAATTTTGTTTTTAAAGCTGTTTTCTTATATAATGAAATTGCATAAGATTACTGTGTCTGAAAAATAATGTTTTCTTAACTGAGCACAAAAACATCTCTGCACATGTCTTTGATGTTTTTATTCAGTTCTTTGAAGGAGAACTAATGCTGATGACTTCTAGTATTTTAGTATCTGATAGCTTCTACGGTTTTGAGGGTTGTCACTTTTTAAAATATTTTGTTTCGTTTTTGTTTTGTGTTTTTGTTTTTCCCCATGATGTTGTTTCTAATTCTTACGCATTGAACTGATGTTTCCCATTTAATTTGTAAGGCTGCAGATGTTGCATACTCTTTGGCATAGTGGCTGGAAAAACTCTCAGCAGCCCTAGAGATGTTGAGTTAACTTATGACAATTCTAACAACATGCTTTCTTTCCTCCCTACCTGATCTATTAAATAATATTTATTCATTAGTGAAAATTAGCTACAGTGTATCATGAAAGAGATGCAGATTGTCCATTTCCTTGAAGAAATGCATAATTAAGTTCAAAAGATAAGGTACCATCTGATTTAAAGACTTTTTTGACAAAACATCAAGGAATATTCTCTTTTGTTTGACCAATAATATATCCTTTAGGTGACTCGTTGGGTGGTATTAGGAATACTCAAACATTCAGAAAGGCTTTTCAGCAAACGTTTGGCAAATCACTCAATGATCAGACATTATCCTTGTTTTGGTGATGTTGCACTGTCTCTCTATTCCTAAGATGTTTACATATACAATACAAAGTTGGAATCCTTCCCTCTCTCATCCTTGGTAAAGACAAAAACAAAAACAAAAAATAGTATATGAACCTAATTTTGTTTTTATATATGCAATATATAAAATATAAATTTTCCTAAGTCATATTAATAATATGCATGTATTTTATTGCTCAAAGTATTATTTACATATCAAATATATAAACATTTTATTTGTATGTAGTCTATAATATATGGTAATATATATTAATGTTACATATTTATATATAGAATCATGAATATAATTTTTATTTATAGAATACAGAAATATTCTAATTTGTTTATAGACTATGCACACATACATTCTATTATATAATTCTTATATTTGATAAAATAATATTCTATAAATATATTTTATATATTTTATATTATATTTATATATTTATATATTATATATAAAATACATATCTAGTTGAAATCTAATGTTTTTAACATTTTTCTGAAGATGAAAATCTTCAAAATACTTTTGCAAAACACATTCGTGGGCTCTAGTCCAGACCTAAAATATCACAATTTATAGGAATAAATTCTAGTTATCTACATACTTAATAGTTACCCCAAATGATTTTTGTCAGAAATTATGACAGTCACTGTACTCTAGTCAACACAGCTTGGCGTGTCATACGAGGGATTTACAAGATGGCTACCAACCAGCTTTACAAGTTTATCTCCTGTGACTACCCTCGTCTATGTTCCAGCCACAAAGCACAAGACCCCTATGGTATTCATGCCTTTAAGCTTTAAACTTGGTATTTCCTCTTCTCAGAATGCCCATTCCTTTCCCTTTATTCATTAGTTGAATACCTTGCAATCCTTTAGACTCAGCTAAAATATCAGCCCCTCTGGAAGACCTAAAATACAAAGTTTATATTAATAATTTTAGCTAATAACTTTTTAAGTTGTTTTCATGTACTATGGTACCTTGCTAAGTTCTTTATTTACATTTCCTCATTAAGCTGTATATCATCACCCTCTATGCCTAGCTATTGTTGATGTCCCCATTTTATAAAGGAGGTAGATACCAAGGCTTAGAGTAGTTAGTTTGTTGGCCAAGTTCATAGGACGGTAATGGTGGACAAAAGGTTCAAACCTAGATCTACTAGACCCTCTCAAAACGGGAATCTAAGAGCCCAGACTCTAGGGTCCTCCCTGGATTGGCAGCTGAAGCTAACCCATCCTTCCCGCACAGACATTATAATGAAGCAGCATCCTCTCTGCTCCATGTCCAGGCAGATCTCTAGGCATTTAGTGTGACCACTTGCTTGAATCAGCAGCCTGAGCTGGCCCATCCTTCCTTTGCATACTGTGGTAAAGTGCCGCCTTCCCTGCCCCAAGTTCAGGTGTATTTACCTGTATAAAAATAATTCAAAGCACACATTTGCATGGATTTGCAGACTGAATAACCTCACCCTCCATGTGTGGAGATTGTGGTGCATCAGGGCCCTCTACACTCCACACACAGACAGATCTCCAGGCATCTGGAGCACTCCCTCCCCTGAGTTAGGAGTCTAGGTTGCCTCCATTCCCCATGCAGAGAACTTGAGGCCAAGAGATTCCTCAACTCTGTGGCTAGGCACACTACCAGGTGCTTGATGGCCACCTGCTAGATTCTGCCTTGGTGCTGGGGCTTGTGTCTGGCATTAGGGGACCTCTATGCGGGCCTGCTCAATCTGGCCCTGCCCATCTTGCTCCCTGAACTGCCCTGCCCCCCGGCAGGGCTGAGCAGGTAACTCAGATCACTGTGCAATCTATGGATCAGACTGGTGCCCAAGGCACCAAAGAGCTTCTCCCAGTAAACTAGGATGAAGTATATACCCAGCCACGTTGGCTGAAGCCAGCTCTTACTCATAAGTGTCAACCGCTGGCATATAGGTTGAACCACGCAGCCCAATATAAAACCTGCCTACAGAAATGGCTATAGAAGGGAAGGCAAAAGACTCTACCCAATATTCTGTACAGTCACATACCCTAAGAAGTGGGGAAAAGAAAGGGAAAGAAAATAAGTAATATCACAGGGTAAGAAAGAAAAAAAATCCTACCTGTATAAAAATAATTACAAAAGTTAAAAGTGCCATCATCTCCAGATAAGAAGAAACCAGTACAATAATCTGCCATCATAAAAATTCTGAATATAGTGATGCCACTAAAGAATCACACTAGTTCTCCAGGAGCATTCCCTAGCCAAAATGGAAACTAAGAAATGACAGATAAATAATTCAAAACATGGATTACAAGGAAGCTCAATGAGATCCAACCCAAGATGGAAAATCAACACGAATAAACTAAAGTAATAAAGAAAATGAAGGACGAGATAAACATCTTTAAAAGAAACAAGTCAGAGTTTCTGGAATTGAAAAACTCACTTAAAAGTTTCAACATACAATTGAAAGCTTTATCAATAAACTGAACCAAACAGAAGAATATCACAGCCTGAAAATGGTCTTTTGAACTAAGTCAGAAAAAAAAAAACCTTTTTAAAAATGAACAAAGCCTTTGAAAGATATGGGATTATGCAACATGACCAAACTTATGCATCATTGGTGTTTCTGAGAGAGAAAGAGAAAAAGTAAACAACATGAAAAATATATATGGGAATAATTCAAGAAAATTCTCCTAATCCTGCCAGAGAGGTACAAATCTAGATAGAAGAAATCCAGAGAACACCTGCCAGATACAATAGAAAATGAACATCACCAAGGCATATAGTCTTCAGATTCTCCAAGATCAATGCTACAGAAAAAAATCTTAAAGGAAGCTGGAGAATAAAATTTAAAAAAATTAAAAAATGAAAAGGAAGCTGGAGATAAGGTCAGATCATGTACAAAAGGAACTCCATCAACCTAACAGCAGATTTCTCAACAGAGATGTTACAAGACAGGAGACATTAGAGGGCTATTTTCAGCATTTTAAAGAAGAGAAATTCAAACCAAGAATTTTATATTCCCCAAACTAAGGCTCATAAGTGAAGGAGAAATAACATTTTTCCAGACAAGCAAGCACTAAGGGAATTTGTTACCACTAGACCTCCCTTACAAGAGATCTCTAAGGGTGCTCTGAATGTGGAAATGAAAGGACAATATCTAGAATCACAAAAACACATTTGAGTACATAGCCCACAGACCCTATAAAACACCCACACAATAGAAACAATGAAGTAATCAGCTAAGAATTTCATAATAGGATCAAAACCTAACATATCAATATTAACCTTGAATGTCAATGGTCTAAACACTCCACTTAAAAGGCATAGAGTAGCAAATGGTATGAAAATTTAAGACAAATCCATCTGCTATATTCCAGAGACTCAACTCACACATAACAACACCCACAGGATCAAAGTAAAGGATTGGAGAAAGGTCTGCCACACAAATGGAAAACAAAAAAAAGTAGGAGTTGTTATTCTTGTAGCAGATAAAATAGACTTTAAATCAACAACAGTAGAAAAGAACAAAGAAGGGCATTATATAATGATAAAAGGTTCAATTCAAAAAGAAGACTTAACTATGCTAAATGTATACACACCTAACAATGGAGCATCCAGATTCATAAAACAAGTAATTCTCAACCTGCAAAAAGACATAGGTAGCCACACAATAATAGTGAGGAACTTCAACACCCCACTGACAACATTAGACAGATCATTGAGGCAGAATACTAACAAAAATATTCTGGATGTAAATTTGACACTTGACCCATTGTATCTAATACACATCTACAGAATACCCCTCAACCATAGAATATGCATCCTTCTCATCTGTACATGGACCATACTCCAAGATTAACCACATGCTCTGCCACAAAGCAAGTCTCAGTAAGTTCAAAAGTATCAAAATCACATCAGCCATGCTATCAGACCACAGTAGAATAAAAATACAAATCAATATCAAGAAGATCTCTCAAGTCAATGAAATTACATGGAAATTATACAACTGACTCCTGAATGATTTGGGGTAAACAGTGAAGGAATCAACTTTTTAAAACTTTGACATAAACAAGAACAGAGACACAACATGACACAATCTTTAAGAAAAAATAAAGGAGAGAAGATTCAAATAAGCACAATCAAAAACAAAAAGGGTGAGATTATAGTGATCCTTCAGAAATACAAAAGACTCTCTGAGACTATTAGTTAACACCTCTGTGCACTCAGACTAGAAAATCTAGAGGAAATGGATAAATTCCTGAAAACACACAATCTCCCAAGATAGCATCAGGAAGAAATTGAAACTCTTAAGAGGTCAAATATAGAGTTCTGAAATTGAACCAGTAATAAAAAAAAAAAAAACCTATCAGTTATAAAAAGCTCCAGGCTAGAGGGAGTCACAGCTGAATTCTACCAGATGTACCAGAAGAGCTGGTACCAATCCTATCAAAACTATCTTAAAAAATCAACGAGGATGGACTCCTCCCTAACTCATTCTCTGAAGCCAGCATCACTCTGACACAAAAACCTGGCAAAGACACAATGAAAAAAGAAAGCTACAAGTCAATATTCCAGATGAAAATATGAATAAAGATGCAAACATCCTGAACAAAATACTAGCAAACTGAATTCAGCATCACATCAAAAATCCATCATGATTAAGTTAGCTTAATTCCTGGGATGCAAGGTTGGTTCAACCATATGCAAATAAATAAATGTGATTCGCCACATAGAAAGAATTAAAAACTATTGCGGGATCTGGCCAGCAGCCTGCAATGCAACAGGGCTCTTTCTTTGCTCCCAGGCAGATCAGCAGGTCAAGAAATAAAAGACACACACGAGATAGTGAAAGCTGGGTCCAGGGGGGGTCACTGCCTTCTGGTCCTGTGATGCCGCCAATGCACAGGATGTACCAGCATTTATTATTAAGTTTAGTGAGGGCGGGGGTAGGTTAGTGAGGGATTTAGGGTCATTTGATTATGAGGTGAGATTGTCACATGGGGATGAAGTAATTCTTTAACATAACATCTGTATGCAGAAGTACAGTATATAGAGATAAGAATTTACAATATAGTGTGTGCATCAGCAATTTCTAACAGAGCCTTAAAACAGAAACACAGTCTTTCCATAACTTATGATTAGCAAGATATTAATCAGCAGTAAGAGTGGCAGCAAAAGCTGGTTACAAACAATCAATAGAAACAGGACATGAAGTTAGACAACCAGTTAGACCAGAAATTCTCAGAAGGGTGTATGCCTTAATCCTAAAGAGGCCTAGAAGAGCCATGGCAAGATAAGGGTGTTTATAGCCCTATCTTATCCATATGGACAGGCGACCCTCATGCATCCATTTATAGACTCTCCACAAGGGTCGCATTCCATTCCCAGAGCTATGAACATCTGCTTTTCTGGGATAGGAATCTTGGTGATGTGAAACCTCCCTGACTGCACATCCATTCATAGGCTCTCTGCAGGGGGAAGCACATCACGCGCTGTTGGCTCATTCTGGCAGCCCATCCCGGCATTGTCTTTACACAATCCCGCATGCAGTTTTGTATTTACAATAATCAGGAGCATTTCCTCTTTTATTCCGTAGCAATAGTTTCAGGGGGTCTCCCTACAAAAAACAAAACCAAAAGAAATGATCATCTCAATAGATACAGAGAAATCTTTCAGTAAAATCCAACATCCCTTCATGATAAAAAACCCTCAAGAAACTAGCCATTGGAGGAATATAACTAAAAAAGAAAAACCATTTATGTCAAACCCACAGTTAACATCATATTCAATGGGCAAATGTTGGAAGCATTTCCCTTGAAAACTGGCACAGACAAGGATTCCTTCTCTTACCACTCCTATTTAACATAGTATTGGAAGCCCTAACCTGTGCAATCAGGCAAGAGAAAGAAATAAAAGGTATCCAAATGGGAAAAGAAGAAATCAAACTATCTCTCTTCATTGACAATGTCATTGTATACCTAGAAAACTCTAAAATTTCTGTCAAAAGTCTCCTGCAACTGATAAATGACTTCAGGACAGTTTCAAGGTACAAAATTAATGTACACAATTCAGTAGCATTTCTATATACTAATAACGTTCAAGCTGAGAGCCAAATCAAAAATGGAGTCTCATTACAACAGCCACACACACACACACACACACACACAAATACTTAGAAATACATGTAACCAAGGAGGTGAAATATCTCTACAAGGAGTGCTATGAAACATTCCTGAAATAAATCAGAATGATACAAGCATATGGAAAAAAATTCCATGCTCATGAATTGGAAGAATCAATACCATTAGAATGCCCATATTGCCCAAAGAAATCTACAGATTCAATGCTATTCCTATCAAACCAATGTCATTTTTCACAGAATTAGGAAAAAAACTATTCTGAATTTTATATGGAACCAATGAAAGAGCCCGAACAGTCAAAGAAATCCTAAGCAAAATGAATAAAGCTGGAGGCATCACATTATCTGACTTCAAAGTATAAGGCTACAGTAACCAAAATAGCATGGTACTGGTACACAAGCAGACACATAAAGCAAGAGAACAGAATAGAGAACTTAGAAATAAAACCATATACCTGTAGCTATCTGATCTTCAACAAGTTGATAAAAATAAGCAATGGAAAAAAGATTCCCTTTTCTATGAATGGTGCTGGAATAGCAGGTTAGATACATGCAGAAAACTAAAACTGGTAAAATTGCCTTTTGCCATATAAAAAAATTAGCTCAAGATTGATTAAAGGTTTAAATTTAAGACTTTATGCTATAAGAACCCTAGAAGAAAATCCAGGAAACACCATTCTGGGTATCAGCCTTGGGAAAAATTTTGTGACTAAGTCCTCAAAAGTAATTGCAACAAAACAAAAATTGACAAGCAGGACCTAATTAAACTATAGAGCTTCTGCACAGCAAAAGAAATGATCAACAGAGTAAACAGAAAATCTACAGAATAGGAGAAAATATTCACAAACTGTGCATCCAACAAAGGTCTAGTATCCAGAATCTATAAGGAACTTAAAGGATTTAACATGCAAACAACAAATAATCCCATTAAAATGTAGGCAAAGGACATGAACAGACACTTCTCAAAAGAGGACGTACAAGTGGCCAACAAACATGAAAAAAAATCCTCAACATCACTAATCATCAGAGAAATGTAAATCAAAACCACAATGAGATGACATCTCACACTAGTCAGAATGACTATTATTAAAAAGTCAAAAAATAACAGCTGCTGGCAAGGCTGTGGAAAAAAGGGAATACTTACTTACACCCTGTTGGTGGGAATGTAAATTAGTTCAGTCACTGCTGAGAGCAGTTTGGAGATTTCTCAAAGCACTTAAAACAGAACTACCATTTGACCCAGCAATCCCATTACTGGATATATATCCAAAAGAAAACAATCATTCTACCAAAAAGATACACGCACTTATATGTTCAGCACAACACTATTAATAACAGCAAAGACATGAAATCAATCTAAGTGCCCATCCATGGTGGATTGGATTAAGAAAATGTAGTACATATATACCATGGAATACTATGCTTCCATAAAAAAGAACAAAGTAATGTCTTTTGCAGCAACTTGGATGCAGTTTGAGGACTTTCTTCTAAGCAAATTCACACAGGAACAGAACACCAAATAGTGCATGTTCTTATGTCTAAGTGAGAGCTAAACACTGTATACTTATGGACATAAAAATGGCAGCAGTAGACAGTGGGGACCATTAGAGGAGAAAGGGAGGGAAGGGGACAGGGTTGAAAAACTAAATATTGGGTACTATGCTCACTACCTTGGTGATGGCATCAATTGTACATACTCCAAACATCAGCCTCCCACAGTAAAGCTATGTAACAAGCCTGTGCATGTACCTCCTGAATATAAAATAAAAGTTGAAACTACTTTAAAAATAATTTTATTAAAGTTACTTAAGACAGTCCCTGGCGCATGGTAGGTACTCCACAGAGAAATTAATTTTATTGTACCAGAAGGAGCATTGAGTCATATCGCATGGCCCCTTTTTCAAATGCATTTTCTGTTCCTAGTCAAAATATTTTCATTTAAAAATAGAAGATAAAGGAAGTAGAAAGTGAATATCTGTGAAGGTGTCTTCTAATTTTTTTTTCCTCCCTTTTAGTCAGAAGCCAGAGTCTAAAGCAAGTTCAGGTGCGCCACATAAACCTGGCTCAAACTAATCAAAGGCAACCCATCAGAACTACAAGATTTTTCATATGTGTTTCCCATGTCTCCTCTTAACCTGCTTTCCTCATCTTTGCGTTCAGTTTCTCCTTCAAGACTCCTGGCTCTGCACAGCTGGCTTTTGTCTCTTTCCTTCACAGCCCTGGCTTTGTGCATCACTTGACCTCTAGTTCTTACTCCTCTTCCTCAAGACCTCTCTATGCTGTTGGCTTTCATAATTTTTCTGCACTTAAATTGTGCTATGGATGATAATATCTTTTCACAACCCATGGTATTTTTTTCTTATCTTCTTCTTAGAATTCAGTCCAATTTTCCAACAAAACCTCTCTCGCCATTTTTCATTTTATCATCTGTTTTTCTAGAAACCAGTACAGAGAATCATACATAAGAAACATTGTCCGTTTTCTTTCCTTAAACAAAAATTTTCTTATTGTGGCTTAAATATACTGTTCATGCTCATAATACACCACATGTTATAAGGAACCAAATCAATGGAAGAAGGCTATTTTATCAGTAGATGCCATAAGCATTTTCCTTGTACGTGCTCATAGATGTCCAAAGAGCAGGCTAGAGGTCACTGAATCGGGACATGTGAGTTCTAAAAGGAAAAAAAGTGAGTTGACCGCACTTAATCTTTTTCCCCGAACTATTATTTTGCTCTAGTTCATAAAGCTTTGACATACATTGTGAAGATTCACTCCGAGTATTGCATAAGTCTCAAAGCAGTGCCTCGCACAATAGCATGAGGATGTTCTGTCTTTTTTACCCTCACTTTTCCTATGTAATGGTGTCCATTTTAACTGTTTATATAAAGAGATCATGAATTGAAATTCCAGCAAAATTTTATAATAGACTATTACAAATTTTATTATCAGCCTCTGACCAGTCTTAATCACTCTACATCCCCTTATTTTACCCCATTTGAGACACTGTATTCACAGGAAACTCAGGAAGCTTGAGTTCTTTATCTCCTTATCCCGAAACCCATTAAAACCTGAAATCCCGAATAGAGATGGAATCACAACATTCGTTTTGGAGTCAGGAACCTCAGTAAGTTTGAGTTCTTTACCTCCTTATCCCAAAACCCATTAAAACCTGAAATCCAGAATGGAGATGGAATCACAGCATTCGTTTTGGAGTCAGGAACCTCAGTAAGCTTGAGTTCTTTACCTCCTTATCCCAAAACCCATTAAAACCTGAAATCCCGAATAGAGATGGAATCACAGCATTCGTTTTGGAGTCAGACACTTCTGATTTCAATACCAAGCCCTGACAACTGGTATCAATATAACCCATAGCAAGTTATTTAATCAATTTAACAACCCTTATAATTGAGTTTCCTCCCTTATAAATGAGGGTAATAACAGTCCTTAGTTCTCACAAACTGTTGTGAGGATTCCATGAAATTGCTAGGTACTGCTGAGGTTTGGTAGGAGCATTAATTCTAAGCCAGGATCTTTCTTCTCTCTCTCTCTCTGTCTCTAAAAATGTATGTGTATATATTTTAATATATATATATACACACACACACATACACATATACATATAAAACATGTAAATATATACACACGTATATATTCACATATTTGTTTATACTAGAATAAAAGTGTTTGGCATTTCACTTTTTTGATCTTGTTATTGGAAGCGATCCGTCCTGTTTCCTGTACATATCTCCAAGAGCACAACTTGTAAAGGTGTATTCATTTCTCCCATAAAGGAAGTTATCTCTACTGTGTCGTTATCACACTTAATATGCATCTTCAAGGTAAATGATGTTCTAACAGTGAGTGAGAAAAATTACTACCTTTACAAGACAAATCACGGAATGGAGAAAGCATTTTAAAACAGATGTGTGGAAATATTCCCAATATTATGTGAGTTTGCTTTGAAAAATACTAAGTGTATCACCTACAAAACCTCTCATATCTGGACACATGCTCAGAAATGGATTTTCTAAAGTGTTTCAGTATCCTTTAAAGGAGAAGTTCCAGTGGATTTTGATCACTTTGATTAAACACAAATATATACAGTTTCTGACTGGTTTCAAAATGCAATTCATATAGACAGAAAAGGAGATGAAATTTACTAGCCTATTTTTTCAATCAGAACTTTATATTAGTTGGTAGTTGAGACTGAATAAAGAGTCTTATGATTTAGTGAGGACAGTCAATAAAACCCCTTCCAATAATGGACCCATATATCTCTATAACACAGTTTTTTGATTCTGACAATCATTAGCACCATTACCTGAAACACACTGAATTTGAACTGGGGCTTTTCAAAGCTTTAAGACAAAGTGCTAGAGAAAACATTTGCAAAAAATTATAAAGTATAGGCTCTCTGATTTATCTCACTGAAAAGTTATTACTAATAATTTGTCATATAATATCAGCTTAGAAAATGACAATATATTATTAATAAATATAATAGTAGTAGCTAAAATATTCTCTTTCATCTATTAATTGCTATTTTTGTTTATAATATCTGATAAATGTTAGTATATTAGTACATTTGTCTACTGCATACATAGTTGGCAGATCTTAATGTCAAAAATTGTTTTTAAACATTTGAAAGGACTAAACCTTTTACAAACATCTTCTTGATGTGGATACTACTGATTTTGTTGTAAAGGTGACACTGAGACAATGTATGAATTCCTTTGCAGAAGAGATAGATTGAGGGTTGCTTGAAAGAGAAGGAATTTGTGTTTTTGTGTTTATAGAGTGAGACTGTCCTCCTTCCCTCTAGCTCCCTCTGTGTTAATTTCTAGGGCTGCAATAACAATGTACCAGAGACAGTGTTGCTTAAAACAATGGAAATTTATTCTCTGACAGTTTGGAAGGCCAGAGGTCTGAAATAAAGATGGCAGTAGGGCCATGTTCCCTCTGGAGGCTCTAGGGAAGTGTCCTTCCTTGCCTCTTCCTAGCTCCTAGCTCTTGGCTAACCATTGACATTCCTTGACTTGTAGCTGCATCACTCCACTCACCACCTCTATCATCTAAGGCCTTCTTTTCCCTCTAGGTCTCTGTATCCAAATCTCCCTCTTTTTTCTCTTCTTTGGACACCAGTCATTAGCTTTAGGGCCCACCCAAATCCAGTATGACCTCACCTTAACTTGATTACATATGCAAAGACTCTATTTCCAAATAAGGTCACATTCACAGGTAATAGTGACTAGGATTTGAACATCTTTTGGGGGTCACAATTCAACCCACTGTACTCTGGCTCTCCCAATTCTTCTCTGCTTCCTTGCTCTCTTCAATCATTGCCTTCTTTTTACCTAGGGGCCTTTGAGTTTTCTGGATGTTCTCCATATTAGAGCCCTTATACAACATCAAAAGGCCATGGGCTATGTGGGACATGAGGCTTCAACTTGCAGGAAGGGTTGGGCTGTGGCAGGGCATGAAGGATCATGCGGTGTGATTCAGTGGTTACCATTTGCTTTCTTATCCTTTGCAGTTCTCTGTGCTCTAGAACTAAGTGACAGCAATTGAGTACATTTTTTTTCCCTCTTATTCTATTGTGGCTGCCCCCAAAAGCACCATGGATTATGCCATTTTACCCAGATTTCAGAAGCCTACACTTCAACCCCAAAGGGAACCAGTCACTTTCTCTGGATCCAGGCAGAGGTGAATTGGGATGAATACATCAGCCCCAATCACAAACCTCCTTTGAATTGAGTACCTTGAAGTTCATATAATCCACCCAACCTATTTAATAGAAGTATTCACATTTTCCCAGTAGTCTGAAGACATTTTTTTGTTCAGTTCAATAACATTTCCATGTGCTTTTGTTAGTCAATATTTACTGTGCAATCACGAGTCCAGGATAGATGTGGACAGTGCACAGAAAGGTGTACCTTATTATGTTTAAATTAATGAGTTTTATATTTCAACTTCTATAGTCCTTGTTCTATATTCTTTAACTCATATTTTTCTTCTCTTTCATGATTAGATTCCTGATACTCATTATGGCAATACATAGATATATAGAATTTCCCTTTTTCATAATTGATCTTCCTCCCTCCCTGTCAAACAGTAGTTGTCCTTCCTCTCCTCTGTCTCATCTCTAATTCATCTCTTTTCATTATATAAGATATATATATATACCAGCCTAGTACCATCATAGTTTATCTCTGTAACTTTTTTCCCTCAATTGCTGCCCAATTATTTCATGTTTTATGCTTTGTTTCAACTGATATATTAGACTGCAGCTATTCAGTAATGCCAAATTCACTTGTAGAGTCTCTTTCCAGAGTAGACCCAGGGGAACCAGCTTCTTTGTCCTCCTTATCTTTGACACTACCTCACTATAAATGACACTCTTAAGAACTGAGCTAACTGGCCCAAAAAGATAATTTAATAGAACTAATAGGTGACAGACATTTGACTTTATGAAAGGCAGACATTTTTTTTTCCCACAGGAGAACATGAGTTCTTTCAATAGAAAAACAGGATGCAATTTTGTTTTTTAGTGCTAAGGGACATGTCTGTTATTCACACCAATAGTCTTTCAAGCTGTGACAGTTTCTACCTCCTATATTGTAATGATAGCTGAGCTTTTCACAATACCTTTGCTCCTTAACACATTTTTTTTTTCTGCAAGCTCTTTCATGGGAGACTTTTTTTTTAAAGATTAGTGTGCATGAGATACATTGCATGAAGGTTTTTAAAATATATTTCTTTCTATTTTAAACTTTTGCACCAGAGACATAAATAATGTCAACTTATTTTGCTGGCCTCTCCTTTATTTTTTGCCCACTTGTTCCAGGAAAGGGTTACTCCTTTTCTTTAAAAGACTCAACTCCTTATTTTACCTTGCCTTCTTTTCATGAGTAATTTGGTTGCTGAAATACTCTTGCAGCTCTTACTAGTGCCTTATTCCCCAGCTTACTTACTGTTCACAGTCCTCTGCTGCATTCTTCACTTTCCTTTATAATCCTCATAGTTTTTCTGTCTACCTCTTTTATGCTTGGCATATTTCCTCAAAGTGTAACAAAAAAAAAAAAAAGTGTGTGCTTTTTTTTTTTCCATTGCTCTATTTGCCACATGTAGCCATTCTCTTAGTGACTGTCATAAAGTAAAGCAAATCTCTGCAAAGGCTTTATCGTTGGAGTTCAGCACCAGGAATGATTTCCATTACCTAGCATTTCAGGAGTCCTCATATAGTTGATCGGCATTGTTTCAAGGACTTTGCTCTGTCCCTTGTCTTCGAAATGGCCTGCCATAAGCTTGCATAAATGCTGCAAACTCTTTATGACATACAGTGGTGAGCACGTTTATTTCAGGGGCCCTGCCTTGCCTTCAGAGCCTTATTATTATTTTTCCCTTTTCTTCAAAAGTTGTGCTTTTATGTATTTAGTGCTTTCACCAGTCAATAGCATTATAACATTAAAAACATTGTAAACCAAGGTCTTTGGAGTCTGCCAGAGACCTGAGTACAAATCTAAGTTTTGCCACTGACTGGTTGGGTCACCTTCATGAGTTAATTAACTGCTCTCATCCTTAGATTCTTCACCTGGAAATATAAATAGTTAATCATAAGGTTATTGGGAGGATTATGTCTGTGTTTGTGACTGTGCACTGGGGAATGTTCAATAAATGTTGGCTATTATTTTTTACAAGTGTATACAGAGCTTTCTCCAACACTGCACAGTTTCTATTTGTGAAACATGCCATCATAGTTTGTCAGTGATTTCAGTGATTTCTCTTATTCCATCTATGAAGGCTTTCTTTATTTTTTGGTGGAATTTAGTGCTTGTTGCCCCAGGCTGGAGTGCAATGGCAGGATCTCGGCTCACCGCAACCTCCCCCTCCCGGGTTCAAGCGATTCTCTTGTCTCAGCCTCCCAAGTAGCTAGGATTACAGGCATGCACCAACATACCCAGCTAATTTTGTATTTTTTTAGTAGAGACGGGGTTTCTCCATGTTGGTCAGGGGGGTCTCGAATTCCAGACCTCAGGTGATCCACCCGCCTCAGCAGTCCAAAAGGCTGGGATTACAGGCAAGAGCCACCGCACCGGCCCTCTATTTAGGCTTTCAAAGGCTTCATAATTTCTTCTTACCTAAGACTGTGTAATTCAATTCTTTATAGGTAGATCTTTATATAACATTTTACCATTCTTCCTTTCAAATAAAAATTTTAAAAAATACAGAATAACAAAACAATTAAAGTCACTCATAATTTTATGTATCTGTAGTGGGTTTAGATATGTATGTGCATGTGTATATGTGTGTGCATGTATGTATGCATAATTATATCTACAATTATATTTATATTTATGTAAAAGCGTGTCTCCCCACCACTCTAATGTCCCTCTGTTATCACCACTAAAAGAAAACAATTTTTTTACAATTTGATGATGTGAATATGGTGATTCATTTTGCTATGCTTATAGGTATATATTATTTACACATACATTATTGCTTAAAAATGTGTTTTAATATTCATACTTTATATGCATAATTAATGCCAGTTCATTAGGCAATTTTTCCTTCTCTTTTGCTCCATATTGACATTACTTTCCTGTAAGTTTTAAAGAATTAATTACCAATAGAAAAATTAATCATACAAAGCATGTACATTTCACTCTAGAGTTTGCAATGTGTTTTTCACATGTTATTTTGTTTAGTGTCCACTGCCATGTTGTGAAATGGATTACAATATTTCTATTTTATAAATGAAGGTATCCCAAATCACAAGGGTTAAGTAGTGGAGAAACTTTAGACCCCAAGACTGCAGGCCTCGAAATCTCAAATCCCTGACACTTTCCTGGGGGAAGTGCATAACCACCCTAAACAGTTGGTTTTACGTTTTTCCACCTTCTCCTACTGCCTGCCATGAGATTGGTGCACCATATTTTATCACTTGAATCACTTTATATTGAAAATTGTGTTCATTAAATTTTCAAGGTCTTTCCTATACTTCTATGTATTCCTCAAATAAATTTCTCCCATTAGTATGACATAAACTAAAAGCAGGTACATTACTTCATTTTTCAGAATCCAAGAGTAGCTATGTTTTCTCTAAATAAAACTCATTCTCAATATTCCCATTTCTCAGATATAATATAGGAATCTAGACGTAGTCATTAAAACAGTGTAGTGGTTAAAAATTATAAGATTTGAAGATCCACTGCCCAAGTTCAAATCTCAATTCTGAGACTTCTTAGCTGTGTAACTTTTGTCTGGTCCTCAGTTTCCCTGTCTCTACAATAAAAATGGTAATAATACCTATACCCAAAGATTGTGGAAATGATTAATAGACTCAATATTTTCAGACATTTACCAGTTTTAAACATTAATTTCACAACATTAATACTGTTTGTCCTATAATGAGTTCTGAGAAATGTTAACTAAGATTATCATTATGATAAAAATAAGGCACAGCTATTGGTCTAAAATTCTCTTTTTTGGTTGCGTCTCTGCCCGGCTTTGGTATCAGGATGATGCTGGCCTCATAAAATGAGCTAGGGAGGATTCCCTCTTTTTCTATTGATTGGAATAGTTTCAGAAGGAATGGTACCAGTTCCTCCTTGTACCTCTGGTAGAATTCGGTGGTGAATACATCTGGTCCTGGACTCTTTTTGGTTGGTAAGCTATTGATTATTGCCACAATTTCAGAGCCTGTTATTGGTCTATTCAGAGATTCAACTTCTTCCTGGTTTACTCTTGGGAGGGTGTATGTGTCAACGAATTTATCCATTTCTTCTAGATTTTCTAGTTTATTTGCATAGAGGTGTTTGTAGTATTCTCTGATGGTAGTTTGTATTTCTGTGGGATCGGTGGTGATATCCCTTTTATCATTTTTTATTGCGTCTATTTGATTCTTCTCTCTTTTTTTCTTTATTAGTCTTGCTAGCGGTCTATCAATTTTGTTGATCCTTTCAAAAAACCAGCTCTTGGATTCATTAATTTTTTATGAACATTGATGCAAAAATCCTCAATAAAATACTGGCAAACCGAATCCAGCAGCACATCAAAAAGCTTATCCACCATGATCAAGTGGGCTTCATCCCTGGGATGCAAGGCTGGTTCAATATACACAAATCAATAAATGTAATCCAGCATATAAACAGAACCAAAGACAAAAACCACATGATTATCTCAATAGATGCAGAAAAGGCCTTTGACAAAATTCAACAACCCTTCATGCTAAAAACTCTCAATAAATTAGGTATTGATGGGACGTATCTCAAAATAATAAGAGCTATCTATGACAAACCCACAGCCAATATCATACTGAATGGGCAAAAACCAGCTCTTGGATTCATTAAATTTTTATGAACATTGATGCAAAAATCCTCAATAAAATACTGGCAAACCGAATCCAGCAGCACATCAAAAAGCTTATCCACCATGATCAAGTGGGCTTCATCCCTGGGATGCAAGGCTGGTTCAACATACGCAAATCAATAAATGTAATCCCTTTGAAAACTGGCGCAAGACAGGGATGCCCTCTCTAACCACTCCTATTCAACACAGTGTTGGAAGTTCTGGCCAGGGCAATTAGGCAGGAGAAGGAAATAAAAGGTATTCAATTAGGAAAAGAGGAAGTCAAATTGTCCCTGTTTGCAGATGACATGATTGTATATCTAGAAAACCCCATTGTCTCACCCCAAAATCTCCTTAAGCTGATAAGCAACTTCAGCAAAGTCTCAGGATACAAAATCAATGTACAAAAATCACAAGCATTCTTATACACCAATAACAGACAAACAGAGAGCCAAATCATGAGTGAACTCCCATTCACAATTGCTTCAAAGAGAATAAAATACCTAGGAATCCAACGTACAAGGGACGTGAAGGAGCTCTTCAAGGAGAACTACAAACCACTGCTCAATGAAATAAAAGAGGATACAAACAAATGGAAGAACATTCCATGCTCATGGGTAGGAAGAATCAATATCGTGAAAATGGCCATACTGCCCAAGGTAATTTATAGATTCAATGCCATCCCCATCAAGCTACCAATGACTTTCTTCACAGAATTGGAAAAAACTACTTTAAAGTTCATATGGAACCAAAAAAGAGCCTGCATCACCAAGTCAATCCTAAGCCAAAAGAACAAAGCTGGAGGCATCACGCTACCTGACTTCAAACTATACTACAAGGCTATAGTAACCAAAACAGCATGGTACTGGTACCAAAACAGAGATATAGATCAATGGAACAGAACAGAGCCCTCAGAAATAACGCCGCATATCTACAACTGTCTGATCTTTGACAAACCTGAGAAAAACAAGCAATGGGGAAAGGATTCCCTATTTAATAAATGGTGCTAGGAAAACTGGCTAGCCATATGTAGAAAGCTGAAACTGGATCCCTTCCTTACACCTTATACAAAAATTAATTCAAGATGGATTAAAGACTTAAATGTTAGACCTAAAACCATAAAAACCCTAGAAGAAAACCTAGGCAATACCATTCAGGACATAGGCATGGGCAAGGACTTCATGTCTAAAACACCAAAAGCAATGGCAACAAAAGCCAAAATTGACAAATGGAATCTAATTAAACTAAAGAGCTTCTGCACAGCAAAAGAAACTACCATCAGAGTGAACAGGCAACCTACAAAATGGGAGAAAATTTTCGCAACCTACTCATCTGACAAAGGGCTAATATCCAGAATCTACAATGAACTCAAAGAAACTTACAAGAAAAAAACAACCCCATCAACAAGTGGGCGAAGGACATGAACAGACACTTCTCAAAAGGAGACATTTATGCAGCCAAAAAACACATGAAAAAATGCTCACCATCACTGGCCATCAGAGAAATGCAAATCAAAACCACAATGAGATACCATCTCACACCAGTTAGATTGGCAATCATTAAAAAGTCAGGAAACAACAGATGCTGAAGAGGATGTGGAGAAATAGGAACACTTTTACACTGTTGGTGGGACTGTAAACTAGTTCAACCATTGTGGAAATCAGTGTGGCGATTCCTCAGGGATCTAGAACTAGAAATACCATTTGACCCAGCCATCCCATTACTGAGTATATACCCAAAGGACTATAAATCATGCTGCTATAAAGACACATGCACACGTATGTTTATTGCGGCACTATTCACAATAGCAAAGACTTGGAACCAACCCAAATGTCCAACAATGATAGACTGGATTAAGAAAATGTGGCACATATACACCATGGAATACTATGCAGCCATAAAAAATGATGAGTTCATGTCCTTTGTAGGGACATGGATGAAATTGGAAATCATCATTCTCAGTAAACTATCGCAAGGACAAAAAACCAAACACCGCATGTTCTCACTCATAGGTGGGAATGGAACAATGAGAACACATGGACACAGGAAGGGGAACATCACACTCTGGGGACTGTTGTGGGGTGGGGGGAGCAGGGAGGGATAGCATTAGGAGATATACCTAATGCTAAATGACAAGTTAATGGGTGCAGCACACCAGCATGACACATTTATACATATGTAACTAACCTGCACATTGTGCACATGTACCCTAAAACTTAAAGTATAATAAAATAAAATAAAAAATAAAATAAAAATAAGGCATAGAGTAATCAGATAGCTTTCCCAGATAGCATTAAAGATGATGACAAAAATCATTTCCTGTACAAAACAATGTGCTTTCCACTGATCAGTTTTGTACTGGCTATTTTACAGTGACTAATGAGAGCTCTGCACAGACTGAATACCAAAACTTTTACCATATTCTTGTAATATTCCTATAACTGCGTATGAATTGATGTTTTATGGAGATATTTAAACAGAAAGAATTATAGATGTATTGATATTGTGAATACACAGCTTACAGATATCCTATATATTTATATGTGAACACATTTATTGTGTGATTACTGCATCTGTTAAAATGTCTGATAAAGCAAACTCTGATGGACAAGTGATATTAAAACTGTACTTTCTACTTTTCAAATAATGAAAACATTTAGAGAATGCAATGGGTTTATAAAAAGGGAAGGAGGCTAGTAGATGCTGGAGTTCTAGTTCTATCTGCTCCTAAATGTGTGATCTATTTGATACATAGGTTAATATATTTAAATCTATTCTTTGCCTCTTAACATGGCAGGTCTGGAGTAGGTCATCTCTAAAATTACTGCCAGCTTTGGCATTTTGATTTCTCTTTGAATAACTTAGAACTTTATATTTACAATTGTTGTAAGTGTAATGCAGATCATGAAAGTGTTGAAGATCATACAAATGTTGTCTTCAAATTCTTACACTGAATGGGCTGGGCGCAGTGGCTCATGCCTGTAATGCCAGCTCTTTGGGAGGCTGAGGTGGAAGGATCACAAGGTCAGGAGTTCCAAACCAACCTGGTCAAGATGGTGAAACCCCGTCTCTACTAAAAATACAAAAAAAAAAAAAAAAAAATTAGCAGGGCGGGTGGCATGTACCTGTAGTCCCAGTTACTAAGAGGCTGAGGCAGGAGAATTGCTTGAACCTGGGAGGCTGAGGTTGCAGTGAGCCGAGATCACACCACTGCACCCCAGCCTGGGTGACAGAGTGAGACATTGTCTCAAAAAAAAAAAAAAAGAAAAAGAAAAAGAAAAAAAAATCTTACCCTGAATGGAGACTACTTATAAAATAGAACAATTATAACAGTATGCCAGCATTACTACTCTGGCACTTTAGGGTCATTATTAAGTTAAATAAGGGTGACTTGAAAACAGTCACTGCAATGCCACCACAGTCGATCTCATAACCAAGACTACTAAATAACTAGTGGGTGGGAAGTGTTAGCATGGAGACTCTGGACAAAGAGATGATTCATATCTTCCATGGGATAGGTGGGATGGCATGAGATTTCATCACATTACTCAGAAGGGCATGCAATGTAAAACTTGTCAATTTCTATTTCTGGATTTTCCATTTAAGATTTCTGGGCTGTGGTCGACTGGGGGTAAGTGAAACCTAGGAAAGCAAAACAGAGCATAAAAGGGGCATTACCGTATATGCCAGACCCTGAGCTAGTGTCTCAATAGCTAGATGATGAACGACTGAGTAAACTGACAAACAGAAGCCATAGATGTCAGCCCTAGGAGTAAAGAGGCAATCCTAGAAAAAACCATGGTTTAAAAGGATATGGTACCACGGAAGGAATGATCGATTGCATTAGCAAATGCAGTTCAGTCATAGAAGGCATGTTTATTTGTTGTCTGCTCCTGTTAGAAATCTGCTTTTAAGGTTGAATTGTTGAACAGTACTCTGTCATGTCAGGAGGATACAGGATTTACAAGTAAACTGGTCACCTATGCAATCTGGCATTAATTGCACAATTTCCTCTAGACTAAATTTAGAGCATCTGTATTAAGGAACACATCGTTAAGAGAGATTCCCAGAGAAACGTGCCTACTTCCCTAACATATTTCTGCTTCCAACACTCTATAATCAGCCCATTCCTTCCCCAGGCTAAAAACAATCTAAGGCAATAGCTAAAGAGAAAAACTAGAGCATAATCAGGTAAAATATGTATAGGGTACCCCAGTCCCTTCTTTTGAAGTAAAATAAAAGAAATAAAAGGAAAGGAAGTGGTGATTACAGGTATGTGATGAATGCTCACTATGCCTGGAGACTACGGACAAGTAAGGCATAGTCGTTGGAATCTACTTTAAGGTTAAAATACACTATAGCCATTCACACGCTTGTTATGCCACACTTGTTACTGGAGTCACTGAGATAAATTTTTGAGCTTCATTGTCTTTGTTTTTCCACTATTAATTTTACTTATTGCATGTTTTTAATATGCTAGACACTGTTCAATGTAATGCATATATTATCAGTACCTAATTGTAGAACTATCCCGTGAAGGACATCGCCATGCTCATTTTACAGACGAAAAAACAAAGGCTCAGATAGGGTCTACCAGTAGCCAATAGAGGAGTTGGGGTTTGATCCCAGGTCTTCCTCAAAACTAATGTATTTACAGTTAGCCTCTATTCTACACAGCCTTCAAAATCTTTTTCAGTGGAGATACTTGAAGTAAAGTGAAAAGAGTAAGCAGATAAATTCAGTTTACATTTCACCCAATGCCAAATAAAGCTTTCCCTAATCTTGTTTACTCTAAGAATATAAAGTTATTTTCTTAACTGGCTTAATGCATATTCATAAACACTATTAAACTGTCTAGGTTTGGCCAATCGTGGTGGCTCACGCCTGTAATCCCAGCACTTTGGGAGGCCGAGACCGGCGGATCACGAGGTCAGGAGATTGAGACCATACTGGCTAACACGGTGAAACCCCGTTTCTACTAAACAAAATACAAAAAATTAGCCGGGCGTGGTGGCGGGCGGCTGTAGTCCCAGCTACTCGGGAGGCTGAGGCAGGAGAATGGCATGAACCCGGGAGGTGGAGCTTGCAAGGAGCCAAGATTGCGCCACTGCACTCCAGCCTGGGCTACAGAGCGAGACTCTGTCTCAAAAAAACAAATTGTACTTGATAAACAATACAATTTCATGTAGAGAACATGGGGAACTGAACAAGATCACTGTGAGAGCAAAGCCTGAATTCCATAAATGTCCTTCAAGTATTTTCTAGTATAGAAAAATACCTATTTTAGAACATGAATTTCTTCTTTTTGATGGCCAGCTATGACGGACTCTCCAGAAATATTCACATGTTCACAAATTTTGAGTGTGCTTTAGGAATATTAGGCAAAAAGAAATGTTTAAAATAATGATGAAAACAAAAATGAAAAGTTATGATACACTGAACATGTAGTATGTGCAAGGAAAATTAAATGAATTTCTTGAATTGATTATTAATTTACCTTATTAGAGCTTAGGAGCCTATGAGATTCCATGTTGTCCTAACTACAAATCAGAACATTAAGGAGGACTAGTCTCTTTTGAACCAGTGCTTCTCAACCTGGGGTGTATTACCCTTAGGGGATTCCTGCATTCCAGAAATATTATTCACTTTTCATGTGCCTTTATATTTTTTTGGGAGGAGAGAGTCCATTTTTTTTCACCAGATGGCTAGAGATATCTGTGATTTTCTCCAAACTGAACTAGAGATGAAAAAATAAAACTATATACTGGCACCAAAATTGTGGTCAATATTTAATGACATTGGAGAGTACTTTTGAAATAATGTTGATTAAAAATTAAGAAAAAAATTATGTGGAGATATCTCATAACATCTCACATCTATAAAATAATTTATTGAAGATTTCAAATATACCATAATGTAAACAAACAGCAGTTATCTATCTGCTCATAGATAACTTTTAGTCTCTTTTTCCATTTATTTGTTAATGTTTAATGTTTTTAAGGTGTTATTTTAAAAGCTTTTTAGAATGACCATATTTTAACATTACACTAGAAAAATCAATATTTTAAAGATATTTGAATAAATAATATAAAATAAAATATATTCAACATGATTCCCCTTAATACCACCAGACTCTCCTGAGAAAAAGTGGACTTTTCATTTATCTAGAAAATTTGATTCAAATTTTTTGAATGTCCTGATTCATTTGTTCTGAAGGGAGACCTGCTGGTGCTGTCGGGAATGTGAATATTCATCATTAACTTATGATTTACATTCAGTTCTCCGATACTTTCCAATTGGGAAAAGTGGTCTTTATGTTCTCAAAGTTCTTTGCTAAAGGGGAATGTTTATCGTATGATTTTTATAGACAATCTGGTGTGTATGATCCAAATTAGATTTTGAAAAGCTTTTTTGCTCCAAATTGGCAGCTATTTAAGGACACTGGTGGCGCAGAAAATTCTTGTCCCCATCATGTCTCCAATCCTCTGAGATTTTATGCTTTTTTGTAGGTTTCATTTTATTTAAACCCGTGCAAATTTTTGAGAATGTAATCACATATCTACAATGAATCTTCTTAAAGCAAACAAAATTGTTTAAGTGGTGATTATGCATTTTTTTAACACTGAGCTCTGACATTCACTTTATTTTGAAGAGACACTTTACAGGCTTATTACAGAATAGCTCTTTGACTGGCCGTATATGAAATAATCTTTTTAAATGGCAGAATGATTGTTTGATTACAAAATTATTAATCGCAATTTGAGCTCTTTAGAGTTGGATGGGATGTCAGAGGTTATCTGGTATATTTTTCCATCTGATGCCTAAGTTGCCTCCAAATTTTCTAACATCTGAACACTCTGCGTGACCTAGAACATATTATCTCATTGGGCCAAGCATTCTGAATCAAGTAACTTTAATTTTAGACAAGCTTCTTTATTGCATGAAATCCCAATGCTTCTCTTTTGAAATGCTAGTAATTAATTTTTGTCCTGACTTTTAGGGTTATATGAAAAAAGTCTTATTCTTTCAAATTCCAGATGGAGAAGATTTACTACAAGCTACAATCAACCAGTCCAAACTAGATTAAGCAAAAAAGATAATAAATATTAATTCAATGCAGAATTGAGCAGGTAGAGTTTGGTCCTAAAGTGTGTGGCTTAATTACGATTTTGGCTTTCTATGTGTAAGACCCTCTCAGTGTACAGTAATTGTCTTATCTGTGGGACAATTTGTTGCACTTAACATAAATTTTAGCAGTTTTATACAACACTATTGAACTAATTTGTTTTCTCCGTGTGTTTCTCTTGTGCATATCAACTTTACCTTTTGTTATGAATCTCCTTTTGGAACCAAATTTTAAGATTTATAATCATTATGCTTCATTTTTTCTGATATGAACTATGATAATAACCAGTTGATATCTCTGGTTTGAATCACCTGTAAATTTTATGATTATGTCAAGTATGTTCTTAGACTATATAATGCATATAGATAACCTAACACTATACTTGCTGCATGTAGACTCAAGGTCTATTTGAAGTAAACTAGCATCATTCAAAGTATTACTAAAATGGTTGAATGGGGCAAAGCATAAGATAAAATTCTGCCATAAGACTTTACTCTTCTATCATGACAAACTGACTTTAATCATCACATTTAGGTTGCACATCAACCTAGAGCCTGATCCAGGTTTTGTTTAGCCAACCGGAAACAAAGCAAAAAACTTTAATCAAATGCCTGGCTGATATGTGTGCACGTGCATGTGCACACAAACACACATGTATACTATACGTACATTTGTATGCATATATGTGCATATATATGCAATCTAGACAAGCAACACTTAGCACACTAGCTGTCTGCTGTCTTGGATATATATTTTTTCCATAATGATTACATTTTATTTTTCAAATAAAAATAACATTTACTTTATGTTGAGTTTTTACCATAGTTTGTAAGCCCAAGTGTCTTATTTGTCATAACTTAAGCTATCTGACCAGCTTAAAGTACTTAAGAAATGCCTACTCAATAATTTATTCCAGAATTTTCTAGGAAATTATGTTTGATTCCTGATCTTCAGGAATCTACCTCTACCATCTAGGCATTTGTCTGACTCATTCTTCCAGTACCGATTTGACTTTCCAGGAGTCCCTGAAATTACACTAGTGGATGCCGTGCCCAGATCCCCTCTTCAGGTTTGAAGCACTTAACTCCCTATAGCTGTTGCACCTGCTGGTGGTAAAGGCCTCAGCTGTCAGCCTGTCTAAAAATGTCCTTCAGCTGATGAAAGCTGCCTCACACACAGCCACGCTCTTTTCTGGGGACAGCCTGGATCTGGTGACTCTTCCATACAGGAATGTAAAAACATACCCGCTTCTGACAGCTGAATAACCTCGAGGGCCCATCCCAGCCTCAGTGCTCTCCAGGAGATCACCCGAGCTCTTTGTAACTGCTTTGTAGCTCAACTTTTCTTTGCCAATCCTACTTCCTAATAAACTTTTTTCATGTTACTCTCCATCTCTGTCTGCTTCCCAGGGAACCCAATTTGAAGCAGTTACTGAGTCCAAGTCAGAGCTCTCATTTCTAAGTTCTCGGAGCAATGACTTGATTCATCTTGGCCAGATAGCTTCTAATCCATTTTTACCCTTTAACTCCTTCTAGTCCTGCTTGAAATTTAATTATTTCTTAAACATTTGTGTTCAAATTTTCTAGTCATATCTACATACACAAAAAATAATTTTAGATCACTTTTTTTAAACTGGATAGCTAATGAGAAATGTTATCAAAAATATGAAAAACTTGTGTTTTATTATCTCAACCTTCAAAGTTTTAGTGAAAGCGTTGGCACAACTTCATTGGTAAAGATAATGGGGCATAAAATAGAGAGATTATTGTTTCTAGAATATACTGTTTTCTGGTAATATTATTCACAGTTGGCATCAGGCTTTCTCTAGAAATTAATCTCATTTATTCAGTACATAAAAGTGTTATGAAACTATTAGACCTAATTAAAACTCCAATAATTACCTGCTTATAAAATAATTTATAACTTTGTAGATAACAATAACTAGTTTGAAAAGAAAATGACAGTAACGGATCTCATCCAGAGTAAAAACAAAATTTAAAATCTTTAAAGATAAGCATAACAGAAATGTAAAGGGCCTATACAAAGAAAGCTACACTTTTTTTTTTTTTTTCTGAAGATGGAGTCTTGCTCTATTGCCCACACTGGAGTGCAATGGCGCCATCTCGGCTCACTGCAACCTCCAACAAAATTTTGTTAAGGCACACAGAAAAGATTTGAAAATGTAAGAAGACAAAGGTGGTGATTATCTCAAAATAAATAATTTTAAAAACACTATATGTATGCAGGCAATGAATTAAAATGCTTACGCTGTAAACAGCTCCAACAAGTTAATGATAAAACTATCAGCACCTTATTAAAAATATGGAGCAGAGATGTCTGAGTAATGGAACTGGCTCCACCATTTATTAACTTTGAATAACATGGTAGAGTACAAAGTCCCTGTGAGCCTGGGACTCCATATCGACTGCAAAGCAAATTGTCTACCTTATGGAGTTAATGCAAGGAACAATAGCGATGATGAAATCTCTAAAACACACTGCCTGATTCTTGGCTGCCTTAATTAATTCAAATAATGACGGCTTTACTTAATCTTGTGAAAATAAATAAATAAATATATATATATATGTATGCAAAATGAAAGAAAAAATCTACTCTAGAAATGGAGGAAATTAAAATAAACATTACAATGAAGCATCATATTTTACTTACAAAACTTGCAAATTTTAAGGATTTTAATCACATTATTTACAATAACACAAAGTTTATAAATGCACAACAAATTGTGGAATTCTATATGTTGGCCATTGGATGGCTTTTAGAAAATGATCTTATTATATTGTACAAGTACATTTGATGATATAAAAAATATTCACTATACTTTGACTGGAATGTTATTAAATTCCCAGGGAACCCATTTTGTTAATGAAGGAATAAAAATGTAAATTCTAGTGAATAGTAGCCACATAGGAATATAACTGTTGTGTTATATTAGACCTTCCCCCCCAAAAAAAAGACTTAGGTAGGTATATTAAGGAGGATTACATAGAAAATCGTGTTTGAATTGTAAAGGAGCCAAATGGGAAATGATGCCAACTGGCACATATTCTATGCATTAACTGGTACTTTCATGGTATAGTAAGCAAAATTATAGTATATTACTTAATTGCCTAGAAATCTCCATGTACTCATTCACACATTGTGAATTATAAATATTATTTTTACTTCCAAGTATTTTCCTCCCTGGAAGTGTATTGCTTCTTTGTTTTTAATACAAGAGTGTAAAAGGAAAGTATTCCACAACATTTTTAACTGTGTCAAGAACAGTAGCAAAAAATATCTCTGATAGTGAAAATAACATAATTTCACTTAGGTGCACTGATGCTTGGTAAGATCATTTGTAGAATTATGGGCATTGCTTGAAGAACTGTTCTTAGTTATTTATTTTACTGATAGAAAAAATATTTTGCTCCACATTGGTTGTAAAAATAATGTAGAGAATTAACTTCATCCTCTAGCAAATAAAAGTAAAAAAAGAAAAGTAAATTTTTATAAAATAGGAGATAGAAACATATTTAACTATTAATTATCAGAAAAATAAGTATCCCTGAATTTAACATAGTCCCTGTATTATTTTAGTGATATACTTTACAATGGAACAGTCAATGGAAATAAAGAATATTATTTGCTTATTAGAGGGAGGAATTTTGTACTTACTAAAATGTCCATAGTATACAAGTTCTCTTCAATTCGGATGGATTGTGAAAAGGTTAAAATTATATCTAATATATATAATGTAATCTTTCATTATTATAACATATTTATTATATATAATACAATGTAACTATTATATTATGTATATAATATAATATATATTATATGATAAAAATTGTATAATATATAATATATACACATATATACTATATAATATATACTTTTATTATATATTATAATTATATATTATATTTGTATTAGATATTAAATACTATATAATATATACTTTTATATATTTTATATAATATATTGTAAAATTATATTATATCTAATGATGAATATGTTACGATGAAAGGAATATATAATTGTCAGCTTTTTACAAACCATCTGAATTGAAGAGAAGTTGTGTACTATGGACATTTTATATATTATAAAAGTTACAATATACTTTATAAATAATGCTGAATATATTATAATGATGTTCTTTTCAGTTGTGTATATGTATGTGAACCAGTGTTTTGCAAATCTATAAGAAGAAGAGAACCAGTCAGACAATTTACAAGGAAAAGATTTATGACTTGCTCACCATTGAAGAAATTGATAAGACATATAAGAATCACATGTTTTCAATCCACATTCCAGGAATCCCTAGGGATTATTTAAATCAGTGTGTCCCAGTCAAAATTTTTCTAGCAGGAGAAAAAGAAACAGAAAACAAAGAAGATAGCATGAAAAATGGTCTCAGTTAAAGATTACCAGGAAGGAAGGCATGAAAGGATACGAATTAATAACTTCCTCCCACCATCTCCCAGCCCTTCTGCAGCTTCCAGTACAAGTGCACATGTCTCATTAGTTTTTGAATTCACACCTATTAGAATGGCTACAACTTTATTTCCATAAGTTCAAATATAATCATTTTCATTAAACAGGAAGTAACAAGCACAACTGAAGTGGTTTTCTTTCCGTGCTCCTCCTTAAAAATATGTGCTTACTTACTGATATAGTTTGGCTGTGTTCCCACCCAAATCTCATCTTGAATTGTAACTCCCACAATTCCCATGTATCGTGGGAGGAACCCAGTGGAAGGTAATTGAATCATGGGGGCGGGTCTTTCCCATGCTGTTCTTGTGATGGTGAATAAGTCTCACGAGATCTGATGGTTTTAAAAAGGGGAGTTTCCCCGTATAAGCTCTCCTCTCTGCCACCATGTGAGATTCACCTTTCACCTTCCTCCATGATTGTGAGGCCTCCACAGCCCTGTGGAACTGTAAGTCCAATAAACATCTTTCTTTTGTAAATTGCCCAGTCTCAGATATGTCTTTATCAGCAGAGTGAAAACAGACTACTACGGTAAATTGGTACCAGCAGTGGGGTACTGCTGAAAAGATACCCGAAAATGTGGAAGCAACTTTGGAACTGGGTAGCAGGCAGGGGCTGCAACAGTTTGGAGGGCTCAGAAAAAGACAGGAAAATGTGGGAAAGTTTGGAACTCCCCATAGACTTGTTGAATGACTTTATCCAAAATGCTGATAGTGATATGGACCATAAAGTCCAGGCTGAGATGGTCTCAGATGGAAATGAGGAACTTGTTGGGAACAGTAGCAAAAGGTGACTCTTGTTATGTTTTAGCAAAGACACTAAGCATTTTTCCCCTGCCCTAGAGATTTGTGGAACTTTGAACTTGGAGAGATGATTTAGGGTATCTGGTGAAATAAATTTCTAAGCAGCAAAGCATTCAAGAGGTGACTTGGGTGCTGTTAAAGGCATTCATTTTTATAACAGAAGCAGCATAAAGCTTTGGAAAATTTGCAGCCTGACAATGTGATAGAAAAGAAAATCCCAGCAGGGCATGGTGGCTCACGCCTGTAATCCCAGCACTTTGGGAGGCTGAGGTGAGCACATCACCTGAGGTCAGGAGTTCAAGACCAGCCTGGCCAACATGGGAAAACCCCGTCTCTACTAAAAAAAAAAATACAAAAAATTAGCCAGGCGCAGTGGCGGGTGCCTATAATCCCAGCTACTCGGGAAACTGAGGCAGGGAGAATTGCTTGAACCGGGGAGGCGGAAGTTGCAGTGAGCTGAGATTGCACCACTTGCACTCCAGCTTGGACAACAGAGCGAGACTCCATCTCAAAAAAAAAGAAAAAAGAAAAAAAGAAAATCCCATTTTTTGAGAAGAAATCCTAGACAACTACAGAAATTTGCATAAGTCATGAGGAGCCGAATGTTAATCCCTAAGAAAATGGGGAAAATGTCTCCAGGGCATGCCAGAGGTCTTTCCAGCAGCCCCTCCCATCAAAGGCCCAGAGGCCTAGGAGGTAAAAGTGGTTTTATGGGCTGAGCCCAGGGTCTCCGTGCTGTGTGCAGCCTAGGGACTTGGCAACCTGTGTCTCAGCTGCTATAGCCATGGCTGAAAGGGGCCAACATAGAGCTCAGGCCGTGGCTTCAGTGGGTGCAAGCCCCAACCCGTGGCAGCTTCCACATGGTGTTGAGCCTGCAGGTGCACAGAAGTCAAGAATTGAGGTTTGAGAACCTCTGCCTAGATGTCAGAAGATGAATGGAAACGCCTGGATACCCAAGCAGAAGTTTGATGCAGGGGTGGGGCTCTCATAGAGAACCTCTGCTAGGGCAGTACAGGAGGACAATGTGGGCTAGGAGCCCCCACACAGAGTCCTTACTGGGTCACCACCTAGTGGAGGTATGAGAAGAGGGCCACTGTCCTCCAGACCCTAGAATGATAGATCCACTGACAGCTTGCACCATGTGCCTGGAAAAGCTACAGACACTCAACACCACCCCGTGAAGGCAGCTGGGAGTGAGGCTGTACCCTGCAAAGCCACAGGGGTCGAGATGCCCGAAGACTATGGGAACCTACCTCTTGCATCAGCATGACCTGGATGTGAGACATAGAATCAAAGCAGATCCTTTTGGAGCTTTAATATTTGACTGCCCTGCTGGATTTTAGACCTGCATGGGGCCTGTGGCCCCTTTGTTTTGTCCAATTTCTCCCATTGGCAATGACTGTATTTACCCAATGCCTTTACCCCCACTCTATCTAGGAAGTAACTAACTTGCTTTTTGATTTTACAGACTCATAGGCGGAAGGCGCATGCCTTGTTTCAGATGATACTTTGTGCTGTGAACTTTTGAGTTAATGCTGAAATGAGTTAAGACTTTGGAGGACTGTTGGGAAGGCATGACTGGTTTTGAAATGTGAGGACATGAGATTTGAGAGGAGTCAGAGGTGGAATGATATAGTTTGGCTGTGTCTCCACCCAAATCTCATCTTGAATTGTAACTCCTACAATTCCCATGTGTTGTGGAAGGAACCCAGTGGGAGGTAATTGAATCATGGGGCAAGTCTTTCCCATACTGTTCTCATGATAGTGAATAAGTCTCACAAGATCTGATGGTTTTAAAAAGGGGAGCTTCCCCACACAATCTCTCTTCTCCTGTCTGGCGCCGTGTGAGATGTGCCTTTCACATTCCACCATGTTTGTAACGCCTCCCCAGCCACGTGGAACTGTAAGTCCCATAAATCTCTTTATTTTGTAAATTGCCCAGTCTCAGGTGTGTCTATCAGCAGTGTGAAAATGGACTAGTACACTTACACATTCAAAAATAAATCATTTTTTCTTAATAAAGGGCAAAAATGAATTCATTTTAAACTCATTACGTATTATATATCAACAATTTTAAATACATAATGTATTTTATCTCTATTATTGAGTACCAGTTGACAATTTGGAATGTAGTAAAGCAGTATTTATCACTATTAGGTACGGGGCAGAAAATTTTTTATATGTTAGTTTTATATATATATATTTTTTTCATTAGTTGTGTAAAACAATATTTCTTTAGTGGTCTGAATATTGTTTCTTTCCAAGGCACAAATAACATAATTCAGCTTACATATTGGACTTATCAATAGAAATGAAACAAAACGATTTCTTTTGTGTGCATATATATATGTGAGAGTAAAGAACAAATGAAACAAAAATGCTTTGGGCAGGCCAATTATCTCTTTTGTCTCAAGCATATTCAAAGTGTCTTCAAAAACATGGAGTTTACATTGTTTGAATCAATAAATCATTCAGTATGAATGCCTTGCTCTACTCTTCAGACAACATAATTAGCAAACTAAACAGTATGAAGCATATCCAGGTGGAGAGATGATGTTTAATTAAAAATGGGACTACTTCCAATAATTTTATTTGTTTTGAGTTGCAATTTTCAGCCTTTGCACTGTTGAGCAGTGATCTAGATTTCCAAAGTGGAATCACGTTAGGAGGTGTTAATTTTGCTTCTTTGAAAGTGAGTTGCTTTAGTCATTTTCCCAATGAACAGTCTGTATTTTTTGCTTTTGTTTTTTGTTTTGTTTTGTTTTTTGGTCTGAGAAGCATTATTTAACTCTTCTGTTTCATTTTGAATACGTGTACTATTTGAGTAAGTCTTTCCCTCATTAAATAATTTTTTATTACTACAAGCCAAGCACTGTGCTGCATGTAGGAGATACAGTGGTAAAAAGGATATAGCAGTGTTTTTTCTTATGAAACTCACATTGAATTTTTAAAAATTTACTTATGTCATTAAAATGACATAAGTAAAAGCATAATTATATACAAAACCAATTTGTGTTAACTAATAGATAGAGGCAGTCACTTTGGATTCAGTAGTTAGAGAAAACTCTTTGGGTCCATTAAGCTAATACTGGATAGTTGACTATAAATTAGTCATGCAAAAGTGGGAGTGGAAGGTTTTTCTAGAGAAAAAGTGCATGCTTTGAATCAGGAAAGGCTTTGACATACTCTGTTAATTCCTAAAGGTCACTGTGGATAGAGAATAGTGAACGTGGAGAAAGTGGCCCTGTATAAATTTGGTGATATAAGTATTAGTCAAATTACAAAAAGGATTATAGTTCACGGTTAAAAGCTTGAATTTTATTCTAAAGTCAATTAAAAGCATGAAGTTTTATTGTCAACTGTGGAGGAATATGTGTTGAGTTATGGTTAGCCATGGAAGATGAACTAGTAACAGTTCAGATGAAATATGACAGTGTCTTGGATAGGGAAAGTGGTTATGAAAATGCAGAGAACTGGATACAGTGGAGCTATTATTAAATAAACAATTTTAACTAAACTTAGTCCTATTTGAGGACCAAGTATGTAGCCATTATGTGGCTATTATTCTGTAGCCAAATTTCTCAACAGCAGCACTACTGACATTTTATTACAGACACGCAATTTGTGTTTTAGGTTGTCCTGTCCATTGTAGCATTCTTGGCCTTTACATACTAGATGCCAGCAGCACACCTCCTTCCCGGACCAGGCCCGTTTTGGCAATCAGAAATGAGTCCAGACATTGCCAAATGTTATTTTGGAGGCAAAATGTCCCATACTTAAGAACTGCTTTTCCATAGTGATAGGTCTAGTGTCTGAGTTATTGAAGAGCAATATGCTGGGAATGAAAATAAATGTTCAACTTCACTTCAGTAACTCAGGGAAAACAATTTCAGAAACATGGAGAGTTCCAGTGAAACCACAGGCTGAGAAGCTGACTGGATATTCTGCCTCCACATCTTCTGTTATGGGATGAATTCTATACTTTCTTATTTTTGAAACCTGCTGGTATAAGTGTGTGTGTGTGCGTGTGGCAGGGTGGGGTCAAGTATGGGAAAGCCCCTTCCATTTAGGTTGAAGGACTGAATCATAATTGCAAATAATGGTGCAAATCAGAATCTCCTAATGATCTTGGCAGTTTACTTCACTCATACATTTAACAAATATTTATCAAGTGCTTGCTCTTCTATGTGCCAAGAATGTTTTGGACATTGAGAAGACAGTAGTAAATAAGAGACAAAAATGCCTGCTCTCCAGGAGCTTATCTGTAATGGGGAAAAGCTTGATAGAATTGTAAATTTTCAGGCCTCAGTTAGAAAGATTCTCATTTAGCAGGACTAGGGTGGAACACAGGAATTGGAATTTTTGTCAAGCATTTGGGCTGTAAATGTTTTTATTACTGCATTTTGAGGAACATTGAGTTTGAGTCTAAATGGAAGCCTCTGAGGTATTTTAGACATATTTTAAAAAATGATCCCTGGAGATTCAGGGATCATTTATTAAAATATGTTTATTTATATTTTTATATATACACATTTACATGTATAAATATATAGATAGACATATTTTATAAATACATGTTTTTTATATATACACACACACACACACACACACACATACATATACACATTTCTATATCTACAGCTATCTAATGTTGACCATAGGCTAGACAATTGCTAGGTCCTTTGGCTGATGCAAAGTTGTATAACAGTGTATCTGTTTCTAAAAGTGTTATATTTTAGCTCAAAAAGACATGTAAGTGTGCTTGCATGTGTATGCATATCTATACATACCACTAGGTTAAAAATGATTGTTTTGCTTATTATCATTGTTTTAAAAATTCAGGTAGATTTTCACCAAATATAGAGTTATGCTTAAAATGGGCTGTCTTATAGTAGTATATGTACAATATATAAAGTTCCATTTGAAGAGTTGCAGGAAAGCCAAATTCCTGTACAGTAGCAGAAATTGTAGAATGAAAAGTAGCCTCTAAGATTGGCATATATATTTAACACATAAAAGAGAGAAAGAAAAACAGAGGGAGAGAGAAACATGGAGCACTTTCAAATTGGAATATCATATCAATGTCCTCAAGCAGGTATCTGAAATTTTAGGTGTTTCTGTTTAAGTTGTTTCATAGAAAAATTCTAAGGTCTATGGCAATGGTTCTCAAATAATGGTGTCTAAGAATCACGTGAAGAGCTAATTGAGAATATAGAGTCTTGGGTTTGTGGAAGTCTGATATAGCCTGGCCTCTGCAGCTGTACCAATTTCTCCAGTGATTCTCATACACACCAAAGTTTGAGAACAGTTTTGCTGCCGGAAGAGTAGCAGCAGAAAACGGTTTATTTAACCATGGTTAATGATACTTCCAAGTCACATAAGAGGCTGCTAGAAATTTATAAATGTATACAGACATTTGCAAAAGTCCTATGCAATTACAGGAGTTTGTCAATTTTTGCATATATGATAGATATGAAATCGTATTTCAGTATCATTTTAATTTGTATCTATCCTCTCATAAGGTAATTTGAGAATATTTTTATATGTTTAAAAACCATTTTCATATCTTTCTTCATTAATTGTACGTCTTTTGTCCACTTTTCCAATTTTTAAAATTTTATGTATATTAGAGATATCGGCCCCTTGTTCTTTAAGTGAAAAAGATTGCCAAGACCATTCTAAGTGTCAGGACCTGCGCAGAAAATGACAAAGGATATAGAAGAGCAAATACTCTGTGTGTTGGATGAGAGCAGTAATTTCAAATGGGAAATTGGCCTTGAAATATATAAATAGTAGTGTTAGATAATATGTGGATATAATACTAAATTACTTTGAATCTTTCAGTGAATCATCATTCTAATTATATCAAAAAAGAGTTAATTTGGTGGTATTTGATAATCCTGTATTTTTTGAAAGAAGAAAGAGGCCTCAGGCTCAGAATCAGATGCAGGAAATGGTATCTAATGATAATTTAATCACATTATTTCATTGTGTTTATTTTCCTGTTATTTTCTGCTTATAATAATATTTTGTATTTTTGGAAGAGGGATATAGTGTCTTGAAAAACCCAGTTATTCCAGTAAAAATTGTATCATGTTTATGACAAACCAAAAAATATAATAGTGTAGGTGATGGCAAGAAATGGCCAAATCATGTAGGTGCTTAGGAAATAACTTAAATTTCAGCCGTAGATTTACTTTTACAAGCATGCAGTAAATAACTCTAAGTCTTTTTTTTAAGTCTTTGCTTTTGTTTTTCTTGTTAAGCGGTGTCATCTGTGATGTTCTGGCTCAGGTGAAGTATTGGTATGTCCACATGTTGTGGTCTTTTAGTGCCTAGTTCAGGGTTTTTCCTAAATGTTTTTCATTTCAAGAAGGGAAAGTAGGAGGAAGAAGATAAAAAAGAAGGAGGAGGGGGAAGAGGAGAACAACAGCAAGAAGAACAATGAAGGGAAGAAATTATATACTTTTATATAGGTAGGTTTGGCATATGATTAAAAAATAACAAAATTTTATAGGGGTCAATGATAAGCCAAGTCTCTGATTCCTAATTAATGATTTCATTTCAATGATACTAACAATAAATACAACAATACCGAAAATAAACTTTTATGGACTTTTCCTTTTTTTTTGAGACAAAGTCTCACTCCGTCACCAAGGCTGGAGTGCAGTGGCGCGATCTCGGCTCACTGCAACCTCCGCCTCCCGGATTCAAGTGATTCTCCTGCCTCAGCCTCCCGTGTAGGTAGGATTGTAGTTGCCCGCCACCACTCCCGGCTAATTTTTGTATTTTTAGTAGAGATGGGGTTTCACCATGTTGGCCAGGCTGATCTCAAACTCCTGTCCATCCGCCTCGGCCTCCCAAAGTGCTGGGATTACAGGCGTGAGCCACTGCGCCCGACCTGGATCTTTCTATATGTGTCATAATGAAGGTGTGGATGTATTATCTTTTTTCATGTCCTAACAGTATGGAGGTGAGAGTTATTATGATCTCCATTTCACCTATGAGGAGATTGCAGCTTATAGACGTTAGGAACTTGTTCAACGTAACACAGCTGAGAGTGAGAATCGAAGTTTGGACCCAAACCTCACAAGGTCCGAGTGCCTGTGGTTTTAACCCAAGTAGTATCAGGCCTTCAAGTACATCATACTTTATGGAGAATTTTCTAACATTTTGTTATTTCATGTGTTCTGTACTGCAGCCCTCTGAATTGAGCAGGATCAAAAACAGTCCCCCAAGAGAAAGTTGAGACTTAAATGCACTTGGGAGATTTGTTCTCAGCCACAATATCTACCATTGGATTGGGGCTACAACATCTGTCTTCCGGTGTTGCAGCCTGCAGGTTTTTACTGAGATATTTCCTGTATACACCTCCGACTCAAAGTTAGATGGCAATGGCAGATATTTACTGAAGCCATCTGGGAAAACCTCCAGCTACTAAGCTGTTCAGGCCCCAAATTCTAGGACTGTGTTCTTGATATCCCGCTTAGCCCTTCATTATCTGAGACCATTCTTGGGAGTCTCTTGCCAGGCGACAATGCCTGCATCAAGAAAGATAGATGTCTGGTAGTGGTGCCTCTGCAATTCCTTGCATCCTTGCTTCCTTTGCCCCAGGAGGATTCCCCAGCATGCTCACTTCGGTAGGCCCTCACAGTAGGCCCTTACTTTTAACGAAGAAGTGAGTTACTTCTTACCAAAGAAGTAAGTTAAAGTTAGTAAACTGTACTTTACTAACCACTTTATATTAATTCTCTCAGACCATATTAAAATTAGTTCTTATAATTTAAAAAAAATTGAGACAATATGAAGAATATTAAAGAAAACATGTATAACCCAATACCCAGAATTGACATCCTATAGCATGTTTTATTATTTGCTTGCATTTTTAAAAATAAAATGTTGGCATATATCGAAATTCCTTTTAATAATCCCCTTGTTCCCTTTTCACCACTCTCCTCAGGAGCAAAAATTTTCAGTTTTTGTTTTGTTTTGTTTTGAGACAAGATCTCATTGCATTGCCCAGGCTGGTCTTGAATGCCTGGACTCAAAGGATCCAATTGCCTCAGTAGCTGGGACTACAAACAGATGCCACAGCCCCCAGTTAATTTTTTCTAAATGTTTTATAGAGACAGAGTCTCGCTGTGTTGCCCGGGCTGATCTTGAACTCCTGGCTCAAGTAATCCTCCCGCCTCAATCTCCTGGGAGCTCATAAAATTTTAATACTTTAAAATCTCTTATACTTTAAAAATATTCACTTTTTAATGCTTGTAATACATATATGTAGTTGTAAATAACTAGTGTTGTTTTTTTATAGAGGTTTCGTGTAAATTTTAGCAAACCATATTTGCTAGTTATATCTTGAATTTTTCATTCAATGTTATTTTGAGATACATTTAAAATGAGAATATAAAAAATATATGGACATTATGTAAATAAGCTATACATTCTGTACTATGTACAAATATATGTGTTATGTGTTGTGTGTATATACTTATATATGTGTGTATATATTTACTGATATATATCCATATGTATGTTATTCAGTTTATTCTTTTAATTGCTGAATATTATTTCATGTGATAGATTAACTATATTTATTTATTCTTTTTTTCTTCATTTATTTCCTATTTTCAACTTGAGAGAGTTAAGGCTTAGTATAGAGGTTTAACCAAGACGAATCAGCTAGTAAAAAGTGAAGCTAGGATTTAAATACAAATCCATCTGACTCCAAAGACAAGGATGTCTAATTTGTATACACCTGGATCTCTTTATTTTCCCACGTCCTTTTAAGCCACATGTTCAAAAAGACAAGAATGCAGGCAATGCTAGGAATTTAAAACTTAAATCTGTCTATGTAGACCAGACTACATCTCTTGCACTGTGAAAGTTGGAAAGTAAATGAGAATGAAAGGAGATCAAGAAAAATGTACAAAGATGAAATCATGCATGAGAAGATTTATAAGTAGCCGTAAGTGTTTGGCATTAACTAAAAGAAGTAACAAAATTTCTAAACTGTCATGTACTACACATCATGCTAGTTCCTTTACAAATATTATGCTAAACATCACGATAATCCCAAAAGAGAAATACAGGTGCTTGCCATTTTACAAATGAGAAGCAGAAACGGATATCTGAATAATCTGCCTTTAAGATAACACTGAATAAGTAGAAACACTGGGATTCTAATCCTGAACTGTCCCAAACTTTCGTTCATGTTCTCATACCATGCTCAAAAGCAAGGGATTACAGTTAAAGTTGTTAAAATAGACCTCTAGTACTCGTCATTATAGGGCCTCAGGCCAGGTAACTGGCCAGTAGTATTAATGCACAAAAGGCTGCTTTATGGCCAGGCGCGGTGGCTCACGCCTGTAATCCCAGCACTTTGGGAGGCCGAGACGGGCGGATCACGAGGTCAGGAGATCGAGACCACGGTGAAACCCCGTCTCTACTAAAAATACAAAAAATTAGCCGGGCGCAGTGGCGGGCGCCTGTAGTCCCAGCTACTCCGGAGGCTGAGGCAGGAGAATGGCGTGAACCCGGAAGGCGGAGCTTGCAGTGAGCGGAGATCGCGCCACAGCACTCCCGCCTGGGCGACAGAACGAGACTCCGTCTCAAAAAAAAAAAAAAAAAAGGCTGCTTTAGATAAAATGTCACCAATTATCAAAATCCCTTAATTGATACTTATTTTTTGTCCTGTGTCTTTTGCTGATAAAAGAATTATTAGGGGGGGCAGCCAAGATGGCCGAATAGGAACAGCTCCGGTCTACAGCTCCCAGCGTGAGTGACGCAGAAGACAGGTGATTTCTGCATTTCCATCTGAGGTGCCGGGTTAATCTCACTAGGGAGTGCCAGACAGTGGGCGCAGGTCAGTGGGTGCACGCACCGTGCGCGAGCCGAAGCAGGGCGAGGCATTGCCTCACTCGGGAAGCACGAGGGGTCAGGGAGTTCCCATTCCTAGTCAAAGAAAGGGGTGACGGACGCACCTGGAAAATCGGGTCACTCCCACCCGAATACTGCGCTTTTCCGGCGGGCTTAAAAAACGGCGCACCACGAGACTATATCCCACACCTGGCTCGGAGGGTCCTACACCCACGGAGTATCACTGATTGCTAGCACAGCAGTCTGAGATCAAACTGCAAGGCGTCAGCGAGGCTGGGGGAGGGGCGCCCGCCATTGCCCAGGCTTGATTAGTTAAACAAAGCAGCCAGGAAGCTCGAACTGGGTGGAGCCCACCACAGCTCAAGGAGGCCTGCCTGCCTCTGTAGGCTCCACCTCTGGGGACAGGGCACAGACAAACAAAAAGACAGCAGTAACCTCTGCAGACTTAAATGTCCCTGTCTGACAGCTTTGAAGAGAGCAGCGGTTCTCCCAGCATGCAGCTAGAGATCTGAGAATGGGCAGACTGCCTCCTCAAGTGGACCCCTGACCCCAGAGCAGCCTAACTGGGAGGCACCCCCCAGTAGGGGCAGACTGATACCTCACATGGCTGGGTACTCCTCTGAGACAAAACTTCCAGAGGAACAATCAGACAGCAGCATTCCTGGTTCATGAAAATCCGCTGTTCTGCAGCCACCACTGCTGATACCCAGGCAAACAGGGTCTGCAGTGGACCTCTAGCAAACTCCTACAGACCTGCAGCTAAGGGTCCTGTCTGATAGAAGGAAAACTAACAAACAGAAAGGACATCCACACCAAAAACCCATCTGTACATCACCATCATCAAAGATCAAAAGTAGATAAAACCACAAAGATGGGGAAAAAACAGAGCAGAAAAACTGGAAACTCTAAAAAGCAGAGTGCCTCTCCTCCTCCAAAGGAACGCAGCTCCTCACCAGCAATGGAACAAAACTGGATGGAGAACGACTTTGACGAGTTGAGAGAGGAAGGCTTCAGATGATCAAACTACTCCGAGCTACAGGAGTAAATTCAAACCAAAGGAAAAGAAGTTAAAAACTTTGAAAAAAATTTAGAGAAATGTACAACTAGAATAACCAATACAGAGAAGTGCTTAAAGGAGCTGATGGAGCTGAAAGCCAAGGCTCGAGAACTACGTGAAGAATGCAGAAGCCTCAGGAGCCGATGTGATCAACTGGAAGAAAGGGTATCAGTGATGGAAGATGAAATGAATGAAATGAAGTGAGAAGGGAAGTTTAGAGAAAAAAGAATAAAAAGAAACAAACAAAGCCTCCAAGAAATATGGGACTATGTGAAAAGACCAAATCTACGTCTGATTGGTGTACCTGAAAGTGATGGGGAGAATGGAACCAAGTTGGAAAACACTCTGCAGGATATTATCCAGGAGAACTTCCCCAATCTAGCAAGGCAGGCCAACATTCAGATTCAGGAAATACAGAGAACGCCACAAAGATACTCCTCAAGAAGAGCAACTCCAAGACACATAATTGTCAGATTCACCAAAGTTGAAATGAAGGAAAAAATGTTAAGGGAAGCCAGAGAGAAAGGTCGGGTTACCCTCAAAGGGAAGCCCATCAGACTAACAGCAGATCTCTCGGCAGAAACTCTACAAGCCAGAAGAGAGTAGGGGCCAATATTCAACATTCTTAAAGAAAAGAATTTTCAACCCAGAATTTCATATCCAGCCAAACTAAGCTTCATAAGTGAAGGAGAAATAAAATAGTTTACAGAGAAGCAAATGCTGAGAGATTTCATCACCACCAGGCCTGCCCTAAAAGAGCTCCTGAAGGAAGCACTAAACATGGAAAGGAACAACTGGTACCAGCCACTGCAAAATCATGCCAAAATGTAAAGAATATCGAGACTAGGAAGAAACTGCATCAACTAACGAGCAAAATAACCAGCTAACATCATAATGACAGGATCAAATTCACACATAACAATATTAACTTTAAATGTAAATGGACTAAATGCTCCAATTACAAGACACAGACTGGCAAACTGGATAAAGAGTCAAGACCCATCAGTGTGCTGTATTCAGGAAACTCATCTCACATGCAGAGACACAGATAGGCTCAAAATAAAAGGATGGAGGAAGATCTACCAAGCAAATGGAAAACAAAAAAAGACAGGGGTTGCAATCCTAGTCTCTGATAAAACAGACTTTAAACCAACAAAGATCAAAAGACACAAAGAAGGCCATTACCTAATGGTAAAGGGATCAATTCAACAAGAAGAGCTAACTATCCCAAATATACATGCACCCAATACAGGAGCACCCAGATTCATAAAGCAAGTCCTGAGTGACCTGCAAAGAGACTTAGACTCCCACACAATAATAATGGGAGATTTTAACACCCCACTGTCAACATCAGACAGATCAACAAGACAGAAAGTTAACAAGGATACCCAGGAATTGAACTCAGCTCTGCACCAGGCAGACCTAATAGACATCTACAGAACTCTCCACCCCAAATCAACAGAATATACATTTTTTCAGCACCACACCACACCTATTCCAAAATTGACCACATAGTTGGAAGTAAAGCTCTCCTCAGCAAATGTAAAAGAACAGAAATTATAACAAACTGTCTCTCAGACCACAGTACAATCAAACTAGAACTCAGGATTAAGAAACTCACTCAAAACTGCTCAACTACATGGAAACTGAACAACCTGCTCCTGAATGACTACTGGGTACATAACAAAATGAAGGCAGAAATAAAGATGTTCTTTGAAACCAACGAGAACAAAGACACAACATACCAGAATCTCTGGGACACAAAGCAGTGTGCAGCGGGAAATTTATACCACTAAATGCCCACAAGAGAAAGCAGGAAAGATCCAAAATTGACACCCTAACATCACAATTAAAAGAACTAGAAAAGCAAGAGCAAACACATTCAAAAGCTAGCAGAACGCAAGAAATAACTAAAATCAGAGCAGAACTGAAGGAAATAGAGACAGAAAAAACCCTTCAAAAAATTAATGAATCCAGGAGCTGGTTTTTTGAAAGGACCAACAAAATTGACAGACCGCTAGCAAGAAAAAGAAGAAAAGAGAGAAGAATCAAATAGACACAATAAAAAATGATAAAGGGGATATCACCACCAATCCCACAGTAATACAAACTACCATCAGAGAATACTACAAACACCTCTATGCAAATAAACTAGAAAATCTAGAAGAAATAGATAAATTCCTCAACACATACACTCTCCCAAGACTAAACCAGGAAGAAGTTGAATCTCTGAATAGACCAATAACAGGCTCTGAAATTGTGGCAATAATCAATAGCTTACCAACCAAAAAGAGTCCAGGACCAGATAGATTCACAGCCGAATTCTACCAGAGGTATAAGGAGGAACTGGTACCATTCCTTCTGAAACTATTCCAATCAATAGAAAAACAGGGAATCCTCCCTAACTCATTTTATGAGGCCAGCATCATCCTGATACCAAAGCCGGGCAGAGACACAACCAAAAAAGAGAATTTTAGACCAATATCCTTGATGAACACTGATGCAAAAATCCTCAATAAAATACTGTCAAACTGAATTCAGCAGCACATCAAAAAGCTTATCCACCATGATCAAGTGGGCTTCATCCCTGGGATGCAAGGCTGGTTCAATATACACAAATCAATAAATGTAATCCAGCATATAAACAGAACCAAAGACAAAAAACACATGATTATCTCAATAGATGCAGAAAAGGCCTTTGACAAAATTCAACAACCCTTCATGCTAAAAACTCTCAATAAATTTGGTATTGATGGGATGTATCTCAAAATAATAAGGGCTATCTATGACAAACCCACAGCCAATATCATACTGAATGGGCAAAAACTGGAAGCATTCCCTTTGAAAACTGGCACAAGACAGGGATGCCTTCTCTCACCACTCCTATTCAACACAGTGTTAGAAGTTCTGGCCAGGGCAATTAGGCAGGAGAAGGAAATAAAGGGTATTCAATTAGGAAAAGAGGAAGTCAAATTGTCCCTGTTTGCAGATGACATGATTGTATATCTAGAAAGCCCCATTGTCTCAGCCCAAAATCTCCTTAAGCTGATAAGCAACTTCAGCAAAGTCTCAGGATACAAAATCAATGTACAAAAATCACAAGCATTCTTATACACCAATAACAGACAAACAGAGAGCCAAATCATGAGTGAACTCCCATTCACAATTGCTTCAAAGAGAATAAAATACTAGGAATCCAACTTACAAGGGACATGAAGGACCTCTTCAAGGAGAACTACAAACCACTGCTCAATGAAGTAAAAGAGGATACAAAGAAATGGAAGAAAATTTCATGCTCATGGGTAGGAAGAATCAATATATTGAAAATGGCCATACTGCCCAAGGTAATTTATAGATTCAATGCCCTCCCCATCAAGCTACCAATGACTTTCTTCACAGAATTGGAAAAAACTACTTTGAAGTTCATATGGAACCAAAAAAGAGCCTGCATCACCAAGTCAATCCTAAGCCAAAAGAACAGAGTGGGAGGCATCATGCTACCTGACTTCAAACTATACTACAGGCTACAGTAACCAAAACAGCATGGTACTAGTACCAAAACAGAGATATAGATCAATGGAACAGAACAGAGCCCTCAGAAATAACGCCGCATATCTACAACTATCTGATCTTTGACAAACCTGAGAAAAACAAGCAATGGGGAAAGGATTCCCTATTTAATAAATGGTGCTAGGGAAACTGGCTAGCCATATGTAGAAAGCTGAAACTGGATCCCTTCCTTACACCTTATACAAAAATTAATTCAAGATGAATTAAAGACTTAAACGTTAGACCTAAAACCATAAAAACCCTAGAAGAAAACCTAGGCATTACCATTCAGGACATAGGCATGGGCAAGGACTTCATGTCTAAAACACCAAAAGCAATGGTAACAAAAGCCAGAATTGACAAATGGGATCTAATTAAACTAAAGAGCTTCTGCACAGCAAAAGAAACTACCATCAGAGTGTACAGGCAACCTACAAAATGGGAGAAAATTTTCACAACCTACTCATCTGACAAAGGGCTAATATCCAGAATCTACAATGAACTCAAAGAAATTTACAAGAAAAAAACAACCCCATCAACAAGTGGGTGAAGGACATGAACAGACACTTCTCAAAAGGAGACATTTATGCAGCCAAAAAACACATGAAAAAATGCTCACCATCATTGGCCATCAGAGAAATGCAAATCAAAACCACAATGAGCTACCATCTCACACTAGTTAGAATGGCAATCATTAAAAAGTCAGGAAACAACAGGTTCTGGAGAGGATGTGGAGAAATAGGAACACTTTCACACTGTTGGTGGGACTGTTAACTAGTTCAACCATTGTGGAAGTCAGTGTGGCGGTTCCTCAGGGATCTAGAACTAGAAATACCATTTGACCCAGCCATCCCATTACTGGGTATATACCCAAAGGACTATAAATCATGCTGCTATAAAGACACATGCACACGTATGTTTATTGCATCACTCTTCACAATAGCAAAGACTTGGAATCAACCCAAATGTCCAACAATGATAGACTGGATTAAGAAAATGTGGCACATATACACCATGGAATACTATGCATCCATAAAAAATGATGAGTTCATGTCCTTTGTAGGGACATGGATGAAACTGGAAATCATCATTCTCAGTAAACTATTGCAAGGACGAGAAACCAAACACCGCATGTTCTCACTTATAGGTGGGAATTGAACAATGGGAACACATGGACACAGGAAGGGGAACATCACACTCTGGGGACCGTTGTGGAGTGGGGGGAGGGGAGAGGAATAGCATTAGGAGATATACCTAATGCTCAATGACGAGTTAATGGGTGCAGCACACCAGCATGGCACATGTATACATTGTGCACATATACCCTAAAACTTAAAGTATAATAAAAATAAAATAAAATAAAAAGAATAATAGAATATAAACTTGCTCACAAAAAAAAAGAATAATTAAAGCCTTTACTCTAAACATTAAAATATCATCCATGGTGTACTCAATTTTTGAATTGGTCCAATCTCATGGACTTATATTTCACTCTTATCCTGCAAACAACACTGCATAACTAGAATATTTAGGGTTTCAACATTCAAAATAAGGAAACAAAAAACAAAAGTTCAAGTGCAAAGTAGCAATTTAGTAAATGTTTTTGGCACTGAATTGCCTGGAATAAAGTCAAATCCTGGGTAGTTATATTTTCATGTATGTTTTTAAAGAATAGTTTTACATAAACACTTGTATAATTCCAAACTACAGTCTTCAATAAATCATTTGTTAATAAAAGCTAATTATTTAACTGAACTAGGATTTTGTTTATCCCTTACCTTTGTTGTGACTTCAGAACCTGAGTTACGACATGAGCGATGATCTTCCACTGGGAATGTGTAGATCTCCTGAGGTGTCTTGTGGATACCTGGTAATTCTCTGAAGGCTGCTGTGTAATGACCTGCAAAATTAGAAAGGGATGAATATACTGGTATCTTGGGATAGAATGAGATTCACGCCAGAAAAGGAAATCAGCTAAAGCTCTGATCAATCAATTGAGAAAGCCCGGGTTGGTGTTGCAGGGCCATTTCCTAGGCCTTCAAGCAAGACACAAATTTAAAAATAAAAACCAAAAAAAGCTCCTCTGGCTTTCTTTTTCTGTAATAGTGCAATCAGTTTTAACTCGGAAACTTCAAAACAGTAACAAAGACTTAAAATAGAGGTGTTAGAGTGGGGGAATCTGAGATTAGAACTTGTCACAAAAAAAAAAATCTCATTCTGTCTAGCAAATCCCACTTGGCTATGAGTCACAGGAGATCAAGATATGCACTGGTAACACAATTTAGTTTGTCCCTAACTGGAAAAATGTATGTGTGTATGCATATGCATATGTATATACGTATGTATGTATACACACACGCACACATATATGTTTTCATTTGGGATTAATTTACAATTCAATTTAGTTGTGATTTATAGTGTGTGTGTGTGTGTGTGTGTATATATATATATATATATATATATATATATACACATATATATTTAGTTGTGATTAATTCAGGGCTAGTCTCTCATTAGCACTGTGTTAGACCCTATGGTGGTCAGTGGTGGGGGCTAGGTACACAGATACAAAGATATCTATTGCAGAGACCTGTCCTCAATGAATTGATTGTAATTTAAATGAAGAGTCCTCCACAACTGAGAAAGTGTATTAATCAAGGTTCTCCAGAGAAGAAGAACAAATATGGTGGATGGATGGATAGGTGATAGATAGATAGGCAGGCAGACTAGAGGATTTATTTTGGGAATTGGGTCTCTTGGTTATGAAGTCCAAGAAGTCCCATGATCTGTGGCCTGCAAGCTGGAGACCCAGGAAAGCCAATGGCGTTATTCAGTCTGGGTCTGAAATCCTGAGGACCAGGGGAGCCAATGGTGTAGCTCCCAGTCCCAGGCTGAAGGCCTGAAAACTGGGATTGGGAGGTGCTGGTGTAAGTCCCGGAGTCTGAAAGCCCGTGAGGCAGGAACTCTGTCAGAGAACAAGAGAAGATGGATGTCCCAGCTCCAGAAGAGAAAGAATTTACCTTTTCTCCACATTATTGTTGTATTCAGGCTCTCAACAGATTGGATAACGCCCATTTACACTGGTAAGGGTGGATCTTCCTTACTCTGTCTACAGATTCAAATACTAATCTCAAGAAACACCCTTTTAGACCAACCTAAAAATAATGTTTCACCAGCTGTCTTAGCCCAGTCATGTTGACATATAAAATTAACCATCACATTCAGTAAATAATAAGGTTAAGAAATAGCTTTCTTTACAAGTGTTTGAAATACATAGTCAAACTCTAAACTTCAGCAAAAATAATATATTATTGCTAATAAGATGACAAGACAAAAAGTTGAACTGCCAAACGTATGCTACAAGACACAAGTGCTCATTGTTTTGTGAGAGAACTCACAGGGAAGGTTTTGTACAGGACATGAATTGGCATGAAGGATAAGGAGAAGTGGGTAGATGCCACCAAGATAAGATTAGACCTACCTTCTGGCTTCGTAAGTTGCAAAGCACCTGAGGAAGCCATCCCTCTGTCTGCAAATATGCCATCGTTGTACTAGTAGCTGAGAGCCATGAATAAAGAACTGTTTTCTTCTGAAGAGTACAGTGCTCTGCCCAGTTCTGGACCCTTCTACTTGCAAATTACTACAGCTGAAGCCACTTAACTGTTGCGTCTTGGCCAACCTCGGACCAGTTCTACTGCAGTCAACAATTCCCTGCCAGTAACCTCATGGCTCAATATAGATCACACCCACTCAGTATTCCTGTCTGGGTTTCCTGATCCTTAAGCTCGTGATATAGTAACTGGACTTTAAAAAAAGTCCTTCTCATCAAGATTATTCCTAGTAATATTGTGACAGTACTAGATTGTTCCTTTGTTTCTTTGAGCAGAGAGAATGTCGATTTCAAAAAGAACCAAGCTCCATCCTGACCTTAAAATTCAGGACTTGAGATTGAAATTCAGTATACCTCATCAAACATTCTTAATCTGCCATCTTTTTAGTCCTATACATATATAACTCATATATATCTTATATATGAGTTACTGTTCTAAGAGTATGGCAGAGACTATCTCATTTAATCTATAAAAAAGCCCTATGAAATAGGCACTCTTATCAATATCCCCATTTTTTTCTTAACAACTCTAGGTATTGAGGCATGCAGTGGTTAAGTAATTTGCCAAGCAACTTAGCTTGCAATAATGGTAAGTGGCAGAACCAGAATTCAAGTCCAAGCGATCTGGCTTAAGAGGCCAGGCTCTCTGCCACCATGCTGTCTCAGTCTTTTATTTGGTTACTGAGGACTCTAATGAAACTACTTTCTTTGGTGTCTTTGATGCAGACAACCCCTAGTAGCAACCTAATTCGCCGTCTTCAGAACCCACTGCATGACTTTTCTCCTCCCTTCTGCCCTCTACTTCTGGTTCTTTTCTGAGTTCCTACTGTATTAGTAGTACAAAGTTGGAGATTTTGTTTGTTTATTTTTGCAATGGGCCTTTATGATCTCATCCAGGCTCCATCCCACCACAGACTGCAGCTTGCTTTAGAGGGATACATACTTTTTCCCACCTATTACTGCATCAAACCAACCAAATTAGACCTTATGCAACAACATACAGATTGTGTAAACTCTGTTTTCTGAACCCTTTCATTCAATAATGTGTCTTGACGTTGCATGTATTCACAAGCCATCTTAATTGTGGCAGCCACTAATCAATCACCTAATGTATATTGTGCAATGCTATATAGGTTGTGAGGTGCTTTCATGCTTGGGAGAAACATATTCAAGAAGAGGGAACAACAATAATAACGCATTGCATGTCTGCAATGCCAGTATGTTTATTTTCAACCTCTTTTTAATTATGCCATTGAGATAACAGAGGCACTCAAAAATGTAAAAATTTGATCACATTAAAATGGGTTAATTACATCAGGGAAAGTTTCAGTAAGGATCTGGCATACTTAGTATTACTGGTTTTCAAACATCTAAGAATCTGATTTCTGGATTTAGACTACTTGCTTGTCTTAGCCTCAATTCCCATTCTCTACTGCCAAATATTTCACACATGTCAGTTTGAGAGTTGAATGACATTCAGAGCACTCTTTATGCCAATGGAATCATTGACATCAAGAGTGAGGTAATTACCCTAGGGAACATGCTGGACAATTAGTTTATTATCCCAAGTTGCTCCAATACAAATATCCTATATCACCATTTATTTGGACTTAATATGGAAATAGAATGGACTTTAGAAATACACAAGTTACAATTAGAAGGCATGTTTCTTAGGAAGAAATAAAAAGTCAAGTCGGGATGATTTTTTTTCTTGGAATGATTTTTAATAGCACTTTCACTATTATTATTGATAAATTAATGAATCAATAAAAATGTAAAATAATAAATAATGAAGCCTCATAAAGGCCATTCTATTTTCATATGAAGTCCAAATAAATGGTGATATAGGATATTTTTATCGAAGCAAGTTGGGATAATAAACTATTGTCTAGCAAATTCCTTGGGGTAGTTACCTCAATCTTGATGAAGCCTCATTATTGATTAGTTTACATTATAATTGATTAGTGCACACTCATTTAATAATCTGTTTCTACTTATTAGAATATAAGCTTAAAAAGTATCCAAGTTATTCTTAACTGTCCCCAGAACCCCCAAAACAGGCATAGAACACAATATGTGTAAAATATACATTTGTTGATTAAAAACATAAGTACTATAATATACCTTAAAAATTTGTTAAGAGGGTAGATCTCATGTTAAGTGTTCTTGCCAAAATAAAATAAATATAAATATATAGTAAATGTGTTTGGTTCTAATGGAAATTATCTCTGTGTGTTTAATTCTTTAGAATAGTAAATATTTTAAATATTTACTTTGCAAACTGCAAAAATATTTATTATATTTCCTTAGATGTAGAGATCGTTGCCTAAAAGGGTCCTTCTCAGTTTAATGCTCATTGCCCCTCGAAGAAAATAAACAAAAGTCTGAATATAAAGAACACATTGAAGCAATAAGTTAGTATATCTGGATGTCAGGTTTATTATCAACTACCAAGAATAACATAAGAAAAAAAGATACACTAAGAAATGTGTGACTGGTAGTTGAAAGAAAACAGAAACTATAATCAAGCCTTTATTCTTTCCTGATCTACACCAAAGTCTTTGCAGTGTAGGCTCTGGCTTCGTTACAGAATGCCTTAATTCACAAAGTCTGACACAATTCGTCATCTTCTTTCAAAGAAAATGTCTTTTTATTCTGTGCCTTGCCAAAGCTTCGTGAGGGCTGAGCAGAGAAGGGTGAAGCTGGAGAGCTCTGATTACCCAGAAAACTATGTTGTCACCCATGCTTGTCTCCTGTGCACACAGTCTCTGCCACTGCTCCTGTGCTCTGGTTTTCAGTGGGAAAGATAATGTCACCTTCTTAGTCATGGTGTTGCTGCTTATGACAAGTACCTCCCCCAACACTCTACCAATACTTGAATTCTTTTACATTCAGATGTTTAAACACCTGGGGAAAAAATTTATAATAGAAAATGCTGCTTATTTGTTAAATGTGATTTTCTTCCCACAAATTGATACTTTGCCAATAACCATCATTTTCTGCCACTCCTGTGACAGGTAAGGAACATGGACTCTGAGGTTCAGATAGCCTCCCATTCAAATCCTGACTCCACCATGTATTTGTCATGTGCTCCTAAGCCAGTGACTTAATCTCCATGTGCCTTGATTTCTTCATATGCACACTGAACAATAATGTCTGCCTCACAGAACTTCTATGAGAAATACATCAGATACTACCTCTAAAAAGTTCAGAATAGTCCCTGACATATTGTCTTTAGTTTTTAGTAGATAAGTGTTGGGTAGTTTTCTTTTCGTTAATATCAGATAAAATTTATGTAGAATAACCCATACATGATATAAAGAGGTGCTTTGGTGTTCTTGAGAACTAAATCCCCATCCTACCTTTAATCTTAATGATGACATACATAGCCTTTGATGTGGGATGTGGGAAGTTTTTCTCTGGGGTAGAAGAAACAAGAAAGGAGTAAGGGATTTGGCTATTGTAAGTAATTGAAAAGTATAATGAGTTTTAGATTTGAATAGCATTTTAATGACATTTTTACCATGATGACTTCCAAGTAACATTAGATGTACAAACAGTATTTATTTTATTAATTGATTCATATTTTGTTTTCAACCACAAAATATTTATAAAGGCTGGAGTGCAACAGTTGTTTTCATTCCCAAGTATGTCTGTTGTACTTTATTTCATTTCATTTCATTTCATTTTTGAGACAGAGTCTCGCTCTGCTGCAAAGGTTGGAGCACAGTGGTGTGATCTCGGCTCACTGCAACCTCCACCTCCCGGGTTCAAGCAATTCTCCTGCCTCAGCTTCCTGAGTAGCTGGGACTACAGGAGTGTGCCACCACACCCAGCTAATTTTTGTATTTCTAATAGAGACGGGGTTTCATCATGTTGGCCAGGCTGGTCTCGACCTCCTGACCTCAAGAGATCCACCCACCTTGGCTTCCCAAAGTGCTGGGATTACAGGTGTGAGCCACTGCGCCCAGCCTGAATTTTTATTTAAAAAAATTAACACAGGGCTTTAAAATTATTATATAGCATTTTCTCCAGTAACAGATTATAATCCACCCACCAATGCATATACTGAATAGAATCCCTGGGTTTTTTTGATCCATCAAGTCTGTCTTTATTTATTAAGTCCTCTTCGTTTGTAAAGTCTCCAAAGACTTATTTATTCCCAGTAAATACAACATTTTTCTAGTAATAAAAACAAATAGATAGAAAAAAACTAAAGAGATTTCTAAGATAGCTAAGATATCTATCCCTTCTGGGAGACTCTTAGTTAATAAGGAATTGAAGCTTGGATGTTTTCACACTGCATTTTACTGAAGTGTCTGCAGACATCTCTGGAAAGAAAACCTCCTCTTTGCATCCGTGGTTCTTGCCTTTATTTTTGTGTCTTAGTTTTTTTATTGTCATTAGTTGAGTTAGCATCTGGAAAATCAGAATAACGAAAGAATGAGTGGAAATGGGCCTTATGCTATAGAAAGGATATTATACTTGGAGTCATGAAGTCTAGATTCTTGTCTTGACACCCCCAATGATACCAGCTAATGCTTACTGAGTACACACCAGGGGCCAGGTAAGCCCTATTTATTCATTATCTCATTTAACTAAACCAGTTCAACTCTAAAGTGATTCTCAGGCAACATGGCTATGGCTAGCCTTGTGCCAGTGGATGAGCAACCTAATTGCTCTTTGTTTATAAAATAAAATCAGATAAAACAATGTCAAATAATTTTTTTAATAACTGAGATCATGTATATTAAACTTCTTTAAAATCTCAGTAATAATTGTTAGCATTTAGATATTTCTTTTGTGCAAGACACAATGTTATTCTTCATCTCACTTAATCCTCCCCAAAACCCAATGAGGTAATTATTAAAATACTATCATTTAGCAGATGTGGAAGCAGATTCAAAAAAAGAGTAACTGAGACTCCTATCCGTCTGACTTGATCTCAAACTCTTATCTACTATTCTATCTTCTTAAAGCTGATAATGCTCTGGCAAGTTTAGTTGTATATACAGCTAATTCTTTGAGAATGTATCTTACACATTTAGTGAAGTTTCAAGCTTCGGGAAAAAAGTTTTAAGAAACTATCTCCTTAAACATGATAAGCAGCTGGTATGTGTCAGGCACTCTGTCTTATGGTTCTAAAGATGCCCCAACATCCCCTCGATCTAACAACAAAGAGGCCTTCAAATTTTTTTTAAATGTAGTCCGCTAAATAATTATATACAAATTATATTCCTATGAAAGTATTAATGTGATTATATATATTATCTGTAGTCTGTATTTGATCATTTAGTGGCTTAAAACAACATTTTTACTGTCTTTGCATCAGGAGCGCAGGCACAGTTTAACTGGGTTCTCTGGATCGAAGTCTCTCACAAGGCCACAGTCAAGATATCAAGTGTGGCTGGGGTCCTCTTTAACCTCCATCCGAGTGGATCTACTGCTAGGCTCACGCACATGGCTATTGACAGGATTCAGTTCATTGCAGGCTGTTGGCTCTAAGTTCCTTACTATGTGGGCTTCTCATGGGGTAGTGCCCATGAAGGCAGCTGGATTCTATCAAAGTGAGCAAATGAGAGAGGAAGAGAGGTTGTAATTTACTTTCAGATGTAGCCTCCTGTCACTTTTGCTGTATTCTGTTTATGAGAGGTGAGTCACTGGGGCCAGCCCACACGCAAGCATCTGTGTGAATACCTGACTTTGGGGATGACTAGGGACCATCTTATAAAGCAGCCCACAACAAACAGCAACTCATCTTTTCTGGTTGTTGTTGTTGGGAAAGAGGTAGAAGAGGACTTTAGTTGAAGGCAAGTGTTGAGAATTGCTAGCACATTCTCAGCCTAGTAGATCTAGTAAAGATTCAGTAAAGAATCGGTCCCTGAAATAAATTAAATCCTGAGTGCCTATTCAGGTTGGCAACATCCTATCCTATTATCTTATCAAATGACTCTTAAGCATTGTATCTGGAATTCTGAGGAATGTGACAAGGGTTCTGAGCAGCAGCTGAGTATGGACAGATCTGTACTTTGTCATCACTCTAGTTGCTCAAAGAAACTTCCAAAGTTGGAAAGAAAGAAAGCATGTTTAATGCTTTCTTTGTACAATGTAAATATTTGTAAAATGAAGGGGTGAATTTTATGGAAGAAAGAAAGAATAAGATGAAACGACAAAGAACAAAATACCAAATTCACAAACTCTCTTCACACTTCAATATCTCAAAGATTGAAACCTCAGTATAAATTTGTTGAATGACATATCATAAATAAAATATAAAATATGTGCTCACATATCATATGTCTCTACAATAACTACTGAAGTGGAATTAAGTGCTGCAATGAAAACTTTGGTGGTATAACAAGGAAATATGAATTAGTGGAAGTCTGAGAATAGTACAAAGGAGTAAAGAAATGTACAGATAAACTCATATACTATAAGGAAAAAAAATATGCGATACTGAATGGATTTAGGGTTAAGCTATTTGTACTTATAATTTAGAAACAGTGTCTTGGTCCATTTTCTGTTGCTTATAAGAGAATGCCTGAAACTGGGTAATTTATTTTTAAGGAGAATTTATTTCTTATGGTGATGGAGGCGGAGAAGTCCAAGGTTGAGAGGCTGCATCATGTGATAGAAAGCCTTCTTGCTGGTGGGGACCTTTGCATAGTCCCAAGGCAGCACAGGACATCACATGGCAAGAGGACTGAGAGTGTTAGCTCAGGTCTCTCTTCCTTTTTTAACAAAGCCACGAGTTCCCCTTCCATGACAGCCCAATAATTCATAAATTCATGAATCCATAAATAAATTAATCCATCCAAAAAGGGAGAACCTTCATGACCCACTTACTCCCACCTCTCAATACTGCAACACTGGAGATTAAATTTCAACATGAGTGTTGGAGGGGACAAATATTCAAATTATAGCACTTAGAAAAAAAAGAGAAATTGAATTCAGAATGTTATGAACACTGAACACATAGCAAAAACCTACTGAAAGAAAATAGCTAAAGCTCGCTAGAGATAAATTTGTTGTAACTTCTGTTTTTGTAGCTGAATTCCTCACCCTTCCCTTCTGTCTACCGATTCATCTTCATGGATGTTAGAAGAAAATTTGAGTTGCAGAAATATTTGAGAGAAAGAGCTAGAGTGAGAATGAGAGAGAGTAAGGGAGGGGAGGGGGCTTTAGTCCCTGCTGCATTCTTGTTCTCTTTCCCTGTTCTCACTTCCTTGGCTAATTTCTCCACCTTCACAACCTAACTAGTGTTCAGCTATGCAGAAATCTGTCACACCGTTACTAAGCTGAGGGTTATGCCACTCCGAGGAGAAGCTGCGGGCAGAGGGAAGGACAGTGTGGCAGGCTGTGTTTGGGAATGGAGAGCTGGGGGGATGTTCTTATGTCTCAATAGACTCCATATCTGCTGATTACTATGTTGTTGCAAACAATCAATTCCTTTATTTCTTCATCCTTTAAGTAGTGGTTTTACAAATGCAGCACTTGCTTTTTTTTTTTTTTTTTTTTTTTTTTTTTTTTGCAAACCACAATTACTTTTCAAACAATTTATTGGGCTTCAAGACAATGAAGAGTTTACCATTCAATACTAGAACAAAGTAAAGGTAATATATGTTGAGACAGCATTTACAATGTGCTAGTAAAGTGCCAGATAATGTGTACAAGTTCTTTGCCTTCATGCAAAGAAGCTTTCCTCTCATCTCTACCAGGGAATGCTCAAACAGCATGATAAGATATTGGTTCAAGATTTAAACAATATTATCTCTGTCATGCTGAGTATGGTGCCAAAGGGCTTGAGTAAAGAAAGGGTGCCATATGTGATGTTTTGTGTACATTTGTGCCAAGAAGGGAGACTTAAACATAGATTTCAAAAATGATATTATTTGCCTGATTAGTCAGCTACAACTATACATTCAAATAAATGTAGACTATCAAGTATGATGCAAGAAGGAGAATATTTTGTTTGGTAATACATAGGAAAAAAAATTACCGGGAAGTTGGTATCCAAAACCAAGGCTTAGAACTTCAGACAATTTTATATTCATCGTTTCTGAAGGAAATCCTGAATAACATATTCTACATGATATACAATTTCATTTAGGATGTTTCTGAAAAGCTTGGGGAAAAACAAATATATTCTTTTACATAATGAGAAATAATGCAGATGTTGACACTACTTCTTTGCTGTTCATGGGTATGCATTCATTTTTATATAGATTTGGTCCTCAGGCTGGCCCTATGTTGGGGTTGTAAGATGGCAACAACAATTAAAGACATCACATCTAAATATGACATAGTTCATAGGAATAGAGTCCAATTCTTACTTGTAATTATCTGTTATTAAAAAAAAAAAACCTTCCCAGAAACTCCCAGCAAGCTTTCATTCACATCTCATTGGATGGAAATGTATCACATGCCCAAGCAAAACAGATCAGTGGCCAAGGACCACCATGATCATCTTAGTCAGGTAGGACATATGCTCGAATCTGGGGATAGTTGTCCTCATTGGAACAAGGTCATGTGGAAGATGGTGGGTACCAACTTCCACAAATTAAGGTTACCATCTTTTGCAAATTAAAATTAAAAAAAGAATATTGGGGGTAGAACAAGTTATTGGATATACATCTAGCAGTGTCTACTATAGGAGCAGTGTTAAAAAAAAAAATAAGAATTCCACACTTTGGGAGGCTGAGGCTGGTGGATCATGAGGTCAGGAGATCAAGACCATTCTGGCCAACATGGTGAAACCCTGTCTGTACTAAAAATACAAAAATTAGCTGGGTGTGGTGGTGAGTGCGTGTAATTCCAGCTACTCAGGAGGCTGAGGCAGAAGAATCCTTTGGACCTGAGACCCGGAGACTGCATGGAGCTGAGATTGTGTCACTGTACTCTAGCCTGGGCAACAGAGCAAGACTCTGTCTCCAAAAAAAAAAAAGAAAAAGAAAAAGAAAAAAGAAAAGAATTCCAAAGTCAAGTACGTTTAGAACATTTTGGGTTTAATTTTATTTCAAATTTTCTTGGCTATGGAAACTTTAGGGTACTTTTTTGATGCTTATGGGCATTATAAATCTACAAGTTGGGGTATAACAGGCTGCATTTCCCTTCCTGTTCTACATTTTTGTTGTTTCTACTGTTTTATCATTCTGTTATAACTTCATATGTAAATTTACTATAATATAAACTCATATGAGCATTCCACAGCTTATGAAATAGTACTAAAGAGCTGTAGCATGCAGGTGGTATTCATTTTGGCCTCCCAGCATCCTTTTCTGTGTATGAAAAATTATCCAATTTATGAAATTTTGTGAACATTAAGTTGCAGTTATGGCAATAACAGTTGAGAATTCTGCATACGTGCTTTCCCAGCCTGGCTTGCAGCTAGGTTGCAGAGAGTTTTGACATGAGATGTGGAAAGCCAAAAAGAAAATGATAAGAAAACATCTCTCCTCCCCACCTTTCTCCTCCACCTCCTACCTGCCACTCTTCCTCCTCCACCTCCTGTCCTTTCTCCTTCTTCTCTTCCTGACCCTCCCACCTGCTATTTTTGTAGTAACAACAATTTTCTCAGCAGATATGATCTGGTATAAAATCTAGGGTGATTTTTCTAGCTGTTTATTGTACGCATAGTTGTCTAGCCTTCCTAATATGTCTGTGAGTTAGCCAATGTCTTTTTAATAAGTTGCTGTTTTCATTATTTCAGGGTGAGCCAGCTTCGGGATTGCAACTGAGAAGTGGGACTATTAAAAGGTACTAAAGCAGAGAATACGACCAGTAAACAAACAAAAAAAAAGCACTTTAAATAGGAATAAAATATATTAATAAATGTGACCACATGGAGATTAGTGACCATAGAAGGTAATGATTCATTCCAAATAATTAGGCTAACAGGGAATTCAGAGTCATTCTGAATTGTCAAGGAAACATTTACATGTATGAAGACTTTTGTTCCAAAGGAGTTCATAATTTCTAGTAAGTTTACATTTTATCATGAATAGCTTAACAACTAAACATCACCATTGAATAGCAGAATGACAGGGGAGAAATATTTTCAACCAAAATGTTGAGAACCACTGCCAATGATAGATGAATTCAAACTAAGCCAAAGAAAACTCTAAAATGATTGTATAGGTCACTGGGAAAATAAGATTTGATTGATAAAAATCTGTTTAGAGGCCACAGTGGGCAGATCATGAGGTCAGGAGATCGTTTCCATCTCCTGATGGCTAACACGGTGAAACTCTGTCTCTACTAAAAATATAAAAATTAGCCAGGCATGGTGGTGGGCATCTGTTATCCCAGCTACTTGGGAGGCTGAGGCAGGAGAATTGCTTGAATCTGGGAGGCGGAGGTTGCAGTGAGCTGAAATCGTGCCACTGCACTCCAGCCAAGGTGACAGAGCAAGACTCGGTCTCCAAAAAAAAAAAAAAAAAAAAGAAATGAATAAATTTTATGATCAAATATTGAAGTGTTTAAATTTTGAAGAACATACTCGGGAATTTCAGAATTATATTTAAGTCTTCAATGCAATTATTCTCAGACTTTTTTCCCCAAGACATTCATATAATTTAACCATGCTATTGCACTTTGGAAGCTAAGAACCGTTCTTCTCTTTATAGAAAGCATTATTAGCTACCATCACACATGTTTAAATTAAACTCAAGAATTTTTATTTATTTTTAAGACCAAAAAAGATTGCAGAGAACTAAAAAAGAAAAGAAAAATGTGTTCACAGCTTCAGTATTTTATCTCCTAGCTAAAAATTCACCATACATGAGACTATACATCAGAATAAAAAAAAAAAACCTAACAAGTTTGAGGAAAATGGGAAATCATTCTTAGCATAGAGCCTAATCTATAATGTCTTGGTTAATTTCTAATGGTGAAATAACGCTAAATCAAATATACAGTAGTCTGTTTCTTTTTACTAAGATTGACCTTATAAAAACAAAGTTATAATGTTTTTCTAAGCACTTTTCATTGGACAAAAATGAATTTCTTCTACAGTTCCTCATTAGACAAAATGAAAAATGTTCGTATAAAACATGGACTTGTGTGTGATTATCCAACCAAGTAAAATTATGACTGACAGGCAGAAAATAATGACTTTGAGATAATAGCTGTACTGAATCAGATGACTTATGCAAATCTTTTATCATTGGTTACCATTTGAGTCCTGTTCTGATTCTTTTGCCTTTCCAGCCTTACATTAAAACGAGCTCATTTCTCATAGATCAGATTATGTTTTTATTTACAAAAACTAAAGTCCTAATCTAATTGATTACTTGGAAATATATATCAAGAAATTATGTTGCAATATCAGATTTTGACATTAAATCAAATAAATTTCAGAGTCTCTTTCATGTCTTATTCATTTTCTATAAACAGTTATAGATTTTTAAAAACTGATTTCTCTAGCATGTATGCACACATCTCAGCAGAAGTAATTGCTTCCCCTTCCAGTACATTTCTAGTGTCATTATTTAGTTTTTACTTTTTATTATTCTTATCTCTACATTCCAAAATTCCCCTACTTCTCCATTTTTCATTTATCACTTCAAACTCCTGGTAACAAATCATTAGCTACTAATGCAACCTGCTTCCTGGCACATAGAAATATGTTCAATAAATATATATTAGGTGAATAACTCAATAAGTAATAAAATACCCTACTTGTTTATGTTTTATTTTGCATTCCAAAGAAATACTTCTAGCAATAGAAATAGTCCCATGAGCTACTTTTATTACCATATTCAATCTTGCTTTTATATGGTAAACTGTTTAAGGACTTATAATTATGAATAGTAAGAGGAAGTTCTAGCCAGAGCAATCAGGCAAGAGAAAGAAATAAAAGGCAACAAAACAGGAAAAGAAAATGTCAAACTGTTTCTATTCACAGATGATATAATTCTATAGCTAGAAAACCCTAAAAATTCTGCCAAAAGGCTCCTGGAAATGATAAACAACTTCAGTGAAGTTTGAGGATACAAAGTCAATACACAAAAAAAGGCGGCATTTTTATACACCAATAATGTTCATGTTGAGAGCGAAATCACGAACACAATCCCATTTACAAAGCAACAACAACAAAAAATACCAAAGAACACTTTTTTTTTTTTTTTTTTTTTTTTTTTTTTGAGATGGAGTCTTGCTCTCTCGCCCAGGCTGGAGTGCAGTGGCACGATCTTGGCTCACTCCAACCTCTGCCTCCTGGGTTTAAGCTATTCTCCTGCCTCAGTCTCCCGAGTAGTGGGATTACAGGCACCTGCCATCACGCTCAGCTAATGTTTGTATTTTTAGTAGAGATGGGGTTTCACCATGTTGGCCAGGCTTGTCTCAGACTCCTGACCTCAGGTGATCTGCCTGTCTCAGTATCTCAAAGTGCGGGGATTACAGGTGTGATCCATCATGCCCAGCCTCCAAGGAACACATTTAACCAAGGAGATTAAAGTTCTCTACAAGGATACCTATGAAACATTGCTGAAAGGAATCATAGATTACATAAACAAATGTAATAACATTTCATCCTCGTGTATTGAAAGAACTGATATAAAAATGGCCATAGTGCCCAAAGAAATCTACAGATTCAATGCTATTCTTATCAATCTACCAACATGATTTTTCACAGTTAGAAAAAGCTATTTTAAAATTGATATTTTACCAAAAAGGAGCTCAAAAATAGCCAAAGCAATCATAAGCAAAAAGAATGAAGTCGGAGGCATCACATTGCCTGACTTCAAACAATACTATAAGGCTACAGTAATCAAACAGCATGGCACAAAACAGACACATAGACTAATGGAATAGAATAGAGAACCTAGAAATAAAGTGGCACACCTATAGCCATCTGATCTTGGGCCAGTTAATAAAAATAAGAAATGGGGAAAGGAATCCCTATTCAATAAATGCAAATGGGATAGCTGGCTAACCACATACAGAAGAATGAACCTGGATGCTTATACTTTTCACCACACACAAAAACTAACTCAAGATAGATTAAAGATTTAAGTGTAAGACCTCAAACTATAAAAATTCTGGAAGAAAATCTAGGAAACACCATCCTGAACATCAGCCTTGAAAAAGAATTTCTGAATAAGTTCTCAAGAGCAATTGCAACAAAAACCAAAATTGACAAGTGGGACCTAATTAAACTAAAGAGCTTCTGCACAGCAAGAGAAAATATCAACAGAGTAAACAGTCTACAGAATGGGAGAAAATGTCTGCAAACTATGCCTCCGATAAAGCTGTAATATCCAGAATCTATAAGGAACTTAAGTCAAGAAGCAAAAAACAAATAACTCCATTAAAAAATAGGCAAAAGACATGAACAGATACTTCGCAAAAGAAAACATACAAGTGGCCAATAAACATATGAAAAATGCTCGTCAGCACTAATCATCAGAGAAACGCAAATCAAAACCACAGTGAGATACCCTCTCACACTAGTCAGAATGGTTACATTACCATTAAAAAGTAAAAAAAACAACAGGTGCTGGTGAGACTATGGAGAAAAGAGAACACTTTTACACTGTTGGGGGGATGTAAATTAGTTCAGCCAATGTGGAAAGCAGTTTGGAGATTTCTCAAAGAACTTAAAATATGTGTTTCTGTCCCCTCTTATTTCCTTGAGCAGTGGTTTGTCATTCTCCTTGAAGAGGTCCTTCACATCCCTTGTTACTGTATTCCTAGGTATTTTATTCTCTTTGTAGCAATTGTGAATGCGAGTTCATTCATGATTTGGCTCTCTGCTTGTCTATTGTTGGTATATAGGAGTGCTTGTGATTTGTGCACATTGATTTTATATCCTGAGACTTGGCTGAAGTTGCTTATTATCATGGATAGGAAGAATAAATACAACAGGGGCCATACTGCTCAAAGCAATTTATAGATTCAATGCTATTCCCACCAAACTACCATTGACATTCTTCACGGAATTGGAAAAAACTACTTTAAATTTCATATGGAACCAAAAAAAGAGTCCATATAGCCAAAACAATCCCAAGCAAAAAGAACAAAGCTGGAATCATCATGCTACCTGCCTTCAAACTATACTACAAGGCTACAATAACCAAAACAGCATGGTACTGGTAACTAAAGAGACATATAGATCAATAGAACAGAGCAGAGACCTCAGACATAACATCACACATCTACGACCATCTGATCTTTGACAAACCGGACAAAACAAGCAATAGGAAAAGGATTCCCTATTTAATAAATGGTGCTGGGAAAACTGGTTAGCCATATACAGAAAACCGAAACTGGGCCTATTCCTTACACCTTATACAAAAATTAACTCAAGATAGATTAAAGACTTAAATGTGAAACCCAAAACCATAAAAACCCTAGAGGAAAACCTAGGCAATACCATTCAGGACATAGCCATGGGCAAAGACTTCATGACAAAAACACCAAAAGCAATTGCAGCAAAAGCCCAAATTGACAACTGAGTTGTAGTTAAACTAAAGAGCTTCTGCACAGCAAAAAAACAAAACAAAACAAAACAAAACAAAACAAACAAAAACCAAAAACAAAAACAAAAAAAAAAACTGTCATTAGAGTGAACAGGCAACCTACAGAATGGGAGAAAAATTTTGTAATCTACACACCTGACAAAGGTCTAATATCCAGAATATACAAGGAACTTAAACAAATTTACAAGAAAAAAACAAACAGCCCCATCAAAAAGTGGAAAAATGATGTGTACAGACACTTCTCAAAAGAAGACATTTATGTGGCCAAGAAACATATGAAAAAAAGCTCAAAATCATTGATCATTAGAGAAATGCAAATCAAAACCACAATGAGATACCATCTCATGCCAGCCAGAATGGCGATTATTAAAAAGTCAAGAAGCAATAGATGCTGGTAAGGCTGTGGAGGAATAGGAATGGTTTTCCACTGTTGGTGGGAATGTAAATTAGTTCAGCCACTGTGGAAGACAGTGTAACATTTCCTCAAGGATCTAGAACCAGAAATACAATTTGACTCAGCAATCCCATTAGGGGGTATATACCCAAAGGAATATAAATCATTCTACTATGAAGACACACCCACACGTATATTTATTGCAGTACTATTTACAATAGCTAAGACATGGAACCAACCCAAATGCCCATTGAAGATAGACTGGATAAAGAAAATGTGGTACATATACACCATGGAATACTATGCATACATAAAAACAAATGAGATTATGTCCTTTGCAGGGACATGGATAAAGCTGGAAGGCATCATCCTCAGCAAACTAACACAAGAACAGAAAACCAAACACCGCATGTTCTCACTCATAAGTGGGAGTTGAACAATGAGATCACATGAACACAGGGAGGAGAACAACATACACCAGGGGCCAGCCAGAGGGTGAGGGGTGAGGGGAAGAATAGCATTAGGACAATAACTAATGTATGCGGAGCTTAAAACCTAAATGACAGGTTGATAGGTGCAGCAAACCACCATGCCACACGTATACCTATGTAACAAACCTACACATTCTGCACTTGTATCCTGGAACTTAAAGGAAGATTAAAAAAAAAGAAGGTAAAATAAAACTACCATTTGACTCAGCAATCCCATTACTGGGTATATACCTGAAAGAAAACACATCACTCTAACAAAAAGACACATGCGCTTGTTTGCTCATCGCTGCATTATCCACAATAGCAAAGATATGGAATCAACTTAGGTGCCCATCAATGGTGGATTGGAATAAGAAAATGTGGTATATACATACATTGGACTACTACACGGCCATGAAAAGGAACAAAATCTTGTCTTTTGCAGCAACATTGATGCAGCTCGAGGCCATTATCCTAAGTAAATTAACAGAGGAACATAAAACCAAATACCATATGTTCTCACTTATAAGTGGGAGCTAAACATTGGTTACTCATGGACTTAAAGATGAGGACAATAGCCACTAGGAATGAATAGAAGGGAGAGGTATGGAGGGGAGCAATAGTTAGGTTTTTTAGGATTAAAACTAGAAATACGAATTAGTTTTTGGGAGTTTTAATCCTAAAAAACTAACTATTGGATACTATGCTCACTACCTGGGTGACGGGATCATTCATATCCCAAACTCAGTATCACGCAATATACTCATCTAGCAAACCTGTACATGTACTCTCTGAATCTAAAATAAAAGTTGAAATTGTTTTTAAAAAGAATATTAAAGTATATTGTTCATTTGATCTTATCATCATATATCGAGTTCCATTTTGCTTCTCATGTGTGGATGCAAGGGAGCAGCATTTGAACTTTTATTGCAATCTTTTGTCTTTTGAGTCTAGGATACTGTGGAAAATTTAAGTATTGCTTCCACTTTCTCTCCTTCCCCCTCACTGATGTGCTTGGCCATCTAACTTTCTAGTCCCCACAAAAGGCAGAGCACGCTTTCCTGTCCCATGTTTTTCATGTGGCTGTATGGCTTGCTTTAGCCAATGGGATGTTAGTAGTCATTCTGCAAATAGATGTTTGAAATATGCTTGTATGTTTGGTCATTCATTCTTTATTTCCTTCATTGCCACAGAAAGTCATGCCCAGGTGGCTCACCAAGCTGGAGAAGGGACAAGAGACCTCTGGAGCTTCGCCTTTATAGCTGATTGCTTTTTGAATCCCAGCCATCCCAGCCTCCACAGTCTGAAGCAGAAACATCTCATCCAAACTGCATTTGTGTGAGCAAGAAATAAATGCAGACAGTTATATGCCAAGGAGATTTTATAGTTGCTTGTTATGTAATAACAATGACTAATAGAGAAATGATTGAAGAGTACTGAATCACAACATTACTAGCTCAACCTGCTCCCCAGAAAATTGCTAATAAAGACAATAATAACAAGAATTCCCTCTTATTAATGCCTATCAAATGCCAGCAATAACTAGATGCTTTGCACATTGTAATCTCATTTTATCCTAGGAAGACAACAACTCTGTGAAGTTGGTGATCTTATCCCTATTTCATTCCCAGGAAATTAGGATTCAGAAATGGCTTATAGATTTTCAGAGATCACAAAGTTAAGAAGTATCAATTCCAAGCTTACAAACCAAAGACTTTAGACTATAAAATCCCTACCTGTTAGCTGGTGCCAATGTGGCAAGATTTACCTTTACTTCTCTTCAGCTTATCTTTCCATCATTCCATTCCCACATTTCCACTCCCATTCCCCAGCCCATGTAATTCCTATTGAGTGCTGTAACTTTATTCTATTTAATGCTAAGTTGTAAGGGCTCAGAATTTAAGTTGCCTTTCATGGTATCCTAATTTTGGTAGTAGGGAATAGATAGGCATAGATGGGGTGAAAAAATGCGTTCATATATTTGTAGAATGCTCATAGCAAAAAACAAAATGAAGTTATCTTAACTATGTCAAAAGTTTTAGTGAATCCAAATAATGTACACACAAAAAAAATTTTAAATAAAAGCAAGAGTTGCATAAGAAACAAATATTTAGGAAGAATTGGGATGTCTATCGCCACCCACAAAATTAGAGAGTTATTATATCCCCTGATTGTAGATCAGGAACAGTAGTCAAAGGGATTATTTGAAAATGCAAATCTGATTATGTCGCTTACATTTTAATAGGTAGAGACAGTCAGTAATTGCTATGGCCTGAATGTTTGTGTCCTAAAATTCATATGTTGAAACCTAATTATCAAAGTGATGGTATTATCATGTAGGCCTCTGGCAAATGATTTGATTTTGAAGATGGAGCCTGTATGAATGGGATTAGCGTCCTTATAAAACAGACACAAGGAAGCTCATTGGCTCTTTCTACCCTGTGAGCATGCAAAAAGAAGGTACCAATTATGAAGCAGAATGTGGGTCCCCACGAGATGCTGAATCTGTTCATACCTTGATTTTAGATCTTCCAGCCTGTGGAAATGTGAGAAATAAATTTTTTTAAACCACGTAGTCTATGGCATTTGTTATAGCAGCATATACAGATTAAGGCAGTAATTTTACAGATTGGTAGGTTTTAGAAAGAGACACAGGTTTTGAGGAAACTTGTGTCCCTTTTGAAAAGGGTGTTCCAGACATAAGGAATATTCAGTGCAAAGGTGTTAAGGCAAAAGAGTGTATCTAATATTTTCCAGGAACGTTAAAGGCAGTATGTCTGGAAAGAGTGCATTGTTGTAGGATAATAGGAGATATTATCAGAAAGATAAGAAACAGACAGATCACATAAGGCCCTCCGGGTTATTTTAAGGACTCTGGCTTTATCCTGGATGAAGTGGTGAATGGTTACAAGGTTTTGGACAAGAATAAACTGAGGGGAGAGTGTCAGAGTAGGAATAGGGAGACAAGTTTTAAGGTTCAGACAAGGGATTTAGAAAAATAAATGAGAAGAGGTAGTTGGATTTTTTATCTGTTTTGAAGAGAGCGTGATTTCCAAATAAATTAGAGGTGGGAATAAGAAAAACAGAGTTGAAAATGACTGCAATGTCTTAAGCCTGGGCAGTTGGAAGGATTGTCACCTTAAACTATGATGGGGAAGGAGGTAGGTGGATCACGTTTTGAGGGGGAATATTAGAAGTTCAGTTTTGGATATGTTTATTTTACATTGTAAGCAGAGATTCAAGAGTGGAGATAAATTTATATACCTGGTGTTGGTGGGAGATGAAGATATAGATGTAGATTTTGGAGTCATTTGCATACTGTTACAAACTAAGTCATGAGAAACATAAAAGAGTGAGTATAGAAAGAAAAGAAAAGACATGCAAACGGTAAGCCTAAAGTCCTCCAATATTAAGATGTATGAGACATAAAGAGGAATGCCAGGCTGCACTGGGAATGAGTAACCAGTGAAGTAAGAGAAAAACCAGGCTTTAATGTCCTTAAGCCCAATCAAGAAAGTGTATGAAGGAGAAGGAATTGATAGTCTGTACGTCCAGTGAGATAACTGAACATTGACTATCACAGTTAGAATCATGGAGGTCATTAAGATCATCGCTAGTAAAAGTTGTGGTGGGATGAATGCATGGTGAATAGAAAGGAATTAGAAACAGTGTGTTTAGACAACCGTTACGGGATTTCTGCTGTACCAGCTAGCCAAGAAATGGAGCAGCAGCTAACGGGAAAGTAGGATCATGGGAAAAAATGTGATCGATGAAGTAACAATCAGCTGTTTGCTGATGAGAATGATCCTCAAAGGAAGAAAACAAATAATGATTTAGGAGAAAAAGATAAGAATTGCTGGCTGGGCCCGGGGTCTCACGCCTATAATCCCCACACTTTGAGAGGCCAAGGTGGGCGGATCACTTGAGGTCAGGAGTTTGAGAACAGCCTGGCCAACATGGTGAAACCCCATCTCCACTAAACATACAAAAATGAGCTGGGCATGGTGGCACACTCCTGTAATCCCAGCTACTCGGGAGGCTGAGGCAAGAGAATGGCTTGAACCTGGGAGGTGGAGGTTGTAGTGAGCTAAGATTGCACCACTGCACTCCAGCCTTGGTGACAGAGCAAGACTCTGTCTCAAAATAAATAAATAATTGCTTCAATGACATCCTCAGATGGAGAGAGTTGCTAGGGTGATGTCCTTAACTAAGCAAAAGCAAATGGAAGCTTAAGCACAAGTGGGGGATTTGGCTGCATACAGAAACATAGGAAGTTTGTCTGTGGTAACTGGTTTGGTGTCATTTGTTTAACAAAGTTCAACCCACACAACTGTACGGTCCTTCAGAACAGAAGACAGAAGCCCTGTCTGTCTTATCAACCATTTCATGTCCATGGCCTACATATTACCGGGCACTGAGTAGAAACTCAGCATATAGTTATTGAAGAGGGATGGACAGATGAATCAATGTACACATGGATGAGCTTCACATAGTAAATAAGTCTCCTCCCACTTTTAGTGTAAAAGATGCAGGTTCATTGTTTATTTGCATTCTACATAGAAGCCAATGACGTGGTCTGAGCACTTAAAAGCATTATATGAAATGAACCAACCCACATATCTGACTATGATCAATGGAAGAGAAAAGCAACAACATGGTCTCACACTCTCACTTCAATAAAAGATAATATTGAAATAGCTCATGTCATCTGAGATGACTGTTATCAGTTCTGATTTTTGAGTAAGGAATGGCCCTGTCTGTTGTGTACATTTGTGAAATATTCCCCATGGAGTTCCTTCTGAGATCACATTAATGTGATGTTTTAAAAAACATGCGCTAATTATAAATCAAAATTTGCAAGTATCCTAAATTCATTCATTAGTTATTCTGGAGCTGCTAAGCATTTAACACTTTTGCATTTTTTCAGTGTAACCGAAATCCCTTGAGCACTTTTATTGTGAAAATAAATAAAATGCTCACTAATGAAAGTAACACAAAGAAATTTGGATTCTTGCTGGTCACAGATGAGATTAGAAAAACATGAGGCTTTGTTGAAACATGACTGATTTTTTCTTAGCAAGAATATGAATAAAATTCAAGAAAATTTGATCCATTTTTATCGCATTTTTTGCATACATGGACTCAAATTACAAATAACACACACACACACACACACACACTCCCCAAGAAACATGCATATGAATAACTAATTTTGTTTCATATAGCTAGAGATTTTACACATCTCTATGAAAAAAGTTCAGCAGAGGTAGGGAGAAATGAAAACTGAGCAAAGATTAGCACATCAAATTAGCTCACATGAAAAGCCCCCAAAGTGTATTATTTTGTTAAGAAATAAAAATGAAGTTCCTCACTGGTAAAAGAATTATCTGGTTAACTGCTCACCCAAGTCTCCACCTTAACTGGCTTTTGTAGATACAGTTTGATTGAAGTACTTCTGAGAATTAAAATGTAAAGCCAATTTAAAGTTTACACTACACAGGCATGTGTCACTTAATGATGGGATACATCTGAGAAATGAGACATTATGTGAGTTTATTGTCGTGTGAACTTTGTAGAATGTGCGTACGCAAACCTAGATAGTACAGCCTAATACACACATAAGTTCTATGAGACAGCCTGTTGCTTGTAAGAAGCATATTATTGGATTGAATACTGTAGGCACTTGTAACAAATAGTTAAGTACTTGTGTTTCTAACCAGATCTAAACATAGGAAACGTACAGTAAAAATATGGTATAAAATAGGGTTCTCTAAACTCTGGGCCACAGACTGATACCAGTCCATGGCCTGTTAGAAACTGGGCTTCACACCAGGAGGTGAGCCGTGGGTGAGCAAGGGAAGCTTAATCTGTATTTACAGCCACTACTCACCACCTGCATTACTACCTGAGCTCTTCATCCTGTCAGATCAGTGGTGGCATTAGATTCTCACAGGAGCGTGAACCCTATTGTGAACTGTGCTTTTGAAGGATCTAGGTTGCACGCTCCTTAAGAGAATCTAAAGCCTGATGATCCGTCACTGTCTCTCATCACCCCCAGATGGGACAGTCTAGTTACAAGACAACAAGTTCAAGGCTCCCACTGACTCTACATTATGATGAGTTATATAATAATTTCATTATATATTACAATGTAATAATAATAGAAATAAAGTGCACAATAAATGTTATCTGCTTGAGTCATCCCAAAACCATCCCTCCACTCTGGCCCGTGGAAAAATTATCTTCCACTAAACCAGTTCCTGGTGCCAAAAAAGTTGAGGACCTGCTGGTATAAAAGATAAAAAATATCACACCTGTCTAAGTCACTTACCATGAACGGAGCTTGCAGGACTGGAAACTGTCTTGGGTGAGTCAGTGAGTGAGTGGTGAGTGAATGTGAAGGCCTAGGACATTACTGTGCACTACTGTAGACTTTATAAATATCATACATGACATTAAATTTACTTAAAAATGTCATTCTTCAATCATAAACTAACCTTAGTTTGTTGTATCTTTTTTATGTTATAAACTGTTAAATTTTTTTAACTTTTTGACCCCTTTGTAATAACATTTAGCTTAAGCCACAAACACATTATACAGCTGTACAAACATATTTTCTTTATTATATCCTCAATCTATAAGTTTTTTTCTATTCCTAATTTTTATTTTATTTTTTGGCTTTTAAAACTTTTTTGGTAAAAACTAAGACACAAATATACACAATAACATAGGCCGACACAGAGTCAGAATCCCCAATACCACTGTCTTCCACCTCTACATCTTGTCACACTGGACGGTCTTCAGAGGTAATAACATGCATGGAGCTGTCATCTCTAGGATAACAATGCCTTCTTCTGGAAAACCTTCTGAAGGACCTGCCTGAGGCTGTATTTACAGCTTACTTTCTTTTCTATAAGTCGAGTATACTCTAATGATAAAAATCATGGCATAGCAAATATATAAGCAAGTAACAGTCATTTATTGTCATTATCGAGCATTATGTACTGTACGTACTTGTATATGCTAGACTTTTATATGACTGGCAGTGCAGTACATTTGTTTATACAGCATCATCACCCACAACATGAGTAATGCCTTCCACTATGACATTATAACAGCTATGATGTCAGTAGGTGAGAGGAACGTGTCAGGTCCATTATAATCTTATGAGACCATTGTATATGTGGCCTGCCTTTGACCAAAACATTATGCAGCACATGATAGTATATTCTTCCTCTCTTAAACATTTCATCATAGTTAATATGAGTTTTTGAAAGTCATATAATATTGTCAATATGTGGATTTTTCAAATTGGCTCACAGGAATTCAAACTAGAAAATATAGCATTTTTAAAGACAAATTTATTTTGCTATAAAATTGACATCACACCAACTCAATTTGACTTTGAAAGTAAGGATTTCCATGTTATTCATCTTGGCATAGTATAAATTGGTCAATGGTTTTTAGGTTTTTTTTCAGATAAACATTTTACAAATGTTTATAAGAAAAACAATTTGCCAAATATGTTTTCCCTAACTCTATTTTCTTAAGGAAATGTGGAGATATTAGAATGTCTGCCAGGTCTCTTATAAGGGAAGCTGAATTTGTTCTGATAACAGAAGTTAAATGTTACAGATAACAATTAAAGTGTTATTTAAATTATATATGCATATGGATATATAATTAAAATGTTATTTAAATTATATATCCATATGGATATATAATTAAAATGTTATTTAAATTATATATCCATATGGATATATAATTAAAATTAAATTTAATTACATACACATATATAATTAAAATTAAATTTAATTACGTATACGTATATATGTAACTTAAAATGGCTGTGTTTAAAAGAAACTTATCAAACATCTGCTTGAAAGTGAAGACATTTATCAAATCCATTAGGTAATAGGTTAATCAGATAATTCATATTCTCCCTATTTCACATAACCTTGGATAATCAATAATTGGCTTCATTTTCCTTAACAAATTGTTTTTCAAATGACTTGGCTTTAATCTGGTCAAGCACATATTCAATACTGACATTTTTATAGTGTCCAATAAAGTGAGTGAGGTACAGATTCATGCCTCTGTGTGATACGGACCAGACAAAGAAATCCATGAGTTCACAAGTATGTCTAATACATATGTCTTGGTAACATTTATTTTGTTTGTATAATAAAAAATTATATTGATTCAGTTGTTTCAGATATGTACGACTGAACCCACAGTGCTGGGCTGCTCTCTGAATTCTTTGTAATCCCAGTTTCAGTATGCAAAATATTATTTAAATTAATTTAAAATATCTACATAAATGCATAAATAAAAGAATATTATGGAATGATATGCTGTCATTGAAACCCAAGACAAATCTTATATGGAAAGAATTTCTCTGTTTTGTCTCAGATGCTATTTATATTTACATTGATTGTAAAACAAGATTTGGAATCAGGTGCAGAATCTGCTCCTAATCCTAAATCGAAAGTGATTTGAATGAATGGCACCAGTTTTCTGAATTCTACTGTATAAGCTTCATAAGCAAGATAGTGTGGCGATACCTCAGGAATCTAGAACTAGAAATATCATTTGACCCAGCTATCCCATTACTGGGTATACACCCAGAGGAATATAAATCATGCTGCTATAAAGACACATGCACACATATGTTTATTGCAGCACTACTCACAATAGCAAAGACTTGGAACCAACCCAAATGTTCAACAATGATAGACTGGATTAAGAAAATGTGGCACGTATACACCATGGAATACTATGCAGCCATAAAAAATGATGAGTTCATGTCCTTTGTAGGGGCATGGATGAAGCTGGAAACCATCATTCTCAGCAAGCTATCGCAAAGACAAAAAACCAAACACTGCATGTTCTCACTCATAGGTGGGAATTAAACAATGAGAACACTTGGACACAGGAAGGGGAACATCATACACCGGGGCCTGTTGTGGGGTAGGGGGAGGGGGGAAAGATAGCATTAGGAGATATATCTAATGTAAATGACAAGTTAATGGGTGCAGCACACCAACATGGCACATGTATACATATGTAACAAACCTGCACATTGTGTACATGTACCCTAGAACTTAAAGTATAATTTAAAAAATGAGATGTAAATTAAAGGAATTTAATTTAAATTGGAGGATTTGATAAAAACGTGAGTGTCGTGTGACATCAATTCATGTATTAAATATAACTATAACAATGTAACATTCAGAAATATTAAAATACTTTTAACTCTTAAGATATGAAGATGCCAGATAAGAGCCTTAAGCTTGTATTTTCCTTCTAATTGTTTTTCTTTCACTAACAGCTGATGATATTGTCAAGAAATACCAAGGATGTAATGTTGAAGCCTTTTAGATCTTTGAAGGATATTAAACTAAGAAAAATGCATTGACGGGGTTTTGCACAATCTGCATGACTGCCTAGGGTTGCATTCCTACTCAGAATTATTTAGTCTGTTCCAGGGTTCTATGTGGCCCTAATGACATCTATAAAAAAAAATTGCTCATTTTCTTACCTTTATTTTCATTGCTTCATTGACTTTGTGTGGCATGTCCAGCACTTTAGACAGAACAACTTAAAATACGGCATAGGAAGCAGCGCCTCTGTCATGATATAAAACATAAATCACTAACTTTTTTGTGCCTTTGGCAAATTGTGATTGCTTTTCTACTCAAAAAATGCAGGTCACTGGCCTTCTGGCAAACTCTCTTCATCAGCAGTCTGAATGCTTTGTTTTGAACAAAAAGGAAAGGCAAGAGAAAATGTGCAAGTTTGGTTTATAAACCGGCAGGTTATTCATTCAGATAATTTTAAGAAAGCAAGCAGTGGAAATTTCGATGAGAAAATAACTTGAAGAAAGAGGGAGTCACCTTAGGGTGAAGACCTTTGGGTAGTAACTTAATGACCAGGCTAGAAACTATGTAATAAAAGGGCAATGAGTAGCAGATAACTTTGTGGTCATCACACAATGGGGACTTGAGATAGACAATGGGAAGTACATGTATGTATGCGCTAATAGTTTCTAGCTTGATCTTAGAGCTCTCAGCCTATCTCTTGCTTTCTCCAAAAAAACCTCTTTCAAACCAAGAAGGATGTGTTCCTACAGCACCTAGCTCAGAAATATACACACATGTGCACGTGCACACACACACAGACACACACATCACATTACAAGATCTTTGAGTACACGGGCCTATAAATTATACTTAGATAGTACAATATAAGACAGAAGGTTAAACCCTAACATAAAGAGCACATGTTGCAGATCTGGTTCTTGCATATACTACCTCAGTGGCCGTGGATCAGGTATTAAAAATCTGTTGAGACTTATTTTCTTCTCATGTGTAAATAGGGATTTTAATTTCCATTCTGTGTCATTGTAAAGCCTAATTTGTATGTGATACAATGAGCAAATGCCAGACTATCTGCTGCACTTCCAGCACAGTGCTTTGCATATAGAAAGCACTCAATAAATTGATATTTTGGTTGAGGTCAAATGGAGAGATGGAATATTCTTGCTGTCTTCCAAATTGATGATAGTTCATGAAATAGAAATTTCACTTGCTCTTCTGTGTTTGTAGTCCCAGGAAAATCAACCCTGGTAAAAATGGTACATCCACCCTCTATATCTGCCATTCATTTCTCTCCACCCTCTTTGACATTCCCCAGAGTAAGACAAATTTTCTGCCTTAGAGTTTAGTTCAGAGTGTGGCATCCATTAAGCTACATTCCTCTACTAACTGGGGTTAATGCAGTAATGGCTGATACTTATATGAGCCCTGACTTACCTATGACTATCTCTTTAGGATTGCCAACAATGGGCTATAAAATATTCTATTCTTTCTTCTTTCTTCCTTCCATGTGATGAACTTTTCTGGATACTCTTTGACGAGAAGAAGAATTTGACTATGGAGTTTTCTAGCTTCTCTAACTATAATTGAGGGGTGTGCTTAATTCAGAAAAAAGAATAGTGTATCAGTTAACTATTGCTACATAACAAACTACCCCCAATGTTAAGCATTCTTTTTATTACTGTTACTTAAAATAACAACTGCCTACTAGCTGACTCCTTCTGCTGATCTGGGCAAGCTTTGGCTGATCTCAGCTGGGCTCCTTCACATATCTGAGGTCAATTAGAGGGTTGGATGGGGCTGAGGAGTCTAGGATTCTTAGGCAGAGATCACTCATTCTCCTTATGTTTCTCACATTGTTCCAGCAAGCTAGTAAAAGCATTTCCTCACAGTGATGGCAAGGATTGTAAAAATAAATAAATAAACAGAACTGTAGAAGCATTATTTTTAAGCCTTTGTTTGCAGGAAGTTTGATTCTGTCCCATTTGCCAAAGCAAGTTTCATGTCCAAGTCCAGAGTAAGTGTGGGAAGGTACTACCAAAAGGCAGAGATACAAGGAAGCATGAAAAATAGGGTGCATTAAATTAATAGAAATTGGGTGCACTGATCAATAGGAATTATAGTTTGGCCGCAGTTTCAAGCCATGTTTTCCCAACCAGTATCACCTGCATCAAAGCAGGTATTTGGCTCTGACTCTGGTATCTCTTTCCCAACTGGTTCAAAACCCTCACCCTAACAGATGATGAGCATATGGGAGATTTACATAACAATACAAAGACATGCTTTGTACTTTGTGAATGATCTGGCCAGGCTAGTGATGCTGGCACAATTTACAGGGACAGATATCCACCTATCCAAATCATTTTATTATATTGATTAAAATCCAGGAAACCTATAGAATACAAAAAGTTTTGAAGAAGCAGAATTTTCCAGGTAGGCACATTTATTTAATTAGTTTGAAATTCTGAGAAAAGAAAATGTTTAAATTACTTAATTAATGATTTTAAGACCAACTAAAAGGACTTGAAGAAAGACAACCTCTGTTGGAACCTGATTCAGCTACACAGTTGCACTGTGTAAGCCCCATGATCTCATTTAATCTAATTTGGAAAACTGCAACAATAACCGTTTAATCTTAAAGATATCTCTAGAGGATCATTCCTCCTGAAGATGCTTTGTAAACTTAAAAACGTTATCAAACACTATGCCCTCCAAACTCATCCCAAGTTTATTAGTGTCATAGAATTTTATTTTATGAAGGAAATTTAGTGAATATATATCATTACTTAGCATTGTATGTGAAACACAGCAAGTCCTAGGACAGTTAATAGCCCATTTGTCTAATTAATGTGTATATGATCTACCAGTCACTCAATACCAAGATAATCATGATTTTTCTTTGTCAGAAAACATTCTAGAAAATGAAATGTTTTGGTGAAGACTCAGAGATTTTTCTGCATATGCAAATAATTATGAAGGGAAACAAAAGAGAGCAAGTCATTAGTAAACAAACTATTTTCCATTGGTCAGTGGTCCCAAAGTTCTTTTGGTGCCTTTAAGCCAAGGGAGTCAAATTCAGATTTTACATTAAAATTATTAGGAACAGGCTGGGTGCAGTGGCTCACACCTGTAATCTCCGGACTTTGGGAGGCCGATGGGGGTAGATCCCTTGATGTCAGGAGTTTAAGACTAGCCTGGCCAACATATTGAAATTCTGTTTCCACTAAAAATATAAAAATTAGCCGGGCATGGTGGTGGGCACCTGTAATCCCAGCTACTCGGGGAGCTGAGGCAGGAGAATTGCTTGAACCCAGGAGGTGGAGGTTGCAGTGAGCCAAAATCATGCCACTGCACTCCACCGTGGGCAACAGAACCAGAATCCTTCTCAAAGAAAAAAAAAAGAAAAAAATTTTTAGGAACAAAGTAAGAAGTGAGGTGCCTGGGGACCAAAATTTAAGGAAGTTCTCATTCTTCGGTGAGGACCCTGTCTTTGCACTACACTAAGAGTGAGTGTCTCCTTGCATTTTGTGCCCAAGGAACTTCATTTGTCTTGCCCTAGTAAGGCCCTAGTTAGGGCATGGTAAAAATATCAGACATTATTCTCCTAGTAGAATCGGACTTTAAATCAATAAGCAGGTAGCTTAATTTTTAATGCATTGGCATTAAACACTTTTAAATGTAGGCTTCATTCAGATTCTTGATGCAGCATTTTTTAAATGTGTAGAGCCATCTAAAATATTTGAAAAATAAAAGACAATCTTAGCACAACAATTCTTCTTAGCATACTAGGTAAGAAATCCTCGCCATTTGGCCTTGGTTGAGAGCAGATTTGGAGTCTGTTAACAGGGTTTTGAAACCCATCTCCACCCTTTGCTGGCTCTGTGAGCTTGCACAAGATATTTAGTTTCCTCATTTGGCAAATGGGGATAATTTTTATAGCACTTATCTTTCATGTTTTACATGCAGGTGAGAGAACTAAATGTAATAATGTACATAAAACTTTTAACAGTAACTGGCTTACAGAAAGAACTTACCAAATGATAGGTATTATTATTGATATTATTTTTGTTATTATTTCTGGAATAAAGCCTTTGCCAAATTATTTTGCCTTTGGCACTAAAAATTCATTCACAGGATTCAAAATATCTGTCCTGATGCCTCTTTTCAGCAGAAGCAGCCAGAAAGAATCTTTGTCCAACACCCCATAACAGCAGTTAGGTTTACTTCTCTTGAATGGGAATAATACAGGAATTATTCAAAAATAATTTTTAGGCAGCTAGAAAGAGTAAAGGTTCTCGGCAGAATTTTCCTTTAATAAAAAGCAACCCCTGAAACTTTTCTTTTCGAACAGGAACGTGGCTTGAAAAGCCAGGCCAGCAAGCTTTTATATGCAAATGCAGGTGATTAGAAACTGGGTCCATCCAACATGGTGATTCCTGCCCTCTTCTGCTTGTCAACACATGTGCCAGGTATCATGGTCACCTCCAGATGACTCCACGTGTGCAGGACATCATGGTGACCTGTATTTGCATATTAAAAGACCAGGGTGGGAGGGCCATGTTTTTCGCTGGCTATGTGAATGACACACCTGGTCAAACCAATCCCCTGGGCCTTGTGCAAATTAGACACCACCTGCTCCAGCCTCCCAATATAGCCAACTGCTTTTCCATTACATATGGGATTTTCTCCATTCAGAGCTCTCCTCTCTCTGTATAGGGGAGCCATTTTCTTCTTTCTTCTTTCTTGCCTATTAAACTTTCTTCTCCTTAAAACCAAAAAAAAAAAAAAAAAAAAAAAAGTCCTGAAATAGATTGGAAGGTTGTCTTCCTTCTTCCATATCTCCTATAATGATTCTTATGAAGAGAAATCAAATGGAAGTTCTGGGGATATGAAAGAGAAGAGAGAGACAACAGAAGAATGAGAAGAATTATGAAACCTAACCTGAAATTTAAAACAATTTCAATTTTTTTAGCTTCTTGAAGAGAAGGTTTAGCGTGATTAATAATTATTTGTTATTATTACTATTTAATAATGATTGATAATTAATAGACTTTGGTAAGCTATTTTCTACCTCTTAAAATCCCATTGTTTTAGGACTCAAAAATCCTTCTGTCATTAGGGAAAGTTTTCTCTAAACTTTGAAAAGTTTTTTAGGATGTGGTTTTCCCCCAAACATTTACTTTACATATTCTCTTCCCTAAATTGATATTTTCAGAATGATAGAGGTTTTCCTTTTAATTGGTAGATTTAAAAAATAAATCGGCCTAGATTCATAGAATAGAAATGACCTCTAAGCCTCAAGTTAATATTGTGAAATACATGGTTAGAGGGCCTAACAATTAATATAGAAAATTATAAAAATAGCATAAAAGCACAGTAATAATCAATATCAAGGTAGAGAGTAATAGAAAATAATGAGTCTAGGTGAAAAATAGGTGTATTAAATAGGTATAATTTACATGAATTCTGAGATAGAGATAAATGTAATCATCTTCTGAAATAAAATTGTCTTCATGCATGTATTAATTTGTTTACTGATTTATAGCATATTTTGGCAAATCAATTCTCAAGGACCTGCATTATCAATTCACTAATTTTGGTGCTAATTTCTCAACATAAAAAGGATAGCAAAACAGAGCACAGAGAACATTTTCCTTTTGTATTTTTTAAGAATTTGAAGAACTATGGTGTTAAAGTGCTTCAACATAAAAAAAAATTCAGAAAATTGCTAATTGGATCACTCACATATTGTTTGAACACTGCCAAGAAAGAGATGATAATGTAAGTACCTTATAGGACCTTTTATGGGATGATTTTGGTACCTCAAACTTAGTCAAAATTGCACATTTAGGCTGACAGGTCATATTTTCTCAGATCTTCAACTTTGCTTGATTCTCGGTTGTATCAGTAGGGCTCAGCGGAGTGCAGTGGCACTGTCACAGCTCACTGCAGCCTCAACCTCCCAGGCTCAAGCAATCCTCCTGCCTCAGCCCCACAAGTAGCTGGAAGTACGGGCACATACCACTACGCCTGGCAAATTTTTGAATTTTTTGTAGAGACAGGGTGTCTCCATGTTGCCCAGGCTGGTCTCAGACTCCTGGGGTCAAGCAATCAGCCTGCTTCAGGCTCCCAAAATGCTAGGATTGCAGGAGTGAGCCACCGTGCCTGGCCTGAGCATCTTTTCATTTTATCTATCTAGCTATGTTGAAAGGAGGTATAGCACCATCTAAAAGAATAGAATTCTGAATGCAACAGATATAAGTTGTGTCCAGTTTTAACCAATATTAGTCATCTGGTGCTGGAAAAGTTAAAAATTCTCTGAACTCAAGTTTTCTCTTCTAAAAAAAAAGAGATCATATTTATTTTATAAAGCTACTTTGAAAATTAAATTAGGAAAAGAATATAAAATATTTGGCAAAGTACTGGCATAAGTACTCAATTTATAGCAGCTGCTAGAATTATTATGTTATTGTTGAATGGATAAGAAACTGGCTGTCAGGAATTAGGTGAAATCCTCTGACTCAAAAGATATATAAGGGAGAATAGCTATCCTTGGGAGCTCTTGATGGAATAGTCAAAAGTCCAAAGAGACAGATGAATAGATATTGATGGACGTCTTGGAAGCACAGAGGAGGAACACCAGGCTAGACACTGAGATTCAGGGAAGGCCTCTGTCTAAGCTGAATCCTCAAGCAGGAGAAATGGGGAACACATGGTGTCTAGTAGAGGAAACATTATGGGAGCAGACCTACTGGGTGTTCAGCAGGCTGGCTGGAGCAGAAATGGGAAACGAGGAAGAAACAAGAGAGGAGGCTAGAGAGATAAGTAGAGGCCAGATCTCAAAAAGGATTCTAAAGTCAACCAGAGAATTTGAACCATATCCCAAGGCTGATAGAAAGAGCTATGAAGGGTTTTAAGGCAGAGAGTGAGAGGATCGGATTTTCACTTTAGAAAGGTCACTGGAAATGAGAGAGGGAAAGCAATTAGGGACTCCATTTGTCCCAATTATGGCATAAAAGTAGTCTCAGCTGGAGAATTGATGGTGGGTACAAAAAAGTGGCTGGATCTCAAGAATGCTGAAAAATGTTGCCTTGCTAAAATTTAGCAAATGAATGAGAAAAGCAATGCACAGAGATCATTATCCGATAAGGCTGCTAAATCCACCCCAGCCACTGGATGGATGGCTGACCTTGGTTATTTGGCCTTTGATCCTGCATATGTCTCTTTTGTCAACCAGAACAAGTAGAAAGGAAAGAAAATTAATCTTTTCAGCCTTTTTCTACATGTTTGTGTTCTCACATAAAAACGAATTTTGAATTGGTTCTCTATATAATTTTCACCACTTACTTTCAGTTAATTTCCATGGATAAGCAAATTAATTATATCCTGTTTCTTTACATCAACTATACTGACATGGTTCATAGGTAATTGTACGGTGTCATTTCTGCTTTACACCATCACTGGGAATATTGGATCTGTAAATGTTAGCATGCTGCTTCTCAGGAAGATACAATTTTCTTTTATTATCATTTTTTTAAATCTTGAGGAATTCTCACTGACCTAGTTTTCTTTATTTTCCATTTCCATTTGGAATTTCATTACACCTAACATGCCATACAACAGGCATTATAATGAATAGATAACTGATTAATTGGGACCCATTTAAACTCAGTTGTAGCATAATTTCACTTCCATTTGATCCTAAGTCATTCAAGGTCTCTCTTCAGCTTGCCTCTCAGCCTCTCTCTTAATACTCCTCTCAATAGCCTTGGCTGTAGACCAATAGGTGTTTGCCATTCTCCAAACACTTGCTCACTTGCAGTTTTTATGGAGTCCCTAATGTTTCCTTGGCCTAAAACGTACTCCTTCCATGCTACCCTGATTTCATTACAGTAGTGCCCCCATATCTGGAGTTTTGCTTTCGAAGGTTTCAGTTACCTGTGGTCAGTTATGGTAAACCATGGTCTGAAACTATTAAATGGGAAATTTCAGAAATAAAAAATTCATAAATTTTAAAACATGCACCTTTCTGAGTAGCATGATGAGATGAAATCTTGTGCCATCCTGATCCATCCTACCCAAGCCTGAATCATCCTTTTGTGCAGTGTGTCCATGCTGTGTATGCTACTCCCCAATTAGTCATTTAGCAGCTGTCACAGTTATCAGATCAACCTACATAGTGTACATAGAGTTCATCTCTATCCTCAGTTTCAGGAATCCACTGGGGATCTTGGAGCATATGCCCCATGGATAAGGGGAGGACTCTTGTAATTCTTGTTCTTCTTTTCTCTGCTGAGAGATTCATTCGGAAAGGTTTCATGAACACACATGGCTCTTTATGGAGGGCTTACTTCACATTATACTAGGCACATAAAGAATTTAAAGTTGAGCAAAGCAAACTTGGCTGTGACCCTATGGAACTTCAAGTACAGATGAAAAGACCGATGTTAATACAAACACACACACACACATGCTCACATATATGTAGAGTGTCTCTGGAATGGCATCAAGGAAGAGGTAGAAAAAGGTAGTCTCTGAAGAAAGGAAATGGTACTAGGGTCACAAAGCTAAGAAGTCTTCTTCAGAAGAAGACATTTTCTTTGGAATTATTTAAATATGTATCAGATGGATATAGTTCAAGAATCAATTAAGAAATTTGAAAAATGCGGTAAGTGCTATGAAGTAATAGTACATGGTACGATTAGAGAAGATACCAGAATAGCCTAATTTAATTTGGGGAGCTAATTTTACTTTTCTCTGAAGAAATGATCTTTATTGGAATAGGGTAGAATATTCCAGATAGAACAATCAGCCTAGGGAAAGGCCCACGTCAGGAAAAAGATTGACCTTCCAAAAAAAAAAAGAGAGAGAAAGAAGAATGGCAGAATTAGATTGCTGAAGATGAAGTAAAAGTTGGTGAGGGGTGAGACATGAGTGGATGAAAGAAGCTACGTTATGCAGAAGCTTGTAGATCATGTTGTAGGTTTCACATTTTATTTTAAGTGCAGGGTGGGGGATGTAAGTATTTTGAGAAGAAAATGGTGAGATCTATTTTTCACTTTTAAAAAGTTGTCCTGGATATTCGGTAGGGAGTGTATTAGGGAGACAGTTTTATGAAGTATGTTAGGGAGACTTTTAAGACCATTGGAACAATGTTGTATTAGTACAAGTGAGATGTTCCAGTCATTTGGACTATGCCAAAGAGTGGCATAAGTAAAGAGATTCAACAAATATTGTGGAGATGTCCTAGGTAAGAATGGTAAGGCATTTTCTGTAGGCGGTGAGAGAGAGATAAGTATGACTTCCAAGTTTCTCCACAGAGCATTTTGGAATACAGTGAATTTACTTAGATGGAGATTATTCTGAAAAGTCTACCTACTCTATGATCCCAAGTATATGACGTTTTGAAAATGGCAACAGTCTAGAGAAAGTAAAAAGATCATTGATTGTCATGGGTTCAGAGAAATGCAGGGAGAGATGAAATAGGTGGATCACAGGAGATTTTTAGCACAATGAAATTACTCTGTATAATACCGTAATAGTAAATAAATGACATTATACATTTGTCAAAACTTTGTACATAGACCTGCAGGACAGAAAGAGTGAGCCCTAATGTAAGCTATGGACTTTAGTTAATAATAGTATGTCAATATTGGTCCATCGATTGTAGCAAATGTTGCATACCAATGCAAGATGTTAGTAACAGGAAATATTGTGTGCAGGAGAGTAGGTATAGGAAAATTTCATTACTATCCAATTTTTTTTCTGGAAATCTGAAACTTCTCTAAAAAAATAAAGTCTATGAATTTAAAAAGAAGAAGAAGAAGAAAAGAAGCTTTCTTCTTTTGTGGTAAACATGAGAAATGTCATGGAAGAAAAACGAAGGGGTATTCCATGAAGGAATTAGTAATCAAACATATCAAATGTTGCTGAAAGATTAAATGAGATAAAGAAATGAAATCCATTGAGTTGGACAATATGACATTTATTTGTGATTTTATTATAGCAAGAGTAGTTTCAATAGTGTAGGCAGAAGTGATGTTCTAGCAGTGTTTCAATGGTAGAGGCAGAAGTCAGATTGGTGTGGATAAAGATAAAATAGTTCCCCTCAGAAAATTTAGGATTTAAAACTTAAAGGATCAAGTGAACTAAAAGTACACTCTCCATAATCATATGTGGAAAAAATCCTTAAAGAATTTTTAAAACCTTGCATAGCTACAAAATACACAAAGTATGTATATGTGTGTGCATTGTTCAGTATTTTATATTATGCTGTAGGCATTATGCAATGGATATCTCAAGAAAGACCTAGTTTTACTAACTATCCAGCTTGAAAATTTCTTTAAGCTACATATGTTTTTAAACAGGATTGGTTATAAAATTTGGAATATTATTGTCAAGGCTAGATTGATTAACAAAGAAATTTCTCACATGGTTATCATAGATCCATCTATCACTGTATATAAAAACATATATTTTCCTCAAATATGTATGGAATATTCATAAAACATTATTCATATTTAGTATCATTGAGAAAAAAGGCAATGAATTTATGGTTACGGAGTAAGTTTAACAAAAATTTTTACTAAATATTAACTACAACTTGATGGGTGTAAAAATGAAAAGTTAGATAAAATTGATAATATTTTAGATAGAATATAAAATATCCTCCAGGAGAAATAAAGAAAGATGGATCTTTTTCTGACCAAGATAGAATAATAGCAAAAAGATATATCCTGCCTAAAACCACTGAAAAATCAACAAGATATAGTAAACAAGTTTTGATACTTTAGATATCATGCAATGAAGGTCAGTGACCCCAAAGTGATGGAAAATGAAAGAGCTGAGCTCCACGACTGCCCTAACTTACTGCCTGGCTACAGTTTACAGGATGCAGTATGGGAAACGGGAATCCAGGCAGTGTCTAGCAGTCTCCATGAGGTGAAGACACCGAGATGGGAATCTTCAGGGGCCACAGTGTCTAGAACTTGCAAGATAGAATACTAGAGAGGAGAGAGAGTGAGAACTCTGGATATAGACAGAAGGTCCCAGACTAGTCTCCAACTTAGTACTGATTGCACATGCACATGACAAAACTACCCCAAGCCAGGAAAAGAACTATTTGAAAAGGTTGGAGGGAATAATCCTCAAAGTGAGAACAGGCTGAAAATGGTTCCTTTTTCCACCACCAAGAGTGAAGAACGTCAAAAGTCATGGAATATTGGCAGGTTATTCCAAAAGGTTTGTCTCAGTAGTGAAAAATATTAACCTTAGACAAAATGTCATTCTGGATCAACTTGTCTCTAAGCAAGTTAAAGACTTTCCAGGACAAAGGTAAAAAATATTTGTAAGAATTTAAAAAATCCAGTATTTGTTCTTGTGAAGAGTATTTTAAGCAACCATCACTTATTTGTTCTGAATTCTCTGTAAGTTTCTAGACCTTAACTGTTTATACAAATGTAACTTTTGTCTAGTATCTTGTCATTTTCAAAATGCCAGATAAGTTTTCAGCAAAGTTTGAATATTATGAATGTGTGTGGTTTTAATGATTTTACATTAGTTTTCTATTTTTTGTGTGTGATTTGGGTTAACATATAAGTCATGCAATACAGTGCTAATCCAAATACAATTTGTAGACTGGAGGAAGTAAGGAGACTGTTTCTGAACCATAATAAGGTAAACACAAAAATAAAGACTAGTTTTTAGAAACTTTCAAGCCATGTGACACTGCTGCAACATCCAAACACATATTATAATTAATTGATTTGAGTCATTAAACAGAGTATATAGACCAGTTTGCATCATGAGTCATATGTGGTATGAGTTGGGTAATGGTGACTTGCAGAAGGTGTGATAGCCTGGAAATAAGATTAAAAAAATCCTGGACCACAGTTGGTTTGAGAAGCACTAATGTAAGTTATAAAATTCACTTCATGGCATCCAGAGGAGAAGAGTATTGAAAGAGATACACAGTCATTTCTATGGAAACTGAAGCTCAAATACAACTTAAGGTCTATGTGACTGTTAATAAGGACCGATGACATCATGTCAATACATGACAAGCATAACAAATCAAGCTGTCTTTTCAAATTTGCACCTCAAATAAAAATTACGGGGGTAAACACTTGAATTGCAGTTGTTTTTTATTAAGCTACTTCATATGTGGGCAGCTCTATGCAGTGAGTTCCAGGGTGAGAGGAGTATAACTCACTATTAATACTGCAGGTGTCAGTCTGTGGATGTCTCTATTTTTTGCTTCCTCCCTTGTATATTCACTCATCATCATTGTCCTCAGACGCCATTGCAAAATTGTTCTTTTTTGTTGTTCTGCAGATGTCACCAGTTTGGCAATATGAATATGTTTAGGATCATCTCTTCATGTCAATACTCTGAAAACTAAATTACCATTTCTTATTTTTGTCTTTCACCCTTTTTCCCAGTAATAAGATACGTAAGTTCTGAATATTTTCTTTTTTTTTTTTTTTTTTTTTAAAAAGAGTGACCTCCTATGCTATGAATCAAAGCAATATGATGCCAAACTTGAACAGACAGAATGGTGGCTGCCTGGTACCATCGGCTTTATTTTTTATTATTTTCCACAGTTACCCGTTTTTTCACAGTAGGAGAAGAGAAGGATTACCCCGCTGAGAACTCCATTTCAAATACCACAATCATTGTTGTGTGCTTACAGCGGGTCAACTGCACGCAGTGGAAGGATGAGGAATGCAGTGACAAAATCAATAATGCTGAGTTGCTCCTTGTTGAACAGTGAAAAAATTTTATCTTTTTGTTAATAGGATAGTGTTTGTTTTTACCCCAAATCAATTAAATACAACTGGAATGTGTATTTTATGTTTTCCTTAGAAACCAAATTAATCCACTGGTAATTGTTTCACTCTCTAGCGAATGGGCATAGACCAGCACTTTTATTCTATTTGTCTACTTAGTTTTTTAATCAGCAAGACGGGTTTAATGGCTTCCTAATTAAAAGTAACATTTTCTTAACTTTCACTTTATTTCTCCTGTTTCTTCTCCTTTTATGGGATTATCAGATGCATTCCAATAAATAACATTTCTCTTATGCTCTTTACAATATGAAATAATAACACATCAGGAAATTTGGTGATGTCTACTCTGTGCATGGCCTTTTGAAGGAGTAAGCATTTTGATACAGAATACCTTATATTGTCTATCTCTAATTATTTATAAGGTCATCTAATATGAGATTTGATTTTTTACAATTAAGCAGTGTGAATAAACAATTTTGGGCTTCATTCTATCACATCTGCAAAAGCAAAGTTACAGATTCAGGGAGGTGAGGATGCAGTGACAGTAGTGTCTCCCATTGAGCACTTTCTCAAATAGGAACTTTCTGGAAATGCTTTTTTAAAATAAATAAGGTAATATTATGGCTTTAAAGATTATAATAAAAGTGTATTTAATAAACTAACATGAAAGCAAGCTCATTCAACATCTAAAGAAGGCATCTGTAGCATGATCCTACCCTTTCTATGTGCTCATTCACTTTTTTTTTTTTTTTTTTTTTCAGACAGAGTCTTGCTCTGTCACCCAGGCTGGAGGGCAGTGGTGTGATCTCGGCTCACTGCAATCTCTGCCTCCTGGGTTCAAGTGATTCTCCTGCCTGAGCTTCCTGAGTAGCTGGGATTACGAGTGCCCATCACCACCCCCAGCAAGTTTTTGTATTTTTAGTAGAGACGGGGTTTCACCATGTTTGTGAGGCTGGTCTTGAACTCCTGACCTCAGGTGATCTGCCTGCCTCAGCCTCCCAAAGAGCTGGGATCACAGGTGTAAGCCACCATGCCAGGCCCTCACTTATTCTTTAACAAATGATTTAGATTCCACTCTGCTGTTGATTCTTATTTAAGTTGGTTCTGCTTAGAAGTTGCCTGAGTTTTTACCTAATTATCTAGGGAAATTATCCAAAAATTTATGCCTTTTTCCCCAGATAATATTTAAATCAGTAAAATATTTCTCTATTCTGAGGAAGTTGTCCACCATGAAGTTTACAGAGAGAATCTGCTTTCTTTTATTTTTCTTTTTTTCTTTTTTTTTTTTTTTTTTTTTTGAGGCAGAGTCTCACTCTGTCACCCAGGCTGGAGTGCAGTGGCGTGATCTTGGCTCACTGCAAGCTCCACCTCCCGGATTCACACCATTCTCCTGCCTCAGCCTCCCGAGTAGCTGGGACTACAGGTGCCTGCCACCATGCCCGACTAATTTTTTGTATTTTTAGTAAAGATGGGGTTTCACCATGTTGGGCAGGCTGGTCTTGATCTCCTGACCTCATGATCTGCCCACCTCGGCCTCCCAAAGTACTGGGATTACAGGCATGAGCCACCGCGCCCAGCCGAGAATCTGCTTTTATTCTATGCTGGCATTGGCAGTATTTTAATGTATATCCATCGTGGATTAAGGATCTGAGAAGCAGGAAAACGTTGGATAGTATTAGAAAGTAAGATAGTATACTCTCATTTGTGGTTACACCATGTGTTATAACAGAGAAATATTAGGTTACAGTAGATTAAAACATCTGAGATTTACTTCCTACTCACATAAAGTCTAACTGACATGGCGGTAGCGGCAGGAAGGCTGCTGTCCATACACCACAGCACGCTCACCGGCTCATGTTGCTTTCAGGATCACCCTGAATGAGCAGGAAGGCTGCTGTCCATACACCACAGCATGCTCACCGGCTCATGTTGCTTTCAGGATCACCCTGAATGAGCAGGAAGGCTGCTGTCCATGCACCACAGCACGCTCACCGGCTCATGTTGCTTTCAGGATCACCCTGAATGAGCAGGAAGGCTGCTGTCCATGCACCACAGCACGCTCACCGGCTCATGTTGCTTTCAGGATCACCCTGAATGAGCAGGAAGGCTGCTGTCCATGCACCACAGCACGCTCACCGGCTCATGTTGCTTTCAGGATCACCCTGAATGAGCAGGAAGGCTGCTGTCCATACACCACAGCACGCTCACCGGCTCATGTTGCTTTCAGGATCACCCTGAATGAGCAGGAAGGCTGCTGTCCATACACCACAGCATGCTCACCGGCTCATGTTGCTTTCAGGATCACCCTGAATGGCAATATGCAACCAGAAAAGGAAGGAGATGAGTGGAGGAGGCACATGTTTTGTTTTGTTTGTTTGTTTTGTTTTGTTTTTTTGCCAGGTCTGTCCCGCAGATTCTGGCCGAAATGAGTACTCAGACACAGGTATGTAGTGTAAAAGCAGCTAGGTTACTGCCTGTCTCTAGAGGCCAGAGAGCAGCCCTGAGAAGCTAGAGCTCCTTGCTTTTATTCAGTGCAGGCACAATGCCAAAAACCTGGGGCCAACACAACCTGTAGGTAATTAACAATTATTTTTCCCCTTTCAGGGAATGTCATGCATGGAGATGATCAAAGGTCAGTTCCTGGTCAACATAAGTAAACAAGCCTATTTAAGATAAATTCCTTCACACTGCCTTGTACCTACTCCTTGCCCTCTGCCTCAGGGTTATAGAATAGTTGCCTTCAGCTATTCTCCCCCAGGGCTCCGCAGAACCTTCCTACCTTTCAGAAGGTTTGTGTCCTTTCCCTATAGTTTTTCCCACCACTGTGACCAATCCCCCACGTTTTTTAATCCTATTGACAAAGAAATGAGACACATCATTTTTCTCATAGACCATGGCAAGAAAAAGTCACATGGTCACAACAGAAAACAAAGGTCGCTGAGAAATGTCTCCAGACAGACAGGGGCACCTTTACATTATGTAAAGGAAGCTAACATCTTTGATAGTAAAGCCAACTGCCTTTACCATGTATGATATATTTTTTCAATATTGGTGATACCTGCAATGAGTACATTTTACCAAAATCTTTCAAAGTGAAATGCAACTAATTCTTGATTAACCTCTTTTCAAATTGATACTGTTTTAATCAATGTACAACAATTCAATTCCATTATCTTGATTGGTCCTCCATTCCTTGATCAATAAAGAGTGCATTGACATTTTAGCATTCTTTATTCCAAGTTCTTTCAATTACTTTTCAAAAATAATACATACAAATAAATACCATATCAATTTATCTCTTAAAAAATGTTATTAAACAAATTATATTAATGAAGAGCTGGAAAAAAGAAAACTAAATTCCATCAATTCAGTTACTCTATGAAGAGTTTCAATTTTTCCAAGTTTTCAGTTTTGTTCTTGAGAAATTATAATATTATAGCTAAATATTTACATTCCATGATATTTACATTTTCTAAGAGTATAGTTGGACTGACCACTCACTATACTTTCATACTCAAAGATAAAGAATATGATTTATGTTAAGCGTGAGCAACTAACTGGAGGGTCTGGAAATGTAAATGTGAACAATTATATCAAGTTTAGGGCCGAAAATAGTTGCCAGTCTCATTAGAGACAGACTCACCATTCAGGACTATTATTTTGCAGAAATAGCCAACAAAAGCCAGTACTTGCTCAGCCCAGTTTGATTGCATTTTTGTAGTCTGCATTATCATTTTAATATTCAACCTAGCAGATAGTATTTTTAAGCCAAACACATCAAGGTTCTCAGCAGTGTAACTGCAATACTGTCAGAGTTGCATATGAGCAAGGGCTACATTGGACCCCTCAGCCTGTAGAGGGTAAGATAGTTCCTTATGATCCTAATGCCATAGGATTTGCTCAGACTGTTAGTTGGATTCAGATATGGTGTTTATTTTACTCTGCATTAGATACTGAGATTACTGAGACCTCCAACCTCTATTGAGAAGCCTCTGGCCTCTAGCACTATAATAATATGCTAATAAAATAACCAGTTTGTTTGTAATTTGTTTTAATCCTTCAAATTTTTTGGTTTGATTTGTAAAAAGGTTCATATACCTTTCCTCCCCTATTTTGGGTAATTGGTCGCTTCTAAAATATGTAAAATAAATATATTTTGAAGTAATCACATCAAGTTTTGAACAATCAAATAGATGTCTTACAGGGAGGCATGTTTTCCCTCATTGCTAAAATTCCTGAGGAGGATAAACCTTGGCTTTCTAGGCATTCTGGTTAAGTGAAGTTGGTCAAAACAAACTTGTGCTGTAATTATTTTTTTTGTATCTGGAGAAACACTTTTGTAAGTGACACATTTATCGACTTAAATTTTGTACTCACTGCCTTCTAAAGGTAATATTTTCTTCACTGTACAGTATAGCTGGATATTAAATTTATGTTCAGAATTAAACATTAATTATGCATAAAATACCTAGGAAAACTAATGCATTTAAAATATTTGCAAAAGAACAAAAACTACTGAAGGGAAACAAAGAGAGTTCTTAGTCACATCCCAGCTAGATAGGCTCCTGGAAATAAGTTCAGTTAATATACTCTTTCAACCATCAGAAGTCCATTCAGCACTTCACAGCTACACAATAGTGGTAAAAGTATTTCCTTAATCCATAGTCCCATTACTTAAAAAATATGCAAAAAATCAAAATTTTAGTTTTTTTAATGCAACTTTACTTCTTACAAAAATGTCTCAGTGAATGCAAAGGTTTTGCTTGAGGGGCTGGGTAGAAGGAATGCTGATGGAAAGGTTTGGAGAACCACTACCAAAACTATATGGTGAGCCATGTGGACACTGGGACTTATGAAGTTAGTTGAAATTTCCTTGGAATTATCCCTTTTCATTTTTAGGTATTGAAAGGTAAATTATTAAAGCATTTTTTCTTTTTAATGAATAAGTTTTCTTTATCTTTCTTCAAAAGGGGAAAGTCAATGGTAGAGTTAATCTGAAGTGGCAGATTTTGCAGCTCTTAAAAATTTACTCTCAGAGGAATAACCTGTATATGCTGACCATAATCTGTCTGAAATACTGGGAGATCAGAAATTTTGGGAATTAACAATAAAAAAACATTTAATTGCCCCATCCAAGCCCTCTGTGTAAGCACCTCCCCATAAGCAATTTCCATTCCATGTAGACAGAAAATGATCCATTATAAATTATCCAAGAGCTGATGGATTTTTCCAATTAATATAGTATCCCTTTAATTCCATGTTAACTTCTGTGCATCAAACCTTCCCTTATATTTCAGAAATCGGGACTATTTCTTTCCACTTGCCAGTATTTTAAAATAAAAAGACTCTTTAGTCAATTTTGTTAAGGGCTCACACATTCTCTTCCGAGTAGTGAACAGTACCGTGGAACATTTCCCATTGATGAGATCGGTAATTATTGCTGAGTAAAAGAAAAAACAGATTAGAATGATGATACTAGTATCTGAAAAGTTAAAAGAAAAAGATAAGCATGATCTTTCCATTTTGGCACTTTTGACATTTGGGGTGGGATAATTCCTTGTTGTGTGCGGATGTCCTGTACTCTGCAGAATGTTTAGCAGCATCCATGGCTTCTGCCCACTAGATGCCAGTAGCAGTTTCTCCTCTAGTTATGACAGCCAAAAATATCTCCAGACAGAGCCAAACATCCTCTCAAAGGACACAATTGCCTCCTTCCCCTCTCTTCATTAAAAGCCACTTGGGTAAAATAAGAACTAACAGGAATAATAAAAATTGCACCCTCAAGAATGCCAGTCTTCAAATAATGGGAGTAGATCACCTGTTTATTATAAATCTAGTAGATTGAAGCCTAATATATCTTCCCAGCCACTGCTCTCCTAGATGCTTCTCTACTTTTTTAGGTGTATTATGGATTGTTTAGCACGCATAGAAGATATATATTTTGTTAACCTGTGTTATGGAATGGAACTGGTGTTAAGTTTATGGGTTGAGATTCTGAAATTCTTAGTACTTCACTAAAAAATGGGAGTAATTATGTAAGGACTTGGATGGCCCATGTAATGCTGCCTGGTTTATTCCTTGGAAGAAACCTGACAGACTAAATAGGCAGCATTATCCATATGTCCATGGTGATCCAAGGAAGTCCGATATTACATAAAAGTCATTCTGGTAGTGTCATCCCCATTCTCTGTTTTCCTTAGTTCTCAACTGCTGGGAAGGGAGGCAAGGGTTTCAGAATAAAGAGAATGTAAGTGTCGGATGTAAAACCTGGAAGATTTATTCAAGATAGCAGTGAACTCTAGCTGTGTTAGCCTTTAGGACGTTGCCTTGCATACACTAAGGGCACCACTTTTTCCCTGTAATTCATTCATCTGCTCATTACTCCCAGTCAGTACGTGAGCAAATCCTTGCCCTATCCATCGCCAGGGATTTAAAGAATAAAGGTCATTAGAATATTTGGCTTCCCTGGCTACTGAAACTGGTGCAGATATTAGCTGATGACTCAAAGGATATTCAATGGCAAACAATCTCATGTCTTTTTTGGGACCAATTGGAAGCAGAATTTTTACTAGAATTGGGAACAGAATAGGATAATATTTGGAGGGTCTAGAAACCACGACAGAGGGATGGAGCAGATTCTGCATGAAATTATTCAAAACTCTGGAGCCAGATGGGTTTGAAAGTAGCTGAACTCTTGAATGTTTCTGTTCAAGAAGTAATTAACTCCCTCTTGTTACTCAAGCAATGAAAGTCTGATTTATTATTTCGCTTGCAACCCAGGGTCCTCACTAATAAGGATACAACTAGTCTCACGCCCACCATCCTCTCTTACAGTTATGGAACTGAGTATTAATGATTTGTCCAGAATCATGCTTTTCTGATCACTATCTTGTATAATTTAAGCTTAATCTGTATTCTAATTTGGGTTTTTTCCTTGATGCCCAGCTGTAAATTGAACTGGTTTATTATTTGGTTTGCATAACACCCAACAACTAGTGTTAATTATTTTTCATTTACTAATTACCTAAATTGATTAGATATACAGACTCTCTCGAAACTCTGGCTTGCATTATTTGTCTATCACTTCGTTCAGATTGAAGTTGTTATGTTGAGACACAAATATGCAAAAAAAGGGTAGTATAACTAAGTATAAATGATTAATCCCAGTGCTTCTTATTGATTCATGCTCTTAAATCCGATGCTGATTATCCTATTTATTGAGCTATTTAAATACCTATTGGAGTCCTAAAAGGTTTGTCACAGGACAGACCCACAGTCATAATTTTTATTGTGATTCCAGCACAAAACAACTTTTTATTTTTTAGGTAATTGTTTTTCTCCTTTCTATTTTTCCATGGGCACTATAAATCATAGAGTTTATTAGACATTTGCATCATTTTTGTTATGACAAATGTAAAGCACAATTAGAATATAGTAGCATCAATATGTTTATACAGATGTGAAGGTAAACTCATCAACATTCATTCCATATGTCTGTAATCTAGCTTTTTCTTTTATTGTCAAACCAAATAATTTTAAATTAGGGTAATTTTTACCAGTATCTTTTATACTTCTATGTGCAGATGTATAAGAAAATAACCTACGTTGTCACCGAAGTTGATGGTTATAGAGTTTTGGTTACTCTGTGTTGCTAAGGATGACAGAAATATAGAACACAGTCTACCTGTTTATGGGAAATGATTGTTGTGACCAATAATGGAAATGGTTTAATGTGATTCTGATGGGTTTGTATAAATCTCTGATCCAACACATTCACCACTAAAACTAGAGAAATTTTACAACACTGAAATCTAAAACCAAATGAGGATGTACCTAACTATGCCTTAAACTAGGATGGCCTGAGAAAACATGAATAAGTAATTTAAAAAATCGCTTTACTGAAGTGAGGGGAGTGGCGCAGGACTCTGAAAAACTTTAAGGTTTGACTTTACACTGATATTAGCCTTCCTGGAGATTATAAACCCCAGCGTCTCTGACGGCAAGACAAATTTCACATCATGGCAAGACAAATTTCACATCATGGCAGAAAAGTATCTGCTGGCCTTCAGAAATAGCAGCATAGTCAGAAATCCTGAATATCATCCCAGATTGTGTTAGCTTTGTCCTTCTTAAGATTCTTTTGGCTGTTTTCGATACTTTTATTTTCATATAAATTTTAAAATTATGTCTTAATTTAGGAACAAGGTATTGCTAAGTGAGTAAGGGGAGAAAGAAGGTTTGGTACCTATAGATTATGGGGACACAAGTGAGAGAAGAGGAAACCTGTCAGAGAAGGAACATCTTTGCTGGATACAGATAAAACCAGTAAAGCATTTGATGAACCTGAGGGCTGGCATGTTGATTTGAACATGAAGGAGCCCAAATGCAAAGATAATCTTCACTGCCAAGTGTTTTACCTGGGAATTTTGCTGAATCAGCATAGGCTGAGCGCCCCCCTCCCCCACTCACCCGTTTCAGTCCTGGGGCCATCACTGTTCACTTAGCCAATCCAGAGGTCTCTGTGGGTCAAACCAGTCTGATGAAGGTATGGACTCCACTGTCCATTATGGTAACCATGACCACTTAGTCTTGGGCAGTTGTGTTACCACTTGGGCCCAGAAACCTTCTATTTCTGTAGAAATCATGGCAGCAGTTCACCCTACCATTTCTGGACAATAAGGAATAACCACTACAGGATGCTGTACTCCCCTCATCTATGTAAATCTCAACTCCTGGGTGAAGGAAGCATCTGCAGACCCTCTGGAGAGACATGAGTAGAGGATGGGTGAGAAAGTCTTGCCCAATAAATCCAATTGAGCATTTCAAGTAGTGTAAATCTTTGTATAGTAAAGAAGTTCTGGCATTTCAGTTTATTTCAGTGTAAGCACCTGGGACCCCACTACAGACAGAGCCCACTCCCAGCCACTTAAGATGACACATCACAGGAACACAAAATCTCATTTTAGTGTAAGGATATTAAAACACTTAGTCCAATGAAGCATTTGATTCCTTTCACCTTGATCCCACATCCTCAGATATCATTCCAATTAATACTCTCCAGGTTTATGTTGCTACGAATTGGTAACATCTTGCAATTCCTTTGGACACATAACATACAGCATTTTCTTAAGGGTCACAATGTGTAACTGATCCCTTAGGAACTTCTAGGAGTTGGATATGATTTTAGGTGTACATTCAATGAGAGGTAGTATGTGGGAAGTGGGAGTGAAATTTAAAAAAGTTCGGCTATCCCCCACAGTGCAACAAACTCATGAAAAAACATTCTTCAGGTAAAGTGAGATCTACCTCCTCAGACAGGGGTAAAAGGGCTACTTCTGCTGGCAAAGAAGGTTGGTTGGATTTAGGAGTCCAAGTTCCTCAGTTTCATCAGAATCTGCTCAACATCTTCATCCCAATTTTCAGAATCCCACTCCTTTCTGCTGACTGTCCTGACATTAGAGAGTCTGTGAAGTTATGGATTCAAGGTGCACTATAATTTAGCCATCTACAGAATCAAATTTTAGTTGACAGAAAGTACAGATGTTTTGTTCCCTTATCTGATCCCTAAACTGGGTATGTAAATTTCTAAGCACATCATTTCATTTCCCTAGTTTCTGTGAAACACTTAGGCATATAAAACCAACCCCATTATAATTCTAATCTTTACTAAAATAGTCTATGACAATAAGTACTTTGCCTTTTTAAATAACTTGATTATAGATGATGATATAATAAATTATTTTGTCAGTTTATACTACGGGCTACCAGTATCTCCTTTTCCTCTAGCAATGAGGTGCTTCATGCCTTTAAATGTTTAGTCAAATTAAATAGATAATTCCAGGTCCCAGCTTTAAGGTTTGCAAAACTTAACTGCTTTTTTGTACCAATAAATGGTCACATTTCAATCAGAAAAACAAAACTACTGTGAGTGCAGTGGAATAAGGAATTAATTATAGAAATTCAGCTTTGCATTATTGTCAGAGAAATTAGAGAATCCAAAGTCCAAATGCAGGAGTTGAAGGATCAGAGATAAATCACTATCCAGGCTTGAAGCGTCTGAACAAATCAGAGCTTGCAGGAAAATTTGGAAGCTGTGTGTGTCTAGCTTTTGGAAGAGTTCCAAGAAAAAGGATGGTGTAAGTCTATGAAAGGCTGCTCACTCTTTGGCTATAGTCTCTCCAGTGGGGAGCAAGGCAGTTGCTGTTGATGAGTAGGACCAGCAGCAGGAAGAGGAGCTACATGCAGAGTGAGGAAGAGGGAAGACATGCTGGAAACTGCCTGTAATTCTGCATTTGTCTCCTATAGCCCTTAACCAATGACAGTCTTCAGAGTGTAACATAATCTTATCCAACTTCACTTTTGGCTATTTCTAACTTGGATCATACCTAGCAAAGTTCATTCCAGGAAATGTAGTTTCCAATATAATCACGATAAAAATACCACAATCCACCATACAACACAATGTACCCCTTTTATAAGAAAAGAAGTCTATACAATGGTTTAAAAAGTGATCTCTTGTATAGGACTACGTAGGGTTGGATATCACTCTTTTACTTAGTAAGCATGTAATCGTGGACATGCTTGAAGACCTCTTTTGCTCAGTTTCCTTATCTGAAAAGCAGGGATGAAGATAACATCTGCTAAGGCTTGTATTTTCAGTTCTCTCATATAAAATGCTTCAAAGTAATCAGTACCATCCACACAAATGAAAAGCTGAACAAACTGAAAATCAACTACTTTTCTTAGATCCGTCAGAGAATTGAGGTATTACGGCAAACGAGCACTCTGATACCTGAAGAAACATTATAGATTAAAGAATGATCCCCCCTCCCAAGCACCTTGCTATCAACACATCAATAGGCCATTTGTTATTACTACTTAATAACTGTCAGGCCTCTGAGCCCAAGCCAAGCCATCACATCTCCTGTGACTTGCACGTATACACCCAGATGGCCTGAAGTAACTGAAGAATCACAAAAGAAGTGAATATGCCCTGCCCCGCCTTAACTGATGACATTACACCACAAAAGAAGTGAAAATTGCCTGTCCTTGCCTATTACCTTGTGAAAGTCCTTTTCCTGGCTCATCCTGGCTAAAAAGCTACCCCACTGAGCACCTTGCGACCCCCACTCCTGCCCGCCAGAGAACAAACCCCCTTTGACTGTAATTTTCCTTTACCTACCCAAATCTTATAAAACAGCCCCACCCCTATCTCCCTTCGCTGGGAGATATCTTCCCTCTCTCTCTTTTTGAACTCAGCCCGCCTGCACTCAGATGATTAAAAGCTTTTATTGCTCACACAAAGCCTGTTTGGTGATCTCTTCACAGGGACACGCATGAAATTTGGTGCCATGACTCGGATCAGGGCACCTCCCTTGGGAGATCAATCCCTTGTCCTCCTGCTCTTTGCTCGGTGAGAAAGATCCACCTACGACCTCAGGTCCTCAGACCAACCAGCCCAAGAAACATCACACCAATTTCAAATCCGGTAAGCGGCCTCTTTTTACTCACTTCTCCAACCTCCCTCACTATCCCTCAACCTCTTTCTCCTTTCAATCTTGGCGCCACACTTCAATCTCTCCCTTCTTTTAATTTCAATTCCTTTCATTTTCTGGTAGAGACAAAGGAGACACATTTTATCCGTGGACCCAAAACTCTGGCGCCGGTCATGGACTGGGAAGGCAGCCTTCCCTTGGTGTTTCATCATTTCAGGGACGCCTCTGATTATTCACCCATGTTTCAGAGGTGTCAGACCATGCAGGGACACCTGGCTTGGTCCTTCACCCTTAGCGGCAAGTCCTGCTTTTCTGGGGGAGGGGCAAGTACCCAAACCCCTTCTCTCCGTGTCTCTACCCCTTCTCCACCTTTCTGGGGGGCAAGAAACCCCCAACCCCTTCTAATTCACTCTTAGCGGCAAGTCCCGCTTTTGTAGGGGAAGGGCAAGTACCCCAACCTCCTATCTCTGTGCCTCGATCCCTTAATTCCGTGCCCCGACCTCTTATCTCTGTGCCCCAATCCCTTATTTCTGTGCCCTGACCTCTTATCTCTGTGCCCCATCCCTTATTTCCATGCCCTGACCTCTTATCTCTGCGCCCCAACCCCTTGTTTCCATGCCTCAACCCCTTTCCCACTTTTCAGGAGGGTAAGAACCCCCAAACCCCTTCCCTCCGTGTCTCTACTCTCTTTTCTCTGAGCTTGCTTCCTTCACTATGGGCAACCTTCCACCCTCCATTCCTCCTTTTTCTCCCTTAGCCTGTGTTCTCAAAAACTTAAAAGCTCTTCAACTCACATCTGACCTAAAACCTAAATGCCTTATTTTCTTCTGCAATGCTGCTTGACCCCAATACAAACTCAACAGTAGTTCCAAATAGCCAGAAAATGGCACTTTCAATTTTTCCATCCTGCAAGATCTAAATAATTCTTGTCATAAAACAGGCAAACAGTCTGAGGTGCCTGACATCCAGGCATTCTTTTACACATCGGTCCCTTCCTAGTCTCTGTGCCCAATGCAACTTGTCCCAAATCTTCCTTCTTCCCTCCTGCCTGTCCCCTCAGTCCCAACCCCAAGCATCGCTAACTCTTTCTAATCTTCCTTTTCTATAGACCAATCTGAAATCTCCCCTCCTCCCCAGGCTGCTCCTCGCCAGGCTGAGCTAGGTCCCAATTCTTCCTCAGCCTCCGCTCCTCCACCCTATAATATTTTTATCACCTCCCCTCCTCACACCTGGTACGGTTTACAGTTTCATTCCGTGACTAGCCCTCCCCCACCTGCCCAGCAATTTCCTCTTAAAAAGATGGCTGAAGCTAAAGGCATAGTCAAGGTTAATGCTCCTTTTTCCTTATCCCAAATCAGTGAGCATTTAGGCTCTTTCATCAAATATGAAAAACCCAGCCCAGTTCATGACTTGTTTGGCAACAACCCTGAGACGCTTTACAGCCCTAGACCCTAAAAGGTCAAAAGGCCGTCTTATTCTCAATATACATTTTATTACCCAATCTGCTCCCGACATTAAATAAAACTCCAAAAATTAAATTCCAGCCCTCAAACCCCACAACAGGACTTAATTAACCTCACCTTCAAGGTGTACAATAATAGAGTAGAGGCAGCCAAGTAGCAATGTATTCCTGAGTTGCAATAACTTGCCTCCACTGTGAGACAAACCCCAGCCACATCTCCAGCACACAAGAACTCCAAACGCCTCAACTGCAGCTGCCAGGGGTTCCTCCAGAACCTCCTCCCCCAGGAGCTTGCTACAAGTGCTGGAAATCTGGCCACTGGGCCAAGGAATGCCCACAGCCCAGGATTCCTCCTAAGCCATATCCCATCTGTGTGGCACCCCACTGAAAATCAGACTGTTCAACTCACCTGGCAGCCATTCCCAGAGCCCCTGGAACTCTGGCCCAGGGCTCTCTGACTCCTTCCCAGATCTTCTCGGCTTAGCAGCTGAAGACTGACACTGCCCGATTGCCTCAGAAGCCCCATAGACCATCACAGATGCCGAGCTTTAGGTAATTCTCACAGGGAGGGTACGTCCGTCCCCTTCTTAGCCAATACGGAGGCTACCCACTCCACATTACCTTCTTTTCAAGGGCCTGTTTCCCTTGCCTCCATAACTGTTGTGGGTATTGGCGGCCAGGCTTCTAAACCTCTTAAAACTCCCCAACTCTAGTGGCAACTTAGACAATGCTCTTTTAAGCACTCCTTTTTAGTTATCCCCACCTGCCCAGTTCCCTTATTAGGCTGAGACACTTTAACTAAATTATCTGCTTCCCTGACTATTCCTGGACTACAGCTGCATCTCATTGCCGCCCTTCTTCCCAATCCAAAGCCTCCTTTGCGTCCTCCTCTTGTATCCCCCGACCTTAACCCACAAGTATAAGATACCTCTACTCCCCCCTTGGTGACTGATCACGCACCCCTTACCATCTCATTAAAACCTAATCACCCTTACCCCGCTCAATGCCAAGATCCCATCCCACAGCACGCTTTAAAAGGATTAAAGCCTATTATCACTAGCCTGCTACAGCATGGTCTTTTAAAGCCTATAAACTCTCCTTACAATTCCCCCATTTTACCTGTCCTAGAACCAGACAAGTCTTACAGGTTAGTTCAGGATCTGTGCCTTATCATCCAAATTGTTTTGCCTATCCACCCCATGGTGCCAAACCCATATACTGTCCTATCATCAATACCTCCCTCTACAACCCACTATTCCGTTCTGGATCTCAAACGTGCTTTCTTTACTATTCCTTTGCACCCTTCATCCCAGCCTCTCTTCACTTTCACTTAGACTGACCCTGACACCCATTAGGCTCAGCAAATAACCTGGGCCGTACTGCCGCAAGGCTTCACAGACAGCCCCCATTACTTCAGTCAAGCTCAAATTTCATCCTCATCTGTTACCTATCTGGGCATAATTCTCATAAAAACACACGTGCTTTCCCTGCTGATCGGGTCCGACTAATCTCCCAAACCTCAATCCCTTACAAAACAACAACTTCTTTCCTTCCTAGGCATGGTTAGTGTGGTCAGAATTCTTACACAAAAGCCAGGACTGCACCCTGTAGCCTTTCTGTGCAAACAACTTGACCTTACTGTTTTAGCCTAGCCCTCATGTCTGCGTGCAGTGGCTGCCTCTGCTTTAATACTTTTAGAGGCCCTAAAAATCACAAACTATTCTCAACTCACTCCCTACATTTCTCATAACTTCCAAAATCTATTTTCTTCCTCATACCTGATGCATATACTTTCTGCTCCCCCGCTCCTTCAGCTGAACTCACTCTTTCTTAGGTCCCACGATTACCTTTGTTCCTGGCCCGGACTTCAATCTGGCCTGCCACATTATTCCTGATACCACACCTGACCCCCATGACTGTATCTCTCTGATCCACCTGACATTCACCCCATTTTCCCATATTTCCTTCTTTCCTGTTCCTCACCCTGATCATGCTTGATTTATTGATGGCGGTTCCACCAGGCCTAATTGCCACACACCAGCAAAGGCAGGCTACGCTATAGTACAAGCCACTAGCCCGCCTCTTAGAACCTCTCATTTCCTTTCCATTGTGGAAATCTATCCTCAAGGAAATAACTTCTCAGTGTTCCATCTGCTATTCTACTACTCCCCAGGGATTATTCAGGCTCCCCTCCCTTCCCTACACACCAAGCTCGAGGATTTGCCCCAACCCAGGACTGGCAAATTAGCTTTACTCAACATGCCCCAAGTCAGATAACTAAAATACCTCTTAGTCTAGGTAGACACTTTCACTGGATAGGTAGAGTCCTTTCCTACAGGGTCTGAGAAGGCCACTGCAGTCATTTCTTCCCTTCTGTCAGACATAATTCCTCAGTTCAGCCTTCCCACCTCTATACAGTCTGATAACGGACCAGCCTTTACTAGTCAAATCACCAAGCAGTTTCTCAGGCTCTTGGTATTCAGTGGAAACTTCATATCCCTTACCATCCTCAATCTTCAGGAAAGGTAGAACGGACTAATGGTCTTTTAAAGACACACCTCACCAAGCTCAGCCTCCAACTTAAAAAGGATTGGACAGTACTTTTACCTCTTGCCCTTCTCAGAATTAGAGCCTGTCCACGAGATGCTACAGGGTACAGTCCATTTATATGGACGCAATTTCTTGCTTGGCCCCAACCTCATCCCAGACACCAGCCCTCTTGAGAGACTATCTTCCAGTCCTCCAACAGGCTAGACAGGAAATTCGCCAGGCTGCTAATCTTCTCTTGCCTACTCCAGATCCCCAGCCATATTAAGACACCCTAGCTGGATGATCAGTTCTTGTTAAGAATCTGACCCCTGAAACTCTACAACCTCGATGGACCAGACCCTACTTAGTCATCTATAGTACCCCAACTGCCGTCTGCCTGCAGGATCCTCCCCACTGGGTTCACTGTTCCAGAATAAAGCTGTGTCCATCGGACAGCCAGCCTAATCCCTCCTCTTCCTCCTGGAAGTCGCAAGTACTCTCCCCTACTTCCCTTAAGCTCACTCATATTTCTGAAGAACAGTAATAACCCTTATGAGCCTAATACATCCCTTCATTCTATTAGGTCTGTTCGTCCTTACCCTACTTTTTGCAACAGGGCTTTATGAAGTCACCCCCACCACTTAGGCCAAGCCCAAAAAAAACTTGTCATCCCTACTATTTTCTGTCTAGTCATACTCCTATTCTCCGTTCTCAACTGCTTATAAATGCCCTACTCTTGTTTACACTGCCGGTTTACACTGTTTCTTCAAGCCATCACAGCTGATATCTCTTGGTGCTATCCCCAAACTGCCACTCTTAATTCCCTCTTAGAGTGGGTAGATGATCTTTGCTGGCAGGGCACCCTCCAATACTTCCACCCTGATGAAGTATGTATCCATTAAAAAATTAACCCCAAAAGCACAAAAAAGAAGAAATAATTAAGGACAATAAAAAGAACAGGGGTGAAAACAATAAGGAACCTGAAGCTGCTGGCACTTACAGCTATAGGAAATATTAAACATATCCTAACTCCTGTTAACCAGATTAAAATAAAAAACACAGTCTGGGCGGGGTGCAATGGCTCACGCCTGTAATCCCAGCACTTTGGGAGGCCGATCTAGACCATCCTGGCTAACACAGTGAAACCCCGTCTCTACTAAAAATAGAAAAAATTAGCCAGGCGTGGTGGTGGGTGCCTTTAGTCCCAGCTAGTTGGGAGGCTGAGGCAGGAGAATGGTGTGAACCTGGGAGGCAGAGCTTGCAGTGAGCCAAGATCATGCCACAGCACTTCAGCCTGGGTGACAGTGTGAGACTCCATCTCAAAAAATAAATAAACAAACAAACAACAACAAAAAGGAACACAGTCTGAATAGACAAAGCAAACATCAGAACTAGACTCAAACATGGTACTGATTTTGAAATTATCAGACAGAGATTTTAAAATAACTATGGTCAATATGTTAAGCGTTCTAATAGAAAGTAGACAGCACACTAGGACAGGTGACTAATATAGGCAGAAAGATGAAAACTAAGAAAGCATCAAAAAGAAATGCTAGAGGCCAGGCACAGTGGCTCACACCTGTAATCCCAGCACTTTGGGAGGCTGAGGCGGGTGGATCACGAGGTCTGGAGATTGAGACCATCCTGGCTAACATGGTGAAACCCTGTCTCTACTAAAAATACAAAAAATTAGCAGGGCTTGGTGACGGGCGCCTGTAGTCCCAGCTACTTGGGAGGCTGAGGCAGGAGAATGGCATGAACCCTGGAGGCAGAGCTTGCAGTGAGTCGAGATTGGGCCACTGCACTCCAGCCTGGGCGACAGAGTGAGACTCCATCCATCTCAAAAAAAAAAAAAAAAAGAAAGAAAAAAAAGAAATGCTAGAAACCAAAAACCCTGTAACAGGAATAAAGAATACCTTTGATGAGCTGGTCAATAGAATGGGCATGGCCAAAAAAAGAATCAGTGAGCTTGAAGATATGTCAATATAAACTCTACTTCTACAAAATTATTTCTACAAAATGAAATAAGAAAAAAATGAAAAGAATAAAAGTATCTGAGACCTGTGGAAAAAAAAAAAAGTTGTAATATACACATAATGATAATACCAGAAAGAGGAAGCAGAGAGGAACAGGAGTATTCGCAGTAATAGTGGTTGAGTATTATTCAAAATTAATTACAGATAACAACCCACAGTTACATCCAGGAAGCTCAGAGAACACCAATCAGCATAAACATCAAAACATCTACATGTAACCATATTATATTCACATTGCAGAAAATGAGACAAAAGTCAAAAGAATTGAGAAATAATAATTGAGAAACAAGACAAAAATCTTTACCTATAGAAGAAGTGGATAAAAATTACACTGGACTTGTCACCAGTAATAATGCAGGCAAGAAGAAAATGAAGTGAAATATCTACAGAGTTGAAAGAAAGAAAATCAACAAACTAGAATTCTACATATAGTAAAATTATGCTTCAAAAGTAAATAAGAAATAGAGACTCCTTCAGACTCACAAAAGTTAAGAAAATATGTTGCCAGTAGACCTGCCTTGCAAAAAGTTTTTCAAAAAAAGTAGCTCAGAGCAAAAAAAATAGTGTTGTCATAAAATAGGATCTGCATTTTAAAAAGGAAGAACAGTGGAGAAGGAATAAGTGAAGGTAGAATGATACCTTTTATGTTGTTTTTCTTAATTGATCTAATACATGACTGCTTATTTTAGGTAAAAATAGCAAGAATGCTTTGGGAGATCATACCATATAGATAAGTAGAATGAATTACAGTAATAGTTTAAGAAATGGGAGAGGAAATTTGAGAATACTATGTTATAAAGTACATGTACTACCTATGAAGTGGTATAGTATTACTTGAAAGTGGACTTAGATTAGTTTTAAATGTATATGTAAAAACCTAGAGCATCCACTAAAAACAATGAAAAAGTCTGCAGATGTTGCTAACATAATTTCATAAAATTTTATGAAGAGAGAAGGCAGAAAAAAGAGGAATAGTTATAAAATAGCAATAACATGAAATAAGTGTAATGGATAAAAAACAGATACAAGCATGGTAGATATTTACCTAACTATATCAATAATCACTTTAAGTGTGAATGGACTAAAAATATCAAATGAAAGACAGAGAAAGTCAAAGTGGATTAAAAAAAGTAAAAACATAAGACCAATGATATGTTATCTAGAAGAAATCTAGTTTAGTATAAAGACACAGATACATTAAAAGTAAAGGGATGACAAGATAAGTCATGTTAACACTAATCAAAAGAAAACTGGAGTAGCTATATTAATTTCAGGCACTACAGGCTTCAGAGCAAGGAAAATCATCAAGGATAATGAGAGGCATTACATAATAATAGAGAAGTTTATTCTCTATTATATGGGACTACAAAAAGAAATAGACAAATTCACTATTATTGCTGCAGAATTCAACATATATCTATCAGTAACTGAGAATTCCAACAGACAGAAAATCATTAAGACATAGTTGAACTGAACAATACATAGAAATAAAGTGTATCTAATTAATGTTTGTAGAGTATTTCACCCAATAAGAGCAGAATACATATTCTTCTCAAGTTCACATATTCACCAAAATAGACAACATACTGCATCATAAAATACATCTTAACAAATTCAAAATGATAGAAATTATACAACTTATGATTTAGAAAGACCACAGTAAAATTAAACTAGTTGAAAAATCCAATATGTTTTTTGGTTCAACAATACACTTTAAAATAACACATGGAACAAAGAATTTGCAAGACAAATTAAAGAGATATTGTTAGTTAAATAAAAATATAAATATACTGTATCAAAATCTGTGAGGTACAGGAAAAGAAGCACTTAGAGGCAAATTTATAGCATTGAATACATATATTAGAAAACAAGAAATATTAAAATAAATAACCTAATCTTTCACATTAGGAAATTAGAGAAGAAGAGCAAATTTAGGACCAAAGCAAGCAGAAGAAAAGACCTACTAAAAATTAGAGTAGAAATCATTAAATTGAAAACAAGGAATCAATAGAAAAATTAATCAAATTTTTTGAAAATTTTGTTTTTTGAAAAGACCAATAAAATTAAAAAACCCTAATCCAGAGTGGGGGTGGAGAGGAAGGAAAAGGAAGAAAGGGAAAGAGAGAGAGAGAGAGACAGAACATTAATAGTCTTAAAAATGAATGGGAGATCATCACTACTGATCTAATAAACATTAAATGATTAAATTGATTAAAAAAGAAATATTATAAGCTACTATATGCCCACAAATAAAATAACTTACATTAAATAGGCCAGTTTCCTGAAAGACAAAAACTGTGATACACACAAAAAATAGATTCTCTAAAGAGGCCTATATTTATTAAATAAATTTTATCAGTAGAAAACAACCCCCAAAAGAGCACTTGGCCTAGATGGTTTCACTGGTAAATTCTATTAAATATGTCAGAAAAAAATAATGGTACCAACTCTCTCCACTTTTTTTAGAAGACAGGATCATAGGGAATACTTCCTAAATCATTCTGTGAAGGTACATTCCTCTAAAGCCAAAACTATATTAAGACCTTACAAGAAAAGAAAACTGCATACCAATATCCTTCATGAACAGAGATGCAAAAAATCTTCAAAATTTATTAGCAACTATATTCAACAGTGAATAAAAATAATTATACACCATGACCAAGATAAATTTATTTCAGGCATGCAAAAATGGTTCAACATTTGCAAATCAATTCATGTAATTCATCACATCGACATAGTGAGAGGTGAAGCCAGCTGGACTTCCTGGGTCGAGTGGGGATTTGGAGAACTTTTCTGTCTAGCTAGAGGATTTTAAATGCACCAATCAGCACTCTGTGTCTAACTAAAGGATTGTAAATGCACCAATCAGCACTCTGTAAAAATGCACAAATCAGCACTTTGTGTCTAGCTAAAGGATTGTAAACACAGCAATCATCCCTCTGTAAAAACGCACCAATCAGTGCTCTGTGTCTAGCTAAAGGACTGTAAATGCACCAATCAGCACTCTGTGTCTAGCTAAAGGCTTGTAAACGCACCAGTCAGCACTCTGTAAAAGGAGTTTATGGGAGGGAGAATTAGTGGAAAAAGTGCAGGGAATTTTTAGAACAATTAAATGATTCTATATGGCTCTGCAATGTACAAACATAGCATTACGCATTTGTCAAAACCCATAAAACTATATAACACAAAGAGTGAGCCTTAGTGTAAACCACAAGTTTTAGTTTATAATGATGTATCATTATTAACACATTAGTTTTAACAAACACACCACATTAATGCAAGATGTTAATGGTAAAGTGAATGTGGGGGTTGGCATATGGGAACTCTCTCTACTGTCTGCTCAGTTTTTCTGTAAATACAAACTGTTCTATGAAACAGATAAAGTTTTTAATAGAATTTAATTAAATGCTATTAATTTTTTAAAAAGAAGCTACTTCATAGAACTCTTGTATTAATATATATGTGGCATTTAGAACACTACTCAATAAAAATTACCACTCAATAAAAATTAACTTCATTATATTGTTATCATGATTATTATTATTATTACATAATAGATATATTAACAGAGCTGTGTCCTCTGAAAAACATGGTTTTTTTTTCCTTTAATGCACTTGTAAATCTAGAACTTGAAACTACAGAAAATGTCATTGCTTGCCCTAAAGAAAAATGTTTTCCTGTACAATTAAATAAAATGAGAAAATATCTTTCGTGTTTAGTTACATAAACTGACAATTTACAAAAAGTTTCATTGTAGCAATTGCTTTGTGCTACAACTACAAAGAAATATTTATTCAAAAATTACACTGTTTTATATATTACATTTTTACATTTGTTCATGTACTAGAAAAAGTCAGCACAACCAAAACATTGCTATGTTTTAGAATAAATAACTTTGTAAAAGGTATTTTATATTAAGACACTTTTGTCTATATGTATTTGTATTCTTTACAAATCTGGAAGATGAAAGATTATGTTTTCTTCACTTTTAATTTAAAACAGTAGGGAAACAACTGTCTGTTATTCAGAAATCATCTTTTTTATTTATTTTTCTGAATCTAAAATAGATATAGAATATCTTTATCACCAGTAGTGCTTTGGGAGACATGAAAGATACATAATTTGTTAAGTGACAACAGAACTTTCAAAATAATCAGATGTAGCTACTTTTAAATGTTTCTGAAGTTGTCACTTTCCTTTTTCTGCTTTAAAATTTCAGAAAGTACTTGCTTGAAAGTGAAGAATCCATCATTTGGACAGTCTTCACTTCTATGCCAAAAAGTTTCATTTGCAACATCAGTACAACAGTTTAATTTGAGCAACTTATAAACTAATTATTTCAAGGAGAATATATCAATCTGATTAATTACTTGATGGCAAGTAGACCAAATGCTTCACTGGGTCATTGAACCTTTCTTTCTTGTTCATGCCACATAAGCAGTTCTTCTTTGACATATAAAATTATTATTTTAAAACTTTTTTACTACAATGTAAAAAGAATAACCTACTGTCTTTTTATGGTGAACAGATAGAAATATATCATTTTCTAACATATCTAGGAAGTCTTCTTTGAATAACACCTGTAGTATATAAAAATTGTTACAAAGATGGCTTCTATTTCATACGCTGAGATCATCCAGCTGTGTCCATAGGGAGGAAGTGGCATACATGGTATGTAAATTTTTGAAATTGTTTATCTAATTTGTAATTATACTTTCTTCCTCTTATTTTATCAACTTTTTGTCTAAACCATTTAGTTAATCCAAAAGTCATAGGACTGATTAGCAAAAATCACCAGAGGTATCCAGGCAGTAGAAGGAAATGCAGTGCAGTTTTAGACAACTCAATTATGTCCAAGCTTAAAGCATTAAAAATATTGTCTAAGCATAATTTTGGCAAATAGACTTAATCCTCTTAGAACTTTTGGAGGAGTAAAGCTTTTTTGAAAGGTCAAGAGTTATTCTTGTGGGATGGTGATCTGTGTGACTTCCCCTTTGAATAGCTGACTGGTCCTATATAAAATCCTGGAGATGTTAGTAAAGTGAACATCCAAAGATTATCTCAAAACTTAACAATCATAAAAACCTAAAGTCATTACTGTTCCTAAAGTCATTCTTGTCTGGGTAACCCCAACTCTCCTCAGTCTCCTTAGCTTTAAGTGGAAGAAGAAGAGTTACAAGGACTTTGTAGTCACTTGCAATTAGATCTGTGCTGGGAAGAAGCATAGAGACTCCAGCCTGTGGAGTCTAAGAGATCTGTGCACATCTTGGGTGTGCCACTCACTGGTCGGATGTCCTTGCTGACATTTTTAGCTTTAGCGTCTTAGTAAAACATGTACAAAACGGAGACTGTATTTGAGTTCTCCAGAGAAGCAGAACCAATAGGATGTATTTTTGTAGAGAGAGAGATATTTATTTTATTTTTTTTCTGCAAGAGATATTAACCTTATTCTTTCATACCCCAACATAATTTCTACTTAGTTCCTCAATCTGCTTGTGGTGAAAACTTTTCAGTCAGTTCAGAGGGACCTCTGTCAAATCTTGCTTCAAAGAGAATAAAATACCTAGGAATCCAGCTTACGAGGGATGTGAAGGACCTCTTCAAGGAGAACTACAAACCACTGCTCAATGAAATAAAAGTGGACAAACACAAATGGAAAAACATTCCATGCTCATGGATAGGAAGAATCAATATCATGAAAATGGCCACAGTGCCCAAGGTAATTTATAGTTTCAATGCCATCTGCATCAAGCTACCAATGACTTTCTTCACAGAATTGGAAAAAACTACTTTAAAGTTCATATGGAACCAAAAAAGAGCCTGCATTGCCAAGTCAATCCTAAGCCAAAAGAACAAAGCTGGAGGCGTCATGTTACCTGACTTCAAACTGTACTAAAAGGCTACAGTAACCAAAACAGTGTGGTACTGTTACCAAGCCAGAGATATAGACCAATGGAACAGAATAGAGCCCTCAGAAATAATACCACACATCAACAATCATCTGATCTTTGACAAACCTGACAAAAACAAGCAATGGCGAAAGGATTCCCTATTTAACAAATGGTGCTGGGAAAACTGGCTAGCCATATGTAGAAAGCTGAAACTGGATCCCTTCCTTACACCTCATACAAAAATTAATTCAAGATGGATTAAAGACTTAAATGTTAGACTTAAAACCATAAAAACCCTAGAAGTAAACATAGGCAATACCATTCAGGACATAGGCATGGGCAAGGACTTCATGTCTAAAACACAAAAAGCAATGGCAACAGAAGCCAAAATTGACAAATGGGGTCTAATTAAACTAAAAAGCTTCTGCATAGCAAAAGAAACTACCATCAGAGTGAAGAGGCAACCTACAGAATGGGAGAAAATTTTTGCAATCTACTCATCTGACAAAGGGCTAATATCCAGAATCTACAAAGAACTGAAACAAATTTACAAGAAAAAAACAACCACATCAACTAGTGGGCGAAGGATATGAACAGACACTTCTCAAACGAAGACATTTATGCAGCCAACAGACACATGAAAAAATGCTCATCATCACTGGCCATCACAGAGATATTTATTTTAAGAAATTGTCTCATGCAGTTGGCAATTGTTGAGGCTGGCAAGTTCAAAATTTGCAGGGCAGACCAGCAGACTGGAGACTCAGGAAGAGTTAATGCTTCAGCTTCAGTCCAAAGACAGTCTGGAAGCGGAATTACCTCTTTTTTGTGGGAGGGGGCTTCTCAACTGATTGGATGATATGCATTCATATAATGAAGGGTAACCTGCTTACTCAAAGTGTACTTATTTAAATGTTAATCACATCAAAACAATACCCTCACAGCAACATCTAGATTAGTTGACCAAACATTTGAGCATCACCGCCTAGCCAAGCTGACACATAAGATTAATCATCACAGGAATGATAATATTAACAACATAAATCTCATTATATTAATGAGGATTAGATTAGATAATGATGGTTATGTTATTAATATACTGTTGGGAACATAGTAGTTTCTCAATAAATGGTAGTTACTATTATTGTTGTTGTTACCATTATTAGGTATTTCTATACAATCCCTGAGTTTATAGCCATCATCACCTATAAGTTTCAAGGAAAATTATTAATTCATGGTGGTGTTTTGGATAAATGTTAATTTTTTGCTTTGATAAAAGTACTATCTGTTACATGGTTTTACAAAATCTCTTGACAAACATGCCAAGAAAATACTTCTTTGTATGTGTCTAGAGCATAATAAACTTGGGAAGCCTAAAAAAAATTATGAGCAATGCTCTATAACAATGAATGCCCAATAAAATTTTAAAGGGTGAAATAGATATCTCTGTTCTTTAACTAATGTAATATCGTATGAAAATTGTCGAGTTTTGAGTAATGAAAATTATATAAGTGAAAAGTGCTTTTGAAGATGAATGAAGTGTATTATGAAATTTCTTCATCCCTGAGGCCACATTATTAAAATTTCAAGATACCACTGGGATAATGTGGTAAGTAGCAAGTTCCTACTACTCCCTTGCTGGGGAAAAAAGGAAATCTTTGCTGAAAAAAATCGAGGAAAAATATGATTGAAGAATACAATCATTTGATTAAGAAACATAGAACCAAATTCACTTGGCAATGCAGGACCATCACTCTAACTCAGTTCTTCATAGATTAGAAGTTGGTTAAAGCAAGAGGTAGTGAGGCCTGGAGCAATTTTCTTTCAAACTTTTGGACTACAACCTCCAGATCACTTGATAATATCAAATCATTTCATAGATACCTTTGAAAATAATTATCCTAAAAGAAAATTTTAATTAATTATCATTCAAATATATTTATATAAGCAGAATATACACCTTATTTTTCTGACAGATCTTAGTTGGTATGCAAATGGATTCACCAGCTATATGACGTAACTCCATAAGCCACCAGGAATTTGTGGCCTATAGGCTGGCAGTCACTCCTGTAGGGGAAAGACCAGGTAACTTCACAGAAAGCAAATTGGGTAATTGTCAGCCAGGATCATCTATGATACTGAGCAAGGACCTAGATTAAGATTGTAGAGTTTAGTTTGTACCATGCTTAGGTTTCTTCAGTAATTTTCTGGGGTGCTCCCTTAATCAAGTATAGTAAAGCCCCCTTGAAAAAAAAAGGAAGATGGCTCTTCCCTTGGTGTAAGAGTGATTCATAATCTAAAAGGGGATGCTATTTCATAAATTAGATTATTAGCTATAAAGAATTGAAACCTACCCAAAAGTCCCATAGAGTGTTCATTTTGATAAACACAGAAATGAACCTTTCTGGTCCTAAAGGTTGAAACTTATATTTGTTTCATCTGAGCTCCTTCCTCAGGAAAGAACCTTCAGGTCTCTCAAAAAACTATCAAAGAAGGGAAACTCACCAGATCACTGCACCAGATAGGACCCCTCATTCTCATGATTGCTTCCTTGCCCCTCCCTAGTTCCTGCTTTCTTACACATTGTTACATTTCTCCTCTGCTATATAAAGCCCTAGCTTTAGTCAGTGGGGGAGACAGATTTGAGACTGAGCTTCTAATTCCTCAGCTGCAGCACCCAATTAAATCCTTCTCTCTTGGCAATACTTGGTGTCTCAGTCATTGGCATTCTGTGCGGTGAGCCCCAGGACCTATACCAAACCCCTGGTGTTTCGGTAACAGAATTTTACCCTTTCTCTTTCTCTTTCTTTCTGTAATTCTGGAACTAAATGGAAGTTTTATCAGCTTTTTGGCATGTTTGTATAGAAGAGGATACTTGTTAATTCATTTTATTCATGTAGACATTGCCCCACTGAACAGGTCCTTAAACACAGAAATACATCTATCCAAATTATTTCCATTATTTTTTAAATTAATTATCAGAGTGATTCGTGTTTATACTAATATTTATAAATGTAGAAACAGTTTTACTGAGTTTAAAATCTTAACGTTTAGGTTTCTGCAGATGTCAATCACATGCCCCAAGCATAAATACAAATATTTTTGAGGGAATGTGTGTATAGTTCAGAATAGTTCTGTAGCCAGGAGCAAGCAGTTGGACACATATGTGTTTAGCTACATATGTGTAGCTAACAGTGAATGCTGTTGTAAACATGAAATCACTGGAAGGAAATAAGGAAACTCCCCCACTAGGAACATTATTCTCTCTCTGGAGAGAGAACATTTTCAACTCATTGATAATAAAAAATGACTATGGATGAGGGGCTAACCTTTCAGATTTGGAGCTTAAGCTTTTGCTTTCCTCTCTTCTCTGCCTACCTTAGGTTGCATGATTGTATACTTTAAATATACAACACCTGTAATTTAAACAGCATTTAAAAAATATGTCCTGCATTTCTATTCTGAGTTGACAACTATAGCCTTTAGGCACAAAACCATCACTTTACTTTTTATAAAAATATGTGTACATTATGTGATTTATGCATAAGGTAAAAAAAGGAAAAGAAGGAAAAGCAGGAAAAAAAATAAGCCTTGATTGTTGTTTTTCTTATCTTTTTAAAAATATTCTCAGAAAAAAATTATCAGGATAACTCACCCCAGGTTGGATTTTATGGCACTCTTTTGTGTTGGCTATTGAAAATTTCTTTTGGCATAGTTGTTGACTTCACCTCATTTTTTCCCTGCACTAAATATATAGTAGGTAATTACAATAAAAGTTTACTAGCTAAAAATCAAAGATAAGAAATTGAGTGAAGTTTATGCCACATATCATGTGATCTCAGGCAAGTTTCAAAGTCTCTAAATCTCAAGTTTTCTTATCTATAAACTCTGTCCTTGCTACCTTACATCAAGAAAATCAAATTAGAAAACACCATATTAACTACAAAGAACTGTAAAAATATAAGCTATTCTTGGAATTCTAACTGTGGTGAAGACTAGCAGAGTACTTTGGGATGCAAAGATACAGAAAATGTGTCCATCCCCATCCAGTTTACAGCACAGTAAGAAAGGCCCATAAATTACCACAGTACCCATGGTACCAAGCTGTATGTGATGCACATCAAATGACCAGTAGAGGTGATTATGGGAGTAAAGGACTTCAGCAGAGAGAGATCACTTCTGTTTGACAAGCTTATGACAGCATTTATGGAAGATGATGATGTTAAACAACACTAAGATCATCAACCAATATTTGAGTGCTACGATGCGTGGGGTATGCTACTAAGAGATTTATATTGATTGTCTAATTTAATTATAAAACATTTAATTATTCTAGGACTACTTTTATTTCCACTTTACAAATAGGAAACAGATTCTGAAAGGAGAAGCAACTTACCAAGGTCACATAATTAGTAAATAGTTGAGTTAGGATTGGAAACCAGGTGTGTTTGTCTTCAGGAATCATGGTTCTTGTCACTGTGATATGAGAGTATTAAACTGGAACTAGTTCTTAGAGCACAGAAAGAAAGTGGTATAGATTTTATTAGTGGTCCTCATTCCAATTTTCCTCTCTCCCATGTATACAACCCATGACCTTTGCTATATTTCTTTGTAGTTTCTGCCACATTAAAGGCAAGATATGTATCCCCAGCTTCTGACTGATTTCAACTGTGTGACTTGGTTGGAACAACAGTATGAGGGGAACTTTGTATCCCATCTGAGCCTAGGCTTCCAGGGTTTTTGCATGTATTTGTTCTCTTGCGCTTCTGCCGTTGCTATAGGGAGAACATGCCTGGGCTGTTCCACTGGTCCAGAGAAGAATTAGAAACATGTGGAGCAGAGCTGTCCCACAACCAAGACAAGGCTCAAGCAGAACCCTCAGCCAACCCACACGCTGCTCAAAACAGATGCATGAGTGTGTTTTGCTATTAGTTGATCCACACATCCATAAGCTGTAATAATACCTGATTTTAAAAAGTCACTGAATTGTGGGGCAGTTTGTTAGACAGCAATAGCTAACTGATGCAGATAATATTTTTTCATATGTAATTTTTTTATATTATAAAAATATCAATTCATTGTTTAATTGGAAAGAGCAAAAAAAAGAGTAAAAAGAAGAGAAAAAAATTAATCACCAAATCCTACCACCCAGAAGTAAACATTATGATATAAAAAATTTTAATGCTATGTACCATTTACTATGTACCAGGCATTCTTTTAAAAACTTTGCATGTACTGGGCTCCATGGTTGAGAGATATTGCCGACTGTGTGTATAGAATAGACATGAAAGCAGTTCTGTACAGTATGCTTTCCGGATCCTCTTTGGAGCTGTGTTTTGAGCAGCATGTATGTCGCCTGCTGATTTGATCTGAGAGAAGTATTGCACAGGGGAATAAAAGAGGTTTTTTAAAATACTTGGCATTTTTCGACTAAAAACATTTGGTCCTTAAAAAACATCGTAGTTATTATAATAGACACAGCCCTCTGCAATAGGCACCATTATTAGGCACATTTTAAACATGGGAAAACTGGGCCATAGAAAGTTTAAGTAACACAGCTAATGGGGATTAAAACTTGAAATTGAATCCAGAAAGAATGGCTCCAACAATAATGTCTTTAAACACTCTGTTCTACAGTCTCTCTGGCCATAATTCTCTCTAGTCCGTACTGCTGCACTTTGACTTCTGCTCATCACGGCATCATATAAAATGTAGGTGGATGAAGGGGCAGCTACGGTCAGGAAAGACGATAGAGTGAGCAATGGACTGAAGTAGGACCATGGATGGAGAATCACTCCAGGTCTTCAAAGAACAGAAGGCTTGCTGGTTTCACAGGAGTCAAGGCTGATGAATATTATCAGTTACCCTTGGAAAATATCTCACCATTAAAAATAAACATTTTTGAGGATGGTTCAGCAGTGCACACCTGTAGTCCCAGCTCCTTGGGAGGCTGAGGCTGGATTATCACGTGAGCCTAAAAGTTCAAGTCCAGCCTAGGCAACATAGTGAGATCTCTGCGTCTAAAAAAAAATTTTTTTTTAATGAATATTCTTTTGTGGTTTGTCATTTCACTTTTGCTCAGTTTTAGCCCAGAGGCATTTGAAAGTGAAGCTTAAAAAAAAGTCTCCAGTTACCAAGGCAAACACAGCTTGAAATGAGAACCACAGAACTGGAGACATTTGTACATTCAAGTGTTTATTCATTTCTGCACACACCCTGCTTCAAGATTTGTTTATGTCAGCTGAGTGCTGTTCAGGAACAGCCTATTGTACAGGTGGCAATATTATATACTGGGACAGCATCTCATCCCTTGACACTCCCGTGAGAATGAATTCTATGGATATCCCATTCTTTATGACATTGCTATGAGCAAGAAAAAGGCAAGCAGCGAGGATCCAGCTTATTTGAATGATCAGCATTTGTAGTGTAGGAGAATAATTCACTGCCACTCACAGGTGTCTCTAATGGCTGCATTCTCCTTGCCTCCTCTGTGCTGTGGACTACAATTTTATGCTTTTGTACAAAAAGGAGCTGCATCTTTATGCTTAAAAGCCAAGATTCCAAGACTCTTTTTAGCTAGACAAGGACTATCATGGCCATCCTAATATAACATAGCTTTTCATTGGCCCTCCTGGGTCTCATGCAGACTAGCACTATGCCTTCAAACATTAAAATTAAGATAAAAAACTTACCTTCTGCAAAGGTGCCAGAGGGAGAAGAGGCAGCTGTCAGTGTCCAGATTTGGCTCTAACTGTTAGCTCTCAGCTAATCACTTTTGGCAGCCTGTCTTCAAAGCCAAGGTAAGACCTGCATATGAACACTAACATTGGCCTTGCAAGTAATACCACAGTCTCTAAACGTAGCCAATTGTCTCCCACCAAATACCTTCAGGCAGTCAAATTAAATTAGCTATTATGGCTATTCTGGAGTTTCTCATCTGTGAGCCTCAAAGTTCCATTTTCTAATGTAGTCCATCTGCCACATATGACCACTCAGAAAAAAGCTCTCTGTAGTATTCAACAATGTGAATTCTAGAATATGAAATACCTACTGTGGGGGCGGGGGGGGGCAATTTTCCAGTTCTTTGTAAAATGCTCATATTCAGATGAGAAGTCAGCCATGTACCAGCCTAATTATATATACTATAGTAATTGCTATGTACTATAGTAATTGCTATGATGGAACCATGGAGTTGGAAGCCCACAGTATTACGGCCTTGCAGTTCTAAGAGCGGGCCCCAGACCTACAGTATTGCGTCATCAATAAAACATTAAAAATGCTATGGGGCAGGGCTTCTCCATTGCTGCTCATGTTGGAATCACCTGGAAGCTTTTAGGAATCAAGATGTCCAGCCAGGCGAGGTGGCTCACACCTGTAATCCCAGCATTTTGGGAGGTTGAGGTGAGTGGATCACCTGAGGTCAGGAGTTTGAGACCACCCTGACCAATATGGTGAAATCCCTTCTCTACTAAAAATACAAAAATTAGCTGGGGGTGGTGGCAGGTGCCTGTAATCCCAGCTACTCAGGAGGCTGAGACAGGAAAATTGCTTTAACCTGGGAGGCAGAGGTTGCAGTGAGCCAAGATGACGCCACTGCACTCCAGCATGGGCAACAGAGCAAGACTCCATCTCAAAAAAAAAAAAGAAAAGAAAAAAAAGAAATTCTGATGTCTGGTCTGTGGTCCAGCTTTCTTAAATCAGAATCACTGAGGGCCCAGACTCCAGTAGTTTTTTACTTCCCACCCCCTCCAAGGGGGCGCTGCCAACCCTGAAAGCCAGCTCTCTTGAGAGGAATGGCCAACTTTGTATCTATACCTATCTTCTACCATGTTATTCAATTGAAGGTAACGTTGCCTACCTAGGAACAGATTTTCTCATATTTTTGCTAATACCTAAAAAGTATACTGAAGTCAGCTTTCCAGGAATTATAAGTCTTAGGGCTGTATCTTAATTCACACTCTAAACCAATCCTGGTAACTTCATTCCTCTGCCAGTGACTGACTTAAACATGGACTCCTGGTGCCCTTCTGGCCAAAACAAAAGAGGGAATATGGATTCAGGATGACTAGGAAAGTGGTCTTCACTCTTAAAGAGGAACTTTAAGAGGTGGTACATTCTTTGTTCTTCCTGCAATTGAATGTTATTGTGTGATACCTGGAGCCACTGCAGATGGCTCATGACCATAGGGACTGAGGGCACATTTGGGCAGAGAGGTCAGAAGGGGGGTCAGAAGTTGTGTTATGGTTGACCTGCTGAACTGTCCAGCCTTCATAACTGTCTCTGATCTCCTTTCTGAAATACTAATTTTTCTTATTTATTAAGATACTTTTAGCTGGATTTTCTTTTGCTTTTTGCTGAAAGCCTCTTAGTAGCTAATATTTATCCCATAGATGAATAATAACAATAATAATGCATGCTATGAAATACTCTGTAATAACAAACATAAGTCATGGACTTTTAATACAGAAAGGACCCCAAACATCATGCAATCCAACTGTTCAGATAGTCTCTGGACAGTGCTGAAATATGTTTTGCTTCCAGCAGAATAACAGAAAATTTAGAAAACTTGCTGACTTGGTATTTTTGCAAGTCATCTTCTCATTTTCTGCCTTTGACTTGACAGATGAGGAACATCCAAATAAATAGATTGTTTCTGCCTGAAGGGGCACAGAATGCACTGCCTGGGGAAACATATTCTTATGTACAAGGCATGCGTGTGTATTGCTCATTTGAAAATGGAAGAACAATGAGTGGCTCATGAAGCTATTCTTGAGTTCTCCTTTGCTGACCCTCTCTTATGTAGAATTCAAATCTAGAATTATTAATAGAATCAGGAGGAGTTGGTAAATTTAAATTTAATTAATATCATTACACTTTCCAATTGGTTGTGATTAAATTAGAAAAAAAATACTTCTGGTATGGTTCAAAAGTAACTTGTAATCATGTCTCAAAATGGGTATTTTGGTCTGTTTCATTCATTGCAATATCAGCACAATATTCATTCATTGCAGTATCCTCAGTGCCTAGAATAGCACCTGGCACATTGTAAATACTCAATAAATACTGGTTGAAACAAATAAATGCATGAGTAACTTCCTAATGACTACCATATCTCACCACTGTTTCTAGCTTAGTTACTATCTGAAAGAGAGCACATCCTTAATAATTGTTAGCTGAATAAGTTAATGAATAACTGGACATTTCTTATGTTTTATATCAGATATTAGGAGGGTAATGGGTACCTTGGCTCCGAAGGCAAAATATTTATTTACTAAGAGATCCTGAAATATTTTCATTGACTCTAGAATCCCAAAGCTGAGGTTACCAGTCTTCAGGCTTACATATCACATTTTACTTTGCTGATGAAAATTATTATTTTTCTCTTGAAGAACAATATCCATGCTCTCACTGTGCGACATTACTTTCTTTAAATTTAGAGTTTTCGCTTTTTTCTTAACGTCAATAAATATTTATTTAATGTCTACTTCAAAGAGGCATTGGGCTCGGTATTGCAGAGTAAATAAAGACAAGAAGGACCCAAGGCCTGAGTTTGTAACCTAGGATGACCATATGCTTCTTGAAGTCATAGTAATTGTGATTTCCTCTAATGGTTAGCCAAGTGACAGGCAAGAAGTATTCAATAGGTGTGTGTTGAATGGAAAACTGTTACACTGAATTAAAGACAGTGTATAATATACATCTCTAAAGGAAATGCAAACTGCTCTGTGAGGTTTCTAGAGGGAATAGTCTCATCTAGACCGTGGCGCAGCTTTCTGGAGAAAGTAATCCTTAGAGACAGGTTGCCAATAGTTGCAAATGATAGGAGAGCCTACCTTACATGGATAAATCAGCTTAACCATCACAATGTCATCAGGCATCTTCAAAAAAAGTAAATAGTACAATTTATCTCATATATAGGTTGTTTAGTGTATAGGTCTTCAAAGATAACTAAGAGTTGCCAAGTGTAGTACTTGAATGCCCATACGAGTAATTTTTACTTGCATCATAGACATAGTCAACGGTTCCTAAATGTTGCTGCATGTTGTAATCACCCGATGGTCTTTGAATACTGCAGATGTTTGGTCACCCTCAGATATTCTGATTTAATCAGTATGGAGAGTAATCAGGACATTAAAAATATTAAAAGCTTCCCAGGTGACTGCAATGTGGGGCAAAGTTTGGGACCTGTCTCTGTAAGTGATGAAAGGAGGTATGACGATAAAGGGAGAGCAAGGTGGGAGTTACATTTCATTTCTGAAGGGTCACTTTGGACTTAGGAGTTTAATGTACTGAAAGGAAAGTCTGGCAGGGAATTCACCAAGTAGATCTGAAATCCAGGAGCAAAGACAACATTTCTTACTTAGGTTTGGAAGTCATTGGTATGGCAGAACCAGCTTCACCTAATGAACTCCTGTTCATTGTATCAATTACAGCTGACATTGCTTTTCACTGGGGAAACTAGCCTAAGCTGCTAAAAAGGTCAGACAACTGTGTTCCATGCTCTAAAAGCCATCTGAACTTCTTTGACACAGTACTGTTCACAGTTTATATTATATATATATATATTTTTTGGTGTTATGTATATATGCAAATGAGCTCATCTGTGATTGGAAAGTAGAGGATTTTTGTCTGTGCAACACAAAGTACAATAATTCAACTGAATATAGCAAGCTTAGATAAGGACTGTTCAGCAGGGTGTCCCCAGACTCTGCTATTTGGCTCAGATTGGTCAGATGTTTTATCTTGGAAGTCTTTACTGCATGGTTATCCCTATCTTTTGGCACTTTACACCATCTTCATAACTTAGTTCTCAGAGAATCAAGAAACACGGATAATACAAAGCTTGTATTAAGGTTCTCTAAGAAACAATCTATGGAGTATATATGTATTACATTTTATTGAGGGCTTTCAAGCTGAGGATCATGTAAAATTTAAACTAAAAGATACTACATTTTTCCCTAAAGAAATTTTAATCTTAAATTTTAAAAAGTAACTGATGAAACAAGCATGTTCAAAAATTTTTGTTAAAGAATAAACTCTTATTTTTCCACTTTATGTTTCTTCAGTCTTTTCTAATTTATTTTTTTTTCTGTAGTGCAGTTTTTTTCCTCTGTCCAGTTCTTGGCTTTCAATGACTTACCCTGTTCCTATTGTATTTATTTTTACAAGGTGTCTTTTTTAAAGTTAGCACTAATTCGTGTTTCTTAAGCTGTCATTAGTATTTATTTTGAAGCTTCCCCTCTCTTAGAGTTTATGATATACAGCAAGCATGAACGACTTTTGCTTAAAAGGCCAGATAGTGAATGTAGACCATGTAGACCAAGATGCAAAATTGAGGTTATTGCTCAGTCATTGCGTAGTTCCCAAATCACCTCAAATACCTTAGTCTTCCTTGTTCCATGTCTAAAACATAAGTTAATAGAGTCGCCTAACCCATGGAATGCTGTGTTAAATCTTGCTTTTCTCTAGAGGGTCCATTAAAGGTCTGGATCATTGTATTAGCCAAAGAGCTTCATGTTAGAATTGTAACCAAAGTTCAGGTCTTTGTTAAGGAGCAAAACTTTTTTCACAAACCCAGTGTACAATCGCAGCAAGTTTAAAGGCTGGTGACTATTAACATATTAACTAAAAATGTTGCTTAAAGGAGGAGAATTTTCTCCTTAGAAAGAAAGAAATGAACAAAAAATGAATGACAAGCTAGTAGCATTAGAATGGATGAAAATTTTGCTCTCCTACCATTAATTAAGAAAAGGTAAAGCCGGCCAGTGTAGCATCTGCATGACAAAGAAAGCAGTGCAAACAGAAAGTGGCTCAAGATTAATGTCCTCTTAAGATTCAAAGTTGAAAGGAGATATAAAACAGGAAAAATTTTACATTTGCTCTTGCAAGCATTTGTGGCCTTCAAGGGCTTTATCCTCCAGGGGAAAGAGGTGTGCTTGTCATTCAGACCTGTACGACTTTAAAAGAGCAAAACTGTTTATCTTTGCTTTCACATATGTAAACCATCTTCCTTTTTACTCTTTCTTTGTAGTTTCAAACTAAAGAATATGTTGCTGCTGATATGTGAGCTAACTTCCTCTCATCATAGGCTTCCAAAGTTCCTGTCCCTGCCAGTACTGAAATTCAGAGAAAATAATATGATGCCATCACATTGAGTCAGTGTTTGCAGCAGATAGAGGTTAAAGCTATGAAGCTAATTATTTTTTCTTTAGAAACACTGCGTCATTGTTATTTGGTGAAGTCTGTAAGCCAGTGCCAGTCCCCATGTTGTCTGTTACTGGTCTACAGCAAGAGAAGTTACAAATTTGACACTAAAGGTTTAGAGACATTAAGCACATTGACAGTAATTTTACATCTAATAATTATAATGATAAAAAAGAACCTGTTTGTGTGTCTTTGTTCTTATTCCATTTTCTTATTAATTTCTTTGTATTGTATTGTACAAAATTGCCTTTGAAAGATATGGTAGATTTTATTTTTAAATGATCTTTTATTACAGAGCATTTGAAATAACCTGTCTTAACACATTTTTGGTAGATTGGAAATTCCCACTGGAAAAATAACAAAATCAACAGCAACAACTACAACTACAATCCTCATTTTTGCTTGTAATACTATAATTTGTGTTGTTGTGGCAGGCCAGTTCTCATTAACACAGGCCTTCATAACAACTATTTCAGCCCTGACTGAGTGGTTGAGTTAAATATTCAAAGCTGAAAGAGCCAGTGACCTTATACAAAGGCTGGAATATAATAAAAGCCCACCAAGAGTCTGCTTAGGCCTTTCCTGGGACTTGAAGTATGACTGGATCATGAAGGAATTCTTAAGAAGACCCATTTAGGATTATTGGGGGTCTGAAGAAACTCCCCAGGCCTCTACAAACAAGTTTATTGGGGGTCTGAAGGAACTCCACAAACCTCTATGACTTAGGAGGAGACAAGATAAAAGTAGTGACCCCAGGACCTCAACCCATTCAGATTAAGTAAACTTACAGATTCCAGAGGAAGGTCGTCAGAACTCAGATCTTAGTTATAGATTAAAAGAAGTTAATCACTTATGTCTTTAGATCAATGCATACTTATACATAGACATATAACTTAGAAGACGTATTAGTCTGTTTTCAACACTGCTGATAAAAACATACCTGAGACTGGGCAATTTACAAAAGAAAGAGGTTTAATGGTTCCACATGGCTAGGGGGGCCTCACAATCATGGTGGAAGGCAAAAAGGAGCAAGTCATGTCTTACATGGATGGCAGCAGCCAAAGAAAGAGCTTGTGCAGGGAAACTGCCTCCCCCCAACACAGTTGTTTTTTTGTTGTTGTTTTGTTTTTTTTTTTGAGACTAAGTCTCTCTCTGTCACCCAGGCTGGAGTGCAATGGTGTGATCTCAGCTCACTGCAACCTCTGCCTCCCAGGTTCAAGCAATTCTCCTGCCTCAGTCTCCCGAGTAGCTGGGATTACAGGTGCCCACCATGACATGTGGCTAATTTTTGTATTTTTAGTAGAGACTGGGTTTCACCATGTTAGACAGGCTGGTCTCAAACTCCTGACCTCAAGTGATCCACCTGTATTGGCCTCCCAAAGTGCTGGGATTAGAGACATGAGCCACCACACCCTGCCAAAACTCCCATTTTTAAAACCATCAGATCTCATGAGACTCATTCACTATCACAAGAATAGCATGGGAAAGACTCACCCCCATAATTCAGCCACCACTGGGTTCCTCCCACAACATGTCAGAATTGTGGGAGTTACAATTCAGGATGAGATTTGGGTGGGGACATAGCCAAATCATATCATTCCACCCTTGGCCCCTCCCAAATCTCTTATCTTCACATTTCAAAACCAATCATGCCTTCCCAACAGTTCCCCCAAAGTCTTAACTCATTTCAGCATTAACTCAAAAGTCCACAGTAAAAGTCTCATCTGAGACTAGGCAAGTGCCTTCTTTCTATGAGCCTGTAAAATCAAAAGCAAGTTAGTTACTTCCTAGATACAATGGGGGTATACGCAATGGGCAAATACAGCCATTCCAAATGGGAGAAATTGGCCAAAACAGTGGCTACAAGCCCCATTCAAGTCTAAAATCTAGCAGGGCGGTCAAATCCTAAAGCTCCAAAATGATCTCCTTTCACTCTGTCTCACATCTGGGTCACACTGATGAAAGAGGTGGGATCCCATGGTCTTTAGCAACTCTACCCCTGTGGCTTTGCAGAGTACAGGCTCCCTCCTGGCTGCTTTCATGGGCTGATGTTGAGTGTCTGTGGTTTTTCCAGGCACACAGTGCAAGTTGTTGGTGGATCTACCATTCTGGGGTCTGGAGAACAGTGGCCCTCTTCTCACAGCTCCACTAGGTATGCCCCAGTAGGGACTCCATGTGAGGGCTCAGACCACATATTTCCCTTCCGCACTGCCCTGGCAGAAATTCTCCATGAGAGCCCTGCCCCTGCAGCAAACTTCTGCCTGGATATCTGGACATTTCCATTCATCCTCTGAAACCTAGATGGAGGTTCCCAAACCTCAATTCTTGACTACTGTGTACCCACAGGCTCAACACCACATGGAAGCTGCCAAGGGTTGGGGCTTTCCCCCTCTGAAGTCATGGCCTGAGCTGTACCTTGGCCCCTTTTAGTCATGGCTGAAGTGGCTTGGATGCAAGGCATCAAGTCCTTAGACTGCACACAGTGTGGGAACCCTGGGCCCAGCCCATGATTCCATTCTTTCTTTCTAGGTATCTGGGCCTGTGATGGGAGGGGCTGCTGGGAAGACCTCTGACATGCCCAGGAGACATTTTTCCTATTGCCTTGGGGATTAACATTCAGCTCCTCGTTATTTATGCAAATTTCTACAGCTGGTTTGAATTTTTCCTTAGAAAATGGGATTTTCTTTTCTATTGCATTGTCAGGCTGCAAATTTTCCAGACTTTTATGTACTGCTTCCCTTATAAAACTGAATGCCTTTAACAGTACCCAAGCCACCTCTTGAATGCTTTGCTGCTTAGAAATTTCTTCTGCCAGACCCTAAATTTTCCCTTCTCAAGTTCAAAGTTCCATAAATCTCTAAGGCAGGGGCAAAATGCCACCAGTCTGTTTGCTAAAACATAACCTTTGCTCTAGTTCCCAACAAGTTCCTCATTTCCATCTGAGACCACTTCAGCATGGACTTTATTATTGTCCATGTTGCTATCAGCATTTTGGGCAAAGCCATTCAACAAGTCTCTAGGAAGTTCCAAACTTTTCCACATTTTCCCGTCCTCTTCTGAGCCCTCCAGACTATTCCAACCCCTGCCTGTTACCCAGTTACAAAGTCACTTCCGCATTATTGAATATCTTTTCAGCAGCACCTCACTCCTGGTACCAATTTACTGTATTAGTCCATTTTCAAGCTGCTGATAGAGACATATCTAAGACTGGGTAGTTTACAAAAGAAAGAGGTTTAATGGACTTATGGTTCCACGTGTCTGGTGGGGGAGCTCACAATCATGGTGGAAGGCAAGGAAGAGCAAGCCACGTCTTACAAGGGTGGCAGCAGGCAAAGAGAGAGCTTGTGCAGGGAAACTCCCATTCTTAAAACCATCAGATCTTGTGAGAGTCATTCACTATGCAAGAACAGCACAGGAATGACCCGCCCCCATAATTCAATCACCTCCCACCAGGTTTCTCCCACAACACATGGAAATTGTGGGAATTACAACGCAAGTTGAGATTTGAGTGGGGACACAGCCAAACCATATCAGAAGGTATATAAGCTCTGGAAGACTTTATAATTTTTAGTCTGGCAATATTTTCCAGGCCTTCTCCCTGTAACCGGCTACAGAAATAAAAACTCTCTTCCTCCCCATTCATCTTGCATCTTGCTATTGGGCCATGAGAATAAGCAGCCTGACCCTTAGTTTGGTCTGGGAACATTGTGTTGTGTAACACCTACAACTGGATCAGTGACTTTTCTCATTTAATAATCTCAGAGAATCTAAGGAAGTTATTACCATTCCTACTTTATAAATGAGGAAACTGATACTCAGAAAGTTAATGACAATGTATAATTTTCAAAAAATTGAAACACATAGTTCTTATATAGATATAATGTGAGTACTTGTTAAAGATTTTAAAACTCATTAAAAGAGGAATCAGTAGAATGATAAAGCTAGTTCCAATGGGGATTCAAGATGTTACTGGAAAGGGGTCCTGTTCCAGATCCAAGAGAGAGTTCTTGGACCTCACACAAAAAAGAATTTGGGGTGAGTCCATAAAGTGACAGCAAATTTATTAGGAAAGTAAAGGAATAAAGAATAGCTACTCCATAGGCAGAGCAGCCCCATGGGCTTCTGGTTGGCTATTTTTATGGTTATTTCTTGATAATATGCTAAAAAATGGGTGGATTATTCATGAGTTTTCCAGGAAAGGAGTGGGCAATTCCTGGAACTGAAGGTTCCTCCCCATTTTAAACCGTATGGGATAATTTGCTGACATTGCCATGGCATTTGTAAACTGTCCTGGCACTGGTGGGAGTGTCTTTTAGCATGCTAATGTATTACAATTAGCATATAATGAGTAGTGAGGATAATCAGAGGTCACTTTCATCACCATCTTGGTTTTGGTGGGTTTTATCTGGCTTGTTTACCACATACTTTTATCAGTAATGTCTCTGTGACGTGTACCTTGTGCTGACCTCCTATCTCATCCTGTGACTAAGAATGCCTAACCTCCTTAGAATGCAGCCCAGTAAGTCTCTGCCTTACTTTACCCACCCCTATTCAAGATGGAGTGACTCTGGTTCAAACACCTCTGACAAAGAGACCAAAGCATTTAGAATTAATGAAAGACAGAATGCTAAAATATGACTGTAAAAACAGGTGGTTTTAGAAGAGCCTCCCAGTTAGACTCAGGTGGCTCTAACACCCTGAGTTCTTACGTAAGCCAACCAAACCCAACTCAGTGTGAGCAGTCAGATCCTAGAGAAACAACACTTAAACTTCACCAGTGAGAAGCTACTAACCAATCTCTAACTCGGGATTTTAAGGCCACTTCTCCAGTTTAACCATTCAAATATTTTCTTTGCCTTTCTGCTAGATAAAAAGCATTTTATTTTTTCTTAGATAAAAGTTATTTTCAATGTGTTCATTTTCTACAAGTTTAAATCGACTTTTCAGAGTATGAGCCAAGATTAATAATAAATGCGAAGCCAAAAGAAGAAAGAACTCTTAGACAAGTCTTTCAGGGCTAGGTAGATCACCAAATTCCATTATGACCATGCTTCTGTCTAGCTCAAAACATGATACTCTGAAGTCTGGCAACTTACATGCTGAGTACTTTGAACTGGAGACTGGAAGGACATCAAAAGCAAAGTCTTTGTGACTTTCTTCTGTCCTCCTGTCACCTGCCCATCGTTCTCCTCTTAAAGTGATTGGTAGAAAACAGAATTCTCCCCCAAGGTAGTTCATAGAAACTAGAACTCTTCTTCCCCAAAGCAAGCCATAAAACGGAGAAAAGTCATTCTCTGATATTCTCCCTTTTTTTTTTTTTTTTGGAAGATCCTCATTCCAAAGGGGTCCTGCTTCATATGCAGGAGGGAATAACGCTGCACAGAGAGGCCAAGAAGAATCCGAGCAGACAGCCCCTGCTGGGTTTTCCCCTCAGTCTATTTATTACTAGTAAATCATACCTTTGTCCAATCACATTTCTACAGAGCTGTCCATTCTTCATCTAACCCAAGCATATAAATAGACAGTTTTCCTGCAGTTTTGAGTCTTTAGTTCTGATCTCCTGAGTCATGTAAAATTTCGATTGCATACATTTGTTACTTTTTTTTCTGTTAACCTGTCTTGCTATAAGTGTCTGCTGTGGCCCCTATGATGGACAAGGACATATACCATAGTTTTTCACTCCTACACTTCACAAAGAAAAGTCAGAAAGTGACCATTCTAGGTTTTATTGCTTGCTTTGGGGGACAGGGATTCTAGTTTCTATGGACTCGATTTAGGAGACTGATAAGGGTGGGTGACAGGAGATGGGAGAAGGTCATAGAGACCTTGCTTCTGTGGCCCTCCTGTCGTCTTCAGCTCAAAAATACTCAGTGTGCCAAGGCAGGAGACTTTGGGATATTGTGTTCAGCACCCTGCCATTAGTAATCATGCTATGAATATTCAAATATAAGAGAACCTATTTTCACATCCATCTCTATATTCTAGAGTATTGATTACATACATAACGATAGATACGTGGAAGGATGGATACTAGTTGTATACTAAAAGGCTCAGGCTTTGGATACTGAACTGAAATTCTAGCTTAATTGTTTTCTAGCAGAATGATCTGGGGCAAATTATTATTTTTTTATTTTATTTTTTATTTATTTATTTTTATATTTTTTATTTTTTTATTTATTTATTTTTTATTTTATTATTATTATACTTTAAGTTTTAGGGTACATGTGCACAATGGGCAGGTTAGTTACATATGTATACATGTACCATGCTGGTGTGCTGCACCCATTAACTCCTCATTTAGCATTAGGTATATCTCCTAAAGCTATCCCTCCCCACTTCCCCTACCCCACAACAGTCCCCAGAGTGTGATGTTCCCCTTCCTGTGTCCATGTGTTCTCATTGTTCCATTCCCACCTATGAGTGAGAATATGTGGTGTTTGGTTTTTTGTTCTTGTGATAGTTTACTGAGAATGATGATTTCTAATTTCATCCATGTCCCTACAAAGGACATGAACTCATCATTTTTTATGGCTGCATAGTATTCCATGGTGTATATGTGCCACATTTTCTTAATCCAGTCTATCATTGTTGGACATTTGGGTTGGTTCCAAGTCTTTGCTATTGTGAATAGAGCTGCAATAAACATACGTGTGCATGTGTCTTTATAGCAGCATGATTTATAGTCCTTTGGGTATATACCCAGTAATGGGATGGCTGCGTCAAATGGTATTACCAGTTCTAGATCCCTGAGGAATCGCCACACTGACTTCCACAATGGTTGAACTAGTTTACAGTCCCACCAACAGTGTAAAAGTGTTCCTATTTCTCCACATCCTCTCCAGCACCTGTTGTTTCCTGACTTTTTAATGACTGCCATTCTAACTGGTGTGAGATGATATCTCATTGTGGTTTTGATTTGCATTTCTCTGATGGGCAGTGATGGTGAGCATTTTTTCATGTGTTTTTTGGCTGCATAAATGTCTTCTTTTGAGAAGTGTCTGTTCATGTCCTTCTCCCACTTTTTGATGGGGTTGTTTGTTTTTATCTTGTAAATTTGTTTGAGTTCTTTGTAGATTCTGGATACTAGCTACTCATCTGACATGGGGCAAATTATTTAACCTCTCTAAACCTCCTTTTACTGATGTATACATGGAGATAATATTAATAGCACATCATAGAGCTTTGGTGAGGATTGAGTTAGAGAATGCCTGTAAAAGCTTGACACAGTACCTAACATGCTTTCTCCCCAATTCTCCTAGTTTCTTCCGGTGAAATGTTCCAATAACAACAACTCCTGGCCTTGCTTTGCACTCTCACATATTAGGCCCTAGAGATGGAGGAACAATATCTATCTGAATGGTGACCTTGAAATAAGAAAGTAGGTATGCATATCCTGGTCCCTTCTTTCCTTTCTTTTTTCATGTGGGTATGCTGCTTGTAAGTATCACGTATTTTTTATCATTGAGCAGGACGTCATTTGCCTGCAGATACAGACCAGCTTCTCTAACAATAGTTTAATCCATATAGATCATTTTGACTCTTTTTTCTTATTTCTCAAAGGTTTTAGAACCTGGGCAAGGAACAGTGTTACTCCCTTGAACCTCATGATGGCTTATAGAAAATTCAATGAAAGCTGTTTTTAGCTCTATATATTTTTAAATGGTTATTTTACTGCTTTTTAGTTTTTGCTTGTTTTAAATTGGTTACCTTTCTTTATTGAGCTTTATTTCTAAATAGGATAAAATTATTAACCTCTATGGGTTATTGTAAACCTGGAAAATTATTCTGTATGTAAATTCTCTGACCCATAGTGAACATTCTATCTTGTGACCAGAATTCCTGTCAAATATTTTGCTCTTGAGAGTATGTTTATTTTATATATAGGGCCACTTAAGCATAATAACTAAATTGCTATTTTGCATGAAAAATACAAACTCTTGGATAGATAACAATGGAACCAAAAGGAAACTTTTATTGTTTTTTAATAATTAGGATAGTAACTGCCAGTCACTGCTTTGCTTTGTAAAAAGTTTGAAAAGTACATTTGGACTCAGAGAGTTTTTTTCCTGATGTCTAATATTAGTCAAGATACATTTTATTAAATCAAATTATTCAAATTTAAAATCCTGTGGTAACAGGATTGGGATGTGAAAAACAAATTATTCCTTAAAGTACTAACTGGAAAATCTATCATAAATGTGAAAAATTTTTTCAAAAAGGGACTTTGATCAAATAGCTGGAATTCCATCTTATGATGAATATCCATCAGAAACAAAATAGATGACTTAAACCACATGAGTGTCTTTCATGATAAAAAAAAATCGTAAACAATTCATGGATTATTTCACTTCAGTGTGTTGCTGATTTTTAATTAAATCCAATTAGAGTCAATTCATTTTATCACATGCAGTTTGTTTCTGTACCATCTTAGTTTCGAAGTATTTTTATGTTCCTAATTCTAAACTCTGTAGGCTATAAAGATGCATACTGCAAAACCTGTAAGGCTGGTATTTAGAGTGTTTTTGGTAACAGAAAAGAGCAAGGCAAAGGGATTATTTTTTTCCCCCGAGCTGATAAATGTTATTTATGAAGAATGGACATGAATTAATGGTTCTGTCAGTAATTCTGTAGTTATGACTTCGAAGCAGGCACCATTTCCTTGAATTCCTGGGAAGCTATATTTTATGTTTGCTTTCTTTTGACAATGGTTTTTGTTAAAACTGGGTTGCTAATAACTCCCTAAAGCAAGTTAGTTTACTGAGCAATATAATTTGACAAATGCTTATTAGTAAAAGCTATATTCTTGAGATTTACTTGACTGAAGTGTCCCATTGATTGTCATTAATTATCATGTTGATTCACAAACAAGTTTCTATGTTCATTTGTCACTCCAGCAATTTAGATATTGATTGGATCCATTTGGACGTGTAACACCCAAGTTGAGGCTCCCTTGAAAACTTGTCAAAAGGTACCAAAGATTATACTGACAGTCAACAGTACAGAACACAACAGCATTATATTTAAGCAGTTAATCATTTCTGGAGAAGAAAATGCAGTAGTTTCCAAAAGAAATTGGCTAAAAGAATACAAAGAAGTTGCCAGTGGAAGGCATTAGGATGTATTCTTGAGAATTCAGGTAGGCACAATGGTAGTCAGTTAATAGGGTTTAAGAACAAACACACAGACAAAAAATCACGTCACTTACAACCTCTAAGAACAAAAACATACCTATAGCTGATAGACCTAAGGCATGGGATTGCAGGCCTTACAGGGCAATACTCTTAGCATTTGCTTTTAGGAAGAACCTAGCGTCTGTCAACAAGTATATATCTGATGGAATGGCATTGATTACCACAGTGTTAAGATGGAAGAAGCACCAGATGGAGGTCACAAATCCCCTGTCACAAACCCCAGGCTCTGTCACTTAGCTGTATTCTTAGTGGGAACTCGGGCAAGATATTTAGTGACTTTTATCTTGCCAAAGATATCACTGAATGTAGATGTGCCGTTATTTTATGTGCCACTAGGAAAGAAAAATACCAAGAAACCGTGGCACGGTATCAATTGTAAAATGCAACTTCTGAGATGCTAAAAGTTATCGAAAAATATATATTCTGAAGGGACTTACTTCACTTATTTATCTGTGAATGGAGAAGACTGGGTTAGATTGGTGGCCATTTAACATAAATTCCTTGGAATGCTAATATGTATAATGTTAAATATAATTTTGCAACAAATAAGATATCCAAGAATACATACCTGTATATTTTATATATATAATAATAATATTTTATTATTTTCCCAAAATAATAAATGGGAAATAAAATCCCATTTATTTTTAATAAACTTAAATCAATAAATTAAGTCCATGAAGTATGGTCTCCCCTTCTCTGGTGACTTCAAGGACTTATAATTTCATCTTCCTGGTGTTACTGCTAATTTTCATCTCTATTCCTAATTCTCACTGTCCCCTCTTCACACTCTGCCACCAAATGAGTGTACATACAACTTAGGTTGACCTGTGAGAGTCCCCACATCCCTATCCACAGTGATGAAACAGAGATGGGCTTATGAACCAAATAAGCCTAATTAGACCCTTTCCTGAGATTGTATATGAACTCTAGAACAAAGAAAGTCCCTTTATGGTTGGGTTTGCATGTTGGGAACATAGGTATCTAGCATTCATTTTAAAGAAATGTTAAAAAAAAAAACTGTTGGGGAAATAAGCCAATTAGAAATAAGGAATGTAGGCTGGGCATGGTGGCTCACGCCTGTAATCCCAGCACTTTGGGAGGCCAAAGTGGGCGGATCACTTGAGTTCCGGAGTTCCAGACTCATACCTGTAATCCCAGCACTTTGGGAGGCCAAAGTGGGTGGATCACTTGAGGTCAGGAGCCTGGCCAACATGGTAAAATCCTGTCTCTACTAAAAATACAAAAATTATCCAGATGTGGTGGCAGGCGCCTATAATCCCAGATACTCAGGAGGCTGAGCCAGCAGAATCGCTTGAACCTGGGAGGCAGAGGTTGCAGTGAGCCAAGATCGCATCATTGCACTCCAGCCTGGGTGACAAGAATGAAACTCTGTCTCAAAAAAAAAAAGAAAGAAAGAAAGGAAAAATAGAAATAAGGAATGTGAAGAGAAAAATTGCTTTGAGGACATTGTTTATATCATTGAGTTCTGCCTTAGCTAAGGCTAGACCACCGCTGGCCAATGAATTGTATAAACCAATAAATGTCCTTTTTGCTTAACATGTATGTTTCTGTCATTGCTAATTAAAGGATTCTAATACAGGGGTCAGATATAAAAGTATATTCAGATCAATTACATCTTCAAAGGGACCGCTTTTTAAATGAACTTGTCTTTCATGAATGGACATTTCCTACTAAATTTTGCATTCATTGAGAGTAGTGATAACTCATCCATTTTTTATATATGCAGTGCTTAGCATGCAATTAACCTGGCACACAGTCATTCCTCCATAAGTCTTTTGGTGAACAAGTGAATTGCATGAATTTGAATGTTGGAATAGGGAAGACATGGAACAATGAAGAGGGTGGAAGATGATGTGATTCATTTTATTTAAAGAAATCAAGATTATCCAAAACATAAGATGTTAGTCAGCATTTTCCAAAGCACATTCCCTGGATCTCTAATTTATTTGGGGACAAATGGATGTGTTTCCCAAACAAATTCTGCATGTATATTGCCTACCATAGTACCTGGCATGTGGTAAATAATCAGTATACAATTTCTGTGTTTGTGCTCTTAGTGGCAGATTCTTTTTGAATTGCATTTTTGAGGGTAAAAAGAGGCTAAAAGTTAAACTTGTTCTATTCCTTACTGTCTGGTTTGTACCATTCCTGAAATCTCCGTTACTTTCTGGAACATTTACTCAAAATCCACATTACTTTCTTCTTTGACTTCTGCCAAAACAATCTAGTGCATTGCGACTCAAAGTGTGGTTCCCCTAACCATTACTGCTCCACTAACAAATAACAAATCAGGACAAAATACAAATCAGTGCATTCCTTCCTACATTAGAAAAAAATGTCAATTGAACTAAGTAACATCCTTAGTAATATAGCTAGTTTATCTTCTCGTTGGTTCTTCTTCCTGACAAAGACCAGTAACAAGTGATTGATGGATCTGTACTTAAAGTAGCAGTGACCTGTAAAACAACAACAAGTTGTAATCAGGAACAGCTAGGAATAGCCGGAGGACTTGAGGCTAACACACAGAAATCCCTGTCTTGCGAAGCTCTTCCTCCATGGTTAGAACTTCCAACCAGTCATACAGTGTGTGCGGTTGTGGGTGTGAGTGTTAAATTGCCCTCTCCAAGTTGTAGGTCAAAATGATTGAGAATCCTGTCGTTTTTCGTCATCATTTTATTTTGTTGTCATAAGTAATTTTTTTTCTTAATTTTATTGCCTGTCATATTAGTCCATTTTCACGTTGCTATAAAGAACTACCTGAGGTTTAATTGATTCACAGTTCCACATGGCTGGGGAGGCCTCAGGAAACTTACAATCATGGAGAAAGGTGAAGGGGAAGCAAGGCATGTCTTACATGGAAGCAGGAGAGAGAGAGAGAAGGTGAAGCAGGAAGTGCCACACGCACTTTCAAACAACTAGATCTCATGAGAACTCATTCACTATCATGAGAACAGCAAAGGAGAAGTCTACCCCCATGATCCAATCACTTCCCACCAGGCCCCTCCACTGACATGTGGGGATTACAATTCAAGATGATATTTGGGTGGGGACACAGAGCCAAACCGTATAACCTGTAGTTCCACATGTACGTGGATCAGCTCTTAGTCCCATACATTCCAAATTACATTATTTAAGCTTCTTACAAAAGGGCATGCTCATTCCAATGGGTTTCTTGTAATGTATATTTGATTAGGACTCATGTGCTATTCATTCAAACATTCTTTTGTTCATCGTAAATTAGTTTTTTTTGAGCCAATATTGTTAGAGCTTCTTCTAACCAAGAAGGATCTTTAGAAATTGATGCCCTCTGTGGCTTTGGTAGCTCCCAGAATCGATGAATCATGATTAGTTGTTTAAAGGAGAAAGAGTCTTCTTCAGATATAAAAAGGAGAAATGCCCACATGGACCCCACCCTCTACCCTGAGAAAGTTCTCAACTAAAAGCAATAGCCTTGTCATCTCACATCAGTGGTTTCTCGTCCTACACATTCTGAGATGTGATCTCTTAATCCCATTTATGTAAAAGTGGAAGAGTTTGTCCTTCTGTCTGTATTCCTCTCTCATGTTGTCTTGTAGAGCTCTTAATATCCATTCACGTGCTTAACATTTAATCTTTATCCATTTATTTTGCTCTGACCTAAGGCAGATAGTCACCTTCACAATTCTTTTAGGTAGTCAGAATGTATACAATGTGTTACAAAATCATAAAGGGAAAAGTGGTCTTACAGTTCTTAAGTATTTTTTATATTACAAAGTTTTTAAAAAGCCAAGTTGGAGAAATAATGTTTTCATTGGCAAGAGACATTAAGAACTGTAGTAATTGTTCACTAATTGGTTTCTCTGTGCCAGAGCTGTACTGGGCATATGGCTTATATAATTTACCTTGATATTCACAAGAAGCTTATGATGTGAGTTTTATCATTCTCATGTTAGAGGATACATGAGATTTAGATTTTACATGACTTGACTAGGCTTATGCAGCTAGTTCAAAAACCTGGGTTTCAGCTCATGTCTTTTAAAGTTTCAGGCTAATGTTCTTAAATATTAATGTGTAATATCTACTGATGATGTCAAATGACTGAATGAAAATTGCATTTTCTTAGCTATCATTAATAAGCAGTCTTCTCTAATTAATTCTGAGTTCATAGCCAAGTATTTCCTTAAGAAACATATATGTAGGAAATATGTTTGTGTGTGTCTAGATTCTAGTGATCTAATGATACGGATAATCCCTGTGGACTTAAGGTAGAAAATCTAGTGCATCACTCAATCATTATGCATCAGCAAATGAGAATGAATCTGTATTTAGTTCAAAGAATATTCATTAAACAACATACTTTACTTTTTGTTTGGTAGCATAATGGGAAAGTAATCAACATGTCACCTTTGTTGGAGTCTTTACAGCTGGATGATTTCTGAAATGCCAAACTTTACCAGGATTACGCCTTTCCTATATACTAATATTTAACTATTTACAAATGAATACAAGCTTTGGGATGGCTGAGGGATTTTGAGGGAGAAGTCTGCTATCAAGCATATGCAGAGCTTCTTTTTCTTCATCTTCCTTCCAGGCCTTGGTGCCATATTGAGAACTTATAATTAGGCCCTAACTCAAAGCCTGCCAAGAATGTATTTTCAATTTTTGTGCTTTGCTATCTCAGCTATTTCAATTACATATATCCATGCTGTAGGAAACATGTTATCCTAAATGTTTCTGGGGATTGATTTTTTCCAAGTATTTCTAACTTTTGTTTAAACATAATAAAAGTTAACTGAAATTAACAGGAGAGCTTAACTCAGAGAATCTCATCAGTGATTGTATCCATTCATTATGTTTTTTTTATGGCAAGGTAGGCATTGCGCTGGGCATTTTTGGGATTTGCCTCATCTACTCTTCATAATAAGTCTATAACTTAGGTACTATTGACCAACTTTTTAGAGATAAAGAAACTAACCTAGGGAGATTAAATACATTACTAGTTATTCCACCTTATGACTTGGCTTCTAAACCCAAGCTTTTAACTACTGTTGTAGGGCTTGGCAAAATATATTTTAGATTCCTGTTAATGGCTCATCATAATCTCTTTCATTTCCAGAGGGAGTTAGCATTATCCTCATTTTGTGTATGAAAAATCTCAGATATTGGAAAACTAGATGACCTATTCAAGATAACTTATTTGAGACATGAAAGAGTTGGAGCTTAGTTCCTTTTTACTTTTTAAATGATTAGTATATGATGCAGAAGCTTGTTAATTATTATATTCCTTGCAAGAGAAATTACTCTATATTTTAAAAGCATCATAAGTATAAGATAAAACACATACACCTGGGTTGTAATCATATAAAATATAGGCTTTTATATATTGGCTTCTGTGTTTGAAACTAACACATCTACATAGTAATAGAGTGGCCCAGCACCATTGAATATGAAACAAATTTTGTTTCTTTATGTTAGGAATCCAGTAAGCCCTGCGACTGGTTGATTTTGAAAGTCAGGTAAGGTTTCTTTACTCCCTGCAAGGAGGCATAGGTCCTATGAATCTGGGTTCCCGCTGGGGACAAGTTGGTATACAAACCTACCCCTGAGTGTGACACTAATCCTCTGTCCTCAGCATCTAATCCCAAGCCTCCCCCAAGGGTAATTTGAAGGTTCCCGGGATTTTGGGATTGGGGGTTACATAACTGCCAGGTGACTAAGGGGTTTTAGGCTGGATGGAAAGTTTAGAAGACAGGGGCTTAGGGAGGCTCTGTCTACTCTTAAGTATCTTCACTGCTTCCCTCTGTCTTCCATCTTCCTTCTCATTCCCTACCCCCTTTTTCTCTATCTCATCTTCTTTCTATTTGCCTTCCTACAAAGGACAACAAAAAAGGGAGAAAGTGTGAAAATCTCTTTTAGTAACTTGGGGGTGGGGAAATGTTGCATTTTCTCTTTTGCTAGAATTCTTTCCAATCTCCACTTTGTACTGGAACTCTGCAATTTTCCACTTGCCCGCCTACAGTTCCTCATTTTTCTCAATTCCCTCTCTTCTGCCCGCAATAAAGGTGATACTAGAACACATCAAAATGTGAGGGTACTGTTTCCCACTGCTTTTCAGTCCTCAGTTGTTTCTTCTCTGCATGATAACAAATGAAAGCCAGCTACAAAAATTTCTTTGTACTCAATCAATTCTGTCACGATTGTTAGCTATGACCAAGAACACTACTTACAATGGTGTAAACATTAATAAGATGTGTCACTCCACATGTGCAGGGGAGGCGTGAACTCCACATCCGTTACCCTCAGGGAACATACTATATTTCTCTTGGACTATCTCAGGTTGTTTTTTTCCCACAAGTCACCTTTGGCTTTAGGATGACTTATCTCAGGTAGTAAGACAGGATTCCTCTGTGTGTTGACTATCCTATTTCAGATTCCACAGCTCCAGCTATTGGTACATAGATGTAGATATGAACAGATACTGCAGAGGCAGATATATTTAGACAACTGAGAGACCACAGATAATTGAATACATAGAGACATAAGCAGATAGATAGATAGATAGATAGATAGATAGATAGATAGATAGATAGATGATAGATGATAGATTGATAGAATAAGAACTTGAGTTTTTATTCACATCTGTATACTCAGTACCTTTCCCAGTGCATCACATATTGTGGGCCTGAATGCATGCTTACTGCGTGAATGGACAAAGAGGACTACATAGCTTCCTAACCACGAAGGGCTGCTTGTTATTTCTTGTACTCTGAATGCAACTGGAGACCAAACTCAGAGTCAATATTGTCCCAATTTACTGAGACACCAACTAGCACAGTTCATTCAGACTTTGTTTTTACCACATTCCAATTTTAGAGAGCTTATCAATCCACCACTATATGTGCGCATGTGTTAGGGGCAAAGAGAGAGATGTATATTTTAATATGGAATTCAAACAATCTTGTTTTGGAAAGACCACAAAAGATATGAACCCTTTTATAACTTCCCTGCAAGTGAATGTTGACTCTATATTTGATTACATCTAGTGAAGGGAACTTAACCACCTCATGCATTTTTGAGAAAATCTGAAAAGTTCTTCCACATATTGAGTTGAAAACTATCTTCCTGTAACTTCTACCCCTTTATTCTGCTTTTATACTAATTCCGTACTTTTTCTTCCAGAATGGAAAGAGGCGAATGCTAATCGAGGGATTATAATCCCTGCTGAACAGCAGAAGTTTCTACCTTTGTATCCCCATTAAAGCATCCTTGAAACTATTCATTAACCTCCAAGGATGGCTCCTGGGACATAGAACATTTGAAAGCAGCAGCTCTAAAACAGAAATTTCCCAGAATACTCTGGCATGAGGACTTTCACCATTTTAATTTGGAGAAATGCTTTTTACCCCAATTGTATTTTCCCACTCATTTGTTAAAACTTAAGGAGACTCTAATACACTGTATATAATGGCAATTCCAGACTTCCCTCTGAAGAAGGAAGTTTGCATCTGCTGCCGTACATTTCTGCCACGGGGAAATTTCCATTTCTTACCTTTCTTTCTGTTTCTGGTTTCTACCTGGGGTGGAAGTAGGGGGAGTGAGTTCTGCAATCAGTATGTTGTACCAGAGGCACAAGACGATCACTATTAATGACATGTGCTGCATGTTCATGGACTATAAGAGGAGCTTCATAAACATTTATTTCCCCAAACATAAGAGAATCATAAAGTCCCCGCTCACTAAACTGAGTAGCACTAATTTAATTTCATGACTTGCCATGGAACAATGGGCCTGAGAGGCAATAAAGGTTGTCCAAGCATGATAATTTCTCATGATAAATAGCCAGGAAACAGAAAAGTGCTACTTAGAGACCTGGGAATAGGAGACAAGGACCACCAAGATAGTGGCGCTGTCACAACCTGCAAGGGGCCGTCTTAGAGCAACCCATCCGCTTGCTTTTGTACTATCAAAGGGTTCCACAAAGAACTACAAAAGCTTCCGCTTTCTTCAGAGCCTCATTTATTTTTATTAAGAGCAGATGGTGGCAGAAGTCCTCTGAGCACTTTACTAGCGTACTACCGTTCACCGAACAGCAGCCAGTAGAGCACAGAATAGAGATTTCTGTCCATCCGTTCATTTGCTTCTCCCTGCAGTCTCCATGGCAGAACAAGCAAGTGCAGTTTTAGTGTCAACAAGCATAATTAAAGGTCTGAGATGTTTCGTAGTATTGTGATTTCATACAGACTAGATAATGCCATTGAGAGTAATTTATGTCACATCTAAATGATTTTACCATATAAATATATTATTGGCTTGTTGTTCAAGATATACTGATAATTTGTTTAAATCACCTGCAGCTAAGTACGTGCCTCAAAAATATCTCTTTTACTTTTTCCTATTTTATGTTATTTATATATTTCAAGTAGGTACCCTCACATCATAGGCATCTTATGAGCTTGGTATGCTATGTTTATTCAAATGAATAACAAATTAGAGGGGAGAAGATATTTTTCATAGTCAGCATATTTTCTTCATATTTTTCAGGTGTACTCTGTGATCAGCCAACTATATTCTTATATTTGTCTAAGGAGAATCTTACAGTTCATTTAAAAACTTAATTTTTTTCCAAGGTAGGAATTGCCTTGTTTTCATGTAATTAACTCTTAGGCAACACATCATAAAATAATTTTATTGTATAAAGAAAATAAGTGATGGTTGATTTTAGGTGTCAACTTGACTGGATTGAGGGATGCCTAGATGGTTCAGGATGCATTGTTCCTGGATGTATCTGTGGGGGTGTTTCCAGAGGAGACTGACTTGTGAGTCAGTGGACTGAGAAAGGAAGACCTGCGCTCAATGTGGGTGGGCACCATTCAGTTAGCTGGGGACAAATGAGACAAGCTGGTAGAAGAAGGAGGATTTGGCCCTGTGTACTATCTTCCTTCCAAAGTAGGACACTTTTTCTCCTCTTGCCCCTGGACATCAGGCTCCAGGCTCTTCAGCTTTTTGACCTTGGGATTGGCACTAGCAGCCTGCAGGGCTCTGGGCCATAACTGGGCGCTGCACTGTTGACTTCCCCAAGTCTTCAGGCTTGGAATGAGCCATGCTGCTGGTTTTCAGCCATGCTGCTAACTTTTCTGGTTTCTCAGCTTGCAGTTGGCCTATTGTGGAAATTCTCGTCCTCTGTAATCCTCCTGTGAGCAAGTTCCCCCTAATAAATCTGCTTTCATATATCCTACTGGTTTTATCTGTCTGGAGAACCCTGACTAATACACAGTATTAATATTGGGAGTTGTGCTTCTGCTTGAAGACTCAATATCAAATATCTTATAATAAAAAATTACAAAAGTCATACAATATAGGGTTGTTTAATCAGCTAGGATAATTAAACAACATTCTGACACTTAAAATACAAACACAAATATGTTATAAAGGTGCAAATTGTGTGATGGTGTGTCCAGTTTATAAAAATAGGTCTTTTCTATATCATAATGCGTATGTCAACACAGTGCTTCTCACTTTGGGATTAGATGAGTAGACCATGAAAACTCATACTGTAGTATAATTTTTTTGTCTGTGAAAGTCTTTTTGTGATTAAATGGTAAAATATTGTAGGTATATTTGGCCCCAGGCATGATCCTCATTTATTTAAGCCCTGGGTAGATTAATGACCTCTCTGACCTAAAGTAACTTCACACAGGCAGTCCTCGAATGGAGGAGGAATTTTATGTTCTCCTCCAGGTGGCCATAAATACTTGCTGGTTATCAAATAATCTTAAATCTTCTCATTGAGGATGTTGGGGGCAAGGAAGTGTATAAATTTTAGCTGAGTGATGAAAAATGTACTCAGGTAGGCTGTGGGCTATGTCATATTTTTTGGAAGGTGTTGTAATTTTCTTCACTCAGTTGACTTTTTCAAGTTTGGATAGTAAAGAGCGTCACATTATAAAATAGAGGGTCATGTACTTTCGAGCCAGCCAGTTTTCAGGAGTTTGAGATTCTGCTTTGAATTTTGAGAGTTCAGCAAATGAGAGACAGATATCACACTATCCAAACTAAAGAACTAAAGGACTATCTCAAAATTGTGAAATAGGACTCTTAGCTTCTGCTCATTATATTTACTTGGATGAAATGATGCCTAAACATGTATAGTGAGACAGAGAAAAATGTGTCCAGCTCTATAATCCTACAAAGTATTACCATCAATATTAGAATAGTTTCATTGTGTTATCAGTGAACTAATCTTACCAACTACTGAGTTTCTTAGCTAATATTTATAAAGTTTTTAATGATGTTTTAGGTGCTATTCTTTCTCTCTCTATAGGATTTATATATATATATATATAGACTCATACATACAATAGTTTATGTGATTATATATATATACGTGTACACAAGAACCTAATGAGGTAGGTACTATTGTTATTGCTCTTTCAGAGAAGGGAACCCTGAGGCATAGAAAGGTTATGCACATGCTCAACATCACTTAACTGGTAAGAGGCAGAGTAGGATCTGAAACCAGGCAGTATGGCTCCAGAGTTTATATTCTTCCCCAGGGGTCAGCAGACCTTTTTCTGTCACGGGCCAGATAGAGAATATCTTAGGCTTTGTAGCCTGCACTGCAGGGTCTTTGTCTCACCTAGTCAACTCTGCTGTTACAGCTCAAAAGCATCCACAGATGATAGATAAATCAATGGACATGGCTGTGCTCCAATAAACTTCTATTTATGAACCATTTATGAACCCTGAAATATGAATTTCCTGTGGCACAAGATATGATTATTCTTTAGATTTTTTTTCCAATCACTTAAAAATGTAAAAACCCTTCGTAGCTTGAGGCCCATTCCAAAACTGGTGATGGGCCAGAGGTGGCCTGTGAGCCCTTTATAGTTTGTTCACCACTGCTCTAAACTCTTCCACTCCAAACTGCCCATGTGGTTCATGTATGAACAGTGTTGGCATCGCTGTCCAGCTTGTTAGAAATGCACATTCTCCAGCCTACTGAATTACAATCTGCATTTCACCAGGGGATGTATATGAATGCTAAAGTTTGAGAATCACTGCTCCAAGCAGCTAAGATATCCTCTTTTTCATTCTAAAAAGACTGCTTTATAAAGGTTGACTTTTAATCATCCCAATAATTAGAATGAGACTGAAAACAACTGTCATTTTTCTTATCACAGAATGTTTGTGTTCATAGAGGATACTGTCCAAAACAGTAGTTTGTGAGAGAAGTTCTATTTTAAAGGGAGGCTGTGATCAAATAAATAGGGGTCACTGTAATCTGTTCCAGTCTTGGAGATTCGCAATAACAATGAGTATGTCAAAGCCTCTGTGGAGTCCTGCAGGTTTTTAAGGTGCTTTGTTTAACCTGGTGTTTCCCAAACATAACTAGGGAACCCTTTTGGTGAGAAACACTTATTAATATCATAAGGGACTCTAAGAACATCGTGACTTAAGTAATAGTTTGAGGACAATATGGCATCAAGGAAATCAGTGGCCTCAGACAAGACCAATTTGGATGCCAGCCTAATTTCACTGACTATTTCTGTAACTACAGCAGGCTTGTCTTATACTCTGCAAGGTTGTATCATTCTGCACCCCCATCCTGTTTACATCTATATGTTTTGTGGCTTCTATAATACTATTTCAAGTTATCTCACCTTTCTAGGCTTCTGTGACCCCATCTATAAAATGTGATAACATGTGGGATAAATGGGATAAATGGCTTCCATGACCCCCATTTATAACATGTCTTACCACAATTAAAGGAGTTAATATGTATAATATGCTTAGAATCCTGCCTGACACATAATAAATATTCAGCTTATTCTAGCTTTAATATCATTGAAGGATAAAATGTCATATAACACCAAAATGACCTAATCAAAAAGGGTTCAAGGCCCTAGAGCAGAACTTTTTGAGCTGTTGGAAATGTTACGTATCTGCACGTCCAATATGGTAGCCACCCACCACGTGTGAAACTGAGCATTTGAAATGTCACCAGTGTGACTGAGGAACTCAACTTTAAACTTCATTTCACTTTCATTAATTTAAATTTAAAACACATATGTGACCATTGGCCACCATATTAAACCATACAGCCCTAGACAGGTTGGGGTATTATCCTTCAATAGATGTTTAAAGGCTGGTTATGGGAACTTAACACCACTTTTCAGCCCCTGCGTACATCAATAGACAGGCGTACAGATGTAGTAAAAAAAAAAAAATATTTGATCACAAAATGGAAGAAAAATTAAGTGGAGCCCTTTGAAAATATAAAATTTTTCACATTTCATCTACAGCCTGAAATGGTTAAAACTAGACTTATGCCTCTGACCTATCAGTCTACTTAATGCCCCATAAAGCTTTATGAGGCTTTTTAAGAAATGGAGCTTGGGATTCTCAGTGGTGTAACTGTCTATAGATTATGGCTTTGAGTGGCGCTGTTCCTTCCTGTATCACCCTCATGAGCTACCAGATGAAAAAATAAATTATATGCCACAGTCTTTTTTCTGGAAGAGAACTGCATTTGTGCAGAGAAAGAAATTATTAACAAACTTGCTGAGCAAGAAGCTAAGATACTCAGGGAACCAGAAGGTGTTTGCACTTTTCTGTGCTCGACGAAGGGATCCATTTTGGTTTTACTACCAGGAGGGAGGAAGTGTGAGAAAGGGAGGGCAAGGGGATAGAGCCAGATGCAGAGGGTATTCTGTGGACTCTGAAATCCATTCTAAAGCAACCTAAGTGAGTGCAAGTTTGATATGAGTGAGGGGTGTTGTCTGAAACAAAGCCTCATAACTAAGGTGGTGTGAGCAGATGCTATAGCAAAATAGAGGAGAGAAGATGAAGGAAATTAACATGAATTTTCAGGCCAAATTATCTGAGATGCAAAATTAAACTAGGTACACTATAGAGTCCCTTTGTGCTTGTCCCATTAGCAGAACAGCAGCCTTCTACCGCCCCTCTTTCCCTCCCCCAGAGATACTTCCTGCATGGTACTCCATCTCTCCTGAATGCAAAATTGTCCATGCATTTGCCAAAGTTAGAAATCATGGAGCTCTTTCCATCCTTGCTGTAGTCGGTCAGTCCCCAAGTCCCAGCCTCCTATCATCATGTCCCCTAAATGCGTCTCTTCCTTTCAACCCTTTCTCTCCAGTCCAAGTTGTCATCAGCTTTTTTTTCTGGAGCATTTCAACAGGCTTGTCTTCCCACTGAAGTTTTCGCTTCTACATTTTTTCCAAAGGTTGCTAAAGTGATCAATGTAAAACACAGATCTGCCCACGTCCCTCTACTTCTTGAAAACTTTTCAAAGCTCCCCATGGCCCTTGAGGGCTCTTTCAAGAGACATTGAATGCCCTCCACAGACTAGCCTAGTGCACCCTTTCTTCTCAGCGGCTGCTACTTTACTTCACAAAATCTATGTGCCAGGCAAACAGAAGGCCTCTAAAAGGCCCTGTTCTTTCCTGACTCTTCTGATCTCCTTGCCTGAAATTCCCCTTCTCCTGTCTCTCAGGCCTACATTGCACTCCTCTTTGAAGGCTGCCTCAAATGCTATCTCACCCATCCAGCAGGCTGTGGCCTCTCTTTTCTCTGAACTTCTGTTATGATTCACACTGCACATCTGTCAAAATTTCAGAGCTTGACAGATATAAATTCTTATTTAATGCCTTACTTGGGGCACTTCCTCCTCTGCCCCACCACCCCATCTTCAATGGAACTGGTAGCTCCATCTTTGGCATTTGTGAAGACCCCTCTGTTGTGCCAGACCCCTATTGACTCCAGTAGGGATGGCACTATGTTCAGGAAGCTGAAAAAAAGACCTGTAGCCAGCCAGTGACAAATAGGGTTTAGTGAGGATTTATATACAGTGGCAGTCCAGTGGCAGAAGGCTGGACAGGAGAATTGCTGCCATTCACAAAAAGCATGCAGTTTCTATAGCATTTTCACTCAGCACCCTCCACTTAACAATCTCCATTTAACCCAGAACAAAGGGCCTTGGTTCCTTGAAAGTCCTGTGCTCCAAGAAATGAGACAGGGATTCAGATGTCTTTCATAGATAAAGAGTGAATCTCTGGGTTGGCAATTCTTAGATTCCCTGGCTCTGGACTCTGAATAAACATACTTCTTAGACAGTTGAGTCATTCTCAAGGTATGCTTAAATTATTACTGTTAGGTGCATCTGTCATATACCCCCTATGGTTGCCTATAACACTTTGTAATATAATTAGTTGTGTCTATGGTTTTGTCCCAATCAAATTGTATCTCTCTGAGTGCAACTTTCTGGGCTTGTTCTTGATTATATCTTCAGAACCTATCACAGCACCTGGAACATTTCACATGCTTACCTGCTTAATGCATGCATTAAATAAATAAAAGAAATGAATGGATGTCAGTAAAAGACGAATGGAGAAAAAAAACAAAAGCAACATTCTACATTATTCAATTAGCCATACTATATTGCAGCATTTTGAATGCCAAATGCAGAAATTTTTCATTATTCCTTCTAAGGCTTGAGAAAGGCAGTTTCTCTGTTGTTTAATATGCTCATTAGTTACTAGCTTTGAGATACAGCAGTAACAAAATGCAATTAATCAGACAATTCTAATGCCAAATTATATCTAAATTTCTGCTCTTTCAGTTACTTTCAATACCTTTGAGGACAAGAGCAATGCATTATGCTATCTTTTTACTCCCTATCTTGCCATGTCCTCCAGCACAAAACAGTAAGAGTTCCATAAATGATTGATTGATTGTCATCAGAATGGAATCTATTCCACAGATGTAGGGTAGGGTGAGATTTGGCAGCATTTTTTGGCTATTTCTTGGCCTTTTACCATGTAAAGCCAGCATGTAAAAACAGAGACATTTCCAAAACTACAAATACATGGTTTGTATTTTGCAGACTTGTAGTGAAATTGTAAGTAGCCTATCACCAGGAAAAGCTATTGGACTTAATTTGGATTCAAATGAAAAGAACAATCGAAAGACCTTTTTCAGCAAGGATAACCTATTGACATGTAAGAGAGGATGATAAATCGGTTCCTAAAAAGCCTAGGGTTGTTTTTCCTGTGAAGAATCTTAAATGAGAAAAGCTGAGGAAGAACTAATGTGGTCATTTCAGTTCAAGTGTCATTATCATTATCATGCAGGATGTAGAAAATATTATGCAAATGTATTAACTGAACCACACAGTCTAAAAGGAACAAACCAGAGGAAACAAATGTCTGTGATTCTTACATTGTGGTATTCTGGGGCATGTACTTTCCGAAGATTTCTGTTCATTGAGATCTAAAATTCTGGAGAAGCTTGTGGCTTATTTTACTTCATTTTTACCCTTTCATCCACAATTGGCACTTGTTCTTTCATTCAACAAAGATTTACTGCGTGTCATGGATATTCACTCTAATTTTTTTTATTTAGCATCTCATCAAAATCATGACATCGTACTATGTTGAAAAGTGGCCTATTTACACAAATGTCTAGTACAATTAGGATATTTATTAATTGAAACTCTTTCAGTTACAAAATATAGAAACTCAAGTCACAGCAAAATGGGAATGCATTACTGCCTATGGCTAGACAGTTCAAAGAGTAATTTCCATTCAAACAATGCTGGATCCAAGATCTGTACCATCTGTGTATTTTTAGGAGGCTAATTTTTCTGCAGTTCTTTCCCCTGCTTTCCACTCTGTTGGTTTTATTTCCAGCTGACCTCTCCAGACACATATTCCAACTCCAGGAAAAGGAAAAATTCCCATGAAACTTCTAGCAAATGTCACAGAGTCAACTCTTACTGTATCCTTCCTGGGGATTATATGCTCTTCTAAACTCACTACTGATGCAGGATATTTTCTTGACCCCTTCACAGGACTCGTGACAGGGGTGCCCTGTTTACTCAGCATGCCATGCTCAGCCCCTCACAGGAGGAAGCATGCGGGTGAACAAGTGCAGGAACTGGCTGAGCACTTCTGAGCTGGTAGGAGCAAACTCCATTTATTCGGCTCTGCCACTCTCCACCCCTTGCAGAGGGAGCATGTAGGCAAGCCAGTGCAGGAACCAGCTGGCTTCTTTAGAGTGGCAAGAGCAAACTCCGTGCAGGGCCCTACAGCAGTGTCCAGGTGGAGGTGTCTGTGACCCCAAGGACTCAGAGGGTGTGTTACAGTGATCTCTTAGTGCTGTGATCCACAGATAGTGGTGTGTTATCAGCTCAGTGGACCCTTTGCCTCGTCCTGTGATGTGGCTGCCCTCTGCCAGCAAGGGCAGAGGGCCAGTGTGACAGCTTTTTTGGGCACCCGCACTTGGTGGGTCCCAAATTCTTGTCTGGTGCCCAAGAAGGAGGTCACATAGATGAATTGAAAGATGGTGAATGCAGAAATTTTATTGAGCAATGAAAGTGGCTCTCAGCAGAGAGGGGAGCTGGGAAGGGGACGGGAAGGGCAGGTCGCTCTCCCCTGAAGCACCTCTCTGCCTGTCTCCTCCAAAGTCAAGTTGCCTCTCCCTGATATCTATCCACTTCTCTCCTCCACCAGCCGACTCTGGGATTTTTATAGGCACAGGACGGGGGGCAGGGTGGGCCATAGGTAGTTTTGGAAAAGGCAACATTTGATTGGTAAAATGACATTACTCAGAAAGAACCAGTTGGGAGAGAGCAGGCAAACAGAAATAGAAGTTCTCACTTTGAGCCACAGGTTTCAGGCTACTTTTGACTTGAAGATAGGGTTCCCACCAGGTACCTACCCTTGTCTGCCTAGTGTCTGTCTGCCTTCTGCCTCTGTCACTACCAAGGTCAGGAAAGTACAATATTTTGAGGGACCACGCTGGAATCATACATCTAGCTCGTGGACCCAGCCATAATATTAGCTCCATATAAACCACAGGTGGGGAAGGAGAAGTGGTTCCATGAAAGAATGCTACGTAAAAGGAAAAAATATATATTTTTTATCTATTCCAGGAATATGATCTACAGCTAGTTCATTTTGTAAATTGTTCTCCCGTGTGAGAAAAGCAGAACATGTTTAAATCACATGAACTATTTTAAGTTAACCTGATTTCATGTTTTGAAATAGCCTTTAATTCATTATTTTAGATTAGAAATTATGGAAGATTCAAAGGCAGTTTGCCTGCAATTTGTGTCATGGGAAAGGCCTGAAACCCAAACAAGAAAAACTGAGCACTCCACTTGTAACTCAGGGAAAAATAATTCTGTAAAGAGTCTCTGAATTTGTAGCTATCATTTCCTGTGTTGCCCTAACTAGATGTCAGTTCTTTTACCTTTGAACTCTCCTGGCACTTTGATTGAAGATCTCATGTGGGATTTACCACATGCTACCTTGAATTATAAATAGTTGTGTACTTACCTTAGTGCCCTAGGAGATGATATGCTACTTACAGAACGAAGGAAAATTTTCTTCATCTATTCTATGCATCCTCATTTAGTGTTTGTTACTGGGCCTCATGTAACAGTAGGTATCAAATAATCTGTTAAACATAGTTCATTTTTTCCTTCCCTATTGTGAAAAGCCAAAATTACAGCAAATTTAGTTATATATTTAATTGACTTTTATTCATGATATATGAATTTTGGAGTAGCCTCCATTCTACAAAAGAGAATGAGAGTTCCCACTGGACAATAACAGAACATGGAAATTTGATGGGTGGAAACAAGGAAACAGAAGAATTAGGGGAATAGCTGTTTGGTTAACATCAGGTTACTTTAGGTTACTTTTTTGATAAGGGTTAAAGCAGAGGGACTTCCTTAATATGCTGACTCAAGTAGACTGGAATCTGTTTTCAGGAAAAAGTGGTTTGTTTGGGGATGTGTCAGTTTCCTTAAATTTTCAGTTTGATTGTATGTCATTTAGCATACGTGATTCCCTTTTTGTTTGGTCTGATCTCTTGGCGCCTAGTGCAGAAACTCAGTCGAAAGCAATGGCCTCCAGTGATATCAGTTTAACAGAATAAATCACTATGCAAATTCCAGGTGCACTGCTTTATTATCAGAAGTCACAAATGTTTTAGCAAATTGTTACTGAGTGTGCACTGTATGCCAAGCATGGACTGGATGTTTGTGTTTTTGTTACCAACTTTAATTTCCTGGGCTCTAGATTCCACCATGGCAGAGGCCTGTCTGTGTAGGCTCACCATGCTTTCTCAGGGCCTAGTACACAGTGACTCTCATTGGTGAGTAAGCATTTAAACAAGCCATCACAACAATTCCTTACAATAGTGGTTCTCAGCCAGGCGTGGTGGCTCTTGCCTGTAATCCCAGCACTTTGGGAGGCTAAGGCGGGTACATCACCTGAGGTCAGTTCAAGACCAGCCTGGCCAACATGGTGAAACCCCATCTCTATTAAAAAAAAAAAAATTACGTGAGTGTGATTACACATGTCTATAATCCCAGCTACTTGGGAGGCTGAGGCAGGAGAATTGCTTGCACCTGGGAGGTGGAGGTCGCAGTGAGCCGAGATTCCACCACTGTACTTCAGCCTGGGCAACAAGAGTGAAACTCCGTCTCAAAAAAATAATGGTTCTTAACCAGGGGCAATTATTTCCCCAAGGGATAGTTGGTAAAATCCAGAGACTTTTTTTTAATCATCACAAATGTGGGAGAATTCTACTGGCATCTAGTGGGTAGAGACCGGGGATGTTACTCATCATCCTACAATGTGCAGGACAGCTCCCCACAACCAAGAAATTATCTGTCCAAAAATGTCAATAGTGCCAAGCATGAGAAACCTTGTTTTGGAATAACCGTATTATCACTATATACATATAAGGAGACTAATGCTCAGAGGGAAAATGTAAATTCTCCTAAACTCACATTGGTGATAAATTACAAAGCATAAATTTTAACCAAGGTTTTTTGATTTTCTGATGCGGAATTAAATATCAGTTTGCATAATTACATGTAAATTTGTGCTTGGATTGTCAGTCATAATTTAGAAAAGTATATAGGATGCTTCCTAGTTAATTACTCAGTACTGTACCACCAGCTTAATAAGGCAATGTGCTGTTCCGGTTTACTATATGGCAAACCGGTTAATGTTTTAAAATCAAAATAGTGGACAGGATTTAAAAAAAAAAAAAAAGGTTTTCCAGTAAAAGTCTGTTTCAGTTTTGTCATTGATTGAAAAGTCAAATAGGCCCAGAAAGGGCAGTATCTATTTTCAGATATTTCACATGTTCACTCTTTTGAGGACTGGGTTTATTGGAATCAGATAATACTATTATATCAAGGTTCCAATCAGATTTCCTGAAAGGTTTATGATGCTGGGGATAGAGTCCTAAAATTCATCTTTACCAATCATGTTAAAGGAATCATTTCTTACCTCTCCAAAAGATGTTACATTATAAAGCATTTTGGACATATTCATAGTTCCAGGGCAAGAAATATTGCTGAGATAAGAGTTATTCAATTAAAGAAATTGAGTGTTTAGGATACTTCACTGCAGTTATAACTACATGGGAAGGAAAGAGGTCTGCATCTCTTTCTGATAAGTGTCTTCCTCGACTCTCATCATCTGTTTTCAGTATCTCAAAGTTAAATTGGACCTTCCAGGCTCAAAAAAAGTTATACTAAGCAGTATTCTCCTCAACTGAAGTCAGAATACAATAGAGGAACTAACTATGAAAATATTTAGAAATTTAGAATGAGAAAAGTGTTGTTGTTAAAAGGTCGTCCCTTCATAATTTTAATGTACACTATCTATAGCAAACTTGCAAATCAATATTATGATTACTTTATTCTTTGGGATACTGAGCATTTCTACTGAGGAACTCCATCCATGTGGTTCAGACACTATCTTAGAAAACTAGTCTCATTATTTTATAAACAAAAATCACTTCTTAAAAAATTACTAGATGACTGTCATTCAGTATGATTAAAGCCAGGTAACATTTTTCTTTTTCCAAAACCAAATATACCATTATAAAGGAAAGATTGTATCCAATTTGTGGAGGGTGTAAAGAAAACATGTCAGCCTATTTCATTGGTTTCTCAAGTGGAATTCCAACCTTTGAAATTAAGAAAACTTAACTTTGGAAAACACTTACCTACATAAGACGGTATCTGTAAATGGGGAAATATTCATTGGTAGGTGCTTATTTTGTTATGTTTCAAAGGTCACAAACTAGAATATGATATTTCCTTTTCATTCAGTACTAATAAATGTTATTTGGCTATGATTGACTTTAGTGCATTTTTGTGTAGCTAGCCACACCACTTAGAGAATATGTGGTAGCAAGTTATGTTTTCTTTTAGTATCTTTCTGTGTCCGGAATTATACCCTAAAAATGATTTATACTTTATATTTATGGGATCATGGAAGTTATATAGTTTAGAACCATCCAGGCTGGAGATGAAATAGGAATTTACCAATATTTACATTCAGAAGTATTGAAGTTGATGCTTTTAAACTGTGTCAAAGTTCTGACACAACAACTTTGAGTCATATTTACCCTTTGAAACTAAGCCAAACTAAAAGTATCCTGAAGATTTAAGACATTTCGTGATAAATTTGCTATTCCCAAATCTGTGCGTCTTTTGTACCCTTTATCTTGTGGGCAAAAAGTGTAAATGTATGCTGTATATTAGAGTCGCGGGGGTAGACAGAATACATATTATTGAATATGTATTCAACAATAAGAGAGAAAAAACAATGAACAAGAGGAAGAAATCCTTATAGTAGATCTTAGTGGCAGCCAAATTTGAAGCATTAAACTACTGTCTTGATATTCACAGTCTCTGGTGGAATACTAGGAGTAGATAAAGTGTCTCTTAGACAGATTTTTTTTTTTATTTTTTTGGGGAGCTAGGGGGATGGAGTTTCACTCTTGTTGCCCAGGCTGTAGTGCAATGGCGTGATCTCAGCTCACCACAACCTCTGCCTCCCAAGTTCAAGCGATTCTTCTGCCTCAGCCTCCCGAGTAGCTGGGACTACAGGCACCATACCTGGCTAATTTTGTATTTTTAGTAGAGACAGGGTTTCTCCATGTTGGTCAGGCTGGTCTGGAACTCCCGAGCTCAAGTGATCCACCTGCCTCAAACTCCCAAAGTACTGGGATTACAGGCGTGAGCCACCACACCCGGCCCAGACTGTTCTTTTTCTATGTGAGGTCCTACCGTAACTATTCTAAACAATACCATTTGTTATCCAAGTTTGTTATAGACTTACTTATGGATTATTGATAAAGAGCAAATCTGTCATCTAAAAATGCTTTCCTTTAGAAATCTGGATGACCAAAACCAAGAGAAACAGAAGTGGGCCCTCTGTTCCATTCATTTGGGTAATTTACTCATTCCAAGGGTATCGATTCTATGCTAGGCTTGTATATGGTAACTGCATTAGTCAAGGCTCTCCAGAGAAACAACAAATAGTAGATCTATGAAGGGAGAAAGAAGTTGTTTTAAGGTTTTGTCTCTTAGGATTATGAGGGCTGGAAAGTTTGAATCTGTAGGGCAAGTTGTGGGCTATAGATCAAAAGAAGAGTTGATGTTACAGATCAAGTCTAAAGATAGTCTGGAGACTGAATTTCTTCCATTTCAGGGAATCTCAATCTTTTCTCTTAAGACCTTCAACTGATTGGATGAGGCCAGCCCACATTATGGAGGGTAATCTACTTTACTCAAAGTCTGAGTTAAATGTTAACCATATCTAAAAAGTGCTTTCACAGCAAAATCTAGACTCGTGTTTGACAAAGGAACTGGGTACCATAGCCTAGCTGAGCTGACACATAAAATTAATCATCACAGTGACATAGCAATGATTGAGACAAACATGAGAATCCAGCCAGGACAGAAATTTATCCTGTTGGAGAAGACAAATAATAGATAGACAATTGCTATAAAAATGTGATGGAGTATTGTTGAGAGAAAAAAGAGTTACTAAATATATATATATATAGTAAACCCAACCAAACAAAACAAAACTGCCTGTGTACCACTATCCCTATTCTATCTCACCATCTTTTGTCTGCAGTAGAAATGAATCAAGAGAGACATTTGATAGAAGTGATTTCAGGGACACAATCTTGCATGCCAGAAAAACATATATCTCTCAGTGAATCTGCTTAGTCAGAGGGCTCCTCATTTGCTTAGTTCCTTCTGGTTATGAAATACTATAGCATTAAAGATTATCTGAGCTGATCTATTCAATGGGGAATCACTACCCTACCCTGGTTTTAGTGGAGAGGAGCCCAACCAAACATGCAACATTCATTGGCCAGCTGGCCTCAGTCCTTACGAAGGCCAGATATCTCAGCCTGGACTGGTTCTTACAAAAATACTTATGACTCCTCTCATGTATATATAGTGGCATCAGTGTATTTTGGTCAGTTCTAGAATCAGCTGCAAAATGTAATTTCTAATCATTAATAAACAAGTAGTGTGTATGAGAGCCCATTTATTGACAATGACAACTTTATTACAGAGTGAATGTGGGCTAATATACATTAACAGTGATTAACTACTAGCATGTTTGTTTGTTTGTTTGTTTGTTTGTTTGTTTGTTTTGAGACACAGTCTCACTCTGTCACCCACGCTGGAGTGCAGTGGCACAATCTCAGCTCACTGCAACTTCTGCCTTCTGGGTTCAAGCGATTCTCCTGCCCCAACCTCCTGAGTAGCCAGGCTAAGTTTTATATTTTTAGTAGAGACAGAATTTCACCATGTTGGTCAGGCTGGTCTGGAACTCCTGGTCTCAAGTGATCTACCCACCTCAGCCTCCCAAAATGCTGTGATTACACCTTTGAGCCACTGTACCCACCTTAGCATGTTTCTTATTTAACATGTTACTCTTGGTGTATTGTACCTACAATAAAATGTCCTCGAAAACTTTCGGACAGAACTATAAATACCTGATAAATACTATGAAGGAAATACACAGAGCACTATGAGCATGAATAACATGATAATCTGAGATATATTGGGAAAAGGGCAGGATCTCTAAAGTCTTCCCCCAGAGACTGAGAGTGAGGTTGAGAAGGGAAGACCAAGTAGAGGCTGACTAGACAACCGAGTAGAGGAGAAAAAGATGGAGCACTCCAGGCAGAGCCTGAACATAAGCAGTGACCCTGAGACCTAAAGCAGTTTGGTGCATTTTAGAAACTGAAAGAATTGAAAGAAATCCAGCCTGGTGGAGTCTGTACCTTTCATGATGAAATACCATTTAAGAAAACAACACTTCCTCCACAAAGGCAACCATCTACGGAACAAACTGGACTCTGCAGTTTTCAGGCATAAACCCACTTTCCCCAGGTTCTTCAAACTGTTATTTCTGTGTGATTCTTTTCATTGTCCCTGATTTTAACTCTTAGACAGGACCCAAAGCTTTTTCTGTTCCTCTGAGTCACGAGAACAGTCTCATTTCAGTCACGAAAACATCCAGCCTGGTGCAATAATCGGAACTTCTAAGTAAAGTCAGGTTAGCGTTTTAAAGTTAGCCTTCCCTCCCTTTCGTAGCTGTGAACTGACTCAGGCTTGGACATCTCAGAGTGGCATGGTTATCTTCTCAGCATTTCTCAGTTCTAATAGTTCTACATCCAATTCAGAGATCTAGTGGCTGTTGCAGTTTTAACCAGTCTTTGATTGCTCTGGAAGCACTTATCTCCCCTGCCTTATTTCGGAAAAGAGGTAAAGCTCTCAGCATTCCAGTAAACTACTCTAAGAAAAACTTAAGCCTCAAGTCCTTAACACCACACTCCTGCATGGGTTTTGACTATGACCACTAATGCTGAGAGGCAGGTTGACAAAACTGGACTCTGGCAGGTCTCACATGTATTGTCTTGCAGCTCACTTCAGGACGTGGATGTACTCGCCCTTGGGTATTTTGGCCAAAACTAAGACAGCCAAAGTCCCATTAATAAAATTCCTTGCTACTTTAGCAAGGGAAAGAGTGGCAAGAATAATGGACAAAGGCCAGATCATGCCAGGCCTTGTAACCATGATACATATAATTTTTTTTTTTTTTTTTTTTTGAGATGGAGTCTCACTCTGTCACACAGGCTGGAGTGTAGTGGCGCGATCTCGGCTCACTGCAACCTCTGCCTCCCGGGTTCAAGCAATTCTCTGTCTCAGCCTCCCAAGTAGCTGGGATTACAGGTGCCCACCACCATGCTCGACTAATTTTTGTATTTTTAGTAGAGACAGGGTTTCACCCAGGCTTGTCTTGAACTCCTGACCTCATGATCCAACCACCTCGGCCTCCCGAAGTGCTGGGATTATAGGCATGAGCCCCCACGCCCAGCCACCATGATGTATAGATTATAAACAAAATAATTTGACGTCCAGACATATCAAAGTCTTCAAAAATGCAAATACACATTAGTGTCTACACTGAAATTCAGCTTCTCCCAAATACTTTTCACCACAAAATTTATTTTAAAAGAACAACTAGTGATCCTTAAGTGGCCTATACTATGCTTTTATGACTAACATTGCAATAGTTCTTTAAGTTGGATCAAGAAAGCACCTAGAAAAATAAATGTATATATAATTCACTTAGATTATTTATCTTTTCTTGACAATTATAAACAAGATAAAATGGCTCTACTTAAAGGTTTTTTAAAAGAAAAAATTAGTAGTAAGAGGTATTGGTTTCCTGAAGCTGCAGTAATAAAATACTATAGAGTGACTTAAACAACAAAAATGTGTTGTCTCACAGTTCTAGAGGCTAGAGGTCTTAACACAAGGTGTCAGCAAGGTTGGTTCCTTCTGAGAGCTTTAAGGGTGAATCTGTTCCATGCTGCTCTCTCCTGGGGGCCTGGGCATTCTTTCATTTGTAGATTGTGTACTCACTGTGTGTTTACATGGCCGCCTCTCTGTAACCCTGTCTCTGTGTCCAAATTTCCCCTTTGTATAAGAGCAGTCATATTGAATTAGGGCCGACCCTAATGGCCCCAACCTAATTTGATCATTTGCAAAGACTTCATTTCCAAATAAGGTCACATTCCCACGTCCTGGGAGTTAGGACTTCAACATCTTTTGGGAGACACAATTCAACCTATAACATAAGAATAAATAAAAATCAAATCAGTTTGCTAAATTATAGATTTAACCCAAAACCTTCAGTTAATCATCTTTATCTCACGTGCAATAACTTAACATGTAAGTCCTTGATGGCAGAGTCTCTAGTAGCTATGATTTCAAATATACATAATGTATAAAAATTTAATTTTTAGCACCAAAGATAACTGTATTGTAGGTGGTAGAGAAAGAATAAAACTTAATTTCAGGAAAATCAAGTCTAGTCTGAGTTCACCTACTATTTATCCATCATAGGCTATTTCTTTAATCTCTGTATCTTCAGCTATAGATAATGGATAAAGGAGCATTTTTTATGCCTGTTTTAAAAAGTTGTTGGGGTGGATAAATGATATGTTTTCATGAATACATTTCAAATTATGAACACATTTAAATCAACACAAAATAAATGGAAAACATTTCAATCATAACCTTTCTAGAATTAGCCCTGTAATTTTATGCCATGGTCTACTTCCTTTTAACTATCCAGAGTTTAATTTTACATGCATAAAAGGCAAGTTCCTTCACTCGATTTTGAAGGGCCTAATCTGACATGAACAGCTTAGAAAACACTAGATGAGTCACTATTTTCTGAATGAATATGAATTTTTCCTTCTTCAGTGACTGAAATTAGATTTTAGTTGTAATTACCATGACCTTTTTACTTAATTATATTCAAAAATAATTTGTTGGATATAGAGCTAGAAATTTTATCTTCATTATGTGAATTAAATTTGGGATCAATTATGAGTAATTAAAAAGTAAATCATAGAACAAAAAAGTTAATATTATTAGATCTTTGCGTGTTACGTGCAGATTAAGGGAAAATGTGGAGATATTAATTTTCGAAGTCCATGTCAATTTAAAACAATAATTTCTTTAGTACTTGACAACTGAAAAAGATATTAGAGGGCTTTGAGTGCAGTTTTCTTATTGTTTAAGAGGAAGATGAAATTCAGAGAAGAAAAGTCATTGTTTAATCAGAAAGCGTGTTAATGGCAGATCCATTCCAGAACCTATGACTTTCAACTCCATTGAACAGTATTGTCAGTATTCCCTGAAATACGCAGAAGTAATAGACTTAACCTCTACTTTTGGAAATTATTTGTATTAATTGCCATTGCTTCATGTTTCTAACAATGCCAGTTTAAATACTTGAGATGATCAAGTGTTATACAGAACTCAGGCCAAGTCTTACAGGGTTCACTAGGTCAGCAGTTCTCAAACATTTTGCCTGCAGAACCCCTTTGCATTCTTAAAAATTATTGAAGACCCTGAAGGGCCTTTGCTTATAAAGATAATGTCTGTAAGTATTTACTGCATTAGGCAATTTTGGCAGCTTCATTGACATATAATTCACATACCAAACAATACACCAATGTAAGATGTAAAATTCAATTTTTTTCTCACAAACATGGAAAACCAACAGCCTAGTTAGTTCTAGAACATTTGTATTGTCTCAAAAAGAAACCCCATATCCTTTAGCTATGACCCCTGTATCCCTTTATCACTACCACCACCATCGCCTCACTCCCAGCCCTAATCAACCACTAATCTAATTTATGCCTCTGTAGATTTCCCTATTCCAGGTTTTCACATGATGGGAATTGTATAATATGTGTCTTTTGGTGACTGGCTTCTTTCACTTAAGCATTATGTTTTCAAGGTTTATTCATCCTGAAGCATGTGTCAGCACTCCAGTCATTTTATGGCTAAATAATATTCCACTGTATGGATATGCCACCTTTTGTTTATCCATTTGCCTATTGATGGACATTTGAGTTGTTTTTAAATGCTGCTGTAAACATTTGTATATAAGCTTTTGTATAGACATGTTTTAATTACCTTGGATATGTACCTAGGATTATAACTGTTGGGCCATATGAAAACTCTGTAATTAATTATTTCAGGGACTGCCAGACTCTTTTCCAAAGCTGCTCATGATTGTCAGCAAGTGTCCCCTCCTCTTCTGTTATTCAGACAAATTTGTGGTAATCAGTATTGGTTTATCTTTAAATGTTTGGTAGAATTCAGTGATGAAGACATCTGGGATTGGACTATTCTTTGTGGGTAGTTTTTTGACTGCTGATTCAATCACCTCACTAATTATGGTTTTATTCATATTGACTATGACTTCTGAGTCAGTGTCAGTAATGTGTCTTTCTAGGAATTTGTCTATTTCATCTAAGTTATCTTGTTGAAGTACAGTTGTTCAGTGTTCCTTTATAATCCTATTTTATTTCTGTAAAAATAGTGGTAATGTTCCCCCCTTTCATTTCAGATTCTAGCAATTTGAGTCTTGCTCTTTTTTTCTTGATAACTCTAGCTAAAGCTTTGCCAATTGTATTGATTTTTCAAATAACCAGATTTTGGTTTTACTCATCTTCTCTATTGTTTTTCTATTATCTCTCTCATCATCATCCACTTTGTTTTATTATTTCCTTTATTTCTGTTGCTTTAGGTTTAGTTTGATCTTCTTTAACAGTGCTTTAAAGTGGCAGCTGAGGCTATTGATTTGAAATGTTTCTTCTTTCTTATAATAGACATTTACAGCTATAAATTCCTCCACTGAACACTGCTTTAGCTGCATATCATGTTTTGGCATGTTATACCATCATTTTCATTCATCTCAAAGTATTTTCTTATCTCCCTTTTGACTTATTCTTTCATCCATTAGTTATTTAAGAGTGTGTGGTTTAATTTTCTCATACTTATGAAATTCCCTATTTTTTTCCTGTGTTGATTTCTAATTTTATTCTACTGCCAGGGAACATACTTTGTATTGTTCTATTATTTTAAATATTTTGAGGTTTGTTTTGTGGTCTAGCATATGGTTTATCTTGGATGTGCCATATGCACTGGGAAATAATGCTCAATCATCCCTCAGTTTCTGGGGGAAATTGGTTTCAGGACTCCCTGCAGATACCCAAATCTGCTGATGCTCAAGTCCCTTATATAAAATGACATAATATTTGCATATAACCTATGCACATCTTCATATATACCTAAAATCATTTCCAGATTACATATAATAGCGAATACAACATAAATGCTATATAAATTGCTATATTGTATTGTTTAGGAAATAATAACAGGAAGAAAAATCTGTAAATATTCAATACAGATGTAACCATACTTTTTTAAAAATATTTTCAGCCAGTGATTAGTTGAATCTGCTAATGCAGAACCCACAGATATGGAGGGTTGACTGTATGTTTTATTCTTCTAGGTTGAAGTATTCAATACGTTATGGCAGGGAATCCATATCGGTCTGCAGCAACCTCAACTCTTACCTCCTTAGAAGAAAGAACTTGACTGAGGGGCATAAGGCAGAAGGAGAGACCAAGGCAAGTTTTAGAGCAGGAGCGAAAGTTTATTAAAAAGCTTTAGAGCAGAAATGAAAAGAAGGAAAGTACACTGGGAATAGGGCCAAGAGGGTGACTTGAGAGATCAAGTGTGTGGTTTGACCTTTTGACTTGGGGTTTTATGTCTCGGCATACTTCTGGGGTCTTGTGTTACTTTTCCCCTCATTCTTCCCTTGGGGTGGGCTGTCCGCATGTGCATGCTTGAGATCAACTCCTGAGATCTTAATGGGAAGCTGCTCACCCAACTCCTGAGATTTTATTGGGAAGCTGCTGATCACCAGTTTCGGATGTTTTCTATCTATTAAGAGACTGCCTTTCCCTGGTACTGGCTGTGACCAATTATTATTTTAGAGAGACAGTTAACAACTGCCTGATCCTCACCTGATAGTTGCCTGACATTCCTGATGTGTGTGTATTGCGGGGGAGCCCTCCCCTGCCCTGCTTATAGCTGACTGGCTACCCGCTGTAACATATAGATGCCCATTAGGTCTAGTTGGATTGTAGTGTTGTTCCAGTATTTTATGTCTTAATTGTCTATTTACTTTATCCACTGTTGACAGCGGGTTGTTGAAGTCTCCAAATATTATTGTTGAATTATCTATTTCTTCGTTTATATCTGTCAGTTTTGCTTCATGTATTTTGACACTCCGTAATTAGGTACATGTATGTTTATAATTGTCATGATTTCATAATCAATTGACCCTTTTGTTATAAAACATCCCTCTTTATCTCTAGTGAGTTGTTTTTTGGCTTTTTTGTGTTTTCTGTTTGCATTACACATATTTTTTCCCATCCTTTCTCTTTCAATATATTTGTGTCTTTTAAGCTTTGTCTCCTGTAGACAACATGTAGTTGGATCATATTTTTTGTCCAGTCTGACAGTCTCTGCCTTTTAGTTGAATTGGTAATCCACTCACATTTAAGTTATTACTGATATGTTTGGGTTTATGTTTATAATATTATTTTTTATTTTCTATATATCTCCTATCCTTTTTGTTCCTGCATTCTTCCTTTACTGTTTTATATTAAATCTCTTTAATATTTAATATTAATTCTCTTAATGATTTTTTACCATATTTTTGGATATATTTTTAAATGATTACTCTAAGGTTTACCCTATACATCTCAACTTATCAGAATAAACCAGATTTATACTAGCTAAATTCCAGTGATTTACAGAAATATTATTTCTATTCTAACAATTGCCCTTTTTCCTTTTCTGTGGTATTATTATTTTACATATTAAAGTTACAAATCCAGCAATATATTTTTGTAATTATCACTTTACCATCTGTTATTATTTCATTAACCTCTTATAGTTTTGACTCTGCCCACCTACTTGGTGCTGTTATTAGCAAATGTATTTCATATTTTACATTTTTATATGTTATAGGCCCAACAATATACTACATTGTGTGTGTATATATATATATATATATGTGTGTGCATGTATATATATATATGATATGTGTGTGTGTGTATATATATATATAATTTGTACAATTGCTTTTTAAGTCAATTAAGAGAAAAAATAAAAGTATGTATTTATAATATCTGTTATAATTACATAATTACCTTTACTTAATGCTCTTTCTCTGTTTATGTAGACTCAAATTACTATCTGAGGTCACTTGGTTTCAGCATGAAGAAATTTCTTAAATACTTTTTGTAAGGCTGGTGTGCTGGGAGCAAATTCTCTCTCTCTCTGTCTCTATTTTGTCTTGCCCTTCAATTTTAAAAGACAGTTTTTTTGTATTGCCCTTCAATTTTAAAAGATAGGATTCATTGTTGTCTGTTTTTCTTTAAGCACTTTCAATATGTTTTCCCACTGCTTTCTTGTCTTCATTGTTTCTTAATTGTTTTTTCTCTCTGTTCTATGACTTGCATAATCTCAATTGCTCTAATTTTGAGTTCACTAATACTTTTTTTCTGCCACTGTATATCTACTGTTGAGCCCTCTAGTGAATTTCTTATTTCAGTTATTTCACTTTTTAACTCCAGAATTTCCATTTGGTCCTTTAAAAAATGTAATAATTTCTATCTGTCTGTTATAACATTCTCTCTTTGGTACAGTATTGTTATATATTTATTTCTTTGATCATGCTTTCCTTCATCTGTATGAACATATTTACAGTGGCTACTTTGAAATAGTTTTCTGTTAAGCTTAACATCTGGTTATTCTCATAGGCAGTCTCTGTTTCCTGCTTCTTTTCCTGGGTGTAAGTCATACTTACCTATTTTTTCACATGCCTTGTAAGTTTTTGTGGAAAACTGAACATTCCAGATAATATAGCAACCAACTCTGGATATTGCTTCTTCCCAAACCAGAGTTTGTTATTGTTATTTGCTTGTTTCTTTCTTTCTTTTTTTTTTTTTTTTTTTTGAGACAGAGTCTTGCTCTGTCACCCAGGCTGGAGTGCAGTGGCTCCATCTCGGCTCACTGCAAGCTCTGCCTCGCGGGTTCACGCCATTCTCCTGCCTCAGCCTCCCCAGTAGCTGGGACTACAGGTGCCCGCCACCATGCCTGGCTAATTTTTTGTATTTTTAGTAGAGATGGGGTTTCACCGTGTTAGCCAGGATGGTCTCGATCTCCTGACCTCATGATCCGCCCGCCTCAGCCTCCTAAAGTGCTGGGATTACAGGAGTGAGCCACTGTACCCGGCCGCTTGTTTATTTCTTTAGTGACTGGCTGGATTACTTTAGTTTAGTAAAATCTAGGGGGGAGCAGTTTAGGGTATGCCATGGCCACACTGGGACTTATAAGGCTCTCTTCCCATGTTCCCTACACACACACAGTTATTAAACTCCATTAACAATCTGGGATTGCTCTATTATTATCAACAACGTCCTGGACATAAATTCCTCTACAAACCAATCCAATCAAATTGTGGCTTCTTCATGTAGTTTCTATGTTCAATGTTTTTTATTTTTGTTTTCTGTTGCCAGGAGGGTTTCTCCAAGCTGTCTTCTTCTGCAGTTCTCTCCTGCAAACTAGCTGGTCTACGGTGTTGTCTGTACATTAATTATATCCACATATGTCTTCTTACTTGCCTATTACCCTAACTCTACTATTCCTGAGAGTGTCCCTACTTTTAAACTTTTCCACAATCTGTTTCAAACAAAGTCAGTTCCTCTGGGAAGAGATTGGGAACTACCCTATTTTAAGGCTTGTTTCTCATTCCTGGCAAAAATGTCTGAGTCAGGGCTCTGGAGATGAGAGTGGGGACAATGACAAGTTTCTTTCTGAGTGACACTTCCACTTAGGAGCTGAGTAATGTGAATGATGGCAGTAAGAAAGGGATGCCGGGGGGGCGTGCAAAAGCCTAAGTAAGGTCTTCTCAGCTTGCCTCTCCTAATATGGAACCACTGCCTCAGGAGCCAGGGAAACGGCTAGCAGGGCTTCCATATTCTCAGTGCTGCTGTGTCCAAGATAGAGCCTCCATTCCATTAGTGGAGATAGGGTAGAAAAAGGGATTCCCTAATTGTTCAAAATCATCTGGGACTTAGCCTCAGCAGAAGGCACCTGAAGGTAGGATGAGAAATGCTGAAGTCTTGCTCCTTTCAGGAAGAAAACCCTCTGGATGAGGACTGTGAAGAAAGGGAGCCCTATATTTTTGGTTGCAGCAGTCAAGAGTGAAGTTTCCATCTCTCTGAATAGAGGGGGTAGAAAGGTGGAGGGAGGAAGTAGTCTTGGTTCAGATACCACAGATTCATACTTTTCTTATTGAATTTTCTTATTGAATTTTCATAGATTTTCTTGAACAGATATTTCTTCATTTGCTGTTTTTCTTTAGAACTAGTCCCAAAGGCTTCGACTGGTGTTTTGTTCTTGTTGTTGTTCCATAATTTTCACCAGTTTCTCTGAAGAACAGGTAGAAGGAAATCCTCACGCTGCTATGCCAGAGTGGAACTCTTACTTCTGCATTAGAAATTAAATAGAATAAATGTAAGAATACGCAAACACATTCCTCTAGCTATCAGTGGTGATGTCATCACAAGTTATGCAGCCTCTATATGTTCTCTTTCTGTACATGCACCTTCCACTATACACTCATGAGACAGTGAGAGTGAACAAGGCAAAGAACAACTTAGTACAATCATAAAAATAATCTTGAGCTCCTGGCCCTTCTGCAAGTGTCTTGGGGACTCTCACAGGGAGCTGGACTACCCTTTAAGAACAACTGGTCTAGAATTTCCTTCTTTGAAATACATTCCTTTTAATGAGAAACAACACAAAATATTGACTAAGACTGAAATGTAGGTCTCCTAATTTCATTTCTGGGATCCTCACCAACTTACCAGGTAGCATACTTTGGACATTGATTCATTTCATTAATACTGTTTTGAGCAGAGCACAAAAAATTAAACTGAGGCCATTTTAACAAGAGCTTATGGGAAATCAATCTGTATGTGAAAAAGTTCAAGAATAACAAAATATAAAATTCTTTAAAAATGAACCATCACACACACACATACACACAGCACGCACACACACACACATTTTGGATGTATTTATATAATTACATTTTCAAAATCTGGCTTAAAATTTCCAGAATATTATAATATTATTTCAAAATCAATAAATAGATTGTTTAAGGAAGCACTAAATCGGCCTCTCATTGGTACACTAATGAGGAAAAATAGATTTGAACTCAATAGCATGTTTAATAACCTTGACATTCAAAAATGAGAACCAATCATGAAAACCCACTTTAATTTTCAATTAAGACATAAGAAGAATTATTTATGTAGAGAAACTAGGGCAAAAGGACATTTGGATGCTGAATTTATGTTTGATGAGATGAATCAAGCAGCTGCCCTTAGCATCAATTTGCGTGCAGAATATGAGTCTAACCAAGGAGAAAACCTCCTGAAGCTAGTATATATTACTTAATGGCCAAACACTTTGGATCTACAGAAACTTCAGAGATGAGAAATTAGCAACTCAGGAGACCATAGAGATAAGAGAATTCTAACTGATGGCTCTGGAAAAAGAACCAGTAAGAGAGAATAAAGCATGATAAGCTTAGATTCCAACTAATCAAAAAAAAAAAATCTGGCAGAAAGAAGACTTGCCAATTATATTCTTTATATCCTACACAGCAGTGAGAGTGAACTTTATTACTAGGGTTAGAAGCATTAGACCACACTTAATTGGCTGAAGAAAAAGGTAATGTTTTCAAATAAAAAGACAGTGATAGCTAAATTGTTAACTGATGTAGAAATGGCTACTCAGCCAGACACAGATTCCAATGATCCTCTAAAAGCAAACCAAGGATGATATATTTTGAGTGCAAGAGCAGGTTTACATGTAAAGACCTATAAATATAGAATAAATGTTAGATAACTAAGAGGTGTGAGAGACTCTATGTTTGAAAAAGCATAAATCTCTAGTATTTTCTGATTTTTTGTTGTTGCCAATCAAATTTATATTAATAACCCATAGTATTTGGTGATCTAGAGAAAACAATTGAGAAATGAAAGTGAAGAATCAAATTCTTATGATCAATTCAAGGATTTTTTGCTCCACATCAAGGAATTTTATTACTTTGATGTCAGGTGTGAGGACAATGAAGTTTCAGTTCATTTGGTTTTCTACATATGAATTTTCTGAGGAATATAATAGTTGTGTGAAACAATTATGTGGACTGATAAATACTTTATGCTCATTAACAATGCTGTGTTTTAGAACACGTTATGGGAGTATGACAACATAGAATTTGTACAGTTTAAATGGAATTAGTTTAGAGGTTTTCATTAAGGACCATAAGCAGATGTTTGTAAGATAGTAGTACATTCTAGATCTTTCTTAAAAATCTTCAATAGCTCTAAAGAATCAAGTCTTTAACAGGGGCCAAGTTTTATTGTATAAGGAGATGTTCTATTTGTAGACTGTACCTAAATCTCATGCAGTGGAGGCTTCTAAGGAGAATATAAGGAAAATGTTAATGAGATGACTTGAAAATCATTAGAGATCTTGCCATTCTCCTTATCCCCATCTACAGGAAAAAGAACTATAAGACTAGGTATCTTGAGTCCTAAATGGAATAGAGAATCTAGGACTTAATTATGGGCATAATTGGTGTTCTATATCCTCTTACTTTTCATTCATTTCTCCATTCATTCATCCTATGATTCATTTATTCAGCAGACAGACAAACACTAGGGAAGTAAAAATGGGGAAAATAGTTTTTATCCTTTTGTCATTCATGGAGACAATCAATAGGGATTGGTATAGGATTTTCTGGGAACACAGATGAAAGAATGACTAACTTCCTGCAGTAGGAAAGTATGAATGGATTGTAATACAGCGAAAGGGAACATCTTAACTGTCATTTGAGAAACGAAGAAGTTACATATTGTGGAATGAGAACACCTCTCAAAGCAAAAAGAACAGAATGAGCGAAAGGATATAGAAATGAACTCACATGCCTTTCTCAGGGAATACAAACAGGTGTAGAGTTTCCGGAAAGATGCAGAGAGATTGCAGACATTAGTCAACCAGCAGTCAAAACCTAGCTCCCTGGAAACTCCTCATCTTCCTATTTAAGCATCCAGCCAAATTTTACACAGCTCAAGTAATATCTCTGCCTATTACTTTTGCATGTGTCACTTGACCTCTCTTGATTATTGTTTCTGTATAATACTGTCCCCACAACATTTCCAATTCAGAAGATGCTGGGCTTGGATAATGAAAAATCACAGACTATATGGAAGACATTTTACTTTGGGTACCAGAAATTTCTTGAATGTCTACCAAATTTTAACTTATTTTTCTTTATAACTTGTAAAGTTTCTTTTTATTCTTATCAGATTTTATCTAAACATGAAACAAAATTTCAGATGTACACTTTCTCAAAAATGTTTCTTTCCTTTGAGATCTGTGTCTTTTCCCACAGGAGTGTGTTGTTTAAGCCATTCTCTTCATGTCTATTCTGATCTTTGAGTGAGGTTCTAAATCCAGAGAGCGCTATAAGTACTGAAATTTTCTGAGGACTTCCCATGTGCCAGGCAGTGTGATAAAGAGCTCATATGCATGGACTTATCCAATTTTCATAACAACATCAGGGGATAATGTCATTTTCTAAATGGAGAAACATTGCTTACAGAGTTTAAGGAGCTTGTTCAAGACCACACAACTATTTAGGGTTGGACTTGGTTTTAATACCAGACCATCTGATTTCAGAGATTATACCCTTGTGCTCTCTCTGCTACACTGTCTCTTGCATTTGCTAGCAAGAAAAAGAGGAAAGAGGAAAGAAAAGAAAAAAGAACAAAAGGGGAGAGGGAAAAAGTGAAGGAGGTAGGAAAAAAGAAAGGAAGACAAGAAGGAAGAAAAGAGAGAAGGATGAATCAAAGGAAGGAAAGAAGAAATAAAACAGTAAAAGAAGGGAGAAAAAATTTAGGAAAGGAGAGAAGGCAGAATGAAGGGAGAGGAAGAATGAAAAATGGAAGGAAGGAAGGAAGGGATAGAAGAATAAAATGAAGGAGGGGAGGGAGGGAGGAAGAGAAGGATGAAGGAAGGCAGAAAAGAGAATGAAGGAAGGAAAGAAAGGAAAAGGGAGGGAGGGAGGAAGAAAAGAAATGGGAAAAGGAAAAAGGAATGAAGGAAAGGAAGATTTAAAAAAGGGAGACATAAAGACAGGGAGGAAAAGGGATGGTAAGAAGGGACAGAGGAAGAAAGGAAGGAAACAATGTCATGACACAATTTAGAATCGTTTATTTCATTTTTTAAAATAAATAAAAGTAGCAAACTCATTTATGGGATAGGAGATAGTATAGGATAATGGTTAGGGGCTTGAGCTCTGACATCTGAGAAACTGGGTTCAAATCCTGCTTTACAAGTTTTGTAAGCTGTTTGGCTAGTTACTTAAACTCATATACTTTTACTTTCCTGGTCTGTAAAATGAGGATAATAGTTTCTCTCTCACTGGGATTTTAGTGAGATAATGCATGTAAAGTGCTTGGCATTTACTAAGTGTTGAATAAATGTTAGCTCTTACTATTTGGTATAAGTTTATAAAGAGAAAATGGCCTCTTATAAACAGAAGAAATAACATCCTTGAATTTTTTAATCTGCATTTGCCTTTAATGAATGCTATTAAATTCAGAGCTAGAGTAGAAATATCTGCACTTGGACAGATCAACTAACACTATTTTATCTGCTGCTTTTTATAACCAATGGAAAACTTTTGGAGCCAGGCTGGGTAAGCTCAAAGTCTAATACGACTTACATTTTAAGAATGTTTTATTTAAATTCTCCTTTCAAAACACCTAACTATAAAATGTGAAGAAGAAAAAAGTACCGTTTTTAAGTATAAATACATGAACGCTTGAGTAAGAAAGCTCTATTCCCACTTGGTTTTCTCTGTTTGTGATACAACTGAGGCTTGCTGATGGATGGATAAATCAGTCATTCATAGTCCACTGATTATACTGCATGAGAAAATGGAAACTTTAAAAAATTATTTAGCACTTTGATTTTTAAAAATGCACTGAATACCTTCATTGTTATTCTCTAAACCACAGTGGCTTGACTGAGATTCAAACTGACTCTCATTATTATAAACTATTCCCTTAGGAAGGTGTTTTAATTTCCTCTGCTTAGTGTCCTGCACTTCTGGTGTCTGGCACTGGTGAATAGTACTGCATGTGAAAAAAAAAAAAAAAAGGAGAAAATGGAAATTAAAGAGTATTAACGTTAAATGTAATGACAATATTTATATAAAATTTCCCAACATACTAGTGGTTTTTTTGGAATAAAGAGGTTATCTGGCTTACAGCTAAATAAATGTCAAAATATCAGAATAGAACAGGGATAAACTGATTTTATTTGTTTCATAATATTCAAACCCATCTTATGGAATGGAAAGGACTTATTGCTGAATCAGCTCCAGGCCCATGTGACTATGTGTGTTCATGTATGTGAGCGTGTGAGTGCACGCGGCTGTGTATGGGTGCACATGTGTGTATGTTTGCAAGTCTCTGTGCCTATCACCATAGAGCACAATGCTGACTCTACTTAAGTGACTCCAGGATCAACGGATCACAGAGCGGCAGGCTAAAATCAGATTTATGGCTGCACGTGGGTTCTTATTATCCAAGACTGGCAACCTTCTTCCCCCACCCCCGCCTAATCTGCCGTCCTTCCCTAAAGCATCAATAGCAGACACCCAAAGTGTAAAGTCAATTTTGTTAAAGGGAGATCTGAGAGAACAATTCGCAAGAAGGCAACTGCTGTGGTTGGAATATGTCCCCTCCAAAATACAGGTGTTGCCAATGTGATAGTATTAAGAGGTGAGACCTTTAAAAGGTGATCTGGCCATGAAGGCTCCTTCCTTGTTAACAAAATTAAGACCCTTATAAAAAAAAGCTTCAGGTAACGTTCTGCTAGTTTGCTATCTTGCCCTCCCACTTCTGCTATGTGAGGACACAGCAACAAGGCCTTCACCAGACACTAAATGCTAACACCTTGATTTTGGACTACCTAACCTCCAGACTGCGAGTAATATTAATGCATTTCTGTTCTTTATAAAGTACCTAGTTTCAGATATTCTTTTATGGCAGCACAAAATGGACTAAGACGTGGGCATACAGATGAACAACACAGTTACAGGCTCGCATCTGAAGCTCTCCATCATGTACATGCATCTTCTCTCCTCCTTTTTCTTTGTCTCCCTCCTAAGCCCAAATAAAGGACAAAGATGCAATCATAACTTCTCTTTGCACTATTTGTTGCTTGAGCTAATTACTGCTCAATTATGGTGTTTCCCACTGAAGTGGTTCTTCAACCAGGACAAAAAGATAATAAGTGAATTGGAATGTTAGTTTAAATCAGAATCAAACAAAACAGATACCACACAAAAAAAGAGAACAATGAATCAAATAATTCACATTAAAAATCTCGTGCTACTCTTTCTAAATGTCATTAATTCTAATCTTAGCTATATTATCTGGTTGACTTTTATAAAGAGCACACATTTGAAAGTTAATTGTCAAACCCCTTCACTGTTTATCACAGAGAAGATTGGATTGGTGTAGAAACAAAAAAAAGTAATCACCTCTAGTTATTAGCAGTATATAGCAAAATGAGTAATAACTAAGATTTATTGAGTGCTTATACTAAATATGCTTCTTTGCGTTTTACATGAATTATTTCATGTAATCGTTATTTGTACTGATTATAATCTGCATAAAAACATGACAAATGAGAAAGTTAAGGCATTGAGAGATTAAATAACTAGCTTTATCACTTTTATATTATGGTGTAAGCTTGGAATGGATGAGAAAGAATGGTCCCAGACTTCATGTTCTTAACTGCTACACACTATTTTTTTTTTTTTTTTTTTTTTTGAGACAGAGTCTCACTCTGTCACCCAGGCTGGAGTGGAGTGGTGCTATCTTAGCTCACTGCAACTACCGCCTCCCAGGTTTAAGCAATTCTCCTGCCTCAGCCTCCCAAGTAGCTGGTACTACAGCCGCATGCCACCACACCCGCCTAATTTTTGTACTTTTAGTAGAGACACGGTTTCACTGTGTTGGCCAGGCTGGTCTTGAACTCCTGACCTCAGGTGATCTACCTGCCTTGGCCTCCCAAAGTGCTAGGATTACAGGCGTGAGCCACTTTGCCCGGCCTACTACACACTATTCTTATCTCTTACTTTTGTCATATGCCCTATCACTTGTAAGTATCTTACTTATATATTATTTTGCTTGAACCTAAACTATTCCTATAAAATGGATAAGAGAAGCAATCGTGAATGGTTGCACAATTTCTAAATAGTTAGCCAACAAACCAGATTTTCTTGCCCAAGGTCCAGGATATTTTCCAACACACCACACCATTCTTTTTAACAAGCTTCCTGACTGGACCCAGGTAAGGGAGTCTTAAGAGTTATCCTTCAAAGTTCTTTAATTTGTAGAGGCCATTATCCTTTTTTTTTTTCCTTTTGAGATGGTGTCTTGCTCTGTCTCCCAGGCTGGAGTGCAGTGGTGCGATCTCAGCTCACTGCAAACTCTGCCTCCTGGGTTCAAGTGATTCCCCTACCTCAGCCTCCCAAGTAGCTGGGATTACAGGCACACCACCAAATCCAGTTAATTTTTGTACTTTTAGTAGAGATGGGGTTTCACCATATTGGCCAGGCTGGTCTCGAACTCCTGACCTCAGGTGACGTGCCCGCCCCGGCCTCCCACAGTGCTAGGATTACAGGTGTGAGCCACCACGCCCAAATGAGGCCATTATTCTTATCACTTTTCCTCCCACTTATTTCTTTCTGTCTTTGTTCACAGTTCCTGTCCAGTTCCAACATATGTTTGTTAAAACTATCATGACAAATACTTGGATGCATTACTAACTGACTCTAATAAACATCCTACATTTGTATGTGGCATTCATAAATTAACGTGTCCATAGTCAATGAAAATAGCATTCTGGCACACATACAAATTAGCATCTCCATCCCTGCTTTATGCATTTGAAGTCAGTATCATGGTTGATTTTTTTTTTAAATAGCTGATTTTCTTTGTTTATTTTGCTATAGGCTGCTAATAACAAAAATGAAGGTTGCTACAGTTTTTGTGTTTCTGCACAAATCTGGTTGTCTCTGTGAAGAAGTTTAGCAATTAACTTTCATATAGGTGCTCTCAAGAAAAGCCAAGCAGAAACCACAGCTAAGATTAGAATTGAGTACATTTAGGAAGAGTGACACTTAATTTTTAATGTGGGTCATCTGATTCCTTGCACTTGTTTTCATTTAGTTTGATTTTGCTTTCACTAACCTGCCAGTTTACTTGCAATTTTTCTGTAGTCATCTGATTGGTCCATTTTCCCACATTTGTTCTCTCCATGTTTATCAAACTTCTTCTTGTACACATTACTCTCTGAGCATGTGTGAATATGTGTGCATTTTGAAAGACAGAATAGCATTTTAGGAAAAAAAAAAAAAACACTGACATATCAAGCAGCGATTCATCACATCCCGCATTGAAGGCAATGAGGCCGCTTCGAAAATCAGCGCTTGGGCTGCCTTAATGCTGAGGGTCATTTCACAGCCCGACAAGTAAATCCTACAATAATCCATCTTGTTGTGACAGGAGATGCGGCGTCTTCTATTTTAATAATATCCCAAGAAAATACAGCTCTACAGTTCAGTGGAAGAGAAAGTAAAAAATCCCTTCCCATTAGCCCAGAGTATGAATTTACATTGCACATTTCAACTTCCAATAAATAAAGATTATTTCATCATTACTTTTTAAATTATTACATTAATCAATCATCAAAAATATCTAAAGTTCTTTCTCTAGGCTCAACACTCTGCTTAAGTGATGCAGCATTCCCTGATGGAGGAGAAAACAAAAACAACAAATGTATCTGCCTGCTAGAAAGTTGTCATTAAAGATTTTTTTGTTTTTTTGAGATGGAGTTTCACTCCTGTCACACAGGCTGGAGTGCAATGGCTCTATCTCAGCTCCCTGCAACCGCTGCCTCCCGGGTTCAAGTGATTCTCCTGTCTCAGCCTCCCGAGTAGCTGAGATTACAGGTGCGCACCACAACTCCCCGCTGATTTTTGTATTTTTAGTAGAGACTGGGTTTCACCATTTTGGCCAGGCTGATCTCTAACTCCTGACCTCAGGTGATCCACACGCCTCGGCCTCCCAAAAGTGCTAGGATTACAGACGTGAGCCATCACGCCCAGCCTAAAGATTTTATTTTTCATATAACTAACATGCTTAGAGATTTAACTATATGTCAAAATTAATCAAACTGTTGAAACTTCATATTGTCTTTTCCTTCCTGGTGCTTACTGTCTTGCACAGAAGATATAAAAACTCAAGAAGTACGATAGTTTTTCGAAATATGGGTAAAGTTCCGTGAAAAGACAGAAAAAAAACTCGATCCCAGGAATTCCAATTCCCTAATACATCTCATTAAATAAAACCAATTAGCTTATCAGATTAGCCATCTTTATGAAACATTCTCACATGTGCTTAAAAGCACTTGTTAGCAAGAAACCTTTCTTTGACATTTTTTAAAGGTACAATAAAAATACAGCCTTTGTCTAGCTTATCCCTAACATTATGACTAAAGCTGTTGGAGAAAAAGAAAAAGTATGTGATCGGCTGCTCACAGATCTCAGTATGTGATCTGATGCTACGTTTCTTCCTTTTTTTTTTTTTTTTCTGTTCTTTTTTGTTTTGTTTTATTTGTTTTGTGACAATAGGTGTCAGCATTCAGTTTGCATTTGGTAGGTTTGGTCCCTAATATGAAAATATCGGAGAGTGATTTAATTCATATGTCTACCCTCAGCTGTTCTATCCTTATCTCTGTTATGGCAAAAATTGAGCACCTTCATAATTTGTGATAGCCCTCCAGATGAATCTAGCAAAGAAAAGATATCCTGTTAAGCCAATGTTAGTTGCTTAGTATGTTATGGAAACCTCATAGTAATTACAAATGCTTTATGCAAATAGGGTGGCGAGACATGCAGACAAACACAAACTTATCTTCTTTGTCCACGTTTATGCTCCATTGTCTTGCTGCACTTCAATTACAAAACACACGCTCAAAGAAAAAAATCCATGTAGTTTATTTTGTTTTAGTCAATTAGTCAATTTCATTGTCCATTATAATGTCAGCATTTACAAAACCATTATTTATGTCAATTTCTAAAAGAAAACTTTCTTCTCTCCAGGGTGGAGGTGGCTTATACAAAATAAGAACTGAACGTACAAACTTTCTGTTAGTTAAGGAATGACCAGTTAGTTTAATCTCTCTTGAAGACTCATCCACTCATGGTGGTTGCCTGTATTGCAAAGGACCAGGGCTAAATCTGAGCTCTGCAAAAAAGAGTGCTTTGATTGGTTAGGAATGTCTGCCTTGAATGAGGGGCATATAGTGTCAGCATGCCTGCCTAGTATTTGGCATGCCTGTTCTAATGCTTAGTACTATTTCATTCTGTAGAGCAATCTACTTACTAAGTAGGGTTTAGGTTTTCATTTCCTTGAAATAAAACTAGCAAAAATTGTTTTTCATTCTCCCTGAAATAAATATGTTCACTAAAACATCTTTAGTTCTATTTTAAATATTAAAAATCATCTTTTGTCCCTAAACATAAATGTGTTATGAAATGATTTATAATTCTATTTAATACAACCTAAAGCCACAAAGAAATGAATCTTTAGGATGTTTCAACATAAACTAGGGTAGTACTTCTAGTCTATTTCTGGAAAGAATAATATAACTTTTACTACTAATTCTATAGGATTGATGTGAAGATCAGATGGGATCATGGGAATAAAAGCACTTTGGAAATTAATCAATACAATGTATTTTGTTATTTACTTGACCATCATTCACTGAGATGAGATGAATAAATGCTTGAAGAACAGTTACTAAAGGCATTATTGTTTGGATGGTTGGTAAACCATACCTTGCTAGATTTTCATATGAGGTCCATGTTTTGATATGCATATAAATTCACACATTGCAACAATGTGAAATTGAATTACACATGGCTTTCTTTTGACCTGTCTCTATGATAAGTCAGTTAGCAGGTTTGGTCTCTAATATGAAAATGTTAGAGAGTCATTTAATTCATCTGTCTACTTTCAGCTATTCTATCTTTATAGGAAGCCAAGGAAAGTTTTGAAAATAATTTACCATACTTAAAACACACACTTTATCTTTCAGTTACCATCCATCAAGGAATATTCAACCCATCTCCTCCTTCCCATCAGTCAGGCTCACAGTAACCCAAATCAACAGTTCTAGCTAGCAATCTGCCTACAAGTTACATGTTGTCCAAATATTGTGAACACATTTATGTTTTCCCTGACTCTTCTAAAGCCAATCAAACTAAAATAATGATAAAGGAAAAAAAAAAGCACTAACAAGTTGGCTTTACTTTAATTTTCCAAAATTTCTAAGGTAGGGAGCAAAGTTCCGTATCATTTCTGAATCTCACTGGCATTTTTCTAAAACTGTCTGCAAGTTATTTAATAATTATTGACAAGCTATCATGTGAGAGCAGAAGGATATTTTAAGTCTGCTGAGATAAATGAGACCCAAAGGCCGAGATATACATGGGACCAAAACGTACATGATGGTATTAAACCGAAACGGTTTGCATTCACCATTCTGTTTTTTTCTGTTGAGATCCACAAGGCCATTCACATCAACTGATGCATTTCTAATGTGCTTCTCCCCTTAGATCAAGCCAGCTTGAGGTTTCTGTCCATTAACTAGATATTATAAAACCCTTTGTGCCATTCAGGATAAATGAAGTATTTATCTTCATTTTAATACAGATAAAAACATCTGCATTAGATGTTTTTATCTGATAGATGCTAAACGTGAATACACACCAACACTTGCTTTTAGAAGATTTGTAGGTCGTGGGTTTTTAACCTGAGGTCTAGAGATGAGCTCAAAGGATTTCATGAACTCCCTGAAACTGTAAGCAAAATTGTATGTATATGTGTTTGAGTTTCTTCTGTAGGAAGGGAGTCTTGATCTTTCATCAGTTTTTCAAAAGGGTGAGTAAAAAATTAAAACCACAAATTCGTATTCAAATTGTGATAATTTTTGCTACAAAAGTCCTCATTTTGTTTTATTTTTTAATAATTTGAATTAATATTTTAGACAGTGGCTATATTAGAAGCTGAATAAATATGGAAAATGGGGAATAGATATGGCAGCTTTGAGTGGTGTCCTGTGGATGGCATGTGATGAGGAAAGCCTCAGCTTTCTCATCCATCAACTAGAAATTTCCTAGAGAACCCTCTGAGGTCCCTTCCAATGCAAAGAGAGTTTCCTGGATCCACTGAACCTGTTCGAAAGAAAAGCAGCCTAATCACAAAAAGCAGTTCTTTCCTCCATTTCCCTAAGCCTGGGGTGAAAAGAGGAAGCACAGGAAAAGAAAGTGGAAAGTAGATCAAATAAATATTGAGTTTTTCTCTTTTGGGACATATTCACTGAGCATCTTGTATGGTTAGTCACTATGTCACGGTTATTGTTTTCAGATGTTGAACCCATGTCCTCTAGATTAGGAAAAATAATGAAAAATGCCTATTGAATATATTATCCAGTATATTGGGTATACATGTTGGATTATATATATGTATAGGATTTATATCTTATATCCAATATATATGATATTCTATATCTTATTGGATATAATATCCAAAAGAAAAGAATTATTCCCTCTGCAATTTCAGACACATACTTTACCTATTAACTATTTACCTTACAGCATCATAGCAAGAGTTATGAGATACCTGTCATGCAAAATTAGGACCAATTTAGGATCAACTAGGACCAATTAGGCTGGTAAAGAAATGGGCTCAGCAAGGTAAACAGAGGTGGCATTTTAACAAGACCAGTCTAACTTGACAGTCACAGCTGTTAACCAATAAACTGAAGCTTTGCTCTCTCAGCCATTTTGTATTTAATTTCCTCAGCTAAAAAGGGAAAAAATATAACAAGAGATGCCCACACTTGGAAGTAAAATATGAATATTCTGAAAGGAAAGAATCAGGGAGGCAGAGCCTAACAGAAAACGTGAAAGATGCTAACAACAACATACTGTACGTGGAAGACGTGAAGAATAAGATATGGCTGTGCAAAAAAGAAAAGAAAGAAAAGAAGACCCTTTATCAGACATACAGAAAAATATAGTTCTGTGTCTGTCTCAGAAGGCATATAGTTACCTGTCACTCCTTTAGATAGAGGTATTCTAGTGCTTCAAATATCTTAGAGAGGATTTAAACATCAGGCGGAAAATAGTAAGTAGATAAATTCAGATTATAATTATTTATTTGTTTTTATTAACTTCATTTGGAGATGTGTAAAATAGGAGATGTAAGCAATATTGAAGATTATAAAAGTAGAAGTAACATATTCCCTCCAAGCTCATTTCATTCCTATTCCCCAGAAAGGATTATTTATTTCCAATGCTGGTTACCGTGACAATAAAGAATGTACAGAAACTTCTGGTCATTTGATGTATTCACAGTTTTCAATATATGCTATTGCCCTGCTGGAAAAGATAAGAGATTTAATAAACTTAGCTTATTTCCCATCTCCCTTCTCTCATCCACACTGTTATTATTTATTATTTTATTATTATTGCTATTGTTAGTAGTAGTTTATTCTATTTATAAGCATAAGTACTATACTTCAACAGTTAGAATTATTTCTTGAAGATTCAAATTTAAACACTTTCTGTCAACTTCCCGACATCTGAAACAAGGAAATGATAAATTTTTCCTTATCTCTCTTCTGTAATTATAAATAATCATTTGACACTTTGCTCTAAGCTGATTCTAAAAACTCAAGTACATTAGCAATGCTAAGAGTATTATTGTTTTTTGAATGTTATTCCTAACAAGAAGTACAATAGTACCTGCGGAAATTGAAAAGTGATCCTAGGACACAAAATAAGTATGAAATGAGTCTTCTTAATCTGTCATGTAACAGTTTGGTTTGTTTCATCTTAGGACCATGACTATCTTGGTGTTTTCTGTTTCATTTTGTTTTTTGTTTTTTTGTTTGTGGATGCGTTTTGTTTTTAGCAATGGCTTCCAATTTTATTTAATCTTGTTGAAGAAACACCTACATAGTGATACATATGATCTGCTAGAATATTAATGTTTTCATTTGTCTGATGAAATCTTTCAGACTGATTTCCCCTTCTAATTTAAACTGTTTTTTTTTCCCCTACATCTGCTGTAAAGCTGACAACCTGGAATATACACATATATATTTGGTATTGCATGAATATTTATTTACCTACTCTTTCCAGGATTCCTCTCACTAGAGGCTCAAATATTATTATTATTATTTTTATTATTTTTTTTTTGAGACGGAGTCTCGCTCTGTCGCCCAGGCTGGAGTGCAGTGGCTCCATCTCGGCTCACTGCAAGCTCCGCCTCCCGGGTTCATGCCATTCTCCTGCCTCAGCCTCCCGAATAACTGGGACTACAGGCGCCCGCCACCACGCCCAGCTAATTTTTTGTATTTTTAGTAGAGATGGGGTTTCACCGTGTTAGCCAGGATGGTCTCGATCTCCTGACCTCATGATCCGCCCACCTTGGCCTCCCAAATCGCTGGGATTACAGGTGTGAGCCACCGCACCCAGCCTCAAATATTATTTTTAAAAAGATAAACTTCCTGAATGATCGAATTTCTAAAAATACATTTATTTTAGACTCACACTTGATCGCCAGTATACCTAAGAACTGAATTCTAGATTAATAACAATATTTCTTAATGTTCTTATAGGCATTCAATCCTGAAGGATATATATATTTACTTTTGTAGGTTAACTTGCATTTTATCTTCCCATAAATTCTACAATTTTCTCAGTATTCTTAGAATTAATAAATTATTCAATATTCAATATTGATAAAATATTTCTCAGTATTCTTAGAATTGGTTCTAGATAAATTTTTAGTGTAGGCATTTTTACTAACTTATCTTGTCTTAAATCCAGTTGACTTTTTTCAGTATGAGAGTTTTAGACTTCCTTTAGCACAAATAAATTTTTAAGATTTACTTGAGGGCCGGGCACAGTGGCTCACACCTTTAATCCCAGCATTTTGGGATGCCAAGGCAGGAGGATCACTTGATCCCAGGAGTTCAAGACCACCCTGGGAAATATGGCAAAACCCTGTCGCTACAAAAAATAGAAAAATTAGCCAGGCCTGCTTGTAGTCCCAGCTACTCAGGAGGCTGAGGTGGGAGGATCACTTGAGCCCAGGAGGTTGAATCTCGCCACTGCACTCCAACCTGGGCAACACAGTGAGACCATGTGTCAAAAAAAAAAAAAAGTTACTTGAATCTTTACAAGTGAGTTTGGTCTATATATGTTTATTTTCTTTGTTTAATTTTGCTTTCAAAGTGTTCCAGGATGAACAAAATAAATCAAAGAGGGGTTGGCTTTTCCTTCTTATTTTTTGAAGCATGTACCAAATTTTGGAGATTTCATAAAATTTCGCTATAAACCTGGACCTGATGACTTTTTTTTTTTTGAGACGGAGTCTCACTCTGTTGCCAGGCTGGAGTGTAGTGGCACAATCTTGGCTCACTGCGGCCTCTGCCTCCCGGGTTCGAGTGATTCTCCTGCCTCAGCCTCACGAGTAGCTGGGTTTACAGGCATGCACCACCACACCCAGCTAATTTTTGTGTTTTTAGTAGAGACGGGGTTTCACCATGTTGGCCAGGATGGTCTTGATCTCTTGACCTTGTGATCTGCCTCCCTCAGCCTCCCAAAGATCTGAGATTACAGACGTGATGACTTTTGTGATTTTATTGTCAGTTAAATTTTTTGAAAGGATTTCAATTTCTTATTGTGGGAGGGGGGGATATTTGATACTTTTCTAGGCATTTTCATTTTATTTAACTTTTTAAATTTAAAGGTTTATGTTAGTTTAGAGTAATCAACTGGGACATTTAAAAACAATATAATCATTGATATGTCACTTTTTTCAATTGTAATGATTTTTATTACTTTATTCATTGTGTTTATTATTTTATTACAGTTTTACGTAATTTTATTGAAGCACAGCATATATATAAAAAACATAAAAAAAATTTAGTGTCTAGCTCAAAATATTTTTATCAAGTTAAAATCACACACTTATACAACCACCACCCAGATCAGGAAAGAGAATATCATTAGAACCCCAAGTCATTCTTGGGGTGTCTTTTAGTTGCCACAAACTTATTCCTGTCATAGGACTCTATATTCTTTTTTTTTTCCATTATGTCTTATTTTTATTTCACAACTTGAGAAGTTACCATTGTCAGCTATGCTTTTAAAGACATCAGGCCCATTCTTGCTTCTTCTGATGAAACCAAATCCGATTAAAAACCAAAATACCACTTCTATATACAAGGGTCTAACTATTTTGGACTGAAAGCAAAAATAGTAATTGGATGACCAGTTAATGACCAATTAATGCAGTACAAAGAATGAGAACAGTTCTATTAATGTCCTAGACTGTTAAAATATCATTTTACCAAAAGAAAGTATGTACTTATGAATGTATTCCATATTTATTTACGGATTTTTGGTAACTTTTTGCAAATGATGGTAAACATGGAGTTATAAACCTGAGAACAGATTATAAAACAAAGGTTAAGAAGGGTTTAAATAAATTAATGGATTTGACATCAATCACCAGTTCTTAAAATTAGGGAAGTAAAAGGCATCCCATTAGTCTTTTCAGGTCAATAGTCAAGGACAATTATCATGAATGAATCTGCTTACTATATACTTAACACAAGCTTTGAGAAGAAAAGCATCATAGTTCTGAAATGATGATTGTTCCCTAAGCCACAAATGAGAGGTAGGTTTCCCACCTATCTCAGTTGATAATGTCCAAAAACATCCTTCTCCATGCATCAGAGTAGAAAGAGAATGTACCTCCTACTATGTCAAATGGAATAGATAACTGCAAAGTAGGAACACGTAAGAACATTCTCTAACATTGGTATCAGTCTGATGCTTCCCCTTATCTGCCACTTCAGAGATACACAGGAGAAACGGGTTAATTTTGTCTGAAACCAAGCACAATTAGGGCTAATAAATAATTTAAAGGTGGGGTACTGTAACATATTTCTTACCTACTAAATACGTAAACCATTTGAATCAAGTCCACCTTCAGGCACAAACAAATTAGGAATGGCCACCTACACTGGAGTAGCATAACCTATCAAGTATTTGGTTAGAAAATAAGTGTACTATTTGTGTGATAAAGTTTCACTTTAAATGGATTTTAAAATTATTTTCCCATGAAACATGACAGTTTCTTATATTTGGACTGGAGGTCCCTAATAAAGATACATTTAGTTGTCCCAGCAAAGAATGCTTAGATTGCACATGGAAGCAGTAAACTAAGACAAAGAGATGGAAAATGACATTTAGTTATTTTCCTATACAGATAAGATTTGCAATTGCACTCTTAACAAAACTCAACTCTACAATTTCAATACAGATGGGGAAAGCTGCATATTAACTTAAATACTCTTTTAGCCCTGTACACTCTATTAAAGAACACACTTCTAAATCTAAGGCACACAGATTCCTCTATTTCACAGAGTAAGATTATGGAAGGAAGAGCAAGATTTTGGTTAAATCCCTTACAATGTCCAGGAGATCTTGGACAGAAGACAAGTTATATAGCATTTTGTTAGTGCATAATTTAAAAGAAATGCTATGACTATGCTCTGGTCTTAGAGGTTTAAAACATGCACTCAAATCATTAAAAATAATTTACCAGCACTTTATAAATTCAAGTGTGAAACATAAAAGTGATCACGTTTTCCTTAAAAAGAAAAATACCCAACAGCACTTGGAAAGAAAATTAGAAACCATTTCAATGAAAATGACACCATTACATTTTTGCACACGTCTTTTTCTCTGTTTTTTTTTTTTTTTTGGTAATTTTGACTAGTAGTTTATGAACTTCATTATTTTTCAAGAAAAAATTTTGTCTATTTTTTATTGTATTATGGTTTTCTATTTTATGAATTTCCACCCTTACCATTATTATTTCCTTTGTTATACCTTTTATGTGTTTGTTTACTATTCTTTTTATACTTTCTCAAGATGGAAACTAAGCTGATTAATACTCAGCCTTTTCTCCATAATGTATGCATTTAGGGTGGTAAATATCCCTCAAAGAAGGATTGTCCCTGTATTTCACAACTTGGATATGTTGCATTTTCAAGATAATTCAGTGCAGAATATTTTCTAATTTACACTTTTTTATTTTTCTGTGATCCATTTGTTCTTTAGACATGTGCTTTTTTCAAGAATTTAGGGACCTTCTTTTCCCCTCTGCCTCTTTGTCCTCATTATCCTCTTATGCTTTTTACCACCTTCTCCACATTATAATAATGTTGCATGTTATTATTATTTAACTTAATATTCAGAGACAATATTTATTTTCAATGCTTTTATATTCTTTGAGGATTATTTTACAAGCTGGCAAGTCTAAATTTAACAATTCATATCCATTTGAAAAAATATCCTTATCCATCCCCTAGCATGATGCCCTGTATAATCCACCTTCTGTAAGGTGTACTGTTCGAATGTTTGTCCCCTCAGAAACTCATGTCGAAACTTAATCCCCATTGTAACAGTATTAAGAGGTGGGAACTTTGGGAGGTAATCCTAAGGATTCGGCGAGTTCATGAGGGTGGGGTATTAGTGGTTTTATAGGAGGAGAAAGACCTGAGCTACTACACTCAGCCCCCTTAGCATGTGATGCCCTGTGCCTCCTTGACACTCTGTAGAGGGTCCAGCAAGAAGCCCCTCACCAGATTTGGTCACTTGACTGTGGACTTCCCAGCCTCCAGAACTGTAAGGAACACATTTCTTTTTTTTAATCAGTGACCCAGTTTTGGGTATTCTGTTGGAGCATCAGAAAACAAACTAAGACAAAGAGGAACTCATGACTTGCTTCTAGCCCAAAAGTACAGCAAAGATGGTCACCCTGTATTAGTCAGGATTCCCTAGAGGGACAGAGCTAATACACACACACACACACACACACACACACACACACACAAATATAAAGGAGAGTTTATTAAGTATTAACTTACACAATCACAAGGTCCCACAATAGGAGACAGCAAGCTTGAGGAGCAAGGAGAGCCAGTCCCAGTCTCAAAAGTGAAGAACTTGGAGTCTGCTGTTTGAGGGCAGGAAACATCCAACACGGGAGAAAGATGTAGGCTGGGAGGTTAGGCCAGTCTCTCTTTTTCACATTTTTCTTCCTGCTTATATTCTAGCCACACTGGCAGCTAATTAGATTGTGCCCACCTAGATTAAGGGTGGGTCTGCCTTTCCCAGTCTGTTGACTCAAATGTTAATCTCCTTTGGTAGCACCCTCACAGACACACCCAGGATCAATATTGCAACCTTCAATCCAATCAAGTTGACAGGCAGTATTAACCATCACACACCCCATGATTACATTGTTTTATAAGAATCTGTTTTAGCCACACAGGGAAAGTTCTCTTGATGGCCTTAAAGAAGCAAACAGCCATGCTGTCAACTGCCCATGAAGGAGGCAAGACCTGAGGGCAACCTCCACCTAATAGCATGTAGGAAGCCGAGCCTTCTGTCATACAGCCACAAGGAAATAAACTCTGTCAACAATCTAGATGAGTAGATTCTTACCTAGCCAGAGGACAACGAAATGGCACTTTCAATGGAATACAGTATCTGTCAACCCAGAAACCCATATTCAGTAAAATAACATTTCCAGACAGTCAAAAACTATCACTTTTCTTCATCAATCTTATTGATGAAATGAGAATGTAGTCCAACCAAGACATTAATTGCAACGTGGTGGGACCTCAGAGCAAAGAACCCAGCTAAGCCATTTCTGGGCTCTTACTCTATGGAAACTGAGAGAAAATATATGTGTATTGTTTTAAGCTGCTGTATTTGTGATAACTTGTTATATAATAATAGAAAACAAATACACTGTCTATTACACAATGAATGAAATGTGCTTTTTCATCTCTACTACTGCTTTGGAACTTAAGGTTAACTGGATTTATATTAATATAAGTAAATCAGCTTGCTGTTTCCATGTTGCCATTGCATAGTATACATCATTTTACATTCTATTACTTTAGCCTCTTGTGCCCTCATACTTGAAGTGTATATTTTCTTAGGCACAAAGTTTGTTTTTGTGATTTTATTGTTCTAGTAAGAAAATCTGTGTTTTGTTTGCAGTACTTAGTCTATTATATACAGATATTATTCAGTTTCAGTCCCTTAATGTTTATTTTCTTTTTTTGGCCTTCTTTTTTATGAAGTGTTTTTATTTTTTTCATTGTCTTCTATTATGTTTTTACTTATACATTTGCTTACTCTTCTTTCATTGGCTTTCAAGATATTAAAAAATTCATTCTTGAATTAATATATTTTAGTATAAACTAGTGCTCATTTTTAAGACAATTCCATTTAACATCCGTCTGCTGTTCCTGTTATTGTCATCATGTATTTTACTTCTACATATACTTTAAACGCCAGTAGACATTATTAGTATTTTGTAGAGTAAATTTGCAATTAGATTTACTCACATAATTATCTTCCCAATTTCTATTTATTCTTTCCTCTATTTCTAGTTTTCTCTAGAAAACAATGTTCTTTTCCCTGAAATACTTCATTTTTTATCTTTGGAATATGATTAATAAGGAAAAGTTTTCTTAGTTTTCGTTTGCCAGGAAATGTTATTTCACTGAATTTGAGTGTTTGGGATAGCAAGTATTTGCTTTCAATTAAAGGTAATATTTCATTATCCTCTGGCTTTTATTTTTTTATGTTGAGATGTCAACACTCAGTCCTTTTTATCTTTTTTTTTTTTTTTTGAGATGGAGTCTCACTCTGTTGCCCAGGCTGGAGTGCAGTGGTGCAATCTCGGCTCACTGCAAGCTCTGCCTCCCAGGTTCATGCCATTCTCCTGCCTCAGCCTCCGGAGTAGCTGGGACTACAGGCGCCCACCACCACACCAAGCTAATTTTTTTGTATTTTTAGTAGAGACAGGGTTTCACTGTGTTAGCCAGGAAGGTCTTGATCTGCTGACCTGGTGATCTGCCCGTCTCGGCCTCCCAAAGTGCTGGGATTATAGGTGTGATCCACTGCGCCTGGCCAACACTCAGTCTAATGTTCCTTCTTAAAAGATAATAGGTGTGTTTTCCTTTACCTCTATTTAAGAATTTATCTTTACCTTTAATTTTAAAGAGTACTAATACATTAGACATGCCTATTTGTCACTTACTTTCTATTCCTAGAAAGCAAATTCTGTTTAGGTTCCTAGCACTTCTTGAATCTGCAGATTGATATCTTTCATCATTTTGGAAAATCATAGGCATCATCATATGAAGGATTGCTTTTGCCATTCTTTTTCCTTTGCGATTTCCAAGACTCAAATTATGGATATGTTAAATATCTTCGTCATATCTCATCATATCTTCATCAAGTCTCTTACATTCTATTTTTTTTTTAATTATACTTTAAGTTTTAGGGTACACGTGCACATTGTGCAGGTTAGTTACATATGTATACATGTGCCATGCTGGTGTGCTGCACCCACTAACTCGTCATCTAGCATTAGGTATATCTCCCAGTGTTATCCCTCCCGCCTCCCCCCACCCCACAACAGTCCCCAGAGTGTGATATTCCCCTTCCTGTGTCCATGTGATCTCATTGTTCAATTCCCACCTATGAGTGAGAATATGCGGTGTTTGGTTTTTTGTTCTTGCAATAGTTTACTGAGAATGATGATTTCCAATTTCATCCATGTCCCTACAAAGGACATGAACTCATCATTTTTTATGGCTGCATAGTATTCCATGGTGTATATGTGCCACATTTTCTTAATCCAGTCTATCATTGTTGGACATTTCGGTTGGTTCCAAGTCTTTGCTATTGTGAATAATGCTGCAATAAACATACGTGTGCATGTGTCTTTATAGCAGCATGATTTATAGTCCTTTGGGTATATACCCAGTAATGGGATGGCTGCGTCAAATGGTATTACCAGTTCTAGATCCCTGAGGAATCGCCACACTGACTTCCACAATGGTTGAACTAGTTTACAGTCCTACCAACAGTGTAAAAGTGTTCCTATTTCTCCACATCCTCTCCAGCACCTGTTGTTTCCTGACTTTTTAATGATTGCCATTCTAACTGGTGTGAGATGGTATCTCATTGTGGTTTTGATTTGCATTTCTCTGATGGCCAGTGATGATGAGCATTTTTTCATGTGTTTTTTGGCTGCATAAATGTCTTCTTTTGAGAAGTGTCTGTTCATGACCTTTGCCTACTTTTTGATGGGGTTGTTTGTTTTTTTCTTGTAAATTTGTTTGAGTTCATTGTAGATTCTGGACGTTAGCCCTTTGTCAGATGAGTAGGTTGCGAAAATTTTCTCCCATGTTGTAGTTTGCCTGTTCACTCTGATGGTAGTTTCTTTTGCTGTGCAGAAGCTCTTTAGTTTAATTAGATCCCATTTGTCAATTTTGGCTTTTGTTGCCATTGCTTTTGGTGTTTTAGACATGTCCTTGCCCATGCCTATGTCCTGAATGGTAATGCCTAGGTTTTCTTCTAGGGTTTTTATGGTTTTAGGTCTAACGTTTAAGTCTTTAATCCATCTTGAATTGATTTTCGTATAAGGTGTAAGGAAGGGTTCCAGTTTCAGCTTTCTACGTATGGCTAGCCAGTTTTCCCAGCACCATTTATTAAATAGGGAATCCTTTCCCCATTGCTTGTTTTTCTCAGGTTTGTCAAAGATCAGACAGTTGTAGATATGCGGCGTTATTTCTGAGGGCTCTGTTCTGTTCCATTGATCTATATCTCTGTTTTGGTACCAGTACCATGCTGTTTTGGTTACTGTAGCCTTGTAGTATAGTTTGAAGTCAGGTAGTGTGATGCCTCCAGCTTTGTTTTTTTGGCTTAGGATTGACTTGGTGATGCGGGCTCTTTTTTGGTTCCATATGAACTTTAAAGTAGTTTTTTCCAATTCTGTGAAGAAAGGCATTGGTAGCTTGATGGGGATGGCATTGAATCTGTAAATTACCTTGGGCAGTATGGCCATTTTCACGATATTGATTCTTCCTACCCATGTGCATGGAATGTTCTTCCATTTGTTTGTATCCTCTTTTATTTCACTGAGCAGTGGTTTGTAGTTCTCCTTGAAGAGGTCCTTCTCATCCCTTGTAAGTTGGATTCCTAGGCATTTTATTCTCTTTGAAGCAATTGTGAATGGGAGTTCACTCATGATTTGGCTTTCTGTTTGTCCGTTGTTGGTGTATAAGAATGCTTGTGATTTTTGTACATTGATTTTGTATCCTGAGACTTTGCTGAAGTTGCTTATCAGCTTAAGGAGATTTTGGGCTGACACAATGGGGTTTTCTAGATATACAGTCATGTCATCTGCAAACAGGGACAATTTGACTTCCTCTTTTCCTAATTGAATACCCTTTATTTCCTTCTCCTGCCTAATTGCCCTGGCCAGAACTTCCAACACTATGTTGAATAGGAGTGGTGAGAGAGGGCATCCCTGTCTTGTGCCAGTTTTCAAAGGGAATGCTTCCAGTTTTTGCCCATTCAGTATGATATTGGCTGTGGGTTTGTCATAGATAGCTCTTATTATTTTGAAATACGTCCCATCAATACCTAATTTATTGAGAGTTTTTAGCATGAAGGGTTGTTGAATTTTGTCAAAGGCTTTTTCTGCATCTATTGAGATAATCATGTGGTTTTTGTCTTTGGCTCTGTTTATATGCTGGATTACATTTATTGATTTGCTTATATTGAACCAGCCTTGCATCCCAGGGATGAAGCCCACTTGATCATGGTGGATAAGCTTTTTGATGTGCTGCTGGATTCGTTTTGCCAGTATTTAATAGAGGATTTTTGCATCAATGTTCATCAAGGATATTGGTCTAAAATTCTCTTTTTTGGTTGTGTCTCTGCCAGGCTTTGGTATCAGAATGATGCTGGCCTCATCAAATGAGTTAGGGAGGATTCCCTCTTTTTCTATTGATTGGAATAGTTTCAGAAGGAATGGTACCAGTTCCTCCTTGTACCTCTGGTAGAATTTGCCTGTGAATCCATCTGGTCCTGGACTCTTTTTGGTTGGTAAGCTATTGATTATTGCCACAATTTCAGATCCTGTTATTGGTCTATTCAGAGATTCAATTTCTTCCTGGTTTAGTCTTGGGAGAGTGTATGTGTCGAGGAATTTATCCATTTCTTCTAGATTTTCTAGTTTATTTGCGTAGAGGTGTTTGCAGTATTCTCTGATGGTAGTTTGTATTTCTGTGGGATCGGTGGTGATATCCCCCTTATCATTTTTTATTGCGTCTATTTGATTCTTCTCTCTTTTTTTCTTTATTAGTCTTGCTAGCAGTCTATCAATTTTGTTGATCCTTTCAAAAAACCAGCTCCTGGATTCATTAATTTTTTGAAGGGTTTTTTGTGTCTCTATTTCCTTCAGTTCTGCTCTGATTTTAGTTATTTCTTGCCTTCTGCTAGCTTTTGAATGTGTTTGCTCTTGCTTTTCTAGTTCTTTTAATTGTGATGTTAGGGTGTCAATTTTGGATCTTTCCTGCTTTCTCTTGTGGGCATTTAGTGTTATAAATTTCCCTCTACACACTGCTTTGAATGCGTCCCAGAGATTCTGGTACGTTGTGTCTTTGTTCTCGTTGGTTTCAAAGAACATCTTTATTTCTGCCTTCATTTCGTTATGTACCCAGTAGTCATTCAGGAGCAGGTTGTTCAGTTTCCATGTAGTTGAGTGGTTTTGAGTGAGATTCTTAATCCTGAGTTCTAGTTTGATTGCACTGTGGTCTGAGAGATAGTTTGTTGTAATTTCTGTTCTTTTACATTTGCTGAGGAGAGCTTTACTTCCAAGTATGTGGTCAATTTTGGAATAGGTGTGGTGTGGTGCTGAAAAAAATGAATATTCTGTTGATTTGGGGTGGAGAGTTCTGTAGATGTCTATTAGGTCCGCTTGGTGCAGAGCTGAGTTCAATTCCTGGGTTTCCTTGTTGACTTTCTGTCTCATTGATCTGTCTAATGTTGACAGTGGGGTGTTAAAGTCTCCCATTATTAATGTGTGGGAGTCTAAGTGTCTTTGTAGGTCACTCAGGACTTGCTTTATGAATCTGGGTGTTCCTGTATTGGGTGCATATATATTTAGGATAGTTAGCTCTGCTTGTTGAATTGATCCCTTTACGATTATGTAATGGCCTTGTCTCTTTTGATCTTTGTTGGTTTAAAATCTGTTTATCAGAGACTAGGATTGCAACCCCTGCCTTTTTTTGTTTTCCATTTGCTTGGTAGATCTTCCTCCATCCTTTTATTTTGAGACTATGTGTGTCTCTGCACGTGAGATGGGTTTCCTGAATACAGCACAGTGATGGGTCTTGACTCTTTATCCAATTTGCCAGTCTGTGTCTTGTAATTGGAGCATTTAATCCATTTACATTTAAAGTTAATATTGTTATGTGTGAATTTGATCCTGTCATTATGATGTTAGCTGGTTATTTTGCTCGTTAGTTGATGCAGTTTCTTCCTAGTCTCGACGGTCTTTACATTTTGGCATGATTTTGCAGTGGCTGGTATAGGTTGTTCCTTTCCATGTTTAGCGCTTCCTTCAGGAGCTCTTTTAGGGCAGGCCTGGTGGTGACAAAATCTCTCAGCATTTGCTTGTCTGTAAAGTATTTTATTTCTCCTTCACTTATGAAGCTTAGTTTGGCTGGATATGAAATTCTGGGTTGAAAATTCTTTTCTTTAAGAATGTTGAATATTGGCCCCCACTCTCTTCTGGCTTGTAGGGTTTCTGCCGAGAGATCCAATGTTAGTCTGATGGGCTTCCCTTTGAGGGTAACCCGACCTTTCTCTCTGGCTGCCCTTAACATTTTTTCCTTCATTTCAACTTTGGTGAATCTGACAATTATGTGTCTTGGAGTTGCTCTTCTCGAGGAGTATCTTTGTGGCGTTCTCTGTATTTCCTGAATCTGAACGTTGGCCTGCCTTGCTAGATTGGGGACATTCTCCTGGATAATATCCTGCAGAGTGTTTTCCAACTTGGTACCATTCTCCCCATCACTTTCAGGTACACCAATCAGACATAGATTTGGTCTTTTCACATAGTCCCATATTTCTTGGAGGCTTTGCTCGTTTCTTTTTATTCTTTTTTCTCTAAACTTCCCTTCTCACTTCATTTCATTCATTTCATCTTCCATTGCTGATACACTTTCTTCCAGGTGATCGCATTGGCTCCTGAGGCTTCTGCATTCTTCACGTAGTTCTCGAGGCTTGGTTTTCAGCTCCATCAGCTCCTTTAAGCACTTCTCTGTATTGGTTATTCTAGTTAGTCATTCTTCGAAATTTTTTTGAAAGCTTTCAACTTCTTTGCCTTTGGTTTGAATGTCCTCCTGTAGCTCAGAGTAATTTGGTCGTCTGAAGCCTTCTTCTCTCAGCTTGTCAAAGTCATTCTCCATCCAGCTTTGTTCTGTTGCTGTTGAGGAACTGCGTTCCTTTGGAGGAGGAGAGGCACTCTGCTTTTTAGAGTTTCCAGTTTTTCTGTTCTGTTTTTTCCCTATCTTTGTGGTTTTATCTACTTTTGGTCTTTGATGATGGTGATGTACAGATGGGTTTTTGGTGTGGATGTCCTTTCTGTTTGTTAGTTTTCTTTCTAACAGACAGGACCCTCAGCTGCAGGTCTGTTGGAGTACCCTGCCGTGTGAGGTGTCAGTGTGCTCCTGCTGGGGGGTGCCTCCCTATTAGGCTGCTGGGGGGTCTGGGGTCAGGGACCCACTTGAGGAGGCAGTCTGCCCGTTCTCAGATCTCCTGCTGCGTGCTGGGAGAACCACTGCTCTCTTCAAAGCTGTCAGACAGGGACATTTAAGTCTGCAGAGGTTACTGCTGTCTTTTTGTTTGTCTGTGCCCTGCCCCCAGAGGTGGAGCCTACAGAGGCAGGCAGGCCTCCTTGAGCTGTGGTGGGCTCCACCCAGTTGGAGCTTCCTGGCTGCTTTGTTTACCTCAGCAAGCCTGGGCAATGGCGGGCGCCCCTCCCCCAGCCTCGCTGCCGCCTTGCAGTTTGATCTCAGACTGCTGTGCTAGCAATCAGCGAGACTCCCTGGGGTAGGACCCTCCGAGCCAGGTGCGGGAGATAGTCTCCTGGTGCGAGGATTTTTAAGCCGGTCGGAAAAGCGCAGTATTCGGGTGGGAGTGACCCGATTTTCCAGGTGAGTCCGTCACCCCTTTCTTTGACTCGGAAAGGGAACTCCCTGACCCCTTGCACTTCCGGAGTGAGGCAATGCCTCGCCCTGCTTCGGCTCGCGCACGGTGCGCGCACCCACTGGCCTGCGCCCACTGTCTGGCACTCCCTAGTGAGATGAACCCGGTACCTCAGATGGAAATGCAGAAATCACCCGTCTTCTGCGTCGCTCACGCTGGGAGCTGTAGAGCGGAGCTGTTCCTATTCGGCCATCTTGGCTCCTCCGGCTTACATTCTTGTATGTATGTATCTTCTGTCTTTTCTGCTCTCCAAGTTAGTTCTGAATATTTTCTGATGAGTTATTTTTAGTTCTTATATTCCTTTTATCAGCTACCTGCAGTTAAACTAATTTATGATCTATTAATTTCAGATATTATGATGTTTATTTCTCAATTTCCACTCGGATTTTTTAATACAGATTCTTAATTCTCCGTGAATTCCTATATTCTCCTCATCCATTTTCTTGAAATAATGACAGTGAGTTTTAATTAAAGTCTGATCACTACAATATCTGTATCATCTGTATTTCTATTTGTGTTCACTCTTGGTATCTCTTTCTGCATATATGTGTGTATATGTTATCCATTCATTCATTTATTTATTTGTGAAAATAAGCATATGTATGTTTTTACTTATTCAGTTAGTATGCCTGGTGTTTCTTAAATGCCAGATATTGGGTATAAAAATTATCAAGAATATGAATGACTTTTTTTCTTCCTCAAGAGAGAGAATTCACTTTATTCTCCAGAAGGCAGCAAGAGAATGGATTGCCTGAGTCCAGTAAGAATTGGGAAATTTTTAAACTGTATGGCAGTGTTTGTAAGTCTTACTTTTAATCTGAGCGTGTAATCCTCTAGATGTTCCAAATGTGAGCCTGGAGTATTTAGTAGGATTCTCCTCCTTGGTGGATAATTAATTACAATTTTTTTTGTACAATATTATGGTACTGCCAAAAAGTCTACCATGGCCACTTTCTACATGATTTCTTAACTTCTTTCTCTGTGTGGCTTAAAAATTAGCAAATGCCTCAGTATAAAAATATGTGTTCACTATTTGACTAACTTCTTTGTGCCCTCTTCTCTCTTTAATAAGTCCTTGGTTACCCTCATGTCTCTAAACTCTAGTTTTTGTCTTCTGCCCTAGAGTTCCTGGCAGCATTTTCAATCATTTCTTGCCTCTTAGAAGATGTGCATTGTTCTGTTTTTCAGCCACAGAACATAAATTCCCCAAAGAGAAAAGCAGCGTGTAGAAAGCTGGGCTCAACTCAGTGAGAGCCCCTTCTCTCCAGGGTTTGGCCCCCATGTGCTGGCTGCCTTACCAGCTCTTCAGTGCTTTCAGAGTCATTTCTATACTTTATACCACTTCCTTGATAGTTTTCATCGGGAAAATCAAAATGCTACAAGCTACATTATTATAACTGGAAGCAGAAATGTCCTACAAACAATATATTTAATTTTCAAGAACTATTTCTATTTCTCTGAATTCTTTAATTTCATGTTAACCTATGTTTTTTAGGTGGACAACATGATGTTGATACCACTAAAGACACTAGTTAGAATCTTACATTTTCTTCTGTCTCTTTCATTGCACCTATTTCCTCTTATACTTACTGTCCTCTGTATTCATTATCATCTTTCAATTTCATGCTTCAAATATTTGGTCATTTTTGGCTTATTATTTATGTCTATTTTTGTGGATAACTAGTCGAAGTTTTCTTTCCAAGTATGGAGGTCTATTTAGCTAAAAGACTACATTACTAAAAGGAAAGGCTACTGTGTTCTCTGTGTAAGTAGAAAGTCTAATCATTGGCAGGGTTGTCTTCATGGACATTGACTCTGCAGTAGGCAGGTCTATTCAAGATTCTTGTAATTGCCCAAGTAAGAAGTCTTTTTTCCTATGAAAAAAGACTTCTTAAACTTGGGCAAAAAAGACTTTTGCTCCTGGTTGGAGCTCCCTTTATTTTTTCTCTGAATCTCTTTTGCAGGTTTGGAGTTACTTTGGCTCACTTTACTCTCCACAGCTCCATTACTGACTCAGTAGATCTTTTCCAGAAAAATAATGTACTCCACTTGGAGAGCACTATGTTTAGGTCACCAGCTAGGAACAAATTCTACAGGCAGAGCAAGGAATTATTTCCCCAATTACATAAGGCAGGCCACAGAAAACCTGCAGGTAGTTCTCTAGGGAATCAACCTGAGACGTTTCTATCCGTCCCCTCTACACAGATGTCAGGTTTTATTTGGATGCTTTTTTTGGGCCCCATCTTGCAAATCATATAGGTATTCATGTATATATTCTCCATATTCTCGTGTGTGTGTGTGTGTGTGTGTGTGTGTGTGTGTGTGTGTGTGTGTTTCCATCTGCATAATTTCAGGTGTTTTTTCTTCCAAGTTACCTCAGTAGGTCAATTCAATCTAGTGTCACAAGTTGCACCTTTTGTTATATGATTACTCCTAATATTAAGAATCTATCACTTGTGATATCTAGATTTAAATCAGGGAAAAGAGCGAACAATGCATTTTCAATTTGTGGATGGAAAATAAAATATTACATATTTAACAATAAGTAGTTAAATTCAGGATGATATGTACTTAATACATTTATGTAGAAAGATAACTGAATAGCATTGAGGTCTCACCTAGACTACTAGTTTATGTTTAATTCTACTAGAAAAATCACATATAAGGTGGTCATAAATTCATATCATTAAACTAGAATTATAATATTTTCACACTTTGGACTCCTGTGATTATATACACAGCATATACATAAGTACAATTAGTTTGCTATAATGGATGATTTTCTAATTTTACTTGATGCACTAGTGAAACTTGCAGATGTCTTGCGTGCCATACATTCCATTTTATCTATACAATGTTTATTATATTTACTTTGTACAAAATATAAATGTAAATCCTTCTTTTATAGCATATTTATTTTTTTCTGCTGACTGTTTATTCACTGCATTTTCATTGCCAAGTTAATTAAATGAGTTACACATAATTGACTTTGGTGTTCAATGAGAATTAGAAAACATTTAAGAAGAAAGTTTATAAAATAACCAAAGACTTTTAAAAAGGGTACTGTGAGCAGAGTATCATGTGAAAAGTAATAACATATAAAGCAAACAGCTGTAATATATGAAACAAAATCTTGTTGTTAATTTAATTTCTGGATATGTCTAATTTATTACAAAACTGTATGAGTACCTACTAGGTGCATAGTACTTTACAAGGTAATATGGAAGCACTGTGAAATGAATAAAACAGAAATCCCTTCTTCACTCCCTCCCTTTAGAAGTACTGATCTAGGTGCTAGAGAAGAATAATGTGTAAGATACAGAAACAGAAAAATAAGTATGCAGCCTGAGTTTAGCATATGAGGATTTCCATAAAGATGAGCACAGGGTCCTAACATGGACCACAGCAGAAACATATAACCCAGCTCAGAGAGTCAGGGTGGGCTTCTCAGAGGTGACACATATACCCAAGGGAGCTCACATCCAAAGGGCTACAAAGAGATGTACACAGAATTCCTTAACTCACTTGTGCTTAACTACATTTGTATTTCCAATCCCCTCACAGAAATTTTCTGTGTCCTTATTCATTATTTGTATTATTATTAATATTATTATTATTTTGAGATGGAGTTTTGCTCTTTTTTGCCCAGGTTGGAGTGCAATGGCACAATCTCCGCTCACTGCAACCTCCGCTTCCCTGATTCATCAATTCTCCTGCCTCAGCCTCCCAAGTAGCTGGGATGACAGGCATGTGCCACCACACCTGGCTAATTTTGTATTTTTAGTAGAGATGGGGTTTCACCGTGTTGGCCAGGCTATTCTCCAACTCCTGAACTAAGGTGATCCGCCTGCCTCAGCCTGCCAAAGTGCTGGGATTACAGGCTTGAGCCACCATGCCCAGCTTTGTATTTTAAAATCACTGTTGGATAGTAGCACAAGTGTCGGTGGGCTCCATTTCATAGTCACACTGTCTTACATGAACTAGGCCTCTTTTGCCCCTGAGGGCTCAATTTTAGAAAAAAAACACAGTGATATAAAATTAGACATTTCTCATGAGGCTTTGATGAATGCAGTTGTGGGGCTAGCTAAACAGATCGGCTATGCTGGTTGCTTCTGTACTTGTGCTGAGGCTGAAGTCAGCAGGGTAGGCGGTTGGTGAGGAAGGGACAATGAAAAAAGAACAAGAGTGAGCATGAACAAACTGGAACCAACCAATGAGAGAGGCTGGAATCCATGGCCATCTCAAAGCACCACCAAACCTCCAACTTTGATGATCCAGGCCACCTGCAAGCGATGCTGGTTTCCTGTGTCATAGAACTAAATATTCACTGGCCTAGGAGGTGGAGATGCTAGAGAAGGAGACAGAATGGCTGGAGAAGCCCCATGCTGGGTAGATGCCCCAGAGGTAGTACTTGGTGACTTAGGATTTGGAGAAATGTGGAGGAGGAAATCCAGCATGTGCAGGGGCATGAGGGCTCAGCAGCTTCCCAAACCAACAGGACCCATAGGTCAGGGACAACTTGGGACAACTGGTGCCCTGCTCTGACTTTCAGATGACAAAGAATAAAGATGATGCTCTTCTCCCCCTACCCAATTCACACAAATTGTTTGTGGCCAGAACTATGCAGAGAAAGGGATTCAGGGAAACATAACCCTGATTCACTAACGTGACACAGTACTAATTCCTAAGAGCCACTCAAAAGCTCTCATTCACCTTAACTGGACTCCAAATACACACTCGTGTGCAGCTATGCCCAAGTTTTCTACTGTCTTATATTTCAAAGTCCAACCTGGTGTCCCTTACACCTGATAATCCAACAACAAAGATAAAAGTGTGAGATTTAGGGCAAGCCTGGGTTTTAGTCCTGACTTGGCCTCTTCCCCACTATGTGACCATAGCTATATTTCTTTTCCTCCCTAAGTCTTAGTTGCCTATTTGTAAAATGTGGTCAACTATGGCTTACCCCATGAGGCTGTTGTGAGGATTAAGTGGGATACTGCCGTAAAGCCCTGAATATTTTATCTAGTAAATCATAAGTGCCTCCGAAATGTTAGTGCCGTGGTGATACTGGGGGTATTGTTTCAGCAGATAACCTTCCCTCATATCTTAATAAACTGAGTTACTTCAAAATTGTTCCTCTGTACTGCAAAATTTTTCTTAACTCTACTCATTACCAACCATCTCACAGATAGAACATGTCGCTCTTTATTTCTAAAGGGAACTTCCTCCTGTGTTGTGTAATTCTCATTTCTCTACCTTTATTTATTTGTCTTATAAATATTGATTTATCGCATATTAAAATGTCAAGTAGGGACATTATATTGCTGAATGAAGTAGATGCTTCCTCCCCAATGTGCAGCTTAGAGATAACAAAGAAGAAAGCATGATATTTCCTATTTTGATAAGTTATATCAAGGAAATACATGGTACTGTGATAGAATATGATTTCTGGGCAGGCTGCTTCAGCGAATGTGATCAGAAAAGATCTTTTGAAGAAGAGCACATTTGAATGAGGCTCTAGGTGTGAGGAGCATCCAGGCCAAGGACAACGTAGACTGTATCCTGAATCTGACACTGACTTGATGAGTTCAGGGGCATTAATGGGGCATCTAATGAGGGGGCAGGGCCATGAGATGAGATTGCAGGTGAAGATGGAGCCAACCCATGTCTTGTAGGAATGGACGGAAGGCTTCAGTCCATCAAAGATCTCATTCTTACTAGGGCCTTCTCTTTTTTAAAATTGTCAATACTCAGGTACACAACATGATGTTTTGATATAATTACAAATAGTAAAATTTTGACTATAGTCAAGTACATTAACATATCTGTCATCTTGCATAGTTACCCTTGTGTGTATGTGGTAAGAGCCACTAAAAGCGACTCTCTTAGCAAATTTTCAGTATACAATATTATAATTATAATCCTCGTGTTATACATTAGATCTTTAGATGTATTTATCCTATATTTCTGCAGCTTTGTACCCTTTGACTTACATCTCTCATTTCTCCCATACCCTGCGCACATCTGTCAGCCCTGATAACCACTGTTTCATTCTCTTTTTTATGTAATTGGCTTTTTTTTTTTTTTAAGATTCTATATATAAGTGAGACTATGCAGTATTTTCCTTTCTGGGCCTGGCTTATTTCACTTAGCATGATGTTCTCCATGTTCACCCATACTGTTGCAAATGGCATGATCTTGTTCTTTTTTAAGGTTACTATTGTTTTTATTTTATCTTTTTCCACTGGACACTTCTCCTGATACACATAGTAGAGTTTTTCATTCCAATTTCTTAAAAATTATTTGATTCTGTTTCTTTTCTCAAACTGCTATGCTAACTGTTCCATTCCATTGAGGGCCAAACTTTTCAAAAGAAGTTTACAGTTGTTACTCCTCTCATTTATTGCCTAATCCATGGAGTCTGGGCATATTAGCCTTGTCTGTGTACTGAAAAATCTTTCTTGAACTCACAGTCCACTTGCTAAATCCACTGGACTTTACTTGTTATACATTTCTTTAGAATGATGCAGAAAAGGCCTTTGACAAAGTTCTACAACCCTTCATGCTAAAAACTCTCAGTAAATTAGGTATTGATAGTACGTATCTCAAAATAATAAGAGCTATCTATGACAAACCCACAGCCAATATCATACTGGTTGGGCAAAAACTGGAAGCATTCCCTTTGAAAACTGGCACAAGACAGGGATGCCCTCTCTCACCACTACTATTCAACATAGTGTTGGAAGTTCTGGCCAGGGCAATCAGGCAGGAGAAGGAAATAAAGGGCATTCAATTAGGAAAAGAGGAAGTCAAATTGTCCCTGTTTGCAGATGACATGACTGTGTATCTAGAAAACCCCATCATCTCAGCCCAAAATCTCCTTAAGCTGATAAGCAACTTCAGCAAAGTCTCAGGATACAAAATCAATGTACAAAAATCACAAGCATTCTTATACACCAATAACAGACTAACAGAGAGCCAAATCGTGAGGGAACCCCCATTCACAATTGCTTCAAAGAGAATAAAATACTTAGGAATCCAGCTTACAAGGGATGTGAAGGACCTCTTCAAGGAGAACTACAAACCACTGCTCAATGAAATAAAAGAGGATACAAACAAATGGAAGAACATTCCATGCTCATGGATAGGAAGAATCAATATCGTGAAAATGGCCATACTGCCCAGGGCAATTTATAGATTCAATGCCTTCCCTATCAAGCTACCAATGACTTTCTTCACAGAATTGGAAAAAACTACTTTAAAGTTCATATGGAACCAAAAAAGAGCCCGCATTGCTAAGTCAATCCTAACCAAAAGAACAAAGCTGGAGGCATCATGCTACTTGACTTCAAACTATACTACAAGGCTACAGTAACCAAAACAGCATGGTACTGGTACCAAAACAGAGATATAGAACAATGGAACAGAACAGAGCCCTCAGAAATAATGCCACGTATCTACAACTGTCTGATCTTTGACAAACCTGAGAAAAACAAGCAATGGGGAAAGGATTCCCTATTTAATAAATGGTTCTGGGAAAACTGGCTAGTCATACGTAGAAAGCTGAAACTGGATCCCTTCCTTACACCTTATACAAAAATCAATTCAAGATGGATTAAAGACTTAAATGTTAGACCTAAAACCATAAAAACCCTAGACGAAAACCTAGGCAATACCATTCAGGACATAGGCATGGGCAAGGACTTCATCTCTAAAACACCAAAAACAATGGCAACAAAAGCCAAAATTGATAAATGGGATCTAATTAAAGAGCTTCTGCACAGCAAAAGAAACTATCATCAGAGTGAACAGGCAACCTACAGAATGGGAGAAAATTTTTGCAATCTACTCATCTGACAAAGGGCTAATATCCAGAATCTACAATGAACTCAGACAAATTTATAAGAAAAAAACAAACAACCCCATCAAAAAGTGGGCAAAGGATATGAACAGATGCTTTTCAAAAGAAGACATTTATGCAGCCAAAAGACACATGAAAAAATGCTCATGATCACTGGACATCAGAGAAATGCAAATCAAAACCACAATGAGATACCATCTCACACCAGTTAGAATGGTGATAATTAAAGAGTCAGGAAACAACAGGTGCTGGAGAGGATGTGGAGAAATAGGAACACTTTTACACTGTTGGTGGGACTGTAAACTAGTTCAACCATTGTGGAAGTCAGTGTGGCGATTCCTCAGGGATCTAGAACCAGAAATACCATTTGACCCAGCCATCCCATTACTGGGTATATACCCAAAGGATTATAAATCATGCTGCTATAAGGACACATGCACACATATGTTTATTGTGGCACTATTCACAATAGCAAAGACTTGGAACCAACCGAAATGTCCAACAATGATAGACTGGATTAAGAAAATGTGGCACATATACACCATGGAATACTATGCAGCCATGAAAAATGATGAGTTTATGTCCTTTGTAGGGACATGGATAAAGCTGGAAACCATCATTCTCAGCAAACTATCGCAAGGACAAAAAACCAAACACCGCATATTCTCACTCATAGGTGGGAAATTGAACAATGAGAACACATGGACACAGGAAGGGGAACATCACACACCGGGGCCTGTTGTGGGGTGGGGGGATGGGGGAGGGATAGCATTAGGAGATATACCCAATGTTAAATGACGAGTTAATGGGTGCAGCACACCAACGTGGCACATTATACATCTGTGACAAACCTGCACATTGTGCACATGTACCCTAAAACTTAAAATATGATAATAATAAAAAGAGTTTGCGGTTTGCTGTTGTGTCACTATTCTAAAGGAAACTTCCCCTTAGCTTTCAACGTCCTCTGGTCTGTCTCCTTTGAGTCAAATTTTTGCTTCTCTTCCCTAAGTATAGACATTTCCCAAGTCTGTGTTCTTGCTCACCTTTTCTACTCTTTCCTTATGTTCTTCTTTGTCTGCATCATCAAATGCTATGGCTTCAACTATTATCTTTGCCTGGATAGTCACAAATCTGGATTTCTAGTCTTGATAATTCTCTTGCAATGTCATATCTCATTTCTAGAGCTGACTGGCTAGCTTAACTGGAAGTCACTCAGGCACTGCCAACTAAAAATATGAAGAGGTAGATCATTATGTTTTCTACAAGAATACGTCTTGGTTTCTTATTTTTATTTATAGGGATGTTACCATCTGAAGATGTATAGCTATCTTTAACTTCTTTTGTTTTCCCTCTTCTATATTCCTCACACGCAGCTTATCACCTTTCTTTAAATGCATGAGAAAAGCAAACCATCTTCCATTTTCTCCTGTATTTTTCCACCACAAAGTCTTCTAACCTTCCCTGCATTGTGCTCATCTTTTTTCTTCCACCTGTTACAACCTCTGCAACCACTTTCCTACACTGGTTATCTTTCCTCTCTTCTGAACCTTCCCTCTATCTCCTGGATCATTTCCATCCAAATCCAAAAGGCTTTCACCTCCTCCATCTAGAAAAGCAATAATAAATGACAAAACGTCAACAAAAACAAAATATATCCTTCCCTTGATCACACCTATCTTTTCTGCATCTGTCCTATTTCTCTAGCCTTTATTTAAAGTGTAACTTCTAGAGCTAGTTCTCTCTACAAACATGTCTCCAGTTCTTCATTTCCATTCACCCTCATCTTGTTAAAGTCTAGCTTTTGTCTCAAACTCCGTTGAACTGCTTTTGTCAAAACCCAATGACCTTCATGTGGTTGGTTATTGCCCTCACCCTACTCCTACCTTGTTGTTTACTTGGGACGCTTACATTGTGTTTTCCTTTTGGTAACAACCGCTTCCTTTTGCCTCTGGGACATTCCTTTGGATTCTTGGTTTTCCTGTTATCACTTTAGCTGGTGCGTATTAGGATTCAACAGTTATTGTTGTCAATATGTTTTTCATCATCTAGAAGTTTAGCACTTGATAATGCAACAAAAAAAATACCCTCAATATTTCCATAAAAGATTAACACAAGATTTCTAAGTCTATAATATATTTTCTCCCAGTAGGGGGTCATGTTTGAATATAAAGTCTTTTCTGTGCTGATATTCAGTTGAGGCAGATGATGAAAGAGCTCAGTTGGGGGCATCAGGGAATTCATAAACCTGTGATAGAATCAAAGACTTGTTTAAGGCAGATGCAGTACATGGAAAAGTCATTAATGCCTTCAAAATGTAAGTTAAAAGTTATGAGTAATAAGAAATTCTTAAAGTCCTCTAGACAGTATGCTGAAATTTAGCATTCAGCAGTATTGTTGTACCTATTTTTTCCTTAGGGTGGCTTCTCATCCTTTTTTATTAACTCATGCATTGAAGGTATTTCTGAGCTCCTTACATGATAAGAACCTCAAAGAAAAATAGTCAATCTCTGTTAGACATAAAGTTGGCAGGAGTTATTTTTCCATTTCCCTCTAAGCCTTTCCGTTTAAGAAGTTGTTTGAGTACAAAGCTAAGTTTCTTTTCTACTTGCTACAATTGTTCTATCTCACCATTACTTTCTGCTATCATAATGCCTACTTTTAACAACACAAATTTGCTTTGTTTTTCAACCAAACACTATGTAATGAAAACAGCTGACTGGGGAAAGATAATTTGCAGAATTATTGCTTAAGTTCACATTTTGACAAATAACTGTCTCACTCCTCTGAGTCTCCCATTTTTTTTCCTCTTTCATCCGATTAAAAATTATTTGATTTATTACTTCCAGACAAAAGATAAATCGTATTTCCTGGTGTACTTTTAAATCAAAACTAAATAAGACAAAGTAGTTTAATAATATTTTATTCCAGACTTACTTATCTCCATAACCTTTAGCTTAGCCCTGTCAGGAGTGATATGTCAATGATATCCTTTCATACAGTATTTATTCCCTGTAATTTCCCATCTTCTTTTATTTGTGGAAAGTGACAAAAAATGCCAAAGAAAATGTCCAATGAATCCCACTGTGATTCAATCTTCCAGTTGCTATTTGATTTATTCTCTTTAATTCACATTTTATTATAGTACCTATCCTCTCCCTGATTACCATTAAAAGTGGAACAAAATCATAACTTCTTGTCTTGACATTGAAGAATTTTTAAAATTTAATAATACCAATAGTGAATACTGTTTTATTTTTCTGCCCAGCCTCCTTCTTTTCTTCTATTACTAATACTGTAAAGTATTCCCTTTGGGATACTAATTTTCTTCATCTTTCAGCCAATGTAGTAACCAAACTCAGTTGACTTTGCTACCAGCTTCTGGGTGCATATGTGACTCAGGCTTGGCCCATCAAAACATCACATTCTCGGGTCTCAATGTTTATTCTAGGAATGGGTAAAAGATTCAATCAGAACTTATCAAAACCAACTGTGAGACTTTTGGAGGAGAGATTACTCTCTTCATCCCTGAACTTGGGTTTTGAAATGTAAACCTTGAAGCTTTTACTAGACATCTTATCATCATGAGGGGAAAAATTATGTTTAAGAATGAGACCAATAGAGAGAAAAGCAGATAACAGAGATAAGTAGAAACAAGGCTTGGTTTTGATGACATTCACTTAGTTTCTTGATCAAGCCATGCCTGAAAGTGCAAAACTCTGAATTTTTTTCTTTACATGAGGTAATATATTCTCTCTGTGTATCTTTTTTTATTTCAGTTTTTACTAAATTTCTACCAATTCCTACGAAAAGTATTAACTCAGCACATATCCAATCATTCATATCTCAAAATTCTTCTCCATGAAATACTTGTTTTTGAAATGTTTAAAACATTTTTAAACACATCATTGACTTCTCTAACTGAAATATTCTATCATTATGAGATTTTCCTTTCATTTTGGATTATTTATTGTGCTTTTGGATTATTTATTTTCTTCCTGAATTCCTGCTACCTAAATTTAAGATGCAAATAAATTTACATTATAAAAGTTATTTATGTTGTATAGTCTTATAAGATCCCTCTAACATTGTTATTAGCTATCACTTACATACTGAGCTATTGGACAGCATTTATAACTTGTACTGATTCCAACACTATCATATATGCTGTTTAACTACCGTATCTTTTATTTTGTTCTATCCTCTGTTATGAGGAGGAATGCCTTACCTAGAAAAGCTCGGTGAACATACTTCAGCCTGTAAAAGTATATGCATGAAATGCGTTCATTGGTGGGAGATTCTAAACCAGAAATTTCAAACTTAAATACTCCCAGGGACCAGGCAACATAAAAGTGTAAAGTTAACATCAGACCATAGGTGCTAAGCTCTTGTACTATGTCCAGCCTCAACAGTGGCTTAGTTACATTGACCTTTCAAACCGATTGCCCCTTAAAATATGAAAGCTGTGTGCCAGCCAACCACAATGGCCAAACCAAACACAGTGCTTACCTAATGTAGCCGCTGGGCTGATGGCCAACATCTTGGTTGAAGGCATCCATTACTCCTCTAGATTTCAGCTGTGAATGCTGCACTTTTAATGTTGTTTGTGTCCTTACACCCCCTATACACAGACATACACACACACACACACACACACACAAACAGTCACTATGTGATGGAATTGATACATTAATTGATTTGATTGTGGTAATCATTTCACATTGTATTCTTATGTCAAATCGTTACACTGTATATCTTCAACATGTCGAATTTTAATTTGTCAATTATGCCTCAGTAAAGTTGAAAAAAATATTTTTTAGACACGCAACTTCTACCCCAGATAATTAGTAATATCATATCATGAGTGTCCATCCCACTGTAGAAATAGTTTACATCTTCTATACATCTAAAGGGTCAATCATAACTAAAAATGTTTTTATGTGAGGGATTATTAAATAATTTAACTTGCAAAGAATTTAAAATAGACTTGTTATATTAAAACAAGCATGGATATATTATAAAGTAGATTATAATTTTTATAGGAATTTACATGAACAAATTTAAGCAGACTCGTTTTTTTTTTTTTTTTTTTTTTGAGACAGAGTCTCGCTCTGTCACCCAGGCTGGAGTGCAGTGGTGCAATATCGGCTCACTGAAAGCTCCGCCTCCCGGGCTCACGCCATTCTCCTGCCTCAGCCTCCCGAGTAGCTGGGACTACAGGCGCCCCCCACCACGCCCGGCTAATTTTTTGTATTTTTAGTAGAGATGGGGTGTCACCGTGTTAGCTGGGATGGTCCCGATCTCCTGACCTCGTGTTCTGCCCGCCTCAGCCTCCCAAAGTTCTGGGATTACAGGCATGAACCACCGTACCCGGCTTAAGCAGACTCTTAAACCTAATTCCTCATTAAAAAAAGTCTGTACCTCCTTTCTCCCAATAAAACAAAACATCCAATCAAACTAAAAGAAGTTACTAAGCATGCATGTTCTCCTCTCTCTATCTATTAGGCTCTTATGGTGAAACTATTGAGAAACACTATTCTAAAATGATTTCTTTTCCTAGGACATTTCAAAAGTATGCAGATATTTATGGAATTAGAAGCTCTGTCTAATTTATTTTTTAAAACCATTGCTATCTCTAGTCAGTTCAACAAACAAGTATTGTTTGTCTCCCCTATACCAAAAACTGTGTTAAATGCTGAAGAATTACAATATAAACAGCTCCTGGAACTGGAGAAATAACAGTTGCTTGGGGGAAGGGAAGAAGTGAACTTAGTAGACTTGTTCCCATCTTGGGTTTAACGTTCACATTTTTACTTACACAGAAGATACTATACTGGGAAGTTCATGTCAAGGAAGGCCTTTACAGTCTGGCTGAGGCTTAGGTTTGAATTTTATGCATGGCTAGTCATTGAATGTAGTTGACCTCCCACTGTTAATAGCTCTCTCCTGCCATAATTTATTGTATTTCGTGAGTAAAATGAGGTGCTTTGGGGCATTATTGAATGTGATGATTGCAGAGGTCTCAGAATATATCCATCAAAAATGTCAGGGGTTTTCTCTACAGAGATTTGATGAGCAGTTTGAATACTTTAAGGACATTTCTGACTTTTAGAGATTTATATAGTCTTAAAAAGTATGAATGTTTCTCTCCCCATGAAAAATGAGAAAAGCTGAAGTCCCATCTACCCAACTCCTGCAGTGTATTTATTTTTGTCTAAATATCAGTAAGTTTTCCCCAAGGTGTTAGATTTTTTTTAATAGCCTGGGGGAACATGTCTTAAAATCCTGCTGCCTGTGGTTTGAGAAGCTACCTCACCTGGCTCAGTCTTCATTTGCAGTTGCGGCTGGTTCTGGTCTAGGTTTCCACAGTTGTACATACGTATGTGTTTATTAAATGAAGAAATAAAATGAATCTTCTTTATGTGGGAAAATCCTTACTGTGATCATTCCAGTGGTGAGAATGGGGTACAGATTCCCAGGAATTCTGAGGCTTTACTGATAAATATTAATTAAGCTCCAGACAGATCAATTGAATGCCTGCCATGTGTCGTGGACTATGAAAGAGGCAATGAGATTTATACATAAGATGCAGTCATTCCCACACCAGTCAGAATGGCTTTTGTCACAAAGTCAGATAATAACAGATGCTGGCCAGGTTGCAAAGAAAAGAGAATGCTTATACACTGTTGGGAGGGTAAATTCATTCAACCATTGTGTAAGACACTATGGTGATTCCTTAAAGATTTAAAAACAGAAATACCATTCGATCCAGTAATCCCATTACTGGGTATATACCTCCAAAATATAAATTGTTCTCTTATAAAGACACACACACATGTATGTTCACCGCAGCACTATTCACAACAGCAAAGACATGGAATCAACCTAAATGCCTGCCAATGATAGACTAGATAAAGAACATGTGGTACATTATACTATGGAATACTATGTAGCCATAAAAAAGAGCAAGATCACCTCCTTTGCAGGGACATGGAAGGAGCTGGAGGCCATTATCCTTAGCAAACTAATGCATGAACATAAATCCAAATACCTCATATTCTCACTCGTAAGTGGGAGCTAAAAGATGAGAACACATGGACACATAGAGGGGAACAGCACACACTGGGGCCTATAGAGGGTGGAGGGTGGGAGGAGAGAGAGGATCAGGAAAAGTAACCAATGGGTACTGGGCTTAATACGTGAGTGATGAAATAATCTGTACAACAAACCCCCATAACACAAGTTTAGCTATGTAACAAACCTGCACATGTACCCCTGAACTTAAAATAAAGTTTAGGGAAAAAGAAACATAAAACCATGCAGTCATGCTTCCCAAGGAATGAATGGATAGGTGTGACCATCCACAATGCTATGTGCAATCTTACTGCTTTTACTAGGGAATTTTTCTTACCTGTCTTGCCCAAGGGTTTGAAAAATTTTCTCAGTACATAAAGTTTGAAGGACGGGGCATTGCAATTATGAGCTAACTTTAAATCTCAACTCTGTCATTTTGTAAGCCATTTTTAAACCTTTGTGATCCTGTTTCCTTATCAGTAAGCTGGTGATGATTATGGCAGCAGTATCATAAGAATAAAATTGATAGGCCAGGCACGGTGATCAAGCCTGTAATCCCAGCACTTTGGGAGGCCAAGGCGGGTGGATCATGTGGTCAGGAGATTGAGACCATCCTAGCTAACACAGTGAAACCCCATATCTACTAAAAATACAAAAAATTAGCAGGGCGTGGTGGCAGGTGCCTGTAGTCCTTGCTACTTGGGAGGCTGAGGCGGGAGAATGGCGTGAACCTGGGAGGCAGAGCATGCAGTGAGCTGAGATCGTGCCACTGCACTCCAGCCTGGGTGACAGAAGGAGACTCCATCTCAAAAAAAAAGAAAAAAAGAATAAAATTGATAATAATTAAATATAAAATATGAAAGTAAAAGATCTCATTAAGTGCTTGGCACTTAGTAGGGAAAATGCATCAATCTCGCTCATTTTCTTTGATAGTCTTGTTTAAAATCACGGAATGAACTGTTAAAATAATAGATCACAGATACTTTTTTGATAGGGTTAAATACTATTTCCACACTATTCCTCAATTCACATACCACAGTATAAATAAAGACCATTTTAACTCTAAATAGTATATATATTGAAAATACTGTATTTACCCATTTGAGCTTTGTACCTACTACCACTTTCTCATTCTGCTCAGGGTCAGTTTATTGGTCCTGTCTTTGTTGTACCTGGATGGATGCTGTCTGCTTTGGATTTAATACTTTCTCTATTTTGATTGAAAATAAATTGCCACTCAAGCACCATTTATAGATAGGAACCTAATAACCTCAAAAACTGTACATTTATTTTAGTTACTCCCTGTGGACTCCCATAGCACATTCTTGATAGCACTGGTATACTCTGAACATTATATTTCTTAAAAATATCATTAACTGGTGTTTCTGAGTAAGTAAATAACATAAGGCCACTGTAAAATGAGATAAGGAAGATACAATAATATAAATATATATGTAAAAGGATGTTTACAGTGCTGGGTGTAGGGGCGAAACAAAAGGGAAAACATTGAAAGCAAGTTAAATATCTGTGAATAGGGAAATTATTGAAACCACTGCGGTTCATTCATACAATGGAACATGGAAAGCATCACAATACGGTGACTTTCCTGTGTTGATGGTGTAGCTCCCAGGCTATAAGAATTCCCCACCTGTAGTAACAGCCATTAAATTCATTTTTTTGGGTGATTATTAAAATTAATGAGTTAAATCTATTATCTTTTGACCTGGAATAATGTCCACAAAAGTGAGAGAAGCATGCTGCATAAAAACATAAAAACAAAGCAAAGAATCCTTTATATTTCATAAATGATTGTAGAGGTTTGTATTAGAATGATAAAAGGTATAGAAATATACACAGCAGAATGTTAAATTGGTTGGTGGGCATGAAGAGGAGGTAGAGACGGTAAGGAGATATAGAGTTTTTTAAAATATGAAAAAAAAACGAAGCTTAACTTTCTTGGTCAATAAAAGTGAAGAAACTTAATTAATTAATTAATTTTTTTTTTTGAGACGGAGTCTCGCTCGGTCGCCCAGGCGGGAGTGCAGTGGCGCCATCTCGGCTCAGTGCAAGCTCCGCCCCCCGGGTTCCCGCCATTCTCCCGCCTCAGCCTCCCGAGTAGCTGGGACTACAGGCGCCCGCCATCACGCCCGGCTGCTTTTTTTGTTTTAGTAGAGAGGAGGTTTCACCGTGTTAGCCAGGATGGTCTCAATCTCCTGACCTCGTGATCCGCCCGCCTCGGCCTCTCAAAGTGCTGGGATTACACGCGTGAGCCACCGCGCCTGGCCTGAAGAAAGTTAAGTTCAATTTTGAGTTTTTTTCATACGTATAAAGCTGTGATATTTAGATGGAAAAAGACAAAATACAAACAACAGAAACTCCAGACTTTATTTGGTAAAGGGGTCGTAAGCGATTGTTGTCTAGAATTAATTATTTAACTATTTTTGGAATGGTGTTTTGCATTATTTAGAAAGAGAAAAAAGTATAAAAAATAAAATACATATAATCTAACAATTCCATTATAAACACCGACCGCACTGCTTATTTCCTTCCCATTGGTCAGTTGTTTGCTTCCTTCTTTCCTTCCTTCTCAGTTCCGCTCCTTTTTCCCCTTCTTTTCCTTTCCTTTCTTTTCTCCCCGTTTGTGTTCATTTCCTTTTCTCTTCTCCTTCTTTTCTTCATCTATCTACTTACTTTTGTAATATTATATGGGTATAATGGAAACATTTTAATATAATGTTTAATATCTTTTAAAATAGGATTCTGTGTTGCCACTATATTCCCATTATATGGAGACACCCTAAGTTGTTAACCTTCTTTGGTTTGAACATTGGCTTCTATCATTTGGTAGTGAATTTCTGTCGTTTTGCATATGACCATGATTATCCTCAAGACAGAGTGACAGTCTAATTTATCTTTGGGTTTTGTCTTTGTCCTTCCAAAATAGTAACAGCACACGCTAAGTACTCAGTGTTAGTTTTTCTGACTAAAGAAATAAGTTTGCTTGTTTCCTGCTTTGAATGTTAACTGTATCTGACATGAAGATCAGTTATGGAATTCACCAGTTAGCATTGTGTTTACATGTTTACATGTATTTACATCTATTAAGAACAGTGCTTTTCGGAAGAAAGTAATATTCCTCTGCTTTAATTAAACATATGCATGTTTTCAGTAAAGAATAATGTTTCTGTTTCTTTAAGTATACCTTAATATTATAGGCCTTATATTTTACCAGAAGGACCCGATTTAAAGCAAAAGTTGAATGCTCTGTAACCTATAATCAGCCCACACACAGTCTATCAAAATAGCAAAATATCATTTCTTTCCTATAGAAATATATAAGCTTCTAATTTACAAATCTGTATGTTTATGTTATCAACATGAACTTGTATCTCATCTTTCTGTTTATGGGTGCGTGTTTCTTACATTCACCATTTTTACTGAAACGCAAGTGGCAACTCTTATTTGCCAAGAAAAGATGACAAAAAATAAAGAAATGCTTTCACAATAAAGGGAGAATTTGCAGTAGCAGAAAATTATTAGCTGAGAAAAAATGTTAAAATAAGCTTATTACTTGAGCCATGCTTTTTACTATGAAAGTGAAAAGTTAGAAATCATTATTTTAAAACTTTCACAAGGAATAAAACGTTTATGCATATAGTCAGGGATTTGAGGTCTGAATTATTCAGAGTATTTATCTGTATAGTTCATATTCCATGGATATTGGCTCAAATCTCTATTTTGCCTGATAAAGATTTCATTTTCAGTTTGACCACATTGAACTGGGTACTAAGCATTCAAAAGGTTGTTACATCTCATTTTTTGCAGAAAAAGAATGAAATAATGGAAAACTTATTGACATACATAATAAGTGCAAACCAAAGACTGTGTAGGCATTATTATGTAAAAAGTTCATGCCCAGAGAGAAATTAGAGCAGGATACAGTTCCTCAGGGCAAGGAACTGCTAACTATACACCCAGCTCTGTGACATTTAGCATTCTGTGGCCAGCCAAAAATAATAATGTTAGTAAGTGTATTGCCAGTTTTAATTAAGTCGCAAGTGAAATATTTGTCATTCCAGTTTCTCAGAACTTTTGTGCTGTGTATATGTTTCCATTGTTTATTGTTTTATGATTCTTCTGTAGATTGGTGAATGGAAATACCTGAAATTGCAAGATTAGTCCGGCTGCAATGATATAATGCATACGTCTATACTTTATAAAATGCAGAGTGTTGTAAACATTTAGACATTGTCACTTCTTATCATTGCGTGTATCATGCAAGTATATAATCCAGATATTGTGGAAAGTCCCAAGCCAACATCTGTAGTCATTTTAAATGTATGGAGACTATTAACACTTCCAAATGTCATTCCCTCTGGATGAGACACAAATCACTTAAAAAGAACCAGTGACTACTTAATACCCCAGCGAAAAACAAAGACAATGAGTACAACTTTTCTGTGTGCATCAGTTTACCATTGTTTCCAAAGCTAATAGAAAGATCCTCAAATGCATACTTTTACATACTAATATGTTGCATTTCACACTATAAACCAGACCCAGCATATCTGTTTAAGCATCAGGTGCTTTATCTAATCCAAGTATACTTAATTACTTAAATTGTAATTAATTCAAAAAATGATGTGAATAAGCAGGAAAATATTCAAGAATTTACATATTCTCCATTTCAGCGACCGTTAGCCAAACTCAGATTTAGCTGACAAGCTTATCCCAGTTTTTGTTCTCTCCCTCTTTCTTAGTATCTTCCATTAAGTTTCTTGAAACTTATTAATCTCATCAGTAGGAGACCATATCAGTCTTCTTACTTATTAACTAACATGGGTCAACTTCAAAGTTAACTTTTGCTAGATTCTATAATCTAAACTTGATGTAAAGAACAAAAATAAGGCTTTCTATATTTATAGCCCACTTATTTTCAGTTTGGAGAAACATGGAGAACCGTTCAGAAACCAATGGTCAGCTAATTGTGCAAACACTAAACTTTTCAAAAGAAAACTTACTTAGGAAAGAAAATAAATGTTTAAGAAACTAAATTGGATAAATATATAACATTTTTCCAGGTATTTAACTATAATAGTTTCTCTACATATCTTTTCCTGTGAATTTTCTTTGGAAAGCTGACTTTAAGTACACAAAATTAAGATGAATTGTTCATCTTCAGTTAACACGATAGTATTTTGTCTCAGACTCATGAACTGACAAAGAAAGCAGATAATCCTAGGTTGATTTACAGAGCAACAGCTATCTTTGCAACCAGAGGGTTAGAAGTGAAAAGGAAAAAAAATCTTATCTTAAATAATAAGACTCCCTACATATTTGCAGAATAAATAAAAATGAAATATCTACAGAGAGGACCTAAATTCCCAGCCACAATATCCATATTTTTGGATATCATTCTGCTGTTGATACTATCTGTAGTCTTTCCACACTTGCTTAGCTTGTCATCAGTTTCCTTCAATAGTTTGAAACCTGCTTCAGAGACAGATGTGTACCAATGGAGGCATGATTACATGTGAGAGGCTGGACTGTGAATAGCAGAAAAAATACAGGGGCAGAGACAAATAAATATTTTTTGTTATAGTCGCAAACCAAGTGGATGGTGCCCAATTCGTAATGCTGTTGGTCATGATTTTGATTTTATTAATATAGGACCAGATTTCTAGGTGTATGTTGTATTCTTTGTCCAGGCTAGAGAGTAAAGAAAAGGAAGTAGGGTAATTCCCTATTTCTTTTTCTTTATTTTTTAAGTTGTATTGATATATAACAGTTGTACGTATTTTGAGGGTACATGTGACATTTTGATACCTGTATACGTTGTGTAATGATCAAATTAGGGTGATTTGGATATCTATCACCTCAAACATTTGTCTTTTCTTTGTCTTGGGAACATTACAATTCTTCTGGCTGTTTTGAAATATAAAATAAGCTATTGTTAACTATAACCTCACTAATATACTATTGAACACTAGAACTTATTTTTTCTATCTAATTGTGTTTTTGTACTGATGAACTAATTTCTTTTCATCCAACTTCCCTTCTTCTTTGTCTTCTACCGATCCTAAGTCTAATTTGACCACTTTTCTGCCGGTCCTGTATTTAAAAAAGAAGGAACTCAAGAAGTATCAAAAGAAGGAGTGTTCAAGTGGAAAACACTGAAGTAGATTTTACTTGCTCAGCATCCCACGGATTTGGGGGAGATTTTTGTGTCCATTGCTTACCTTCAGGTGGCCAGCAAAGCCAACCAGTGGAATGAATTTAACATGTCCACAACTCTGGAAGAAAAGCTGTTGTACAATGTGCAGTGGGTACAGGTGCACACAGTCTACCGCCATGGAGTATAAATATAAAACAGAATTTATTGTGAGGAAAAACCTAGAAGCAGAAAAGCACTACAGAGGTTCCCCCGAGGTCTCATTATTCCACACAAAAATGTGCTTAGGCTGGGTGTGGTTGAGCTGGATATAGCACGGAAGTTTCCAACACAGGGCTCCTATTCCTTCAAGCCCCTCAGATTTAAAGGGAACAGGGCGGTAGGACACATCTCTTTGATGCTGTAACAATGGTAATTTATAGCTAAGGAAGTGGCTTCCTTGGTAAAAAGCCTCTGGATCTCTATGACAAGTCCTAGTCTGATCTGCTGATGTGGCTCAGACATGCAGAGTCCACCCACTGCTTGCCCAACAAAATGGGGAGGACTGAAGCTTCCCATGCCATCTGGATGTGTCTGTCTTCACAGGTCCAACTCTTTGGCACCTTCTATTGTACTGAGGAATAAAGCTTTAATTTAGAGCATGTCTCAGTCAACAAGGCACCTGTGTAAACAGCCCCCTGCTCAAAAGGCTGCTGTCTGGACTCTCTCCACAAACACTCAGAGGCTCCAGCCAGCAAGGGAAAGCCACCCTGTACAGTTTGGAAGACAGCTCTTTGAAAACCCATTGTGGATGTCACAGTGATGCATTGCCTTATCTTAGGGATGGAGCTCTGCCGAGGACAACCAGTTGCTGAGAGGCAAAGCTCATCATTTTGAAGGGCTAGGTGAAGGCCCATTTAATTTCCTCCAGGAGAAAATGTCACCACCACCATTGGTAAGCACAGGGGATGCAGAGTGAAATTTGGCTACATCTTCATACAGAGTTGCTCCTAGAAGAGAAAGACATGATTTATGACTGAAGAGCCAGTATTTTCCCCTAGGAAATTTATTTCATTTATGAATAAAAAAAGGGAAAGATATTTAAACAAGAAATTTCCTAGTTTTGTTGATGATCTGAAAACCTCCCCTGCCACTTCGGCTGTAATAAAAAAAAAAGTAAACTGAATTCACAACAACTGGTGATTTCTATGCCAGTGACTGAGAAGCAGAGAGATTAATATCTCCCCAAACAAAATTCACTAATGATGCTTCTCTCCCCAAAAGAGTGAGTATTACTTGGTTTCTAGATAACACATTTTATTTCACATTTCTTAATGCCCAGTGAGTTTCAGGTAAACACACACATAAACACACACACACACACACACACATGCACACATCTTACATAAAATTATATTTATTAAGTGCCCTCAAGTCAACTTCTTTTTACTTTGGAACATCACAAAACTTATTTTATGAGGCACATCTTTTGGTACACCAGATGTTTTTGAACTAAACAGGTTTATTTATTTATTTTATTATTATTTTTATTTATTATTATTATTTTTTTGAGATGGAATCTTGCTCTGTTGCCAGGCTGGAGTGCAGTAGCACTATCTTGGCTCACTGCAGCCTCCGCCTCCCAGGTTCAAACGATTCTCCTGCCTCAGCCTCCCAAGCAGCTCTGACTACAGGCGTGCACCACACCCAGCTAAGTTTTGTATTTTTAGTAGAGATGGGGTTTCACCATGTTGGCCAGGATGGTCTCAATCTCTTGACCTCATGATCCACTCACCTCGGCCTCCCAAAGTGCCAGGATTACAGATGTGAGCCACTGTGCCTGGCCTATTTATTTATATTTTTTGAGTCAGGGTCTCACTCTTTCACCCAGGCTGGAGTTAAGTGGTGCGATCACGGCTCACTGCAGCCCTCACCTCCCTGGGCTTAGGTGATCTTCCGACCTTAGACTCCTGAGTAACTGGGCCTACAAGCAAGCCTGGTTAATTTTTCTGTTTTTTGTAGAGACAGGGTTTTGCCATGTTGCCCAGGCTAGTCTCTAACTTCTAAGCTCACGTGATCTACCCTTCTCAGCTCCCAAAGGCCTGGCATTACAGGCGTGAGCCACCACACCTGACCCTAAACAAGTTTATTAAAATAAGTGGAAAATAAACAACTGCCTTTTTTTTTTGGTTAAGTAATGATTTGATAGGCAATTACAATGTTTTATAAAGATGCTCTGGATAAATATGTTTTTAATTTGAAACACAATCACATAAACTCTACATCTGTCAAGAAAATATTTTTCTTCGTGTCATTTTCTACAGCATTGCAGCCAGCACAGGACACATAAAATGTGGAAATATAAACCCTATACCAACCTCATGGTGGTGTTACAGGAACTCATTAATACCTTTGTCTTACAATTGCCTTTGCATTGCTTAGTTGATGCTAGCTACTATGATTATTATTACTCTTTTCCAAAATTTTCATGTATTGCACTTTTTATCTTTTCTTAATTAAATGTCGTGTTATTGTATTTGTTTTATTCATCCCAGCTTACACGATGTATTTTGAATTACTGCACCCAATCTCTTTATATCTCTCCCAATCCATGCTATATTCCCATTTGATGAGCTTTGCATAAAGGTGATGTTGAACAAGACAGGCCTTATGATAGAGCTCTGGAAGTTACCTAGAAGCCTCCTTTATCCCTACCTGAGTATTTAGCATTACTTTTGAAGGGTGGCAGAAGATGCCACCCTACACACTATGCCCCTTTGACATGAGAATTAATTTGAGCTAAACGCACTTGAAAAACAGCCGATGCAATAAAGGCATTCTCATCCACCCTCTTATTTCCCCCTGAAAACAGGAGATAAAAACTTGCATGTGAAAGATGCCCTCCCTCTACCAGGAGAAAAGAAATATTCTTCATTAAAGAGTCATAGATGAGAGAATTCTGTACAAACAGAACTTGCCCAAATAATTCTTATCTTTCTTTAGCCTCTTCACATAATTTACTTTCTTTTCCACAATTACCTCTCTTTGTTCAACCTAATACTAAAGAATTCAGATTGTACAACTTCTTTGAGTCTTCATTTCCTTATGAGGGCTCCTGTGTCACATAAAGCTTATGTTATATTTACAAGCTTTTTTTCCTGTTAATCTGTGTTATGTCAGTTTCATTCTCAGGCCCACCCCAAAATCCTAAGAGGGTAGAAGTAAAATTTTGCTTCTCCTACACTTCAACAAATTCATTCAACATGTCATTAATTCATCTACCCATCTGCATTCTTCTCCATGCTGTAAGATCTCACCATGTCAATAAGGAAATCATGAAAACACTATCAAATATACATGCACTGAGGCTGTGGCATTCTTCTGATCTACATTTTTTTTTTTTTAGACGGAGTCTCGCTCTGTCGTCCAGGCTAGAGTGCAGTGGCGCGATCTTGGCTCACTGCAAGCTCCGCCTCCCAGGTTCACGCCATTCTCCTGCCTCAGCCTCCCTAGTAGCTGAGACTCCAGGTGCCCGCCACCATGCCCGGCTAATGTTTTGTATTTTTTTTTTTTTTTAGTAGAGACAGGGTTTCACCGTGTTAGCCAGGATGGTCTCAATCCCCTGACCTCGTGATCCACCCGCCTCGGCCTCCCAAAGTGCTGGGATTATAGGTGTGAGCCACTGCGCCGGCCCTGATCTACATTTTAATAACTCTACTCGCAAAAACAAAACTAAATTAAAATCAAGCAAATAAAAGGTAGGGAGACATATGCTTGAAGCAAGATATATAAAAACCAAAGATAAGTCAGTGCAGGAATTTTAATTCAGTTCAACAGACATTCATTGCATTCTAGAAGGTGGCACACCTCAGTATGAGCAGCCCACTCAAGTCTTAATCCTTCTGAGGCCCCCTTTGTGGGCCTAGGTCCATCTGTTACACTTTCTATGAAATATCTGGCGTCAAGTTGGATTTGATGATGTTACTTTGTAATAACATTCTGTCTACATCACTTCCTCTTGTTATCCAGGAGCACTTGGCAACTCCCACTATATTTTTTCAGCACCCCCACTCTCCTTTCCTGTGTATTCATGCCCTTAACAGACATAGGAGGTTAACTATTTCAGAAGGAATTGTACCAAGCATCAGGTGGGCAGAGTCTCTATGAATTCCTGCTTTGAATCCTTGCTGAGCCAGTTTTCAATAGGAAGATAATATTTCGTATTGTTCAGATTAGTACAATCAAGCCATGGCAATAATGGAGACGCTTAGAAAATGGGGGCTAGGTAAATTTAGCAATAGGCTCAGTTATATTTTGTCCAGGTAATAAGTGGCTCTTTTGAAATAAGACAAAGCTGATCACTTCATTATTTGATTAGATTCTTCTAATTGTGCCCAGGTGATCAGTTAATTCTCTGCTAAGTCTCAAAACAAATTTAGAAAATCAAAAGAGGATGCTGAGAATAGAAACCAAACAACACTTTGCTATCTTGTACAGATAGTGCTAATTGACCTTTCTCCTGTTACTTTCAAGGCAATTAGGGAGGATAATTGTAGCTTAAGAAACTTAGCACAAGTTAGAGGGAAGAGTAACAACAGATGGAAACAGGGATATATTTTGCCTTGAGAAAGTTAAGTGATACCATTTGTGACAAGGTCTCTGATGCTGGGAGTGGGAGGTAATTTCTACAGATTCACTGGCATATAAGGCCTGCATGTATCTATATATGTTGTAGGAAGTTCCAATTTCTAACTTTCTCTTAGATCTTTTGTCCTAAAAGTCAGGGGAACATCCATGACCCTGATTCATTTATTTCAAAGAGAGGTATGCTGGCATCTGTTGTGGAATATTTCTAAGGGTCAAACTGCACATTATTCTGAACTGACGCCAGAGCAGGCAAACTCTTCATTTGTAAGAAAAAAATGATAGATGCTGCCTTTAGGAGCTATCATATTTACTTCATGCACCTCAGCAGGCTTTGTTCTTGAACATTAGGAAAGTGAGCAGGACTTGGTTTCAGAATGAGGTTGGATGAATCACATTGACTAGAAACTGTATTATCATATTCCGTTGTGTCTAATCTTGAAACAGGCAGAATGGTTTTGGTACTGCTGGGTAGAGGCTGTTTGTCTCTCTTCTGGCCTGGGATGATGCAGTAACTCTGTCTCCTTGGCTATAGAGAAAAATATGATGCCCCTGTCCTGATTCTGTCCTAGCCAAAGAAGATTCATTTGGGGAGCTCAGCACATTTTTGGTATGTATTTGTTTAGTGAATGGAGATGACGAATTCAGGCCTTTTTTGGGTTTAAGGATGGGGGTTGGTAGGCACATTAAAAGGTGGGGAGGTAAAGAAGAAAGTGTTGTTGGGGGATGCAAGTTGTGCTGAGAGACAGGCAAAGAGAAGTGTGCAATTGGAAATTTCAGTAACAAGCCTCCAGCAATGACAGTTTGCTTGGATCTCTTTCTCGTTTGCATGTCGCTAGAGGAATCTTCAGACTGAGCAATATGACCCTAGGATGCCAGGGATGACAGAGAAAGGATCTTTTCAAAAAACCTATTAAAATTGCTTGGAAATCAAATTTGCAAAGAGTGCAATTTTAAAAGGAGGCATCCCATGTTTTTCCGGTTATTACAAGTGGGGTTTTACTAAATTACCAAATCTCTCTGTTCCTCCTTCATCTGACAAAGTGGCTAATAAAAGCCCCCTCACTGGGTGATTGATGTTAGTAACACTAAACCCATAGGAAATACATATTTTAAATATTCTTTGTTACAGTTAGTTGTTCTTACTTACATAACAATATTAAAATATCCTATATAAATTTTGAGTAAAAAATAGAAAAACACTTAGTATTTAAAATAATATTTTACCAATATTTGGCCATCTAGTATTTATTTGCCAAGTAGAGCTGCCTGCTGATAATGTAAAGAAAAACAAGTCATGGCCTCTATCCTTATGAAAGGTACAACCTATTAACGAATACTATTAGTGTTTATTTTCTTTTTTTTTCCCCTTTTCTCATAGGTTATTTTAATATAGTAGCAAAGATTCTGCACATGTATGTGGCAGATACACATTCTTTTCCTTGTTTTTGAAGAGTTTCATTTGTCTTTTACTCCTACCTATTCTTTAAACAAAGTCAGTTCCTTCCGCCCTTGACCAACAAAACCCTTGACCAGCTTAAAATATCAGTAGATGCCAGAATATTAACAAGGATGAAACTAAATGGTTATGTTTACAGAGATTTAAAAATTCCATTTCCCCAGGAATATGCCATTTCAAGATTTGTGTAAAAACAGGAAGAATGAAGAAAAGGTTCTTGTTTCACCTTGTCTTTTTACGGATGAAGGTAGTCAACCAATAGTCCCAAACGTGAGAATTTCTACTTTTAAAAAACATTTTGGAATAATTCCAGATTCATACAAAAGTAAACATGGGATTTTTTTAATAAAAAATAAATAAATGTTTGTCTTGGAATGCCAGATTCCAAGTATTGGACAATTTGACCAACGGCTTAGAATTTAAAGTCATTTCAAAAATTAGTACTTGAAAACACTTTCTTAAATAGCCTGATTTCTTTCCAGAGTGAGCATGTGGATGAGCCTTAGTCTACCATTATTAGCAAATTATTTATATTCTTACTTTATTCCCCTTCTAATTAACCTATCATCACTTCTTAATCTATGTCAATTTTTTTTCCCCTAGTCAAACACAAACAGAATCAGGAACTTCATTAAAATATTCCAACTGTCATTATTAGTGGCTGCTATGATAATAATATTTATTTTGTATCATTCTTGACAATTCTATTTGGAAAATATTGCAATGATTTTGTCACTACTTATATAATTACAATAGGAAATGTTAATCATGAAAATTTTCTCCAGCTCATTTTCTAGTCCCCAGTCATCACACATTCTTGGGTTCTAATAAGCTATGTGTCAGATATAAGAAGAAGTTCCTCTTCAAAGGTTTAGCTTGTTTAGTTTCCTTGTTCTTTGTTCTCTACTTTCAAGGCCAAACTTCCTTACTCTCTATGCCTCCCTGTCTCGGTTTCAGTAAACAACTCTCCCTCCAGTTGTTATCTACAGAGCTCACATCTGCTACCCATTCTGTAAATTACCCCTCCCATCACAATGGCCCTTCCCGCCAAAATTGTCCTTCCTGCCAGTGTAACCGCATTCCTGCACTTTTCAAGTTAGCCAACCAGGTTCAGCTTAAGTTGTGTGGTCCAACTCCAGCCAGTGGAGGCAGGACACAGTAGCAGGGACAAGTTGCGTTAAGGATAAAAACCCCTTCCCTCCTTTGTTCAGTGTGCTCTTGTGGCATCCAGACCTGCGAGAAGCACCCTTCTGCAGAAGTAAATTTTCTTTGCTGTCTGGTGTCTGGTGAGGGTCTGCTTCCTGGTTCATATACAGCTGTCTTTATGCTGTGTCTTCATCTGGTAGAAGGGACAAGGCCACTCTGTGTCTTCTTTAAAGGACATGAATCTTATTCATTATGGCTCTGCCCTCATGACTTAATACCCTCCCGAAGCTCTCACCCCCTACTACCATCATCTTGGAGGCTAGAATTTCAACATATGAATTTTGGGGAGACACAATCATTTAGACCATAGCATTTGGGCCTGCTTCTTCTAAATTTATGTTATTCTCACATGAAAAAATATATCCATTTTATTTCAGTTAAGCCCAATAATCCCCAAAGCCTTAATTCATTCCAACATCAACTCAAAAGTCTAAAGCACAATGTTTCATCTAAATATCGTCTAAGTCAGATATGGATGAGACCCAAGTTACTATTCATTCTAAGGCAAATTACTCTCCAACTGTGAGCCTATAAAACCGAGAAAAGTTATGTGCTTTCAACATACAATGATGGAACAGGCATAGGACAGACATTTCCATTCCAAAAGAGTCAAATGAGAAAGAAGAAAGGAGTGGCAGATCCCAAACAAGTCCAAAACCTAACGGGATAAAATACATTAAACTTCAAGGCTAGAGAATAATTCTCTTTGGCTTGATGCTCCGCTCTCTAGGCCCACTTGGTATGCACTGCCACTTTCTGGATACAATGACGTGGAGGGGCACACTGGGAATGTGGCCCCACAGATTTGCCAAGACCCTCCAGGGGTCCCAGTGGCCCTGCTCCCATGGCTTTGAATGACCCACCCCTGTGGCAACTCTGCCTGGGCCCTCCCCTTAAAGTGGTTCTCTGTGATGGCCCCACCTCCCCAAGACTGTGTGCATTGGTCATGCCCCAAGATCACTTTAGGCTCTAATTGTAGGCCAGATATTGTGCTACCCACATTATAACAAGGATGACCTTTCCTCCATTGCCCACTGGGTAGCATAGTATCGGGTGTACAATTAGAGCCTGGAGTGGGGGTCTGGGTTTCCGGTGGTGGTGGTCACACCCACATGTCCTTGCTGGTCTGGGGTTTTGGGGGTGGCCACACCCACATGTTCTTGCTGGGCTTTTTCCTAATGGTAGTTCTCTGCAGTGGCCCTTCACCCACTGGGACTCTTGCACTTTGGACCTGTGATGGGAGGGGCAGCTCTAATGAATTTTGAATTCCTTAATGGGTTAATCTTCTATTGTCTTGGACAATAGGTACTTACTTCTGTTTAGATGGCCTATAATCTCCTTCTCAGATGGTTGTTTGGCCACAACCTTTATGTTCTCTCTTGAACATGTGCTCTCATTCTTTTCAATATGGATAAAATGAAAATGTTCCAAGTCTTTAAGTTCTACTTCCCTTCTGATTACCAATTCCATCTTTAAGTCATTTGTCTCTTCTTACATTTTACTATGAGCAGTCCAAAGGAGCCAAGCCAAACTTTCAAAGCTTTTCTTAGATATTTCCCCAGTCAAATATTCATCTTCACCTCTGAAAAGCTCTACCTTCCCCAAAACACTAAAACAAAAACACAATCCAGCCAAGTTTTTTGCCACTTTATAACAGGGATGGCCTTTCCTCCATTGCCTAATAACATGTTCTTCATTTCCACCTGAGGCCTCATCAGAATGGTCTTTACTGTCTGTGTTTCTACCAACATTCTGTCTATGTTTACGTAGGTAATCTCTAAAAGGAAGTTTTCTGTACAACTCTCCTCCTCTCCTTCTGAGCTTTCACCAGAATAGCCCTTAATAGTCTGCTCTTGGTAATGCAGGGTTTTTCTAGCATGCACCTCAAAACTCTTTCAGCATCTACTCATTACACAGTTCCAAAACCACTTTTACATTTTAAGGTATTTGCTGCAACAGCACTCCATTCTCAGTACCAATTTTCTGTCTTAGCCTTTCCAGGATTTTATAACAAAATATTATAAATGGGTGGCTTATAAACAGCAGAAATTTATTTCTCACAGTTTTGGAGGCTAGAAGTCCAAGACAAGGCACCAGCAAATTCAGTGCCTGGTGAGTGGAAAGACCCCTCTTGGGCCTCTCTTTTAGGGCTAATCCCATTTATGAGGGCTCTATCCTCACGACCCATACCCTCCCAAAGGTACCACGTCCCAATACCATTATCTTGGAGGCTAGGTTTTCAACGTATACATTTTGAAGAGACACAAACATTTAGACCATAGCAGTACCCTCGGCACTACATTCTGTGGTCCTGCTTGTTATTGTATTGGATAGCTAGAAGAACCCTTAGTTTCTATTATGTGTACATTCTCATTGAGTAAAACTAGCTGACAGTTCAGGCAAAGCCCAGTTCTGCCAGCCAGAGCCTATCTCATTGCATCAGAAATGATACATAACCTCTTTGAGTCTAATTGTCTCATCTGTGATATTATTTAGCTCATGATATTATTGGAAGGATTACATGAGCTAACACCATGATTATTAGCCCGTAATAATGTTTCTAGCATACCTTGTAAAACTTGTAAGAACATGCACAGAAAAATGGAATTTAGAAAAAGAGGTAAATTTGAAGAAGAGAGAAACCCAGAATTAATTTTATGTTTGTGTCTAATAATAGTGTTGCTTAATGGAAAAATAAAAATTCATGATGTCAGCTGGCTTCATGTATTGTATAATGCAGGGTGAATCATGCAGCCTCTCTGAGTTAGTGTTTCCTGATTAACTAATGACATATACCTCATGGAGTCATTATAGTGATTAAATGAGGTGATGTATGTAAAGTAGGTAGAACAGTATCTGGTATATGACATACACACAATTTAGTATTTTGAAGGGTTGTAGCATAGTCATATGAATGGGTCCAGCACACTCTTGGAAATGAAGGTTGCAACTCAGATGAGCAACCAGGCTTGAAGACATGCATTTGGGAATCTAAAATAAGAAAGTCATTTGTAAGAAAACTGTGATAACAAGTAAGATTACAAGAAAAAAAAAAAAAGCAGTGGTTCCCAATTTGGCTGTGTTTCTCTGTCTCATGTAGAACCTATATCAGTTAAGTTTCCAAAGTTCTTACTCAAACCCACTGATTTACAATTTCCAGGTGAGAGCCACAGAGGATGCTTATGAAGTCAGTTGTGCATTTGGGCATTAAGGGACAAGAATTTGAAGGATGACTTAATTTAGAGGGCAGAAGGTTTCCTAAGAGAAATTCCCAAAAGGCCTGAAGAGTCCAGATGTTTGGGGAGTGAGGCCAAGAAAGAGGAAAGTTAGGATAAAGAAATGGACTACATATAGATAATGTTTTAGAAAAAGGGTTAAAGAATGTTGAAATAAAGCAAAAACCTTAAATAGTTTTTATGTGGCACACCATGTTAATAAGCTTAATGTAAATAAGCCAAACATGTGAATAAATTTCTTTTGCCAGGGCAAGAAAAAAAGTCAATAGAAGAAAATGTTTTTGACAAAAAAAAAAAAAAAGCTTTTAAAAAATCTCCTCTTTTCAGCCTTGGTCCATGAAAACCATTTGATAAAGGAGATGGGGTATGCAGTGACCCTAAATGCATCTGAATCATGAATTCATACATCAAAAAAGAGAAACTATCAGGAAGTCCATATAACCGTACAGCATAACAGCTAAATAGTAGCCATTGATAAAGTGCGAAAGAAACAGAAGGATATTTTCTGTACTGTTCATAGTGCTATGCAAGATATTTATTTTCCTGGCCACTTGAACGCATCCAGGGTCAGAATGCAAATACCTCCTGATTTTGTTATTTGCACACGTTCAAACAAGTGGTGAGTGAAATGGTCCGCTCAAAATGCAAGAATCAGAAGCCTACTCTAAGGTTTTACTTTAGGAAAATAATTTAAAGGAATGAGACTTAAAACATAAAACCTCCTGTAAGAGAGAGATTAAAAACGATTAGCTTCCTTCACTGTTCCTCTGCTTTTCTAGGGGGATGCATATGCACTCACATTCTATCATTGATTTATCCTTCTAGTGGAAACACAATGCTGACTATAGCATGGGCCTCTCTGTGACCAGAATGCTCAACAAGCAACTTAACAGTTTCCATGTTTCAGAATATGTCATTCACACACCCCTGGGGAGAATGTTTAACATTTCCTTAAATTGGTGTGAGTTTTCACTAAGGCTACTGTCATACCAACCAAGCAACAACTATCATAGATAGCTCCAGTGTGCATAACATGCTAACTCCTTTTAACCCGTCAGTGTCCTGATATGCTTATTCAGTGTACAAGCTGCTATAAAATCATGTATTATCAATTCTAGAAAATATTAGGAGTGCACCGTGGAACTTAAGTTCTAAATTATTTTGCAGTAGATGGCTTTTTAAAGCTAAATAGGGTCTGGATAGAGCTTATAAACATTTGATTGATTAAGTTGTGGATTAGCTGATTTATGAACTATACTTCAGGTGTTATGAATCACTTTGAAGTAAGTACCCCATGGGGCATTCCTGGGGTGTGGGTTTCCTGGTGGTTTGGTAGACAAGCTACACATTTCTCTTTTCAAAGGGGATGATGACTTAGTACACACTGCCCCAGATGAAACCTCTTCTTTCTGAACAACCTTCACAGAAATCTTGCCAGAAACTGTGTAACCAAAGTCGAAACATGTCGCTCCTTAATAGATTGGGGGCTTATGTTGGCAGGTTCAGTGACAGACACTGGGACAGAGTGCCAAAACAAAAGTTGAGGCTGAGTTTCAAAGCAATGTTATGAGAAAAGTAGTATTAATTAAACAAAACAGATTTATTGCAATTTTATCTTTTGTGAACTCCTTACATATGTCTCTATTAGAACATACCAAATTATGCTTTAACTTTTGGCACATGTCCTCTGCCTAGGGCTGCTGCATCAGCCCATCTTTGTAATCCAAAAATGCTTTGTATGAAGTAGATGCTTAATCATGCTGGCATCATTTATCAACTTGCCATTCAATTTCTTCACATTTAAAAATATTTGGTGCATACCTGCCATAACCCTATTGATAACTGGCAATATGATACAGAGCCATAAACTAAGCTGATAATATCCCTGTCTTCTGGGACTTCCCATTCAGTGGAGGTAGGGATGGAAGTAGGAGAACACAGAATGAAAAATAAACAAAATGAATACCAAAGAAAATTTCAGAAAGTTGTGTTAGAACACATAGAGTTAATGTGAATAAATTAATGAATATATTCATGAATGAGCTGTCTAAAGTTGACTAATGGACATTTTTAATATATGCTGTCTACTTGAGTGAGGGTACAAAGCAACAAATAAAACAGAGCTTAAGTTAGAACAATTTGTTTCGTTTACTTAATTTTATTATTCTAATTATTATTATTTTTTTTTAGATTTTGTTAACTCTAGATATAAGGACAGCTTGGTAAACACTAAACTGGGTTACCAAAGTAAAGTTACATAATGCTGTTTCTTGGAGCTGTTTAAAAATAGAAGGTACTTTAGTGAGTTGCAAGGTCTAGTTGCTAATCTGCCTGGAGGCAGGGAGACAGGCAGGGTGACCTCAGATGGACTTCTCCAGCCAAGGCTTGTTTCTGCATTCAGCATTTAGACCAACTGAAAACTTAGATGGGCTAGAAACATCAGCTAACCAAAAGTGCAAAGACTTTATAACCAGGTAGGCTGAAGTTCTTTGATTCTGGTGTATGAAAAAGGGAAACCCATTCCCTTTACACAACCTACAACATCAATTCAGATGGAGACTGTTTCCCTCTTCTCTCTAAAACATCCTTCATTTAGAAGATTTTGCAGCCTGGAGTATTAATGCTGTGAGGTTGGCAGGAAAGGGTCATGGGAAAACAAGGCTCCAAAGTGCAGCTTTCTCGATGAACCATCACTGGCAATAAAGTCCAAAGTCAATGGAAACATGAAGGAGGTTTCTGTGTACAAGGGTTATTAACTTTATCCTTCCAAGAGCCTTAATTATTCATTCTGATCATCTATAAATGGAAAGGCATAACCAGCTCAGAACATAGTCTGCAAAGTCAGATGTTCAAGAAAGTCTATTTATTCATTGTTTTAAAATCAAAATCATTCTGACTCAAGGGTTCCATACTATCTATCAGCTGGCAGAAAAAGTGATATAAACCATTATTGGGGTTGTTTTGTCCACAGTTGTGCAACATTCCTAGAGATTCTTCAGGCTTATGGAATTCAGCCCATCCATAAGTCATTGGTCATTGATGATCCATCCACAGCGTTGATAGAGATGCCCTTTGTACCAGTCTCCATGATACCTTTGGACATACCTTTGCTGCTTTGATGCTCTGTTTGGATAAAAGGCAATTACTGGGAAAATAAAATCTTTGTATCTAGACTTCCACATCCTTAGAAACACCAAAAAACCATCTCCTTTCAGTCAGCTCTTACCTACTGCCTGAGATATTGATACCAAAGTCTAAAGGATCCCATTCTCTCTGGCTTATTTTCTTACTTCCACAACCTCTAATGTCTTTTTAGCCTTTGGAAAATTTCTTTTCTCTTCTTGCCCTTGAAGGCACTCACTAACATAATTGTTTTAAAGTTTTTTATAAAAGACTGGAAAAAGATTTTAGCTGTAAGTGGCATCTGTTTTCTACTGTATAAACATCTGTGATTAAGACATGTCTTCTAGCTTGCAGTGAGGGAAAGGAAAAAGAAGAAGAACTAATACAAGTTTATCTCTCAGTAAATTATTCTTGCACAAAATATCCTAAGTGTCAGGAAAAAAGAAAGAGAAAGAAGGAACATTTGGTTCAGTCAACTTTAAAAGGACAAAGAAAATATATTAAGAGCATTTTACTTAATAGTTCATATTTCCCTTTGTGACTCTTTTCAATTACATTATCCAAATCTAAATTGCCCACATCTCTCCTTTGCTTTTCTATCTATACTTTAAAAAGTACTAGGATAGAAAAAAAAAATTAATGCAGGTTTTTATTGAAGTAAATAATTTAAAAAATCTATTTGCACTGAAGTGAAAGTCTATTCTCTGATGAAAAATAGGCATGTTTCCAGATAGTCTTTTTTAGCTGCAATGTTGTGGGCCAATTTTTCTAATATTCTACACCAAAATGTTGGGGCAGACCAAGATGGTTTGTCTGCAGAGACAGAACAACCCATAGCTGAGAACCCATCTGTTAGTGACAAAAGCAGCTGCGGAAGGTTTGGTGGTGGCCAGGATATGGAGTTTGATGAGTTTCTTCTGCACCTGGGAAAAAAAACTTGCCACTAAGCAGGTAAGTGCAAAAAGGAACTGCAGCTGCCAGCGTGGAAGTTTGTACTGTATTCATCTAGGCTGACTCAGAATCTAGGGTGTGGGCCATGGAATTCCACTGATTACGTTTCTCAAAGGCTCGCAGTGTGGTGAAGACTCACAGCCTATAGCAAAAGCTCTACAGAAGTGGTGAGTGGGTCGGGTGCAGTAGCTCACACCTGTAATCCCAGCACTTTGAGAGGCCGAGGCGGGTGGATCACCTGAGGTCAGGAGCTGGAGATCAGCCTCGCCAACATGGTGAAACCCCATCTCTACTAAAAATACAAAAATTAGCCAGGCATGGTGGTGCGCACCTGTAATCCCAGCTACATGGGAGGCTGAGGCAGGAGGATCACTTGAACCTAGGAGGTGGAGATTGCAGTGAGCCAAGATCACGCCGCTGCACTGCAGCCTGGCTGACAGAACAAGGCTCTGTCTCAAAAAAAAAAAAAAAAAGAAAAAAAAAGAGAAGTGGGTGATGAGAAAATGTGCTTATTTTTGGTCGTCATGAATAGACTGCCTGTGGAGAGAAAGAGGAAGAAGGGAGAAGACAGGACTAAGTCAGAGGGTTCTACCAAGTCTTTTGTTTACAGTTGGCTCCAAGTGAGACTAACACTCGACCAGAGTCTGCCAAGGTTGAATCAAGGTCACAGAGGAGTGCAAGTTTGAATTGAATCTTGCTCTGTGGTGAGGTTAATGTGGTTTGTGTCCTCTAAAACCAAAGCAACCAACCTGTCAGAGGTCTTAAGGCCTACCATGTCCTGTTAATGGTGAGTCTAGCTCTTAAAAATTTAGAGAATGCTACCTTTAAGGTCCCCCTAATAACTATTCTTGGTCAGAAAAAGACTCTGAAGAAATATGACATGTCTGAAAATGATTGAGTTTACTTAGATCCTGGTCGAAGATATAAGCTGATTCTGCTTATAAAAGTCAAGATAGTAAATATTTTAGGATTTGCAGGCCACACATATTAGCAGCATTCTCTCTGTTGCATATTCTTTTTTTTACTGGTTAATGTTGTTTTGTTTACAACACTTTAAAGATATCAGCACTATTCTTACCTTGAGGACTATACAAGAACAGGTCCTGGACTGGATCTCACCCTTGAACCATAGTTTACTAGCCACTAATCTAGAGCATTTCAATTCCAAACTATATGTGACCCAAACAAACAGATGAATGGAAGAATGCAATGAGGAATGACAGTGGGGGGACAGCCTGGAATACTCTGGAAGGCCAGATTTCAAGGATCATGTGTTGCGCATGGTCCTCACAAATACACAGAGTATCTTGGTTTCAACAGTGTCAGAAACAACAGAGAGAGTTTCCCTAAACTGAGGACACAGCCCCTGAGCCTGTGAATCAAAGGAGGGTTGGATGTTAACAATAGGTATATGGCATGTGGTTGGCTATAGGTCTCTTATCGTGGTGCGACCGACTTAGTTCCAATTCGTGCTTTTTCTTTTAAAATTTCCATGAGAGATTTTTGTCAGGATTTTGTCAGGTACAGCTAGACCTGACTGTGGATGGACTCTAGTTCCCTACTATAAAGTTAGTACCCTTACAGAGACAAAGCATAGGCTTGTCTACCTGGAATTAGTCTGTTCCCCTCCCCTTTGTCACCCAGATTACATCTATTTCCACAGTGTTATTCAAGACCCAGTAAAATACCTGTCTTTTTTTTTCTTCTCTAGACAATTCAATTGTTTCCATGAGTTTGAATATGATCCTCTTCTGGTCCTTTGAATAAAGGGCCCTATAGTTTCATTTTGCATTGAACTCTGAAAATTAGGTAGCTGATTCTGCTTGCATTTGACAGCAGCTACCTAATTTGCAAGGTTCAGTGCAAAATGAAAATATGGGGCCCTTTATTCAAACAGTATTACAAAGTCCAAGATATCAACATCAGAACGTTAATGCAAGCCTGGGGCCCTTCTGATCTTGGACTCTGAGCCACTGCATAGATAGCTCTGAGCCACTGCTTAGGTAGCTCTGAGCCACTGCATAGGTAGCTCTGAGCCACTGCATAGGTAACTTGCCCAGGAAGCTGGCCGTGAATGGAAGTAATGACACACACATTTTCTTGAGATTCAAATGAGAGTATGTACATACAAATACTAAGTAAAGCACAATGTGGAAAAATAATTTACCAGGATTTGTTAAATATCTTAATAAAGAATTTATTGTTACAAGCCTTGTAAATGTTTTCATGAATTTTTTGACCATTTCCATGGCCCTGATTTTGTGAATAAACTGAAAATCAGAAAACTCGCATGCATTTCATATCTTCTACAGTCCTTCCTGATCTGGACTTATGCCTAATATGTTGTTTTTCATCCAACAGGTTCTCAACAGGGCTAGCAAATATCTAAGTGGTCAGAGAAAAAAATTATTGCCTGTGATGTCTTGAGACTCAGGCAACATGGAAATGTGCTTAACTTTTTGAATTTGCTTTGGCCATAAAACTTTTATTACCTTCTCTAGAATTAAATTAATATGCACCCCCCTATTTATCTATATTGGATTTATTTAATTTTTGACAGCTTGTGCTAATACTAAACACAAATTTCTTCTCAGCACTAAGAAGAAATTATTGTAACTCAAGTATAGTACTAGTACTGTCTGACTGAAATGAAATAAAACCCATGACTGATTGAATTCCTGGCCACTTCAAAGCAGGTATGAAAGTGATTCATACCCAAACATCACAGGTTCATTTGAGAGTTAAGAGATTGAATAGATCATGAGTAACTGCAGTTAATTTAAACCATGTATGTACAAGTAAGAATGTAGTGTCAAAGGTCTGTGTTTGTCAGGAGAAAATTGGTTTTTTCTCTTTCAGTGTTTGTTGGCAGAATTGCTGAAACATACAAGAACCATTCAAAGTCTAATATCTGCTACTAAGCTGAAATGAGCTAGAAAGATGGTCTCCCACGATCATCTTTTCAATAATCCTATGGGCTTTGCCGATTCTGTTACCACTATTTAAATTTTATTTTATTATTACTTTTTTTTAGTAGCATGCCTTGAAGATAATTTAAAGTGAGTGTCCTCCAAACACAGGATTTTTAGTGCAATGCAGAATATTTGGAGGTGATGATCAAAGCGAGCATTGATAATAATATTCATAATGTTAATTCATAATGTTAATGCTTTGAGGAAATAAGACAGCAGTAACCCTGTCTTCTTTAGAGGACCTCTGGATTTATATCCATTTAGAACATTCATATTGTTAAATTAATAAAACTTCTTTAGGAGATTGATTATTTTACCCAAGTATGCTTTCCATATTAATGTAAACATTAATATCAATAACTTTATATGTTCCTCAGAGTGAGGGAAAAGTCAACCTTAACATAGAGTCAAAAATAAACACAAGAACCTGAAGACTTTAACCAAAAGTTTTTACTAACCTGTTCCCTAAAACTTGAGAAATATAAAGATAGTGAAAGTGGTTTCCTCCCAATACATTTATTGAGCATTTTAAGTTTATGGAACTGTGTGGTGGATTTTCCAGCATATCAGGGAAGCAAAAGCGATGTCTCTTGTCTTCACAAGCTTAAAATGTCATTGGGGAGACAAAGCAGGCTGAATAAATGTTAAATAATTTTTTTAAAGAATGGAAAAATTAAGAACCAAATATATGGGGTAATTTGCATTGGTAAGAATTCTGAAGAAGTAAACACTTTCTAGTTTATCTTAAACAGGCAGGAAAGTGGATATTTGCCATTACTTTATTTGATACAAATTCATCTTTTAAACTAATATTTTTTGTCCTGAACTCATGGATGTTCATATATTACTTCTTGGACATATGAGTAATTTACTTTGCTTCCTCATTTTTAAAAATTATTATGTGTTCATTAGCATGTACATAATTTAAAATTTAAATTATTTTAAAATAATAACTAAAAATACAAATAAACATGTGGCCCGGTGCAGTGGCTCACACCTGTAATCCTAGCACTTTGGGAGGCCGAGGTGGGTGGATCACCAGGAGTACAAGACCAGCCTGGCCATTATGGTGAAGCCCCGTCTCTATTAAAAATACAAAAAGTTAGTTGGGCGTGGTGGCAGACGTCTGTAATTTCAGCTACTCAGGAGGCTGAGCCAGGAGAATCGCTTGAACCCAGGAAGTGGAGATTGCAGTAAGCTGAGATCGCGACATTGCACTCCAGCCTGGACAACAAGAATGAAACTCCATCTCAAAAAAAAAAAAATTAAAAAAAATAAATAAACGTAATTATTTTTACCTGTCCATTAGTATGTAATAATTTAAAAATTATTACATGTTCTTCCTTTGCATATTGCCTCTCTTTGTCATTATTATTCATGTTAGATATTAAGTTTCTAGGAGGTATAAACAGTATTTATTGAATTTCTTCTTTGTAAAGTCTAGCCTAGAGAATTTGGAGTTCCTGATACGTTATTTTTGGTTCTTTTTAAAATAATTATCACGATAGACACCATGTGGAAATGTTAAAGTAACTCAACCTAATTCTCAAAATGACCTATGGTTTGTAAGTGGGGTTTTTAAATCATGCTTATTTTGTAATTATATCCAGCATATATACAGAATAGAATCAGAGAATATCTGGAAGAAACTTTTCAGTTTACCACCCTAAAAATTTTATTAACATCTTCAAGGGACATTTGTGGAAGACTTGCTGGTCAGGTTGGAGCACATGATCGGAGGTGTTCCTGAAGCCAGATACATAGCTTCAGCGCCCTCACGATCCCATCACGAAGAGCAGACTTAAATAATTAACTGTTAACGCTGGGGCAAGTCCATAGGGTTATGGAGAATGCACTTTGGAAGTACAGGAGCAGGATTGATTAATTCCTCATGAGAGAGGTCAGGAAAATCATTACAGAGGAGGTACTATTTGAAATGGATTTGGAAGAAGGGCTGGAATTTCACCCAGTGAAGATTAATGGTGTTCCAGTCAGAGGGAGTCACATGAGCAAAGGCAGGGAGACCTGAAACTCTGCAGTGTTTTTCTTTATTTCAAGTGTAAAAATTTCTTTTATTGCAAATTTGAGCTTTTAATGGCTATGAAAAGAAGTTTTATGTCGAGGGGGAGCAACAACTATTTGGGCCGGTGGCACAGGGATAAAATAATTTATCAAGACAATTGTAGGTAGAGAAAGGCATATTTATTAAAGAAAGTAGAAAAATACATTGCCTTCTCTCAACGGGCAGGATCAGCAGAAGAGAGGCTGACTGCAAGGAAACAAAGGCTTGCTGGAGATTTTATAGAATAATGTGTATCTGTCTGTTGAAGAGGGCTTTGTGCCGTATCGATAATGCCAAGGTTGCAGTGACGGGGAAGGGGCATATGACAACAAACTAGACCACTTAAGTACTCTTTCTCATAAATCCAACTCTTGAGCATCCGTGACACCAAGGCAAAAAAAAAAGGGATGGAGTCATTTGTCAAATCAGTCTCATCCTGGAAAAATCATCTATTCTGCCTCCTAGAAAGCCAGAGTGCTTGGAAGCTAGTTCCACCTTCTCCTAACAGTAAATTGCTTTGTTTGTTGGAGTTAGCTAGAGTTGCTTTTTGTTTTTGTTTTTGTTTTTTTTTTTTTGCAATTCTTATTTAGTAATGAAGGAGATAACTCCCTCAGGCAAGTTAAAAGGATGGTGAAGATAAGCATAGAAAGAACGAGGTTTGGCTAAGTAAAGGTTAAAGTTAAGGCTTGAAGTAAAATCATAGCTAAGTAAGGTGGTAGGAGCTACTGGCTGGAGTTTCATCTTTTCAGTTCTCCATTCATCTTTATAAATTCTATTTAGCGACTCATGATTAGAGCCAAATCACTACATTCTATTTAGTGACTCACCGGGTATACCTGAGAGTCAGGTATACAACAGATACCTCTTTAGAGTTGCTCAATATGGAGGCTTGATGAATATTGACTCAGTGTTTATACTAGAAAAATTGTCTATAAGTTTTGGTGCACTTTAACATAATTCTCTGAAATGATTTTGAAAATAAAGCTAGAGATTATGAGTTAAATATGTAATATCTTTCAAAATTTCAGCACTTACTGGCTTTCATTCTTCAACTTTTCTAGACAGACTAAGCGAGTCTAAATCTGACTTTCATCTTTGTTAATTTGCCTTAAATCATTTTTTGATTGAGTCATTAGTGATTAATGTCACTGCATTTTCCCATTCTGGTGGGATTCAAATTTGAAAGAAAAATCACTATTCTATGTTTGTCTGAAATTGTTTGAGCATTTTATTTTTCAATAAATGCATGTATACAGGAGGATGAACTTTTAAACAAATGCAAATAAGAACCCAAGCAAGCTAGCAATTTGAAAATAACCTGCTAATCTGTATGTATTGCAAGGTTTTGAAAATAATTTGCCTTAGTTTATACAATCAGTGCTCTTTTTTTTTTGACAAAATTCACTAAAAGGGTAGCTGCAGAAAATAAATTCCCTGTGCAGAGAAGGTCTTTATAAAAGCAATGCCTTTGTTGATCTGACATTTTTTCTTCTGTAGTTAGTTGTTTTTCACTTAGAGACTGAATTTTTTTTAACACATCGATAGAAGTAGATTTGAACAGAGAGGCTTTTTGTTTCTTGTATGATTTGATGAATTAACATTTTGTTGAATGTCTACTCCGTATAAAATGCTTTTGCAGATGTAAAGATGAACAACACACAAACTTGTCCTCACAGAGCACACACTCTAGTAGGAGATCAAATATAACTCCGTGCATTATAACACAGAATACATTAGAAGACAGGTAGAGTATACAGTAGTGATTCAGAGAAAGTCTAAATTGAGGTCATTGGAAATGGCTTCTAGAAGGAAGTTGCATTTAAAACGGTCCTTAAAGATTTTCTACCATCAGAGGAAGGGAAACAGACAATCTAGAAGGAGAGTACAAAACCTACCCTCTTTAGATATTGATAGCCTCCCTGGTGTCACTGGAGTAGGAAAAAAATCGAGGCATTTAAAGGTATTTCAGGTCAGCTTTACTTGCCACTTATCCTAGCATGTGTAAGGAAATACTTTGTAGTATCACATCATCATCACCATAATCACCTCCTCATCCTCACCCTCAAAGTCTGTGCACTTTACATTTGGCATATAAGAAAGAACAGATTTTTTTCTATTCTTGCCGCAAACCAATTTCTAACAACTTGGAGTCAGAAAACTGAAGGTACTATTCAAGGAAAAAGAAAATACACCAGTTAAATTGGAACAGACAGAATGTTTTAAAAAATTAGAATGAAAGAAAAGCTCAATTTTTTTTGTTGTGCAAGAGCACTGTGGAGCTGTGATGTCAAATGAATCTAACATGTCCCTGGAATTTTTTAGACAGATTCATATTACGATTTGTGATTCAGGAAAACTCATTACCAAGATGTAGGTTGTATTGAAGAGGAATAATAAAGAATGTAGTTAATATTTGATGTGGTTCCATTTAGAGAATATCAAAGTATTAAACATCCAGGCTCAATAATACAGACTTAATTTTGTATAGCATATCCCAGTTTATAATGAATTTTCCCATCTACTTCCTTAATTCATCCTCACAGTATTGTAAGGTAGTAGAGAGGAGGGAGAGTTTGCTCTCCTCTAAAATAAAAGTATTACTGACACTTGAAAATAGCACGAAAACAAGATTCAACTAAAGTCACTCAACTAATTCACTAAATGGACACAAATTGTTAAATTGCTTGTTTTTACTATTCTCTGCTTTGATGTCCTGTGAAGGTTAACATTTGTCACCATACATGATAATTAAATTAGTCTCCCTCATTTTCCTTATCCTGAATAAAAATGATTTCTAACCTGGGCATGATGTTTTGCACCTGTAGTCTCAGCCACAGGACTGGGGACTGGAGGCTGAGGCAGGAGGATCACTTGAGCCCAGGAGTCTGAGCCTGTAGTAAGCTGTGATCATTCCTGTGAATCCAGTGGTGACTGCATTCCAGTTCAGGAAACATAGCAAAACTTTGTCTCTGAAAATAAAAAAAAATTAAAAATATTTCTGTAGGTGTTTATTTGATATTATAGAACAGTAATATATGCACATTATACAGTGTTTGAAATATATAAAAAACATGTACAGTGAAATGTAGGTCTCCTCCCCCTGTCCACAGTCATTCTGTTCCCTTCCAACAAAAATAAATTGCTAGTATCTTGTGTATGCTTCAAGAAATATTCCATATCTTTATGGTCATATTTATGTCTTTAAATACATTTTCACACACACACACACAAAGCATCTTGCTTTTCTTCACTTAGTAACACCAAGGAGGGTGTTCCATAATATTACATCCTTTTAAATGACTGCATTATTTGCCACTATACAAATATCCCATGTTTTGTGTGACCAGATATAGAGTTTTTTTATATTTCATACCTCCTTTTTATTTATTTATTTATTTATTTATTTATTTTATTTTATGTTTTATTATACATTAAGTTGTGGGGTACCTGTGCAGAACGTGCAGGTTTGTTACATAGGTATACATGTGCCATGGTGGTTTGCTGTACCCATTAACCTGTCATCTACATTAGGCATTTCTCCTAATGCTATCCTTCCCCTAGTCCCCATCCCGCTCCCAACAGGCCCCAGTGTGTGATATTCCGCTCCCTGTGTCCATGTGTTCTCATTGTTCAACTCCCACTTATGAGTGAGAACATGCAGTGTTTGGTTTTCTGTTCTTGTGTTAGTTTGCTGAGAATGATGGTTTCCAGCTTCATCCATGTCCCTACAAAGGACATGAACTCATCCTTTTTATGGCTGCATAGTATTCCATGGTGTATATGTGCCACATTTTCTAAATCCAGTCTATCATTGATGGATATTTGGGTTGGTTTCAAGTCTTTGCAATTGTGAACAGTGCCACAATAAACATACGTGTGCATGTGTCTTTATAGTAGAATGATTTATAATCCTTTGGGTACATACCCTGTAATGGGATTGCTGGGTCAAATGGTATTTCTAGTTCTAATCCTTGAGGAATCGCCACACTGACTTCCACAATGGTTGAACTAATTTACGCTCCCACCAACAGTGTAAAAGCATTCCTATTTCTCCATATCCTCTCCAGCATCTGTTGTTTCCTGACGTTTTAATGATTGCCATTTTAACTGTCATGAGACGGTATCTCATTGTGGTTTTGATGTGCATTTCTCTAATGACCAGTGATGATGAGCTTTTTTTCATGTGTCTGTTGGCTGCATAAATGCCTTCTTTTGAGAAATGCCTGTTCATATCCTTTGCCCACTTTTTGATGGGTTTGTTAGTTTCTTTCTTGTAAATTTGTTTAAGTTCTTTGTAGATTCTGGATATTAGCCCTTTGTCAGATGGATAGATTGCAAAAATTTTCTCCCATTCTGTAGGTTGCCTGTTCACGCTGATGATAGTTTCTTTGACTGTGCAGAAGCTCTTTAGTTTAATTAGATCCCGTTTGTCTTTTGTTGCCATTGCTTTTGGTGTTTTAGTCATGAAGTCTTTGCCCATCCCTGTGTCCCGAATGGCATTGCCTAGGTTTTCTTCTAGGGTTTTTATGGCTTTAGGTCTTACGTTTAAGTCTTTAATCCATCTTGAGTTAATTTTTGTAAGGAAGGGATCCAGTTTCAGCTTTCTACATATAGCTAGCCAGTTTTCCCAACACCATTTATTAAATATGCAATCCTTTCACCATTGCTTGTTTCTATCAGGTTTGTCAAAGATCGGATGGTTGTAGATGTGTGGCATTATTTCTGAGGTCTCTGTTCTGTTCCATTGGTCTATATATCTGTTTTAGTACAAGTATCATGCTGTTTTTGTTACTGTAGCCTTGTAGTATAGTTTGAAGTCAGGTAGTGTGATGCCTCCAGCTTTGTTCTTTTTGCTTACTATTGTCTTGGCTATGTGGGCTCCTTTTGGTTCCATATGAAATTTAAAGTAGTTTTTTCCAGTTCTGTGAAGAAAGTCATTGGTAGCTTGATGGGGCTAGCATTGAATCTATAAATTACTTTGGGCAGTATGGCCATTTTCATGATATTCATTCTTCCTGTCCATGAGCATAGAATGTTTTTCCATTTGTTTGTGTCCTCTCTTATTTCTTTGAGCAGAGATTTCTAGTTCTACTTGAAGAGTTCCTTCACATCCCTCGTAAGCTGTATTCCTAGGTATTTTGTTCTCTTTGTAGCAATCGTGAACGGGAGTTCACTCATTTTCTATAAGGTGTAAGGAAGGGATCCAGTTTCAGCTTTCTACATATGACTAGCCAGTTTTCCCAGCACCATTTATTAAATAGGGAATCCTTTCCCCATTGCTTGTTTTTCTCAGGTTTGTCAAAGATCAGACAGTTGTAGATATGCGGCGTTATTTCTGAGGGCTCTGTTCTGTTCCGTTGGTCTATATCTCTGTTTTGGTACCAGTACCATGCTGTTTTGGTTACTGTAGCCTTGTAGTATAGTTTGAAGTCAGGTAGCATGATGCCTCCAGCTTTGTTCTTTTGGTTTAGGATTGTCTTGGCGATGCGGGCTCTTTTTTGGTTCCATATGAACTTTAAAGTAGTTTTTTCCAATTCTGTGAAGAAAGTCATTGGTAGCTTGATGGGGATGGCATTGAATCTATAAATTACCTTGGGCAGTATGGCCATTTTCAAGATATTGATTCTTCCTACCCATGAGCATGGAATGTTCTTCCATTTGTTTGTGTCCTCTTTTATTTCATTGAGCAGTGGTTTGAAGTTCTCCTTGAAGAGGTCCTTCACATCCCTTGTAAGTTGGATTCCTAGGTATTTTATTCTCTTTGAAGCAATTGTGAATGGGACTTCACTCATGATTTGGCTCTCTGTTAGTCTGTTATTGGTGTATAGGAATGTTTGTCATTTTTGCACATTGATGTTGTATCCTGAGACTTTGCTGAAGTTGCTTATCAGCTTAAGGAGATTTTGGGCTGAGATGATGGGGTTTTCTAAATACACAGTCCTGTCATCTGCAAACAGAGACAATTTGACTTCCTCTTTTCCTAATTAAATACCCTTTATTTCTTTTTCCTGCCTGATTGTCCTGGCCAGAAGTTCCAATACTATGTTGAATAGGAGTAGTGAGAGAGGGCATCCTTATCTTGTGCTGGTTTTCAAAGGGAATGCTTCCAGTTTTTGCCTATTCAGTATGATATTTACTGTGGGTTTGTCATAAACTGCTCTTATTATTTATGAGCTCTTATTATTTATATTTGAGGCATTCCATCAATGCCTAGTTTATTGAGAGTTTTTAGCATGAGGGGTTGTTGAATTTTGTTGAAGGCTTTTTCTGTGTCTTTTGAGATAATCAGGTGGCTTTTGTCATTGGTTCTGTTTATGTGATGGATTACGTTTATTGATTTGTATATGTTGAGCCAGCCTTGCATCCCAGGGATGAAGCCGATTTGATCATGGTGGATAAGCTTTTTGATGTGCTGCTGAATTTGGTTTGCCAGTATTTTATTGAGGGTTTTTGCATCGATGTTCATCAGGGATATTGGCCTGAAATTTTATTTTTCTGTTGTGTCTCTGCCAGGTTTTGGTATGAGGATGATGCTGGCCTCATAAAATGAGTTAGGACGGATTCCCTGATTTTCTATTGTTTGGAATAGTTTCAGAAGGAATGGTACTAGCTCCTCTTTGTACCTCTGGTAGAATTCGGCTGTGAATCTGTCCAGTGTAGGGCTTTTTTTGTTTGGCAGGCTATTTATTGCTGCCTCCATTTCAGAACTTGCTATTGGTCTATTCTGGAATTCAGCTTCCTGGTTGAGTCTTGGGAGGGTGTATGTGTCCAGGAATTTATCTATTTCTTCCAGATTTTCTAGTTTATTTGCATAAAGGTGTTTATAGTATTCTCTGATGGTAGTTTGTATTTCTGTGGAATCAGTGGTGATATCCCCTTTATCATTTTTTATTGCATCTATTTTGTTCTTCTCTCTTTTCTTCTTTATTTGTCTGGCTAGTGGTCTATCTATTTTGTTTATCTCTTCAAAAAACCAGCTCCTGGATTCATTGATTTTTTTGAAGGGTTTTTGTGTCTCTCTCTCCTTCAGTTCTGCTCTGACCTTAGTTATTTCTTGTCTTCTGCTAGCTTTTGAATTTGTTTGCTCTTGCTTCTCTAGTTCTTTTAATTGTGATGTTAGGGTGTTGATTTTAGATCTGTCTTGCTGTCTCTTGTGGGCATTTAGTGCTCTAAATTTCCCTCTACACACTGCTTTACATATGTCCCAGAGATTCTGGAATGTTGTGTCTTTGTTCTCATTGGTTTGAAAGAACATCTTTATTTCTGCCTTCATTTCGTTGTTCACCCAGTAGTCATTCAGGAGCAAGTTGTTCAGTTTTCATGTAGTTGTGTGGTTTTGAGTGAGTTTGTTAATCCTGAGTTCTAATTTGATTGCACTATGGTCTGAGAGACTGTTATTATTTCCATTCTTTTGAATTTGCTGAGGAGTGTTTTACTTCCAATTATGTGGTCAATTTTAGAATAAGTGTGATGTGGTGCTGAGAAGAATGTATATTCTGTTGATTTAGGGTGAAGAGTTCTTTAGATGTCAATTAGTTCCACTTGATCCAGAGCTGAGTTCAAGTCCTGGATATCCTTGTCAATTTTCTATCTCGTTGATCTGTCTAATATTGACAATGGGGTGTTAAAGTCTCCGGCTATTATTGTGTGGGAGTCTGTCTGTAGGTCTCTAAGAACCTCCTTTATGAATCTGTGTGCTCCTGTATCGGGTGGATATATATTTAGGATAGTTAGCTCTTCTTGTTGCATTGATCCCTTTACCATTATGTAATGGCCTTCTTTGTCTCTTTTGATCTCTGTTGGTTTGAAGTCTGTTTTATCAGAGACTAGGACTGCAACCCCTGCTATTTTCTGCTTTCCATTTGCTTGGTAAATAGTCCTCCATCCCTTTATTTTGAGCCTTTGTGTGTCTTTGCACGTGAGATGGGTCTCCTGAATACAGCACACTGATGTGTCTGGACTCTTTATCCAATTTGCCAGTCTGTGTCTTTGGATTGGGGCACTTTGCCTGTTTACATTTAAGATTAATATTGATATGTGTTAGTTTGATCCTGCCATTATGATGCTAGCTGGTAATTTTGCCCGTTAGTTTATGCAGTTTCTTCATAACGTTGACAGTCTTTACAATTTGGTATGTTTTTGCAGTGGCTGGTACAAGTTGTTCCTTTCAATGTTTAGTGCTTCCTTCAGGAGCTCTTGTAAGGTAGGCCTGGTGGTGACAAAATCTCTCAGCATTTGCTTGTCTGTAAAGGATTTTATTTCCCCTTCACTTATGAACCTTAGTTTCGCTGGATATGAAATTCTGGGTTGAAAATTCTTTTCTTTAAGAATGTTGAATATTGGCCTCCACTCTCTTCTGGATTGTAGGGTTTCTGCAGAGAGATCTGCTATTAGACTTACGGGCTTCCCTTTGTGGGTAACCTGACCTTTCTCTCTGGCTGCCCTTAACATTTTTCCCTTCATTTCAACTTTGGTTAATCTGATGATTATGTGTATTGGGGTTGCTCTTCTCAAGGAGTAACTTTGTGGTGTTCTCTGTATTTCCTGAATTTGAATGTTAGCCTGCCTTGCTAAATTGGGGAAGTTCTCCTGGATAATATCCTGAAGAGTGTTTTCCAACTTGGATCCATTCTCCCTGTCACTTTCAGGTATACCAATCAAATGTAGATTTGGTCTTTTCACATAGTCCCATATTTCTTGGAGGCTTTGTTCATTTCTTTTTCACTCTTTTTTTTTTCTCTGATCTTGTCTTTTATCTTTATTTCATTGAGTTGATCTTCAATCTCTGATATCTTTTCTTCCGCTTGATTGATTTGGCTATTGATACTTGTGTATGCTTCACACAGTTCTCGTGCTCTGTTTTTCGGCTCCATCAGGTCATTTATGTTCTTCTCCAAACTGGTTATTCTAGTTAGCAATTCATCTAACTTTTTTTCAAGGTTCTTAGCTTCCTTTCATTGGGTTAAAACATGCTCCTTTAGCTTGGAGGAGTTTGTTATTACCCACCTTCTGAAGCCTACCTCTGTCAATTCATCACAGTCATTCTCTGTCCAGTTTTGCTCCCTTGCTGGCGAGGAGTTGTGATCCTTTGGAGGAGAAGAGGCATTCTGGTTTTTGGAGTTTTCAGCCTTTTTATGCTGGTTCCTCCCCATCTTCATGGATTTACCTACCTTTGGTCTTTGAAGTCAGTGACCTTTGGATGGGGTCTCTGAGTGGATGTCCTTTTTGTTGGTGTGATGCTCCTTTCTTTTTGTTAGTTTTCCTTCTAACGGTCAGGCCTCTCTGCTGCAGGTCTGCTGGAATTTGATGGAGGTCCACTCCAGACCCTGTTTGCCTGGGTATCATCAGCAGAGGCTGCAGAACAGCAAAGATTGCTGCCTGTTCCTTCCTCTGGAAGCTTTGTCCCAGAGGGGCACCTTCCAGATGCCAGCTAGAGCTCTCCTGTATGAGGTGTCTGTGAGCCCCTGCTCTGAGGTGTCTCCCAGCCAGGATATACAGGGGTCAGGGACCCACTTGAGGAGGCAGTCTGTCCCTTATCCGAGCTTGAACACTGTGCTGGGAGATACGCTGTTCTCTTCAGAGCTGCCAGCCAGGGACGTTTAAGTCTGCTGAAGCTGCACCCACAGCTGCTCCTTCCCCCAGGTGCTCTGTCCCAGGGAGGTGGGGGTTTTATCTATAAGTCCCTGACAGGGGCTGCTGCCTTTTTTTCAGAGATGCCCTCTCCAGATAGAAGGGAATCTAGAGAGACAGTCTGGCCACAGCGGCCTTGCTGAGGTGTGGTGGGCTCCACCCAGTTCTAACTTCCTGGCAGCTTTGTTTACACTGTGAAGGTGAAACTGCCTACTCAAGCCTCAGCAATGGTGGTTGCCTCTCCCCCCACCAAGCTTGAGCGTCCCAGGTCGAGCTCAGACTGCTGTGATGGCAGCAAGAATTTCAAGCCAGTGGATCTTAGCTTGCTGGGCTCCATGGGGGTGGGACCTGCTGAATCAGACCACTTGGCTCCCTGGCTTCAGCCCCCTTTCCAAGGGAATGAATGGTTCTATCTCGCTGGCATTCCAGGCACCACTGGGGTATGAAAAGAAACTCCTGTGACTACCTTAGTGTCTGCCCAATTGGCCACCCAGTTTTGTGCCGGAAACCCAGGGCTCTGATGTCGTAGGCTCCAGAGGAAATCTCCTGGCCTGCAGGTTGCGAAGACCATGGGAAAACTGTTGTATCTGGGCCAGAGTGCACGGTACAGTCCCTAATGGCTTCCCTTGACTGGGAAAGGGAGTTTCCCAACCCCTTGAGCTTCCTGTGTGAGGCAACACCACGCCCTGCTTCAGCTTGCCCTCCTTGGGTTGCGCCCACTGTCCAGCCAGTCCCAATGAGATGAACTGGGTACCTCAGTTGGAAATGCAGAATTCACCCACCGGCTGTGTCGATCTTGCTGGGAGCTGCAGACCAGAGCTCTTCCTATTCGGCCATCTTGCCAGCAATCCCACATTTAGAGTTTTAACAGCTTTTTGCTAAAACAATCAATGATGAGATAAATATTTCTTCATGAATATCATTTTTGTACACAAACTAGTTATCTATAGGCAAGAATTATTTTTAAATGCAAGTTCTGCAGGCCACTTTAGTTGATAGTTTCCAACTAAGTGAATAAATGGCTTTAATCTGTACTTTAGTAGACCAAAAAAAAAAAGTATGGTCAGTAGGACATTTATAGCCCCAAATTACGATTTTTCCTGTCTTCTGTATGAAACTAATAAGTCCTCTTGTTTAGCGTGCAGATGTGGTTAGGCATGGTCATCAAGTTAGTTATCTTTTTTATTTCTTTTTTGAGACAGGATCTCACTCTGTTGTCCAGGCTGGAGTAAAGTGGCATGATCACAGCTCACTGCAGCCTCAACCTCCCAGGCTCAAGCTATGCTCCCACCTCAGCCTCTCAAGTAGCTGGGACAACAGAGGCTTGCAACCATGCCTGGATAATTTTTTTTTTTTTTAGTAGAGTTGAATTCTGGCTATGTACCTTGGTTCGTCTCGAACTCCTGGGCTCAAATGATACTCCTGACTCAACCTCCCAAAGTGCTGGGATTATAGGGATGAGCTACTGTTCCCAGTCCACATTAGTTATCTTGATCATTCTAGCCTCTTTCTGTAAGAGATTAGAGGTGTGCTTTTCATGCTTCTCAAACTTTAATGCCTAGAGGAATCATCTAAGGGTTTCATTCAATGGCCCATTCTGCATTAGTGGATCTGATAGGAGCCCAGAGAGTCCACATTTCAGGCAAGCTGCAAGGCGACACCAACACTGCTGGTCCATAGTGAGTTGAGTAGAAAGGATGTGAGGATGAGCTGAGGAAGGAGACAATGGTGGGATCAGTGAGAAAGTCAATGGGCCAGAAACAAAAAGAGCTGAGGTTTAGATGCCAGTTTTCCACATGTTATTTGAGCTACAACTCCTCCAATTAGCTCCTGAAGTCTGTTTACCCAACTGTTAAATTGTAATAAAAATTCTAGTTTGCCTTACCCACATCAGAGAGTTGAGCTGAGGCTCCCGTGAGAAGACATACACACTCAATGTATGACGTGTGCGACAGTTAAACAAATATGTGAAGGTAATGCTATTGATTTTGTATAGTACCTTGTTTCTGGAAAGAGATTATGTGAGCAGTTAGAAACTCCTAAAGCTTAACCCACTTTAATTAATCTGTAAAAACCTAACAGCATACTGCAGTGTGTACACAGCAAGAGCTCAGCTATATAGATTGCACAGAAGAAAAAAAAGATAGAAGAAAAAAAAAACTGTTAACACTTGTGCCTGAAAGAGGAAATGACAATTACATGATTTTTTCTAATTCTTCATGATAGTTCTTCAGTTTTGTGTATTCTATAAATGTGTGTGTCTCTCTTTTATAAGACTCTAAAACTTTGGTCACTCTCCTCTCTATAGATTTGGAATATATTGTGGTCTTGTATCATCATAACAAATAAATAATAATGCACTAATATTAACTGAGTTCCTACCATATACTACACACTGGTCTAATCCTTTACATATGTGAGCTCTTCAGTGTAACTCTGTAAGTTAGCCCCATAATTGCATCCCTATACAGCAGGGAAAAGCCTTTTTAATATACAAGTAAGATCTAATTTCTCCCCTATGTGAGATTCTCCAGTAATCTCCCACATCTTCATAGTCTACAAAGCCTGGTGGAAGCCAGCCCTGGCCTATCTCTTACCACTTATTTTCCTGCTGGGTCTTTCTTTTCCAGCCACAATGGTCTTGTTTCTGCTTCTAAATTTCATTAGCTTCATTCTCACCTTGGAGCTTTTGAAGTAGCCAAGTGCATGCACTGGAATATCCTACCTCCCCAACACACACAATTTAGATACATATTCAATTGTGGCTCTCTTAAATACAGACTTCAGTGAATTTACTTTTTAATATGGTATCCCAACCTCATTGGTATTCTTAATATTTTAATTGAAATTAGTACTGTTTAAAATTAAATCATGTATTTGTTTCCTTGTTTTAGTTGTTTAATATATTTATTCTCCACTAGAATTTGAATTTTGGGAGGACAGAGATTTCATCTTACTTCTAGCTACAGACTTGATAAGGAAGAGGTGGTGGATATGGTGGACTCAGAGCTTATGGTTTTCTTTGCTTATCATGGAATCCAATTAGTTCAGGACTCAGGCTTGCATGTATGTATGTGTATGCATTTGGAGCAGTCCATGGGAAAGCACAAATGTGCCAAGTTTCCAATGTGAGAATATTCCTCAGGATCAAGGGGGTAGAATATAGAGAAGCGAAGTTTATTTTGTCATTCCAAATATTGTACCCCAATGTTACTAGTATGTAGTGAATGAAAGGTAGTGTCAGAAGAATAGACAGTGTAAACACTTGTAGTACGTCTTTGCACATACCTTGCCATGCTTTTGTCAGGAACGAAGTGTTCTGCATACTTCCAAGGACACGAACAAATTTTAAAAATTGTTTATTATTGATAATTGAAATAGCTTTGGGTTGAATTAGTCAAAACATCTATTTTTACATTACGCTTTTACATTTTGGAACATTCTCTTTTCACCCTTCTCTATCTTCTGAATACCATACAACTTAAAAGTGTATAGCTGAATATAAAAATTCTACTTTGGAAGGCAGGGCACAGTGGCTTACGCCTGTAATCCCAGCACTTTGGGAGGCCAAGGTGGGTGGATCATAAGGTCAAGAGATTGAGACCACCTGGCCAACCTGGTGAAACCCCATCTCTACTAAAATATAAAAATTAGCTGGGCGTGGTGGTGCACACATGTAGTCCCAGCTACTTGGGAGGCTGAAGCAGGAGAATTGCTTGAATCTGGGAGGTGGAGGTTGCAGCGAGTCAAGATGGCACCACTGCATTCCAGCCTGGCGACAGAGCGAGATTCCGTCTTAAAAAAATAAAAATTCGACTTCGGTTGTTTGTGGAAAGAGTTGACAGAACACTTTGTGAAAAATCTATCATAATTGAGAATTTTGTGTTAAACAAAAATACACCACTTATTGGCTTTCTAGGGCTTCTGGGATGCCTTAGAATGAAAATAATTTTTCCTAAACCTTACTGTGTACAGACTCAGGACACTGCTGAAATTTTAATAACAAAAGAGTTTCACAAATTTTTTTTAGATGGTGATTCTATTATTTATCGGTCTTGAAAGTGAGCTGACCAGGGGAAGGATTTCTGTGACTATATTTAACTGTGTGGTTTGGAGTAGGATATTGAGGAAAGAAACTTCAAGGAAAAGAAGCAGAGAAAAATTTATAGGTTGGGAGGGTGAAGAAAAAACTAAAAGCAAATACTCTTGAAACTCAGCAAACTGCAACAAAAGGCTTCAAGATATAGAAATTGCCTTTACATTCCTTTTGGCATCGTCTGCAGTGGGAGTAACTTTGAATTTTACTCAAAACTGAGTTTCAACTGGCATTTTTATTATGTTTACTTAACAGCATAAAAAGATGAGCAATGCTAGCATATTTATTTAGCATAAGATAGAGCCAGATGTCCAAAACATACCCAAGAGTGGACTCCATATTCCAGGACTGAATGATAAATATATTTTAGTATCTATCACACTGTCAAAGTTTTCTTTGGCTTATTAAATTGCCTGAACAATTATGGATTGCTTTTGTCATGATGGGATGAATCTTCTAGACAGTTCTTAAAGTCTTTACAATTCATAAGCCACAGTAAACTCTTATTTATGTTTCTGCAAATCCTCCCATTAATTCAGTAGACCTTTCTCATAGTCTTTTGAACATCTAATAAGACATTGGTGGTTGTAACAGCTTTGAAGCTAAGTCATTTGTATTAACACACCTAAGTTTGCTGCTGGTATAGTTTCTGTTGAAGTGTATACAAATTGGAATGCAAGATAATTATCTTTGAACCTATACAGCAAAATAAAGTTTTAAATCTTAATGAAATGTGTATATAGGATCAATCTTTACAGCTCCTTTCAAAACAAGGTTTTTAAAGAATATATTTATTGCAAGTGTCAGACAGCAGTAATAATCTTGCCTCCCTCTTAGTGTTTTTATGACATTAAATGAAGTAGAGTAAGTATATCATTTGGGATTCCTTCAATTGCAAACAATGGAAAACCAAATTAATCATGATTTAAACACTTTAGGACTTGTTTTTTCATATAATGAGAAATCAAGCATATAGTATGACTACTGTAGGTGTTCAATGGTCCTATTAGGGACCCAGCTCTTCCATCTCCTCTCCCATCCAAAAGACCTTGGCTTTTAACTTCACATTCACAAGATGGCTGCTGCACTTTCTGGCACTGTGTTTGTGTTCTGGACAGAAAACATGGTAAAGGGTAAAGAATGAAAGCAGTGATGTCCAAGTCTGTCCTGTCGAAAGCTTTGCTAGATGCTCCAGCAATTGATTTTCACTATCAGGAAGTATATCACTTAAGCTGGGCAAGGTGGCACATGCCTGTAATCCCAGCACTTTGGGAGGCCAAGGAAGGCAGATTGCTTGAGCCCAGGAGTTTGAGACTAGTTTGGGGAATATGGCAAATCCCATCTCTACAGAAAAAAGACAAATTAGCTACTCGGGAACCAGAGTTGGGAATGCTTCCTATGCAGTAGTTGTTTTTCTTTTTTTTTTTTTTTATTATACTTTAAGTTTTAGGGTATATGTGCACATTGTGCAGGTTAGTTACATATGTATACATGTGCCATGCTGGTGCGCTGCACCCACCAACTCGTCATCTAGCATTAGGTATATCTCCCAATGCTATCCCTCCCCCCTCCCCCACCCCACCACAGTCCCCAGAGTGTGATATTCCCCTTCCTGTGTCCATGTGATCTCATTGTTCAATTCCCACCTATGAGTGAGAATATGCGGTGTTTGGTTTTTTGTTCTTGCGATAGTTTACTGAGAATGATGTTTTCCAATTTCATCCATGTCCCTACAAAGGACATGAACTCATCATTTTTTATGGCTGCATAGTATTCCGTGGTGTATGTGTGTCACATTTTCTTAATCCAGTCTATCATTGTTGGACATTTGGGTCGGTTCCAAGTCTTTGCTATTGTGAATAATGCCGCAATAAACATACGTGTGCATGTGTCTTTATAGCAGCATGATTTATAATCCCTTGGGTATATACCCAGTAATGGGATGGCTGGGTCAAATGGTATTTCCAGTTCTAGATCCCTGAGGAATCGCCACACTGACTTCCACAATGGTTGAATTAGTTTACAGTCCCACCGACAGTGTAAAAGTGTTCCTATTTCTCCACATCCTCTCCAGCACCTGTTGTTTCCTGACTTTTTAATGATTGCCATTCTAACTGGTGTGAGATGGTATCTCATTGTGGTTTTGATTTGCATTTCTCTGATGGTCAGTGATGGTGAGCATTTTTTCATGTGTTTTTTGGCTGCATAAATGTCTTCTTTTGAGAAGTGTCTGTTCATGTCCTTCGCCCACTTTTTGATGGGGTTGTTTGTTTTTTTCTTGTAAATTTGTTTGAGTTCATTGTAGATTCTGGATATTAGCCCTTTGTCAGATGAGTAGGTTGTGAAAATTTTCTCCCATTTTGTAGGTTGCCTGTTCACTCTGATGGTAGTTTCTTTTGCTGTGCAGAAGCTGTTTAGTTTAATTAGATCCCATTTGTCAATTTTGGCTTTTGTTGCCATTGCTTTTGGTGTTTTGGACATGAAGTCCTTGCCCATGCCTATGTCCTGAATGGTAATGCCTAGGTTTTCTTCTAGGGTTTTTATGGTTTTAGGTCTAACGTTTAAGTCTTTAATCCATCTTGAATTGATTTTTGTATAAGGTGTAAGGAAGGGATCCAGTTTCAGCTTTCAACGTATGGCTAGCCAGTTTTCCCAGCACCATTTATTAAATAGGGAATCCTTTCCCCATTGCTTGTTTTTCTCAGGTTTGTCAAAGATCAGATAGTTGTAGATATGCGGCATTATTTCTGAGGGCTCTGTTCTGTTCCATTGATCCAAATCATGAGTGAACTCCCATTCACAATTGCTTCAAAGAGAATAAAATACCTAGGAATCCAACTTACAAGGGATGTGAAGGACCTCTTCAAGGAGAACTACAAACCACTGCTCAAGGAAATAAAAGAGGATACAAACAAATGGAAGAACATTCCATGCTCATGGGTAGGAAGAATCAATATCGTGAAAATGGCCATACTGCCCAAGGTAATTTACAGATTCAATGCCATCCCCATCAAGCTACCAATGCCTTTCTTCACAGAATTGGAAAAAACTACTTTAAAGTTCATATGGAACCAAAAAAGAGCCCACATCGCCAAGGCAATCCTAAGCCAAAAGAACAAAGCTGGAGGCATCACACTACCTGACTTCAAACTATACTACAAGGCTACAGTAACCAAAACAGCATAGTACTAGTACCAAAACAGGTTTTTCTAGGCATTTTATCTGCATTATCTGAATGAAGTCTTGCAATAACACTATGAAGCAGGTAAAGTGATTGTGATACCACGATTTTATGGGTTAATGGCCTGAGGTGTAGAGAAGTATGGCAGTGGCTAAGGTAGGGTTTGGCATCCAGAATCTCTGCTCTTAACCACTACATTAAACTGTGTATTCCAGACTATTTCCTGAGATATAAGTCTATAGAACTTTAATGCATGAGGTAAGAGAAAAGTTACTCAAAATTTCTTTTACAAGTGGAGGAATTGGAGGCCTGAGAAAGAACGGCGGTGCTGAAGGTCACCAGGATTTTTTAGTTAAAAATGGCTTGAACATGGAAATGAGACTCCTTACATATAGTTCACTGTTCTTTTCTCTAGACTATGAGACATTCTTAGTTAATTTCCAGGTCAGCTGTGAAAAGAATAGTCACACTCATTATCAGAATGATTAATCATCATTTCAAGTATATATAAAACTTGCAAAACTGTTTTTGTCCAGTTGTTTTTATGAGCTTCTTTTGAATAGTCAGATAAATAAATGTTTGGCAGAAATTTTCCATAGGTGATTCTGCGTATTTTACATTGCACCATATCAGGAGGCCATAAAATCAGCCAGTGATGCTAATTTTCATAAGCTAAAGTGGTGCCAGCAGACTTTTTTCTAGTCTAAGGCTGTATTTTTCCCCTTGCAATGAATAAATACTCTGGAAGGGGATGGAGGGATTTCTTTGGTCCTGGCCTAGGAACTGGCTCTGCAACAACCTTATGATATGGACAAGAGGCAGGGCAATGCTGGGTAGAAAAGTGTGGGGTCCATGGCTAGAGTTCCACCCTCAAGACTGGACCTACAGCCCTAAATGAGAACTTCATATCCCTGTTTTCTCACCGGAATGTTGCCTTTTGGCCCACCACATGCCCTATCCTGTGCCCAAAAAACCCCCAGGTTCCACTGACAGAAGAAGAGAGTGGTGTGGCAGAGAAGGACAGAAGGGAGAAGTGTCTGAACATCAAGAAGAGAGGAAGCATGGAGAGGAGTTTGGCTGGGGACGGTCTGAGAGGAGTTTGGCCAAACTCCAGGGAAAGATCACCTTCCCACTCCATCCCCTTTCCAGCTCCTCATCCCACTGAGAGCCACTTCCACCTCTTAATAAAATCTCCACATTCACCATCCTTCGAATCCATGTGACCTCACTCCTCTTGGGCATTTGACAAGAATTTGGGATGCCCTAGGTGTGGGAACCCAAAAAGGCTGTCACGCTCGCCCTTTGCCCTCACTGACAGAGGGCAACCAACCCATGCAATGAGACAAAAGGCCCACTGAGCTGGTAACATGCCTTCTGGGGCTCTGGGGGGGTCACAAGGCACCACCTCCCATAAGACGAAGCTAAAAGATCATTGTAACACACTTTGACACTGCCACCAGAGAGAAGTGGCTGGCAGTTCCAATGTTCATTTGCTCCTTTTCCCGCACCCATCTGCTTGCATGTTCCCTCCCATAAGGGGTTGAGACTGGCAGCTGAGTAAACAAGCCACCTCTGTCACAAGTCCCATGAAGAGGTAAAGGGAACTCTCCTGTTTCACTGGCATCGAATAGTTTTAGTATCTTTTGGTTGTCCTTTGCTCAATCAATCATTTCTTGGGTATTGTAAAATGGTGACTTTTTAATACTCTTTGTCCTTCTATATTATTGACTGAATTTCCTATAAAGAAGCACTTCACCTCATTAACTAAGGGTAAAATATAGCTTCTTCTAAAAAAGCAGACTGAATACTTATTTCCATTTGATTAAAAATATTCAAGGTAAAAATTAATATAACATTGCTTCCAAGGAGATTTAAGTTTTTGTCTTTTGGTTTTTGTTTTTATTTTCTTGTCTCCCGTTTTTCTTTTTTTCCAAAAAGTGTCACTCTAGACACATGAGCTAGTATTTATTCAATATGTTACAATCAAACTTCCAGGAAATGAAGAAAGAATAAAAATGCTAAAAGACAGACAACATGAGACAATTCTAGATGTAAGACGTTCTACAAAATAACTGTTTTGATCTGTACCAAAAGTCAATATAATGAGAAAACAAATGGATACCTGTCACAGGATAATATAGACCAAAGGGAAATAATTTTTAATTCAATGAATGATTTTCATAGTTGTCCAAAGTCAAATGGGTTAAAATTGAATGTTGACTGTATATTAACTATTTAAAAAATTACTGTTTTATTTGTGATATGATAGTGACATTGTGATTATGTGGGAGAATACCTTTGTAAGGGAGGCATCCTAAAGAAATTATGGATGAAGGATTATGATATGTGCAGCTTACATAAATTCTATAAAATAAGTTTGTTAACACACAGTCACAATACTTAATGTGGCATATCAAAATATGGCAAAATGTTAAGCATTGAATTTATTTGTAGAGTATATAGGTGATCATTATTTTATTAATTCATTTTTTTCTTAATGAGAAAATTTATTTTAAACGTTTTAGAGAAAAATAGATGGCTATGGTTGCTTTGGAAATGTAGGATACTTTCTTAATTTTATAGTCTACAGCAGTGTTTTCTGAAATATGTGTTTTGCCTTGTTTGATTGGTTCAATATTCACGTAGAGAGGGCTGGAACCCCTGTCTTTACTTTAGGTAGGATAGATTTTAATCTAATTTATATTTTGGGAACCTCCTTACGATTTTATTTCTAAAAATTATAATACTTTTGGAAAGAAGTTATCCATTTAGTCACAAGATCCTTGATGAAATTTTCCTCAACTGGCCAATGTTTTGCATACCTGATTAAGAGTCTTATAATAGAGATTGGCAATGGACCAGATGGCAAATATTTTAGTCTTTGTTAGCTACACAGTCTCTCTTACAACTACCCAGTGTGGCCTCATTAGTGGATGAAGCAGCCATGGAAAACATGCAAATGAAAGGGTGTGGCTGTGTTTCAATAAAACTTTATTTACATAAATAGTTAAGTGACCTGATTTAGTCTGAAGAAAGTGTGCAGATGCTTGTCAATCACATCAAAACATAGGGACAGTTTTGTGATGTGATACCATGACTCCTTCTTTCTCAGGACCTGTGCACGTGTTGCTATCTTTCTCTGAAAATTTCTCACCTCTCCTCGCACCTAGTTAATTATTTCTCATTTTTAATTTCTCCCCATAAGCATCTCATCCCCCCGAAAAAAGATTCCTTGATTAGGTCAATTCCTGAACTGCATGATTTTATCTTTCTCACAGCATTCATAACAATCATGCATTTATATCACTAGTTGATTAACTCTTAAGATTATTGATTAATGATCATCTTCTAGGATGGAAATTCTTCAGGACAGGAACAGTTTCTGTTTTGCTGTATTGTTGTTGTTGCTATTGTTGTTTTTTTATCGATTTTCTTTGGCCTTTTTTCACTGTTTTATCACCAGACTAGGAGAATACCTGGCACTCAAGTATTAGTTGAATGGATTAGGTGATTGCCTTCCAGGCCTAGCTGCTGTTATACTGTGGATATAAAGAATAAGACAGAAGTTTAAAAGATATTAATGGACATATTAATTTGTAAGCTGAGATAAGTTATTTTTCTTTTCGAATCCATTGTCTTTTAAATGCCGGTGAAACAAAAGCATAAGAAATGTGGTATGAAACCTGTTAGTTAGCATACTAATGGTTTAGCTGAATCCTGGGAATGTTCTAAATTTCTCACCATATTTAAAAATAGTTCGGGGCTGAGTGCGGTGGCTCACGCATATAATCCCAGCACTTTGGGAGTCCAAGGCAGGTGGATCATTTGAGGTAAGGAATTTAAGACCAGCATGGCCAACATGGTAAAATCCCGTCTCTACTAAAAATACAAAAATTAGCTGGGCATGGTGGCATGCGCCTGTAATCTCAGTTACTCAGGAGTCTGAGGCAGGAGAATTGCTTGAGCCTGGGAGGTGGAGGTTGTGGTGAGTCAAGATCACGCCACTGCACTCCAGTCTGGGTGACAGAGTGAGACCCTGTCTCAAAAAAAAAAAAAAAAAAAAAGAAAGAAAGAATAAGAAAATAGTTTTAAGCTTGAGTAATGAAGTCTTAATGAATTATATGTGACTTAAGTTATTTGAGTTTTCTTCACAGAGGACATTGGCTTATTTCTTGTGTTATATAGAACAAAGTTCAAATTCTATGAAGTGATCCCTCAAACCCCCTAATATCTGGTCCCAATAATTAACCAGTTATTTTGTTGTTCTGATACATCTTCTGCTTTTGTCAAACTGGCTTATTTGTTTCTTGAATCGTATCTTTGGGTTTTCCCAACTTTGTGAAACTGGCTTATTTGTTTCTGGAATCTTATCTTTGGGTTTGTCCAACTCTGTGACTTTCTATATTCTGAACCTTTCCGTGAATTTATTGCCTCCATTATCTTGTACTTTCTAATTTAATTCAACTGCTCGTTTTTCATGTGACTATTTTCCAACCAAAACATAAATTAATTTTACAAAATTATTTTATTGTTTAGTTTTGTCACAATCAGTTATGCAATAAATGCTGTACAGTGGACACTTCATGAAAATATTTTGAATATTGGGTTGCTTCATGAGGGCTATCCAGATGATAAAGCTGGTAATAGCTCTCATCTGTGATATATATGGTAAACATGTTTTTACCAACCTGTGTGGTAGGAGTTATTAAGAAATTATTTTAGGCAGATAGAGAGGAAAAGGGGTCCTTGGGAAGCTTTTGTTTTTTAAAGCATCTCCAGAAAAGTTTCTTGTAAAGCCCAGGCTCTTAGATCCAGGCAGGCAAACTTTGGTATGCAAATACCAGCCATTAGAAACTGGGTCCACCCAACATGGCTATTAGGAGGCCTTCTTGCCCTTGCCCAGCATGTTCCTGGCAACATGGCCACCCCCACATATCCCCATGTGTGTAGAACATCATGGCACCCCACATTTGCAGATTAAAAGAGTAGGGTGGGAGGGCCAGCTCTTTTGCGGGCTACATGAATGACATGCCTAGTCAAACCAATCCCCTGAGCCCTATGCAAATCAAACACTGCTTCCTCTAGCCTCTGCATGTATACCTGGCTGGTGTCCCTGGCAGGTGGGGACCTCATCTTTCAGCTTCGGAGCCCCCTTCCCTCTGTGTCTGTACAGGGGAGCTTCTTCTTTCTTCCTTCTCCCTTCCTTCTTGCCTGTTAAACTTTCCACTCCTTAAAACCACTCCGTGTGTGTCCCTGTCATTTTACCTAAACCGGCATGAGGACCAGGAACCCTGGTGTTCCTCCACTCATTGGAGCCATATCACCTGGACTATCCTGCAGTTAAAACATAATTAAGCTAGAATCAGTCTTTGTCATTAAGCTTAACTTATATAAATATCTGTCTGCTGAGTTTTATATTTTTAATTAAAATTAAGATTTAATATAATGTTGGTAACTTTGAGGTGATAAAACATCTGTGAAGGTGGTGGCAGTTCTGCAGTTGATCTGCATAAGATTTACTGTTTCTGAGATGAGAAATAATTACAATATTTCCCGAAAATAAGTCTGTTTGTCCATTTAAAACCAAAAACCATATCAAAATGAATAGAAAAGGTCAATCTTGTTAAATTGAGCACAGTCCAAATGAGCTAAATTTCATTTTCTACCACACTCATTCTTCTTTAATGAGCAGAAAAATGAAAATGTATTTTTTTTTGCTTCTTAATGGAGCATGAAGAAAGAAAGGGAGAAAAAACTCAGAGGCATTTGTTTTCCTATGAATCCGTTGAGATAAGATGATCCATCTCATAAGATGATCCATCTCTGACCTAAGCTACTCCACTAATCGGGGGTGGGGAGTTTGGGAGAAGATCAGTGCCTTTTTTGAGTTATTTTTAAATGATTTACATTTTATTGAATTCTGATTTCAGAAGGTCACTTTGTTTTTGTTGACTTGGATTCTGTATCTCTAAGGAGAATTTAAAGTATTATAGTAATTTGAGATGATTTCCTAAATAATTTAAGTTAAAGCACTAGCTGTTGAAAACAGTATCAAGTTAAGGTAACTGATAACTGTCTGATCCTTGCATTTGAAGATAAACTTTAATAGAGTGTGAGTGTGTGTTGTGTGTGTACATAGTCATCATAAATCTGTGTGATACTCTGTAGCTTTTATTCTTGTAAATCTCTTAAAATGGATGCCATTGTAAATTGCTTTAAGAAATGGTAAACACAAACTTGAAGTTAGGATTTAAAATGTATCATATCAGGGCACAGTGATAAAAATGCCCTAGTAAAGTTCAGTATATGAAGTGGGCAATAGAGGAAGCTAATCCTAGATTGCAAGCTGGACTGCATCATGAAAAGTATAGATGCAAGAAGGACAAATTTTAGTTTTTAGAGGGTTGTGAATTATTAGAGTTGGTAGGAAAGGACAGCGATGTAATTGAATACTTATTTTAGCACAATTAATCTGAGGGTGACCTAGAGAATAACGTGGTATGAAAGCGCTGGGGATGCACATAACAGCAGATAAGTTCTCAGTGTGATCTAGCAAAGATGAGCTCTCAGCATGATCTAACAATGGTAGGAAGAGGAATGACTGAACTAAACAACATTTAGAAGAAAGACATGAAGTCTTGGCTATTACTTCATGTTGAAAATAAGGAAGCCCACAAACAATTTGGGCATGACTGATTTTTCTATAGCTGCAGTGATGAGTAAACTGCCAAGCAAACAACTTGTTCAATCGATCATGCCCATCAGGCAACAGCACAAAACACACTGATAAAGTCAACATGCATTTTCTTCCACACTTTCACATCTGTTAGCAACCCAACTGCAAACAAATTCTTCTACCAGATTCCATAGTAGATCATCAGTTTGCTCTGCCAAATGAAACAATTCCTGGTCACCATAGTTCACCTTTGTTTCAGCAATAAGCCTTTTTGGTTTCAAATTCTGAGTGGTGAACTCTTTCTTTGGTAATGGTTTCTACATTTTATCAATGCCTTGACATTCTGTCATGTTTCTTTGCATTTAATTATTAAACTTCTCAAAACAATGTTTTGTAGTCGATGCCTTTATTTTCTTAGTATCTGTTTCCTCCTCATTTGTATACAGTGGAGCTGCCTAACACAATCTAAACATTTAATTCTTGATGAATGATATTCAAAATTTTTTTAATTAACTTGAACCTACTTTTCACCAACTTGAACTCTCATTACACACTTTATTCAAGTTAAACTAGACTATTCTTCCCTATTTTAAGATGCTACATGGAGTAGCTCTTGCATGTTTTTTACCAGCATTCTTCTCTCCTAGAATGTCCTCCTCCTAGTTTCCACATAAATTCGGTCTATCTCACCTCCTACCTGTTCCTTGAGGCAGCCTCTGACTCCAGATTTAAACAACTCCTTACTCCTAATAACACTTGTATTAGTTTTCATGGGTTGCCGTAACAAAATACCACAGACTGGTGGCTTCAACATCATAAATTTATATTCTCACAGTTCTGGAAGTGAGACATCCAAGATCAAAGAGCCGGCAGAGTTGGTTTCCTTCTAGGTTTCTTTCCTTGGCTTGCAGATGGCGTCCCTCTTGCTGCTTCTTCACAAGGTAGTCCCTCTGTGCATATGTACCCCAGGTGTCTCTCTCTATGTCCTAATCTCTTCTTATAAGGACCCAGTGATGTTGGATTAGGGCCCACACTAATGGCCTCATTTTAAGCTCATTACCTCTTTAAAGGACTTACCTCCAAATACAGCTACATGCTAAGACACTGGGTATTGGAGCTTCGAACACATACACTTTAGCATGGTGGGGAGAATGTTATTCAGCCCAGGAAAACAGTTATATAAAATCACTGGTTCCCTGAGCTTGTGATTTAATAGACAAACACAGTTTGCCAAAAGCAGACCCCTCTCACACACAAATAAAAATATGAAGGTCACTTAATGTTGCTAACATTCTTTTAAACATAATTTCTGATGAACAAATCATCTAATAATGCCATCATTTTATAACCTGCATTACAGCATCATAATTATCATGGAAAGCATGAAATAAATTGAACTTTATGAAAACCTAACTACATTGTTCTTATTTTTGTCATTCTGCTATAGACCAGTGAGAACTTTATCATAAACCAGCTCTAGTCACTGGTTATCATCTGGGAAGCACCAATGCATAATAGTCATTTTTAATAATCACCTATGATACACTTATTTATAATACTCCTGTATTTTTATATATGTATATACAGTTGACCCTTGAACAACACAGGTTTGAACCATGTAAGAACACTTGCATGTGGATTTTTTTCAATACAAGTTACACTAAGTGTGCCTGGCTCTCCTGCCTCCCTTTCTATCTCCTCTACCTCTTCCACTTTTGTCACCCTGAGACAGCAAAAACAGCTCTTCCTCTTCCTTCCCCTTCTCAGCTCCTCAATGTGAGGAAGATGAGGATGACGATCTTTATGATGATACACTTCCACTCAATGCATAGTAAATAATTTTCTCTTCATGATTTTTAAAATAATATTTCCTTTTCTATAGCTAACATTATTGTAAGAATACAATATGTAATATATACAGCATACATAATGTGTATTAATCAATGGTTTATGTTATCGGTAAGGCTTCTGGTCAAAAGGAAGCTATTAGTAGTTAAGTTTGTGGGTAGTCAAAATTTTATACACAAATTTTCTACTGCATACAGGTTCAGAGCCCCTAGCCCCTGCATTGTTCAGGAGTCAACTGTAGATATGTATATTTCTGTCTATATATTTGTGTCTCTGGGGTCATTGAGTTGTCACTTGCTTCCAAAATTCATAATCGGTCCTAGTAACTACAGATCTAAAGCAAAATTTGGGGTACTTCCTGGGGATCTCCTTTTCTGTCATCTTTGACACCCTTTCTGAAGTTTTTAATATCCTCCATTTCTAATGTTTGAAACTGAGAGGCAAAGCTGGAATGCTCGTTTTTGAACATTCCCTACCTCTGTCTTCTGTCAGTCTCTCTTTCTCATCATTCCCTCTGAGGCTCTACCTGACATCTTCCTAGGTGATATTTTCCTTCCTATTCATGGGATAAATATGATATCAGAACTTCAAGGAATAAAATCACATCACTGGTGAAAGAAAATGGGTTGAGAGGTGTTATTAAAACATTATGTTCTTCATTTTTTAAATTGTTAATTATTTTATCTTCACAGAGGGATTACTTTCCTCACTTTGTTATATATCCTGGAAGCTATGAACAATGATGCTTCTTCATACTCTTCAACCTCATCATGATACCTTGCACGAAGCAGGAGCTCAACTAATTTGGGTTGAGGCCAGAATGCCAATAGTGAGCAAAAAAGGATGATATTTGACACTTGGCATTGAATATCTGAATCATGATGTCCACATAACTACAGCTATGCACCACATAATGATGTTTTACTCAACAACAGACCACATATACAATGGTGGTTTCATAAGGCTATAAAGGAGCTGAAAATTTCTTACCACCTCATGTCCTCATGTCATAGTGCAACATATTGCTCTTGTGTTTGCAGTGATGCTGGCATAAACAAACCCACTGTGCTTTCAGTTGTATAAAACTGTAGCCCATACAATCATGTACAGTACATAATACTCAATGATGATAAACTAAATGACTATGTTACTGGTTTATGTATTTACTATACTATACTTTCTGTCATTATTTTAGAGTGTTCTTCCACTCGTTAAAAAAAAAAAAGTGTACTATAAGACAGTTTCGGGCAGGTCCCTCAGGTGGTATTCCAGAAGAACGTATTATTATTATAGGAGATGACAGCTCCATGCATGCTAATCCCGCTAAAGAATTTTCAGTGTGACAAGATATGGTGGTGGAAGACAGTGATATAGATGATGCTGACCCTGTGTAGGCCTAGGGTAATATGTCTGTTTGTGTCTCTGTTTTCCACAAAAAAAGTTTAAAAAGTAAAAAGTAATTAACAGAAAAAAGCTTATAGAATAAGAATATAGGCCAGGTGTGGTGGCTTATGCCTGTAATCCCAGCACTTTGGGAGGCTGAGGCGGGTGGGTCACAAGGTCAAGAGATTGAGCCCATCCTGGCCAACATGATGAAACCCCATCTCTACTAAAAATACAAAAATTAGCTGGGTGTGGTGGCGCATGCCTGTAATCCCAGCTACTCGGGAGGCTGAGGTAGGAGAATCACTTGAACCCGGGAAGTGGAGGTTGCACTGAGCCAAGACTGTGCCATTGCACTCCAGCCTGGGCAACAAGAGTGAAACTCTGCCTCAAAAAAAAAAAAAAAAAAAAAGGAATTAAAAAAAAGAATATAAAGAAGAATATAAAGAAAGAAAAAATATTTGTGTACAGCCGTATGTGTTTATGTTTTAAACTGTCATTACAAAAGTATCAAAAAGTTTTAAAAAGTGTATAAAGCAAAAAGTTACAGTAAGCTAAAATTTATTGTTAAGGAAAGAAAAATATATTTTTAATAAACTTAGTGTAGACTAAGGGTACAGTATTTATAAAGTCTACAGTGGTACACAGTAATGTCACAGGCCTTCATATTCACTCACCACTCACTCACTGACTCACCCAGAGCAAATTCCAGTCCTGCAAGCTTCATTCATGATAAGTGTCCTATACATGCATACCATTTTTCAATCTTTCATATCGTATCTTTACGGTACTTTTTCTATGTGTAGGTATATTTACATATGCAAGTACTTACCACTGTGTTCCAGTTTTCTAAAGTACTCAGTACAGTCACATGCTGTACCAGTTTGTAGCCTAGGAACAACAGGCTGTACCATACAGCAGAGGTGGAGTAGGCTATGTACTCTAGGTTTGTATGAGCACCTTCTATCATGTTCACACAATGATAAAATTGCCTAAAAATTCATTTCCTAGAACATATCCCCATTGTTAAGCAAGGCATGACTGTATTTGGTGACTGGGAAAATAAATTCCTATTTGGAATTTATTTATGCCAAAGAAATGAAATAAATATATGAAAGTTCTTCTAAGCTGTAACTTGCCATTCATAGTTTTATCCCTATGAAAAAGAAAATGAAATAAAGCAAATATCAAGAATCACATTAATGAATCATACTAATTATCTATTTGAACAATAACTTAGTGTTTTATGGTGTACACAACAATTATTTCAAATAAAATGATTTTTTATTTTGCATCCATTTATATTTGGCATATTTTTGACATTTTTCAAGAAGCAAAAATGGTACATTTTCTGTGGACATAGCTTGGGAAGAAAACTTAAGTCCAGTGGCCAGAAAGGAAATAGGTGTTGAGACAAGAATAAAATACCAATGCTTCCTTTTATATTTGTGCATTGAACCTATTTTATTTAATTCTATAAGCCATTTTTCAGATGTCACCAAAGTTTAAACTGCTACTGGGTATAAAATTTAAAATAAATTGCCTTTGGAAAACTCTAAAAACTAAAAACAAAAACAAAAACAAAAAAAAACTAGGTTTGGCTTAGTTGGACCCCAAATGGGTTTTTAAAACATCAGTTGAAAAATAGACTTCTCGTCTTAGTGCTGTTATTGTATGTGTTTTAATAGCTTCTTTTAAAAAATTTCCTCTGGAATAATATTCATTAACTTTCACACTGAATTTTTACAAATTATTATTTTTATTACTTTGGCATGTGTCTATACTTTAGTTAGGATGAGTTGCTATCATCAGTCAGGCTTCTTCAAAGAAACAGAACCAATATAATAAGTGTGTGTGTGTGTGTGTGTGTGTGTACATGTGTGTGTGTGTATATATATACGCATATATAAAGAGATTTATTACAAGGAATTGCTTTAGAAGGATTCTGAAAGCTAGCAAATTAAAAATCTGCAAAGTAGGCTGGAAGGCTAGAGACCCAGGAGAGGCAATACTGCAGCTCTAATGTGAAGACTGTCAGGCTCGAGGCCTAGGATGGCAAATGCCGCAGTTTGAATCTGTAGGCTATCTGCTAGAGAATTCTTTTTTGCGCAGGGGAGCCTGGTCATTTGTTCTATTTAGGCCTTCAACTGATTGGATGAGGCCCACCCACTTTATGGACGGCAACCTGATTTACTTGGTGACCAATTTAAATGTTACCCTCATCTACGAATGCCCTCACAGAAACACCCAGAATAATGTTTGACCAAATATTTGTGCACCCCATGGCTCAGAGAAGCTGACACATAAAATTAAACATAGTAGGTGAGGTATGATTTTACAGGTTCATGTTACATGTCCGCCAAGAAAGCTATGAAAAATTTTATTTTATAGCAGCATGATTCGTGAAGCCAAATGAGATAAAATTATGTTTTTAGTGGTAGTCTTGTTTGGATGAATAAATTCTTTTCTAAGAGAAAGATAGCAATTCTGTTTATTTAGTATGTTACAGTTTACAAGGCACTTTCACATATGTTAGCACTTTTTATCAGTCAGCACCATTCTCTTCAAAGCTTTGGCTGCAGGCCCTGCTACCAAGTTATGGACTGTATCTATCACAAGCAAAGTAAAGTTCGGTGTTGTATTTGTTCTCATGCTGCTAATAAAGACATACCTGAGACTGGGTAATTTGTAAAGGAAAAGGTTTAATTGACTCACAGTTTCACATGGTTGGGAAGGCCTCAAAATCATGGCAGAAAGCAAGGAGTAGGAAAGTCACGTCTTACATGGTGGCACACAAGAGACAGCGTGTGTGCAGGGGAACTCCCCTTTATAAAACCATTGGATTTTATAAGACATATTCACTATCACAAGAATAGCACAGGACAGACCTGAGCCCATGATTCAATTACCTCCCACCGGGTCCCTTCCATGACATGTGGGAATTATGGGAGCTACAATTCAAGATGAGATTTGGGTGGGGACATAGCCAAACCATATCAAAGGTAAAATAATTATGCAAAGAACTTGATAAATATAGAAACCAATGTGAGCAATTTAGCCAAACAAAATCCCATCTTTAATTGATACTTATTCTCTCTCAATTATGTGGGAAAATATCTCAGCTTGACTGTCATTTTGCAGAAGATGGTGATATCTGTATTGGAACATCTTCATATTCAACTTCAAATCTACAACATCTAGAATCACGACTGGAGCATAGTCGTTAAATGAAAGTGTTGTGGATGATAGTGAATCAATTCATGATCATAATAACTCAAGAAATTTATTCTTCATTCCCTTTAAATAAAACCTAAAAATACTAGTTCTAGGTGTGTGTGAATACTTGTGCATTTCTTGCTAAATTGTCAAAGGACTGGCTCCTTCTCCTGTCTTACATTTCATTTCTTTCTTAACCTTTTCCAATTTGGGTTTGACCCAACTACTCTTTTAGAATGACCATTGTTTCCTAATGTCTAATTAAGTGGCTTCCTTTCATTCCCCTTTATTGATCTGCATCTCCACATGTAGACCCTCATATTTACTTCCTTGAGAAATATTTCTAAATGTATGTGTCTAAATCCCTAACGTTGAAGATGACTGAATCAGAAAATATTAACCTTGGCATAAAAGTTTGTTTTCTCTTGTATTCCCCTTTCCAGCAAAGGTGTTGCCATGCATTTATTATTAGCACATTAGAAATATCTCTCTTACTCCCTTCTGAACAATAGCTCAATTTATATCCATCATATTTCAAATCCAGCATCTCTCTGACCAACCTCCCCTATCTCTCTACCTTGCAACATTGATCCTGATTTATACCCTACATTTTTGTGTAAGTCCTTTCCAATGGTCTCTCTGCCTCTGTTTTCTCACTATCAATTTATTTTACATATTCCTTTATGGACATCTTTCTAAAGCATTAAAGGAGTATTAGACTCCTACTCAAAATATTTCACAGCTTTAAAAACAATAAAACTACAGTGTGAGGTGGTGACAAGTTCATAGAAATAGAACGTACAAGTTGTTTTCAATATTGGACATAAAACTGGAACAAATTTGACTTGAGGATGAGTCCCTAAAGTGTTGTCCTTAGAATCCTTAGGTTATGTATGGCTAAGGACACCATGCATCCCAGAGCCTAAGTTAAAACTGATTTACTGTTAAGGGATCAACTCACCTCCACAATGAGGAGCATGAGAATTATGGAACAGGAATAAAGCATGGCATTATATTTACATTGTATGGGCAGATACGCTAGTGATGTGTGCTTATGCTGATTTACCATATTGTAGTATACTGTGAACTCATGTTTAAATATGACAATGTTTAAGCAACACGATCACCCACTTTGCCATATTCCTTCATTTTTCTTGAGTTAACGTGGCTGTTAAATAATTTTATTGACTTTTGGATTATAGTACACATATTATAACCAGATGCTGCTAAAAGTAATTGGCAATTTGTTTTGGCCAAAACTAATTCAATGAAGAATTTATAATCATGAAAATCATTGTGACTTTTCAATGATATTCTTAATTTTGATCCATTCCCCACCTATCAATGGAAATATAGAATATTAACTTCATTTGTTATGTCAGCTATACTTTGTCCTAGAACATGTATTTTTGTTTGTAAACTCTTGCTTCTTACAATCTTTAGGGTCTATTTGGATCATTAAGGAGTTGTCATTTTAGCATACAGAACTCTATTTCTCTCTATCCCACCCATGTCTACCCTCAGTAAAGATTCTTTATGTCAACTGGGTGAAAAACCAGGTGGTGATTCTCCAGTACTTTTGCTGCTAGAGGAAGAAATGCAAGTTAAAGAGCAGCAATACTGCCTGGCCCTGAACCTTCAGGGCTTAAATAAAGAGCCTAGAATATCGTCTCAGCTACAGTAAGCCATTCTTACATTAAAACTAGCTCTTTAGATTTTAAGCAGTCTGATGTAGCCTCATTTTCTAACATTTAGAAGCTTAAGTGTCTTATTTTTTACCAAATACAGTATAGAATGTCAACAAGCTAAACACCAGATCAGTGCAGAAATAATATGGAATGGCAACCAAGAAAAAGGAAAAATGAAAGTTTGTCAGGAGGCACTACAGTTGTCCCCCAAGTTTATTATTGCAATTGATCACATTTATGAAAATAACAGTTATAATGCAAGGAAGATGGTTACAGTATAATGTAAAGAATTCGCTCCATATACCACTTGACAACTTTATTTCCCCTACAAACTGGTGTTATGGTACATATAAGTTATTCTGTGACAGGATACCACTGGTGGATTATGTTGCCATATGTTATTTGTTATAAAAATCACAATGATGTTACAGGCCATTTATTGAAATATCTAAACACAACTGGGAAAAATGACTTTCTGTGCTAGACCAGCTGTATTTTCCATACTCATTTTGGCCATTGCTTCTCATTATCAGGTTTCTGGGAAGATCATTCTCTAGCTGACAGGCTTTCAGAACTGGAATTTGGGGGAATAAAACGAGGTAACAAATGACTATATTTAAATGTTGGAGCACAGAGTCCATTCTCTATTTCACATGGTAAATTTTCTCTTTCAGTGAAAAGGTTTATCTGGCCCGGCACGGTGGCTCACACCTGTAATCCCAGAACTTTGGGAGGCCAAGGCGGGCAGATCCTCTGAGGTCAGGAGTTCGAGACCAGCCTGGCCAACATGGTGAAACCCCGTCTCTACTAAAAATACAAAAATTAGCTAGGTGCAGTGGTATGCACCTGTAATCCCAGCTAATCAGGGGGCTAAGGCAGGAGAATTGCTTGAACCCAGGGTTGGGCGGAGGTTACAATGAGCTGAGATCACACCACTGCACTCCAGCCTGGGCAACGGAGGGAGACTGTGTCTCAAAAAAATTAAGAAAGAAAAGAAAGAAGGAAGGAAGGAAGGAAAGAAGGAAGGAAGGAAGGGAGGAAGGGAGGGAGGGAGGGAGGGATTCTCTGGCCTTGAATTGCTTCTTTGTTCCTGATCTATTAGAAACTTTGAGAGTAGCTATTTAGACTTCATAATGTAAGCATCATAAACACTACTCCTCATTGATGCTGAAAACCATTACTAAATTTTTGAGTTCTTATTACATTCACTTTTGTATATTTTCTTATTTAATTTTTGTAACAATCAGATAAGCAAAGAGAAGCACAGAGACTTAGCCACAATCCCAGTGAGTGGTATCAGAGCCCGGTACATTTAAATTCAATGATTTCTTGTTGAACTACTTCCATTCTTTTTGGTTACTCCAAATAGCCAGGACTAGCCCCTGTATAAGATTATCTATCAGAGGTTGTTAAGCCTGATACCTTGTTATGCTGAGGTCTTTTCCCCTTGAGAAGAGGACTTAACAATGGATTGGCCACAGGTGACAAGGGAAACAATTCAGCAAATGTAAATCACCAGTGGTATATCTGGCAGCACAGAGTGAGCAACCACATGGTCCCAAGACTTCTTCCAGTAATGGCATTTCATATGGGTGTCCCGTAAATAAACAAGATTATGGAAGCCAGTAAGGGACCAACCAAACCTAGAGCACAGAAGCATGTAAGAACAGGTGTTTATTAACATTTTACGGCCGGGCACAGTGGCTCACGCCTGTAATCCCAGCACTCTGGGAGGCCAAGGCACGCGGATCATGAGGTCAGGAGATCGAGACCATCCTGGCTAACCGGTGAAATCCCGTCTCTACTAAAAATACAAAAAATTAGCCGGGTGCGGTGGCGGGCGCCTGTAGTCCCAGCTACTCGGGAGGCTGAGGCAGGAGAACGGTGTGAACCCCGGAGGCGGAGCTTGCAGTGAGCCGAGATCGCGCCACTGCAGTCAGGCCTGGGCGAAAGAGTGAGACTCCGTTTCAAAAAAAAAAAAAAAACCATTTTATGCCATCCATATATCCAGCCAACTTCAGATTTAGTTCTGGTGTTCAAACGTCTCATTTTTATAGAAAAGTTTAATCCTGATGCATATTCATCCTTCACAATCTACCCCGAGCCTCTTAATTCTATTTCCTTCTTTGATATTCAACCTATCTGTTTTCTGCAAGTCTATGCAGCTTACAGTAACATATTGTTACATATAATCAAAGATTGCCATATGTGTTGTACATCTATGTATATATGACAGAAATCTAGAGACATAAAGCCTAAAAAAGTGCTTTGAGAAAAATTTACCATTTGAATTTTTAAACTATAGGTGTCATACAGACTCTTACTGATATTTTGGGTAGTTTGGAAAAAGCAGGCAGAAATGAGGACACACAAAAATAAAATTGAAGCCAAAGAAGAGAAGAAATTCATACTGGATAAGAGAAATTCTATTTCATTTTGATGAAGTGTTTTCGAAGGCCTAGAGAGACTTTTTTTCTAACCTCCCATGTTATATTTATCTCGTGTGCTTCTGAGGTAACTAAGAAAAAGAAGATAAGAGGAGAGAACGGAGAAATAGATTTTCTTTTCCTCTTGAAGCCTGTTTCTTGGTACATATAAATGTAACACAATAGCCGCAAGAATCATCACACTTTAAGGGCAAGTGGATTTTAAAGGACCAAATAAATAGCTTTTTTCCTAAGCTGTATTTCCATCTCATCAACAGTAAAATGGTTTCTAAAATGAGGTGTTAAAAAATAAAAATTAAAACATTGCCAGATGCTTTTGAGAATGCATACTATTGTGATTTGAGACCTCATAGGACTTAAAATATGCCTTTTTAAAAATTATTCTTTTGCTGTGAGAGTTTGTAGCTTAAATAATTCAGAGTATATATTTCATTTTACATGGCAAAAATGACATGCGTTTTGATGATCAGAATTCTATAGTAAGTCAGATAACACACAATATAAAATTACTTAATGCAACACTGCTGCTTATCAACCCCTCCACCTTTTGTTCATCTCTCCATCCAGCAATCACTGGGTAAGTCTCTTCCAGGACTGATATTTTGCTCAATGCTGGGGATATCATAATGAATAATATTTTCCCATTTTCTAGAAAGCTGATGTTTTAATAGGAGGTGATTACTGGGGTTAGGAAAGTGAATATTTTGTCTTTGATAGATCCTAGGGATTATATCTCTGTGGAGAGTGACCCTTTTCTTTGCCAAATAAATCTAGGCCCAGCCCAACCTCTATGAAGTTCTTTTTCCCTTGATTACCTGGAATTAATATGCTTGTCCTGATTTTCATAGACCACAGTAATATATATTCAAGTCTCTTGCTCACCTACTATAACTTTGAAATTTTTTTAGCAAAAATTTTACCTTGAAATTATCTCAAAACCCAACTTGTCCTCAAGTTGCTGAAATAAAGGTAGCAAAAAAGAAATTATACAGCGAATCTATCAGACCTCCATTTTAATTCTTAGAGTTAAATTTTGACATAATTCCTTCCCAAAATTTAGTAGCATTTTTTTCTTTCTTTCATTTTGGTATTCGGATAGCCTATGTATCTCAAAATGAATTTATATTAGAAACTGGAAACTTGGCAAGTCATTAGCAAGAAAACTTTTACCAAGGTTGTTATTTTTCGGGGAAAAATTATAAGCAGGCAAAAAATAGTTTAATCAACTAAACTTGAAATGTAAAATACCTTTAGAAATATTTTTGTGTCTGTGTATCTAAATAAAACTCAAAAACTCTTTGAGAGGCCAGGCATGGTGGCTCACGCCTGTAATCCCAGCACTTTGGGAGGCCGAGGCAGGCAGATCACCTGAGGTCGGGAGTTTGAGACCAGCTTGACCAACGTGGAGAAACCCCGTCTCAACCAAAAATACAAAATTACCCAGGCATGGTGGTGCATGCCTGTATTCCTAGCTACTTGGGAGGCTGAGGCAGGAGAATTGCTTGAACCTGGGAGGTGGAGGTTGCGGTGAACCGTGATCGTGCCATTGCGCTCCAGCCTGGGCAACGAGTGAAAACTCCGGAAAAAAAAAAAAAACTCTTTGAGAAAGTAATAATTATAAACTTAATAGTCTAGGAGAAAATGTTCCAGTTTATTTGATTCTGCTATGTTGTTTTAACCCCAATATGGTGTATTATGGTAGTTTGAAAAATTCTAAGCTTTTAATATTGTTTAAACATCTGCTTTTGAGGAAATGTATTTTTTTTCCTGGATATGATACATATAAAATATCCTATCTGGGCTGAGTGCCAGGAAGCTACCATGCTTAAGTAATAAACCCAATTATCTTGCTAATAAACAGCAACTAGAAATTGAACTCCTGTTGGCAGATATATAGGATACTTAAACACTAAGTGGGATTAATTAAACTCTTAAAGGAGTTACATTACAAACAAATATAATGATAAATCTTTATACAAATATAAGTATAGTAATTATCTCATTTTCTCCTCTTTTTAGCTAATAAAGTTTATGCTTTTGAATTATCATGAGAAAAAGGCTTCAGAAATAATGAAGTGCTTACCCCCAAGGATCTTCTGATATATAAATGTCAGGTTCCCAACTGACAAAAGATGAATGTGATGATAGATATTGTGGTCCCAATGCCAAGGGATATGACTGTGATATTCTCAAATATGGTGTAGATGTTAGGAAAATATTGATACTATAATGTGTCAAGCAGAGTGTTTTTGGGGGCTAAAGTGAATAGTAGTTGAGATGATTCAGGTCAAACATAAGTACGTAAGAATGAATTTATGGTCAATGTAATAGATTTACTTAGAAAAGTATTATAGACTTTTGTACAATTTATTTTCTAATTATTTCAAAGCAATTACCCAAAGGCAAAGTTGTCTATATGAAAAAAAATTTTTTTTGTTACAAGCGGCAACCTGTTTTGTTTGAGGTCATTTCAGAATTTTGCCTGAGTTTATTGCATTCAAAAGGGAGTCGTAATTTCTAAGAACAAATAGTGTACAAAATTAGGGCCTCTACTCTTCTTTCTTCAAAAATGTGTAATGAGATGAGAGGAGTGAGATAACCTCACGCCTACCATTACAAACAAACCTACACACAACCAATAAACAAACACAAGAAAGAGAAGCAACAAAGCTGGAAGTAAGATATTACCTTATGTCAGACATTTCAAAAAAGTTAACTAAGGAAATAAAGATAATTTCAGGGCAACAATGTGTTATATTTAGTCATGACATTATATTCTGCATCTGTTTTGATGAGTTGCAAAATCCTGTGAATTCTAATATCCTTAAATCTCAAGAGAGAAAAATATTATTCCCTTCCTTTCTATTATATAGAGCATGGGGGTATAGTTTGAACTACTGATGGGGAGATAAGCATGAAGATAGATGTCAATAAAAGAATCCGAATGTCTCAGATGAAGACCTAAGCTCCAAGTCAGTCTCAGCTTTGGTGGTGATGATGTCAGGCAGAGTGGGTTTTCTGTACCAAGGGCAGAGTTATAGTCAGCCAAAGCAAATGTTAGAGGTTATCTAATTGATCAGAAAAGATGACAGAGATATGGTATTCCCACTAACAATGCCCAAGGTGCCAGCTGAGTTTTTAACTTTCCTTAATCCCTTATTTGTCCCACATACTACAGAAGAGATTGCAATTCTCAAGTATTAAATTACAACCCAGAGAAGGCAAGGGCCATGTAAATTATAAAAGTAATAAATAAAATTAATCTGATTTATATCAGAAGAGATACAAAATCTGGACAAAGCTATCCATGTTAGGTAAGAAGAAATAAAGGATCACAGAAACAAGATCAATATGATATGGCTAAGGGGTAGGGCAGCGATAACAGAAGAGGGTGCCAAAACCATGAAGCCTTCAGCCTACAATAAAGTAAAGCCTAAAGAGTTAGAAAACGTTCTTCTGAGTGTTTTACGCTGAGGTGAAACTTCAGTAGTAGGCATTTTCAACTTGAATAAAAGGTATTTTCTGTAAAATGATAAAATGAGATGAGATGACATCATAGTTAATACAATGATTGTTGTGTGTGGTTTTTTTTTTTTTTTGGCAGCTTAGATATATTCACTTATTATACTTTATCTTCACAGCATCCCTATAAGGTAGGTTTCATTCCCATCTTACAGATTAGAAAACTGAGTCACAAAGAGCTTTAGCATGATACACAAAGCCTTGCAATAAGTAAGTGTTGGAGTTGGAATTTAAGTGTAAGCACTGTAGCCCCAGAGTATGTGCTTTTAGATGCTATGATATAATGTCCATTAATACAAAATCACATGAAAAAGGTATATTGCAGATGTAAGAAAATAAGTGATAAGTAAAAGAAGTAATGCATAAAATTAGAAGTGCAAGAAATAGAAGCTAATAAACCCGAAGCTAAAGGGTAAAATATAAAGATTAAGATAAATATGACTAAAATAGTTTCAATTCTCTTCCTGCATTGCAAACGCCCCTCAAAGGACTTAAAACTAGGATCATTTGGTTTCTGCAGGACAGTTGTTCAGGCAGGACTCACTGATTATGAGCTCTCTGTTGCATAGTATCAGATGCGAAAGTTCAAAGGGGAATGAAGGATCCAAAGTGTTGTAATTTACATGTGTTTGTTCTTGATGGCTTCTTTGTGACCTCTCTCTTCACATGATTTCTTATAATTAAATAATTTGGTGATTAGATTTAAACAGAGTGAAAACATGCTTAAAGCTGAGGTCTAGTATTAACTTCTGCCATATTTTCTTTTTTAAAAAATTTACATATTTGTTTTAATAGGAAAAACATATAGACCATTTAAATATTAATCATAAAAGAATGTCCAAACATTTAACAATTCTATAGCATATATCACACAATAATTATAAAGAAATTAAAATTTTGTACATTTACATTTCATAGAATTACCAGTAAACCTGAGATTATTTCAATAATTTACTCTTTCCCTATACTTTGACTAAGGTTCTGTAGGTCTCTTTACTTGACTTACTTTGAACTAAATGGTTTAGTATTTCGTTGCTCCCTGTATAAATTCATTAGTTACAATCATATGAAAATCTTTGGATACACTATTAAATCATAAATTCTTTCTTTAATATAGTCTAATATGCAATTACTTTTAACACCTCTCCCACACTACTAATACCTTAAAATTTTATTTTAATCTTTCCTGACTTTTGTCTTACTGTTGTCACGCACTTTAATTTTACATATATTTTAATCTCCATAAGACATTTCTAAAATCGCTTCATAAAACAATATTTATTTATCTTTATCTTTATCTTATCTTTTCTACTGCCTTTCATTCCTTCCTGCATTTTCAGTTTCAATATGGGATTATTGTCCCTTGGAAAGAACTTGTCACAGTATTTTTTTTTTTTTCCTTTTTGATGGAGTCTCGCTCTGTCGCTCAGGCTGGAGTGCAGTGGCGTGATCTCGCTCACTGCAAGCTCCTCTCTCGGGTTCACACCATTCTCCTGCCTCAGCCTCCCGAGTAGCTGGGACTACAGGCACCCGCCACCATGCCCAGCTAATTTTTTTTATTTTCAGTAGAGACGGGGTTTCACCATGTTAGCCAGGATGGTCTCGATCTCCTGACCTCGTGATCTGCCCACCTCGGCCTCCCAAAGTGCTGGGATTACAGGCGTGAGCCACCGCTCCCAGCCGAACTCGTCACAGTATTTTTAAACAACTCACGGTAATTCTAATTCAGACTGCTAACAGTGAAATAGTTCAGTTTCAGTTTTTCTTAACACAACTTTATTAATTTGCTCAAAGCTAAGCACAAAGTTTAGACCATATTGAAGAAGAAAAGAAATAGACACCACCTCTTGATAGAAGGAGTGGCAAAGTTGCATTGTAAACAGGCATGCAGGATGGAAAGAATTGCATGGACATCTTTGAAAAAACTCAACAAATAAAGAGTATTCTACAACTCTTTATTTTTCAGACTCACTGTGTTGATCATTTTATATGTATTCATTTATTCGATCCTCCCAATAACCTAACAGATACTATTGTAATGTCAATTTCCATTTTGCACACGAAGGACTTGAAGAACATAGGACTTTATTTAATGTCTAAAAAACACACAACTAGTAGATGATGGTGCCATATGTCAAAGTCAGGCCTCCTGGCTTCAGTCTCCACTAGTAATCTGTCTCATTGCTCCCTCATTTCAGAAGGTTCTTCCTGAAATTCAGAAGGAACGGAATCTGCACATTGAGAAGGAACACCAAGTCCAGGAATGATTCATCTATGCAATGGCTAGTGAGATGTACCTTTGTAAGATCGTTTAGCTTAAAGGTAAAAAAGGGAGATTTTTAGCCATCTGGACAACAAAAGCAAACCAACCATAAGAAGAAACATGAGGTTGAGTTAAGAAATGTTCAGATCAGTGTTCCATGCTAGAGGACTAGGGAGCAATGTCAACAGTACTCATGCAATAGAAAGGACAGTGTGTAAACAGCCAGCCGAGGTGTTTTGGGGACAAACAAATGGTCAAACCTCAAGGTATACCGGAAGTGCTATGCCCATGAGTTTTTGTGGGGGAGGGGAAGAAAAGAAAAGAAACTCAGTAAGGAAAATCAGCCATATAAATACAAATGAAAATGGACCTCAGAAAATGGAGAACTTAGTTTTTGTGTTCAAATGAACATTAAAGATCTGTATACCATCTATAGAAATATAACAGAACGAATTTTGTGCAGGAATGTTTCAAGGCAAATATTAAGTAATAAACATAAGTTTTGGAGATTAAAAATAAGTGGAAGTTGATAATATAAGAGGAAGTCTTGTTGTGTTTTTGGTGCAGGGATCTTGCCAAGCCAGTAGCCATCATAGGTTTTGTTTGTTTGGCTTCCGTTGCTGTAGCAAGGGTTACATTATTTGGGAAAAATTACTTCCTGGGTATATCACAAAAAAGCAGAAGTGATGTGTGAAGGAGAAGTAATAAATATTTTTAAAATATTTTTTAGATTCTATATTGAACTTTATTTACATTAAATAATCTTTTCACAATAGTACTGCAAGGCAAATATCAATAATAATCTCAGTAGGTATATAATTATGTTTAATGAAATATTATGATTTTTTCTCAAATTTTTTTGTTAACTTTAAGAGAGCATTTAACATCCAAAGAGACAGCTTATAATGTCTCCCAAAATTTTCCTATAACTTGAAATCTATATGGTTTTATGTTTTAACTTTCAAACTTTATTTCATCTGCATAAGTTTTGATAGCATATAGAAGGAAATCAGATGTGTGTGTGTGTGTGTGTGTGTGTGTGTGTGTGTGTACATGCACATTTTTGCTTGGATAAACAATTATTCATTTACTACATATTGAATAGTTATTCTTTCCTCATGGGTTGAAAAGTTAGTTTGTGTTTTATAAGATTATTCTGATAGACAGCTAACTAGCTAGTTAGCTGGATAAATAGAATCATTCTATTTTTCTCTTTTACTGAGCTCCATGTCTGTGGATCTAAGCTATTTCACTCTCAGCTACTGTATGGGTTTTTATTACTTCATTGGTCATGTCATACATTCTTTTTTAATATTCTTTGCTATTCTTATACATGAATTTCTTTTTTAGAAATTAACTTGAAATTGAATTTGCCAAATTTTCCTCTATATAATCTTATTGAGATTTTGACCAAAAGATCATTTAATTTATAAATAAATTTGAAAAGTAATGACATCTCTACAATATTAAAACTGCTGTTTTGGATTATTTTATGACTATAAACAATTACTTATTTTTTGCTTCATATTGTTTTGACTATTTTGTGATTTAGTCCTGTATATTTTGAAGTTCTTTTTGGTATTTGAATCATAGTTTTTTCTAATACATCAACTTTCATATTTTACTGTTGCTCTATAGAAAAGATACTACTTTTTTGGGGTGGCGGGGGACGGAGTTTCGCTCTTGTTGCCCAGGCTGGAGTGCAATGGCACAATCTTGGCTCATTACAACCTCCACCTGCCGGGTTCAAACAACTCTCCTGCCTCAGCCTCCCGAGTAGCTGGGATTATAGGCATGCACCACCATGCTTGGTTGATTTTGTATTTTTAGTTGAGACAAAGTTTCTCCATGTTGGTCATGCTGGTCTCGAACTCCCGACTTCAGGTGATCCACCCACCCCAGCCTCCCAAAGTACTGGGATTACAGGTGTGAGCCACCGAGCCCAGCCAAGATATTACTTTTTTAAATGGCTTTTCAAAACAGATAGCTTACTATATTCTGATCAACATTAATGTACTCTTCAATTATTCTCATGGAGTTAATGTAGCTAATTTGAAAATACTTTTATGTTCTTTTATTATGCATACTATTTATTATTCTTCAGTTTTGCAGTTGATAAACATGCCATAATAATATTGTATAAAAATAATAATAGGAGCTATGCTCACCACTTTTAGATTAATGTTTTTCATTGAAATTGATATATTCTATTGGTTTTGCATGAATAGTTTTAATTACAAACAGTTTTATTCTGTATTTAGTCAAATCAGTAATAAATGCTAAATTTTATAAAGTACTCCTTTTTAAAAGAAAATGTTAGATGTCTTTCTTCCTTTTGTTTAGTAACATAGCATGTATTAAATTCTAAATATGTTCTCAAATTTGCATTTCTGGGACAAATCCTGTTTTTGTAAGGCATTTTATTCTTTGTTTAGCATTCTTTTTTTTATTGTGTTTATATATGGTTTTCACTAATGCTCCTAGATTAAACCAATATATTGTTTTCTTTTAGCACAATATTTGCCAGACTGTGATGTACTTTTCTAAGACTTAAAGTATGATTTGAGATGTTTTCTATTTTTTAATATAAACTTAGCCACAAGGCTTATTCAAATATCTCTAATAATTTGAAGGGGCATGTCTACCAAACATAAAATGAATCCAAGAAAAAAGATAGCATGTGGATACAGAAAAAGGCATTAGCTATATTCAAAAAAGGAAGATTGCCAGTTTCAGCAGCAACATTCACAGTTTGGAAGCCACCATTCCCATCTTTATAAGAAAAGAAAAACTTAACAAACTGAACATGAATAATTTTCTTTAGATTCTACAGAGAATTAATGTCACAGAGCAAACCACCATTCTGAAGTCTAGAGAAGTGGGTAACAATGGATAATATCAAACCCGGGATAAACTTACCCAGAGCAGAAGCCATTGAACAATTAAACAGTAATTGTCAGATTAATGGAGACTGAACATGGGCTAGATCAAAAGTTAAAAACATCTGGAAACACAGTCTTTAAGGGGAGGTCTCACACTTTCCTGGGTTTTACCTCTAATCATCCCACCCAGTTTTTAAGATGAAGAAATGAGACAAATACCCTTCTGTTTCAGCCAGAGATAGGGAATGAATAACCATTTTTAAATAACCCTAGGGGAAATTTTATTATTTTGAGATATTGCCAGAACATTCTTCTTAACAACAGCCTGCCCTCCATGGGAAACTGAGTTATCTAACCCTTACCTGACTTGGAAGAAAGGGTATTACACAACTCCAACATCTTCTAGCCTTGTGGTCTTACGTAAAAGAGGAAGGAAAGGCTAAAAGATGCCTATGGATTTTCTGGACTGACATCAGCAAGATGATGAACTATTAATAGTAAGCTCCAGGCACCTTGTTCCCTCATAAAAACATTAAAACAAAACAAAACAACTAAAACTGACTTAAATAACGTTGTAGGAATGCTGAAAAGGTGAATGATTTACAACAACCAATCAAATGTCCAATTAAGAAAAAATGACATTTAGAATGATAGAAAATTCTGTGGAGTTTTTACTACCTACTCCCACTGCACAAGATCCACCCTGGCCCAGTGTGGGAGAAATAGCTGTCCAGCTTCCGATTTCCTCCTTCAAACTGGAGGGAGCAAAGAAGACTTTATTTGCACTGTTGAAATCTTTCTAGGGAATGCCTGAAAGATGAGTCTCTATTTTTCCTCCCTCTGAACTCATTTGGGGAAAAGCTGCATATCTTGGGTCTCAGGCTGGGAAAAGTCATGCAAAGTAGCTTTTGAAAACTTCAGGAGGTGTACAGACCCACAGATGCCTGGGGCAAGATTTTTTTGTGGAGGGATATGATAGCATATCTACAGACCCAATATAAACCAGGAGTGGGACTCTTTGGAAAATTAAGATATTTAATTTATGCCATATATTGGTGTACATTTTTATTTTTTTGAGATAGGGTCTTGCTCTGTCACCCAGAACAGAGTACAGTGGCCTAATCATGTCTCACTGCATCCTCAAACTCTTGGGCTCAAGCAATCTTTCTGCCTCAGCCTCCCAATGAGCTGGGACTATAGGCATACACTATCACACCTGGCTAACTTTTTAATTTTTTTGTAGAGATAGGGTTTCACTATGTTGCCCAGGCTGGTCTCCCAACTCCTGGGCTCAAGCAGTCCTCCCACCTTAGCCTCCCAAAGTGCTGGGATTGCAGGGGTGTGAGCCACCACACCAGGCCTATACTAGAATAAATTTTAGAAAGCACACATGCAAGCCCAGGGAATACATATGCTCAGAAAAGGACTGAGAAGACCTTTAAGACTTTATTCTGGGGAGATGTCAAGGTTCAGAACATTTCCTGCTAATTAGTAAAGGTCTTTCCTGACAGTCTGAAAAGATTGATAAAATACTTTTTTGCAATGTCTGAATTTCAGCAAAGATCACAAGACATACAAAGAAAGAGAAAAAGATTGCCTATTCAATGGAACAAAATTAATCTCCTGAAACTAATCCTAAAAAAACAAATCATTGCACATTCTAGAGAAAAACTTTAAAACAACTCTCCAAAAATTGTTCAAAAACAAAAGGAAAACATGGACAATGGACAGAGAACCAAAGGAAATAAAAAAAAATTACGTATCAACAAAATTAGAATATTAATAGAATGATAGAGATTATAAGAAGAAATCAGGCTGAGCACAGTGGTTCATGCCTGTAATCCCAGTACTTTGAGAGGCCGAGGTGGGCAGATCACTTGAGGTCAGGAGTTCAAGGCCAGCCTGGCCAACATGATGAAACCCCATGTCTACTAAAAATACAAAAATTAGCTGGGCATGGTGGTGCAAGCCTTTAGTCCCAGCTACTGGGAAAGCTGAGATGGGAGAATCACTTGAACCTAGTAGTTGGAGGTTGCAGTGAGCTGAGATTGTGCCACTGCACTCCAGCCTGGACGACAGAATAAGACCCTGTCTCAAAAAATAATAATAATAATAAACAAAAATTAAAAAGGCACTAAAGAGAAATTCTGAAGCTGAAAAGTATAATAAATTGAAAAAGTCATTAGTGGGGATTCAACAGCAGACTCAGACAGGCAGAATAAGGAGTTAGCAAACTTAAAAACAGTTCATTTGAAATTGAGCGTGAGGAGAAAAAAGAAACAAAGTGAAAAAGAGCCTAATGAAATTATAAGACACTGACAAATGGACCAATATATGAATTATAGAAGTCTCAAAAGAAGATAAAGAGAACAAGATGGAGAGACTATTTGAAGGAACAAAGTAGAAAACTTCTGAAATTGGAGAAAGAGCATGAATATACAATGTCAATAACTCAATGAAGTCTAAGTAGAATAAACCCAATGAGATCCATGCTGAAACATATTATAATGTAATTGCTGAAATCAAACAGCAGAAAATCTTGAAATTGGCAAGAGAAAAATGACTCATCATGTTCATGGGATCCTCTGTAAAATCATCAGTAGATTTCTTAGGAGAAACCTTAGGGGACAGGACACAGTAGGATGATATATTTAAGGGGCTGAGAGAAGGAAAAAGAAAGAAAAAAAACTTCGTCAACTGAGAATTCTATATCTGATAACAAAATATTTCTTTAAAATATTCCTTATTTTAAATGAGGGAGAAATTAAGAGACTCAAGAAAAACAAAAGTTGAGGGAGTTCAGTACTATCAGGGCTGGATTACATACAATAAATGCTAAATTGAGCCATTTTAGTTCATATAAATGGATGCTAGACAGTAGCTCAAAGCCATACAAAAATCTAAAATTCTCTGGTTAAGCAATATATATGAACAAATATAAAAACCAGTATTTTTGTAATTTTGGTTTTAACTCTTGTGTTTTATTCTTCCACAGGATTTTAAAAAACAAATGCATAAAAATAATCATATGCTTAAGTTTATGTGTAGACAATTTATAAATATGTAATTTGGGGTATCAAAAACATAAAGGGGAGATGAAGCTTAAAGTTGTGCAATTTTTGTATGCCATTGAAATTATGTTGGTATGAATTAAAATAGATTGTTATAACTCTAAGATGTTACATGTAGTACCCATGGTAACCACATAGAAAATATATATGGAATATACACAATGAAAATGAGAAAGAAATAAAAATGTGTCACTAGAAAAAATGAACTGAACACAAAGGATAGTAGTAATTAAAGCAATGAGAGGCATAAAACTATAAGACACAGAAAACAACAAATTGACAAAAGTAAGTTTTTCCCTATCAGTAAATACTTTAAGTTCAAAGGGATTAAACCCCCTATGATGGTTAATTTTATGTGTCAACTTGATCAGGCTAAGACATGCTCAGATAGCTGGTGAAACATAATTTCTGGGTGTGTCTGTATTAATGTTTCTGGAAGAGATTAGCATTTGAATCAGTAGACTGAGTAAAGAATATCTGACCTCACCAATGTGTGTAGTGTTGGTTCAATCTGTTGAAGGTCCAAATAGAACAAAAGGGTAGAAGAAGGGTGAGTTCTCTCTGTCTATCTTCTTGAGCAAGGAAGCCATATATCTTCTCCTACCCTTGGACATTGGAGTTCCTGGTTCTTGGGCCTCAGACTCCAGGACTTATACAATTGGTTCTCCTGGCTCTTAGGCTTTCAGACTTGAACTGAATTATACCACCAACTTTCCTGATTTCCCAGTTTGCCAACAGCACATCACAGGACTTCTCAGCCTCCACAACATTGTGAGTTAATTTTCATAAGTCTCTCTCTCTCTCAATCTCTGTGTGTGTATGTGTGTGTGTGTTTGTATGTGTGTGTTTGTATCCTATTCAATTTATTTGGAGAATCCGGACGAATACACTCATACACAAACGATATAGATTGCTATAATAGATTTAAAAAAATCCAATTATATGCTGTCTACAAGAGATTCAATTCGGATCTAAGAACGTTCAAACGTTCATAGGCTAAAAGTAAAAATAAAGATAAAGGTTATTTTATGCAAATAGTAACAAAAAGAGAGCAATGGTGGCTATACTGATATCACACAAAATAAACTTTAAGTAGAAACTGTTATGAGAAACAAAGAATGTTCTATATTGATTAAAAAGGTAAATTCAGCAAGAAGATACAACAAATATAAACAGACAGTATTTCTGTCTTGCCTATGGTTTTGCTTTTCATGGTCTCAGTTACACACAGTCAACCATTGTCCAAAATTATTAAATAAATTCAGAAATAAACAATTCATAAGTTTTACATTGTGTGCCATTCTAAGTAGTGTGATGAAATCTCACTCTGTCCTGTTGTGTCCTGCCTCGTATGTGACTCATCAGTTTTTTCTACTGTTTCCATGTTGTATATATGCTATCTTCCCATTAGTCACTTAGTAGCTGTCTCAGTTATCAGTTTGAAAAAAATATTAAATATGGAGTTCAGCACTATCCATGGGTTTGAGGCACCAACTGGAAGTCCTGAAACATGGCTGTTTCAGTTTTCAGATTGAAAAAAATATTAAATATGGAATTCAGCAGTATCTGTGGGTTTCAGGCACCCACTGTTAGTCTTGAAACATAGCTGTCTCAGTTATCACATTGAAAACAATATTAAATATGGAATTCAGCACTATCCATGGGTATCAGGCATCCACTGGCAGTCTTGAAACATAGCTGTCTCAGTTTTCAGATTGAAAAAAATATTAAATATGGAATTCAGCAGTATCTATGTGTTTCAGGCAACCACTGTTAGTCTTGAAACATAGCTGTCTCTGTTATCACATTGAAAACAATATTAAATATGGAATTCAGCACTATCCATGGGTTTCAGGCATCCACTAGGAGTCTTGAAACTTATTTTCTGCAGATAAGAAGGAACTCTTGTATATGCACTAAATATCAGGTCATAGATACGTGAAGCAAATGTTGACAGAAATGAAGACAGAAATAGATAGATCTACAATAAGAGTAGGATACATCAATGTCACACATTCAATAATGAATAGAACAAGACAGAGGATCAATAAAGAAGTAAAAGACTTAAATTACATTATATACCAATAAGATTTAATAGAATATAAGGAATGCTTTGCCCAGCTATAACAGGATATATTGTATTTCCCCAAAAGCACATGGAATGTTCTCCAGGAGAGACCATTTTTTAGGCCAAAACCCAAGTCTTAATACATTTTAAAAGACTGAATCATACAAACTGTCTCTTTTTGACCATGTGAAATAAAACTATAAATTAACAGCAGTAGGACTATTGGAAAATACACAAATATGTAGAAATTGGGCAATACAGTCTTCAGCAACCAACAGGTCTCATAAGAAATCCTAAGAGAAATTCGACAATATCTTTGGTCAGATGAAGATGTGAATACAATATACCCATACATATGGCATGTAGCACTGAAATGCTTAGAGAACAATTTATAGCTATACATTATATTATATTAAAAGAGAAGAAACACCTGAAATTAACAATGTAACTTTATGCTTCTAGAAGCTATTTAAAAAATTAAACCCAAAGCTAGGAGACAGAAGGAAATATAGCCTAGAAAAGAAATGAATAACATAGAGAATAGAAAATAATAAAGAAAATCAATGAAAATAAGAATTGATTCTTTGAAAAAATCACCAAAATTGACAAACTCAGACTGAGTAGAAAAAAAACCCGAGAGGACTCAAATTACTAAATTCAGAAATTGAAGTTGTGGCATCACTACCAATTTTACAGAAATAAAAAAAAATTAAAAGATTACCCCAGGAGAGGGCTGTATTACTATCTCTCTCTCTCTCTTTCTCTCTCTCTCTCTCTCTTTATATATGTATATATGATATATTTATATATATTTGTATATATTATATATATTTATTTATGTATATATATATAGTAATGCATATATTACTCTCTTGTATTACATATCAACAAATTGGGTAGCCTAGATGAAAATAGACACATTCTTAAGAACATACAACCTAGATTGACTCAAGAGGCAATAGAAAATCTGAATAGACCTATAGTTATATAGTAGTAAGATTAAATCAGTGTTCTAAAACTTACCAAAAAATAGCCCATAACCAGATACCTTCACTAATGCGTTCTACCAAACATTTAAATAAAAATTAATATCAATCCATCTTAAAATCCTTTAAAAAATTGAAAAGGAGAGAACATTTCCTAACTCATTCTCTGAGGCCATCATTGCCCTGATGCCAAAGTCAGAAAAGGACACTACAAAAAACTATAGACCAATATCCCTTAAGAGTATTGATCCAAAAACCCTTTAAAAAAGTAGCAAACAGAATTACACAGTCCATTAAAGAAATTATATACCACAACCAAGTGGGATTTATTCATGGAATGTAAGAATGGTTTAACATATACAAATTAATCAATTTATTACATCACATGAAGAGAATGAAGGGACAAAATACAGATAATCATTTTGATTAATGAAGAAAGGCATTTGGCAAAATTCAATGCCCTTTCATGATAAGAAGCCCTAAAATAAGAATAAAATAAAACTATTTCAACATAATAAAGACCATATATGAACAATGCACAGCTAACATCACACCAAATGGTGAAAGACTGAATGCGTTTCTTCTAAGATCAAGAACAAGGCAAGGTGATGACTGTTTCAACGACTTCAATTCAACATTGCAGTAGAAGTACTAGGAAAAAATCCTAGAAGGAAAAAAACTATAGAAAAGTGGCAAGATATAAGAGTAATATTCAAAACTCAATCATTTTCCTATATACCAACCAGAAACAATTGGAATTTCATTCAAAAACAATTAGAATGAAAAAGTTATAGTATTTGGTAGCACAATAGGATGGCTATAGTTAACAATAATTTATTGTATATCTTAAAGTAACTAAAAGAGTGGAATTGAAATGTTCCAATACAAGGAAATGACAAAGGTTTGAGGTGATGGATATTCCAATTACTCTGATTTGATCATTACACATTGTATGCCTGTGTGAAAACATCATATGTTTTCCATTAATATATGCAACAATTATGGATCCATAATAATTAAAAATAAAAATAAAAAAAACTTTATATTAATATGCAAAATATGAAATATTAAGTATAACTGCAACAAAATATTTACAGGATCTGTATGAGGAAAACTACAAAGTTCTGATGAAGGAAATCCAAGAAGATCTTAATAAATTGAGAAATTTTATTTACATGAGTAATAAGACTCAGTATTATCAAGATTTCCGTTCTTCCCAAGTTCGTCTACAGATTCAACACAATCTCAGTTAAAATCCCAGCCAGTTAATTTGTGAATATTGACACACTAATTATAAGGTTTATATTGAAAGGGAAAATAGCCAGAATAGTCAACACTGTATTAAAGAGAAAAACAAAGTCAGAAGGCTGACACCATCCAACTTCAAAACTTATATAAAGCTGCAGTCAACAAGTCAACATGATATTGGCAAAAGAAAAGACAAATAGATAAATGGAATAGATAGCCCCCAGATAGACCCATACAAATATAATCAATGGATCTTTGACAAAAGAGAAAAGGCATTTCACTGGAGAAAGGATAGTCATTTCCACAAATGGTGTGGAACAACTGGATATTTATATGCAAAATATCTAGACACAGACATCATATATTTCACAAAAACTAACTCCAAATGAATCAGAAACATAAATGCAAAACACAAAACAATGAAACTTCTAGAAGATGCCACAGGAGAAAATCTAGATGATGGCTTTGGTGATGTCTTTTTTGATATAACACCAAAAGTACCATTTATTAAAGAAAAAAATTGGTAATTTGGACTTCATTGAAATTAAAAACTTCTGCTCTGAAACGACACTGTTAGGATTGTGAAAAACAAATCAGACTGGGAGAAAGTATTTTCAAAATACTATCTGATTAAGAACCTGTATACAAAATGTACAAAAAACCTCTTGAAACAAAAAGAAAATAAATGACCCAATTAAAAAATGGACAAAAGATCAGAACAGACACCTCCCCCCCAAAAATATACACATGATAAAGAAACATGAAAATATGTTCAACGTCATAGGACATTAGATAATTGCAACATCAAACAATAAGATACTATTACATACCTATTGACTAAAATCCCCAAAACTGGTAATACAAAATGCTAATACGGGTGTCATGCAGCAAGGACACTCATGAATGCATGAGCAATGGCCAGTGGGAATGTAAAATGGTCGCTTTGGAATTCCTTTTAGCAGTTTCTTACACAGCTAAACATGGTTTTACAATATATTCCAGCAACCATTTTCCAAGGTGTTTACCCAATTGAGTTGAAAACATAACCATACAAAAACCTACACGTGATTTCTTAGAGAAGATTAATTTATAAGAATAGAAAACTGAAAACAATCAAGATGTCCTTCAATAGGTGAATGGATAAACAGACTATGGTATACCCATGCAATGGAATATTATTCAGTGATAGAAGAAATGAGTTACCAAAGAACAAACACGACAAGGAGTTTGAAACCTTAAGTGTATATTGTTATGTAAAAAGTCAGCCTGAAGAGATTACGTGCTCTATGATTCCTACTATATGGTATTTTGGAAAAAGCAAAGCTATAGATACTGGAAAGATCAGTGGTTGTGGGTAGGGGAATGGTAGTTAAAAGAGAGAGGGCTGAGTATGGAAAGCACAGGGAATTTTTAAAGTGATGAGCCTATTATTATTCTTCTAATCCAATATGAGTGGCAAAATTGTTCCTTCTGATACTGTAATGGTATACAAATGATGATATACATTTGTCCAAACCCATAGTAATATTGCACTTTAGTTAATAATGATTTATCAATATTGGTTTATTAATTGTAACAAATATACTATACTAATGTAACAGGTTAATGTGGGGGAAATTGCTGGAGGGAGGGGAATATATGGGAAATCTTTGTACTGTCTGCTCAATTTTTCTGTAAATCTAAAATTGTTTTAAAAAATAAAGTTTACTAATTTAAATAAAAGGCACCAGTGACAATAGAGTGTAATTGAGTAAAAGATACATTAGGATTAACTTATTATGCATATTTTCACAGAAATATTTTCAGACTTTGTCTTAATCGGTAGACATAATGCCCCAAACTATGATTTTCTGCTTGAACAGTACAATTTCCGACAAACTTGCAGTTGCAATTTTAGTATAATCTCTGCAATGTCATGTTGGCTTTTTAAAATTTTTACTGATCTATTTGTCTCTGGGTATAGGAAATTAACTGTTCACTAAGAAGCAGAATGATCTTCACTGGAACAACGAAACAACGGATGATCTGCCTTTAATAGGATAAAAGCCAGTATTTGCAAATATAAAATACTATTTTGAGATCCTTGTGGAGTTCATTTTTGTGTATGGTCAGAGGTTATTGTCAGTGTTCATTTTTTGCCATATAGATACCTGGTTGTTCTACCATTTGATGAAAGGTATTATCATGTCCCCATTGAATTACCATGACACTTTGTCAAATATCACTTGACCCTATGTATGAAGGTATATTTCTGGCCTCTGTTTTGTTCCATTGATCTTATGTGTATCACTGTGCCAATATAACCCTACCTTGATTACTGAATCTTTACAGTATATCTTGATATCGTCTAGGGTAAGTGATCTAAATGTATACTTTTGTTTCTAAGTATTTTTGACTTTGGTTCTTTGAGTTCTCCATATACATTTGATAATCAGTTTGCCAAATTTCTCAAAAAGCCCTGCTGGATATTGAATGGAATTATATTGAATCTAAATATCAGTTTGGAGATAACTGACATCTTAATAATACATCTTCCAATCAAATGCATACAATATATCTCATTTATTTAGATAGGTTTGCTTTAATTTATTTTAGCAATGTTTGCAGTTATCTGTTCAGTATTTTATTTAAATTATTCCTAAATATTTCTTGATTTTTGATGCTATGGGAAACAGTGTATTTTATTTTTTTCATTAATCATTACTTTTGTAGAGAGAGACAATGGATTTTTATATGTGAAGCTTATATGCTGCGACCATGACCACGCTAAACTCACTTTTTAGTTCTGATAAATTTTTTTGTACATTTCATAGGATTTTTGGCATACATAATTGTGATTATGTCACTTATAAATAAAGACAATATTACTTATTTATTTCTAGTCTGCCTGCCTTTTTTTGCCTTATTGCATTCACCTGGATCTCCATTACAATATTTCAACAGTAGTAAATATGATGCTCTTATGTTTTTCAGTCTTTTAGGAGTGAAGTGTTTGTGTTCATCACTTAAAGTGGTTCCAGTGATGGTTCCATGGTAGAGACTCTGTCAGTTTGAGGAAGGTATCTTTTTTGCACAGTTTGTTAAAAGGGTTTTTTAAAATCATAAATGGACATTGAATTTTGGCTTATGTTTTCTTTGCTTCTACAGAGTGATCAAATTTCTTCTTCACTTTCTTGAATTATATGTATTGAATTATACGTATCGATTTCTTTGTAAATTATGTATATTGATTTCTCATGTTTATTAAATCTTACATTCCTGGGAGAAGTCATACTTTAATATGATATAATTTTTTAAGTATTGTTGGATTTAATTAGCTAGTATTTTGTTAAATATTTTTGTGCCAGTGCTAATGAGAATTTTGTTTGTACTTTTCTTGTAATATTTTTCTCTACTTTTATTATTCTGGCCTCTTAAAATGAATTACAAAGTGTTTCCTCCTTTATTTTCTAAAAGTGTTTGCGTAAAATTAGTATAATTTCTTCACAAATCATTTCTAAAAACCAACAATAAAAACACCCTGGCTTTTTGTTTTTTACAGTAAGGTTTTTGATAAATAAAAATTCTTTAATAAACATAAAAACTATTCAGATTTTCCTGATTTCTTGAGGAAGGTTTTGTTTTGTTTTGTTTTGTTTTTTGAGACGGAGTTTCGCTCTTGTCACCCCGACTGGAGTGCAGTGGCGCTCTCTGGGCTCACTGCAGCCTCTGCCTCCCAAATTCAAGAGATTCTTGTGCCTCAGCTTCCCAAATAGCTGGGATTACAGGCGCCCGCCACCATGCCGGGTTAATTTTTGTATTTTTAGTAGAGACGGGGTTTTACCATGTTGGCTAGGCTTGTCTCTAACTCCTGACCTCAGGTGATCAGCCCGCCTCGGCTTGCCAAAGTACTGGGATTACAGGCGTGAGCCACCGCGCCCGGCCTTGTGGAAGGTTTTCTAAGTATATTTTTCATGAAATTTAGCAACTTCATCTATGTTGTCAAATTCATAGATATAAAGTTATGCATAATATGGTATTATCGTCTTAATAGCTATAGGATCTGTGATAATATCTTTCTGGTATTAATAATTTATCATTTTATCTCTTTTTCTATTAGTCTTGCTCAGAATTTCTCAATTTTATTAGTAATCTAAAATATGCAACTTTTGTATTCATTGTTTTTAATGGCTTATCTTTTTGCTTTAATTCATTAATTTTTATTTGTATTATTATTCACTTCCTACTGCCAATTTTTACAGCTTATTAAATTGGAAACTTAAATTATTAATTTTGCCTTTTTTATTTCTAAGCACTTAGAGTTATAAATACAGCTTTGGCTGCATTCCACAGATTTTGATATCTTGTGATGTTGTTTACATTAAGATCAAAATATTTTTCCAATTTCTCCAGGAGTATCTGTTTTTTGACCAATTGATCTTTTTTGACCTATTGCTTATGTAGATATTTTGTTTTGTAAGTTCCCATTATTTAGTGCTTTTCCAAATATCTGTTTTCTACTGATTCTTAATTTAACACATTGTGGGCAGAGAATGGATTCTGTAAGATTTCAATCTTTTTGAATTTATTGAGATTTATTTGATGGCACAGCATGTGGTCTATCTTGGTGAAATTTCATGTGCACGTGAAAAACATGCATAAGTTCTGTTGCTGTTGAGTGCAGTGTGCCAACTACATACATCAGCTCAATTAGGCTGATTTTAAGTCTTCTATGTACTTACTTATTTTCAGTCTACTTATCCATTTGATGTTTTTCAAGTTTTTAAAACACTTCCTTATTTTCTGCTTACTTTTTATATCAATTATATGTGGGTAGAAAGATCTAACTGTAGTTGCAGGTTTATCTATTGATTCTTTTAATTTTGAGCAGTTTTGCTTAATATATTTGCTTCATATATTTTAAAGTATTATTAGCAGGTGCACACATATTTATAATTGCTATGTATTTTTGATAATTTTACACTTGTATCATTTCTTCTGAAATATTTCTTATCTGTCAATATTATTTGTCCTAAAATATATTTTTTTGATATTTACACAGCCCTTCATTAGCACAATGTATCTTATGTCTTTATGTTTACTTTTAATATATCTCTGTTTTTACATTTAAAGCCCCTTTCTTGTAGACAATATATAATTCAATCTTACCCTTTTATTTAATCTGATACTCTCTGTTGTTTATTTGGAACATTTAGACTACTTAAATGTAATTATTGATATAGGCGGTTTTAAAATCTCACACCACATACAACAGTTAACTCAAATGGATTATAGATATGAGTTTAAAAAATTAAAAGTAGAAAATTTCTGAAAGAAAGCATTCAGCAAAGATTTCTTAAAATAGGGTATAAAGAGTAAACATGACAGTGGAAAAAAATCAGCAGTTTGAACTTCAGAATTAAAAACTTTAGTCTTTCAATAATCACTCATAAGAAGCTATCAAGGGAGTAAAGAGACAGCCTACATCATGGGAGGAAATATTTGCAAACAATACATCTGACAAAGGTCTAAGACCCATAATCTATAAAGTACTTAAACAAATCAACAAGCAAAAAAGAAATAACATCATTAAACAGTAGGCAAAGGATATGAACAGACACTTCTCCAAAGAAGTAATACACACATCCAACAAACATGAAAAAAATGCTCATCATCACTAATAATCAGAGAAATGCAAATCAAAACCACAGTGAGTTACCATCTCACACCAGTCGAATGGCTTTTGTTAAAAAGCCAAAAATAACAGATGTTGATGAGGCTGCAGAGAAAAGGAAATAGTTACAAACTTTTGGTTGGAATATAAAATAGTTTAGCCACTGGAGAAAGCAGTTTGGAGATTTCTTGAGGAACAGAGTTGAACCACTATCTGACCCAGCAATACTGTTACTGGGTATATACTCAAAGGAAAACAAATTGCTCTACCATAAAGACACATGCACTCTCATATGTTCACTGCAGCACTCTTCATAATAGCGAAGACATGGAATAAATCCAAATGCCCATCAATGGTGGATGGGATAAATATATATGACGTTTTCATATATATACACCGTGGACTACTATGCAGCCATAGAAATTGAAATCATGTCCTTTGCAGCAACATAGATGCAGCTGGAGGCCATTAGCCTAAGCTAACTAAAGAAAAAATAGAAAACCCAATGCCGCATATGGGACTTAGATATTGAGAGGGAGAGGGACGGGGCTGAAAAACTACCTATTGGGTACTGTGCTCACTGCATGGGTGACAGATTAATTTGTACTGTAAACCTCAGCATTGTGCAATATACTCATGTAACAAACCTGCACATGTACCCCTGATTCTAAAATGAAAAAAGTTGTCACTCTTGCAAAAATGAAACGGCAAGCCATGATCTAGAAGAAAATATCTATAAAGCAAAATATCTGACAAAGTATTTGTATTTAGATTATATAAAGACTCTTAAATTTCAATACCTCTTTTAATAAAAAGTGGATGAGAGCTCTGAACAGACACTTCACCAAAGTTGATATTAGAATGGTGCACTAGGAAATGAATATATATGCTTTCATTAGAAAAATACAAATTATAACTGCAATGAGGAATCACTATAAACCAATTCTAATGTCTAAAAAGTTAAAGACCAATCAAACCAAGTATTGGAGAAAATATGGAGCAACTGGAAAACACTCTTCAGGATATTATCCAGGAGAACTTCCCCAACCTAGCAAGGCAGGCCAACATTCAAATTCAGGAAAAACAGAGAATGCCACAAAGATACTCCTCAGGAAGAGCAACTCCAAGACAAATAATTTTCAGATTCACCAAAGTTGAAATGAAGGAAAAAATGTTAAGGGAAGCCAGAGAGAAAGGTCAGATTACCCACAAAGGGAAGCCAATCAGACTAACAGCGGATGTCTTGGCAGAAACTCTATAAGCCAGAAGAGAGTGGGGGCCAATATTCAACATTCTTAAAGAAAAGAATTTTCAACCCAGAATTTCATATCCCCCCAAACTAAGCTTCATAAGGGAAGGAGAAATAAAATCCTTTATAGACAAGCAAATGCTGAGAGATTTTGTCACCACCAGGCCTAGCTTACAAGAGCACCTGAAGGAAGCACTAAACATGAAAAGGAAAAACCGTTACCAGCCACTGCAAAAACATGCCAAATTGTAAAGACCATTGAGGCTAGGAAGAAACTACATCAACTAACAAGCAAAATAACCAGCTAAGATGATAATGACAGGATCAAATTCACACATAACAATATTAACCTTAAATGTAAATGGGCCAAATGCTCCAATTACAAGACACAGACTGGCAAATTGGATAAAGAGTCAAGACCCATCAGTGTGCTGTATTCAGGAGACCCATCTCACGTGTAGAGACACACATAGGCTCAAAATAAAGGGATGGAGGAAGATCTACCAAGCAAATGGAAAACAAAAAAAGCAGGGGTTGCAATCCTAGTCTCTGATAAAACAGACTTTAAACCAACAAAGATCAAAAGAGACAAAGAGGCCATTACATAATGGTAAAGGGATCAATCCAACAAGAAAAGCTAACTATCCTAAATATGTATGTACCCAATACAGGAGCACCCAAATTCATAAAGCAAATCCTTAGAGACCTACAAGAGACTTAGACTCCCACACAATAATAATGGGAGAATTTAACACCCCATTGTCAACATTAGACAGATCCATGAGACAGAAAGTTAACAAGGATATCCAGCAATTGAACTCAGCTCTACACCAAGCAGACCTAATAGACACCTAATAGACGTCTACAGAACTCTCCACCCCAAATCAACAGAATATACATTGTTCTCAGCAACACATTGCACTTATTCCAAAATTGACCACATACTTGGAAGTAAAGCACTCCTCAGCAAATGTAGAAGAATAGAAATTATAACAAACTGTCTCTCAGACCACAGTGCAATCAAACTAGAACTCAGGATTAAGAAACTCACTCAAAACTGCTCAACTACATGAAAACTGAACAACCTGCACCTGAATGACTACTGGGTACCTAACAAAATGAAGACAGAAATAAAGATGTTATTTGAAACCAATGAGAACAAAGACATAACATACCAGAATCTCTGGGACACATTTAAAGCAGTGTGTAGAAGGAAATTTATAGCACTAAATTCCCACAAAAGAAAGCAGGAAAGATCTAAAATTGACACCCTAACATCACAATTAAAAGAACTAGAGAAACAAGAGCAAACACATTCAAAAGCTAGCAGAAGGCAAGAAATAACTAAGATCAGAGCAGAACTGACAGAGATAGAGACACAAAAAACTCTTCAAAAAATCAGTGAATCCAGGAGCTGGATTTTTGAAAAGATCAACAAAATTGATAGACCGCTAGCAAGACTAATAAAGAAGAAAAGAGAGAAGAATCAAATACACACAATAAAAAATGATAAAGGGAGTATCAGCACCGATCCCACAGTGATATAAACTACCATTAGAGAATACTATAAACACCTCTACACAAATAAACTAGAAAATCTAGAAGAAATGGATAAATTCCTGGACACATACACCCTCACAAGACTAAACCAGGAAGAAGTTGAATCCCTGAATAGACCAATAACAGGCTCTGAAATTGAGGCAATAATTAAGAGCCTACCAACCAAAAAAAGTGCAGGACCAGATGGATTCACAGCCAAATTCTACCAGAGGCAAAAAGAGGAGCTGGTACCATTCCTTCTGAAACTATTCCAATCAATAGAAAAAGAGGGAATCCTCCCTAACTCATCTTATGAGGCCAGCATCATCCTGATACCAAAGCCTGGCAGGGACACAACAAAAAAAGAGAATGTTAGACTAATATCCCTGATGAACATCGATGCAAAAATCCTCAATACAATACTGGCAAACCATATCCAGCAGCACATCAAAAAGCTTATCCACCATGATCAGGTGGGCTTCATCCCTGGGATGCAAGCCTGGTTCAACATTTGCAAATCAATAAACATAATCCATCATATAAACAGAACCAAAGACAAAAACCACATGATTATTTCAATAGATGCAGAAAAGGCCTTTGACAAAATTCAACAGCCCTTCCTGCTAAAAACTCTCAATAAATTAGTTATTGATACAATATATCCCAAAATAATTAGAGCTATGTATGACAAACCCACAGCCAATATCATACCAAATGGGCAAAAACTGGAAGCATTCCCTTTGAAAACTGGCACAAGACAGGGATGCCCTCTCTCACCACTCCTATTCAACATAGTGTTGGAACTTCTGGCCAGGGCAATCAGGCAGGAGAAAGAAATAAAGGGTATTCAATTAGGAAAAGAGGAAGTCAAATTGTCCCTGTTTGCAGATGACATGATTGTATATCTAGAAAACCCCATCGTCTCAGTCCAAAATCTCCTTAAGCTGATAAGCAACTTCAGCAAAGTCTCAGGATACAAAATCAATGCGCAAAAATGACAAACATTCCTATACACCAATAACACACAAACAGATAGCCAAACCATGAGTGAACTCCCATTCACAATTGCTTCAAAGAGAATAAAATACCTAGGAATCCAACTTACAAGGGATGTGAAGGACCTCTTCAAGGAGAACTACAAACCACTGTTCAACAAAATAAAAGAGGACACAAACAAATGGAAGAACATTCTGTGCTCATGGATAGGAAGAATCAATATTGTGAAAATGGCCATACTGCCCAAGGTAATTTACAGATTCAATGCCATCCCCATCAAGCTACCAATGACTTTCTTCACAGAATTGGAAAAAACTACTTTAAAGTTCATATGGAACCAAAAAAAAGCCTGCATTGCCAAGTCAATCCTAAGCCAAAAGAACAAAGCTGGAGGCATCACGCTACCTGACTTCAAACTATACTACAAGGCTACAGTAACCAAAACAGCATGGTACTGGTACCGAAACAGAGATATAGACCAACGGAACAGAACAGAGCCCTTAGAAATAATATCACCCATCTACAACCATCTGATTTTTGACAAACCTGACAAAAACAAGCAATGGGGAAAGGATTCCCTATTAATAAATCATGCTGGGAAAACTGGCTAGCTATATGTAGAAAGCTGAAACTGGATCCCTTCCTTACACCTTATAGAAAAATTAATTCAAGATGGATTAAAGACTTAAATGTCAGACCTAAAACCATAAAAACCCTAGAAGAAAACCTAGGCAATACCATTCAGGACATAGGCATGGGCAACGACTTCATGTCTAAAACACCAAAAGCAATGGCAATAAAAGCCAAAATTGACAAATGGGATCTAATTAAACTAAAGAGCTTCTGCACAGCAAAAGAAACTACCATCAGAGTGAACAGGCAACCTACAGAATGGGAGAACATTTTTACAATCTACCCATCTGACAAAGGGCTAATATCCAGAATCTACAATGAACACCAACACATTTACAAGAAAAAAACAAACAACCCCATCAAAAAGTGGGCAAAGGTCATGAACAGACACTTCTCCAAAGAAGACATTTATGCAGCCAACAGACACATGAAAAAATGCTCATCATCACTGGCCATCAGAGAAATGCAAATCAAAACCACAATGAGATACCATCTCACACCAGTTAGAATGGCGATCATTAAAGAGTCAGAGGATGTGGAGAAATAGGAACACTTTTACACTGTTGGTGGGACTGTAAACTAGGTCAACCATTGTGGAAGACAGTGTGGTGATTCCTCAAGGATTAGAACTAGAAATACCATTTAACCCAGCCATCCCATTACTGGGTATATACCCAAAGGATTATAAATCATGCTGCTATAAAGACACGTGCACATGTATGTTTATTGTGGCACTATTCACAATAGCAAAGACTTGGAACCAACCCGAATGTCCATCAATGATAGACTGGATTAAGAAAATGTGGCACATATACACCATGGAATACTATGCAGCCATAAAAAAGGATGAGTTCATGTCATTTGTAGGGACATGGATGAAGCTGGAAACCATCATTCTCAGCAAACTATCGCAAGGACAAAAAACCAAACACTGCATATTCTCACTCATAGGTGGGAATTGAACAATGAGAACACTTGGACACAGGGTGGGGAACACCACACACCGGGGCCTGTCCTTGGTTGGGGGGAAGGTGCAGGGATAGCATTAGGAGATATACCTAATGTAAAAGACGAGTTAGTGGGTGCAGCACACCAACATGGCACATGTATACATACACATGTGCCCTAGAACTTAAATTAAAAAATAATAAATAAGAAGAGAATCATGAACAATGTATGTTTTTTAAGTTACTGCATTTTAGAATGTTTGGTTGCACAGTATCTAACTTTCACAGTTAGTGAAATATGGAGCAAAATTTAATCCCTCTAAAATTTTCCTAATTTACAAAATGGACCTTGGAAAACTGGTACCACTTGTACATGTCAACTAATTCATGCTTTCAGTAAGGATCAAAGGAAGTCATATGCAAATGCCCACTAAAAACTATAAGATTAAAAAATTACCTTTTTGGTGCACAACCTTTAATGGAATACTTATCAATAATATTGTTGGGATATATTGGTGTTTAGGTTCTGAAATTTGAGATTCACATTTTGTTGACTTTACCTTGAGTTTCTTTTATATAAATGATGCCAGTCATAAGATAAGTAAAATAAGCTAGAATAATCATTCAAAGTAAATTTAAATTGTAAAGAGAAACAAAACTATTGTGCTATATTCTATGTCAAAAATGCTAATAATAATATAATCATTTGGGGAGTGTTATATTACTAAAAGATAGCAATTCAATAATTAGAACCTTCCTAAGACTGAAGGGTAGAGTGTGAAAACTATAAATATTATCAAGGGATCTGAACGCTAGGACTTTTCATCAAATTTATTTTAAATGGGGCAAACACTTGCCTGAAAAAATTTTTATACAGTTTTATAAGCTTATATAAAATGACATCGTTTCTATTTCAAAGACAAATTTAATTTTTCATTTAACATTTGATTGTCTTTATTTTAACATTATAAATTGACAGTTTTTAATTGTGTATATTTATGGAATAAAAAGATGTTATGATTTATGAATACAATGTGAAATAAACTATAGTAGTTAACATATTTATCAACTCAAGTACTTAACATTTTTGTGGGGAGAACATTTGAAGTTTTCTCTCACCTATTTTGTAATAATATAGTAATAATATGGATAATAATATGTACAATTACCTATTAATATTGTACCTATTATTACCTATATTCACCACACTGTGAAACGTATCTTTAAAAAATCCTTCCTGTCTGAGATTTTGTACCATTTGATCATCATCTTTCCATTCTCCTTACTCTCCAGTCCCTGTAACCACCATTCTTATTCTCTGCTTCTATGAGTTTGATTGTTTTAAATTCCACATACAAGTAAGCACATAGAGTACTTGTCTTTCTGTTGCTGGCTTACTTCACTTAGCATAATGTCCTTCAGGTTAATCTACATTGCCTCAAATGACAATTCCCTTCTTTTCTAAGGCTAAATAATATTTCATTGTGTGTATATACAGCATTTTCTTTATCCATTCTTGGCTATTGTAACTAGTGCTGTAATGAACATCTGATTGCAGACATCTTTACAAATAGATTTTAAATATTTTGGGTAAATATAAGTGGGAATGTTGGATCATATAGTAATTCTACTTTTAGTTTTTTTGAGAAATTTCCATAGAACTTTCCAAAATGCCTGTACTAATTTGCAATTCTACCAACAGTGTACAAAGGTTCCCTTTTCTCTACATCCTCACCCAAACTTATCTTTTATCTTTTTGATAATAGCCATTCTGACATGTTTGAGATTATATCTCATTGTGGTTTTAATTTAAATTTCTCTAATAATTAGCAATGTTGGGCATTTTTCCATAGGTCTGTTTGGCTTTTGTAGGTCTTCTTTTGAAAAATGTCTGTTGAGGTCCCTTGCCCTTTTAAAAATTGGTTTCTTTTGTTTTGTTTGATTCCCATTGAGTTGTTTGAGCTCTTTATATATTTTGAGTACTAACTCATTATCGAATACATGGCTTGAAAATATTTTCTCCCAATCCGTAGGTTGTCTCTGCATATTGTTAATTATTTACTTCGCAGAAGATTTTTAGTATCATGTAATCCCGTTTGTCTATTATTGCTTTTGTAGCTTGCACTTTCAAAGTCAAATAAAAAAAAAGTTATTGCCCAGATGATTTTTTCAACATTGCATGGTTTTTCATCTGTTTTCTTCCAGTAGTTTTACAATTTCTTGCCTTACAATTAAGTTTTTAATGTATTTTGAGTTGATTTTAGTGTATGATATTAGATAAGGGTTCAGTTTTATTCTTCTATATGTGGATATTTAATTTTCCCAATAAAATTTATTAAAGAGCCTATCCTTTTCCCATTGCAAATTCTTGCCACTTTTGTAGAAAATTAATTGATATGAATGTGTATATTCACTTCTGGGCTCTGTATTCTCCTTTATTAGTCAATGTGTCTATTCTAAACAGTACCATGCTGTTTTAATTTCTATAGTTTTGTAGTATAGTTAGAAATCAGGTGTATGATACCTGCAGCTCTGTTGTTTTTGCTCATGATTGCTTTTGCTTTTTGTTTTATTTGTGGCTCCATATAGATATTAAGATTGTTTTTCTATTTTTATGAAAAATGATAATGGAATCTTGATAGAGATTTCATTAAATCTGTAGACTGTTCTGGAAAGTATGAATGTTTCAATAATGTTTACACTTTCGATCCATGAGAAAGGGATATCTTTTCATTTTTGTGAATTCTTTAATGTCTTTCATCAACATTTTATAACTTAATATACAGGTCTTTTGCCTCCTTAGTTGAATTTATTCCTAAGTACCTTTTTATAACTATTGTAAATAAAATTGTTCTCTTGATTTCCTTTTTAAGTAGTTTGTTGTTAGTATATACAAATGCTACAAATTTTGTGTGTTAATTTTGTTTCCTGTAATTTTGTTGTACTCATTTGTTCTCATAGTTTTTTGGTAGGGTCTGTAGGATTTTCTTTTTTTAAGATCATGTCATTAGCAAACAATGACAGTTTCACTTTTTTCTTTCCTGTTTGTATGACTTTTATTTTTATCTCTGGCAAGGACTTTCAGTAGAAGTAGCTTTGAAGTAGGACTTTGAAAATAGAACTTTGAATAGATTCAGCAGGAACATACATCCTCATCTTGTTCCAGGTATTAGAAGAAAGGCTTTTGATTTTTCACCACTGAATGTAATGTTAGCTGTGGGCTTCTTATATATAGCCTTTGTTATGTTGAAGTATATTACTTCTATACCTAATTTGGTTAGAGTTTTTATTTTGAAAGTATGCTATAATTGTCAGATTTTCTATGTCTTCATGATTCAGTCTTGGCAAGTTGTATATGTCTAGGAATTCATTTATTTATTCTAGGTTATCCAATGGGATGATGTAATTGTTCACAGTAGTTTCTTATGATCCTTTGTATTTCTGGATTACTAGTACAAATGTCTCATCTTTCATTTCTGATATTATTTATTCCAGTCCTGTTTTTTTTTTTCTTAGTGTAGCTAAAGGTTCCTCACTTTTTGTTTATCTTTTCAAAACACAACTCTTAGTTTTGTTGAGCTTTGTGTTGTTTTTCTGGGCTCTATTTCACTTATTTCTGCTCTGATTTTTGTTATTTTTTTCCTTCTTCAGACTTTGGGCTTGGGTTGTTTTTCTTTTTCTCATTCTGTTAGGTGTAATGTTAGCTTGTTTATTTGAGGTCTTTTTTCTTTTTAGATGTGGGGATTTATTGTTATGAACTTCCCTTTTAGATCTGATTTTGATGTATCCCCTACATTTTGCTATATAATATTTTCATTTTTATTTGTATCAAGATGCTTTTGCAGTTTCTCTTTTAATTTATTTATTGACCCATTTGTTGTTCAGAAAATTCCTTTTATTACTGTTTCTAATTTTTATCATTGTACTTAAAAATAATATTTGATATCATTTTGCTATTCTTAAATTGGCTGAGGCTTGTTTTGTGCCCTATCATGTAATCTGTCCTGGAGAATGTTCCATGTGTGCTTGAGAAGAATGTGTATTCTGTTGTTGTTGGGTAAAATGTATGCATGTCCGTTTGATCTACTTGGTCTAAAATGTTGTTTAAGTTCAGTATCTCCTTATTAATGTTTCCCTACTGAAAGTGGGATATTGAAATATCTTACTAGTATTTAATTGCAATCTATCTCTCTCTTCAAATCTTCTAATATTTGTTTTATATATTTAAGTATTCTGATATTGAGTGCATATATATTTACAATGGTTGTATCTGTTTGATGAATAGATCCTTTATCATTATATAATGCCCTCCTATGTCTTTTTTTTAATGTTTTTGGCCCTAAGGTTTATTTTTTATTATGTTAGTATAGATGCCCATGCTCTTTTGGCTTCTATTTTCTTGGAATATCTTTTTTCATACCTTCACCGTATTAATCTGTTCTTACACTGATAATAAAGACATACCTGAGACTCAGTAATTTATAAAGGAAAGAGGTTTAAGGGACTCACAGTTTCACATAGCTGGAGAGGCTTCACAATCATGGTGGAAGGCAAAGGAGAAGCAAAGGCATGCCTTGCATGGTGGCAGGAAGAGAGCATGTGCAGGAGAACTCTCCTTTATAAAACTATCAAATCTCATGAGATTAATTCACTATCACAAGAACACCGTGGGAAAGGCCCATGTCCCATGATTCGATTTTCTCCCACTGGGTCCTTCCCACAACACATGAGAATTATGGGAGCTATAATTCAAGATGAAATTTGGGTGGAGATACAGGCAAACCATATCATTCACCTTCAGTCTATGTGTATCCTTAAAAGGGAAGTTAGTCTCTTACCGGCAGCATTTCATTGAGCCTTGTTTCCTTTATTTGTTTCAATCCAGTTGCTCTATGTCTTTTTATTAAATAATTTAATTTTTTTTACACTCAACATATTATTGATAGGGACTTACAACTGCCATTTTGATAATTGCTTTCTGGTTGTTTTGTAAATACTTTTTTTCTTCTTCTATGGCTATCTTCCTTTGTAGTTTGACGGTTTTCTGTAGTAATATGCACAGAACGCTTTGTTGTTGTTTTGTGCTTCTAATAAAGATTTTTGCCTTGCAGTTATCATGAGGCTTACATAGAATGTCTTATAGCTATAGCAGTCCATTTCAAGCTGAAAAAACTTAACTTTGATTGCATACCACAACTTTACACTTTTACTTTCCTCTGCTTCAGATTTTATGTTTTTGATGCTAGAATTTCCATCATTTTGTGTCTTGTATCCCTGAGCATTTATTTTAGCTATAATCATTATTAATAGTTTTGTCTTTTAATCCTCTTCCTAAGGATACAATTGCCTTATGTAACATCTTTACAGGCTTACATTTTTCCAATTATGGTTGAACTTCCCATTTTGCTCCTGAAGGCAACCAGCTCATTTTTGCAGATAGGCTGCAAAGTTGGCTGGTATCTGCAATAGAATGCCACAGCTGGCACTACCAGAAGTACAAGATCTGCATACTGGTCACTATGTGACCTTTGCCTTCTTTTTTTGTTTGTTTGTACCTGACTCCTGGTGGTCTGTTCCTGCTGTTTCCCCTGGTGTTACCCACGAGGTGAGTTTGAAGTGGGCTTTCTGGGAAGCATCTTGAAGTGCTAGAGAAGCTAGATGACTGCCTTCAGTTCTTTTTCCCACTTTCATAAATTGCGGACCCAGGAAAATTCTCTCTGTCTGATGTTTTGCCAAATTGGAGGAGCAGCACTGTTGGAGTGAGACTTTTCTTCTTACCTTTCTAATTCAGACTTTCTTCAGTTCTGCAGACCCAATAGGTGTCTCAGGCTTCTTTCCAAGTAGTGGGTTTTCAAAAATATCGTCTGATCTGAGCTAGTTGAAGTTTCTGTGATGGGGAGTGGCATCTGAGACTTCCTATTCTGCCATTGTGGTGATATCACTTCTTTATTTTTTTTTTCTGAGACAACTTTATATATGCTTCACTTGCTACTTTCTATACAAATAATGAACACCATACGAAAATGAAGTCTTCATGCTTTTGTTTAAAGATAAAGGGTTTAAGCATCCTGGTTGTAAATTAAGTTTAGAGGGATACTTGGCATTTGCATAGCCTGTAACACTTAAAACATGCTTCAACCCATTAAAAGCTATTAATTTGTTATAATGTAATGATAACATAAGAAGCTATTGACAGGAAAAATAAGAGATCAGTCAAATTTACTTTCCCAGTTCCATATAGCAAGTAGAATTTACTGAAGAAAGTAATTTAAACCTATGTATATTGATTATTCCAGAATTTTTCTTTGCCAGCAGGCTGTGTTCAGTCTTCTTATACTCATTTTGATCAATTGATCAACAGAAATAATTAAGTTTATAATACAAACATTATACTTTTCTGTGCTAAGTGGAAGTAGAGGATGGAATTGAGGTCCCTGACTTCAAAAAGATCCACATCTTATGGGGATAGAGGGTGCAACATGAGAAATCACACAGTGATGTTGTACATGTTATATATAGCCAGGAGGGGACTGGCTGTACTAGGCAAAAAATTTCTGCCTAGAAAACTTAAGAGAAAGTGTGCCTTTACCATTTCCTCTCTCTCTCTCCCATCAGCCAACTAGATGTGAGTCTCTAAAATAAATTTAGTAGTTATATGTCGACGAAAGAGTCTCTGCCACCCTCACTGACTTGCATTGGACTGATTTGACCCAGGAATAAATATATTTTGCTAAACCACTGATATTTTGGAGTGATTTATTGTAGCTGCTCATATGCCCTGACTAATTCCTAAACATACTCTAGTCACTCAAAAAAAAAATTTACTAAGCACCTACTAGGAGGCAAGCACAGTGCTAAGAACATGAGGGTACAAGGGAGAACAAGATAGACAAGAGTCTTCATTTTCAAAGCATACATTGTAGTGTGGGAGACACACAAGAAACATGTATTTAAATAATGATAATGGTTATTAATTATGTCTTGAGCCATGTGATAAGTAAGCCAGATTGTATGACTCAGAGTAAGTCAGTTACATGATTTAGGGATCTTTCACATGGAATGGTCAGGGCATGTCTGTAGAAGGGGGTAACAATGAAACTGTGACTTAAAGGACAGAAAGAAATAGTAAAGCAAAAGAATCTAGACAAGAGGGCTCCTAGCACAGGAAACGGGGCAAAAAGATGCTGCATCTGGAAGAACTTAATACATTTTGGAAATTAAGAGAGATTTGTATGACTTAAGTATAGGAAGGGAGAGAGGCAAGTTTAGACTGGAGAAGCAGGCAGTGGCTTGCTCATGTAGAATTCGGGGTGGGGGAGCATTTATTTATTTTTATGTTTATCCTAAATACAATAGAAATACATGGAAAAAGGCCAGGCATTGTGGCTCACACCTGTAATCCCAGCACTTTGGGAGGCCAAGGCAGGAGGATCCCTTAAGGCCAGGAGTTCAAGCCCAGGTTGGGAAACATGAAAAAAACCTGATCTCTATCAAAAATACAAAAAATTAGCTGGGCTTGGTGGCATGTGCCTGTAGTCCCAGCTACTCAGGAGGCTGAGGTGGGAGGCTGGCTTGAGCCCAGGAGGTGGAGGTTGCAGTGAGGTGAGATTGTGCCATTGCTCCCCAGCCTGGGCAACAGAGACAGAGAAAGAAAGAAAGACGGAAAGACAGACAGACAGAAAGAGAGGGAAAAGAAAAGAAAGAGAGGAAGGAAGGAAGGAAGGAAGGAGGGAAGGGAGAGAAAGAAAGAAAGGGAGAGAGAGAAAAAAGGAAGGAAAGGAAAGGAAGAGAAAGAAAGGCAGGAAGGAAGGAAGGGAAAGAAAAAGAAAGAAAAGAAAGAGGGAAAGAAAAGAAAGAAGAAAGAAAGAAAAAAAAGAAAAGTTGTAAGTAACGGAACAATGTGACTTAGTTTACTTTAAATGAGTTAACATGTAGAAAATGTGTAGCTATATTAAGAGCTACATATAAGTTAATAGTAGTAGGTAGTACTGGGGCTTATCTCTGAAAATATAGCGTGGAATACTGTAGGACATATGGGTGGAGTATGGAGACAAGAAGAAAATTGGAGAGACAAATTCAGAAGCTATTACGGTGGCCTAGACTATGCCAGTGATTTGACCTAAATTGCTAAAAGAAGAGATAGAAAAAAGTGGATGGATCCCAGTTATAGCTTGGCAGTGGATGTCAGAGTGAGCATGAGGAAAAGGTAGAAGGGAGGCATGTCTCCTAGATTCCTGGCATTAGAAAGGATGCCAGAGGATGGCGGTATTCTTTTTTGGGATGGAGCAGAAATGGCATAGGAGTCAAAGATTCCATTTCAGACATGTTTATGGAGGTGCTAGTGAGACATACAGATGGTGAGCTCAAACAGGCAGGGGAATATTTGAGTCTGCAGCTCAGAGCAGAGGGCTAGATGGAGACATTTATTTGAAAAGTGGTAACATTAAGATAACCTTGAAGTCTGGAGTAAAAATGAAGTTGCTAAGTAAAGAATATAAATAGAAAATAAAAGTGGCCCAAGAAGTAGCCCTTAAAACAACAGCAACAAGATTTAGAGGTCTGGAATGAGAGGAGAAGCAAATAGTGAAACTAAACTCCATCCTTCAGTTCATGCCTATACAAGTTCTAACTACTGTAAATGTCTGAAACAAGCTCCATGTCTTTTGAATATACCATTCAATTTGTCCACAATTCCTTACCCACTCGTGCCTGTTCTTATTTCATTATTCCCTGTGGACTTGCAGAGGTCTTTCTAGCCCTTCTCTGTTTCTCTGTATCTTCTCTCTTTTCTTCTTCCTGTTCTTGACTACCCCAGTATTCTCTGTTCTGCAATCAATACCCAAGAGGAAGTCAACCCATTTATTAGGCTACGTTAATTAGCATTGTTCTGATCATAGTGGAGAGCTCTTTGTGACAGGCCACCTCATGAGTCATCCCAGCGTATGGGCGGTAGCCATTCTATTATAGTTAGTGCTCAATTTCTGCATTACAGTAACCCAGTATCTTTTGCCTGAGCAAATAAACTGTTTAGCTAGAAGGAGACTTTGAGCATAGCATGTAAGTGATAAATCTCATAAAATAAATACTTATTGAATTGAAATTATTCAGTCACTTATAGGTGAGTCACCATTCTATCTGTACCAACTGACAGCTCTCAGTTTTCTACCCTTCTCTTTTCACCTTTATCACCATTCTGAGAAGTGATTGGTGAGCATCTTTCAGTAGTCTTTGCAGAGATATAGAAAGACATTGCAGGTAAAATGTGTGTCAGGATACAGGATATGTGAATCAACTAAAAAATTAGCAAGGAGTTTTTATTTTTGCCAAATTCTCTGTTTCACAATTACATCCAATTACTGTCCCAGGGATTTGCGAATATGGATAAATGAAGGCAGACATGTGTACTTTAATAATGTGGTTACAGGCAAAAAAAAACAAAAACAAAATCTGTGGCCCCATTTGTGAGATGGGAGAATTTACTCTCACTTGTTTTTAACCAATAAGTTTTTACTTTGTTTATTTTTTATTTTTATTTCTACGTATGTATTTATTTATGACATATAACCTGCTGTTTTGGAGAGTTTCATCTGAAATACTTGGGACAAAAAGAGAATTCAGTTACAGATGAAAATAGTTTTGTTTCCATTATTCTAGATGTGTAGTGACCCAAAAATTATCTTGTATTATGACAATTATGTTTATAAAGCCACTAACTATCACCAGATGACTCTGATGTTTGATTGCAGGTTTTGGGGTTTTTTTTGGTGCCATTTTGTGGAGAAAAAGAAAGACATTATTGCATCACTGGTTAGAGTTGGTGGTTCTTCCTTTAAAAAATTATTTGACTCTACAATTTAGAACCAAGTCTTTGGCCTGCTGCCAAAAAAACTATGTATAATTATTTTTTCTATCATTTTTTTCCAACAATGGTATTATAGTCACATTAAGTTCAGAAAAAACAAAATTTGCATCAGTTTAAATCCTTGCACTATTGTGATGAAAGATAAATTAACCAAAAGTCCCATGTAAGACAATTACATTGCCATCTCCTAGAAAATAATGTTACCTAGTTATGTGTTCTATTGTTCTTGTTGTCTATGAATATTTATCCATAAATATTTGACAATTTCAACATATTTTGAATGCTCATTAAATATTAATATATTGTACATTTATTGTGTGATAAATGGAACACAGGTAGATGTTAAAATCAATACAACTTTCAATTGAAATAAACTACCTGCCAGTCTCATCCAGAAGCTTAGGTTTTATAGATTGCCAATTTAAAAGGGAAAATCTCAGACTGCTTGTGGATTCATGAATGTCGTGAATTTCACTAGGAAGAACTGTTCAATTACTTCTGCCTGTGGAGTTAATGGTCTGCCTACTTCTCAACTCCTGCAGTGCCAACCCCTACAGACCCCAGGCTACTGTGTTCACAGAGAGGGTCTTTATGGAACATGTAAGTATACCTTGAGCTCTTGCTGTGGGCAGCCTTGTAATACAAAGGCTCTTCCTCAGGCTCAACAAAAGATGCTGCTATAAGGAAAAGTGTTAAGAGGTAGGGGATCATGGAGTTTGATCCAAAGTTCTTTGAATTTTGGTCATGGTGTTTTTGGGGTTTTATTGTTTGGCTGTTCTTACATAATAACAGAACTCCTTATTTTCTTTTGGGAACAACTCTTCCACCTCTTAGTCATGTGGTTTTTATGTGATCGACACCCACAACTCTGCCTCCCTCTCCCCAGTTGCCATCATATGTAGCCATGTGATTCAAACCTGGACATATAGAGCACCACACCACACTGCCCATAGTGATTAATCCTGGGTGCTTAATCCAAGGTGAAGTTCTATGACACATAGAACTTTGAAATCCCTCAATCCAAAAATGCCTGAAATTGCTCCTGTTTCTCATCATTTCTATTTATTGTATAAGCTCATTTGAGCTTTTGCTGTCACCTGCAGTTGAATGAAGCCTCACTTATACAGAAATATTTTGTTATTTCACCTTGAAACAGGATTGAACATGAGCAATATTTTGTCTTCAGTTTTAGACTGTTTCCTATTTCAAAATAGTTTCAAATTTGCAAAATTTGCCAAATAAGAAAAATAGTATGAACAAAAATCATATACAGTTATCCAGATTTTGCCTTTGTGAACATTTTAGTACATGGCTTTATCTTCTGTTCTCTGTCTCCCTCTCATTCTCCTCTCCCTCTACTCTCTCTCTAATACATATACATATATACATACAGCTAATTTTTTGAACTGTTTCAGGCTAAGTCAGATATGTAGTTGTGGCTCAATGTGTATTTCCTAAGAATACAGATACTCTCTTACATTATCACATCATTGTACACATAAACTTTACAGATTTACATAAATCTGAGATTTACTCATTTTATCTAATCTATAGCCATATTTTATTTTCTTCAATTACAATAATGCCTTTTATAGAATCATGCCACCCTACTCCTTCAGGAGCTGGATGGGATTTAGGTATTACACAGGATTTTGCTATGTCTCTTTAGATTCCCTTTGCCTGAAACAATTCCATGGCCTTTGTTTTCTGGTAACAGTTTTTAACAGTACCAGCCATAACTTGTAATATAAAATTTATTGTTTTTTGCTTGACTAGTGTTTCCTCCTCATGATTAGATTGAGTTTTCGCATTCTTTGCTGGGATAATACATAGGGATACTGAGTCCTTCTCAGCGAATCTCATCCATCACATCTAGAGCCACACACCATCCATCCGAGACGGTGCTGATAATAATTTTGATCCTCCAGTCAAAAAAGTGTTTCCTGCTTTCTCCAATATGTGCTTTTTTTCCTACCTTGCAATTAATAATCTGTGAGAACATACTCTGAGAACCATAAACATGTCCTGCTTCTCCTTAAAATTTCCTAGTAAATTTAGCATCTATGAATGACTCTTGCCTCGCTTCCTTCATGTTTAAAAATAAGACTTCTGCATGTAAGTTGCTTATTTTTGTACTTAAATATTTTAATTTGAGATTAGTGTAGATTAACAAGCAACAGCATGAAATAATACAAAGAGATCATATGTACCTTTTACCCAGTTTTCCCTAATAGTAATATCTTCCCAATTATAGTAAGTGTAACAACACGATACTGACATTAACACAATCAAATGAGGCATTTGCATCACAAGGACCTCTCATGTTGCCTTCTCATAGCCACATCCACTTTGCTTCCATCTGCACACTCTCTTTAAATCCTGGGAGTCACTCATCTGTTCCCTATTTATATAATTTGGTCATTTCAAGAATGTTATTGAAATGGAAACACATAACATGTAACCTTTCAGGATTGACATATTTACTCAGCATAATTCATATGACTGAGTAGTGTTCCACAGCATGGATTTACCATAGTTTAACTGTTTGCATATTAAAGGATATCTGGGCTGTTTCCAGTTTTTTACTATTATGAAAAAAAGCTGCTATATCTCTTCACATACAGATATTTGTGTGAACGTAAGTCTTTATTTCTCTAAGCTGAATGCTTAGAAATGCAATTGCTGAGTCATATGGTAGATGCATATGTACTTTTTAAATAAACTGTCCAACTTTTGAGAGTGACCATTCCGTTTTACATTCTTACCAGCAATGTGCGAGAGATCCAGTTTCCCTGCATCCTCAGTAGCATTTGGTGTAGTCACTATTGTTATTGTAGCCATTTGCATAGATGTATAGTGATATCTCACTGTGGTTTTAATTTGCATTTCTCTGATGACTCATAACGTTGAATACTTCTTTGTGTGTTTATTTTCTATCTATATATCTTCTTCAGTGAAATGTCTCTTCCTGTCTTTTGCCCATGCTATAATTAGTTTGCTTGGTTTTTACTATTGGGTTTTAAGAGTTCTTTATATATCCTAAATATCAGTCCTTTGTTGAATATGTGGCTCTTGAATATTGTCTCCCATTCTGCAACTTGTCTTTTTATCTCTGAAAGGGATTCTTACTGTGCAAAGTAGCATAATTTTGATGAGGTCAAATTTATCCATTTTTTCGCTTAAGGGTCATGTTTTTGATGTTACGTCCAAGAACTCTTTGCCTAGCTCTCTATCATGAAAATTTGCTTCTGCATTTTGTCCTAAATGTTTTATAGTTTTGTGTTTTACATTTAAGTTTGTGATATATTTTGGTTTGCATTCAAATTTATTGTGATAAATAAGGCGACATAAAATTTGCCATCTGAATCATTTTTAAGTGTGTAGTGCAATGGTGTTAAGCATATTTACATTATTGTAAGACAGATCATCAGAACTTTTTCTTCTTGAAAATCAGAAATTTTATACCCATTAAACAACTTCTTTTCTGTCCCTCTGCCCAGCTCCTGGTAACTGTCATTCTACTTTCTGTTTCTAGATTTTGTCAACTTTAGATACCTCATATTTATGGAATTATACAGTATTTGTCTTTTAATACAAAAGATTGGCTTATTTCACTTAACATAATGTCATTTTGTTTTCCTTTTGGTACAAGGTATGAGACTTAGAAAGAGATTATTTTATTAATTGATTGATTTATTGATTGATTATCTGTGGATATCCAAGTGAACCTGCACCATTTGTTGTAAAAGCTATCTTTCCTGCATTTAATTGTTTTTAAACCTTGATCAAATATTAGTTGGGCATATTTGAATAAATCTGTTTCTGGGTTGTAGATTTTTGCATTGCAATTCATAAAATATATTGGTCTGTAGTTTGTTTATGTTGTACCTTTTGTCTCATTTTGCTATCAGAGTAGTTTGCGCTTCATAAAATAACTTGGGAAATGTCTCCCTCTTATATTCTCTGGAAGAGATTGTGAATAATTGGTGTTAATTATGCTTTAATTGTTTCATTGAACATTTAGGGGGACGGTTTGTAAATTCAATTCCCTTAATAGTTGTAAGAGTATTCAAATTATCTAGTTTATATTGAGTAAGTTATAGTAGTTTGTGTCTTTTGAGAAACCTTTTCATCTAAGTTGTCAAATTTATGCATGTAAAGTTGTTTATTAGTTCTCTGTCCAAATCCTTTTATTATCTCTGTGTTCTGCAGTGGTTATCTTGTTTTGTTACTGATTTTGATAATTTGTGACTTTTTTAATCTTTTTTTGTTAGAAATGTTAGACATTTGTTAATTTTATTAATCTTTTCAAAAAACAGCCCTTTGTTCTATTGAATTCCTCCATTGTTTTTCTGTTTAAAATTTAATTAAATTCTGTTTTGAGCTTTCTCATGTCCTTCCTTCTGTTTACTTTGGTTATTCTAAGTTTCTGAGTTGATTAGATTATTGATATAAAACTTTCTCTCTTTTATAACATATGCATTTAGTGTTATAAATAGTGTTCCAAAAACTATCTTTTAATTGTTATATTTAAACCATTTTTATTTAATATAATTATTTATATGTTAGAGATAAATTTCATCATTTATTTTTTGTTCCCTGTTTTTTATTATTATTATTATTTTCAGACAGAGTCTCGCTCTGTTGCCCAGGCTGGAGTGCAGTGGCGTGATCTCGGCTCACTGCAACCTCCGCCTCCTGGGTTCAAGCGATTCTTCTGCCTCAGCCTCCCGAGTAGCTGGGACTACAGGCACGTGCCACCACGCCGGGCTAATTTTTTGTATTTTTAGTAGAGACAGGGTTTCTCCATGTTGGTCAGGCTGGTCTCGAATTCCTGACCTCAGGTGATCCACCTGCTTTGGCCTCCCAAAGTGCTGGGATTACAGGCGTGTGCCATCACGCCTGGCCTATTATGCTTTTTTTTTTTTAATTTCTCTGTTTTCTGTTTCCTGCTATTTCTATTTCCTTAGTATTTCAGTGGTTTCTGTAGGTATTTGTATCGCAAAAAAATTAACCTTGCCCGAAGAGAGGTCTGGCCTTTGATCTAACTAAGATTTTGGGAGGTGAGCTCTAGGAATGTCATGCCTGAAAAGAGTATCTTTGCTTATCTGGGGTCCTTAGATCACACCAAATTGTATAACAATGTAATCTAGAGTGAGGACTTTGGGCCACACCAGATAGTCTAATAATGTGAATTAGAGTAGGGGTTTGGGGCCACAAGGTATCAGCTTGACTCTGCTGAAGTCTGAGATTAGCTGTGTGAGCAGCCATCCAGGTTTATGTGACCTAATACAAATGCTAGAAACTAAGGCTCAGGTGAGTTTTCCTGGATGGTAATGCTTCATATATATTGCCATAAATTATTCATGGGAGGAGTTTACACTGTCCATTATCTCATTAGGAGAGGACAACTAGAAGCCACAGGTTTGGAACCCTTCTAGGCTCTACCCCTTGCATCTCTCCTGTTAGCTGATTTTAATTTGTATCCTTTTCACTGTAATAAACCACAACCATGAGTATAACAACTGTCAGCAGAGTCTGTGAGTTTTTCAGCAAATTATTAAATGTAAAGGTAGTCCTGGGGACCCCAGAACTATTATTTGGTATCACAAGTGAGAGTGGCTGATTCTTTCCTCTATCCCCTACATTCTGCTATTGAGCCCATCTACTGAGATTTTTTTTCAAGTATTGTGTTTCTCAGTTCTAATATTTCCATCTGGCTCTTCTTTTATTTTTGAGGGGGCAAGGTAGACAGAGTCTCACTCTGTCACCCAGGCTGGAGTGCAGTGGTGCGATCTTGGCAAACTGCAACTTCCAACTCCCAGGTTCAAGTGATTCTGCTGCCTCAGCCTCCTGAGTAGCTGTCACTACAGGTGTGTGCCACCACTTCTGGCTAATTTTTTTTTTTTTTTGGTAGAAACAGGGTTTCATCTTGTTAGCCTGGATGGTCTTGAATCTCCTGACCTTGTGATCCACCTGTCTCGGCATCCCAAAGTGCTGGGATTACAGGCGTGAGTCACTGTGCGTGGCCTCTGGCTCTTCTTAAGATCATCTTTTTCTCTGCTTAGATTTTCTGTTTCTTTACTGAGACTTTCTATTTATTCAATAGTTTCAGGTGTGTTTGTGTATGTTTGTTGAAGCATTTTTGTCATGGTTGCTTTAAATCTCTGCCAGATACTCCTATCATCTCTGTCACCTTGGTGTTTGCATCTATCAATTGTCTTTTTAAATTTAATTTTAGATATTTCTTTTTCTTGCTGTAATAAGTAATTTTTAGCCTGGATATTTTTGTATTATGTACTGAGTTTCTGGATCTTATGTATACCTTCAGCTTTAACTGTGTTTTCTTTCCTTTCTTTTTGACACTGCTCCCCCGGGGAAAAGGAAAAAGGGCACTGTTGCATTACTGTCCTATGGAAGAATGAGTCAAGGTTTCCAGGTCAACCTCTGTTGACATCTGAGAAGGGTGCTCCTCCTCACTGCTGAGTGGAGATTAGAGTTGGGGTGCCTTATGGTCTCCACTGACGTTGTGGTGGAGGTCAGCTTGTTACTGCTGGATGACCGTGAAAGCCTGCACTCTCCTCTAGTGCTCTTCTGATACTACCACAATGCAGGGAGAGTTCGTAAAGATCCAGACTCCCTGTTTGTTCTGCACTGACCTCATGAGGCATTTGCTGTTTACTGACCAGCCACCCTACTTGGCCTTCTCTGATCTCCCTTGCAGGGGTATTAGGGCACCTAAGACCCTCCTGAAGGTGCAATCTGGCTCTCTACTTATCCCTTGCTAATGTGGGTGTGGACAGAGACACTGTTCTTTCTGTGATGTTGGCTGAAATAAAACATGTATTGTCTAAAGTTTCCTGTCTTCTTTTTTATTGGTCCTTTGACAAGATCGACAGGCTTCTGATGGATATTTTTTTGTTTTGTTTTGTCTGTAGCTGTTGTATTTTTGAGTTGTTGCCTTCTTTGGCACCAGGAATGTCACTACCTTAGCTTTTCCCACGTCCCGAGGTCACCAGTTAGTCTGCCTTTCAGAGTCTTCTTATTTTTGTTTTACATATATCATCCAGGATTTTTAGTTGCAGTTAGCAAGAGAAATAAGGAAAATATATCTGCTCCATTTGTCTGTAAGTGAAAGTCTCTAAGTAAGTTATTTTTAAATGCCTTCCCTAGGTTCACATTTCTGGTTGGGTCTAATTGCTACTATAGAGTAGAGAGTTTTTTGAGTGCCCTTTGGACTTTTTATATATATTGGCCTTTTCATAGAATAAAGAGGAAATGGATGGACAGCAGGGTCAGGGATTGCTTAGTGTTTTGTGTTTACTGTTAAGTTCCAAGAGAGCAGAAAAATTTTCTCTTGTGTTTCTGCTGCATTTTCAACTACTTGCAGAGCTCCTGGCATGTGGTAGAAACTCACAACATGCTTCCAAGGGAACTGTTTGTCTTAGAAATCTCTAAAGACAGAAAATGACAATTGTTAGTTGGTTTTTTAACTTGACCACCAACAATCAACATTGTCCTATGGTACCTCAAACATGCTTGAAAGGTCATAAACTTTAGTTACACTAAAATTGCCTTTAATGGGTAGACTATTCTAATCTCACATGGATAATTATTCTAGAAAACACAAACCCATTTCTTCTGTTCTGAGACTATTTTAACACTTGTCTTCAAAAAATATGAATACACGCATCGCATGATCTGCTCCACTGGGTAATTTAACAGCAGTTTTGGGGAGAAACTTTGTGGGTGCAGCGTTTATCACTTCATTGCTGGTAATTTCCTGACTTAAGAGATAGTGGGAGATAAGGAAGAGTAATTGGACATGATAAGACAGGCTGTGTTTAAACCAATTTCTACTCCAAAAACACCCATGGAGATTTTTCACACAATAAAATTGGAAATAATTGAAAAATAGTTAATATTTTTCCACAGTGAATTCTGCTAGCGAGAAAGTACAACTAAAAGGAACAGCAGTCTGAAAAATGATAAAACAAATGTATTATTAGAAACATGCAATTACAATAAATTAAAATAGTGAATGAATAGGTGATGTTTTATGTGCTACAATTTCATCTATGAACATCCATATTTTGGGACCCATAAAAAGGATAAATTGGTTATTTCTGTTTTATTAAACCAGTAAGTCATTGGAAAACACACAAACCCACACTTATTTGCTTGTTTCCCATTCATTTGTGAGAGAGGGTGAATATAATGGCTCAAAAATATTTCCCATCTTCATCAGGGTAATACATCCTATTGATTTCTTGTTTCCAACAAATGGTGATGAGCTGTAAATTCTGAAGCACTCTATACCCTATCTCCTCATCACTCCTTTTATAACTACCAGGAGCAGAGTTTCTATCTGCTTTTGTATTTTTAATCATTAGTTTGTAATCTTAATATCATCCATTTAGTTCTCAACAAGATATTGTACGTTCGGTTTGAGGCTTTTCTTTTTTTGGAGGAAGAAAAATGAACATTTTGCATTTTAAAACTGCACTAAATAATTTAGAACTGCACATGAAATTTTGTTCTTAGAAACTGCAACCAAATCCTATATCAGTAGATTTGATTATTGAAAGCACACAATAACAATTGCATTGCAATGTATAAACATGCTGATGGAGAACAATAGAATGCTGTATGTTACAGCTTTGATTTACAGATCAGCGTGGGCAGATTGTTTTTGATCTTGACCTGTGAATTATTGATATGCTTAGATCAATGAAATGGTTTCCTTTCAGCTCATCTCAATTTGCTCAATTTGAAAGAAAACTTTAAAGAGTGCAAGTTTTATTGGTAAGGGCTCCTTTGTCTGCCTGCCTGAAACCTAGTGGTTCAAATCATGTTAAAAGAAGATTCCATGGCATCTTGATATCTTAGGTAAATAATACCTGTTGCCTTGGAGTGACAGTCTTTCCCCTCAATGCAGCAATTATTGCCCCTGTGTATCAGATTCTTGAAGAGTCCTGGTGCGTTTATAAGGTCTTGGTCCTTTGTCATATACCTGCCTTTCTTACTTTCCTTTACCATCTGACAATAGGGAATTTTCTTTTTTTTTTTTCCATAACATACAAAAGTGCCCAAGATGAGTTGTTAAATTAAAAAGCAAGCTGTAGAGCTATAGAGGGATTTTGGAGTAGATTCACAATTTTTCACAAAATTGTGCCTGTGTATGTACAGAAAAAGTGGAAGACTGTGCCCCTAAATTTAAAAGAATTATATCTTAGAAGTAGATAGAAAAAGATTTTTTAATTTTTTGTGCATTTAGTTATTGATTGAAATTTTCACAAGGAACATGTATCCGTTTTACATATAACATTGAAACAAAAAAAATGACATTTGCAGTGAGTCTTTGTAAACTATACAAGTATGAAATTTACATTCAAAGCCTCTCACAATTTGGCCCCTGCTGATATTTCCACCTTTATAACTCACTTTGTTAGGGTGAAGGTGAGGCAATATGACTCCCAACGTTAATTGCAACTTGCTTTTATGATTCTCTAACTTTGTTTTGACCAAAGTGATCTTCCTTTTCCTTGAAAATCAAGTTAATGTGTAGTGTTCTCTCTGAATCCTGGCCTCCTTTAAAGACCATCATGTGTCCTTTATCTTTCATCATATTTTCACATATCCAAGAGTTCTGCCTATCAACACCAAGAGCAGGGTTTACTGAGCTTCAGGGAGAGTGTGGCATCATTATAGTTTTTTACAAACCCACGTGTAACTTCTAATATTACATCATTCACTGCAATTACCTCATTGTCTTCTAAATGCTTTTATAAGAATAACTTTGTATAATTAAATCCGGTGGAACCACGGATATGATGAGTCAGTTTTAATGGCTACTAGAATAAAACTGTTAAAATATCTCATATGTTAAGAGTGGTAATTGTTCACTGCTCCGGGATAAAATATCTTTTTGCATAGATGAATTGCCTACTTTGGACATTCATATAGCTTTGTATAGAATAACTTTAAAATAATTGTCTCAAAAAATTGATGTCCTCTTTACCCTATAGTAGTTCCTGAGTGTTTGAGATGGCAGATTTTTAATATACAGGTCTGCTGACAAATTTTATCACCTGATTTAATCTTTCTATGCCTCACTTCTTCATCTAGTTATAATAATAGTACCTACCTGACAGAGTTGGGAGACTAAATGAGATCATTATAATTTAAATGAGCTTAGAATACTGCCTGGAACAGATTAGTAATATCTCAATTAATTCTCACTGGGAACTCATCTTGAGGGTTTGGTAAAAATGATTTAGGTATAGCACTTATGACAATGCCTGACACACAGTAAGTACTCAGATATCATCGATGATGAGGATGATAGTGATGATGGTGATGATAATGGTGATAATGTGATGATGATGGTGATGATAATTATGTAATTGATGAAGACAATTACTACTAAAACTAAAAAGGGAACGTTGAAGGTTTGGACAAGCAAGCACAACTGGGAGATGAAATCCATCCCACTTTTGATCACTGATCCATAAGCTTTTGGATGGGGTTGTGTCATCCATAAGAAAGGAACACCTTTTATTATTTTTCAACCCAGAGGTTGCCCCTTTTGGTAACTTCTATATTCAAAGGTAAACTTTTGCATTAAACTTACAAGAAGGTATCATGTAAGTTAGTGGTCTCCTTAGAAATCACAATATGTATAACTCATGCAAACATGTTTAAAGAATAACTTATAGAAATATCTCTTCTTTCTTTCTTGTCCCCATTTCTAAATTCTCCCTTACAACATTTCACAAAAATATAGAGGCACCTCTTACGCTCTTTTGCCTCAGGGCAAGTTTGTATTTCAATGCCAACTGCAGGAGTTTTCTGTAAGGTATTTTCCTCTCCTGAATTTTGTTTTTTAAAGACTGAATATTCTGAAAAGATGGTACTGTTGAGATTCAGAAAGCAACATCCCCAACATGAAAGCCTCAGAAGCAAAAGTTTTTCTCTGACCCTCTCCTGCCCTCCTGTCTCTTAGTCCCATTCTCCTCCTAGGCTAGCCATAGAAACTAGACTCCCTCTTCCCCAAGGTGGGTCACAGAAACCAGAAACACCTTTCCCCAAAGCCAGCCATAAAACCTCAAAATTACTACACTAACTCTCCTGACTTTCTGTGCAAAAAAATTGGCCATAAGGAAATTATTTGACCTATGTTGTTGGCCTGTAGGTTATAAGATTCCCCCAGTCCAGAAAGGGTCTGGCCCAATACCCAGAAGGAAGAAATGCATGCTCAGAGAGGCCAAGAAGAATCCAGACAGACAGGCCTCTAATAGACATTTAGTCTATTAGAATTAGATTATATCCTTTTTGTCCAATCATATTTCTACACAGCTGGCCATACTTGTTGAACCTGAGCATAAAAAAAAGAACAATTATTCTTGTATCTTTGGGTCTTCATTTTGAAGGCTCCCATGTACACATTCACAAATTTTTATGTCTTTTCTCCCATGAATCTGCTTTTTGTCAGTGATTTTAGATAAACCTTCAGAGGTCAAGTGGAAGTCTTTCTTTGGCCCCAACAAGGCCAAGTCCAAGTTGAGCACTGATATTTATGAAGAGGCAAAAGGATTTTGGAGGGGATGAGTTGTTTGGAGGTAGACTTTTTTTTTTTTTTTTTTTTTTGAGAAGGAATCTTGCTCTGTTGCCAGGCTGGAGTACAGTGGTGCAATCTTGACTCACTGCAACCTCCGCCTCCTGGGTTCAAGCGATTCTCCTGCCTCCGCCTCCCGAGGAGCTGAGACTACAGGCGCACATCACCAAGCCCAGCTAATTTTTGTATTTTTGGTAGAGACGGGGTTTCACCATATTGGCCAGACTGGTCTCGATCTCTTGACCTCATGATCCACCTGCCTCGGCCTCCTGAAGTGCTGGGATTACAGGCATGAGCCACTGTGCCCAGCCTTGTAGGTAGACTTTTAAAAGCTTTCAGGCTCAGTCTTTAGGCTTCATAGCATAAAAGCAAATAGCTGTTCCATGATTGGCTTGTATAATGAGTATGTCAATGGTAGTCACACCAGATTACAGTATGAAGCCCTTTCTCTGTAACTGTCCTAAATTAGGAAGGAACTCTGGAACACAATACATCCAATAATGACAAATGTTGTAGTTTTCATCAGCCCAATAGGCTTTTAAGAATGAGACTTGGATTTAGTTTTGTCACCTGAAAGCATAATCATTGATAATTCTTGTATACTCTAAAACTACATTCACAGAGCTTACCCAGAGAAATTTGGTCCTTTTATCAGCTTTGTCCCTGTCATACTGAGATATAAACCTTAATCATCCAAGAGAGTTTAATACTTAATAATCTGAGCTCCAAGGCCTGCCCTTGTCTTATAGCCACTCTTTGGAGGAGGTACAAAAGGTTTTTAACTAATCTTTATTCAAGGATACGTCGTAAAAAGTTCTGGAGGCATAAACAGTGTGAGCTTCCCTGAGAATAAAACAGAACAAACACACTAAGTGGTAATCGAGAAGTCATTCGAAAAAGTTAACTATGTTTATTTTAACTAAAAATTCCAAATCCAGCAATGAATGGTAGAGCAGCAAATGAAACATCATCTCGTTGCCACAGACTCCCAAATGTAGCATAAACTTCAGCTTTGTTGCAAGAATGAATGTAAAAATATTCTTCCTTAATGTGAGCAGCAGACCAGAGGTGTTTAATCACCTCTTCCAAGTGTAAAATCACTGATGGTAAAACACCTCATCATCCTTATGGAGGTGAGAATCATTTACGTAAACATAAAGTCACCCTTGACAAACAGGGTCTTTGTTGATTTCATTAAGTGCCAGATTTTGGTCACCCAGCTTGCCTCTGAGTAGACACACCTCATTTCCATGAGTATTCTAGGAGGACAGCATATGTCATTTGCCAACACACCAGGCAACATCCACATAATAAAATGCAACCGCCATTGAAACTGGGCTAAAAACCAATCCATCCAGTGTTTAATGAGTAACATTAGCACACTCTTAAAAAACACTAATAACAAATTTACTGTTGATTTTAGTGTTGATGGCAGGTATCCAAAACCTAACTTCCTACTAAATTCATTTTAGTAAAAGCAAAAAATAATGAATGAAATAAATGAATGTAATTTCAAGTTATTGCCAGAAGTTAGACTTTTATTATCATGGCATTAACTCAGAAGAGAAACATCTTACTTTTCCCAAATTACAATTTTATTTTAGGGAACCCTTTTCCTCCTACTCTGAATTTCAATCTAATATTGTTTTCAAATTAGCTTTTATTGTTTTACTTTTAAAGTAATATTATTGTATGCTTTTAAAGTTTTACTCCAAAAGGAAGAAAAATAAAAAAAAGTTGCAGCTTTAAAAAATTTCTAAAATATAGAAAAATGACTTACAGCATAATTTAAAACAGTTCTAGTGAACATTTGATTTGTAGAGAGCTTTTGGTCTGAGAGCTCTCTGTTACCTGTGACTAATCAGTACACAAACCAAGGGGCAGCATTAGGAATTTTTATAACAACCTGATATTTTCATAGTATTTTTACTGTATTTTCCAAATATTGTCATCTGCTATGGTCCAGAGAGGAAAAACATTCTTTAACACAGAAACATTAAGAAACATTGAATTTTAAAAGACATAGGTCTTACTTTCTTAAATGGAACATATGATAACTAGAAACATTATCTTAAATATTTCGTTTTTATTATTTGATTAACTTTTTTCAGATTTTTTCCCAAAAAGAGGTATATGCCTATTAAATAGTCCAGATATTTCAAGTATCTTAAATTAGCCATTGATTCTTTAACTGTATTTGAACATAACCTTTCTTACAAACTCATATTTGTGTGCTGCTTTGAGATTCTTCTTACTTTGTGCCAAGCATTGGACTAAGCATTTGATATGTCACTATTTGATTTAATTATGAAAATGATAAAATGACAGCATGGTGTGTTATCTCATGCCTTATAATCAGGATGAGGGCACAGTTTTCCCGTGAATAGTTGATGCATAGAACGAACTATGAATGAACACTTGCTCAATGTATTTCAAGGAACTAAGGCAGAAAAAGCTGAAATTTAAGCCTGGAAGATGGTGGGTAAAGAAATCAGGAAAATTTCTGTGGTTTGGATGGGCCAATCAAAGGAATCGAGAAACATTTTGTTGTAGAGAAAAGACTGGATATTTGAATCATATAAGTCTACATTTGAATACCCATTTCAGCTCACACAAGCTATGTGACTTAATTCTGGTCACTTGAACATTCTTTCCCACAATTTCTCAATTTAAATGAGGTAATAATTGTGGAGGGTCATTTGTATTGGCTTTATAACACTCTTTCTGACGATTCCATGCATGCCTTTGTTACTTTTGAGCCTTCCCAGCCTCTACAGTGCATTTCCTGGCTCACTTGCAGCTACAGTTCTGGATGTGATTTTAGTTTTGCAGATCACATGTACTCCTTGGAGTCTCAGATTTGGAATTTGGAGTTCCATTTGACTCACGGAGATCCTGGCACAAGTGGATCAACGGCCGAGCAATTCCCTTCCCACACTAGACACAGAAGTTACCTGGGCAGCCCAGGTATGGCCCCAGCCTGAGTCTGGAGTCTATTCCTTTACTTTTCTATGATGATAAGCTTTTCTTATTTAGGTATTTATAACAGAAAAAAAAATCTAGTCTCTACAGATGAACCCTAAACAAGACAGCATTTAACTCTGACCCATAAGTTGCATTATTTTGGTAATTAAATGAGATAGTTACATGTAAAATGTTTAGTCCAATGCTTATCACAGAGTAAGAGCTAAGTATTAGCTTCTCCTTTTCCCCTTATGATAGTTTACATGCCTAATGAAGTTTGATGTGAACTTGCCTGAAGATAGAAAAATTAAATCATTTTGATATACTCTTTAATTATGTTGGTGGCTACATATGACTTAATACAGAAAGACATAGAGATAGTGTGTTATAATGATAGAGACATAGAAGAGTGAACAATATTTAGAGCAAAATGATCTAAGCTTATCTAAGTTTAACTCTCAGAACTACTTAATCATTTGCCCTTGAGCAATGTTTTCTGGGATTTATTTGTTCCATCTGTAATGAGAGATGGATTAGGTTATATATATTTAATGTTCAACAAGTCTTTAAACACAATTCTGAGACTCAAATTCCAGCTTCATTTACTCCCAATTTACAGTAGTGATTTAAAACATGAGGAGTGTTCACTTTAGATGATTCATTGTTGAAGGAGTGTGATGGCAAACTATGAAGAGACTTTCTTTTAAAAACGTGCCTAACAATTGTAGTAAAGTCATGAAAGGTGAATGAAACAATGTAAATATATATATAGTGAGAATGGTACAGGTTGAGCATCCCTTTTCCAAAATGATTGGAGCAAGAAGTGTCTTGGATTTTGAATTTTTCAGATTTTGGAATATTTGTTTACATAAGGAGATATCTTGGGGATGAGACTCAAGTCTAAATACATTTATTTGTGTTTTGTTTACACTTTATACACATAACCTGGAGGTCATTTTATATAATGTTTTAGTAGCTGTGGGGCATCGTGAAGAGCTTGCTGTTGGTGAGACTGGTCTGGACACATGCCATTTTATTACACTCTGCATGTGCTTGCTTGGGGGGATATGGGTACCTGTGAAAAAGATATATCATAGCTGAAGGGGCCTGGGAGGATCTTCTCTCCTTTAGAGACACTGAATAAACTGTGTATTGTTCATCTGTGATTTGACTGTAACCCATCATCACATGAGGTCAGATGTGGAATTTTCCATTTGTGACATCATGTTGACAGTCAAAAAGTTTCAAACTTCTGAACATCAGATTAGGGAGACTCAGTCTATACATTGTGTAATTTTCAGGGGACCAGAGGAATTGAACTTAGTTTAGTTTGTCATATCAGTGGGATTTTCCATGGTGACAAGTGGTAATTATTCTAAGATTATAAACCTTAATACACCTGTTTGTTGTTGTTGTATTTTTATTTTTTACAATTATAAATCTTGAGTATAGTTAAAATTTAGAAAATTTTTTTCAAAGTACTGTGTGGAATCGAAAGATATCTAAGACAATAGTCTTTCAAAGGTGCAGAAAGTAGATTCAATCTATGCAGAGAAAAGCAGATTTCAAAAAATATAACAGAAGAAAAACAGTTGGCTGAACTTACTATAAATACATATAGCTAAAAGGGGAAAAAGCAGAGGAGAAACAGTTATCTTCTGGTCTTGTAGAAGTTTAAGGTCTTGGTAGATATTAGGAACATGCAAAAGGTAATGTTTGTGTGTTCTCTCTCTCTCTGCCAATGCTTTAAAAATCTCTAGGGATATATCAAAGCTGTTTAAATAGAGTTTTAAAAACATGACATGAGTTCATATTTGGGTTGACACTACTGACAAGTCAGTTTTCTCTTAATACAAATGATAGCAGTAGCAATGTTTGCATCTATCTATTTGATTGCAAGGAGGAAGAATTGAATAGAATTATTCCAAGGAAAAAATGGCTTTGTTATTGTTATTATTGACATATAAACTTTGATTGGAACTGTAAGCCTAAGCCTAGAGATAAATATTTATCTCTCTCAGTCATTGTTTCTCTGTGACCAGCCATCCTGTTTCTTATTCCAACCAGTTAAAGTTGTCTCCTTTCCCTTATTTTCTATGTCTTCATTATTCAGCTTGCCCATTCGTACATTTCATCTTTTCTAGATTATCTTTGTCCCCTTTCTACATCACACAATTTTTCTCTAACTGGTATTTTAATCTTATATAAAAAATAGGAATCTTGTCTCTGTGGGAGAAAGAAGAGCATGCTTCTCTTAGAACAGCTCCTTTATTTGGGAGGACATGACTAATAAGACTGAGGAACTTGAGATTAGGGCTGCTGAGCATCCATCACTCATTCATATTCCGTCTTTGTCTTGTTCTCTTGCTCTTCCTGTTTCTTAATCATTTCAGTTTATAGAGAAAGAAACCTTGATTTTTAACACCAACTTATTCTGGTTTTGCTAGAATGACAGATTGTTCAACATTCTTTTTTTGATTTATGTGTATGTTTATCTACTACTTTAAGATTCATGGGGTTGTTATTTTTCAACTGTGGGTGATTTTGGCCCCCCAGAAACATTTGACAGTGTCTTGAAACATTTTTATTGTCAGCACAGGGACATGGGTGCTACTGGCATGTAGAGTCCAGAAATGCTGGGAAACGTCCTACAATGCACACAACCTCCACATTAAAAAAATAATAATAATAAAATAATTATCTGGCCCTAAATGTCAGTAGTACCAAAGTTGAGAATCTTTGCCATAAGGGAAGTGAAGAGTTTGAGATGAATTATTTTATTTATACTCAGTAAGGTTTTGAGTTTTTGTTTCCTTTTCAAACTGTCTAATCTCTCAAATACACCCTTCCAGGTTCCCAGAACAAGGCATAATTGGTGAAGCTGATTTTGGGGCCAGGCTCCACAAAACATAGAATTCTACCAATGTTTGGATTCAAGTTCCTTAGTCTTGTCTAAGCAGGTGAATGGGAGAAAAATTAATATCTTTTCCTTACCCATTGCAAGTGTCATGGGTGACACCCCATAAGACAAGACTGATTAACAAGAGAAAAGCATAACAAATTTATTTAACAAAGTTTTAGATGGCATGGGACCCTTCAGAAATGAAGACCCAGAGACCCAGGGAAAACTGTATTTTTATGCTTAGGGTCAATGAAGAATGGACAGTCATTGAGAAATGTGATTGAACAAAGAAAGGGGTATGATTTAATGGTAGTAAACTGGGAGGAACTCAGCAAATCTTGTTTGTTCAGATTCTTCTTGGCCCTTCTGAACAACACTTAATCACCTCTAGGTATGGAGCAGGAAGCCTCTGGAATGAGGGTCTTATAATCTACGTTTGGGTGAGGGAGGTCAGGTAATTCCTTTATGACCATGCTTCACACCAGAAAGCCAGGGGAAAGTCACAGTGAACTTCTGGCTTCTGTGGCTTTCTCAATTGCCCAAGGTGTCATATGTTGGATTATCATGTCCTGAGCCCTGACACAGACCGAGCCCTGACACAGATATGGTCCAATACAGCATCAGCTGTGATACATGATATACATATCATGTGATAGATGTGATACATGATATCCATATCATGTGATAGATGTGATACATGATATCATGTGATACATGATATACAACATGGGCATGTTAACAATCATGTTTTTAAAAGGTGGTGGGGAGAGTAATTTTTTTTTTAAAAAATGGATATCATTAGACAGAAATCATAAAATATCTATAGAACAAAAAAAAGTATAATTACCTCAGTATTTACTACCTTTTTATTGATGAAAAAAAACCCAAATGGGTCTTGCATCATTTTTTTTTATGATGATATTGATACACAATGGCTGGGCTCCTGGCTAAACTCCATCCCCAAGCCTGGAACCTTGGCTCTAAGTGAAAGCAGCTGACCCCATTTTTCCTCCCAAATGACTGTTTTTTGTCCCGTCCTGCCCCCTATCCTGTGCCCATAAAAACCAGACAAACTGGCAGAGAAAAAAGAAGAAAAGAGCAACACAAGTGGCTGATTCAAGTGGTTGGGGATGCAAGCTGCTGAGCATTGGGAATACAGGCTGCTGAACACTGGGGATACATGAGGCTGAGCATTGGAGACTAGCAATAGTTGTGTCTAACTTCAGACAGTGCGGCTTCAGGGAAAGATGACTTTCTTCCTGCACCATCCCCTTTCCAATTCCCCATCCCACTGAGAGACACTTTTATCACCCAATAAAATCCTCCTTTCAAACACTACCCTTCAAATAGTTTGTGTGACCTGATTCTTCCTGGATACTGAACAAGAACTCAGGTGTCAAAAAGAGCAGGTGCTGGAGGCTGTCATCCTGACCCTTCACTGAGCTGTTAACACTTAGCTGTCCATGGACTACAGGATGAGTGAAACGAACCACTCCAGTTCCTGCCCACAAATGGGTTCAAGGTCAAGGGAATAACCCCATGCCAATATGACTCAAATTATTTTAGATATTCATTTCTCGTATTTCTGAGAACCTTTCATTTTTATTAGCTTTGAGAAAAAGGAAAGACAAACAATGTAGTAAATGAATTGGTGACTTTCCTGTTCCTTAGGCACCCTGGAGGGCCATGACCCTCATTTCTAGAAACCTTCCAAAGCTTTTTTACAGAACGAATCTCAGAGCAAGAGTGCAGAGGCAAGGCAAGACATTCTGCTTAGATCCTAATATTCACTAGAAGAGGAGAAGGGAACTATCTTCCAGGGAGTGAGAAGGAACTTCCAGCTCCTTCCAGTCCTGTAATGACTAATGGAACTGGTGTGTGTTGTTCCCAGTTTACTGCATATTTGCCCCTGAGAATACAGTGATTAAAATGAATGATGAGCTGGAATTAAAACACTCTACTGTTTGGTACTATTTGTTTGTTGGGAAACACTTGCTGACTCTAGCCCTCATTTAAATTCTAGCACAATTTAAAGCCCATGAGGTATGTGCAAGAGCCCAGAACATGACTTTGGAAAGGATTACTTCAGGTCCTTGCTTTCTCCCAGTCTTGGACTATGCAAATAGGGCAAGTCACTTAAGCATTTTGGGCTCTAATCTCAATGTCTTTATTTTGAAGGTAATACCTAGTTTTCAGCATTGTGCTAAGATTTTTAACAGCTTTTAACTGAGCTTCGATACTTTCTAGTTCTGTGAATGCTGTTTTGTTCTGTAATATTATCTGTCTACAGCAGATCAGCGTTATAGTTATATCTACTTATATCTTTAAAAGGTATCTCCATTTGTAAGGATATCACTCTCTCTCTGTACCAGGAAAACACAGATGATTCTGCATTGCCAAAGACTCTTATCAATGGGAAAGCATCAACTTAAGTCTGCATAACAAACTTTACCTTTGTTTACTCTGCATTTTATGGGCATCTCTCCATAACCAGCCCTTTCCACACCTTTTTTATTTCAGTGGACAGTAGTATTTAAACCTGAATTCAAAGTCACCTTGAGATTTACTCATTTCTTTGGGTATCTCTTCTATCTACATGAAGTATATACATTACTAAATTTCTGTGTCTTTTTCTCTTGTCAATCTTTCTTTTGCAATCTATCCCATCTAAACACTATAAAATGTAGAGGAAAAATTAATTTTTCCCCCTACCTGCCTCAATTTTCTCATTTGTAAATTGGGGAAGATTGTATCTGCTTCACAAAGTTTTCTTGAGATGTAAATGAGTTAATGTCTGCAAAGCACTTAGGATGGTGCCTGTCACAAACGTGAGCTATTATTATTAATGCATGTTGAGCTTTCATCACAGTGCTTGACACCTGGCAATCATTCAGTCAATAGTAACTATTTTTATACACAGTCAGGTATCATTATTAATAGAAACAAAGAACTATATGGATTTATGGCAAGGGAGAATCTGAAAAATGAGCTAGGAAGGTTTGTTGTTGCCTAAATAAGCATATGCTTAGTGATAATGGTTAGGCTTAGTGGGAAGCCATCAGTTAAGCAGGAAAGATGAGGCAAATGAAGAAGGCTTTTCAGTAAACATGAGCGTCATACTGGTAAATTGGATGGAGTTTTCGCTGGAGACACAACTTGAAAATAATTGAACACTCTGTGAATATTTGTAAAGTAGACTTACCTTAATACTGTAAATGGCTCATATACATTTTCTGGCACAAATTTACACTGTATAGGTTTTCTGCACATTTGTGAATCCCCTTGCAGGGTTAAACCAAATGAACAGAATCCTTCCATCATGCTCATTTCTAATGCAACCTATATTGCTACCATAAGCAGCAAAATAAAATTCTTTGCATGCATCTGTACCTCACAAAGCAAGGAGAGAGGCATTTTGAGACAGATTGTGTAAATGATGAAATGGAGATCTTGAGATTACATAGTGGTTTTAATGACAATGATGCCTCATGTTGGCACAAGATTCCTTTTTTCAAAATGTATTCTTGTAACTAATCTCCTAGGATCTGCACAACCAAATAAAATATAAGTGGAGTTAAATAAAATTTGAAGGAGGCTATTGATTTGGACAAGGCTGTTAGACTAGGCCCAACAGACCAAACCAAAATGGAATTACTCACGCTAAACTTCCAAGTCACCAACTGAAACTAAGTTGTTTATCTGACCTTCCAAAAAATCAAGAGAGGAAGAAATAATAAGCAAAATATCAAACAGGTCAGTTTTTAGCCCGCATGATAAGGGAGTCTCTTCTGCTTTAACCTTTATAAGGGAAGTGACTTTGAAATTACTAATCTGCTTTTTGTTCTCAGTTGCTGCTTTCTTCAGCCCCTTTCTGCCTATAAAGCTAACCTCTGCTCAGTTCACTCATTCTGTTTTATAGGATGAGGTGTTGCCCGACTGATTCCAGAATTGCAGATAAAAAACAATTAAGATTTTTAGACTAAATTTGCTTTAATTTTTGTCTTTTAAGGGAAGGAATACAAAACTGTTACCTCCTCATTACAAACTGGAAAGCTGAGGCTTCTCTATCAGATATACACGAGAGATGTTTTTTAGCCTAACCTGTAGTCAGTGATTCCAGACTTCATTGTCATGTGGAATGTCTTCTCTTACTATCCATGTTAGCCCAGAGAACTCTCCTTGTGTAGACTTTAATCTGACTCCTTTAAAATAAATCCCTGCTAACCTTTCTTGCATCAGATGCTGGAAGACCTAAGTAAACAAGTCTACTTATTCTTCCCAACTACCCCTAAAGCTAGCAGTACCTGTAGACCTGAATCCTCTTTTCTTTAAATTAAGCTTCCTTCAATAGGTCTGAATTTATCATAAATCCTATAAATTTTACCTCCTCAGAAAAAAAATGTAGTTTACCTAACTCCTTGAGAAAAAAAAATGGAATAATTGACTAATTAATTCAACTAACATTGACAATTGCCAGTAGTATTAGAATCTTTTCTGTGTTCTTATACTCAGCCGTAAGCAGGAAATAGAAGATCACTGATCTTAGGTAATTTGCATAGTAGGGCAGGGAAGATAGGTGATAACCAAGAAATTAAATAATTTTAAATTTTATTCAGCAGTAAGTTATTCAGGAGACTTAAAAAAAATGAATGTTCTGGAGTGTTACATAATATTACATTGAATGAGGCAAGAAGTTCTCCTGGAGGAAATTGCCTTTGAATGATGAAAAAGAAGTCAAACATTCAAAAATCTGGGACAAAAAGGGGCTAAGTAAAGGAAAAATCAGGGCAAAGGTAAGACCCAGGGTAGTATATTCAAAAGATAAGGGAATTCAGTAAGCATAGACTAAGTAGAACATAGGATTAAATGAGAAGAATCAGCGTGTGAGACAGAGACAGAGACAGAGACAGGCATTATGTGGTCTAGTGAGGGATTTAGATTTTATTCTAAAGCCCAATGATATATAATGGCTTTAAGTATGGAAGAATTTAATCTAATATATAGTTTTTAATAGATTTCATTGGCTGCTTTATGGAGAATAGATTACAAGGAGGCAAGAGTGGAGGTTGGGAATTTGTGAGGAGTTATTCAGTAGAGAGAGAGAGAAAAAGAGAGAGATCATAATTTAAATTTGTGGTGGAATAGTGAAGACTGAAAATAGACCAAATTAGGATAAATTATTCAATTGCCAGTACTTGATGATGGATTTCTTGTGTTACAGTTGGGATCAGTGATGATTGAAAGACAGGACTAGATGCTTCCTAGTTTTAGGATTTGAATAACTGGGTCGACCCTATTGTTCTTATCAGAAATGGGAAAAAGGAAGGGTGAGAGAGAAGGTCTTGGGGCTGGGTGAGAATGAATAGTACTATTTTTAAAAATTCATACTTAGAATTCACATAATATTTTAGATACGTTTTTACTTACATTCAGTGCAGATTGAATATAGTCTCCTTAAACTTGGGACTTTATTTCTATTAGATCAGTCTCAGGTTATGGTTGTTTACTTAGTAGTCATAGGTAGAAAAACATTGTATTCAATAGCAAACTATGCATCCTCTTTGTGTTAGCCCTCCTGGCTGTTAGAGTTTAGTTCCATTTATTGTATTTAAGCCATTTTGCAACTCTTTGTAAATAGGTAACGGATAGATACATAAATTCTTTCCTGTTTAATAGTGATTTTAATTAATTTCCTCCTTCCTATGGAAAACCACTTCTATTCCCATTTGTAACATTTCCCATCCAAACTTTTTTTATTCTATGTAATTTTTGCTTTTTTGACTTTTCCTTTGAATCTGTTACAACATCTCCCTGGTTTCCTAATATCGTATGAGTAAAATAAAATCTTTAAGACTTGTTCATTTTTACATGTGTGTAAGAATCGTGATTTGACCTTTATTTGAAAATTATCTCTTAATACATATCTCACCAGTGACTCATAGTGCTCTCATGATCAAATGATACCCCATGTCTTTATTGAATGGATTGCTGTTAACTTACATCTTCTAAATCCTGTGTTTATATAATGTGACTTTGACACATTTATTTCATATAATGGTAATTTCCCTGAAAAATGTTAGACTTTCATATGAATCAGCTAGACTCAATCCTACCAATACAATTATAAATTCAAAAGGCAAATGACCTGGAAGCTGAGGCAGGAGAATCGCTTGAACCCAGGAAGCAGAGGTTGTGGTGGGCTGAGATCGTGTCATTGCCCTCCAGACTGGGCAACAAGAGCAAAATTCAGTCAAAAAAAAAAAAAAAAAAGTCAAATGACTCAGATTGTACCTCAGCACCAGGAACATTACATCTTCCAGGGGTAGGGGAGAATTTCTTAGCTGTTTTAACTATCAATCTTAGAGGTTCTGCAAGCCTTTTATTAAAATTCCAAACACTGCTGAACAACAGAATTACCTCGTCAATAACGAAAGACATCAATGAGTGTTTCCAAGCAAATTCACATTTTGTCTCTATTCTCAGAAGTGAATACTTTAGTGGCTAAGATTCTGAGAGATTGCAACTCATTATTTTTTAAAGAAACCCTACTTAAAGCTATATTCTAAAACTATCTTTTAAAAATGATTAGCTTCTGACTCATAAATTGGAGTGGTTCCTGTTTTATCTTGTCAAGGAAGAAGAAAACAGATTTCATTGATGAGGAAAACATAAACATGGCATCTTTGGCAAAAGTGCTGTTTAAATATTTAGAAAATTATCATTCATAACTCAAAAAAGGTAATGATCTAATATCATTCCCAGACCAGTATTTGGGCAAACACTTTTCCTACTCATGTAACATTAATTGATAGTAGAGCGTTGTAGGGGAGGGCACGTTTTTTCTCTTTTCTCTGAGGGTTCAATAATTGAGTTTATGAAATTGAGAGTAGGCAGATTAACAGGAGAAAGGTATACAGATGCTCTTCACCTTATGATGGGTTCACATCTTGATGAACTTATCGTCAGTTGAAAATGCATCTCAAGCCCTGATAAACCCATCATAAAGTCAAGAAATTGTCAATTTCAATTGAACTATAGTATGTTGAGGACTGTCTGTACAAATTTATTATATACATGGGGACATCACACAAAAGAAAAGTGAACACCCCAAAACCCAGGGAGATCTAGAAGCTTATATACTCTTGTTGGGGTTCAGAAAATAATATTCCAAAGTGAAGGCTTAAGAAACAGCCTCAGAAGCAAAGTGTCTCTCTGAACTTTTTTGCTCTCCTGCCTCTTGCCTCTCATTCTCTCCCAGGCAAGCCATAGAAACCAGAACCCCCTTTCCTCAAAGCCAGACATAAAACCTAAAATAATACTCTAATCTTCCCCCCACCATTCTGTGTAACAAGTGGTCATAAAGAAATTAAGACCCTCATTCCAGAGGGTTCCTACCCCATACCCAGGAGAAAGGAATACTGCACAGAGGGGCCAAAAAAAAATAGGAACAGATAAGCCTTATTGGGTTTTCCCTCTCAGTGTATTAACATTAGGTCATATCTTTTTTTCTCCAATCACAATTTTCTACAGAGCTCTTTAAACTTCACTGAACCTAAACATAAAAATGTGTAGTTTTCCCTGTGTATTTCGATCTTCATTCTGAAGGCTCCTACGTCACACAAAGCTATGATCAAATAAAATTTTTATGCGTTTCTCCTTTTAATCTTAGTTATAGGGATGTTGGCCATGACCATCATGATGGCGAGAAAAGGGATCAACCCCTTTCTGCATCCTACACCCTCTTCATTAGAGAGGGGTAAGCGGGGGATGTAGGCGAACTTAGGGAAGTATAAATGATTTGGGGGAAAGATGAAGAGGCCCTCAGAAGAATAAGTACTACACTACGGCAAAGTCTGTCTGAGCATGGTGTCAACCTCCAGTGTCCTCTCCTGTGATACAAGTTTAATCTTCCCTGGTTAATGAGACTCCCGTGAAGGAGATTCATGATAGTTGAGTTCCTTTCAGAAGATCTGCTTTTAGACAGATAAAGGAAGTTCAGAGGAAGCTTCTCCCTTAATTTACTGTTCCTCAGGTCCCCTCAGTTTGAAATAATCAGCATAGAAAAGCAGCATATTTTGGGCTAGCATTTGCTGAACTACTCCAGCATTATTTAGTTCTGTAAGTTAATAACATTTAGAATATTACATCCTGAACATTAAATAAGAACAATTATTTTACAAAAATGAATTGTCCATTTATTTTATTATAATATCTTGACTTTAGACCAACCCTGTAAAACCGTAACAGTTATTTTAATATATTATAAATCAACTTTTGAAGAGATTATTTTAGAGAAATAGTAGGCATAAACAGAACTTTCATTGCAAGTTGAGAATCTAAACAAAAAATCATAGATTTAATAATATATCTAAGGTAGTTATGATCTCTATGAGTATCACAAACATAAGTAGACTTATGAGATAGATTAATGATCACCAATTTTTTTCTGACATTATAATAATGCAAACTTAAATGTTACACAAAACTTCTCAGATGTAAAATGCTTTCTTGCTTAAACCTGCTTTTTCCAGAATAAATTGACATTTTTGGTATATTTTGGGCAATTTTTAAATAAAATATTTCCTTTGTCATTGAGAGACTATAGACAACTAGACTTGAGGAGTTCTGGGGACTATGGGCTTCTCCTCTGTGTTTGTTTATCTGTAAAAGAGAAAATTTTAGTTTTATTTTCTGGAAATGTGGGGCTGCCTCCTCTGCTCCTTGTATTAGACAACATGTTGTATTGACTTTATATTCCTTTCGAATAAGCAAAAAACAGCCAGGTGTGGTGGCTCATGCCTGTAATCACAGCACTTTGGGAGGCTGAAGTGGGAGGATTGCTTGAGTTTAGGAGTCCCAGACCAGCCTGACAGCATAGTGAGACCCCATCTCCACAAAAAGTTTTAAAAAATTACCTGAACATGTGGCACGTGCCTGTAATCCCAACTACTTGGGAGGCTCAGATGGGAGGATCACTTGACCCAGGGAGGTTGAGGCTGCAGTGAGCTCTGATTGTGCCACTGCACTCCAGCCTAAGCGACCGAGCAAGACACTGTCTCCAAAAACAAACAAACAAACAAAAAGTACAAAGCAATAAATGACAATTTTCTCACTTCTATAAATTCTCTACTTGAGGGTGAGATTCCTACAAGTTTACAAGTATTATCCACTTTAGCTTTAAGACCTACATTGTTCTGATGACTGGTGAGAAGACACATAGGCATGTCTTCGCCTTGCAGAGGAGTCTTTGTATGTTTTCTAGGGGCCATAACAAGGTCAAAAATGAAGTAATTGGACACCATTTCTAATTTTTCCAGGATCCATGGTGATAAAGAATTACAACTGTCTTACTATATTTGGCACCTTAGGAGGCATAAATGAAACTAACATTATTTCTAATGAAAGACAGTTTTCAAAGGATGTCTCTAAAAATTACATGTTCTTTTATTTTGGTACTATATGTAAGAACTATCTTCTGGGAAAGTGCACCCAGATAAAATCACGTGCTTCTTCTTTAAGGGGGAAAAAATAATGTTTGGTCAATCCCATTTGCTTCCCATGAAAAAAAAGTTAAATAATTGTATGGGGGTTTCTAGAGAGTCTTGACTCCATAACAAGTATTTTATAGAGAAGTTCTCTTAAATCAAAAATTGAACCAGGCAATGTTTAGTTTATGATTCTATTTCAAAAAATTTTGCTACTTTTTTCTTTTACCTATCCTGCAAAGTGAGGGTGTTATAAGTTGACTAAGTAATGTAACACAGATTTTATATTTAAAAGATTTGGGAACAGGGAGTAATAAGAAGTTTTTTCACTCTCTTCTCTCTTAGTTTGAGCGCCAATCTCAGATTTCAGGAAAGTGTGTGGATAGTGAAGAGGAGAGGAGATTAAAGTGTACTTTGTTTCCCTGGAGGTCTCAGAGCTCCTTCGGAAGAAAAGTAGCTTAGATAGCCTAATATTTTGAGACAAATAACATGGAAGGCAACTGACGTAAGGTTTATTGTAAAATAAACTCCTTGATATTAATGTCAAAATAGGATAGATGTCTGGTCTACGATATTTGCAATTTAGTATGTTCTTATGCCTTTTGGAAAGAAAGGCTGAATTGTATCTTGCCTGGTTTCCAGCAAATGGCCATAGGTCAATTATTGCTCACCTGAATTACAAATTTTTTGAGGTAATTCTTTTTCATTGATGTTATTTAGGGCATAAGTGGTTAGTTTGACAATTAGAACAAAAATATACTTAAAGAGGGTTTTTTAATTAAAAAAAAAAGATTGAGACTCTATAACCTAAATATAGAAAATACTTAATGAATATATCCAAAAGTAATTTTAATCTTCACAGCGGTGAAATGGCCCAGGGTTAATTGTAGGTTTTTCAGCTAGACAAAGAGTTATATCCAAAGAGTACTGAAGAAATTGCTTAATATCAGCTTTTCCTTTAAGATTGGTGTAGGCTTAATGAATTTAAATTAGCATATAAGACAGAGACAAAAAAATTAAATAATAATTTTCAATAATAATAAATAAAAATTAAATAATAATAATACATCATCTTAAAATATCAACTGAATTGACAGAAACTATATCCTTTTTAATAATTTTCCAAATGACAACTTCAGGAGATGTTGGAATAAGACAATGTATGACAGGCACAACTCTTCCAGAATAACTTCAATCTGTTATTGATTGATCAACAGAGACCTGTGTTGATCAAACCCAGACTTTTCAGTTTTTGTAACCTAACAGTTTACTAATTTTTCAAAGAGAAGGAAGTAGAAAGGCTCTTGTACCAATATTTATGAGATTTTTAAGAATTTCCCCTCCAACTGAACTGATACTGATATTGAAAGCAAATTTACGCATTTTAGAAGTTTTTTGTTTTGTTTTGTTTCTGAGCTAGGGCCTCACTATGTTTCCCAGGTTAGTCTGGGAACCCCTGGGCTCAAGTGATCCTCCTGCATTGCCTCAGCCTCCCAAGTAGCTGGGATTACAGGCACACCATCATGCCCAGCTCATGTTTTTTATCTTATTTTTTCATCTTTAAAGAGAAGACACAGTAGAATTTCACAATTATCTGAAGAAAAAAAATCAGTATAATTTTTGGCATCATTTTCAAATTTGACTTTAAAAAACTGGTTAGTAACATTATGAAATAAATTCTTCTCTAGATTTTTTGAAAAATATTATATTATTAACTGCTAGGACTCAAAACATTATACCCCAATATATGGTGTCTTGGCATGCAGAGTACTTTGAACTGAAGGGCACTGGAAGGGCCTCAGAAGGAAGGCCCCTCTGACCTTCTCTCACTCTCCTTTCTCCAGCTCTCCTCTCTCCCAAGGCGGCCCATAGAAATTAGAATTCTTTGACCTCACAGCAAGCCGTAAAACCTAAAAGGGTCACTCTGACCTATTTTACCAGAAAATAGATCAGAAGACCCTTTTCTGGCAGTTGTTCTTCCTTATATGGGGGGAAGGTATGCTACACAGCAAGGTCGAGAAGAATCTGAAGAGACAGGCTTTGCTAAATTCTCTACAGTTTATTATCATTAGGTCATACTCTTTTTGTCGAATCACGTTTCTCCACAACTATTCACTTCTTTCTTCAGAAGCATACAAATTCAAAATTTTCCCTGGGTTTGGGTCTGCATTTCTGAAGGCTCCCACGTCACTTAAAACTTTATTAAATGAACACATTATGCATTTTTCTTGTTCATCTGGTTTTTGTTATAGGTATGTCAGCTGTGACCCTTGTAATGGGTGAGAAAAAGACATTATGTTTTGCCACTACATAATAAGCAAACTAAAAATTATTGGCTGGATTTTATTGCTATAATTCCGTAAATGGACAAATGGATATCCGCTAACCATGGTTTTCTACTCAGATTTGGGAAAACTTATCTCTTCTAGTTTCCACTATTGTGATAGGAGCAATTAATATTTAGATACTCTTTTACTGGTGGTGTAATATTGCAGGATAGATAGTATGTGGGGAAAGTAAAGTTCAAATATATTTATATGCTATACATAAAGCATGCTTTCATTGTGTATTCATATGTATTTATAAATAATAACTAATAATAGTAAATAATAATAGGGAATTGATGGTTTGAAAAGAATGTGATAACCTTGGAGCAATCTCCAAGTAATTTTTTCATAAATAATATCACCTGAAATATGAGGAATGCTTTGTGTTAAAACCTGAAGCTCTGTGAATGTTTATTGATGATGACAGCATTTCTTATAATTTAGTAATTTGCTTTGTAAATGATGTACTTTAAAGTATTCTATGAACCAAAAATATCAGCTGTGTATTATATCACTATTTTTTAAAGGCTTTCCACTTGTTTTCCTTTGGGTTCTCATTTTTCCAGGGACAGAAACTATGACAAATTATCCAATTCCATAAAACCAAAGCTAGTCCACCATTCTCTATTCAATCGAAGACACAATTCATCTATAAAGTGTTCTCATTGTATGTTTCATGTGGAGAAAGAAACGAATGTCATAAACGTGCTGCAGTTATTTTCCATTTCTTCTTGTTTCTGCAGTAATAAAAGAAGAAAGAGAGTTAAACATGTATTTACTTGTCAAACTGGACAAAATTCTTCAAAAAGAAAAATTATGTACTACCTTAACCACTTTAGCAATTTGAGCTAAGAGGAAAAAAAATTAAAAAAAGGATGGATTTCTTATTAGCTACTTTATTTTTTATTCAGTGGGTAACACTTTTTTCCCCCTAGACATTTGCCTGTCTCAAAATTAAGGAGTTATTTTAAAACCACTTCACTGTGTTTTTTGAAACCTAGGTGACTATTCTGTACTTAAAATATACAAATACTGTATATGGTTGGAGGTATTGAAATGATGAGTATATTCTAAGTGCTTTCTAGTAAGTTGATGTTAAACCTTTAAGATGCCTTTACAATGAACATGTAAATGGATAATTCACTCGATAAGCCAGAAAAAGAAAAGAATTATCTTTTGTTACATTTAGAAGGCATAACATGTTCATTTAAAACAAAATCTATTAATCACACATTATTTGGAGAATAATGTACTGATTTTGTTTTTGTTTTTGTTTTTGTTTTTTGAGATGGAGGCTCGCTCTGCTGCCCAGGCTGGAGTGCAGTGGCACGATCTCGGCTCACTGCAACCTCCGCCTCCCGGGTTCAAGCAATTCTCCTGCTTCAGCCTCCCAAGTAGCTGGCATTACAGGTGCATGCCATCATGCTCAGTCAATTTTTTGTATTTTTAGTAGAGGTGGGTTTTCACCATGTTGGCCAGGCTGGTCTCGAACTCCAGACCTCAGATGATCTGCCTGCCTCGGCCTCCCAAAGTGCTGGGATTACAGGCATGAGCCACCATGCGTGGCCTATGTACTGATTTTATAGGCAGAACAAAGAACAGGCACATTGTCTCCCTTTTAAGTATTTCCTTTTATGATGTGCAGAATAATTACATGAAAAGTAAAAATAAAATTTGGACATGGGGTACAATATCTTTCATAGCTAGCAATAGTGATGAGACTTTACAAAAAAGGATTCTTCCACTTTAACGAGGCTCCTTGTGCATATAGGAAGATATCCTTTTCTATACAGAACTTGCATTTTGAGGTATTTTAGCATTCTATAGAATGTGGGTTACTGTTGTTATTAAATGTCTGGCTTTATTAACGAGATCATTTATTACTCCTTGCCTGTGCCACCTGCAAACACAGCTGTAACTAGGTTCAGTATTGTTCTGATTAATTTTTCTTGACTATTTTCCTTTTCTTCTTTCTTTTTCCTGTTTAAATATGGAACGTGTGGAGTCATAGTTGTGGGAGTATCTGAATTCTAAATCAACATTTTCCAAAACATCATTTCCAAATTGACTTCAAAGTTGAATTGGCCATTGGCTGTTGTTTCGTTTTGTTTTGTTTTCTTGTGAATGTAGAATTTTAAATGCTAAACATCACGTGCCAGTTTTCTTCTTTGAGGCCAAAAAAAGCAAATCACTAAAATTTTCACAACAATAATGTCAATCTTCTATGTCAGGAGTAGGGACACTACGGTCTGTGAGCCAAATCAAGATCGTCAAGATCACAGCCTACTTCTGTTTTGATAATCTGTGATGCAGCAATATTTTTTACATTTTTATAGGGTTTTTTAGAAAAAAAAAAGAAAAGAGAATATGTAATGGAGACCTTATGGCCCACAGAGCCTTAAATACTCACTATCTGACTCCCTTAGAAAAGTCTGGTAGACACCTGCTGTCCTATGAAAGTATTTATACACACAAGCATACTAAGTGTTCCTCTTGTAACTCTAATTTCCAGCTCTTACATTTTTGCCTTGGGCTTGCAATCTCTTAGCTCTCTCTTGTTTTCTAGCCCTCCCTTTTGAGTTCTTATAAATAATCACATTCTTCTACAGTATAAATTAAGAGGTCTCTAAAATGACATGTGGCATGGGCACAAGAGAGGAGCATGTTGGTTCTTGTGTATGTAATCAAGTGAATTTAAATGAGATTAATACCTGCCCTTCATTTTTCACTTTTCTATATTTGTTGACATAATGATCTTTGTGATTTATTTCATTCACTCTAACCTATGAATATTAATAAACTCTGTGTACAGTAAATAAGATACAGCTCCTGCCCTCATGTGTTTACAGTTTGATGAAGAAGACAGAAAGTTAAGTAGGCATTACAATACACTCTCATAACTACTACATACTACTATATAACTATGTAGGTCAGAGTAGGGAAACAAAATCAAACAGTATTATGGAAGGCATTTAGAAGAATTGCATTTTGCATTCAGCTAGCTATTAACATGCACATTTCTAGCTTCATGGAGCTTTACATAGAAGCATTGCAATTAGTATCCCAATATTTTCAAGAAAAATTAAATAACTTTCTAGCACTTGTAGCCTGTTACTGCTTAGAAAAAGAAAAAGAAAAAAAAAGATGGTGGCAGACTATGTATTTTCGTGACAGCAAATTTTTAGACCTTTTGAGAAATCCCTTTAACTAGAAAGCAATTGCTCCATTTTAAAGTAAAACTCACTGGCAATGTCATTTTGAACTTCAAAGCAATGTCAGTTTTCATCTCTTAGGGAGCAAATGGTCAGTCATGCAGGTCTTGTCAGCAGTAACAAGACATTTCAAACTGGGGACCCTGGAAACCAAAAAGTGGAATTTTTTTTTTTTTCAATAGGTACAACTTCATTAACTTGAAAATTAAAGGTAAACATTTGATTTCAGTTTGCTTACTCTAGCTGTCCAATTCAGTAGCCATTAGCCACATAGAATCTCTCAATGTAAATAAATTTAAATTAAATTAAATTTAAAACTCAATTTCTTAATCACGGGAGCCATATTTCAAATGCTCAGTAGCTGCATGTGGCTAGTGGCTACTATATTGAACAATGAAGATAAAGGAAATTTCCAACATCACAGAAAGTTCTATTAGAAAGCACTGACTGTTCCATTGATCACAGTAAAGTCACATCTATTAAGTTCCCCAAATAGCAGTTGTTTGTCATATACCATTCGGACAACTTCTTTTTGTAATTGCACTTCAAAGAACAAATTTTTGAACTTCAGTTATTGCTTTAGCTAGATATAAACTCTTCCAAAGTTTTCTTCTTCAAATAAGGTCTACACCTTGAAAAGCCCTTGTAACCGTATTTACTTTTCATTATGTATTCAGATTTTAAAGGTCTTTAAGGAAGCTAAAATAAGTATAGAAAGGTGCATGTAGTTCAATAAATAATCTCAAAATGAACATTCTCATGTAACCCTCACCAAAGTCAATAAATAGAACATCACTTATTATAATTTTACTTACTGAGTAATTTTTAAAGAGATTTTTAGGTTCTTACCATTTTGTGTAATTAAATTAAAAGTTTTGTAGAGTAAATTTGGGTTATTCATGAAATACCCAATTTATAAATTATCAATTTTCATTTTTCTTATTTTTCTCTGTCACTATGCTAATAATTTTAGCCTCTTTTGTTAATTATAGTAACTCACTCCTTCCCCTGTCCATAGTTTGGTCATGTGGATAGAGTCAAGGAGGAAATAGTCAAAGGCCAAATAATCAAAACTGAAGTAATCATATGCTGTCATTTGGTGGTTTCACTGTCACTATTTATTGGCATCCAATATGCTGAAAATCTGAACCACACATCTGCTAAATGATACGGTCATCCATGTATTTTCTTTATTTCAATACTATATCTTTGCTATTTAAGAATGCAAAATTTGATCAATATAACTTTCAATTGTGTCATAGTAAAATACATAATAGTTATACTGTGTGTGATATTTAAAAAGTGCATTTCATAGAGTTGACACCTATGATTTAAAGTTTAAAATATCTCTGTCCACTTACTCAATTAAGTAAGTATTCTACAGTTATAGTTTTGGACTTAGCAAGTCCTCACTTAACAAGGTATTAAAGATATACTACATAGATGACCTAGTGCAAATTCATTTAGCTTTTTCATGCATCGGTTACGTGTTTTGTTTTGTGCCTTAGGAATGCCAAGCTTTTATGTACCTTGGGAAAATGAAATAATGAATATCTTTTTTTTTTTCTTTTTATAGGAAAAGCAGAATACTTTTATTTCCTAAGAAATCATATCTAAAATAAAATTTTACTCAGTTAGTTTGAGGAGTAGGCCATCTTAACTATTAAGTGCTTCAAAGCAATGGTAGTTTAATAATTTCAACTGAAAATTAATTCCAACTAATTTCCATAGGCATTCATCACAGTTTTACTTATTGCAGACAAAGGAGCCTTCATTGAGGATTAATGGACTCTCAAGATGAGCTCTGAGATATTTGAACTCTCTAAAATTATATGCAAAGCTGTGGATGTGTATATATTGGAAATGCCCATACCTTTAGATTAATGTAGATTAATCTAATTAGTGTTTGGATTTATCCTTTCTGTTCTATCCCTGCTGCCACCACCCTAATTTAGATTCTCCATGTCTTTTACATGAACTGGTCTATTGGATCATGGCTTGGCCCACTAAAGGCTATCTCTTATAAAGCCATTCTCTCCAGCAGCTGTTGAAAATAAAAGGTGTAGGCAGGGCGCGGTGGCTCACGCCTGTAATCCCAGCACTTTGGGAGGCTGAGGCGGGCAGATCACGAGGTCAGGAAATCGAGACCATCCTGGCTAACACAGTGAAACACTGTCTCTACTAAAAACACAAAAAATTAGCTGGGTGCGGTGGTGGACACCTGTAGTCCCAGCTACTCGGGAGGCTGAGGCAGGAGAATGGCGTGAACCCGGGAGGCAGAGCTTGCAGTGAGCCAAGATAGCGCCACTGCACTCTGGCCTGGGCGAAAGAGCAAGACTCTGTCTCAAAAAAAAAAAATTTTTTTTGTCATTTCTCTCCAGTGATTCAAGTCTGAATTTTTTCACAGGTGAACACGTTTCTCTGTTGTCTACTCCAGCTGGCCAAACTCATGTCTTGCCACTCTTCACTTTAAACTCAGAGTGTTTTTGTCTTTGGAATATTCTTTCTTATCCCTTTTTAGATAACTATTCATACTCTGTAATTTCACTAAGACATTCTCTTCTTGCCTCCAAAAATTCTTCACAGGCTGGATAGTTGTGTTAATATTTTGTTTGCCTCTCTGACACCTGGGCACATAACTATCACTATAATTACCACAGCATGTGTGTAGCTTTAATGTGTGTGTGTGTGTGTGTGTGTGTGAGAGAGAGAGAGAGAGAGAGACAGAGAGATTTCACTTGACAGTGAACTTCTTGAGAGTAAGACCTATGTTACTGATTTTTCTATCACTAGTATCAAGCACAAGGTCTGAGACACCAAAGGTGCTCAATAAATACATGGCAAGTGAATAAATAAATGACTGAAGGAAGTATTTTTATATCTGCTCATTTATTTAAAAGAATTCATTTCAATTCAAACTTGTTTTCACATACATACACATTAAAGACCTGATAGTTCTATTAACATAATTCAATTACCTTATTAACTTACTTGACACACTTTTTCGTGGTGAGAATATGAAAATCATACAAACCTATCAGACTGGACTTGGTTATATCAGCGTTTGAAGAGATCAGAAAGATCATCCTTTTACAACTGAGGAATTGGAGGATTAAATTCAGTGGGTAGGCAGGAAGAAACACGGCATGGCACCACCCAGGCTTAGTAGTTCTGTATTCCTTGGGCAAAGCTGTTTTACATCTTTAATTCTCACTTTTTACATTTTTAAGGTGAAACAACAATAACCAATTCATTTACAGAAAACTACTTTCACCATTTTGTTTTTTTTTTTTTTCTAACCAAACATTCTCCAGTACATTTTTCTGATGTTTGAGGGAGGAAATGGGGAAGAAAACAGAAGAAGGGCCGAAGGAAAGAAGGGAGAAAATGAGAATGTGGATTACAAAAATTTCTAGGACCTTGGTACTTATTTGAAGACGCAAAAGACCCTGGATAGGCAAAGCAGGCTTGCGCAGAATGACCAAAGCTGCAGGCATTACAGTACTGGACATCAAAATATTCCACAAAGTAAACAGGACAGCATGTCACGTGGCACAAAAACAGACACCCGGACCCGTGGAACAGGATATAGAGTTCAGAAATAAATTCATGCATGCACAGCTAACCGATTTTTTATAAAGATGCCAAGAACACGCATTGGGAACAGGACAGTCTCTTTAACAAATAGCGCTGGAAAAATTGGATATCCACGTGCAAACTAATGAAACTAGATCCCTACCTACCACCATATACAAAAATAAATTCTAAATGAATTAAAGACCTACGTGAAAGACCTGACACTATGAAATTAGAAGAAAACATAAGGGAAGCACTTCATGAAATTGAACTGGGCAAGGATTTTTTTTAGTAAGACCTCAAAACACAGGCAACAAAAAGCAAAAATTAGAAACTAGATTACATCAAACTAACAAGATTCTGCACAGCAAAAGAAACAATCAACGGAATGGAGACAGAACCTACAAAATGGATGAAAGTATTTTCAAAAGTATGCAATGACAAGGGGTTAAAATCCAGACTATATAAGAAACTCAAACAAATGAGTACCAAAAATAATAATAATTTGATTAAAAACGGGCAAAAGACCAAAATAGGCAAGTAACAAAACCAGACACAAATAGCCAACAGATATATTTTAAAATGCAAAACATCGCTAATCATCAGGGAAATGCAAATAAAACCAGAGAAGATATTACTCCACGCTTGTTAGAATGGTTATTATCAAAAAGACAAAAAAAATAACAAATGCTGGCAAGGATGTGGAGAAAAGGGAACTCTTATGCACTGTTGGTGGGAATGTAAATTAGTACAGCCATTATAGAAAACAATATGAAGTTTTTTGGTTTTTGGTTTTTTTTGAGACGGAGTCTCACTCTGTCGCCCAGGCTGGAGTGCAGTGGCGCTATCTGGGCTCACTGCAAGCTCAGCCTCCCGGGTTCACGCCATTCTCCTGCCTCAGCCTCTGGAGTAGCTGGGACTACAGGCACCCGCCACCACTCCTGGCTAACTTCTTTGTATTTTTAGCAGAGACAGGGTTTCACCGTGTTAGTCAGGAGGGTCTCGATCTCCTGACCTCGTGATCCACCCGCCTCGGCCTCCCAAAGATTTTAAGAAAAATAGAACTGTCATATGATCCAGCAATCTCAGTACTGGGTATATATTCAAAGGAAATGAAATCAATATGTCAAAGAGATATCTGCACTTCATATTTATTGCACACTATTTACAATATCCAAAATATGGATTAAAGTAAATGCCCATCTACAGATGAATGGATAAAGAAAATGCAATATATATACATAGAGAGAGATATAGATATAGATATATCAGACACACACACACACAATAGAATGCTACTCAGCCATAAAACAGAATGTGATCTCTCTCTCTCTCTCTCTCTCTCACACACACACACACACACAGACACACACACACACACTGGAATGCTATTCAGGCATAAAACAGAATGAAATTCTATAATTTGCAACAACATGGATACACCTGGAGAACACTACATTAAGTGACATAAGCCAGGCATAGAAAGACAAATACTGCGTGATCTCAGTCACATGTAGAATCCAAAAAAGTTTATTTCATAGAAATAGAGAGTAGAACAGTGGTTACCAGAGGCTGAGGTGAGTACATGGGAGGGAGGACCTGAAGAGGTTGGTCAACTGTACAAAATTAGGGTTGGATAGAAAGAATAAGTGCTGATGTTTAATTACAGAGTAGGGTGACTATAGCAAATAGCAATGTAATGTATATTTCAAGATAGCTAGAAGAGAAGATTTTTAATGTTATCACCACAAAGAAAGGATGAATGTTTAAAGTGATGGATTTAATGACTATCCTGATTTGGTCATTATACAATGTATACATTCCCTGAAACATCACACTACAGCCCAGAAACATGTACAGTAATTATGCGCCAATTATAAATAAAACATAAATTTTTAAAAAGCTAAGAAAATACTACAAAAATTTGCCAAAATCATATAATATTATATTTATAGTTTTCTAGTCCCTGATTTTCACTTTTTAAGTGTGACATTTAGTTATTGCATGGTATTCCTTCACATAGATGCACCATATTTATTTGATAGCTTTTCCATTTTTGTTCAGCAAAGAAGTTTCTGCTTTCACACAACTACATGTCATGTGGCCTTCAGCATGAATCGTTTCCTGTATTGGGAATCATTTCTTAACTACTGATTCCCAGGAATGAAAAGTTTCTGAGACATAGCTCCAAGACTCTGTATCTATTTGTATTGGCTTCAACAATGTATTGACTAAATACCAAAATAGGAACAATTATTGCATTTTAGAATAGACATCTTTAATGACAATGGAAACTATCTTACCCCTCTTTATACACTAGTTGGACCTTCTTCTTATACTCATGGGAGTCTTTGAGAACTTGAGCATATATTGTTTCCCTCCTGAAGGGGGTCCTGTCAGCTGTGGTGGCACTTGTGACATCTGAGAGGGAAACAGCTGTATTTGAAACAATAAAGGTAGTGGCTGAGGCAGATGCTCTTTGGAAATGACTCATCTTCTTTTAGAACTCAAGTTGTCACAAGCAGGTACAGCAGACAAGTTTATGTTTATGTGTAAAGTGATATGTGATTATCTTTCCCATACACTCAAAGCCTTATTTATTTTGACTACATTATACAGATGCTGCTATCCGCAGGGTGTAGAGAATATGCTAAGTAGTATGTCAACCTCAACACCTCAATAGATAGAACTTACTTACTCATCATGTTAACATATTGGGCCACATTTTTCCAGAGTGTGAATTACTCCCGCTCAGGAAATTTCCACCTGAGAAACATCATTAACTCTTTCATGGTACCAGCAATCTGGTTAGCAAATTGCCTCTTTACTGAACTAAAATTCTACATTCAGAAAGGTAAGGAAGTGGTCTGTATTCCTTCTCCCTATTTTTGTATAGGACTATCGCAGTAAAAATGGCTAAGCGTGTGAATTCTAAGGAAGGATTTCTGGATTCAAATCCTTTCTCCACAAAGTATATAACTCCTCTATTTTTCAGTTTCCTCAGAGGTAAATAATACCTACTGCACAGGTTTATTGTGAGAATTAAATAATTGTATGCATATTAAGTACTTAGATATAACTTTAATACTAAATGTAAGCACTCAATATGTGTTAGCAGTTATATTGTTACATGTGCTATTATTGTCACTATTATTTTAATAATCTTCAAGAAAAATTGCACATCCTACTTCCATGTTGTTGAGACCTGAGTGTCCATATAACGCCTGGTACTCTCTGAGACAGTAAATAACTCTAGGAAAATACAGTTAGTGGACTAAAATTAGGGCCGTGTCCATTTAAAAAAATTATAAGTGAGTCGTACGGATAATCACAGTTGACATCATTGTTCTTGTGTCCTTCACTGTGAACTCTTAGGAACATAAAGATTTAGGTCTCCATGTCCTGAGGCAGTAAATTGTTTAAGAAGAAAATAGCTACATTGATAGGTTCTGGTTTGCTTATTGGCATTTGGCTTTGTGGGTCCAACAGCGGCACAAAGATTTCGAAAATCTGTGTTCAAGACCAGCTCTGCCTCTTAGTAGGATGACCTTGGACTGCTCAGTGTCTGTTTTTCAGATCTTTATCCATTTTTGTAGGACTTGGTAGTCTCTGAGATGTCTATGAGAGCTAACATCTTATGATTAAGTCTGCAAGGACATTTTTCTTATGCTTTAGAGAATGAGTTCTCTTCAGTTCCTCAAGTAGACAAACCATTATGGTATAATAAATTGTCAGTAAAGTTATTCTGATTATACTTGCCATTGGAGAAAGAATCCAGTGATGTGTTTCAGGTAGGGTATAGATTGTCTGGATAAGACCACACACCTGGCTGAGTTAGATTAAGTTTCTGATATAATAAGCTAATAAACAAAATTATATCAAAAGTGAATTGGTCACACAGAGAATTGGCATCTGCAGCCAATACCAGAATAGCTTTCATTGGTCACCTGTTTCTAAAGGGATTAGTCACTCAGTAGTGCCATTGTCTGTGCAAAGCAGTTCTCTCCAGCTTTGAGAAACTCACTTCTTGGTAGAGTCAAACTCTTTTAAATTTAGTGCGTCCCTTTCTGTGACTTTATAATGTTTGACACTACCTTAGTCAGTTTGGGCTGCCATAACACAATACTAAAGACTGGGTGGCTTTAACAATGCCATTTATTTTTCACAGTTCTGGCAACTGAAAGCCCAAGATCAGGGTGCCAACTTGGTCATGTTCTTGGTAAAGATCCCTTTCCTGTTTACAGAGTGTATCTTCACATGGTAGAGAGAGGGAGAGGAGGCAAGCTTTGTGTGTCTCTCCTTAAAAGGGTACTAATTCCATCCTGAGGGCTCTACCCACATGACCTAATTACCTGCCAGAGACAGTGGGAGTATTATTACATCAGGGGTTAGTTTTTTAACATATGAATGTGGGAGGTGCACGAACACTCAGTCTACTGCAGGTACTTCATGGTTCTTGAAATGAACACAGTGTCAACAGGTCATATTTTCATCCAGGAGGAAAAGGTCAAACTATTGCCCAGATGTAGCTGGTAAACAGTGCTTCCACATTTGTAGTGTCCTGGTATTGCCTGTGTTTACCTTGGGAACCAAGACATGCTGATCTAATGGCAGACCCTTGCGTCTCCCCATTCACCACTGCTTATGAGGAAATGCTAAAAGCTGTTGTATTTTTATCTGTACCTCTTATTCAAGATAAAGCAGTATTTTGGTGGTCCATTGACACGTTGATTACAGTGGAGCCATGTTTGACTCAGAAATTAGGGTTTAAAGTCAGTAGTTATAGTGAAATCCATGTCTAGTAAAATTGCCCTTAGAAATCCGTTAAGCTGGACATAAAGTGCATTGTAAATAGATTTGTGTATGCAATCTTAAGTAGCAAAATAGTATTTAAAAATAGTAGAGTAGGCCAGGCACGGTGGCTCATGCCTGTAATCCCAGCACTTTGGGAGGCCAAGGTGGGCGGATCACCTGAGGTCAGGAGTTCGAGCCAGCCTGGTCAACAAGGTGAAACCCCATCTCCACTAAAAATACAAAATTAGCTGGGTGTAGTGGCGCATGCCTGTGATCCCAGCTACTTGGGAGGCTGACACAGGAGAATCGCTTGAACCTGGGAGGTGGAAGTTGCAGTGAGCAGAGATTATGCCATTGCACTCCAGTATGGGCAACAAGAGTGAAACTCTGTCTCAAAAAAATAAAAATAAAAATAAAAAAAATTAAGATACTACAGTAGAACCCTCATATTCTTGGAGGGATACATTCCGAGACCCCCAATGGATGCCTGAAACCATACATTTTACCAGACTCTATATATACTGTACCATGTTTTTTTCCCATGCATGCATACCTATGATGAATTTCCAAATTAGGCACAGTGAGAGATGAACAACAACAATAATAAAGTAGAAAAATTAGGACAATCTACTGTAATACAAGTTATGTGAATGTGGTCTCTCTCTGTTTCTCTCTTTCTCAAAATATCTTAATATTTTTGAACTGCAATTGACCACAGGTAACTGACACCATGAAAAAGCAAAACCACAATAAGAATGGACTACCGTATTTCTAAACTAGACTTAACACACTGCAAGACGCTCACACTGACAGAGGCTCCCAGAAACATACCCACTGTAGGCACAGCTAATTCATGTCCCCCTGTTCACTGTTCATGACCCTTCGGGTTATATTCATTTCAGGAAAGGGAAGAGAGAGTCACTCAAGACACTAATATTGTTTCTCTTCTTCTCTTTTTGATTCCCCAGATGTCTATATTTGGAATATTGTAAGCTAAATGCACAGTGATGTGACTCCTGTATAGCTAAGGTTAGCAATATATCCATTGAGGGAAGAGATGAACTAAGAGTTTTGAATGATAGGCTGCTGCAGGGAATCAGTTTAAGTTACCTTTTGACGAGTCAAAGAACATTTATTAAATATCCATGTTATGGATTGAATGTTTGTGTCTCTCCCCACCATTCATATGGTGGAGCCCTAAACCCTAATGTCATGCGACTTAGAGGTTAGGCCTGTAGGGAATAATTAGGTTTAGATGAGGTCATGAGAGAGGTGTCTTCATAATGAGACTTGTGTCCTTATTAGAAGAGGAGGAGCTTGCTTTTTCTCTCCATGAGCACACCCTAGAAAGGTCATGTGAGGACACAGCCACAGCCAGAGGTGGCCATCTGCAAGCCAGGAAGCAGACACTCACCAGACACTCAAGCTGCTGCCACCTTCATCTTGGACTTCAAAGCTTCCAGAACTGTGAGAAATAAATGTCTGTTGTTTAAGCTGCCCATAGTATTTTGTTATAGCAGCCTGAGCTGACTAAAATAACCTACTATCTCTTTGATCTAGATTTTTTAATCCAGGAAAAAAATACCTTGCCTGTCTGCATGCAAATGTAAATGGGATGCATAGTAGAGATGGCATTAGAAATCAGTGAATAAAACATAGACGGGCAAATAAATAACCTGGAGGCCTTTTGCTATGCGTCTAGAACATATAAATAATTCTGTACATTTCGAGTGCACACAAATCACTTACATGTAGGTTAATACCTAATTATATAAAGCAAACATTAATTTCTAAAAAATAAAATATGTAACTTTTTTATAAACTCAGAATACAGAATGGTTTTTTAAATGAAATATAAAATTACAGAACTTGAGTAAAACAGTTGATAAATTGGTCTACATTAGTATTTTAAAACATCATGTTCTACTGAGACCCTGTCTCTACCAAAAATTTAGAAATTAGCCAGGAATCGTAGAACACATCTGTAGTCCTGGCTACTCAAAAGGCTGAAAAGGGAAAGGTTGCTTGAGCCCAGGAGTTTGAGGCTGCAGTGAGCTATAATCACATCATTGCACTCTGCCTGGGTGACAGAGAGAGAGTCTATCTCTAAAAAAAAAAAAAAAAAGTGCTGTTCAACCAAAAATCCTATAAACTAAGGTAGTGAAGTTACTGACTGGGGGTAGATATTTGCAACATATATAAACAACCTAGGATCAGTATTTCAAATTTATAAAGAATTCCTACAAATTAACACAGAAAATGACAATAACTAATAGAAACGTAGACAAAAGATTCAAGCAGGCAATTTCCAGAAGAGACCAGATTGGACTGACCAATCAAGAAATTAATAAGATGCTCGACTTTTCTAGAAATTGTTGAAATTTATGTAAAAACATTGAGATAATGTTTCACACCTATCAGACTGCTAAAACATTTTAAATTCTTAAAATAACACGTGTTGGCAAATATACTTAGAAAGGGAAATTCTTAGACCCTATTGTCTGAATAGATTACTAAAACCAATTTGCAGAGCAATTTTTTAGTATCTAGTAAGTAAAAATATGCATATTTTCAACCTAGCCATTCTATTAACTGTGATTCAAGAAAAACTCACTGGTATGTGTGCAAGGAAATATAAATAGACTTAATTATGGCATTATTTGTATTAAAAATAATATAATACAAATATGCTTATTAGAAGGTCTTTCTTGTTCTTTCATATACTTATTTGATTTACATAGTCTGCATACTTAATCACTTTAAGAACTCTAACAGTATGTCTATTAAGTAGAACCAACAATTTTCTCCTATTACAAGAGAAAAACATCACTTTACACCCACCCAGTACCTTATAAAACCAGTAGGCAGGCTGCAGGGGGTGGCAGTAGGGGAACAGCCTCTAGTTGATGGCTGGGTGTCAGGGGTCACTGCAGGAAAGAAATAAAAGGGCACTTTCAAGCTGGGTACAATGGCTCACACCTGTAATTCCAGCTACTCAGGAGGCTGAGGCAGGAGGATCACTTGAGCTCCAGAGTTTGAAACCAGCCTGGGCAACCTAGTGAGACCTAATCTCTACTAAAAAAAAAAAAAAAAAAAAATTAGCCAGGCGTGGTGTCACCTGTATTCCCAGCCAGGCGTGTTGTCACCTGTATTCCCAGCTACCTGGGAGGCTGAAGTGGGAGAATCGCTTGAGCCTGGGAGTTTGAAACTGCAGTGAGCTGTAATAGCATCACTGCACTCCAGCCTGGATGACACAGTGAGACCCTGTCTCCCTCTCCCTAAAAAACAGGAAAGAAAAGGGAAAAAGAAAAGGGCACTTTCAGATAGGAAATACTTGATTGGCTTTGTGGCATACTCACACAATAGAGCCCAAGAACACAGCTGAAGCAAATTATTTGGAACTATGTGTATCAACTTGGCTAAGTCTCAGATGCAATGTTAAGAGGAAATAAAGCATGTGGAATATCAAACAGAGTAACATTTACTGGGTCCTTATTCTGTGCTGAGCATAATGTAAATATGGTATCTATATAAAGCTTAAAGAAACAGGCAAAATGTTGTTTTATATCCTTCAGAGAAATCATTTTGTAAAAGAATGAAAATATACATAAGAACAATACACACAAAATTCAGGAGAGTAGGCCCCCAGGAAGGGATGTTGAGGAGGGGAGAAATGTGATTGATTGTGTAGTTCACAGAAAGCTTCAGCTCTATCTGTAAATATCAAGTCCTTTAAGAAAAATGTGAAGCAAATATGGCAAACTGAAACTATGTGGTGGGTATATGAATATACATTACTTTTTTCCCTAGATAACTTTTGGTATATTTGGAGTATTCCAAATGGTTAGAAAATTTAAATTTGCCATTGCAGTTATTTTTGCAATGTATTAACTTAGCAGTTCTGTGCAATGTATAGCAACAACAGGGCAGATGATCCTATATTTCACATCTCCAATTATAACAACAGGTTGTAAAGTTTCACCTGGAATTCATTTCCATAAACTGCAGGAGCCATGTAGCTAGGTTCATGACTTTTATATTGAACAGCCTTGCTTTGAATATAATGCTAGAGGAAACACAATTGGTGTGAAGGCTAAGTAAACTGAGAGGACTCAGATCATTTGTGGATTCACTGCATATTTGCATTTTGTATGTTTACAAGAAAAAATAAAAACACTTAAGCTACACAATAGAAGTATTAAGAATGCTTAAACCTTCCCGTTCAATAAAAAGTTCTTTAAACAAATTTAATCAAGTTGCACACTGATTGTAAAACTAATAAAGCTGAAGATACTGTCTTTATTTTCTTGAGTTTATTTAGGACAATTCAAACTGCTTGATAGGATTTTCAAGTATGAATGGACATAAGAATCAGCAAAGCATATGACAAGAAATTTAATACATATCTTTTTAGGATTTCTGTTAATTAGTTTTCTGCAGTTCCATTTAGGTATCATTTTAATACTTAGAAAGGAACACAAAGATTTTTTTCAAATGAGAAAACTTTCAGCTTTTATCAAATATTTATTCATTCAAACAACAGTATCTGCTCTGTGCCAGGCATAGTTCTAAGTGCTGAGGAAGAACAGTGAACAAAACAGACAAGAAAACTCTGCCCACAAAGAATTCATATTCTAAGGGAAAGAGGAGGAGCTCACTTTCTTTTAAACTAGTCTCCACATCCTTGGGAAAATGACCAAAAGGTAATTAGGAGTCTTTGTAGCTTTGGGAAGAAAAGGGAGAGCCACTGAATGGGCTCTCTTTATAATCTTAATGTAAGTCAAGAATTACAGAATGTAAACACAAACAGGCTTTTCCTGTTATAAAAATGAAGATGTTTGTACTAAGTTTTTGGGTGATGGCAGCCCCAAATGTCTGAAATGTAGGAGGAAAATAAAAAAGGTCGAGGCAGCTTTTCAGCTATCCTAAGACTGCCTGTTTAACTATTTCTCCTTGCCAAGTCTACTGAGCTTATGACTTGATTGACAGGTTCTCTTTTTCTCTTCAAAAAGGAATTCAAAGAAAATGTAAAGCACTCTTCTATTAAACTGACTCTTTAAGTTTTCATTAAGACCTTCTGTATCAAGCACTGTCCCAGGGTCTGTGTGTTCACAAAGCACAGCCCCTGCCCCAGGAAGACTAGGGTTATCAGGGCTGACTGCTAGTGCTAATGGTCATGCAATGGGATAGGTGCTCTTACAGTGGTGTATACACAGTTCTGAGTAAGTGAGTCCTTTCTACCTGGGGTAGGTGAAGCTTTCTAGTGGAAGATATTTTTGTATTGGGCCTTCAAAATGAGTAGGAGGTGGCCAGATAATGAAATAGGAGGTGGCCATTTCAAACAACCTGATGATTCCTATTAACCGCCTAATGTATTCATTGCCTCCATGTGCTAGAACTTCTGCGTGCCATTCATTCCGTTGTTCATTCGTTCATCCATTAATTTATGCCATTAAGCTTCAAATCTCTATTACATAGTCGGCCATTTGCTAGCTATGGTATAAATGAGGAACCAAACTGATGACATGCTTACCTTCCTTTTGCATGTCAGCACCAACGGCTAGAATTAAAGTCTACATAAATATTCCAGTCCAAGCTTTTTAAATTACAAAATATTTGAGTTATTATATTTAAAGAAAAAATGATTTGGTTTTGAACTAAAGTACTTATCGTATTCTAAAGTGAATAAGAACAGTTGGAGGTTAGATGATGTATTGGATCATAGTATAGAACCTGATCAGAAAAACAAATAAATCAAACAATTCTTTTGGTGCTTGATTTATCTACTTGTTTCCATGCTATCTAAATAACTAAATTAACAACAATTTGGGGAGTACACAGGACACTTTTAGGTATGTTATCTTGTTTGGTGCTGACAGCATCCTGTGAAGTATGTAGAGTTTGTGTGTTTTCCAAAAGCACGGGTAGAGTAGGTGACAGAACTCCACCTAGAGTCTAGCTTGCTTTCCACCATGCTTTAATGTACCTTAAGAAAGCTCTGAAATTCCTGCATGCCTCTCAACCTCTATTTTTTCTTATGATATATATTTTTATTACTTTTAAAATAACTTTTTCTTACTTAGCTTCCTTTAACTGACAGACAGGATTTTCCTTTTTCTCCAGTAAAATAAGTAAAACAGTGAGGTAATGTAGCTACCAATATAAAAATGTTTATGCTTCCCAATATGGTCAATTTTGTCAACTAGGAATGCAGCCATTTTTTCCTGGAAACATAACTTCAATAAATTCTGTTTAGTTGCAAATGCAAAATTATATTTTCTTTATTAGGGCAAAAATATACTTGTTGGCTGTTTAAGAAAGTAAATACTATAACAAAGGAAATAACTGATCATAAACTCAGACCTAATTGTAACTCTTGGCATGCAATCTTCTTGTCAGAACACATAAATTACAGAGAAGGGAGAACAAAGATGCTAATCTTGTCAACCTCAAAATGCCACAGATCTAAAAAACGATGATAGTAGCATATATCAGTATTTCAAGCAAACCCTCTTGACTCTCTTACCAGCATAATCCCAGGATTGCCAGTGAGTTAATATTAGATATTTGTCCTAAGAGAGCATCACACAAAGCACTTGTTTTCTTGTGACTGAAGAATAGTCAACTTATTGCAGCTCACTTTTGTTGAGCATCTACTACATAAACCCACCAAACAAACAGTATCACATCCATAAATCTCAGAGTTCTACACAACCACTGTAGGGTATTGGTGTTTCCAATTTTGGGGGCAGTTGTCAGCAATCAACCCCCAACACACCAATTTTCAACATATCACTGAGGCAATAAGTCATTAGAAGCAAAATAACCTAGATCAAAATAGATTATTAAAGGGCTTTGGAGCTATTCATTTATTTATTTATTTTGAGACAGAGTTTCATTCTGTCGCCCAGGCTGGAGTGCAATGGTGCAATTTCAGCTCACTGCAACCTCCGCCTCCCGGGTTCAAATGATTCTCCTGCCTCAGCCTCCCGAGTAGCTGGGATTGCAGGCGCCCACCACCACACCCAGCTAATTTTTGCATTGTTAGTAAAGATGGGGTTTCGCCATGTTGGCCAGGCTGGTCTTGAACTCCTGACCTCAGATGATCTGCCTGCCTCGGCCTCCCAAAGTGCCGGGATTACAGGCGTGAGCCACCGCACTCGGCCGGAGCTATTTTTAAAATTGATACATATTTGGTATCTATTGACATGCATAGGTCTTAGATATGTAGTTCATTCAATTTTGACAGATGCCAAAACACATGCAACCCACACCCCTATCCTCACAGAAAATTTCTTATGTCTCCTCATAGTCAGACCTACCCACCACATGAAGACTCAACTATGGATCTGCTTTCTGTAACTATAGTTTTACTTTATTTTACTGTATTTATTTACTTAACTAGGGTTTTATTTTATTTTTAATATCATAGATTTATAAGTAAACAACCTTTAATGCCTAGCCTCTTAGCATACTGCTTTTTAGACCTCTCCATGTCATTGCATGTGTAGATTCTTTTATTGCTGAGTTGTATTTCATTGTATAAATATCCTACAGTTTATCTATTCTCCTTTTGATGACCTGAGCTGTTTTCCTCTTGGATCAATTTTAGTTTGAAAATTTGTCTGCAAAATCTGCCACCCTGACATTCCCAGTTATGGTAGGCCAGCTAAGGACAGTTCTTTGGGGCGTCTCATTTTCCCACACTCATTTTCATGGAGCTGTTTTCTTTCTTATGACCTATTCTCCTACACTCTCCATCCTCTCCATGGTGTCCTCTTTACTGACCTTCCCCGAGAACTAACTCCCAGACTCCAAACCCTGTTTTGTAGTGACCTAATACTGGGTTTCTCTGGAGTACTCTTTTTCCTCTGTAGCCCTTGGAATTGGGTATTTACTGTTCGTTACACTACACTAGACATTCTTAGGGTTGGATGGTACAATTGGCATCTTCTTAACTCTTCAATGTCCCCTTTAGACTCATGCTAGATTATTTTCGGCCCTTAATTTGTCACCTTATTTCCAAACACAATGGGACATCCTAACTTAGTTGTCAGTCAGCAACAGACAACTTCTGGGGCTTTCATTTTTTTTTTTTTTCTGAAGTGTAAAATCTGTTTTCCTCTTTATTCAAAGCTGTGCCATCTTCTTTATAAACTCATGGTGCTTCCCTGCACAAGTTTCTCAGTTCCTCGACTAACATAAATGTCACCTTCTCTTTACTTTTAATCCCCACTCACACCTCACTGCTATGATCCAACCATCAAGTAGAACCATCTCTAAGCCATGAATTCAGACAACTCACCATCTGTCCGCAGTGTTTTATTCTTCCAACTCTGTCATTTGGTAGCTCCCCATAGCATACACAATCTCCCAAAGACATCCAGCCCTTGATCACTGTGGTTTCTCTCTACTGGTCCCCATCTGTTTTTTCTCTCTCCCCACCCAACGTCCTCTCCAGGGCTCATCGTTACCTTTGCCTGTTGCTTTAGCCTCATTGGGATTCTGTTAAACTCAATTGGGTAAACCCTGGGCATGATCTAGTTTCCAGCTTTCTCTGGACCTTGCTCTGGAACCCTGAATGCTGCTGGAGAATATGACACCGCTGTGAAGATGATATTAGTAGTATTTTGTCATCTTCAGTGCAACTGACTCCTCAGTACTGCCCTGCAAACTCTAGGTGCCTTCTTAGGTATTTGTTCCATTCTCTACAGTGGCTAATTAAAGCTCTCTCAAGTCTTCTCAGTTTTATCACCTGTAAAAGCAAAATAATAAAGTACCTATTTCATGGAATTATTTGAGGCTAAAATTAAGTAATTCAGATAAAGCTTCTAGAACAACATTACAAGATAGTATGGAACAACATTACAAGCATGTATACTTCCTAATGACTTGATGCATTTACTTTATCATCAAATTTCAGTTCCTACGTCTTACCTATTTACCATCAAAGTGTCTTCACCTCTCATTTCACAAATAAGTAGAAAGCAAAGCCTTCAAATTCTGACACCAACTTTGTAAATGTAGCCGCAGGACCATGAATCTATACTTTTTTTTTTTTTAAATAAAGGAAGTTTTTTCTCCTCTTTGACATAGGGTTAGAACTTGGGTTTTTTATATAAGAAATTCCGTTTATTCCCACTTCCTCCGAGGGAGGCCTATTCTGTTTTTCATGTTTTTTCAACTTCTTTTTCAATCCTGACTGCATTTATCAGCATTTAAACACGTTTAGGTCTGCTCTGTTTTAACCAAGCAACCAACTCACCAGCAGAGTTGCCCTGACATCATAGCCCCTCCCACCAAATGATATTCTGTAGTTTCCTTTCATAGCCACCTGCATTTTCCCACTTCCTTAGCAAATCTAGGCTTGAAATTTGACTTTGTCTTTCTATACCTCACTGAAATCTCTCTCACCAAGTAACTGTGTCTAAATCGTATTGCCATTTTCACTTTTTGTCTTAAAACTTTCAAAAGCCCTTCCATAGATGAGTCCTCTCCTCTTTATGAAGTACTTTTATTCCCTCACGAATTCCACAAAAAACACATTGCCCTATCCTTCTCCTACATCTCTGCCTATTTATCTTCTGTCTTCATTATGGGTACCTATTGCTTCAGTAAACATCGATGTTCCTATGTCATCTATCCAGTAATTTCTTCCCTTTTCAGGTTATATATACTCCTTCTGCTGTGTTGCTTTCAGTAGCCATTTATATGTTCATTATCACCATGTCTACATATGCAAACTGCATTTCCCATCTGCCCTAAACTTACATTTTCCAAACACAATGGGACATCCTCACTTAGTATTATCCTAAGAACTTCAAATTTGTCATATGCAAATCTGAATTTATGACCTCTCACTAAAACATGCTTTTAATCACGTGTTCATCATTGGCACTAGTGTACACTATTTAAAACAGTTTAACCAATTGAGCACTTTTGTTTGACAAGGGGTGTGCCAAATATTACCGTTTAGGTGACTTTGTTTTAGGGGAACTAATAGTTTAGCTCCTTTAAAATAGTCTTTTCAAGCCAAACCTGGCCATTATTATGGAATATTTCTTCTCCCTCTCTACACCTATTCACATCCCCCCAGATTCCATTGCCCCCCGCATCATTCTTCTTAATTCTTTCTTTGAAATCTCTCAAATCAGTCCCTTTTTTCAATCACTATTCTTATTACTATCCTTTTCAAAATCTTTGTCCTTCTTTTCAGGATTCTCACACAGAGTAGTGTCATTACAGACTGCAACTCAGCACCTTGGGCACAGAGAAATAAGGGAGAGAGAAATTCTGGTTGGAGGACCTTAGACTTTATTTACCAACCATATGTTAAGTCTTAGGCATAAAATAAATCTGTTAAAATACCAGAACAGAAATATAATTGAACAATAAAGTAGTGCATTATTTCACTGTCACATAGCTATAAAGAACTACCTGAGACTGGGTAACTTACAAATAAAAGAGGTTTAATTGGCTCATGGTTCCCCAGCCTGTAAAGGAAGCATGGCTTGGGGAGGCCTCAGGAAATTTACAATCATGGTGGGAGGTGAAGGAGAAGCCAGTGCAACTTCACATGGTGGAATAGGAGAAAGAGAGAGTGAGGGGGAAGTGCTACACACTTTTAAACAATCAGATCTCATGATAGCTTCCTCAAGAGACAGCACTAAGGAGATGGTGCTAAATCATTAGAAACCACCCCCATAATCCAACCACCTCTCATCAGGGCCTACCTCCAACACTCAGGATCACAATCCAACATGAGACTTCAATGAGGACACAGAGCCAAACTGTATCATTCCATCCCTGGCCCCTCCCAAATCTCATGCCCTTCTCACATTTCAAAACACAATCATGCCTTCCCAACAGTCCCCTAACGCCTTAACTCATTCCAGCATTAACTGAAAAGTCCAAGTCCAAAGTCTCATCTGAGGCAAGGCAAGTCCTTTCTGCCTATGAGCCTGTAAAATAAAAAAACAAGCTAGTTACTTTCAAGATACGAATGACGTACAGGGATTAGGTTAATAGACTCATTCCAAGAGAGAGAAATCTGCCAAAACAAAGGATCTATAGGACCCATGCAAGTCCCAAAATTAGCAGGGTAGTCATTAAATTTTAAAGTTCCAAAATAATCTTCTTTGACTCCATGCTTCACATCCTGGCCACAGTGATGCAAGGGGTGTGCTTCCAAGGCCTTGGGCTGCTCTGCTTCTGTGGTCCTGCAGGGTACAGCCCCTGCAGCTGCTTTCATAAGCTGGTGTGGAGTGCCTGCAGCTTTTCCAGGCACACAGTGCAAGTTGTTGGTGGATCTACCATTCTGGGGTGTGGAGGATGCTGGCCCTGTTTTCCCAGCTCCACTAGGAAGTGACCCAGTGGGGACTCTGTGTGGCAGCTTCAACCCCACATTTTCCCTCCACACTGCCCTAGTAGAAGTTCTCCATGAGGGCTCCACCCCTGAAGCAGACTTCTGCCTAGACATGCAGGCAGTCCCATACATCCTCTGAAATCTAGGTGGAGGCATTCAAGCCTCAACTCTTGCCTTCTTTGGACCCACAGGCCCAGCACCATGTTGAAGCCACCAAGGCTTGGGCTTGTACCATCTAAAGAAATGGGCTGAGCTGTACTTTTGTGTATTTTAGCTACGGTTCAAGCTTGAGTGGCTGGGATGCAGGGTGCCATGTCCCAAGGCTGCACAGAGCAGCAGATCTCTAGGCCTAACCCACAAAACGACCTTTCCCTCTTAGATCTCGGGGCATGTCATGGGAGGGGCTGCTGCATAGGTCTGAAATACCTTAGAGGCATTTTTCCCATAGTCTTGGCTATTAACATTTGGCTCCTCTTTACTTGTCCAAATTTCTGCAGCTGCATGAATTTCTCTCCAGACAACGGAATTTTTTTTTCTACAACATGGTCAGCCTGCAAATTTTCCTAACTTTTATGCTCTGCTTCCCTTTTAAATATAAGTTCCAGTTTCAGTTAATCTTTTCATTCATTCATATGAGTGTATGCTTTTAGAAGCAGCAAGGTCACTTCTTTAATGTTTTGCTGATTAGACATTTCTTCCACCAGATACCCCAAATCATCTCTCTCAAGTTCAAAGTTCCACAGGTCTCTATGGCAGGGGCAAAATGCTGCCAGTCTCTTTGCTAAAGCGTAGCAAGAGTGGCCTTTACTCCAGTTCCCAATAAGTTCCTCATCTCCATCTGAGACCACCTCATCCTGAACTTCATTGTCCACATCACTATCTGCATTTTGGTCAAAACCATTTAACAAGTCTCTAGGAAGTTCCAAACCTTCTCTCATCTTCCGTCTTCCTCTGAACCCTCCAAACTGTTCCAACCTCTGCCTGTTACCCAGTTCCAAAGTTGCTTTCACATTTTCAGATATTTTTGTAGCAATGCCCCACTTCTCTAGTACTAATTTTCTGTATTATTTCATTCTCACTTTGCTATAAAGAACTACCAAAAACTGGGTAACTTATAAATAAAAGGGGTTTAATTAGCTCATGGTTCTGCAGGCTGTACAGGAAGCATGGCTGGGGGAAGCTTCAGGAAACTTACAATCATGCTGAAAGGTGAAGAGGAAGCTGGCACATTTTCACAAGGCGGAGCAGGAGGAAGAGAGAGAGAGAATGAAGGGGGAAATGCTTCTCACTTTTAAACCACCAGATCCTGTGACAACTTCCTCATGAGACAGCACTACGGGGATGGTGCTAAACCATTAGAAACCACCCCCATGATCCAATCACCTCCCACCAGGCCCCACCTCCAACACTCAGGATCAGCATTCAACAAGAGATTTGGATGGGGACACAGAGCAAAACCATATCAATAACTTATTATGGAAAAAACTTCTAAATAATACAATGTAATACATAAATTTTCCTTTTGCCAGCTAATTCTATACTAATCATCTAAATTGATTGCTATTTAATTACTCATTTCTGTCTCAGGCATCACCTCCCCTAAGAATATTATTTCACCGTTTTTAGGCTATTTTGACAGAGATATATTTCTAGACTGTCTTTTCCAGCTGCTGTCGTCTTATCTCTTTCTTTCTATCTTTCATTGTGTCGGCCTACCCAGAAGCCCAAATTTGTACACTTAAAAACCTGTTCACCCTACTTAGTTTAAATTAAGGGGATTGCTTATTTGTCTTTTCAAGCCTACTGCATCAGATAATCTCATCTCTTTTCCCACTAATTGAGGCAGTGAAAATCTTTCAAGAGCCTTCAGACCTACTTCCCTAGAGAGGAACCCCAGCATTCTAGAGTTGAAGATAAAGAAAAGTTAGCAAGGCCAACTATAGCCATTGCTCTAAGGTGCATTCGCAATTCCAGCATTACAAGTATTCAAGTTTCTGTTTTTACGATAGGCTCCTTCTTCCTGTTACTCATTGTTTCATTTGGGTTTGGATTCTGGGGACAGCCTAAATATCATTCCTTCTGCTCTCCATGTTCTTAACCAATTAGGGCTTGTGGGAAGGTAGGCAATGGGATAGAATACAATGGAATTAGAGAGCAAGAGAGAGAGACAGAGAGAGAGAGGGAGAGGGAGAAATTCCAGAATTCCCAGATGGGATTCATGGACGCCATATCTTCAATGGTTTACGCCAATTTAATATACATTTGCCTGAACAAAAACTGCATGTCGAACACTGTACTAGGTACTGGAGATACAATGAAGAAGAATACAACAAAGAAGAACCCAGGAATACATTCCTTATTTTTATGAGGTTAATATACAGTATTTAACTCTAAAAGGAAGGGCAGATAAGTAGCATAAAATGAACTTTACAATCAGCTATATTCAAAATTTGAATTCTGATTTCATAAATTACTATGGTAAAATACATTTGGTTGCTTATTTTCTTAATTGTTTATCATGAGAGATAGCCAAAGAACATTTTAGAAGCATTTTTTTAAGAGTCAGAACAGTATAGTAGGAAGAACATTTTTATGTATTGTCTCAATTTTAAAAGATTATAATTTCTTATTTTGTTTTTTTGAAAAAAGCAATTAAAATGTTTTAATATAATGGGTCTACGCTACATAATAAATGTTTTAAAGGCTTAAAATAAATTCAGAATGATTATGAAATTTTTTCTGCATTAATGAAATATACACAATTTACATTTCAGGCAAAATTAGGATTATGAGTCAAAAGACTTGAGTGCTAATTCAAGCCCAGGAACAACTTGTTTCTTGCTTCTGGGAAAGTTATTAATTTTTCAAAGCGTCTCTTTCCTTGTCTGCATTCTAGAGGAATTTATAGTATTTTGACGAAGATTACTCAAGATCATGAAGGTGGAGAACCAAGCCCTGATACACCCTAGCTATTTAGTAACTTTCAGTTTCTTTCTTCTTCTATCTTGTAACCCATTGCACTACTTAGTCCTCTCTACTCTTGTGACAACAAGCACTGGACTCCTTTGGATTTATAGGGAGGTTTGATAGAGCATAGAGATGATACTTAGAAACCATGCTTCCAGGGTAAACAGAATCTCTTGACACCTTCTATTTACATTCACATATGCCTTATGTTTACATATCCACAGCTTCTTTGATCAGAAAATATAAGCTTTGCCTAGATTATCTGTAAATCATATTCAAAACCATTCATGCCAAGTCTTTGCAGAATGTGGGGAGTATAATTTCATAACCAAACTATTTGAAATTCTAAATGAAAGAAGATATTTCTAACATGCAAATTGCTGACATTTCCCAATATATTTGAAAGATGCCAGTATAGCCAGAAGGAATTTGTCTATAACTGTTCCACACAATGTTCAAATAATGAATTCCTTGTATTAAGCTACTCTAAAACATAATTACTTTACTAGTTGTCAGATCCCAAGGTTTTTGCCTAACTGTTTGGATCCTCGATATGGAGAGAGAAATGAATCAATTTCAGTTGGCATTATTCATGATGCTCACCTAGTTCATAATTCAAACTCCACTGAGAATGGAGCTTACAGTTTCAGATATAATAGAACTTTATCTTAAAGAATTTCACAGATTAAAAAATAAAGATATATGCTTGTTTATATTATCCCTACCAGTCTCTTAAAATGATAGTTATTGAATATTTTTATATTCCAGACATTGATCTAGAGTCAATTACATAATTTAGTCCTCCCAATAACCCTGATTTTGAAGCTGGGGACATTTTTACCTGACAAGTTGATTGACCCAAGGTCAAATATGTGTAAAATAGCACAAAGAAGATAAAAATCCTAGATTCTAAGTTCATTTGCCCACCATATCATGTTAGTAAGTAATGATAACAATATTCCTCTTAAGGTAAGTAAGCTCTAGAGGCCAGTTGAAGTGTAAAAAGTTCTGTTTAACAAAACTATGTGGAGCTTACAATAGTCTCCTCCCTCCACTTTCCAGAAGTTCATTCACTGATAAATGCTAAGAAATTCTTACAACACCTCTTATGTGCTAGGCAGACGAAGCATGGACCTGAGACACAAGTAAGCATCTCAATGTCTGATCTTCAGTATTTTTATCTTTCTTGCCGAAATCAGCAATGTGTCTCACTGGTAAACAGGAAGGGTCCAATCATGAATCATGTAGTATTAGTAAAAATAAGACTACCTCTTGCTGTTTTAAATCACATCTTTATTAACTTTAGAGGGTTACTTTAAGAACGTTTTCTCTTGTGGTAAAGAATGTTTACAATTAGCAATTACTTCATCCTCTCTACAATATCTTAATTGTTAAATTTAAGTTAAACTAAATTTACCATGAAACTTTCAAAATCATTGTAGAATGATCCCATTTTTACCTGATTATCTCTTTGTGTTTCTTTCTCATCACTTATTTATTTTATCTTTATTACTCTCTCTCCACCACCCATTCATCTATTCATTCATTTCTCCATAAGAACTGCAATACACAAAAAGACCTATTTGCATATTTGCATAAGCAAGATCTAAAATGATGTAGACAAATGTTAATAAGCTGTCTTGTGGTGAAATTTAGTTTTTCCCTTTCTCTAACTTTTTTGGATTGTTACATATTGCCTGCATTTTTAACCAGTATGATTTATTATTTTAGCATTTTTATCAAAAGAACCTCTTTTTAAAAATTGAGTGATTTCAAACTATATGGATAAATATTTTAAAGATTGAAAATATCAATTCAAATTTATTATGAACTCTTTCCTTAATTAATAAAATATACATTAGATATATTTCATGTATAATATGAAAAAATACCTCTCAAACCTGAGTGGATTATAAACTAGGTTAGATGTAGATAAAATAAGAGAAATAAATAGAAAATTCACAATATAACTCACTCCAAGTAATACAAGAGTTTTAAAATTCTGCAGTTGAGTTGATATATTGTATGTTACAGTAAGAAAATGTATTCCAGTAGTGGATTGAAATAATATTTTACTAAATTAGAAACTGGACTAGTACTTTGTTAATAACCCAGGCTTTTGCTTATGGGAGAAATACTAATAAATTTCAGAACACATTTTTCTTCAATTCAGAGTAATGTTGATTGCATAGATGTCAAAATAGCTCTTGTCAAGTTGAAAGTAATGTCTACATATTTCTTTATTTTCACCATTATTGAGCATTTACTAAGGGCTATGCACATTATTTCATACTTTATAAGAATTCTTCCATGTACTCTTTCATCAACCATGTAAAATAGACAGTAGTATATTCTCATTTTCAGATGAGTGAACAGGTTTTCAAGGGTGGTAATTGTTTCAAGGTTATATAAACCTGCAAGTTGAAAAGAGTAGTTGGAAATTAGTGTTTGCCCCAGCTCCAAACTCTTCCCCTTTCAAAAAAACAAATGGTAATGCCATCCTTAGACCCCATATTGCTTAAATCTTTTGTGTCAACTAGACTAGGCTGTGGTACCTAGTTGCTTAGTCAAACACTAGTTTAGATTTTCTTGTGAAGGTATTCTGTGTATGTGGTTAACATATATAATTAGTTGTCTTTAATTAAAACAGGTTACGTAGTCTGACCTGTTTGAAGACCTTAAGAACAAAAACTGAGATGTCCTAGAGAAGAAGGAATTCTGCTTCGAGACTGTAACATTTAAATTCTCAGAGTTTCTAGCCTGCTGGCCTGCCCTACAAATTTCACGCTATTTCACATGACAAAACCACTGTCTGAGTTTCTAGCCTTATGATCTGCCCTGTGAATTTCAGATTTGCTAGCTCCCATAATGGCATTACACAATTTCTTAAAGAAAAAAAACTTTTAGTACACACATACACACACACACACACACACACACACACTTGATTCTGCTTCTCTGAGGAACTCTGACAAATGTTGGGTCTACACAATATTTTTTAATTAGCTAACTTATTTCAACTTCTTCAAGGTTGACTAATTTGTCATTTGACTAATTTGTCAAATATAATTAATATGATTATATTTACAGATGGTATATTTCTACTAAGTTTTAAGTCTTATCATTTCTGTAATAAGCACAAATGGTTACTTTTAATGAAAGGCTACAAATGGAACCAGGTGTAGAAAATATCACTCCCTCATTCAAAATATAAATATTTTGCACGTTTTGGCTGTATAGTTGAAGCTAGCTTATAGACGATTTTTCACAACTATTTTGTTGCTAATAGAATTGTGTTCTATGTATATCTAAGTGTATCAATCTGTTTTCACATTGCTAATAAAGACATACCCAAGACAGAGTAATTTATACAAGAAAGGGTTTAATTGGGCTTAGAGTTCCATGTGGCTGGGGAAGCCTCACAATCATGGTGGAAGGCAAGGAAGAGCAAGTTACGTCTTACATGGATGGCAGCAGGCAAAGAGAGAGAGCTTGTGCAGGGGAACTCCTCTTTTTAAAGCCATCAGATCTCATGAGACTTATTCACTATCACAGGAACAGCATGAGGAAGATTTGCCCCCATGATTCAATTACCTCCCACCAGGTCCCTCCCACAACACGTGGGAATTCAAGATGAAATTTTGGTAGGAACACAGCCAAACCACATCACTCCACCCCTGGTCCCTCCCAAATCTCATATCTTCACAATTCAAAATCAATTATGCCTTCCCAAGAATCCCGCAGAGTCTCAGCTCATTTCAGAATTAACTCAAAAGTCCACAGTCCAATGTCTCATCCAGAACAAGGCAAGTCACTTCTGCCTATGAGCCTATAAAATCAAAAGCAAGTTAGTTACATCTTAGATAGAATGCGGGTACAGGCCTTGGGTAAATACAGCCATTCCCAATGGGAGAAATTGGCCAAAACAAAGAGGCTACAGGCCCCATGCAAGTCCTAAATCCTGCAGGGAAGTCATACTACAGCTCCAAAATTATCTCCTTTGACTCTGTGTCTCACATCCAGATCACGCTGATGCAAGAAGTGGGTTCCCATGGTCTTGGGCAGCTCCATCCCACTATGGCTTTGCAGGATACAGCCTCCCTCCTGGCTGCTTTCACAGGCTGCCATTGAGTATACGCAGCTTTTCCAGAAGCACAGTACAAGCTATCAGTGCATCTACCATTCTGGGGTCTGGAGAATGGTTGCCCTCTTCTCACAGCTCCACTAGGCTGTGCCCCAGTAGGGACTCTGTATAGTGGTTCTGACCCCACATTTCCCTTCCGGACTTCCCTAGCAGAGGTTTTCCATAAGAGCCCTTCCCCTGCATCAAACTTCTGCCTGGACATCCAGGTGTTTCCATACATCTTCTGAAATCTAGGAGGAGGTTCGCAAACCTCAATTCTTGACTTCTGTGTACCCTCAGGCTCAGTACTATATGGAAGCTGTAAGAGGTTGGGGCTTCCACCCTCTGAAGCAACAGCCCAAGCTGTACCTTGGCCCCTTTTAGTCACAGCTGGAGTGGCTGGTACACAGGGCATCAAGTCCCTAGATTGCACACAGCCCAGGGACCCTGGGCCTGGCCCACAAAACCATTTTCTCCTAGGCCTCCATGCCTGTGATGGGAGGGGCTGTCATGAGTGAATACCTCTGACATGTCCTGGAGACATTTCCCCCTTTGTCTTGGGGATTAACATTTGGCTCCTCATTATTTATGCAAATTTCTGTAGCAAGCTTGAATATCTCCTCAGAAAATAGGATTTTCTCTTCTATCACATTGTCAGGCTGCAAAGTTTTTGACCTTTTATGCTCTGTTTCCCTTTTAAAACTGAATGCCTCTAAAAGCACCCAAGTCACTTCTTGAATGCCTTGATGCTTAGAAATTTCTTCTGCCAGATATCCTAAATCATCTCTCTCAAGTTCAAATTCCACAAATCTCTAGGGCAGTGGCAAAATGCTGTCAGTGTTTTTGCTAAAATATAACAAGAGTCACCTTTGCTTCAGTTCCCAACAAGTTCCTCACCTCCATATGAGACCACCTCAGCCTGAACCTTATTGTTCATACCACTATCAGCATTTTTGTCAAAGCCATTCTATGAGTCTCTGGAAAGTTCCAAATTTTCCCAAATATTTCTGTCTTCTTCTGAGCCCTCCAAACTGTTCCAACCTCTGCCTGTTACCCAGTTCCAAATCACTTCCACATTTTTGGGTATCTTTTCAGCAGCACCCCACTCTACTGGTATCGGTTTACTGTATTAGTCTGTTTTCTTTTCTTTCTTCTTCTTCTTCTTTTTTTTTGTTTTTTTTTTTGTGACAGAGTCTTGCTCTGTTGCCAGGATGGAGTGCAGAGGCGTGACCTCAGCTCACTGCAACCTCCACCTCCCGGGTTCAAGTGATTCTCCTGCCTCATCCTCCCAAGTAGCTGGGACTACAGGTGCACACCATGACACCCAGCTAATTTTTGTATTTTTAGTAGAAATGGAGTTTCACCATGTTGGCCAGGATGGTTTCGATCTTTTGACTTCATGATCCACCTGCCTCAGCCTCGCAAAGTCCTGGGATTACAGAGGTGAGCCACCATGCCCAGCCGTATTACTCTGTTTTCACTTTGATGATAAAGACATACCTGAGACTGGGTAATTTATACAGGAGAAAGGACTTAATTAGATTTACAGTTTCATGTGGCTGGGGAAGCCTCACAATCATGGTGGAAGGCAAGGAAGAGCAAGTCACATCTTATATGGATGGCAACAGGCAAAGAGAGAGAGGTTGTGCAGGGAAACTCCTCTTTTTAAAACCATTATATCTCGTGAGACTTATTCACTATCCCAAAAACAGCATGGGAAAGACTTGCCCCATAATTCAATTATCTCCCACCAGGTCCCTCCCACAACACATGGAAACTCAAGATGAGATTTTGGTGGGGACACAGTGAAACCATATCACTAAGTTAAATTTTTAAGGGTTAAGACCAATAGCAATATCTTTCACCCTCCTTAATACTTAATAGTAAAATGAAATGCAATTTGTGCCAAAAAATTTCAGAATTAAGTTACTTCATTTATAAGCTCATTTAGTGTTTTCCAAACTTCACTATTTGCATATTACTTTACAATTTTTGACATAAACATTGCTACCTATACTCTAATTTACTTAATACAGTAGTTTCCTCTTATCCTGGGATATGTTCCAAGACCCTCAGTGGATGCCTGAAACTCAGGTAGTACTGAATTCTATAGATACTATGCTTTTTCTATAAATACATACTTATAATACATTTTAATTTATAAAATAGGCACAGTAAGAGATTAACAATAACTAATAATAATAAAATAATTATAACAATATAATAAAGGTTACGTAACTGTGGTCTCTTTCTCTCTGTGTGTCTCAAAATATCTTATTTTACTGTACTTAAGGTTCCTGTGATCCAAGAGATGGGTAGAATCTATAGTGTGGATACCATGGACAAAGGGAGGGTTCACATCCTGGGTGGGCTAACACTGGCCAGCATGAGATTTCATCACACTACTCAGAATAGCACACAATTTCAACTTATGAAGTGTTTATTTCAGGAATTTTCCATTTACCATTTTTGGATCACAGTGAACCCCAGGTAACAGAAACCCTGCAAAGTGAAGCAGCAGATAAGGGATGACTACTGTATTTTAAAGTTAAATCACATTTTACACATTTACTTAAAGAGTACACTTTGTCTTATTATCTTAAGTGAAAAAAAACCAGACTCATTTGTCATAAATAAAAGGTAATAATAAAAATGAATATGAATATAAAAAAACAATGTAATTAAGTTCTACTGAATGACTGTTCCCATTAAACATAACAGGCCTGGGGCCTTCCTTCACCTGGTTAAAAAGAAGATTACTAAGTGTTAAAGTTCTACTAGTTCTGAACTCAGTCTTTCTCTTAGTGGGATTTAGGAAGACTGAAGGCAAACTCTCCTATTTAGTTAAGGTAACATGCTAGTTTGGGGAAAGGCAGTCTCACACATACAGTCTTTCAACTCCCTGTTTTCCCCCTAAGGATGTGCCCTGGACCTGGAGCACTTCCTTACCAAGAGATATAGAGTTCTAACAGCCTGTGCTGGACTTGTGTGGGGATATCTTTCCCATTTCAGACTCAGTCTTCACTTCTCTGTTCTGCTTAAGCATGTGCACTGTGCAGCATCTGGCCAACCCAACTGCTATATCTGTCCCCTGTGTGGAGGGAACAAGGTCCTCTATTGTGACACAAGAGGAGTGTTAATTGCCTTGCATTGGCTGCCAGAAGGGATCCAATGGCCATAGGGACCGGTGCACACTCCTGAAGCCAATCTTGCTCTGTTGCTTCTCTATGTGAATAAAATGTTGTTCCATTCAGTGTTTGACTAAGTTATGTCTTCCTTGGTGACTCTGATAACAAGATACAGTGGGCAGAAGTGCTCAAACATCCACTCCTGGTAACAAGCAAGAGATGCCACTTACTTAACAACTACTGCCTAAAAGTCTCACACTTTGGTAAACAACAATTTAAATCAATCCTATTCCCTGTTCTTTCACTTGAATGTACTCATTAAGTGGTTACCTGGTCTCTCCCTGATAACTCCAGAGACAAAGACTTCATGAGAAGTCACATTCCCTTTTATTTATTGCTTTAATTGTGAGAATGCTCTTTCTTCAATTGAGCTAATGTCTATTTCTGTAACCATCAGTCTTAGATCAGCCATCTTTATTAAAGTTGAAAAGTCTAATCTCTCATTCACAAAAGTTTCCTTTTAACACGTCCATCTTTTTGACCTCATCTTCTCACATGTTATGACATCTTTTTGAATTCCTGTGCACATGCACTACAGCCTTCATTATGAATAGATAAGAAACAAAGAAGAAAAGTAACTTCTTTATCAAAGAGAAATTATTTGAGAAGGGAAAAGTTAAAGAAGTTTGTTTTTTTTTATTCTTTCTGGAAGAGACTCTCATTATTGCTTTAGATAGTGTAATTGCTAAAGAGATTAAAAATTTTTAAAGAGATTTAAGACTGTTAGAGAGATTAAAATAATAAACATAAAAATATACTTATGTTAAGATTAGAGGTAACATGGACCAGAAGGAAGTATGATGCCATTTGTAACTCTGGAATAAATGTTATACCTTTGCTGTGATGAGTGAATATGGCAGAATTTAGCGCTCAGCTCTTACCACATTGTCAAAGAGAAGATGCTCAGTAAACTAAACCTTCTGGACAAACACAGATGGCCCAAGAGACTCTTCAGATGACTTTGATTTTATTTAGTGAAGAATTTTGTAGTTTCATAATTTTCCTGCATGAAATACTCTTAAACAAACTTATCTTCTTAAACAAAAAACAGGAAGCCTAAAGTAAATCCAACTTGATAATTAAATTACATATAAATGTATATGATTTCAAGTACAGATTTTCTCATGGCGAATGAAAAAAATTCAGTTGAGGTAATCATTACTTAAGAGTTCTTATGGTCTTGGTGGAAGGAAGGAAGAAAGAATGAGGAAAGAAAAGAACAGAAGGAAGACAAGAATTAAAAACAACCTCTTTTTGTTGCTCAGACCTACATCTACAAAAATTTTGGACTAAACAATAAATAACAGTAATTAGAATTCAAGAACATTCTTTCTCAAAATATGAAATCAGAAGCTTCATATCGGTGGAGGCTAGGAAGCTGATACAGATGAAGTTTCATGGTGTTAATTTCTGATCAATATCTCATAGGGGCAATTTTTTTATGATTCTGGTATAGTTTGGATATTTGCTGAGCCAAAATCTCATGTTGAAATGTAATCCCCAATGTTGGTGGTGGAGCCTTGTGGGCGCTGATCAGATCATGGGGGTGGATTTCTCATAAATGGTTTAGCACTCTCCCCTTGATGATATCCTTGCCATAGTGAGTGACTTCTCACAAGATCTGGCTGTTTAAAAGTGTGTGCCACCTCACCCTGTACCTTTCTCCTGCTTTTGTCATGTATGCCTGCTCCCTCTTTGCCTTCCACCACAATTGGAAGCTTCCTGAGGTCTCCTCAGAAGCAGATGCTGCTATGCTTTCTGTACAGCCTGCAGAACCATGAGCCCATTAAGCCTCTTATAAAATATCCAGTCTCAAGTATTTCTTTATAGCAATGCAAGAACAGCCTAATACAGAAAATTGGTGTCAAGGAGTGGGGCATTCCTATAAAGGTACCTGAAAATGTTGAGGCAGCTTTAGAACTCAGCAACATGTAGAGGTTGGAAAAGTTTGGAGGGCTGAGAAGAAGACAGGAATATGAGGGAAACTGGTTGAATGGTTGTGAACAAAATTTATTGAGAACTGGAGCAAAGGTCACACATGTGCCTTAGCAGAGTTTGGTTGCATTGTGCCCCTACTGCAGGGATCTGTGGAGGTTTGAGCCTCAGAGTGATAATTTAGGGTATCTGGTGAAAGACATTTATAAGCAGTAAAGCATTCAAGAAGTGGGCTGGCTGCCTCTAGAAACCTATGCTCAGATATAGGAGCAAATAAATGACTTAAAGTTGGAATTTATGTTTAAAAGGAAAGCAGAGCATAAATGTTTAGAAAATTTGCAGGCTGGCTATGTGGTAGAAATTAAAAGCCCATTTTTCAGGAGAAGTTAGGCAGGGTGCTGAGAAGCCATTTGCTAGAGAAATTTGTGTAACTAAAAAGAAGGCAAGGGCTGATAGCCAAGACAGTAGGAAAAAGGCCTCAAAGGCATTTCAGAGACCTTCAAGGAAGCCCTTACCACACAGGCCAGGAGGCCTAGGAGGAAAGAATGATTTCATGGGCCATACCCAGGATACCATTGCCCTGTGCATCCTTGGAACACTGCTCTCCATCCGGCCTCTCTGGCTCCAGCCTAGCTTAAAGGGACCTGGGTACAACCTGGGCTACAGCGCCAGAGGGTGCAAGCCATAAGCCTTGGTGTCTTTCATGTGGTTTTAAGCCTGTGGGTGCACAGAGTGCAAGAGTTGAGGCTTGGGAGCCTCTGCCTAGATTTCAGAGGATGTATGGAAAAGCCTGGATGTCCAGGCAGAAGGGTGCTGCAGAGGTGGATCCCTGGCAGAGAAACTCTACTAGCGCTGTGTGGGAGGTGGGTGTGGGGTGGGAGCCCCCACACAGTCTCTGCAAGGGCTCTTCTTAGTGGAGCTGTGAGAAAGGGACCACCAACCTCCACACTCCAGAAAGGTAAAGCCACTGGCAGCTTATAACCTGCACATGGAAAAGTCACAAGCATGCAACCCCAACCTGTGAGAGTGGCTATGGGGCATGAACACTGCAAAAACACAGAGGTGGAGCTGCCCAAGGCCTTGGGAGTTTACCCCTCACAGCAGTGTTCTCTGGATATGGGACATGAAGTCAAAGGAGATCATTTTGGAGCTTCAAAATTTAATGACTGCCCTGCTGGGTTTTGAACTTGCATGAGACCTGTAGCCCATTTCCTTTGGCTGATTCCTGCCTTTTGGAATGGCAGTGTTTATCTAATGCCTATACTTCCATTGGATCTTGGAAATAAGCAACTTGCTTTGATTTTACAGGCTCATAGGTAGGAGATGAGTCTCAGAAGAGACTTTGGACTTGGACTTGAGACTTTTGAATTAATGCTGGAATGAGTTAAGATTTTGTGGGGACGATTAGGCAGGGATGATTGTATTTTGAATATGAGAAGGACATGAGATTTGGGGGGGGGGGGGGTGCCCAGGGGTGGAATAATATGGGTTAGATATTTGCCACAACCGAATTTCATGTTGAAGTGCAATCCTCAATGCTGGAGATGGATCCTGGTGGGAGGTAGTTGAATCATGGGGATAGATTTTTCATGCATGGTTTAACGTCCTTCCCTTGGTGCTGTCCTCACCATAGTGAGTGACTTCTCACAAGATCTGGCTGTTTAAAAGTGTGACACCTCGCACCCCTCACTTGTTCCTGCTTTTGCTATGTAATGTGCCTGCTCCCCCTTCACCTTCTGCCATGATTGGAAGCATCCTGAGGCCTCTTCAGAAGCAGATGCCACTGTGCTTCTTGCACAGCCTGCAGAACCATTAACCAATTAAATCTCTTTTCTTATAAATTACCCAGTCTCAGGTATTTCTTTACAGCAATGCAATAATTGCCTAATATAAATTCAAAATGCCCTTGTTAAGATATGTGATTAAAAAATAATAGAGTTTTATAACTTGAACCACAACCTAATTTTCTTGTCTTGCTTTTACTCTAATTATCTTGGCCAAATAAAAACTTGGTTTGTTGATCTATTTGCTGACTAGTAAGATAGAGATATTGACTTGATGTGTAGCATTTTGCCAGAGGATAGAGGATGCTAATCATTTACCCTGCCTTCCCTTTGGGTCCTAACCAATTGTGATATCAACATAAGAAGAGTATACACCCCTTCTGAGTTGAAGGTACTCAGGGCCTCAGATAACAAGTCTCTGTACTATCTTGCACATTCACTATAGAGAGACCACACTTGTTTTCAAGGCACTCTATACCATGAACCACTCTACCTTCTATGAAGCAGAAGTCTCTCCAAATTAATGATGAGATTTCCTCTTTTGATTTCATTTAGGCCCATTCATGTCTTGATGCACCACTTGTTAAATTCTTATGCACATGTAATAAAGTCCTGGCTTAGAAGTGAAATGCAAACCCTGATCATAATTTTTTTCTTAGTATTTGTCTATATTGTAGATAGAAAATAGGTAGTATTCTTATTAGCAAAGCCTGTTTCCACTGAAGATATAGTTTTTCAAATCTGATCAATGTCAAAGGACTTTTCAGAAAGCTTTCTCATTTTGAAAGAATCTTAATGGGTCTTCAAAATAGGGAAGTCAGCAGAAGATTTTGAGGGTTTTGATATCAGGGCTCAAGTAGCTTAAGGCAAGCACCTCAAGGTGAGAAACTAATTAGGATAGGACAAAGTAAAGATATAATAATTTACAATTGGTGGTCTCAGTAAGATGAGAGTCTTGAAGTGAGTTTGACAAATGAGATGTTTGCCTACATGAGCAATCTAATGTCCTCATAGGAGAACTGATTTGCCCAGATGAGAAAACTGTTTGCTCAGATATATTGGTTTGTAGGAATCTAGTGAAGCAAACAGGGAAGCTGTCTATTGGTTTATAGTCTTATCTCTCTGAGAAAGATTTCCCTGGAAAAAGTGGTTAAGTCATGTTGACAGAGATGGCTTCAGTTCTCAGTCCTGTTAGTTAAGTTCTACAGATACAGACGGTCCCAAATGTCATACCTCTGTAATTTCTCTTTTACTGCTCCCCAATCCAAACAAACATTTATTTTTCTGGGAGATGACTCTTTTGTTTATAACAAGTTTCTTATCTTCCATTTTGTTGTTATACTTACTTTACTTACTTGTCACATATAGCTTTACTTAGATTGTGTTTTCTTAGTGAGTATGAATAATGATTTTTTTAAATCTCCATGGGTTAAGATGTCTAATCTATTTAGAGGGTTCTTTAGGATTTTCTATTTTATTTAAACTTGGCTATTTATTTTGCTTCTCTCTAAATGCCTTGTCTTGGAGCCATCTTAATATTTCTAATCTACTCTTTATTACAACAAATGCTTCTCTCTTTTTTTTTTTTTTTTTTTTTTTGAGTCTCACTCTATCTCCCAGGCTGGAGTGCAGTGGTGCAATCTCGGCTCACTGCAAACTCTGCCTCCGGGGTTCATGCCATTCTCCTGCCTCAGCCTCCCGAGTAGCTGCATCTATTTTATAACAAGTATTGTGTAAAGTCAGATGTTCTCAACCTTGAATTTCATTTGAATCACTTTGAGAGCTTTAAAATAAAATAGTGGGGAGTTTTAAAAAGTACTGAAACTCAGGCCAGCACTTAAACTTTTGTTTAATTGACCTGGGGCATGGTCTAGGTATTAGAATTCTTTTCAGTCTCTTCAGGCGATTTTAATTTTTCAGCCAGGATTTTAGTGAAGTCAGTGATGAACAAGACACATGTGGTTTCAAGGAGCTTAGTGGAGGGAAAAAAAAAAAAAACAAACACATTACGCCAATACAATAATACTTGTTAGAATAAAATTGTGGTTACGTTCTACAAAGTAAAATTTCAGGGTGCTGTGAGAGCTTATAGCATAGTTACCTAACTTCTGTGTTAGGGATGTCAGAGAAGGATGCCCTGGGAAAGAGACAGGTAGGGTACGACTTGAAGGATGAAGAGAAATTAACCAGAAAATACAGGAAAAGAAGAAGGAAGGTGAACAATATGCTTTGGGACTGGGAAGGTCTTAACGAGTTAAAGGGTGAGAGAGGAGACTAGTGTAAGTAGAGTTTAGTGAATAAGCAGCTGGTTATAGTATAAAAATCATGGTGGAGTCAGCAGTGGCTAAATCATTCGGGGGCTTCCAGGGAAGAGGAAGGTTTTTTTTTTGTTTTTTCTTCATCATAAGGGTAATGGGAGACTATGAGATAATTTATCCAAATGTATTTTATAAAGCTTACACTAGCAGGCAACCACAGATGAGATTAATATAAGGGAGGGGCAATGGACCAGGTTGGGCTGTGGGAACTAGGATCAGAGGCTGTTGCAGACCAGACCCGAAATAAGTTTGGACAGGAATGTAAAAGTGGTGATGGAAACAAATTGAAAGATATGAAATATTCTTTGGTGATATCATCAACAGAACTTTTCAATTAGTTGAATATGGCTATCTGTTAATAACTGAACTGATAGGGTCAACACTATTAATTCTACCAGCACTCTCATTCTATAATTATATTATCTTAGTTTATTTAAAAACTCCTGAGCCAGCAGAATTTGTCACACACATTAAAGTCTGGCCTAGGTTCATTTAAAATTCTTGAGTGTTCCAAATAATCCAGGGAGTTGGTTATTAAGTCAATAAAAATGTTTTAGGGGGGAAAATATTAAGAAACTTAAACTCCTTATAAATGTTCTGATAAAATTTAAAACGTGGCCTTTTTTTTAATGACAGTACCTTGAAAGCTGTTTCTTTTCCAACATTAAATGTGAGCTGACTAATATGAGCTTCCTAGCATGCTCTGCCCAAGTTATCCAGCACAAGAGTGTTTAGGTTAATAAAGGTCATTTTACTACAAATTACCCTCTGTAGTTGTAGTTGAATCTTTTTATTTTTGAGAAGAAATTATAGTGAAAATATCATTATTATATTTGTGGTAAGTATAAAATTTGGTCTTTTTTTTCCTGCTGTACTAACTGTTCATAGGTCTGTAGTGAACAAAATAATATTTACTAAAACACAAATTAATATTTAGAACAGAAACAACTTAGACTCACTCTGGACTCCCATAAAAATTGATTACTTAGACATTTAAATATATTTACTTAATACTGTAATATTATATACATTTCCTAAAGCAAATTTTAAGACATAATATTTGGAAAATCTAGTAGAGGTTGTCAAAGCTACTTCTGTTGGCCAATAGCAGTTGCTTTTATAAAATCGTATTATTTCCTGCTCAAACACTTCATTAACTACATTATGGCCCAAGATTTCTGACAGCATGTCAAGATGCTTTATCTTCTAAGAGAAATTTCAGTTAGACTTGCAATTGCTAACTCAGAAGCTGACTTTAAATGCAGGCAATAATAAGTATAATGATGGATACATGTCATTGTACATTTGTCACAACCCATATGATAGATACCACCAAGAGTGTACCCTAATGTAAACTGTAGATTCTGGGTGGTAATGACTTGCCAATGTAGATTCAACAGCTGCAACAGATGTACCATTCTGGTGAGGGATGTTGATAGTAGGAGAGGATGTGCAAATGTGGGGTCAAGGAATATATGGGAATGCTCTGTATACTCTGTTCAATTTTCCTGTGAACCTAAAACTGCTCTAAAAGATAAAGTCTATTAAAAATGCAAGGAATAGTACAATTCTCAACTTCATTGAAAACTTTGTTAATGAGGTAGAAGTTAGGACTAGAAAAAACATAGCAGAATAGCGGTGTTCCACTCAAGAACTCACAGGCCAACCCTGGCACTATCCTCTGGTATTGAAACCCTGACATACCTGGGTGGGAGTGATACTCATAGCCCATCTCAAATTGTTTATTTCTGTCGTGGTGCTAGATTTATGTTAAGAAATCTACAAATTTTGTTTTGGCTCCTTCACTGGTACATTATACAAATTATGCAATGGAACTATTTATGCCCATGGAGAGGTTGACATGGAGTGTATGTGTATACAAAAAGGGGGGAAGTGGAGAGAGAGAGAGAGAGATTTTGCAGAGATTAAGAGAAAATGCACTGAAGATTCAGACAATTTTCATTTCACATCTCAGCTCTGCTGTTTTCTGTCCTTCTTCTTCAATAAAAATTAACTTCTCTCAGACTCTTTTTTATCTATAAAATTGTGTTAATATTAGGTGAGTGTAAAAGTAATCGAAATTTTTGCCTTGTTGGAATTTGCCTTTTGATATTGGAATACATTCTTAAATAAATGTGGTTATGTTATACATCATTTTAATGGTCATCTCTCACTTTGTGTTGTTTTGCTAATGACTTATTACTTGCTGTTTATTTTATGTTTATTTTATACTATGGAAATGTTATTAGACAAAACGCAAATTCGAGCAATTTTCTTATTCTAGTTCAAAATGGGTTGTAAAGCAGCGAAGACAACTTGCAACATCAACAATGCATTTGGCCCAGGAACTGCTAATGAATGTGCAGTGCGGTGGTGGTTCAAGAAGTTTTGCAAAGGAGATGAGAGCCTTGAAGATGAGGAGCGTAGTGGCCGGCCACCAGAAGTTGACAACGACCAATTGAGAGCAATTGTCAAAGCTGATCCTCTCACAACTACAGAAGAAGTTGCCGAAGAACTCAGAGGTGACTATTTTACGGTCATTCAGCATTTGAGGCAAATTGGAAAGGTGAAAAAGCTCGATAAGTGGGCGCCTCATGAGCTGAGTGAAAATAAAAAAAATCGGCGTTTCGAAACGTCATCTTCTCTTATTCTACGCAACAACAATGAACCATTTCTCTCTTCGATTGTGACATGGGACAAAAATTGCATTTTACCTGACCAGCTCAGTGGTTGGACTGAGAAGAAGCTCCAAAGCACTTCCCAAAGCCAAACTTGCGCCAAAAGCAGGGCATGGTCACCATTTGGTGGTCTGCTGTCGGTCTGATCCACTACAGCTTTCTGAATCCCGGCCAAACCATTACATCTGAGAAGTATGCTCAGGAAATCGATGAGATGCACTGGAAACTGCAGCACCTGCAGCCGGTATGGGTCAACAGAAAGGGCCCAGTTCTTCTCCATGACAATGTCTGACCACACATCACACAACCAATGCTGTCAAAGTTGAATGAATTGGGCTACGAAGTTTTGCCTCATCCGATATAGTCACCTGACCCCTCGCCAACCAACTACCACTCCTTCAAGCATCTCGATAACTTTTTGCAGAAAAAATGCTTCCACAACCAGCAGCATGCAGAAAATGTTTTCCAAGAGTTTGTTGAATCCTGAAGCAAAAATTTTTACACTACAGCGATAAACCCTTATTTATTATTGGCAAAAATGTGTGTTGATTGTAATGATCCCTATTTTGATTAACAGAGATGTGTTTGAGCCTAGTTGTAATGATTTAAAATTCACAGCCTGAAAGGGCAACTATTTTTGCACCACCCTAACATTACTTATTCTCAGACTGGCGATGGAAATTAAATACCAAAATGTTCATATTTGACCCACTGCAGTGGGTTACAGAATCAGTGCCACTTACCATTTGAGCTTGGACAAGTCTCTCAACTGCTTGGGAACTCCAGTTCTTTATTTGAAAAGATGGGAGTTTCGCAGAATTATGGTTTGATCCCTCTGAGCTGTAAAATGTCATGATTCTTTTCAGTGCTAACTGGACCTCAAGGGAAATAACCCACTGACCTGTTTTCTCATTAATACCATTTTGTGAACAACAAGACTAAATATTCAACTGCACTGGAGAAGTGAAAACTTTATGATTTTACAGGCAGGGTTTTATTCTGTCCCTCAAAATCTGGCAGATGGTGAAATACTGGGAACATAGAGAAAGCAGCTTCTATTACATCTCCTGTATTTCATAGAGGGAGAGCCTATTCCACTCTTACCCAGATAATTGTGTAGGTGTGTAGCTGCCAAAATCCTAAAACCAGACCTGACCCATGACTAGGACTGCAGATAAATTTTAGTATGCCGTTGGGTGCGGTGGCTCACGCCTGTAATCCTAGCATTTTGGGAGGCTGAGGTGGGCGGTTCACGAGGTCAAGAGATGGAGATCATCCTGGCCAACATGATAAAACCCCATCTCTACCAAAAATACAAAAATTAGCTGGGCGTGGTGGTACACGCCTGTAGTTCCAGCTACTCGGGAGGCTGAGGCAGGAGAATCACTTGAACCTGGGAGGTGGAGGTTGCAGTGAGCCGAGATCACGCCACTGCACTCCAGTCTGGTGACAGAGTGAGACTCCATCTAAAAAAAAAAAAAACAACTTTAGTATGCCCAGGTAAACTTCAAATCCATATAAACAAAAATTTTTATTTAGTATAAATATTTTCTAAATATTGCATTGGATCATGTACTAAAAAATTATTCTTTGCTTATCAGAAATTCAAATATAACTGGGAATCCTAAATTTTTATTTACTAAATCTGTCAACCTTACAACAATAAAATTCTTATAGCTGGGTTTTTTTTTTTTCATATAGCTGTTAAAAAATGTACAACTACCCTCAAATCTACCCCCTCCTCTGTGATTTCATTGCCACCTGGTTAAGGTGGGATAATCTCTAAGGCTCTTTCCACTATGCTGAAGAACATTAACTTCTATTGTATTTTCTACTGATGAATGGGACTTCATATCCATTTATTCATTGCCGTGCCTTTACACAGACTCTGGGTCTCCAAGTAATGCTGGTTGACCTAGTTGGAGGGTAAAGCCCTTGACCATGGTCAGAAAACTCAACTATCTAACTTAAATAAGGCTCCAACTCACCATCAATATGGAGATTAGTTTCAACTTTTTATTATTCCAAGGTTAATACCAACCAGGTTAATGGGGTCAAAATTGCATTTGTTGGGTCAGAGCATGAAGTGGTCTTTAGATGAAAAGACAATTGTTAAAACCCACAAAGAGAGCTAATGATAATGAGATGCTTAATGGTGTGATGGAGGAGAGACAGCTGTAACACTCTCTTAATGGAAGTTCAAATGATTTTTGGTGAACTTTCTCTAACTCCTTTGCTCTTGCATTATGTATAATTTATCACATCTAAAGCTCTGAGCCCAATGTATAATAAGCCTGGATTTTGAGATATACTTTCAGGCACTCTTTAATCAGTTCTGAGGTTTTGTTATATGTGAGCTCTCTTTCCTCTTGAAAGTAAACGTAGGTAGTACTCATTCAGAAAGTACACAGAGAAATGATATTAGTGGAAGATAACAGAGAAACTGATGAATTCTAATTGTTGAGCAATTATTGGATGCATTGGGGAAGAAGTCACTTTTGTAAATTATTGTGTTGGTGGGAGGAAATATCCAAAGCCAAACAAGGTAATATTCTTTAGGACTTATGGAATTTATCTTATTGTGTCTCTCTTCTCTATAAAATGGTACAACTTGTTACTCATTCTCTTTCACCATTACCCCACCCTATATATCTCTTATTCTGAATGTGTGTCTTTCAGGAAACCAGCATCCCATGGCCTTTAAATACTCCAGAATTAGAGGTGGACTGAACTCATGGCTCTGCCGCACTGCTACTTATGAGCTTCATGACCTTTTAGAATTCACTTAAATTCTCTGACTCTTGGTTTCTCCTTTGATACATACATTCATAGAATACATAAAATCCGTACCTCAAAATTGTAGTGAAGACTTAAGTCGGCTAGTTCATGTCCAGTTCTAAGCACACAGTCATTATCCAATATCTTGAAAGAAAATAATGCTTAGTATTGATTTTAATGGAAAGTATAAACTCATACTGGTATTAGGGAAAATGGGTAATTTTGCTATAATCTTTTAGAGGGAAAAACTGCCCAATTATGACTCAAAATCACAAACAATACCAGAAAAGACTGACAAGTTATACTACAAAATCACAATAACCTTTGCTTAGCAAAGGACAGAATTATCAAAGTGAAAATAAAAAAATTTTAAAACCTGAAAAACTAGAAAAAATTACTCTAGTCATAGAATAGCTCTAGCCTCAAGCTGCTTTTTCCTACCCCTCAGGTGTTCCTCTCCTCCCCTTTCTGTCTTCCTGGTCCTGAGCATTGTATCCTTGTCTTTCTTGAAGTCACTTGCGTCTACCCCCATTTCCATATTTGTCTAAATGTTACCAAGATTCACTCTCCCTAGAAATAACCCCAAATTGGGAAGTGCTTTATAAACAGCATACACTTCACACTTGGATTAATAATTTTCCATGAATATGACCAATCTATGTCAGCACTTCTAATTTTCAGGGATTGTGAGATTTTTCTCTAATCTTGACCCAACCTTGTATAAAAATAAGAAAGCAGTGTGAAAGATGGAGACAAACCTTTAATACTTCTACTAAAAGCCATAAGAATCCTTATATCTCCAGAAATAAAATTCCCTCAAACAAAAATCTTGTCCCAATTATCTCTCAGTATGGGTCCTAACAACTGTTTCCTTGATCTTCATTGTTCTCTTCTTGCTTCAAGGGATAACATGAATTGAAGGACTCAGCTAAAACATAACTAAACAGCACTTGTAACCATCTCACATTAACATTTTCTTTTTCCTGTTTTTATTTGTGCTTCAGACCTTCACTTGCTTTCATATTTCAGCATTCCTGTTTCTTGAAATAATCACACGCTGACTTTGTCCTAAAGACATAACACATGATCTTCACCAAATCATATAGAGTTGTTGGTCGCCCAAACACTAAATGAAGATTCAGAGAACGAAGATTCTGGTTTCTCAAGCACAGTATCAACCTGTCAAATCTCTTATAATGTGCTTAGGGAAGGATACAGAGAAGATACAGTTATTAACCAACTATTTGGTCAACATAGTAGGCAAATAAAAATATTTTAATGTGTGAAAAACTTTGTGAGAATATGTTATATTGTCCAATTTCCAGATTTAATAAAATTCACAGAGATTAATATATTGAATTATGTAAATCAAACACGCATTGAGTTCCTACTATGCCAGACACTCTTCTAGGTGGTGGGACAACACTGGAGAATCAGATCAATTCCACCTTCTCCTACCTTTCCAGAGTTTATAATCTGGCAAAGAATGGTGTAATAAACACAATGTTTACGTATATATTAATATCATATAGGCTGTTCAAGATAATATGGACTAAGGAAAAGAAAATTTAGAGCAACATGAGGGAGTTGCAGTATTAAACATGGTGGTCAGGGCTTCCCTCCACGAAACTGTGAGATAGAAGCAAATGCCTGAAGGTGAGGGAGTGAGCCCTGTAACTGTCTGAGGATGACTGTTACAGGCAGTCCATTAGGGAAGAACATGCTAGCACATTTTGGCATAGCTGGAGAGGCACAGGCAATGAGAAGGATGTTGAGAAAAGGCTTTAAAGAGAAAGGAAATAGCAAAAGCAGGGGTAGCAGTTAGAAATCAATTAAGAAAATTCCCCATGTTAAATAGAAAGAAGGTGGGAAAATTGGAATTCAAATCATGGTTTTCCTGACTCCATAATTTCAGCTGTTGGCCCAAGCTTGCATCATAAATTCACTGTTGCTTTTCTGTGCTGAAGACTTTTTTGTGGCATAAGGTTTGTAGTGGATGAGTTGGGGGAAGGATGGAAATAACTTTGTTACCCACACTAAACCTGTAACCTCTTCCCATATTTGTCTGCTGCCCTCTCCCCTCTCCTTTATGAGGTTTGATTGGAAGAAGGAGCTATAGGAATCTCTTGAGTTGCTTTCAAAAGGATATAAAATGACTCCATGAATAAAATCTTGAATTCAATTATTGTGGTTGTTTCCACTTCAATCTGTGTTTTAGACAGCCATCAAACATTTCCCCACCTTATTATGAAATAATTTAAGGAGAAATGTGAAGGCAGGTCACAAGAAAAGCATGGGACCATCGACTTCAGCTGAACATCTCTAATTGTGGCTTTAATTGTAATGGAGCTTTGACTGAATTCTCATAGAGCTTAGAGATGGGAGTTTCTAATAAGATATATTCAATAGAGGAATTCTTAGAGTGCATTGGTGCTTAGGACAATGTGTGGTTTTAAAAATCTTTGTTATGTGCCCATAAACTATACATTGAGAATCAATTCTAAAAGATCAGTCCTGAAGACATAATAAATGACTTCTGAGGTTTGTCCATGAACTCTATGAAATTTCATATATGTGTGTTCTCACTATTTGAGGAATAAGACCTACAGATTCCTTTAGTTTATTTACCTCAAATAAAGTAAAACTAAGATCAGTGCGTTTCCTTAAGACTCACTGCTTTGTGAAACAATGATATTTTAGATTTGTACTTCGCAGTTTACTAAATGCACAAACACACACACATATATACATTTAACCTCAGTATTCAAAGAACCTTTAGCATTGGTTGTCTAAACAACATCCCATGCTAAGGTTTTTGGAATGGAGCAAATTATAAATAATATTTTTTAAAATGTGTGAAAAGTTGGCTGCTTAGAAAACATGGTCGTGACCACAATGTTTATATTAGCCCACATGATTAGGTTTCCTGGTGTATAAATAGACACACTCAAACTTGTTTAAGCAATGAAGAGAACTGGTTCAGATAACTGAAAATTACAGAGATAAAGTTGCTTTTAGGTGTGGTTTGATCCAGAAGTTAATTGTGGCTCCCAGGCGCCGGTTCTTTCAGCTCTGCCACCTCAGTGTGTCAGTTTTGTCCTCAAGTTGGTGTCTCTTGTGGAAGCAAATGGTCATAACAGTTTCATGTATCTTGTTCCTTGCAAAGTGAAGAGGAAGTGAAACTCTTGGATGCAGCATTGACTGGCCAGTCCTGGGACCATCCGATTGGGCTAGTGCATTGGTTCACATGTCAACTGAACCCAGTTTTTGAGACCAGAGGGCACTGAGTGTGCTCATTGGCTTCAGCATGGTCACATACTCTTCTGGAAGAGCTGAGAGTAGAGTCGCATTCCTTGGGGCCACATGGACAGCAAAATGAAAAATTAGTGGTCTTAGAAAAGGGAAAAAATTATGAACACTGGGAAAGTGAAAAGATAACTTCTACACTGAGGCAGATGAAAAATACAGTGTCAATAGCAAACACTGGAGGAGAATATCTTGACATAAGCAGCATTAAGGCTATTTAAAAGGAGGAAACAGAAGCCCAGAGAGTTGGAATAGCAGCCTATAGGCACACAAGCAGTAAGTGGATGAACTGGGACTCAAAGGCAGAACTCTTAACCCCAAATCTATTGTTCTTTCTCACATATACTGTTATTTCCACAGAGAACCAAGTGCGTAGAGCTCATAAACTGCAAAGCAAATTTGGCTGTGCCTGTGGAAATAAACTGCTGGGTAATATATGACTTAGACCAATGACAGCTGTGAATTTCAGTTTCATTTCCAGATACAGAGATAGTTTGCAGAATGGTGGAGTTTTCACTTGCAGGGCACAGTAATGCTCTTCACTTCTCAGAGGCTTTTCAGCTAAGACTGTCAAAGGTCTCTGGAAAGATGAAACATATTCTACTCCATAATTGAGGAGCCAGAGGCAAAGGGTAGTGAATTAGCCAAGCCACCACCAGCGCAGCCTAGATGGCCTTGGTCTCCACTGAGCAGTTTATAGTTGTTTTCTACTATAAATAAGGGCATGCACGCAGGAGCATGAGAGTCACAGACCAAGTCACCAAAGGTGACCCAGAGAGCCTGTGATTAACTTTTCTGTGGCCAGAGAGAGAAAATGGAAAAGTTCAGTAGCAAAGTAAATTTTTGCCACAATGGTGTTGTTGAAAAATACCCATGACTCAACTCAGCAGATTAAGTTCTGCTCCTGGCTCAGTAAGAAAATAACCTTGGCCATATTATTATTATTCCTCCCGATTTAAGACGAGGAATCTAGACTAGACCACCAGAGACTTCCCCAACCCCCATCCCAGCTTTGAGCATTTGTGTGCTTTGTTTTTGGTCTTTATTCTTTTTTTCTTTTCTTTTCTTTTTTTTTTTTTTTTTTTTTTTTTGAGATGGAGTCTCGCTCTGTTGCCCAGGCTGGAGGGCGGTGGCGCGATCTCGGCTCACTGCAAGCTCCGCCTCCCGGGTTCCCGCCATTCTCCTGCCTCAGCCTCCCGAGTAGCTGGGACTACAGGCGCCCGCCACCACGCCCGGCTAATTTTTGTATTTTTAGTAGAGACGGGGTTTCACCGTGTTAGCCAGGATGGTCTCGATCTCCTGACCTCGTGATCCGCCCGCCTCGGCCTCCCAAAGTGCTGGGATTACAGGCGTGAGCCACCATGCCCGGCCTGTTTTCAGTATTTATTCTTCTCTCTGCCACTGGGTTATGTAACAAATGATGATTCAAACCTGACAATTAAATTGCATTAGATCAGTGCTCCTCACACCTAAGGTGCAAAAGGAATCCCCTGGGATTCTTGTTAAAATGCAAAGTCTGGTTCAGCAGACGAAGGGTGGAGCTTGAGGGTCTGCATTTCTAATAAACCCCTGATAGATACCAAAGCCGCCCATGCCCAGCCATACTTTGGACACTAGGAGTAGAAAGGGTTTAGAATTCAGTGTATGTTTCCAGCAAAATACATCCAGAGGAAAAAGACGGCGAGAAAAAGGAGTGGGGGAAGTATGATCTACTGATTTAAAAAAATATGGTATTTACAAATCAAGTATAAGTTGAGACTTATAGATTTAAAAACAAAACTATCCTTTGATAAAAGCATACATTCAAACGAAAACACCGATAAGATTTAGTTAAATGTATTGTTGATATCCTCACAGCAGTTTGTTGTTTAAGCTGATGAGGAGAAGCACAGGGGCCGGTTCTCCTTTGATTGGCACAATCCTTTCGAGAAATATGAGGAAGGTTCTAAAGGCTCCCCGCACATGACGCACTAAGGCACGGGGCGGGGGGATTCAAGGATTTCTTTCCTCAGTGGTCCACGGCTGTCCTTCCAGCTAGAGATGTATTAGAATGTCTGCCAGGATCCCCAATTCCTGGTCCAGTGCTGTTGCTATTAATGGCACTACTCATCAAACTAAGTCACCTCCTCTATGACCTACATCCTTTTTTGCCAACTATTTTGTGTTAATGGAATCACTCTATCTCTGCAATGAAATGCAAATCATTATTCTTCAAATAACAGCCGTAGTGATCCTGAAGCTCTTTGTGTAGGCTTCCTTCATTTATCTTTCCCTATAATTTCAGTAATGAGCATAAAAGGATCTAGACAAAAATAGTATGTTGAGAAATGCCAACATAAAACCCAGCAGTGACTCATTTCACAAGCTATCTTTTATTTTCCCTATTCTCATTCCCTGGGTCATCGATGAACAAAGTTGCCAGCCTTGCTTCATATGTTACCTCTTGCATGGATTCAGCAATAATAATTGGAACTGAAAATAAATGTATGTCCAGGAATGAATGATCAGCCCTTTATTCGCCAGATGATTCAAGATTTCCAGTTTCTCCATTGTCATTTTTATACTGCATATGCTCTTTGTTCTCTGCAATGCTTTATTGACCTCTTTCAGGTTGTAAAGAAGCAGATGAAAGAGGCAGCCAATGAGGAGCTGGGAGGCATGTGCTGTAAGGGGCTCCTTCACTCTGGAGCAGCACAAGTGCATTATGTTATGTATTGGTTGATAAACTCACCTTTGTCCCCCTAATTTGGAAGCACCTTGGGAAGAAAATCATACTATTGGCCATTTTGAACTCTACCGGTTACCTATTCCAAGTCTATTGGATTCCAGATGAATATTTTTTTGGTCATTAAAAACCACTATTTTTGTAACTAAGAGGAAGATGTTGGTAGCTCTCAAATCCAACTGAACTCCTTAAGCACATGTACATTATTTAGCCCAACCTCTAACAACAACACATAATAATAATGGTAATGATAGCAGCTAACATTTATTGAGACTTTTTAATATTCAATTGCATAGTTATAAATATTATCTCAACTAGTATTCTTGGGGAACTTATAAAGCAGTTATTATCATTCTTCTTCTTTTCCTCCTCCTCCTTCTCATTATTATTCCTTGTCTGTAGATTTTTTAAAAATGGTCTCAGGAAGATTACACACTCTCTCAAGTCATGCATTTATCAGTTATGGAGCTGAGATTGAAACAGCTCCAGAATCTGTGCCTTACCTCTTTTATTTGGGCTTCTTTGATGTAAGCCCAGTATTGCTCTTCTATTCAACATCCCTTATCATTACAGCGTGTCAACAAAAGTAGAGGTCCTGATTGTCCTTTTCCCTACGGTGGTACCAATACTAAGAATAATGCCCACATCTGGCAAGGACTCACTGTCTAATTGGAGAGAGAGAGGAAAGCAGGGAGATGAAGAGAAGGGGAGGGAAGGGAGGAAAAAATGAAGTAAGAAAACATTGTGAAGCCTCTACTGGCATGTTTAATCGTTTGCTATGTTTGATGTGAACATCCCAGATCCCAGAAAGCCACAGAAGGGAGGACAGAAAAAAACATGATAAAGATGTTTGTGGGAAAGTAAAATCAATCCGGTGATACTGTAAGCAAAACATCCTGCAATATTAGGTTTAATGCTAAATAACGTTCTATGAAATATTTATTTAAAATCTGTCATCTTAATTGGGAAGGTATTTCAGAATGCTTCATATGCTTCACATATATATATAGCATTAAGACATTTTAATTAATTGATTTTTTTATTATACTTTAAGTTTTAGGGTACATGTGCACAACGTGCAGCTTAGTTACATATGTATACATGTGCCATGTTGGTGTGCTGCACCCATTAACTCGTCATTTAACATTAGGTATATCTCCCAATGCTATCCCTCCCCCCTCCCCCACCCCACAACAGGCCCCAGTGTATGATGTTCCCCTTCCTGTGTCCATGTGTTCCCATTGTTCAATTCCCACCTATGAGTGAGAACATGCGGCGTTTGGTTTTTTTGCCCTTGTGATAGTTTGCTGAGAATGATGGTTTCCAGCTTCATCCATGTCCCTACAAAGGACATGAACTCATCCTTTTTTATAGTTGCAGAGTATTCCATGGTGTATATGTGCCACATTTTCTTAATCCAGTCTATCATTGTTGGACATTTGGGTTGGTTCCAAGTCTTTGCTATTGTGAATAGTGCCGCAATAAACATACATGTGCATGTGCCTTTATGGCAGGATGATTTATAATCCTTTGGGTATATACCCAGTAATGGGATGGCTGGGTCAAATGGTATTTCTAGTTCTAGATCCCTGAGGAATCGCCACACTGACTTCCACGATGGTTGAACTAGTTTACTGTCCCACCAACAGTGTAAAAGTGTTTCTATTTCTCCACATCCTCTCCAGCACCTGTTGTTTCCTGACTTTTTAATGATCGCCGTTCTAACTGGTGTGAGATGGTATCTCATTGTGGTTTTGATTTGCATTTCTCTGATGGCCAGTGATGATGAGCATTTTTTCATGTGTCTTTTGGCTGCATAAATGTCTTGTTTCAAGAAGTGTCTGTTCATATCCTTTGCCCACTTTTTGATGGGTTGTTTGTTTTTTTCTTTTAAATGTGTTTGAGTTCATTATAGATTCTGGATATTAGCCCTTTGTCAGATGAGTAGATTGCAAACATTTTCTCCCATTCTGTAGGTTGCCTGTTCACTCTGATGGTAGTTTCTTTTGCTGTGCAGAAGCTCTTGAGTTTAATTAGATCCCATTTGTCAATTTTGGCTTTTGTTGCCATTGCTTGTGGTGTTTTAGAGATGAAGTCCTTGCCCATGCCTATGTCCTGAATGGTATTGCCTAGGTTTTCTTCTAGGGTTTTTATGGTTATAGGTCTAACATTTAAGTCTTTAATCCATCTTGAATTAATTTTTGTATAAGGTGTAAGGAAGGGTAATTAATTGATTTTTAAACACAGTAGGTAAATCAGTTTATATTCTCAGTTGTAATGCTTCTTTTAAAGATATAATTAGGGTGAAAACTAATTAAAGTTATTTTCTATGACATAATGACATTTATTATATTACCATATTCTTTACAATTACTATTACACTCAACAAATTTCTTCTTTTATTTCTTTTTTCTGTTTTTATCTTTCTTTCTCCTTTCTTTCTCCTCCCTCTCTCCCTCTTTCTCTTTCTTTCTTATTTTAAGCACTTCTAATGTCAACACAAAAGAAACTGAAGAAAATACTACCGCACATGATATTCAACAATCCGTATTATATTTAGCTGTTAAAATCATTTCTCACCTCTCTCTTTCTCTTCCCCCTCATCTCTGAAATTCCAAAAACCTATCTGGGAAAAAAATGATTTGAATTTACAGGCACCCAAAGTAAAGGTCAGAGAGCCTGCCTAAAATGATCCAGGGGCTTGGAGAGCAGAAACAAGATAAAGGATGAACACTGATGTATGAAACCATTCCTTTCCTTATGCCATTACCATTTAATCTTTTAGGGCCAGGGGTGGTGGCTCATGCCTGTAATCCCAGCACTTTGAGAGGCCAAAGCAGGCCGATTGCTTGAGGTCAGGAGTTTGAGACCAGCCTGGCCAACATGGTGAAACCCTGTCTCTACTAAAAATATAAAAATTAGCCAAGCATGGTGGTGCACACCTGTAGGCTGAAGCAGGAGAATTGCTTGAGCCTGGGAGGCAAATGTTGCAGTAAGCCGAGATCGCACCACTGCATGCCAGCCTGGGTGACACAGGGAGATTCTGTCTCAAAAAAAAAAAAAAAATTAAACTTTTATGCTTGTAAATTCACCAGAGAGGGTGACATTAGCTTAACTTCCTTGATCTGGGAATGTGATTTCCGGCTATGTTTTCATGACAAAATTGCATCACAGCAAACATTCCAGATACCCCAAAGGTTTAGATGTAATGGCATTTGATTATATGAGTACTGTGTTCCATCCTGAATTTTTAATTCCTCTCTCTCAAAAAAAATTGGGGTATACTGTACCCTACATGGCTCCCTTCTGAACCATTTTGAAGTAATTTTAGAGAATATTACTCATCACTTCTTCTTTAACATGAATTTGTCGTCTCTTTTGATTACCACAACTAAGCTAGAGTTGTCACCAATAAGTATACAACTGAATCAAAATTTTAAAATCCCCCAAAACCATATGCATTAGACTGTAAGTCTGAGTTAAGCTTTTCAGTAGTAAGCCACACACAGTGTCAGCATGAAATAATTATATATATATATGAATTATATATAAAGAACTAGTTTTAGAAATATATATATATATATATATATATATATATATATATATATATAAAGAACTAGTTTTAGCTGGTGACTCTGAGCTTGGAAGACACCTAGTTCTGATAACTGGGGATAAACAGAATAATAGTTTGTATTAGCACTCAACTGGATTTTTCATTGTTCAATAGACATTGACTGTTCTGGGTGCTGGAAATCCAGTAGTGAACAGAAAAAATTTTTTTATCTACATCAAGTCATATTAATGTAGTAACATACATTGTCTAAGAAGAATTTATAGATAAATATATAGATTATATATATATATATATACATGTGTGCATATGTTGTGTATGTGTGATCAGAAAGAAACTTTTGCCCTTACATGCACACAAACACACACAAATCATTTTCAGCTAAAAAATCTTTGTGCCTTCAGAGGATTTTCGGAGTAAGAATCTTAGCAGAAGTACAGTTTCCAAAACAAAGTCCAGAAAATAGTTTTTATTTCTCCCATTTGTCAGTTAGGCAAAAGAACAGTAAGGTTTTGGGCAAAGGGATGGAAAAGGAGGATTTGATGATATTGTGCCAGTGAACATGCTTCAAAGAAAACTAACTCAGAGGCTTTATTTGTTTCTTATTGCTGCTGTAACAAATCACCACAAACGTAGTTGCTTAATACCAGAAAACTTAATCACTTATAGTTCTGGAATTCAGGAGTTACAAAATCAACATGTCAGCAGGGCTGCGTTCTTTCTGGAGGCTCCAGGGGAAAATCTATTTCCTTGCCTTTCCAGTTTCTAGAAGCTGCTTGCATTTTTTGGCTTGTGGTGCCTCCCTTACATAATACAGACCTCTGCTTCTGTGGTCATATCTTTTTGACTCTGACCCTCCTATAAAGACTCTCTTATAAAGCCCCTTGGAAATATGTAGATCCCAGCCTATAATCCAGGATAATCTTATCTCAAGGTCCTTACTTTAAGTACATATTTTGGGAGACTCATTATTCTGTCTAGCATAGAGACTGATGTATTGGATGAAATATTCAGGTTCTGACTTGCACATTTACTGCAAGTTTGTAGGACAAATTTTGGATACTACCTCAGAAGTCTCAGGTACCCTAAAAGCAAAAGAAAATCCATTCTTCAAATCACCCTTTGTTTGTGTAGCTGTGGATGACTTTGCAATCAGGGAATAAATTCTGTTTCATCATGAGCAGAGAGGTCATCAACATTCATGAGTTAAAGTCAACAGATGCATGGGGTTCTTTTCCATTTGGCAATAGGCATCTTATCTCCATTTATAAATAAATATATATATGTGTGTATTGCATTAATATACATAAATATGTATATATATACATATTTTTCTTTCAAAAACTTCTTTATGCAGCCCTTTCAGGTAGTTCTCACAAGTAAAATTAGGTTGCTTAGATGTGGCCATTTAAAGCATATTGGAACTGCCAGCAATATAGGAATTAGTTGTATAATTTATGTCATATTAAATTGTTACACAACTTCATGTACTTTCTTCTTTTGTCTGAATTTATTGCCTCACTCATCTGGGAGAATAAAATGCATACAGAGTCGCACAGTGACAAAGGCAAACTGCTTTTTGTAAAGAATTTTAAGATTCTTCATTGTGGATTTAATTATAAGAGTGCCTTTTTGTCTTGACATCTCTAAAATCTGATGGAAGTGAGTGGGAAAAGCTGATGCTATATGGTTTTTCTTACCCAACTTGGATGTCATGTTTACTGATATCTGATTTTAAATACTCAGAGGAATTTTCAGACAAAAAAAGTCTTTTTGAAAAACATATTATGGACTTTAGGTTAGGACAAGATGATATAGAGCCATTTTTTTGTTCCTCCCATAAATTAAAATTTCTAAATTTCATAAATTAAATTCTAAATACAACTATAAGCCCAGGAAATAGCACAAGAGGTATATTTCAGTCCATTCAGGCTCTTATATCAAAAAATATCACAGACAAGATAGCTTATAAACAAGAAACCTTTCTTTTATCACAGTTCTGGAGGCTAGGAAGTCCAAGATCAATCTACTGGCAGATTTTGTGCAGGGTGAGTCCCACATCTATGTGCATAGACAGCTGTCTTCTCCCCGTGAACTTACATGGGAGAAGGGGTGCGAAAACTCTCTGGAGCCTCTTCTGTAAAAGTACTAATTCCATTTGTGAGAGCTCTGCCACCTAAAAAGCCCTACCTCCTAATATCATCACCTTGGGAATTAGGTTTCAGCATATGAATTTTTGGGCTACACAAACATTCAGACCATAGCAAGGCAACCAGGGAAATCTCTGAAAGGTGATAAGACAGTGTACTGGTCAGGGACCCAGGACTGGAGGAACAGCACAGCCAAAGGGTGTCTTATGGTCCCCAACCCACAGAGAAAGGAGACTCAGAGCCAGCATTTCCTGACCACCGACCTAACAATAAAAAGTAGCAGAATTAGGCCCATTCCTTCCGCACATAGAACCAGAACCCCACAGGAAACACAAAACTGGCAGAGCTGGCAAGGAACTCAGCCTGGAGGCCCACAAACAATGGACAACCAAGGAAACATGCTTCTACCCACTGGGGCAGAGACAACTCCTCCACAGAGAGATAGTGAAGCTGCCAATGGCACTTACTTGCAAGAGAGACCACAGCAAGCAGATGGGTTTGAGAAGCCTGCTTGTCACCATGGTCTTGAGACTTCCCTTCCCAGAGACACCAAAAGGGGAAGGGGCACAGGTATAGGGATCCCACCACATAGTGACGGTTCCCAGGATAGCTCTCCAGATCCCCGTAGGCAGGGGAATCCTGCCATAGCGAGCTCCTGACAGTGATGCCCCTTACAGACTTAAGAGTTTCTACCCACACTAGGAGACCCCCATGTGGCAGACAGAACTGAAAGGAGGAACTCACACATGGAAGGCATCCTGATCCAGAAGGTCTTTTTGTGTACATATGGGCCTGATACTCCCTTCCTCTATGCAGAGCAGAGACACTAGGGCAGCCAGGTTTAGGGGCCAGCAATAAATGAGCATCCAGAGAGGGAACCTGGGTGTCCTTTCCTCTACCCGGAGACACCCAGTAGCCCCACCTGAGTAATCTTTTAGTTTCCTATTGAGGCAGCATCAACAAGAACCAGTGAGAGCTCAACAAGCATCAGACCAAACTAACAAACAAGCCAAAATAATAGCACAAAGGATGTAAAAATTAAACCATCAAGGAACTGCAGATCACAGAGTAGACTAAACCATGTCTAAGATACAACTGAAAAATCACCCATCATACCAGGAACCAAGAAAATTACAATTTGAATGAGAAAGGACAATCAACTGACAACCATCGGCAGTTAAATGAATCAGATGTTGAAATTATAGTTGAATAGATGAGGATTTTGAAACAGCTATCTCGGAACAATCAATTACAAATTCTTTTGAAACAAATTTAAAAAGTAGAAAATCTCACCAAAAACACAGAAGTTATATAAAAAAGGAACCAAATAAATATATAAAAGGGAAAAATACAATATTTGAAATAAAAAAAAAACTCTGTGTAGGCTTAATAGTGTTGTTGAGATGACGGAGGATAGAATAAAAGAACACAGGACAAATCAATGTAATTCACCCAATTTGAAAAGTGGAGAGAAAATAGGCAAAAAGAGCAGCTGAAATGTAAGAGGAAGAAGAGAAGGAGGAAAAAGAAGAGGAAGAGAACAGATCCTCAAGGACTTGAGGGAACATAACTAAAGGTTCAGCATTCATATTACCACAGCCCCCCAAAAAGAGAAAAATGACAATGGGTCTGAAAGAGCATTCAAAGCAATAATAGCTGAAAACTTCTCGACTTTGGCAAAAAAACACAAACCTTCATGAAAGAAATAACACAAAGTGGTTAAATGCAGAGAAATTAATGCCAAACACATCATAAATAAATTTCTAAAAATCACACACAAGGAAAACATTTTGAAAGCAGCAAAAGAGAAATGAAATATTATCTACAGGACAATACCAATTCTAATGTCAAAGGGTTTTTCATCTGAAATCATGGAGAGAAGAAGGAAGTGGTACATTTTTCAAATATAAAATGAAAAGAACTCTCAACCATGAATTAGGTCCCTTTACCCTCCCTACTTTTAAATAAAATGATCTAGTGTAAGATGGTATTATAATTTTGGCTTTAATTATCCAATATAATTACTAAAACTCATAAGTAAGATATAGTCTATTGTATCTACCTACATTTATGCTCTTTCCATTTTTCCTTTTTCCTCCTTGAAGCTTCAAAATTCTTTGTTTTATCATTTATTTTTAAATAATTATTATTTTTATTTATTTATTTTTTATCTAACCTTTAAATCAAGTCTACTGGCAATACTTTCTTTTGTTTTCTTTTGTCTGAGAATGCCTTTGTTTCTCATTTTTTTCCCAAAAAAGAGTTTCAGCACATGTTGATGCAAACATTAATAAGAAAGTCAGGAGTAGCTATATTAATATCTGGTTAAGCATACTTCAGAGCAAAAAAAATTACAGACAAAGAGGAACATTACATTACATAATAATGAAAGGTTCAATTTGGCAGGAAGATATAACAATTATAAATGTGTATATACCAAACAACAGAGCCTCAAAATACATAAATAAATCAGACAGAGCTGAAAGGAACAATGGAGAAATCCATAATTATACATGTGGACTTTATCATCTCCTTCCCAGAACTAAAAAACAGATAGAATCACTAGACATAAAACTGAACAAGGATACAATCTCAACAACATACTCAATCAACAGCAATTACTATATATGCACACATATATATGAATAAATATACATATATGAACACACATGCACAAATATGCATATTCCTTCTTCCTCTCTCTCTATATAAAGTCAGTCCATTTCAAACAACAGTAAAATGCTTATTTTATTATTCCAAATGGCTATGAAACTTTCACCAAGGTAGACTGTATTTGGAGCCATAAAACAAACCTCAACAACTTTTTAAAAAATAAAATCATACAGAATGTCTTTTCTGATCATAATGAAATCTAACCAGAAATCAATAACAAAAAAGAGAACAGAAAAATCTCTAATCTAATCAAATAGAAATTTTAAAACATACTTTTAAATAATTTATAGTCAAAGAGGAAGTTTAAATAAAAATTTAAAAAGATAGATGGAGTTAAATGAAAATGAAAATACAGCATTTCAAAATATGTGGGATGCAAGTAAAGCTGTTGAGAGAAAAATCTGAGAACTGAATGCTATGTTAGAAATTAGGAAAGATCTCAAATCAATAATCTAAACTGCTACTTCAAGAAAATTGTAAATGAAAAGCAAAATAAGTCCCATGTAAGAAGTTAGAAAATAAATATAAGAACAGGTTGCTTAGAAACTTAAAGTAAGAAAAAAATAGAAAAAAAATCAATGAAACAAAAAACTAGTTCCAGAAGAATTAATAGAATTGATAAACCTATAGCAAGACTGACAAAAATAAAGAGAAAAATTGAATTGCCAATATCAGGAACGAAAAAGAGGATATTACTACAGATCCTACAGCAATTAAAATGATAAAGGAATAATACCAACAACTTTATGCCCCAACATTTAATAACTTAGAAGAAATGGACCAATTGCTGAAAAATCACAAACTGCCCAAACTCAACCAAGATAAAATAGATAATTTAAATAGTCATATGACAATTAAAGAAATTTAAGTGCAACCAGAATACTACTGAAAAAGTAATCTCTGGGTCTAGATGCTTAGACTAGAGAATTCTGCCAAGGGTTTAAAGGATAAATAATCAGTCTACATAATACTCCAGAAAATAGAAGAGGAGGGCACACGCTCAGCTTATTTTATGAGGCCAGTTTTTCCGGATAGCAATACCAAAGATAGCACAATCAAAATAGAACAAAAAACTACAGACCAATACCTCTTATAAATTTATATGTGAACATCCACACCAAAATATTAGCAACCTGAATCTGATGATGTATAAAAGGAATTCTATGCCATGATCAAATGAGATCTGCTTCAGGTATGGAATACTGGCTCACCATTCAAAAATCAATCAATATGTAGAGGGCTATTGGCATATGGCAAGGAACTATTGTACCTGATTGAAACTCCAGGAGGGAAGTAATACATACTTTATAAACATTAAATATTGTAATTCAACTTGGTAGATAAGTATTTAATAGTCAGTGCAACTCCAGACAGTTAAGGTCATCTATATCAAAATGGAGATTACTTCTAGTATCTTGTTGAAGTTGCATGTGTCGACATTCAAAACAAATGACAGATAATATCCAAAGATTTTACCAAGAGGCTTTTGATATAAGTAAGAAAGGGATGAAACTGTTACACTTAATCTGCCTGGGGCTGGCTTTTAACATTTCTATATTTTACTGTGAGATCCTTAATAACCCAGAGCTTTCCTGCACCTTGGTTAATATAACTTTTGATAAGCCCATCACAGAATTTCACACACTGAATAAAGACTTTTTTGTTGGTTTTTTTTTTTGTTTTATTTTGTTTTTTGAGACAGAATTTCGCTATTGTTTCCCAGGCTGGAGTGCAATGGCGCAATTTCGGCTCACCACAACCTCCATCTCCCGGGTTCAGACGATTCTCCTGCCTTGGCCTCCCAAGTAGCTGGGATTACAGGCATGCACCACAATACCTGGCTATTTTTTTTTTTTTAGTAGAGGCGGGGTTTCTCCATGTTGGTCAGGCTTGTCTCAAACTCCCGACCTCAGGTGATCCACCCACTTCGACCTCCCAAAGTGCTGGGATTACAGGCGTGAGTCACTGCACCCAGCCCTACACTGAATAAAGATTTATATAAAGACAGCATCCTTATCATGAAGTTGCTTAGAGACAACCTAATCTTATGGACATCAGACAGTGCAGGGAGGAACATGATGTGGCGTAAGGGCAGAAAACTAAATGCATACAGGTGTCATCCTTTTCCTCCTAACACAACCCTTTTACACTCTCCATTTCTTATGCAACTTGGATTTCCTGTAACGACAACAATAAAACCCATTCCGTATGGAATCAATTGTTTATAGTCTTTTCACACTGTAGTTCTGGGAAAACTTCGCTGCTTGATTTGTGTTTGTTTTGGTTTGCCTGGTGTGCAGAGAGGCATTCAAATCTTCATTTCATATAAATAGAAGTAATTTCCAAATACTTATGTATAAGTCTAAAATGTATGTAGTATTTAAACAATCTGAATCCATTCTGCAAGTAGCAGTTTATTGTATTACTATGAAGATATGAAAACATACTTAATTACAATTGAGTGTTCTTACATAACTTTTTAATTTCTACATTCCCTCCCTATTCTTTTTCGGGAGTTTTCTTTCAATAAACAACATTTTCATGTTTTTAATGTATTTCTTTTTTAACAGGTAAACAGGTGAATTAGGTTGAATGAAAAAGTATTTAATATTTCTAAATTAAGGGTCACATATTAAAAATGCCTACTATATAGCATATTATGAAGGTCATCTATATTTGTGACAACAGGAAGTTTCCTTATTCACTCTTCATTTGCAGTATTTAAGTTGACAGCTTCCCTTCCTAAGAAAATTTTTTTATACTAAATTTTTTTATATTATATTTTATATTATAAAAATGTTTATATAAAAACTATATTATATAAAAATTTTTATAATAAAAGAAAGAAAAAGAAAGATCAGTCAATATAAGTACACCATATAACAAATTAAGATTAAAAACCATGTAATTCTATTAGTTGGTGCAGAAAAAGCATTTAACCAAATTCAACACTCATTTATATTAAAGACACTCAACCTATTAAGAATAGAGGGGAACTACTTCAATTTAATAATGAACAACAATAAAACATCTATAGCTAAAATTGTACTTAATGGTAAATGACTTAATGCTTTCCCCTAAGATTGGGAGCAAGGCAATGATGTTCACTTTCTCTGCTCTTATTCCACATAGTACTGGAGGTTTTAGCTATTGCAGTTGAGGCATACAGATTAGAAAGGGAGAAATAAAAATGTCTCTGTTTGTAGATATCATGATTATCTACATAGAAAATATATTCCCCCTTAAATGTATACAAAGAAAAAAAGCACTGTAAAATACTATAAAATGTTATCGTGACACATAAACTTTCAGAATCATTCAATAATAAGCAACAATAAAATAAAATAAACCTTTAAAACTTAATCAGCCAATCTTGAGGGTCCTCTCTTTGGCTCTTCTCATTTGCTTGCTCTGATAAATCAAGTTGATATGATATGAGTTGCTTCATGGAGAGGGCAGAAGGTATAGGACTGAATCCTGCCATAAAATTATGTAAAGGAGCTTGGATACAGACCCTTCCCTACTGGAGCCTTGAGATGAGACCATAGCTCCAGCCAACTCCATGACTGCAGCCCTCTGACAGATCCTAAGTCAAAAGATCCTGCTGAACCACATCCATACACTTGACCTACACAAGCCATGAGATAGTAAATGTTGTGGGTTCAAGTCACCACATTTTGGGATGATTTGTTATGCAGCGATAGATATCTAATACAATCTCTATCTTTATATTATTCAGGAAGTCATTAAAGAAGCAACCCATGGCAAAACTAGTTATTTTCTTAAAACAGTAGGAAGAAGAAAAGCTTTTTGAATGAATCACTTCTCATCTTCTCCGAAGTTGGAAGCATCAAGAATCTAAATAAGCATTTATGATGGCTGGCATGAATATGTGAGTAAATACCTGAAAAACTGGCCAGAAGTGTTTTTTTTTTTTAATGAGATTAATCTCGCTTTGATGGAATTTCATTCAGATTATCAAAAGAAAATGAAATATTTTTAGCAAAGTAGATGACTGGGAAGAATTAGGAGAGTAAATGGGGAAAGTGCTCTGTATTAGCAGATCTGCCTGGGACAGGCCTCCTAAGCAGGGTTTCCTCTTCAGCTTCCATCCTTTTTTTTGGTTTGGTTTGGTTTGATTTAGTTTTTATTTTGCTTTTTGCTCTTTACTTCTGAAAACACATTATTTTTCAAGAGGATATATTAGATTTCTTTCTTTCTTTCTTTCTTTCTTTCTTTTGAGACGGGACTGTAGGCACATGCCACCACGCACGTCCGGCTAATTTTTTGTATTTTTAGTAGAGACGGGTTTCGCCGTGTTAGCCAGGATGGTCTCGGTCTCCTGACCTCGTGATCTAACTGCTCCGGCCTCCCAAAGTCCTGGGATTACAGGCATGAGCTGCCGCGCCCGGCCCATCAGTTTTCTTTGTATAGCTCTGAACACTATAACAACCAGGAGTCCCTCTGATTGAAGATGTGAGTGTGCTTGCGTGTTAGCTTAGTGGTGTCTGTATTGGGGTGTTGGTATGGGAAGTTCCTAAAGCAAGCATGATAGCTACAATGTAAAAGGCACACTGTTGTTATATATTTTCTCAGTGAGGTGAAAATGTGCATTCTTCTATTTCCTTTCCCATGTAACATTATGTGCCACTGAAATACCCATTAACAGTTGCTATAGGTTTAATACCCTTTACCATCTTGAGGTACAAAATATTGTTTTTAAATGTCTAAATTACTGTGATTCTGAATGCTCACAGATCACTCTTTCTTTCCCAGAAACCTCAAAGAAATCAGTCTGAGAGCTGCAAGGGTTCACTCTATTCAGTAGCGTCCACATTGGTATCTACTTTCTTCCTGAATTTTTTAAAAGTAATAATAATCTTAAAAGAATCCCTGTTCTCTGTTGTTTCTGTAGCAGTGTTACCACTCCATCTGGTCTCCTTTGAAAATAATAATGTCTACTACTTCAGCAAAAAACCCAGATTGCAAATACAGAGATGGAGATTTTGAATCAGGCTTAAATGCTAATCATAATTTGAATTGTCATCTAAATGTTTCTCTATGTCAATGACAAGAAATATGCAAGAAATCCAAGAGGGCCATTGGTTAGTCTTCTTCCCTCATCTATTCTCTGAGTTTCTCTAAAACCCAAGCAAGTCCCCAGCCTCTCACATCTCCCATGTTTGGTGTAATACTTATGGGCTTGTGTCACTAGATGCCATAATTAAAATTTGAGGCTGAAAGAAGAGTGCCTAAGGGGAGACTACTTGTTTCTTAGCAATTATAAGACCATCTAAAGGCTATGCGCACAAACAGTATGAAACAATTGCTAACTGGGTTTAGTAATATGGAGGACCTCCTATAGCAGAAGCTTAAACTTTGCCCACTAGACAGTTTCTACCCACGTGCCATTGGCCAAGTGGATCAAGGTTGAGAGCAATTTGAAGAGTGACTCTGGAGAACATAAGTTAAAACAAATTTTTTTCCAGGCTTGATGTCTGGGTTCACAAGAGTCTGAAATATTCACACAGTTGTATCAACTATTCACTGCCTATTTACAGTAAGCATAGAAAAATGAATAGAAAATCGACAAAACTGGCCAAAATGACATTGAGATTATCTACCAATTCTATTTATACCTTGTCACAAATAAATAAGACTGTTCTCTCACAACTCTGTTAGCAACCTAAAAGTTTAGAGAACATTTTCTAAGTTTACTAATTTACTTTCAGTGCATTGTCTCTACGTAGTAGGGCCCAAGGCCTTGTCTGAAGAAGCATTCCCATAAAAGGTGTTATGTCACACAAATAAAAATGGCGTATTAATGATATGAGATTCCCTGCAACTTAAAGCCAGTTAAATTTGTGTAGGCATTTTGTCAATGAAATTGGACTAATGAAAATGAAACCAGGTACAATGTAATTTATTTGAAAATTATTTTTAAAAACAGTTTGTGTTAGTTTTCCCTAATGTAGTGTTACCATTTTCATCATATTTACCTTAATGGCATAATTATACATAAATTGTTTGGAGAATCCTGTGAGCTCTTAAAAATGTGTATTATGAGGCAGTAAAAGATATTTATCTTCAAACCAATTGATTGATGAATCATACTCAACTTCCTGGTCTATACACTATTTTATAAATAGACTTTTGTCACTATCTTAGCACCAAATTACCATATTAATAGTATATAATTACCATTAATACTGTAACATAGTATTAAGATATAATTTATGAGAAACTTTCTCTCACTATTACAAATCTACAATTTAATCTTAGAACCATCCATTTCAGAGAGCCAGGATAAAATACAGATACCTTTGAAATGATACTGAATGGTAATATCACCATCCTAGTCATTATGGAGGGAGAAAGGTGAGAGAAAAGTTACCTAATTTCCCTTTCAGTTCTCTCCTTCATCGTGCCTATTTTATGAACTTGAACAAGGAAGTTGCCACAACATCTGTGGGCCAGAGAACTATGCCAGAATGTTATTTCCAGATTGCTTCCTGTATTTACAAAGGTATAAATCTTTGATTTCTATATATTCTTCTCACACCCTTCTCTGCGAACACACCTATCTTCCCCATTTTTTAACTGGCTAAGTTCTATCTGCCTATCATGAAAAGCAAAGCCACCTATAACAAATTCCTTAGATTTAAGTAACTCTTTTTTAAATTCCGGTGTATTTTTTGTGCCTTCTATTGGTTAGATTTTGTTAAAATAATGCTGCATAACAAACCTTTCCAATAATAATTTGATACAATAATTTATTACTGTTTATGTACCTCCAGGTTGCCAGGGCGTCCACTGGTCTAAATAGCACTCATCTTCCTACTGCAGGTCTATAGGTCCACTGATACGGCTTTGCTACTCTACCCCGACACCCTGAGGACTAATCTATTAATAGTATGTACTTCTTATAATGATGAGTGAGGCACAAAAGAGGAAGCAGAAACGTAAGAGACCTTCTAAAGCCTATTCTCAGAACTGCCATACTGTCGTTTCTGCCTCTGGCCAAAACAGGTCATCAGGTACAAAGTCAAGAGCCCAAAGCCACATGGTCCTAAGATGAAGAAAGCCTGTGGATTCAGGAACAGATGAATTTTAGGAGCCAACAACGCAATCTACCACTTGCCTCTCTTAAGAAATATCATTGTTTACCTATGTGGTAATTACCTGTATACCTATTTTTCTCTGCTATGTTAGTACCCATCTGCATTGACTATTTTATTTGTATGGTGCCTTTCACTTGGTAAGTTCTCAACACTGGAAAAATATGCAAGCCAACTAACTTTATTCCCCCTGCACATTGCCAATTACATGTAAGCTTATATGACATGGTCTTTCTATAAAGGCAATTATACAGAAGCCTGAATTCTATGCAGAGTATTGTTCTTCTACCTTACTTTACAACAAGTAATCATTGTATAGGTTTCAGCACAATTAAAATGTAGCAAGTCCTGTGAAGATATTTAGTCTGAATTAATAGGTTCTCGGCACTGGGCTTCTGGATTTCTTTTTTAAAAATTTTTTATTTAATTATGACTAATGTTCATCTATTATATACACTTTAATCCAGTTACTGTATATCCATGAATTTTGGTAATGGGAGAATAACAAGACAGCTGCCATTCTAGAACCTACTCAAAGGAACTGGTATATAACAATACTCAAACTTTCTTCTCATCAACACTATCCAGTCTCACAAACCAAGATCAAAATGACTTTTCAATTTGCATATACCTTACCTTTAGCTCCCTTATGCCTTGATAAGTTGGTTATGATTCTAAGTACACAGTAATTTATAATTACTTAAATGGACCATTAAAGAAGTATCTTGGTAAAATCTCCACTCATGAGATTTTCACTGGCCTTTTATATACTCATCAAGCAAAAGAGGAAAAAAATATTTACGGATGTTCAGGTCAGGATCTTTCCTATTATATTTTTTAGTAGAACATCATATTATCTTTCACTTGCCTAATATTTTATCTTTGGCACACTTATAAATGTTGTCAAATTTGGATGACAATGCTAATGTGTTGGAAAACTTAAAATTAACAAGGAAGTAGATAGAGCACTAAGTTTTAAGGAAAAAATAGACCATTCTCTGTACCGAATGATTTGATGTAACTGGGATAATTTTTAAAATTAAGCCTTTTTCTCAATCCACCAAAATCAGGGTCCCGTCTCTACTGCTCTGTCTCTTTAGCTCCAGAAGTCCCAATGTGGCTCCATCACCACCTCTGTCACCCTGTAACCTGCAAGTACTGGGAGATCTGTAGAAAGGATGCTGGCATGACCAAGAAGCCAGGAAATGGTATTACATTAAAACTTCTGCAGTTTCCTTGAAATTCTACTCTCATCAGGACACACACTCCCATAGCCATTCCACCACCATGCACTTGCCCATGACTGCCCACTGCCCTGCCAGTGCATGCTCACCCATGGCCTCCACACTACAGCGCACTCTCCTGCGGCTCCCCATCACCACACTGGAGCGCTTTGACTGGCAGCCCCCACCAAAATGTTGTTAGTAGTGGACTGAGGACACCTCAGTCACCCCAGCATAGCAGGAACTTGACCTAAAGGGGCCAGAGAACAAACCTGTGAACCTGGTCCCAACCCTCCAAGTTTAGACTATGCAGTCCAGGGATGCTGAGCTGAGCCCTGGTCCATGAAAGCACCCAGAAATGAGCTCCATCAACCAAACACAACTTTTACCAGTCCAGGGATGCTGAGCTGAGCCCTGGTCCATGAAAGCACCCAGAAATGAGCTCCATCAACCAAACACAACTTTTACCAGTCCAGGGATGCCGAGCTGAGCCCTGGTCCATGAAAGCACCCAGAAATGAGCTCCATCAACCAAACACAACTTTTACCAGTCCAGGGATGCCGAGCTGAGCCCTGGTCCATGAAAGCACCCAGAAATGAGCTCCATCAACCAAACACAACTTTTACCAGTCCAGGGATGCCGAGCTGAGCCCTGGTCCATGAAAGCACCCAGAAATGAGCTCCATCAACCAAACACAACTTTTACCAGTCCAGGGATGCCGAGCTGAGCCCTGGTCCATGAAAGCACCCAGAAATGAGCTCCATCAACCAAACACAACTTTTACCAGTCCAGGGATGCCGAGCTGAGCCCTGGTCCATGAAAGCACCCAGAAATGAGCTCCATCAACCAAACACAACTTTTACCACAGTCAGACCCTCAAAGGTTTCAAAAAGCGTAAAGGCAAAAAGCACCATCCAACGGACAACAACTTCAAAATTTAAAGAAACATCAGCTAACACAGATGAGAAAAAACCCAGCAAAAGAATTCTGACAACTGTAAAAGTAAAAGTGTCTTCTTACCTCCAAATGATCACACTAGCTCCCCAGCAATGATTCTTAACCAGACTGAAATGGCTGAAATGACAGACAAAGAATTCAGAATCGGGATAGCAAGGAAACTCAATGAGATGCAGAAGAAGGTTAAAACCTAATTCTAGGAAAGCAGTAAAATGATCCATGAGTTGAAAGATAACATAACAATTTTAAGAAAGAACCAAATTGAAATTCTGTAAATGAAAAATTTACTACATGAATTTTATAACACAATTGGAAGCATTAATAAGAAAATAGACCAAGCTGAGGAAAGACTTTCAGAGCTCAAAGACCACTCCTTTGAATCAATACAGGCAAACAAATCCAAAAAAAAGAATTAAAATATGAACAAAACCTCCAAGAAATGTGGGATTATATGAAGAGAACAAGCCTATGATTCATTAGCATTCTTGAAAAAGACAGATAGAAAGAAACTTGGAAAATATATTTGAGTATATTGTCCATGAAAATTTCCTCAACCTTACTAGAGAGGCTGACAATAAATCCAGAAAATTCAGAGAACCCCTGTGAGCTATTATACAACATGACCATTACTAAGACACATAGTCATCAGATTATCCAAGGTCAATGCAAAAGAAAAACTCTTAAAGGCAGCTAGAGCAAAGGGACAGGTCACTTATAAAGGGAAACCCATCAGGCTAAGAGCAGATCTTTTAGCAGAAACCTTATAAGACAGAAGAGATTGGGGCCCTATAGTAAGCATCCTTAAAGAACAGAAATTCTAACCAAGAATTTCATATCTGGCCAAACTAAGCTTCATAAATTAAGGAGAAATAAAATCCTTTTCAGACAAGCAAGTGCTAAAGGAATTTGTGATGACCAGACCTGCCTTACAAGAGGTACTTAATGGAGTACTAAATGTGAAAATGAAAGATTGATACCTGCCACCACAAAACCACATGTAAGTACATAGCCCACTGACACTATAAAGCAACTATACAATCAAGTGTACATAATAACCTGCTAACAACACAATGGCAATCAAATCCTCACATATCAATATTGATCTTAAATGTAAATGAGCTAAATGCCCCTCAAAAAGCAAAGAGCAACAGGTTGGATAAAGAAGCAAGACACAACTGTATGCTGTCTTCAAGAGATCCATCTCACATGCAGCCACACCCATAGGCTCAAAGTAAAGGGATGGAGAAAGATCTATCAAGCAAACAGAAAACAAAAAAGAGCAGGGGTTGATGTTCTTACTTTAGATTAAAAAAAAATGCTTTAAACCAATAGTGATCAAAAAGAACAAAGAAGGGCATAACATAATGATAAAGCGTTCAATTATACAAAAAGAGTGAACTATCATAAATATATATGCACCTAACATTGGAGCAAACAAATTCACAAAACAAGTTCTTAGAGACCTATGAAGAAACACACATAACCATACAATAATAGTGGGAGACATCAACACCCCACTGACAGTGCTAGAGAGATAATCAAGGCAGAAAACTAACAAAGATATTTGGGACAAAAACTCAATACTTGGCCAAAGGGATCTAACAGACATCTGCAGGATATTCCACCCAAGAACAACAAAATATACATTATTTTCATCCACACACAGAACATACTCTAAGATTGAGCACATGCTCAACTGTAAAGCAATTCTCAACAAATTCAAAACAATTGAAATCATAAATCACACTGTCAGACCACAGTGCAATAAACATTGAAATCAGTATGAAGAAGACCTCTCAAAACCATACAATTACAAGAAAATTAAACAATTTTCTTGCTTCTGCTCCTGAATGACTTTTGGGTAAAAAATAAAATTAAGGCAAAATTCAAATTCTTTGAAACTAATGAAAACAAAGATACAACATACCAGAATCTCTGGGACACAGCTAAAGCAGTGTTAAGAGGAAAGTTTATTGCACTAAACATCTATATCAAGAAGAAAGATCTCAAATTAAGAACCTAACATCACACCTAGAGGAACTAGAAAGATAAGAGCAAACCAACCCCAAAGGTAGCAGAAGAAAAGAAATAACAAAAATCTGAGCTGAACTGAATTAAATTGAGATGCAATATCCATAAAAAGAATGAATAAAAACAAAAAGTTTGTTCTTTGTGTTCTTTGAAACAATAAAGAAGATTGATAGACCAGTAGCTAGGTTAATTAAAAAAAAGAGACAGAGAAGATCCAAATAGATGCAATCAGAAATGACAAAGATGACATTACCATCAACCCGACAGAAATACCAAAAAAAAAAAAAAAAAAAAAACCTCGACACTGTTAGAAACACCTCCATGTACACACACTAGAAAAGCTAGAAGAACTGGATAAATTCTTAGAAAAATACAATCTCCCAAGATTAAATAAGGAAGAAATTTAAATCTTGAACTGACTAATAACAAGTTTCCAAATTGAATCCGTAGTAAAGAAAAAACTGCCAACCAGAAAAAGCCCTGTACCAGATGGATACACAACAAAATTCTACCAGACATACAAAAAAGAGCTGGTACCAATCCTACTTATATTGTTTCAAAAAATCAAGAAGAGACTTCTCCCTAACTCACTCTATGAAGCCAGCATCATCCTGATACCAAAACCAGGCAGATACATAACAATAAAGAAAACTTCAGGCCAATATCCTTGATGAATATAGATGCAAAAATTCTCAACAAAATAATAGCAAACCGAATCCAGCAACACATCAAAAAGCTAATCCACCACAATCAAGTAGGCTTTATTCCTGGGATCCAAGGTTGGTTCAACATATGCAAATCAATAAATGTGATTCATCGCATAAGCAAAACTGAAAACTAAAACCAAATGATCATCTCAATAGATGCAGAAAGGCTTTTGATAAAATTCAACATCCCTTTTTGTTAAAAACCCTCAAAAACTAGGCATAGGAGGAACATACCTCAAAATAACAAGAGCCATCTGTGACAAACCCACAGCCGACATCAGACTGAATAAGCAAAAGCTAGAAGCATTTCCCTTGAGAACTGGAACACAACAACGATGCTCACACTCACCATTCCTGTTCAACATGGTACTGGAATTCCTAGCTAAAGCAATCAGGCAAGAGAAAGAAACAAAAGGCATCCAAATAGGAAGAGATAAAGTCAAACTATCTCTCTTTATAGACAATATAATTCATGCCCTGAAATCCCCACAGTCTCTGCCCAAAGGCTGCTAGAATTGATGGACAACTTCAGTGAAGTTTTAAGATACAAAATTAACATTAAAAAATTTGCAGCATTTCTATCAGCAGTAAAGTCCAAGCTGAGAGCCAAATCAAGAACACAATACCATTCACAGTAGCCACAAAAAGAATAAAATACCTAGGAATACAGCTTACCAGGGAGGTGAAAGATCTCTACAATGAGAATTACAAAACACTGCTGATAGAAATCGGAGACTACACAAACAAATGGAAAAACACTCCACGCTCATGTAGGAAGACTCAATATTGTTAAAATGGTCATACTGCCCAAAGCAGTTTACAAATTCTATGCTATTTCTATCAATCTACCAAAATTATTTTCCACATAATTAGAGTAAACTATTCTAAAGTTAATAGACCAATAAACAGCCTGAATAGCCAAAGTAATCCTAAGCAAAAAGAACAAAGCCAGAGACATCAGTTGCCCAACTTTAAAGTATACTACAAGGCTATCGTAACCAAAACTACACGATACTGGTACAAAAACAGAAACACAGACCAATGGAGAAGGTTAGAGAACCCAAAAATAAAGCTGCACACCTACAACCATCTAATCTTCAACAAAGTCAACAATAACAGGCAATGGGAAAAGGATTCCCTATTCAATAAATGATTCTGGGATAAATGACTAGCCATGCAGAAGAATGAAACAGAACCCCTTTCTTTCACCGTATACAAAAATCACCTCAAGATTGATTAAAGACTTAAATGAAAGACTTAAAACTATAAAAATCCCAAAAGAAAACTAGAAAATACCATTCTAGATATAGGTCTTGACAAAGATTACATGATGAAGGCTCAAAGAGCAAGTGCAACAAAAACGAAATAGACAAGTGAGACTTAATTAAACTAAAGAACTCCTGCACAACAATAGAAACTATCAATGGTGTAAACAGATCATCTACAGAATGGAAGAAAATATTTACAAACTGTGTCTGACCAAGGTGTAATATCCAGAATCTATAAGGAACTTAACAAGCATAAAAACAAACAACCGACTAAGGACAGGAACAGACACTTTTCAAAAGAAGACATGTCAGGTGCCGTGGCTCATGCCTGTAATCCCAGCACTTTGGGAGGCTGAGGGGTATGGATCATGAAGTCAGGAGTTCAAGACCACCTGGCCAGCATGGTGAAACCCCATCTATACTAAAAATAAAAAAATTAGCTGGGCATGGTGGTGCATGCCTATAATCCCAGCTACTCAGGAGGCTGAGGCAGGAGAATCACTTGATCCCGGGAGGCGGAGGTTGCAGTGAGGTCAGATTGTGCCATTGCACTCCAGCATGGGCAACAGAGAAAGACTCCGTCTCAAAAAAAAAAAAAGAAGATACGAAGTCATGCATGTGGCCAAAAAGCATATGAAAAATGCTCAGCATCACTAATCGTTGGAGAAATGCAAATCAAAACCGCAATGAGATACCATCTCACACCAGTCAGAATGGCTATTACTAAGAAGTCAAAAAAATGAAAACTAAACGTGTTGGCAAGGTTGTAGAGAAAAGGAAATGCTTATACACTGCTGGTGGGAGTGTACATTAATTCAGCCACTGTGGAAAGCAGTGTGGAGATTTCTCAAAGAACTTAAAACAGAACTATTATTTGACTAATTACTGGGTACATACCCAAAGGAATATAAATCATTTTACCAAAAAGACACATGCATGCATACGCTCATCACAGCACTATTCACAATAGCAAAGACAGTGAATCTACCTAGATAATCATCAACGGTGGACTGGTTAAAGAAAATGTAGTGTATATACATCAAGGAATACTACATAGCCATAACAAAATAAAATAATTTGCTTTGCAACAACATGAATGTAGCTGGAGGCCATTATCCTAAGCGAATCAATGCAGGAACAGAAAACCAAATACTACATGTTCTCACTTATAAGTGAGAGCTAAAGATTGAGTACACATGAACACAAAGATGGGAAATTAGACACCATGGCCTACTTGAGGGGGGAAGGTGAGAAGAGAGTGAGTGTCAAAAAACTACCTATGAAGCACTATGCTTACTACTTGGGTGATGAAATAATTCAGACACTAAACCCCAGCGACACACAATCTACGCATGTACCAAACCTGCACATGTACCCCGTGAAACTAAAACAAAAGTTGAAAGAGAAATAAAATAAAATCATCGGAAAAAGGAAATAAAATAATAATATAAAAGTAATAAAAATATATTGAAAATTAACTTTGTCAACAAAATGTTTGTTAGTCTAATGACCAAACAATGAGAATTGCATGAGGCTAAATAAATATAAACAACACAAAATATCTCTGGTGTTGAATTTTGATTTTTTTAAAATTTTAGTGTTAGAATAGTCTATATTTATGGATTCAGATATACATCTAAAAGTGCTTGAGAGACTTTATGGATTGCATAGTTGTTTAAATTATATTCTTCTCTTTCTTATAAATTTACTTGCAAAAAATGTATTACTCTCCCCAACTTACCATGTATTAGACCCAATATCATTAAGACAAGTTGTTGAATTGAAATAAACTTTATTTCAATTTCCTCAAGTAGAATGTCACTGTGTACACATACTATACGTAAAAAGGAATATGATCAATGATAAATTTTCTTGTGATTTTACTTTCTTCCAGATCAGAGATATCTAGATAAATTCTCTAAATATTTTAGGACCAGAAGGAAAGATTCACAAAAGATTGGTTAATTGGGCAAGATAATGTTCTTAAATAGAGTTTTGTACTATCTTTGAGGACATTCTTTCCTTTGGAAATTTGTTGTGGTGCAATCATCTTGATAAAATAAGCAGTTTGTACTTCTATTTGGTCTTCAGCGCTAAGATTTTAGTGCAATACACTCTCTAAACCACTACAACTCAATGGCAGGAGGTGTGCCTTGCTCTTCTTTATATTCCAGACATGCAGCAGTGCCTGGAATAGGAAAGGAACCTAAATTACATCTGTCTAAGAGCAAGTCCAACAGCTTCTTGCTATTTTCCAACGTATTTGACTGCTATTTATCATTTCATCCTACTGACCGTTCTATCAGATGTTCTTGTTTTCCACCTAAAACCTTCCTTTTCTTCCAGGTAACTTTCAATCATGGTCCCAATTTAGTCAATTCTGCTACAGCACATGCCCAGGAAAGATGATGGATCTTCATTAATTTAAATGAATCATAGGTAAAATCCGTTTCACTTATCATTGATTGGTTTGGGAATAAATATCTGACTATGCCTTGGACAATGAGCTGTGAAACAGATTGAACATTGGCAGTGAGGGCATTGTGTCTGGGAAAGGTTTTCTGCGAAGAAAAAGAGCCACAAAAGTAAAACATTTTATTTTTCACTGTGCATTGCCATGTTTGTGTGTTACACTTGGAACTGAGGCATCTGAAAGCCACAATCTCACATACTGAGGGTGGCACAGCAGAAATGTTGCAGAACTTTGAATCTTTGCCAATTTCAAGCTATCTAAATAGTCACTTACACAGCTGAACTCTCTGAAGTTTTTAAAAAATGCCTTACGATTTAATCTATTTAAATTTGAACTTTCTTACAGCCTAACTGAATCTAACCACACAATAAAGGTATTTTAAAAATCTCTTTATTCTTTAGGCTTATATGACATCGGGCTTGCCTGTTTCTTATAATTATTTAGTTGCAGTTTCCTTCTGTGTGTCTAACAGTTTGTTTCTGTGTATCTCAGACTTTTCTTAAGGTTTTCTTCTTGGTCCTCTTATAATCTGCCAGCTGTCTTAGCACTTCCACTCACCTTACAGCTTGACTTACCAACTCTGTCTTCATAACTACAAAATCTTTTCTAAAGTTTTGACTTCTCTACTTAGCTTCAGGCTCAAGCTTCTTCTTTGTAAGAGACTTTTACTCTGGATTCTCATAGATTTCCTCGAACTCATTAGTTCATGTAAAACCTCATAACCTTGCCAACCCCATGCTGTCTTCTCTTGTCTTAGAGTATAGCCTCCTGAGTGCCTTGGTTCAAAAGCTTCCAGTCATCTTTGTTCTCTTCTTTCTCTCTCTGGGTAATGAGCCACCAAATCCTGATATTTTATGTCTGAACTGTGTTCTTAATCTGTCTCTTTTCATTGAAGAAAATGGCTGGCACATCAAATGGGTTTGCAGATTTACAAAGTTTTTGGGGTAGAAGTGTGATGTAGACTGAGACATGTTTAACTTTCTGGCTTTTGAAATTCATCTCTAATTTTTCTGATTCCTTCTAAGATCCACTATAGGTATTCTGAAGTTTCTCTATAATGTGCCTAGATTTGAATTACTTTTGTTTTTTGTGTGTGTATGCTTGTAATTTGTTGTACATCCTGAATCATTCATAGAATACATATCTTTCCTCAAATTCATATTATTATTTTCTTCCCAAGTATTATTTATTTACTTATTTATTTTTATTTCAATAGCTTTAGGAGTACAAGTGATTTAGGGTTATATGGGTGAATTATATGGTGGTGAAATTCATGGATGAATTGTACGGTGGTGGAGTTCATGGATGAATTGTACGGTGGTGAAGAAATTCATGGATGAATTGTATGGTGGTGAAGTTCATGGATGAATTGCACAGTGGTGAAGAAGTTCATGGATGAATTGTACGGTGGTGAAGTTCATGGATGAATTGTACGGTGGTGAAGTTCATGGATGAATTGTACAGTGGTGAAGTTTATGCATGAATTGTACAGTGGTGAAGTTCATGGGTGAATTGTATAGTGGTGAAGTCTGGGCTTTTAGTGTACCTGACACCCAAATAGCATACATTATAACCAATAGATAACTTTTTATTCTTCCTCCCTCTTCTCCCTTTCAATTTCTGAGTCTCCATTGACCATTATTATCACTCCGTATGCCTCTGCGTACCCACAGATTAGCTCCCACTTATAAGTGAGAACACCTGGTATTTAGGTTCTTGTTCCTGAGTTACTTCACTCAGGGTAATGGCTTCCAGTTCCATTCAAGTTTCTGCAAAAGACATTATTTCATTCTTTTTGTATGGCTGGGTAGTATTTCATGGTATAGGTATATACCACATTTTCTTTATCTACTCATCAGTTAATGGGCACTTACGTTGATTCCATATCTTCGCAATTGTGAATTATGCTGTGATAAACATATGCATGCCAATGTCTTTTTGGTATAATGAGTTCTTTTCCTTTGGGTAAATACCCATTAGTGGTATTGCTGAATTGAATGATAGATCTACTTTTAGTTCTTTGAGAAATCTCCATACTGTTTTCCAAAGAGGTTGTACTAATTTACATGACTAGGAGCAGCATATAAGCACTCCCTTTTCACATCTGGACTAACATCTATTGTGTTTTGACTTTTTAATAATGGCCATTCTGGGTCGGGTAAAGTAGTATCTCATCTCTCACTATATACAAAAATTAAGTCAAGATGGATTAAGATTTAAGTCCAAGGCTGCAAACCATAGAAATTCTAGAAGAAAACTTAGGAAAAACTCTTCTGGACATTGGCCTAGACAAAGAATTTATGAATAAGACCCCAAAAGCAAATGGAACATAAACAAAAACAAATGAATGGGACCTGTTTAAGCTAAAAAGCTTCTGTACAGCAAAAGAAATATTCAACAAACAGGTAACCTACAGGATGGGAGAAAATATTTGCAAACTGTACTTCTGACAAAAGACTAATATATCTAGGATCTACAAGGAGCTCAAACAAATCAGAAAGGAAAAAAGAAAAACAAATAATCCCATTAAAAAGTGGGCAAACAATATGAACAGATATTTATCTCGAATTCCTGACCTCAAGTGATCCACTCGACTCGGCCTCCCAGAGTGTTGGGATTACAGGCATGAGCCGCCACGCCTGGCCAGAAGATATTTATCTAAAGAAGATACACAAATGTCCGTATTTAATATTTGCTCTTCAAATTCTGCTTCCCCTTCATTCTTTCTGTTATTTCCTTTTGGGACAATACAGCACATGATTTTTTTTTTTTTTTTTCATTTCTACATACTACTGTATGAGTCTTCACTTAGGTTTTTTTTTTCCACAATTGTATTTTATCAAACTGAAGTAAATTCATAAAAACCTACCACAAATGGAAATGTGGTATCAGGAACCAAAATAGCAATACTTGTACCAGTTTCTGATCTAAGTATTTATACATATTAACACAAATTTTGTCCTCAAAATAACCCTTTCTACTATTATTATTATCATCCCTACTTTAGAAATAGAGTAAATGTGACACGGAGGAAAGAAACGGCTTGTCTTCAGTCATACGGCTAGTAAGGAAGGGATAGAATGAGAAATTGAAAACAGGCTTCAGAATTATTCTTAAGCACCACACGCCACAGTAATACATTGCACTATCCCATGTGTTACCTTTTCAAGGTTTTCAGATAATTCTTTGTGAACTAAAAGAAATAACTTAGTAACCAGAATTCAATTTTATTCAATTCAAAAAATATAAATTGAATGCAGGCAGCTAGCTAATGATCAGCTTTGAAGAGACCTGATCATTAGCTAGCTGTGATCTTCTTTTTAACTAAAAAAATTAAAAGTCTGCATCTAAAATGAGAAAAAGAAATATCCCATATATATATGTGTGTGTGTGTGTGTGTGTATACACACACACACGTATATTTTTCACAGTGTTTTCTGAAGTTTTGCGCTCTAGTGTTATTAATAACCAAGAACACAGAAAGAAGGTGCCTACTATCCACAAGTTGTATAATACAATGCAATCAAATATATAATACATTTTAATCTTTGCATTTGAAATGCAAACATCATTGTGAAGTACAGCCTAAGTGTATTTTTGAATTTATTAAAAACATAGGCGTTACTGATTCTAGAGATAGTAACATGATGCCACATTACACTTTGAAAATGCAAAATCATTTTCCTCCAGGCGGAAGATAGAATGGGAGTCCTAGTTGACCTTCATATAATTTTTAGAAGATGGAGCACTTCAACTTCTTCCACTCATGAAAAGAGAGGTGGTAAGCTGACAGAAAAAATTTCTTTTTATTTACTGGCCATTACAGTTGTAAAATACTGCAGACATGAGCCTAACATAAATCAGTTCTCCTCAGATGAATATGCCTTAAGAGAGGCTTTCTGCCAAGGTTTCTTCACCTTGGCCATATCTCTCTGGAGTACTCTTGATCTGTCTCTGGCAGCCCTTTTGAATTTATTTTGTGTTTAATTCCAAATAATCCTCAATCAGAAAACAAAAATGGAGGCTCAATGCTCTACGGCTGAAAGGAACTTCAGAGGTTATATCAGTTCTATCATCTGTATCAGAATTCTTTCTGCTACAAGCAACAGAAAACACTGCTCAAACTTGCTTAAGCAAAAAAGAAATTGATTATCTCTGTAAAGTAATAGTTCAAATATATGTCATGCTTCAGATGAGGCTTGATCTAGTGGTTCAAAAAGCTCATGAAGGCCAGCATCACTTTCCCTTAGTTTATTCTTCCGTTTATAGTATGTGCCTCATTTTTGGAGTCTTTATGACTCCCATCATGAGAAGACGGCATGCACTGATTAACTTTAGCCACACGGAGTCCATTCTTTTTTTGGGCAGTACAGCCAATACTACCCAGACCATATGGTTTCTCTACAAATGGAAATTCACAATGCTAAAAGAAGTGGGGAAAATGGATGCTGGGGAAGAAGTCAAAAGATACCCATATCATCAACCCCATCGTTTTACAGATGAAAAAGAGACGTTTCAGAGCTACAAGATGGAAGGAGACCATCTGTTCTAAAACTACATTTATGTGACCAGAAGGAAATGTTAATTTTATTAAGCCAATAAGATGTCAAGGTTTATTTCTAACATTGGGGAAATAGAAAGTTTTCTCAGTCATCTTTTCAGTCTTGAGTTTGAGTTTCAGTCATTGACCTAGAATACACATCCCGGATCTTGCTCTCAGAGAACTCATGCTTTAATTCTTAATCTCTTTGGTGTTTAGTCTTCTGAGTGATTGCTTGAGGTTTCTACTTAGCAAAATGGGGACAATGAGGAATGTGTACCAAGATGAAAGAAACGCTTCATTGATAAATTAGATAGCACCTGCACATGCAGAGTTACAGTTGCATTTCTTACTGGCTTCGCCACATCACTTCTTACTCCTTGAAGTCATATAAGGAAAGCTTTTTTCTTTTTTAAAGTAGGGCATCGGTGGAATGACATGCCTTTTGAGACAGGGAACACAGCCTCATGGAAAATGCTCAAGCAATATATGAAGCTGTTGGCTGCTTTGTATAAGATTCATTTACACAATATTTATTTAGGTCCACTCTGTGTCAGGCTATCTTCTGAGTACTTTTTATATGTGTGAACAAGGTAGACAGAAAGTCTTGCTCTCATTGTATGTGCATTCTAATGATACAGAAAGAAAATAAATATGTAAAATATACATCAAATAGTGTGGGTACCATGGGGACAAATAAAGCAGGAGAAGGAGATGAGGAAAATGGTATGGGATGAATGTTTGCCTTGGCTAAGAGCCTGAATGAGATAAATTTTCAGATAAATGTCTGATTCAGTTGTATAATTACTTAATTCTAGGACATGGTCTTACTTATAATGGAAATTTAGGCCAATAAAATGAGACGTTAAACATAGGACTGTCTCTAGGTAACCTGGCTTCTTATGAACACTCCTGAATGACTTTCTCCCTCTCCCTCTTCAAGTTCTTGTTTGGGTGCCACTATCTGTATGAGGCCTATGTTGACCAGTTCATTTGTAAACCTGACATCTGCTCACTCTTCATTCCACTTCCCAGCTCCACTTTTATTTCATAGTTTCCACAGTGATTATTACTTCTTAGCACCTTATCTAATCTATCTATCTATACATAATATACATAATATATATAATATATAATATATAATTAATTATATATAGTTATAATTACTTATATATAATCTCATTATATTATATATAATATATAAAATATATGAATATATAATTATATTTATAATTAATTATATATAATATAATATAATGAGGATTATATATAATATATAAAATTATATATTATGTAATATATTAAATACATATATAGCTACATAATTATTAATTATTATATGATTATAATTAATATATAATATATAATATGATTATATTATGTATAATATAATAATATAATATGTAATAAAATACCCATTATACATTATATATAGTGTAATAAAATATATCTTATATTAATCATATATAGACAGAAAATACCCATTATACATTAGATTATATAATAGTATAACAGGTATTTTATTACACATTAATAATATCATACATGTACATATATGATGTATAATGGATATTTTATATATACATATATAATGTTTAATGGGTATTTTCTGTCTGTTCATATAAGAATTTAAGTTTCATAAGACAGGCTATTTGCCCACTTTTAATTGTGTATCTCCAGTACCTAGAAGAATTCTTAACACATACTAAGCAGTCAATAAATATTTGTGGAAGGGAGACAGGAAGGGAGGGACAGAGAAGCTGTATAGTATACTAGGCAAGAGCACACATTTTGGAGATAAGACAGTCTTGGGTCAAGTTGACTCGTAGTCAAGTAATACCTTTTTGAGCCTTAATTTATACACTATAAAATGAATGTCAGTAATATTGTTTTCCTGGGAAAAAAAAGTATTGTAGGAATGACATAAAATAATATAATATATGAAGGTCTTCTCCTATTCCTTAGTCGAAATAAGTAAGAGTTACTCCTGTTCCTGTTGGTCATATTGTGTTAGTGCTATTATTTCTTCATCCAGCAGATATTATTAATTAGCTGTCTAATAATGTATCAGGCACAGTGCAAGGCAAATGCTGAAATCAGCAAATTGCCGGATCCTCTCCTCTGGCCCTATAGTACTGGAGCTCCATTCTCTATGCCAGAGTTTTGTTTCCAGGCATAGAATCTTCCAAATAGTGAATCTTAAATCTGGTGATATATTTCAAGGCCTCAGAGGATTTTTAAAAATACATAGATCCATAGGGATGGAGAGGATCACGTCATAATTCTTATGGAGCAGGTCTGGAAGAGAGAAGTGTGAAGGTGCATTTTTAGCAGTTTAAGAATGACCTTCTTCCTTTTTACTAAAATAACTACATTTTATAATAAAGTTTTAGAAAACACTACTCTGAAATATTATGGTTGTTCAAAGATGGTACCAGTAAGACATATTTTCACTCCAGCAGTGAACTTTTTAGACCAAATCCATGTTTAAAAGAAGAAAGCAATCTTTAAGAAGATAAGTAGAGGTAGTTGAGGGAGATTTTTAAAGTGATTATGGAGTGTGAAGAAACACTCTAAACCTCTCAAATAATATTTGATAAAAGATCACCTTCTTCTCTCTAGCTGGGAGTTAACTATTGATGCCTTTTTCTATTTTGAGGATTTTTTCCTCTAGATTAAAAGGAAAGAATCTCCAGTCCCTGTGAACTTGTGCAAAGAGGTTGAAAAGGAGCAAGCCTCCCTGTTATGCCACATGGGTATCTTTCATCCATAGGCAATTTGGCTCCGGGGCTGCAGAACACTTCTGGCCCATCTGGAAAGCTACTGAGAGCAAGAGAACTGAAAGGCACATCTTTAATTTTCATTTCCTAGACTTCGCATAACTCAGCCTTGGGCCAAAACACATCATAGTCAACTCAGAGATTTTGGCCCTACCTTTGGTGTCTTCTGAAATTCAGTGTCAGAAGAGATTGAACAGGACTGTTCTACCTTTATCTAGGAAAACTACCTGGAAGGAAATATCAGCCGAGAATTTATTTTTTATTTTAAGAAAAAAATTCTCTCTCTCTCTCTCTCTCTCTCTCTCTCCTCACTCTCTCTGCCTATAGATACAAATGTTAAAGATGGGTTTTATCTGATGAGGGGAGATAGTAGTTGGGCATTCAGATTCCTCAAAAGCAGGAAGGAGGTAATTTATTGACAGAAGAAGCACCTATGTCTACAAAACAAAAAATGATCTATGGTCCTCTGTGTATAAAGGAGAATGGGAAGAAACACCAGAGACAAGTATTAAGTTCCCAAGGGGCTAAAGAGATACAAGACTTTAAAAAGGTAAATGAAGACAACATAGGTGATGAGGAAATTAAGGAGATTGACATGAAATGAGATTATAGTTCTAGGAGAAATCCCATAACTGATAGGAAAAAAAAGAATTTCTGAAACCGAAATCTGGCTAACATTTAGAAGGGAAAAACCAAATGCCAAAGAGACAAAGAAAAATCTAATAATCGTCATTGTGTGCAAAGGATTTAATAATGATAAAGAAACTAGATGCCAGATTGCAAAATGGCACATACTCTAGGAGGTTACCACACTGTGGAGCTCCAATAATAGTGTCCTGCTCTATATCCAGAGACAAAATTACTGACCTACCATCTGTTTTAGCAGCCACAAGGATTCATTTGGACATTCCAGTTTACACCCCTACCACACATTTTCAAGACAAGAGCCTGTGGCTCTCATTTGTTCCTCTAGCCGACATCAATTTTTTACATGAGAATGGAACTCAGTCTCGGGTCATTTGCACTGGCTGGGCTAACCAGTAAGAGATACTGCATCATGTAATAAAGATAATGACATTTTAGAAGGGGCATGGCAAGTGATTATGCGTGATGGGTCTTGAACCATAAGGGCATTGTCTTTGAGAAGTAGATAAATGTCTAGAAAGGAAACTAAAAGCACTAACTTTGGCATTTTATTCATTGCATGGGTTTAGACCAATGGTTCTCAACTGATGGGGTACTTTTGCTCCACAGAGAACATTTAACAATGTATACAGGCCTTTTCATTGTCACAGCTTGAGGGGGAAGGGGCGGTCACTACTGTCATGTGATAGTAGAGGCCAGGGATGCAGCTAAACGTCCTACAGCGCACATCATGGCTCCTCAACAACATAGACTCATCTGCCCCAAAATATCAACAGCGCCAAGGAGAAGAATCCTGCTTTAGACAAATACTTCCATTTATTTGTCTTTTTTGTCCTCTCCTTACAAGAGAATAATATCTTACGTGGTTGATGTAAAGAATCAATAAGATGAATCAATACATACAAGTGCCTGAAAAATGGTAGGTAGTCACTGCATTTTGAATATTATATATATATATATATATATTTTTTTTTTTTTTGAGATAGGGTCTCACTCTGTTGTGTAGGCCAGAGTGCAATGGCATGATTATGGCTCACTGCAGCCTTGACCTCCCAGGTTCAAGCGATTCTCCTGCCTCAGTCCCCTGGGACTGGGACTACAGGCATGAGCCATCACACCCAGCTAATTCTTTTGAATTTTAGTAGAGATGAGGTCTCACTAGGTTGCCCAGGCTGGTCTCAAACTCCTGGAGTCAAGTGATCTGCCCACCTTGGCCTCCCGAATTGCCAGGATTACAGGCATGAGCAACCATACCAGGCCTGAATATGAATAAATGAATATTTAAAACTATGCTTGTCAAATTTTAATGTGATTCTAAGTCTATGAAGCAGTTTGGAATAGGATTTTGAGTGTAAGGAGCTTCACATTTTAAATTACATCAAACTGCATCAGGTAGAAGAAAGGAGTAAATTTTTGCATTTTATGTAATTATAAGTAAATAAGTATTTCCTACTCTGTAGCAGCATGGACTAAAACTTTTTACAAGAAGTGTTCATCTTTTTCTCACCACCTCCAAAAGTATTCCTCAAAAAATGTGTATGGACAATTTAATGTAAATCAACTTAAGTCATTGACAAACATCACCTTGTCTTTAACATGCTAATATGTGCTGCAGATGTTGGACAGAGGATATGGTATTTTCTAAAAGGTATTTGATTATGGCAGCCCTCTTTTTCAATATGTCTTTTAACATCTCACATTAAACTAAATTATTTGAACATAGTTTGGGAAATGCTGAGGAGAAGAAAGGAAGAAAGGGAGGGAAGAAAGGCAGACGGAAAAAATATATTCATATCATCCCCAGGCAGGTGTGCAGGAAAGCAGCCTGTGGCATGACAAGAGTGACACTGTCTTGAAAAGAAACCATGATGATGACAGACATTTGAATCCTGCATATCAAGCTATTCTGCAGCAGGGTCTTAAAACAGTGCCTACAGCATAAATCACCCCTCAGAAAGATGCTTATCTAACTTCCTCAGTAACAAGAAAGCATGAGATGTGACCAGCTTTGTATGTTTTATGCTAAAAACTTCTACAGAAATGAAAATTTTCTGGAAGGCTGGAGCTGAGATCTACCATCTCCAGTCCACCCAAGACATTCCTTTCATTTGTAAGCCCCTCTTGAATATTTTCTTTCTGAGAAACTATTTGTCAGCTTCTTTCTTTGGTCTCTCAGCTCCCTCTCAGCCTTCGGGGGTAGGTTTTTATATACCTGCTCACCATGAAACAAGGTGAAATGACCAGGTGCAAATGAAATGCTATACCTATAATCATTAAGGCATAAACACATGTCATCAAGAATGGGGAAAGCCACTATCTGGAACAGGAAACAATGAAGAAAGAGAGAGAGAGCCAGAGATTTGATCAGGAAGACCCGAGGGAGACAAATACACTTAAGTTGCCCTCACCTTGACTGTGTTGAGCTAATCAAATGAAATACAGTGCTAAGAATTGGATTTGGAAACACAACGAAAATTACTCATCACAGCTATGAAACTCTTTTTCTAACCTTCATGTACACATTCAGCCAAGCTGCTCTTTCTCATCATATTCTGGAGTCTTTTTCAAAGCCGTGAGTCAGAGAATCTGGAGAAATTGTAGTAAAGGTGAAACTTGTCTACTCTGTTTAGTAGTTCTCAAACTTGGCTGCACATTTGCTATAGAATGGAAGTTTATGTCCTCCTCAAATTCATATGTTGATGTCTAATCCCCACTATGATGGTATTTGAATGTGAGTCCTTTGGGAGGAGATTGGGTCATGAGTAAAGCCCTCATGAGTGGGATTAGTGCCCTCATAAAAAGAGATATGAGAGAGCTCACTTCCTCTTTCTCTCCTCTCAGACAGGTGAAGACAGAACAAGAAAACAAACCAAGAATTTCCCCTCACCAGCCACCAGCTCTGCCAGCAACTTGATCTTAGACTTCCCAGCCTCCGTAACGGTGAGAAATAAATGTTAAAGCCACCCAGTTTGTGATATATTTGTTTTAGCAGCCCAAACTAAGACATCATTGAAATCACCTGGGGATCTTTTAAAAAACTACTGAAGCTATTTTCTCTACCCCACCACCACCATCAGAAATTCTAATTTAGTGATTCTGAGGGCAGACTGGACATTAGGACTGTTATATAACCGCAAATGATTCTATGGGGAAGCAACCTAGTAAATGTCTAATCTAGAATGCATGAAAGTTAGAAAGCAAAAGGAAAAGATCTCTCTCTCTCTCTCTCTCTGTTTCTCTCTGCTTTCTTGCCTTTGCTTTTTGAATTTTTTCTTTGTGAGTCATGTTAAAAAACTATGAGGACATCAAATAAAATAATGGCTAACATTAACTAAATACCTACTGCTTTTCATCACTTAAACTGTGCTTTATCTTTACTGATCAATTTAATTCCTCTAACAACTCTTGAGGCAGGTATTGTGAGGCTCCATGTGAGGACACATTACCTGGACAAAAAGGTTAACTAACTTAGCCAGTTTACTCAGTAAGAGACACACCAGTCTTCTCGATCCTGCTCACACAAAAACTAAAGTTGGACACAACTGAACCTGAACTTGGCAGAAAAGTCTAGTGGTTCCTAATGCTAGATGAACACTAGAATCTCATGGTAAGCTTCCAGAAAGCCCCCCTGCTATATTTTAGTGGTGTATACTTGATACTAAACACTTGTCAAAACCCACGTAAGTTTACAGCTCAAATGCTGAACTTTAATATATGTAAATTTAAAAAATCAATTCAGGAGGTCAGAGGGTTCCAAGATGGAATGTAGACGGTGACTAAGGAATCTAACTGTATTACAAAAGTATGCATAACCGCACTGAAGGAGGCAGAGAAACAAGGTGCTGATCTAAGTTTTTTTGGAATTGAGTAGGCTGAGACTGAAGGCAATAGGAAGTGTGCATAAGCACTGCACTTTAATTGGTAAAGTTACTTCCTACAAAAGCACAATCTAACAATTCTGAAACCACTCTACATGTATATAGGGTTGAACAAGTATTTAAATAGATGCTGAACAGTGCCAGATTTCTCACTGTTGAAGTGGGAGGTTATAGATGGGCAAGGGGAAAAAAGTACAATGGTCCACGTAGTAATGGATTCAAGTAGGAGACATCAGTATGAATTCAGGTTACTTTTAATGTAGATATGTATGTGTTCACAGGTTAATAGTGCCAACGTATATTTTCTTTTTTAAAACTTTTTTATTTTTAATTTTTTTAATTTTACTTTAAGTTCTGGGATACATGTGCAGAATGTGCAGGTTTGTTACATAGGTATACATGTGTCATGGTGGTTTGCTGCACCCATTAACCCATCATCTAGGTTTTAAGCCCCGCATGCATTAGGTATTTGTCCTAATGCTCTCCTTCCCCTTGCCCCCCACCCCCTGATAGGCCCCAGTGTGTGTTGTGCCCCTCCCTGTGTCCATGTGTTCTCATTGTTCAACTCCCACTTATGAGTGAGAATATGCAGCATTTGTCTGTCTGTTCCTGTGTTAGTTTGCTGAAAATGACAGCTTCCAGCTTCATCCATGTCCCTGCAAAGGACATGTACTCATTCTTTATTATGGCTGCATAGTATTCCATGGTGTGTATGTGCCACTTTTTTTTTTATCTAGTCTGTCATTGATGGGCATTTGGGTTGGTTCCAAATCTTTTCTATCGTAAATAGTGCTGCAATAAACATACAACATATATTTTCTAGTTCTGTCTACTGACAAGTCTTAGAAGCACCAATAACACCCCAGAAGCAGTGAGCACACTAAGTGCCCAGATACTGGTTTCCAGTTCCATTCTCCAATAAAAGGAACCTGGGCTTCTTGGAGAAATGGCTGCTTCTAAGGCTGGGGCAGGGAATACGCAAGATGTGCCTGGCTGGTGTTTAAAAGACAAAATGATGGAAGCATATAAAGGGGACACAGAAGCCAACTAAAACAGCTCTCAATGGTCAAAGCTGAAACAATTTGAGCAGCAAAATAAATAGCTTAATATTGGAGTATAATCCAAGGTATAAGTAAATATTTTGAGCCCACGTGGATATAAACCGATGATTGAATATGTACATAAATAAGTGGGGAGAATAGACAAGTCTCCCAATTACAGTAATTCCGAATAATTTACGTAAATATTTCCCCCTCAAGGAGTTGGAATATCACTCCCCTTCCCTTAATTGTGAGTTGCATATAATAACTTTCTTCTAGAGAGTGCAGTATAAAAAAGAAGAAAGGGTACCTTACAGTGAAGAAATCTGACAAACACCACCTCAGCTAAGTAGGTGATCAAGGTCAACATCAACAATAATGTCATGTAAATGTCATTTATTCCTGATGTGAGGTGATAAGAATGGCACTTTTTCTCTGCAGTCTTCCTCCTAAAAACCTGTAACCTCAATCTAATCATGAGAAAAGACATCAGGCAAATCCCAACTGAGGGAGATTTTACATAGTACCTGAGCAGTACTCCTCAAAACTGTCAAGGTCATCAAAAACAAAGAAGTATGAAAAACTGTCACAGCCAAGAGGAACTTAAGGAAACATAATAATTAAAGGTAATGTGGTATGTGGGATGAGATCCTAGAACAGAAAAAGGACATTAGATAAAAACTAAAAACATCTGAATCAAGCATGGGCTTTAGCTAATAATAATATATGACTTTTGAATCATTAACTGTAAAAGAAAGTATTAATATGAGATGGTAATAATAGGGGAAATTGGGTATGGGGTATATAAGAATTCTCCGGACTTTGAAACTTTTTGTGAAGGTACATTATTCTAAAATTAGAACTTATGTGAAAAACAAGCAAAGAAAATAAAACAGAATATCTATCTACTGGAACACCTTCAGAGACTCAGATTTAATTTGTCTGGGGTGAGCAGAGCTTGAGTGCTTGGTAGCTTTTAAAAGAGCCCCAGGCATTTTTAATAAATATCTAATAAGAAATGATATCCATCCAGTTTGCTAATCCCATGGCACAACTTCAGGCCCTAAGATATCCCTTTTCAGCCCAGAGATCTGTACTCTTCCCTATAGCTTATTGCAACCAATAATCAGCAAAACTATTTTCATTTTGTATGAAAGTTCCGGAGAAGCTGAGCATAAGAGCATTGAGAAAACTCTTGGAAAACATTACTAAATTTAATAGAATGCCTTGATGTGAATTAAAAACAAGAAAAAATCTTGCCAGGTGCGGTGACTCACGCCTGTAATCCCAGCACTTTGGGAGGCCGAGGCGGGCGGATCATGAGGTAGGAGATCGAGATCATCCTGGCTAACATGGTGAAACCCCGTCTCTACTAAAAACACAAAAAATTAGCCGGGCATGGTCGCGGGCGCCTGTAGTCCCAGCTACTCGGGAGGCTGAGGCAGGAGAATGGGGTGAACCCGGGAGGCGGAGCTGCAGTGAGCCGAGATCGCGTCACTGCACTCCAGCCTGGGCGACAGAACTAGACTCGGTCTAAAAAAAAAAAAAAAAAAAAAAAAAATTCATGTAGTCCCCTTATCAACTGACCCTCAAAGGGCCTCCCTTGACCCTGATGGTTTTTTTTTTTCCCCGTGCCTGGTGCCTTTCACACTAATATAAGGAGACCAGGTTTGGCAAAACAGTGCAGAAATTCCATTCATTGATCAAGTAATGGAGAACGGGAGCTCATGCTCAAAGCACCTTCTCCCTGGAAGTAGAGTAAAGGGAAATTTTTAAGGACTTTTGGGCAGGTAGGTGGAGACAGGGGTGGGGATTCCTTGAAAAAAGTTTGTTCTTCCAGGAGGGGTTAAGTATGCGCAGTCTTGCATTTTCTTTTGCATTGGCACTTTTTGCACCCAGCAAGGTACATTTCTCCCCACTGGATGGAAATGTTGGTATGAGAAAGAGGCAAGAAATCAGGTCAGGTCTCGCACTGAGGCAGAAGTTCAGGTGAAGGCAGCATTTCTGGGCTTAGCTTGTCCTGCAGGTGGTTCCTGGTTATTGGCATCTGACTGTTGTTTCTGTAAGCAAGCATAGCTACAAGCATAAGTTAGTTTCAGGGGTTTTGTGCCTTCCTGAGAGAATCTGAGTTATGCTGTGGTAACAGGTGACGGTTCCTTAAATTTGAAAACCGAACAAACAAGAAGACTTAGAAGTTATTAGCTGAAACTATGATTCAGAAGGATAATTCAATCCCCAAAATTATGGTGCTTCAAAGGTGGCAACTGAAATAAAAGTGACTACCTGTATTTTTATACAAGTTACTTGTGGCCAGCTGTTTTTTCTATGCAGATATGGGGTTCTCATTTCACAGCAGATCCATATTACAGGCAGAAACAAAAATGACAGAATCATAAACCTTTGAGATTATCCAGTCTAGTGGTTTCCCTCTGTGCTACATATTTCTTGGGAGGCTTCCTTGATGTTTAGGGGAAGATAGAGTGGAATGAGTTCCGTGAATCCGCTCTGCTTCAATCACAGATCCAATTTAACCAATTGTTTGTGTGTGTGTGCATGTGTGTGTGTATGTGTGTGTGTGTGCATGTATTAGAATGTTCTCATGCTGCTAATAAAGACATACCAGAGACTGGGTAATTTGTAAAGAAAAAATGGTTTAAATTGACTCAATCTACGTGGCTTGGGAAGCCTCACAAGCGTCACAGAAGGCAAAGGAAGAATAAAGTCACGTTTTACATGGCGGCAGACAAGAGGGCTTGTGTAGGGAAACTCTGATTTATAAAGCCATCAGATCTCATGAGACTTACTCACTACCAAGAGAACAGTATAGGGGAAACCACCCTCATGATTCAGTTATCTCCACCTGGCCCCATCCTTTACACTTGGGGATTATTACAACTCAAGGTGAGATTTGGGTGGGGACACTGTCAAACCATATCAATGCATGAGTGTATGTGTGTTTCAATGTAAGATTACATGTAAACAAAGATTTCTAATGCTAAGAAAAGCATTTAATCCACCAAACTAGTTCAGTTTCCTCAATTTACAGAGTAGATTCCTGAGGCTCCAAAAGGTGAAGTGTGTGTCATTCTGATGCCCAGTTCTGTGTACTGTATACAAGTAATGATATCTCACTTTGCTCTCAACATGAGTGTCAATGATGGTAGCAAATTTAAACTTTTAAAGGTCTTGTATCTTTCTCTTTCTAATAAACAGGTGAGCTCAGTTTATGAGCTGAAAACCATTCAAATACTATCAATAAATTTTATTATTTATGTCCTTCTCCCTTCCACCACAAATATCAGATCATGTAGCTTGGAATTTGTTTTAAAGAACAAGTTTTATTATTTTTCATTGGCTTTGGATGCCAGTTTCAGTTAGATGTTGAACCCAATTTAAATAATACACACCTACATGTCAGTCTTCCATATCTGACTATGCTGATTCCAGCAGTAAAACGTGTTCTGTTTTCCCAACAGTGCTTAGAAATTGGAATGTTTTGCCAAATGTGGGTTGTGTTCTTCTCTATAAGGGTGTGAGTTATGTTCTTCTCTACTAGGGAATGTCTTTTTGCCCACACTCTTTTTTTAAAGAGACTCAGACCAGGTCTAAACCAATTGGCTTTCTCTTTGGAGTAGCAAAATTGTCAGAATATATTGCAGAAAACTCTGGGCAAATGGCATGTTAGAAAGATTACCTATTCAACACAATAAAGCTTGAAGCAAATCAACTCCAATGAGATGAGTCAACTCCCTATACTCAAGGGTGCCCTTGGCAATAACTTTTGACAAACCTACCAATGCACAAAGAGCTTTGCCTGTCAGGTAGATATGCTTTGAAAAGCTTTAGTGCTTGAAAAACCCTCAACTACACAAACACAACCATGCTTTTTATTATTGCCAGTTTCTTTATATGGCTGAGGAGAGAAAACACTACTGTATTTTTTTTAAACCTATAACAAGATAGAACTAGCAGATAGTTATGGCCCTGAGGTGACTTAACTATATAACTCTTTCAAAAGTTCTCAAGACTAAATTACCTTTAGTTTTTGACTCAGCATTTTACAAGCTAATACTAGAACATCTACTTAGACATTATTAAAAACCCTTGAGAGAACTGTAATCATGTTTCTGGAAATTTTTGAAAGAATTCAAAATGTCTACAAAGAAAAATACTGGGCACTGTAATTACATTTTGTTAAAAATAACATTTAATTTTACTCAACAGGAGTTGAATTTTAGCTTAGAAGTAAAAATTAGTGAGAGAGTGGAGAGAAACAGCAAGGCTTCACCGATTAGGAATTGAGTACCCACATACATGGATTTTCTACTAACTGAAACTTACACATGTATACATTACGTTTTTTGCAAAGATGAATAATTTTTAAGTACATATACATACTTTTCTGTACAATTACATCATTAGTATGATTAGCCATTTGTATTTTGAGCCTTCACGTGTCTGGGTTCAAATTCCAGCTCTGTAACATGCTAACTCTGTGACCTTGGGCAAGCTATTTAACATCTCTGAGCCTTGGAGTCCTCATATATAAAACGAAAATAATTACAGTATATATCCCATTAATTTGTTGCAAGTATTAGAATAAAATTGCCCATGCAAATCACTTAGGTCCTGGTATTGAGTATAAAAGAAACACTTGGTAAATATTAGATATTTTTGGTGTTGCTGTTCTTATGGTAATGATTTAGTATACAGCCCTCTCTTATCCTGGCCGAAGTGTCAGCGATTTCTTTTCTTGCATTTTTCATTATCCCCTGACTCACCTTCCTTTCCCAAATCCTTTCAGCCTCTGCTTATAATCTGTCATGGATTGGAAAACTAGAAAAAACAGTTTACAGAGTATAACAAACTTTGGAGGAGTTAATCGACTCTAAGTAAAAGAGGTAAGCCTGTAGCTGTAACATAGGACTTAAGGGTAAGTCTTTTGGATCTGAGTCTATTTTTATATTTAGAGTTTGGGAATTTGTTATTATAGCAGTTTTTGGAAATCTGGTTTATTGTTAAATGTGGTAAAAGTATACACATACAACTATATGATTTATCATTATGTACAGCCTATACATTTTGTTTTGGCAATACGAAGGTTTTCATTTTATTTTAAGATATAATAATTACTTAATTATAGCTTTAAGACAACTGAAATAAAAGAATTATCATTTTTATATATCTAAAGAATATTACAAATAGAGTTTATTTTTCTTAACAAATCAATATTCCAACAGCTTTTAAAATGACTTGACAAAAGAGAAGAAAGGCTTTCCACTAATCTCACCATTTTAACACATAGATTATTTCCAGTTTTGTGCTTTCCCTTCTAATTCTTATGCATAAGTAAACAAACTCATATCATTCTGATCAAAGAACACAGTTTTTAAAAGGCTAAGGACATTATGCTTTTCCCACTATGGGTCTGAAACCCTTTAGCCTGAACATAATACATCTGAAAGTAAAGAATTCCTCTCAAACATGAACTCAATACTTAGCCAACAAGGAAACAAAAGATGTCTCGTTTCCAGTAGATTTATTGGTTTCAGGCAGTGAACAAAGATGAAGAAGAAAGACATATCTTACAGATGGTGGTAATAAATATTTCAAATGAAATCCTCTTCAGACTGTTTCCTTCTCAACCATTCCACTTAAGCATATTTTAATCAGATACCGATACTATTATTGAATTAAAGACCACAAAATCATTTTTCCTTGAAGTTTATTTGCATCACACAGTAACCAAACAGGAAAATAAATTAATATTCTGAAAAATGATAATAATCAATTAGCATATATACACACATGAATTGGAACACTGGAAGTTTAAATTTTGTCAATAATTTCTTTTTTAAATTTTAAGGGATTTTCCTATGGTCTGCTAGCAAGTTTTTGGTTGTTTTCATAGTTTTATTTTATTATATCGTACTTATTTATAATAATAGTTTATTTTCACTGAGTTGGGAATAGGTTTGGCTTCAGTAATTATGTTCAATAATGTTATTTCTGAAATACTGGATGTTTTAGACTGACAAAATCCTGAACTAGAAATTCTCATATGTGTATATAATGGAAAAACGATGAAGCATACTACTGTTTTTGTTTAGGGATAGGAGAAGACTCGTTTCTCTTTGAATGCTGGTGTTTTCCTAATTGTTCATTATCAAATGAAAAAGAGACAAAATAACTACATTAAAACCATCAATAATTTAGAGAGTTCTTAAGAAAAGGGTCCATCATATTATAATGATCCATGTCTAAAAAGAAAACTATAAAAAATTTTACAAGTCATTTCATCTACATTTGGATTTTCATTTGCTTTTGGTATACTCACATGGTTGTACTATTTGAGTGGCTGATACAAATCAATATGATTTGTAGTTGGACAAATTGCTAACGTTCCTACCCTGAGAGTTCCACAAGCTCTATAGTGACCATGAAGGGTTTGGGCCTGAGAAATGCTTGCTTTTGTGTTACGGGTCTGGGAAACACATGTCTGAGTTTTGCTCCTACCCTTCCCTGTTAGTTTCTTGCCTTCCCATTTCTCCCCGTTGGCTTTAATTTTTCTGAGTTTGGCGTTGCTGCATGATCTTGACCATCTTAATTCCTGATGGGGCCTTTATTTAGTAGTTTTACCTTTCTGTTTTTGACCCTGCATTGGTATCAAGTCAACAAGAAATCACTGTTCAGAGAGAAAAGCTGCAACCCCTCCCTCTAGCAGATTTCTTCTTTAAATTGTCCGTAAATCTATTTGTTTCATTGGTTAATAAATGGTTTAAAATCTACTTGTATCCCTGAAGCTTACATCAATCATTCTCTGGCCCACTGAAAATGACTCTCTGGTTCACCACAATAAATCCATTAAGCAGGCATATTTCAGGCCACAGGGTTCTGATAAAGTGAGTCCATGATGAAAATGTAATTAGACCTGAATTGTTCCGACTCCCGAACCATCCATAAATATAAAATACCTGCTTTTCACAGCTCCTTGTCCTCTACCTTTCCATATTGAAATTGACAGCTGCTATACAATCTGCAAATGAAAGAACCTATATTTGATAACATTTATTCTTTGGGGCTTTGAGAAAAAAAAAAGGCTCCATTAAGCAGCATTTTTGGTTTGGCACTTACATAGGCTAGTTTGATTCTTATTTCCAGGTCACTCTGCATCATCTCATCTCAACCTTGACTTGGGAATTACTAAAGGAATCAAACTACAAGGCTCTTATTCCTCTCATAGGTTACTGTAGAAATAGTGGTTGACAGGACTGATGTCAGTCCAGCTAACTCATGATTTATTGCCTCCTATGGAGAGAGTAATGCAATAAAACCTTAGTATTAAAGATCCTGCTGCATTTTATTCTGTTGTCACTATTTAGTCATTGCTTGTGCTTTCCCTCTAAGTTCTCTGCCTGCCACTTCCCTGTTTTCTTCATGACAAGACCATTTTACAACCATTTATTGTATGCCTCTACTAGTTGGATGATAGAGACTCATTCAATGATAAGAAAGACAAAAGACATGGCTAAAATCCACAGAATAAATGAAATCACTGTTGCACAATATAAATGAACTGTGTTCATTGAGCATTGGTGAGCAGGTAGGTAGGAGGAAAACAGAGGAGGTCACAGTGTGAAATAATCCAATGAAAAACTGACATCATGTTCATTTTTGTGGCTGAGTAGTATTCCATTGTGTATATATACATTTTCTTTACTCATTTATCTGCTGTTGGGCATCCAGGTTATTTCCCTATCTTAGCTGTTGTGAATAGGGAAGAAATAAACATGTGGTGCAGGTATCCCTTTGACATACTAATTTCCTTTTCTTTGGATAAATACCCAGAGTAAAGGGATTGCTGGATAGTATGATAGTTCTATTTTTAGTTGTTAAAGAAACCTCCATATTGTTTTTCATCATGGCTGTACTAATTTACATCCCCATCAACAGTTATAAGGAACCATTTTCCTCTGTATCCTCACCAGCGTTTGTTATTTTTTGTCTTTTTGACAATAGCCATTCTCATTCAACATGGATGGCCTGGAGGACATTATGTTAAACAAAGTTAAGTCAGGCACAAAAAGATAAATATTACACGTTCTCACTTATATATGAAAGTTAAGAAAGAAATTTTGAGCTCATGGAAGTAGAGAGAATTGTGGGTATTAGAGGCTGGGAAAGGCATGGAGAAGGGAGGTCAGGGAGAGGTTGGTTCACAGATAGAAAGTTACTGCCTGGTTGGAGGAATGAGTTCTGGTGTTCTTCAGTACTATAGGGAAAATATGGTTAACTCTAATTTATTGTATATTTTCAAAAAGCTAGAAAAGGGGATTTTGAATGTTCACAACATGAATAAATGGTAAATGGTTGAGGTGATATTCTAATTACCCTGATTTGATCATTATTCCTTGTTTACATGTATCCAAATATTACTCCATATCCCTTAAATATGTATAATTATTACATGTCAACTGTAAATAAAAGGAAACACAAAACCGACATAGCAAACTACCAGTACAGGTGGTAGGAAAGCAAACCATGGAGGCTGGCTTTGGAGAATGGATCTGTATTTAGATTGAGCCATGACAACATTGCAGGATAACCTGGACTCTCAGAACACAGTGTCAAGATGGGATTTTAGGCATGAAACAAAATAAGAAAAAATGTCATGTAGAAGGCTGATTATAAAAATAGACACCATTATTTCTGCCTTCTTGTATCCATGCTGTGTTCAGTATGAGTCTTCACTTCTCTCATTGAGAAGTGGAGCCTTTTTTTCCATCTATTAAATCTGGGCTGGCCTCACAGCTTGTGGCTTGATTCAGCCAACAGAGTATCACAGAAGTGATATCAGCTGGTTCCAAGCCTAAACATTAAAAGAGCTTGCCTGCTTCCTCCTGCTCTCTTCAAGCTCTTCCTGCTGCCAGGTGAATAAGCTCAGGGAAGTTTGCTGGAGAGCAAGGGACTCTGTGGGACAAGGGTATTCATACTTTCTGAAGCTGTCCAGCCCATCCTTAGCTGATCACATATTCATGACTAAATCTAACCAAGACCAGCAGGACTTCTTATTCCAAATTGCTGACTGATAGAATTGTATACTTAATAAATGATACTGATTTGGGCTACTAAATGTGGAGAATGTTTATTACGTGTCAATAGCCAACAGCTACAACTCCATTTATAGGGAATAGCGGTTGTTCAGAATTTAGATTGTGTGTTAGAAGGCTAGATCCTGACCACTGGAAGAAGAGTCCATTCAATATCAGCTATGAAACCAAAATAATACTGAATGAAAAGATTTTAGTTCAGTAGTCCATTTCTTTTTCCAGAGTATCAGGCTAGTCCAAGAACTTAGAATAGGCATAACAGCCATAGCTCTAGACTCCAGAGTATGGAAGAAATTATGGGGATTGCTATTTTAAGAAGTATTTTGAGAAAACCAAGTCAAATTAAACTATCTTTATTTATTAAACACTGTACTAATAAGGAAAGGTGACCCAAAAGAAGTCAAATGGTGGTTCTTTTCTTCAAGATTTTAAATACTAGGTAAGGATTTTGCTAATCAAAAATTGTTGTAAAACAAAAGATAAAAAGTGTTGGCAAGAATACGAAAAAATCGGAATTCTTTTAAACAGTTGTTGGGAATGTAAAATGTTATCGCCACTATGGAAAATGCTATGGAGGTTCCTAAAAAAACTGAACAATAGAATTACCATAAGATCTAACAATCCAACTTTTGGATACATAACCAAAGAGAGTGAAATCAGGATCTCGAAGAGGTATCTACAATCCCCATATTTATTGAAGCATTATTCACAATAGCCAAAATGTAAAAACAACCTAAATGACCATTGACAGATGAATGAATAAAGAGAATGTTGTATGTACATACAATGGAATATTATTCAACCTTAAAAACAAGGAAATCCTGTCATATGCAGCAACATGCATGAACCTGAAGGACACTTTGCTAAGAAAATAAGCCAGGCACACAAAGATAAATATTGCATGATTTCAATTATATAAGGTATCTAAAATAGTCAAACTCATAGAAACAGACAATAGAAGGAGGATTACCACGGCCTGGGGACGGGAGAAATGGGAGGTTGCAGTTCGATGGGTGTGTAGTTTCAGTTATGCAGGATGAATAAATTCTAGCGATCCACTGCACAACATTGTGCCTATAGTTGACAATGCTGTATTGTGAACTTAAAAAAATTGTCAAGAGGATGGATTTCCTGTTAAGTGCACTTACCAAAAAATAAAAAAAAAATGCAAAAGAAGATCCGTGTAAACACATATGATTTTCAGCCAATTTTTCCCACATTGACATAGATTTATAGCCAGCCCTCTTCATCCATTGGTTCTGCCTTTGTGGATTCAGCCAGTTGGGGATCAAAAAATATTAGAAAAAAAACAATAAAAATAACATTACAACAATGAAAAATAATACAAATAAAATACAGTATAGCTATTTACATAGCATTTATATTGTATTAGGTATTGTATTAATCTGTTCTCACACTGCTATAAAGAAATGCCTGAGACTGGGTAGTTTATGAAGAAAAGAGGTTTAATTGGCTCACCATTATGCAGGCTGTACAGGAAACATGGCTGGGGAGGCCTCAGGAAACTTAAAATCATGGTGGAAGGTGAATGGGAAGCAAGCATGCCTTACATGGGTGGAACAGGAGGAAGAGAGAGGGGAGGGGCCACACACTTTCAAACAACCAGATCTCATGAAAATTCACTCACTATCATGAGAACAGCAACTGAGGGTAATCTGCCCCCATGATCTAATCACCTCCCACCAGGTCCCGCCTCCAGCATTGGGGATTAAATTTCAATATGAGATTTGAGTGAGAGGACAAATCCAAACCATATTAGGTGTTATAAGCAATCTAGAGATAAAGTGTATAGAAAAGATTATTTAACCTTTGCATAGTATTTGCATATAACCTTTGGATATAGGTTTATATCCATTTTATATCAGGGACTTGAGCATCCTTGGATTTTCATAACTTTGGAGATCCTGGAACCAATTCCCCATGGATACAAAGGGACAACTGTATAAGAGTTAAAAGTTGGACCTACTTCAGCATAAAATTTCAGAACAGAAAATAAACATAGAGATATATAGTACAATTCTGTCATTTTGTAAATGTTAAAAATGGCTCTGCTGAAGTCCTATAAATATTACATGGCAGAATTTTCTCTAACATTTACTTATTTCTCCTCATCTGGTCTTTCGTCTACATAATCTAATGAGTTTTTTCAAAAGTTAAATTAGTAGAGAATATTTGCCTCTAGGCCAAAGTAAAAAGAGATATGGATTTACAAAAATTACCCACCTTAAAATTTCTTTCCTTTCTTCCTCAGGCACTGTCATGATTGCTAGTCTGATTGCCTATTCCATTGCTAAGACATTTTTCTCTTACAATATTTTTAAGATCCTCATTATTGCCTAATTAGTAAGAAAACCATGACTTAGTTTAGTCTTGGGAAGAATGAACTAGGTAGAAATGGCATCACAATTTTTATTTTCAACCCAAACAAGAGAAAGCTAATGGAGCAATTTAATAATGTTCCTCCAGATCCTGAAGAGTTCACACATCACCATTGGGAACCATTGATTTCCTGTTTTTTTAATGTGTGTACAGAAACGCAGTCTTAGGCACAATGAGGACATGAGAAATAAAGGATTTACTCCATGCTCTCTGGTAACTTGCAAGTGAGTTAGCTATGAAATAAAGACATAAACACAGGGAAAAAGTTGTATTATAGCATGTGCATATGGAAAAAAGTTGTAATACAACATGCATATTTCTATATGGACAGTCTAAAATGCTTTATACAAACAAAAATGCAATAAGATTTCAAACAACATGTGATTGATAACATCTACAGTCCTGCTAGAAAAAAATAGAATTAAGCTTCAAGAATAGGGAGGAATTATGATTAAGGAATGAGAAATAGATTGCTGTTCCAGGTGAAGGGAAAAGTGCATGGAAAATTTCATCTGTCACTGCTAAATATTCAATGAGACAGTAGGGATATCTGCTTGATTAAAATAGCACAAGGAGAAATGGAGTCAAATTAGCAATGACAAACAAGATTATGAGACTATTTCTATGCCAGCACGAAGATTAGAACATTAGTCTATAAACAAACCTAACCTGTATTCAATAAACAAACTTAACCTGACCAAACGAATACTGTAAACCGAATTAATGCAGTCATTGACAGACTAATCCTTTCTCACGGCTTGGAGTGTGTTAAACAACAATCACTGATAGTTCAGCCACTAACTCTGACAAATGGTGGCATTGTTTGTACTGCCCTCATCAAACCTAATCAGTCTAGGTATACTAACCCCATAGGAGAGTCATGGCTCTAAAGGTAATGGGCATATAGTGTCTGCAGTCTAGCCGTTGCATTACCCAGGTGGACCATTATACTTGCCACAAGAGGCAGAATATCCTTATTTCCAAAAGGCCTTAATTTGGCTAAATTCTCATCTTTGTCAGCCAAGGAAAGTGGGGATCTCGTTGTAGACATTTTGAATCTTTCATTGGCACTTCTATATATTATACTAATCAGTTCTTTTGTCTTTACATTTTAGTATCTAGCACGGCTGTGGAACAAAGGAGAGACTCACAAACTGTTGAAAGAATAAATGAATGAATGAATTCTGTTCATGAGCTTTAATAAAACAGCTCTGAGTAGTAACAGTGGATCAAATTTAGGCTTCTTGATGCAGGCATGGTGTAGATTACTACTTCTGTATTGTCCCAGGAGCTCAGCACATTCCTGCAGAGATGATAGGAGCTCATCTGATACTTGTCAGGTAAATATGCTCAGTGATCATGGAATGTTAAAATGAAAGGAACATGCAATTCTGGTCTTTTCCTTAAAAGTTTCAAAAATAATATTACACACAGGAGCATTGTTACACATTTAATTTATCTGAGTAAGTCCCTATATACTACATCAATACTGAAGACATTATCTGGTTTATCACAGATATTTATCTTCTAATAATCTTTGTCTTGACTCTTAGAGATTCTCTGCATTAATTCATAAAAGCATAGAAACGACTTGCTGGAAAAATGTAGTTTTTTATTATGGGAAAGCCAAAGAAGCCCTTTTGTTGATTGTTGGCTATCCCCTCGAGCAGTCTCTTTTCACTGTGCTCTGCACTGCTTATTGCTCTCTCTAGAGTCATGATTCAAATGTTCTAGGCAATTTAAAGTCACTAGTGACTCTCAGTCTCTGAGACTGCTTGGGGCAGCTATCTGAGCCATCATTATGTCACATTATGTCTTAACATTATGTCCTGCCAACCTGAAGCCCCAGCCTGCAACAAGTACAATGGCACGCTGGGTTCAGTCTTCACCTGGCTGTTAATATTGACTTGATCTCAGAAGAGCTTTCAAATGATACAAACAAAGCCTTTCCTGGAAGCCCTTCATGTCTACTGCTGTGATTATTGAACTATCACCATTGCCTACTTTCTGTCAGATTTTTGAAGACCACATAGCAAGTATGCTCTTAGAGTGAGGGGCAGTACAGTAAATACAGTGGCTCGAGAGTTACATTGTTGTTACAACTTGACTCCGAATTATATCAGTTGTGTGATCTTGAGCAAATTGTTCAAACTTTCATTTATTTTTCTCTATAATGGGCACCATAATAATACCAAGCAAATAGGGTATTATTATGGTGAAGACTAAATCAAGTGTCTTGTATATATTAAGCATTAACTAAATGTCAGTCACTTCTGTTTGTATAATCTAATCTTCAATTAGAATTAATATGGCTTTAAAGTCAAAGAGGGCCAGGTGCCGTGGCTCACACCTGCAATCCCTTTGGGAGGCCAAAACGGGAAGATCGTTTGAGACAAGGAGTTTAAGACCAGCCTGGGCAACAAAGTGAGACCCCATCTCTACAAAAATTTTTAAAAGTAGCTGACCATGGTAGCATATACTGTAGTCCCAGCTACTCAGAAGGCTGAGGTGGGAGTGTTGCTTGAGCCAAGAAGGTCCAGGCTGCAATGGGTTATGATGGCACCACTGCACTCTAGCCTGGGTGACAGAGCAAGACCCTGTCTCTAAAAATTAATTAATTAATTAATTAATTAATAATAAAGTCAAAGAGATCCAGATTAGAATCCTGTTGCTACTTTCAAACTTTATGAGCATCTGTTTTTGTCCTGATAAGCAAAGGCAAAGGTCAGTGCCGAATGACTTTGCGTAATGTTACCACCTCTGAATTAGTGTTGCGTACATTGCATGGTGCTAGTACAGTGAATGTTTCAGCTAGGCCACTGGGTGTGCAAGTAGTGGATATTTATATTCAGCATCTATTCAGGTTGATCACTGCCTATGTTGTACTGATTATTTCATAATTTGAATATCATACCAGGGTATTAGTATCAAAGTACCCGTTTGTTGCTTTTGTTGTCATATAGTTAGAAACAGATATTCAAGAAATTTTCAAGTAAAACATTATTCCCATCTATGGGAAACTTCAGAAGCTGCAACAATTCTAAGAACCAGCTTTTATCCCTCCAGACACACATGGATTCTGTCAAGGGAGTACCCGTATCTCTTTGACACTACCTACTTATCAGGCTGCCCCATATTTTTTCATTGTTTTTTAATTTCCTTTTCTGGCCAGGGGTATTTTCTGTTCCCTCTTCTTCCCTTGTGCTCTTTTCTTACTATTAATTGTTGTAATTTCTTTGTGTTTTTGAGTTCAAATTCTTCAGAAGATCGGATCAGCCAACTTCTTATTTTTAGACACTGCTACTCTGTAGATAGTTCATCCTTTGTTACATGTTCACCACAGCTCTGTAGCCAAGACCAGGAAGTGGCTGCATTACAAGGTACAAAACATGCCCCCACAACCCCCAGCTCCCGACATGAGGAAGATGAGCAGAGCAGTTTCCTCTAAAATCTGCTTGGCTGGGGCAAGCATGATGATATCTATAGGTAAAAGGTAATGTGCAAGGATGCCGCGACTCTTGTTTGTTTGACGTTTCACAATTTTATTTATGGAATCAGTTCTGTTGGATAGAATGATTGCTCATGATTTTTGAGGCTTGGATATTGGAACTTAGAAAATAAATTGAATTGGGCACTGCGTAAATGGTCCAGTCAAAGGAAGTGTCTATTTTGGCCACTTCATTTAAAACACAGTAAAATTTAATTAAAGGACAATATTGGTCCAAGAATGTACCTTTTAAGACACAGCAGTATAGTATCAACTCTGTTTGTGTTGTGTCGAACAAAACAAAACAGATTAAATACACAAACAAATATTAGAATATACAATCAGTTGCCACAGTTTTGAAGTGCATGTATATATTTCCTGATCAAAGAATGTTTTCAACTGTACGGAAAGAGTTAGCTGCAGTTTTGTAGCATGTTTACAAAATGATTTCTCTTTGACCATTGAAAAGAAAAGCTGCTATAGGCCGGGCGCGGTGGCTCATGCCTGTAATCCCAGCACTTTGGCAGGCCAAGGCGGGTGGATCACCTGAGGTCAGGAGTTCGAGACCAGCCTGGCCAACATGGCGAAACCCTGTCTCTACTAAAAATACAAAAATTAGCTGGGTGTGGTGACGCCTGCCTGTAATCCCAGCTCCTAGGGAAGCTGAGGCATGAGAATCGCTTGAATCCGGGAGGCGGAGGTTGCGGTGAACAGAAATTATGCCGTTGCACTCCAGCCTGGGCGACGGAGCAAGACTCTGTCAAAAAAAAAAAAAAAGAAAAAAGAAAAGAAAAGAAAGAAGGAAAGAAAAAAGAAAAAGGAAATGCTGCTATAACCATATACTAAAACACTATGACACTATGAAAAAAATTAGTAGTTTTTAATTCTTAACAATGGATGCTAACAAAGAAATATTGCTGAAACCAAGGAAAGGCTGAGAATCAATTATTTCATTCCTGTTTAGTTCTTTGGGCAAGGCATACTAATTTGTTAACAATTTACCTCTTCATCTTTCTTAGCTTTGAATAAACTCCAGTCCCCAAGAGAGAGAATGAGAATCACCGGAATACGAAACTTCCCTGTTGGACTTCCCAACATTCTTGAATGCACCAAGATAGCCTCTTGCTGTGAGATTAATAAATGAATAAATGCCTCCATATTTTTCAAATCTGTGAAGTTAACAACATGTAGATTTTTTTGCATATTTAAAAACTGCAACTAAATCTTAATGCCTCTGAAGCAGATGGAAGAAAATAATAGGCTTCCATTAACTGTGTCAAATTGTATAGGTCTTGGCCATCACTGGTCCTGTTGTGATGAAGGTTTTTTGCCCTTGGATATAATTTAATTTTCAATTCTTCTAATTATGGTACTTCAGAACATCAATATTTGAGATGAACTTCTCTAGTGTCAAGGACTGATTTGAGTTGTGTAAACCCTGAATATCTGAGACAGGTCTCGATTATTTTAGAAAGTTTATTTTGCCAAGGTTGAGGATGTGTGCCTGTGACACGGCCTCGGGAGGTCCTGAGGACATGTGCTCAAGGTGGTCAGAGCACAGCTTTGCTTTATACATTTTAGAGAGACATGAGACATCAACCGACATATGTAAGATGAACATTGGTTCCATCTGGAAAGGCGAGACAACTTCAAACGAGGAGGGGGCTTCCAGGTCATAGGTAGATAAGAGACAAATGGCTGCATTCTTTTGAGTTTCTGATTAGCCTTTCCAAAGGAGGCAATTAGAGTGAGCAAAATGAACAAAATCAATTATTTTGATTCTGAACAAAATGGGAGGCTGGTTTTCCCTAAGCAGTTCCCAGCTTGACTTTTCCCTTTAGCTGAGGGATTTGGGGGGCCCAAGATTTATTTTTCTTTCACCGTTGTATCAAACTACACAGGCGGCCTTGGAAACCATCACAGTTGAGAGTAGGTAACGCCCATTTGTTGCATAGTTTTGTGCTCCACACTCTTATCTACAAAATTATGAATTTTTTTACATATATTAATTTCAGAAAAACTAAAAATAAAACAAAGTAGTTTCAAACTAGTATTGTTTTTATATCTTAAAAATAAAGCTTTATATACTCTCCTTACCTCATCATAAATAGCTTGCCTTATTTAATATATACTCGGCATTCTATCTGTTTTATTTCCATTTTGGGATATGATATTTTAATTTTTTAATTTGTTACCTAAACAAAAAATAATACACAAATTATTCTCAGCCTTTATATATGTACTTGTTGAAAGATGAGATATATAAGTGCCGGTAAGTGCTTCAAGTAAGGAAGACATCTGGCCTGTGTCTTGGGGATCGCATAATCACTGTGGTGACAGTTTCAGAGAGTAGCATGTGTAGGGGTTTGTGGAGTTAGCAAAGACAAGAAGCATGAAGCACAGCCAAAAGTTTTTTTTCAGACACAAGATATATTTGAAGTTTGAAATAGAGTGAAGACCCATAAATGGGGAAGAAGTGAGGATTCTAAGTGTCTGTGCAGAAAATTTAGCATAATTTGTTGAGGATTTGGAGAGTGTGTCAAAAGACAGATAAAGATTGCAGATAGCTGCAAGATCCCAGCCTCAGGGGATCTCAAGCCGTAGGGATTCAGCATTTAGTCCTGCACCTATGTGTGTGTGTTACAGGACATGAGAAATGATTTAAAAAAAAACACCACCCTGGATAAATTCTTAGTTCTGCTCTGTTTAGTGTCTAGTGCTAGGAGATCAAAGGAGAAGACTGTAACTTGAGCTTGACTTTGAAGTCAATAGGACTTGTACAGTGTGGCGAATATACCATAAGGGGAGTCCCAGTTGAGTCATACTTGTTGATGATCCCTATTCCTTGAGCATGAACAGAACCTGAGACTTGCTTCTAACCCATAGAATATGGCAAAAACGGTGGAATGTCACTCCCTTGAGGTATAAGTTATATATAGATATAGTATAGATATATATAGATGATATAGATGTATATATAGATACAGATATAAATGTAGACATAGATATAGATGTATGACTGTGGGCAGACAAGGATGAGATGACAGACCCTGCCTTGCTGGCCCTGAAGATGTGAGCTGCTATGCTGTGAGGTGGGCTACAAAGGAGCCACATGATAGGGGACTGTGGGAACCTGCAGGAGCTAAGAGTGGCTCCCAGCTAACAACCAGCAAGAAAGCAGAACCTCAGCTCTGCAGCTGCAAGTAACTGAATTCTGCCAACCATCATGTGAGCTTGGAATAGGACCCTGAGCTCCAAAAAGAAGCGCCACCCAGCTGACACCTTGATTGTAGCCTTGTGAGACCTTGATCAAAGGACTCAGCTAAGCCATATCTGGACTTCTGATCCATGAAAACTGTGAGATGATAAATGTGTGTTGTCGTAAGCCACTACGTGTGTGGTAATTTATTATGTATCAATAGAAAAATAATATAGATGGCTAGAGAAAAAGATGAGTATATCCTGGGCACTCTAGATGTATGGTACCACACGAGTTAAGTACAGAGAATAAGACGGACATTCTTATTTGGACCTCTGCACTTAAGCTCATGTGGTTCCATACATATAGAGTATCCGGAATATACTTATCTTTAATACTCCATATTGTATATTGATCCGAATATTGAACAAGTATTTATTTATTTATTTATTTTTGAGACGAAGTCTTGCTCTGTCGCCCAGGCTGGAGTGCAGTGGTGCAATTTTGGTTCACTGCAAACTCCGCCTCCTGGGTTCAAGCCTTTCTCCTGTCTCAGGCTCCCAAGTAGCTGTCACTACAGGCACCATGCCTGGCTGATTTTTGTATTTTTGGTAGAGACAGGGTTTTGCCAGGCAGGTCTTGAACTCCTGACTTCAAGTGATTCACCCACCTCAGCCTCCCAAAGTGCTGGGATTACAAGCATGAGCCACCACACCCGGCCTTTGAACAAGTATTTCCTGAGAACCTACTGTGTGTTAAAACTTGACCAGGAAACCAATGGGGGAAATGAAAATTAAGAGAGCTTAAGTAACTTGTGCAAGTTTACAAAAAAACAATTATATAAGAATACAGGAATGCTGTAGGGGAAAATGGAGTCATGTTTGTGTGACATCCCAACCAGTAGGGTCTCTGAGTACTTAATCTGTATCTTTGAATACAGCTTGTTTTTCTTGTTTCCTTTGCACTATAGTTTAAGTTGTGTGTTAGATCATCTTGAAAGCACTTATTCTCCTTGTGTCCAGGGATGCTTTAGGATAATTTAGCAGTAAATAACTGAAATTATCTTTCTAAAACAAAAGTATACTTTTTCTCTACTGAGTTTCCCAGAGTGTACAAAAGAACATTGAACACTGAAAAAGAAAATAAATCCTGAAGAAAAATAGACACAGGAGCTGAATCACTGTTTTGATTTCAGAACAGGAACATCTAAGTCTGTAAAATATTGAGTACTTTGAACTTTGATCTCACTAAATTTAAGCTGTTAAATTGTTATGCTTTTCTGGGAATTCCTAAGAACTTCCCTGTATTACAACGGCTGACTCTGAAATTTTGTTCATTTGAAATTTTTGATTTTTTTTTCTCCATGTTAGAACTGGAAAAGATATTTGTTCAATTCAATATTTTAAACAAATGAAGATATATTTGGAAATAAAATAAAACCTCTTCTGCAGTGGATCCTGTTGATACTCTGTTAAATCTCCTCCAATCCCCTTTTCTCCTTGGCTGCATCCTTCTCCTGGCTTGTGTTTGCTTTTGTTTTTCTGTTGCACCTGCATTTCTCTTAGGAAGGCTGCCTCAACTGCTGGAATCCCTTTACCACCTGCTGCAGAGTTCTTAGGGGTTTCCTTCCTGCCCAGCGTGGCCCCTTTCTCCAGCACAGGCTCTTAGTCAAAGAATACTTGAAAGCCCAACTTCGTTGCACGGAGGTGAACAACTCTGAGATTAAGTTATGCTCTTGAGGTCCCCTGCAGGAATAGACAAGAAACCTCTGGGAAGACATCACCTGAAACCACACACTTATTGAGTTTCTTCCACTTTTCTCTTTTCTGCTTCCCTGTGTCTTACTGGTTCCTTTTGGGGGCACTTCTGGAATAAACAGTTTCTGTAATAAATCCCAATTTCAGTCTGCTTCTAGGGAATCAACCCAAGACGGACACCTTCTTACCTGTTTGCTGAAATATAAACTTGGTTATCAATCCAGAACTGCCAAAGTATTTGATACAAAATGAGATATTTCAAAATGCACAGGTGTCCTAGATTTTTGTCATTTTAATGACTTTTTCTGGATAATAAAAGTAGCTTATATTAATTGTTGAGTTTAGAAAATGCACAAAAATAAGGTAAATTACATTATCTGTAGTTTCTATTTATACCTTGGTAAATTTTTCCAAAAACTACCGCTAGCCCCACCTCCAATCAAGACTACATCTTTGAGTATATATGCTAATTTTTTCTAATTAAAATTATGATTCTAATTAACATACAGAATTACATTCTGCTTTGTTGTACACAGGTGGTTTAGTTATTTAATATTTTTTAAAATGTCAAGTGCTTGCACATTGTAAATTACTTTTCAAAGAACAAAAACAATGAAAGAAACAAAGTCAGGGTTAGAGCAGAAATTTCTCCTCTCCATTTTCATTTCCCAAACATAAATACTTTACAAGACTGGTGAAGATTGTTCTAGATTTTATACACACAAAAGCACATTTACACACACATACACACAGACACTCACAAGGATGTACATATACAATGCACGTTTTTACTCTTATTTATAATGAAACTTGTGCATACTACATATGTATTTCTTACAATTAGCTTTCTTCAGTCTAGGAACTTGATGAACTCTTTCCACAGTAGAGCTTGGAGATCAGCCTCAATTTTTGTAAATAATACATGAATACTGTTTTTCCTGATAAACAATACGTCACTTCCTGTTCTTATGCGTTTCTGTATGCATGGGTAGGGACATTTCTTCCATGTGCTAAAATCCTAGAAAGGCACCTAATGATTAGTAAGAAATGTTTAAATCAATACATAACTGAGCACATTTAGAAAATATTAGCCTCTACTGAATGTAAATCCTTAGTTTCTCACAAATACCCCCTCCCCAATATCCCTGCTTCTCTCTCAAAATGTCTTGGTATAAATGCGTATGTGCAGCTTATCCATCCTCTATCAAAATGTTAGTAGTTACTACCAAATTACCCTATATTAGTACAAGTTGTAATAATATATAGTCCAGCCAACATTCTATATGACCAGGTATATGAGCTTTTGTATTTATAAATAATTCTCCAGTCTGTCTTTAATTTTAAGTTGTTTATTGTGTTACTTGCCATAAACGAATTTAACTTTTTTTCATTAAACAATTCCAGTATTTAATCTCTTTATTACTTCTGATTTTTATTTTATTCCTGGAGAGGTACCCATTCTCCAGATTAATGTTTATTTTCATCTAATATTTTAAGATGTTTTTTCTACCTTCTGGTCATGTATTTATTTGGAATAAATGTGTGTCAAATGAATACATATATGTTAGGGAAGATATGCCAGGTAGGAATCAAACATAGTTTTTCACCACAAATTGATAACCTATTGTAGCTATCCACTCCACTGAATGGTCCATCCACTACCTGTTGATTTTGAAATGTAACTTTTTCACATAAGGATATTCATATATGAATATAAATAGATGAATAGATAGATAGATAGATGTGATGACTGTATGGATACCTAACTATTTATATCCATCTATTTATGTATGTGCATTTTGGGGCTCTACTGTTTCACTGATCCATCATTTTCACTTCAGAACTACACTGCTATAATTGCTATAGCTGCATGGCACGTTTCCACATGTAGTAGAGCAAGATCTCAGTCATTATTCTGCTATTTCAAGACTGTTAAACTAACCTCATGCAAGATTGCTTTATGAAGATCTCTTGACAACATCTATATTTTCTACCTTGATAATTTCCTTCTAAAAGCAAAAATACATTTGGATATGTTTTGTAAACTCTAGTAATCATACAAATGTAAATTGTGCATGCCTTGTAGGTAGCAGGGTCTCTCTTATAATTCTCACTCATCTTAGGTACAGGAGGGAAAAATGTAGCTTTTAAATATTGCCTGTAACTATCTGCCTCCTACAACCCCATTTTCAGGTTATTCACATAACTTGGGGATAGGTGGTCAAAAAAATAAAACTTAAACCAATAACTAGTCAAGGACTTTTAAAAATGGTTTAGATTATTTAAATATAATTTCCTGCTCTCTCTCAGAGATTGCTCTACCTCAAACATCTCTGCTTATCCGCTAAAGATGGCATCTGGGTAGAAGGGGAGTAGGTGTTTATACTTCTTGCGATTCCTGCCTTACCCTGACCTCCAAAACAATGTCCTTTGACCACCTTGGGGTGGTTAGCCCTGCTGGCATTTAGGACTGTGGTCAGCATCTTTTTTTTTTTTTTTTTTTTTCTCAAGCAAGTTCTCACTATGTTTCCCCAGTCTGGTCTTGAACTCCTGGGCTCAAGCAATCCTCCTGCTTTGGCCTACCAAAGTGCTGGGATTACAGGTTTGAGCCACTATGCCCAGTGATGGTCAGCATCTTTTGTCTGGGGGTAGTCAAGGCCATGTAATACGTTTGCACTTTCTCAGCTTTATTTGAGCTCTTGCTGGTGCTATCCACCCTCTGATTGTCTGACTGGGAATCTCATTTAGCTCGTAGCCCTTGGAGCAGAACCCCTAAGGGAAGCCCCTCTGCCCAATGTGCCAGCCAAGTGTTTAGCTGCTTTGGATATGCCTTTGCCTCATCAGACCCAAGGGCAACCCAGGAAACTAAACCTCTGCCTGACCTCTGCTTTCATGTGACTGCCCTCCCTGTGAGTGTGAGTGCAACCTACATGGAAGCCTCCTTCCAGATGAATAAGTGGGTGGCGAGGCAAGAGTCACTCTCCTCTGTGACTTCATAAACTATCAAATGTGCTTTTCCAAACCAGACAGCCATGTTTGTTTCCTTCATGAGCTTCTCTTCCCTGGTCTTCTCTTCTTTGTACCACCCTAGTGGGCAGATAAAATTATTTGTTTTCTTTTGACTTCCCTCCCATCTTATGCTCCTTCTACTTGATTTCAACCATCTTTAATGGGGAACAGAAATATCTCCCTGAATATTATTTAAATTGTATATTACATGAATGGCAACCCCCGGAGAAAACCATTGCATACAATGTAGATGATGCCTGCTGTATCTGTGCAACTTGGAAGCCTTGATCTCCTCAATACAATGAGGAGATTTCACAATGAGTCCAGCTGCGTCAGTTAAAAGAAAAGAAATAATAATTTAGCTAGTCTCTTAGAAGGACAACAGCCTGGTTTTCAAGACTATTGTCCTCCTGAATTCTGAATGTTAATATCACAGTGTCTTCCTTCTGGCAAAAAAAAAAAAAAAAGAGAAAAGATGAGGAATAAGATGAAAGCCAGGTGCTGTAAAATGTCTAAGAGGAAACATTAAGCTACTTCTATGCCTTATCCTTTCATCTTTAGTCCCCTTCTCCCCTTTTTGCATCCTTTCTCATAGCTACTGATGTTAACCACAAATAAAGACAGTATCTGACTAATCAAGATCAATTCACATTTCTGCAGCCAGGAGAGGTTAAGGAGTGGCAGAAAAGGAAGTGAAGTTCTTTGAAAGTTACTGAATAACAGATATTGTGCTTATAACTTTCCATATTTTAGTTGGTTAACATTCGTAAGATTAATCTCTGTTTCACAGATGAAGAAACTGAGGCTCAGAAGAGTTTGGAAATTGTTCCAGATCGTACACTAGTAAGGATCAAAGACAGACTTGAAATCCCGCTATGAGGAAGTGCAAAACTATTATTCCTCATTCTAAGGAACTTTGTACTGCGAAAACAATGCATTGCAAAAATTGTAAAAAGTGGCCCTTTACTTGTTAAAGGGTCACGTGAATTAATCAGAGGGGCCTATGGGATAAATGTCACGCTGCTCTATGGTGCAATGCCAGTAAGCTTTTGGCCATTTCAGCACCTGTGGGTTTTGCCGTCCTAATTTCAAGGTTAGGCATAAAAGTAAGTCTCACACTGTTTTATAAGAGTACATTTCTGCTGGTTTCTTAACCATATTTTACTGCTGCCAAATAACCATACCTTCTCCTCATCTCCTTCTCATCATAAGTACATGATACCATTGTTGAAATTCCACGATGTTTATGCTCTCATTTTTGAAAAATTTAACCTTGGTCTTAGACATTAGTTATTTCCATGAAAAATGTGACATGCATTTTAGGAATACCTAGATAGATTTAGGGATGATGTATTGCACATTCACCCTCATTTACTATTCAGCTTTACTTGCTATTTAATTCTCCTGTCACTACCAAATACTTTGGCGGACTAGGACTATGCTATTTTTGTGATCATTTCACATTTTATATCAATCCTCCTGCCCTTATGTATCATGTCTCATGTTTTTATTACATCTTATCAGACCCAATCTTGTCACAGAATGTTTCATTTTCTGCTATAACTAAGATTTACTGTGCCTAAGGGTTCTCAAATTTTAGAGCCTATTTCATTTTAGTTTTGTGTATTTTTTGAAATGAACTCCATAATGCATTTGTAGCTTTGACTTGCCTCAAATTGAGGTTTGTCATTAATTTGCTTTTGAAACCGATCCCAGTTTATCTAATACCAAGTAAACCGTTATTTGAACAGAAAATTGGAATATCTTATTTGTGTCCTAAAAGCAAAATCTTTGTTGTCAAAGGGGAAAATAATATCAGGTGCCAAAGGAAATCATGTTTTGACGTCAACTGGGGTCCTGTTCCTCAAACACAATAGAAACTCAACTTTTGTTTGAATTAATTCTTTCCAGTTTTTTTATAGGACTAGCTTCCTTATTGGTCTCTAAATTACTCTGGGTCAGAAGAGTGGTTCCCCTGAAGTGAGGAACTGATAAAATGAGACTATTTATCGATTTAATGGATATATTTTTAGGTATGTTTTTAAGGCCCTTGTGGAAATAATTGCCAGTGAAGGTGCTGTTTTTAACTAACATAAGGAGACATAAGAGTCACCGGCTTTAAAACAGTGGTGAACTTTAAAAGGAGACAAACCTTGAGGAAAAACCATCATATTCACAATAGGCCTTTTCCTTTTTGACCTCAAGACTCTATTTCTAGGAATAATTAGAGAAACACCCAAAGATGTATTAAAAAGTAGGATTATTGCAGTCTTACTTATATAGCAAATACACTAGAAACAATGAAAATATCTAATGACAGCAAACTGATAAAATATGGATTTCCAATAGTAAGCTCTGCAGTCTTTAAAAATTATGAATTTGATGATAGGTAATAATCTGGAAAAAGGTACACAAAATTCAAGTAAAAATATACAACTTAAAAAAAAAAGTAAAACTATTAAAAATTTTTAGGCCGAAAGTGATGGCTCATGCCTGTAACCCCAGCACTGTGGGAGGCTAAGGCGGGTGGATCACTTGAGGTCAGGAGTTCAAGACCAGCCTGGCAAAAATGGTGAAATCTCATCTCTGAAAATACAAAAATTAGCCGGGCATGGCAGCATGTGCCTGTAGTCCCAGCTACTCGGGAGGCTGAGGCAGGAGGATCACTTGAACCTGGGAGACCGAGGTTGCTGTGAACCCAGATTGCACCACCGCACTCCAGCCTGGGTGGCAGAACAAGACTCAGTCTCAAAAAAAAAAAAAAAAAATTTGTTTACATTTATGATACCAATTTAAAATATATATATGTATGTAACCTCCTGACAGATTATTCCTGCCCACTGCACAAATAAAAACCACAGCACTGCAGTAAATAAAGAGTTTAATTGATATGAGGCTAGCCATGCCATGCGGGAGACAGTTAAATCAATCTCATTGAAGGCTTGTAGGGTAGAGGCTTTTCAAAGGCAGTTTGGAGGTAATGGTGGGGTGGCTAGGAAATGGGTGCTTGCTGCTGACTGGTTGGAGTGGAAATGAAATGATAAGGGGTCTAAGCTGTCCTTTTGTGCTGAGTTGCTTCCGGGTGAAGTTATAGGAGCAGTGAAACCACCAGTTGGTGGGTCTAGTGGATCCATCCGTGTCAGACATACGAAAACCCTGAAAAGATATCTCAAAAGGCCAATCTACATTAGTGATGTTGTCTGCAGGAGTAACTGAGGAAGGTGCATATCTTGTGACCAGTCTACATTTTACCAAATTGAGGCTCCTCTCCTCCCGCTACCCTGGTCTCTCATTAGCTTTACAAAGATGGTTGATTTTGGGGGAAGGGCTATTATCATTTAGCCTGTAACCTAAACGTCTTCCAAAGTTAGCTTGACCTAAGTCCAAGAATAATTAAGGCAGTTTGAAAGCTAAAGGCAAGGAGGGGGTTGGCTAGATCAGATCTCCCTAACTGCCATAATGTTTTTACTTACATAATTTTTGCAAACGTGGCTTCATGTATTTTTGTGCAGAGAAAAAAAGAGGGAAAAAAATACCCCATAATGACGGTAAGGGTGTACAATAGCTGGTGGAATTAGGGGAAAATTTTATATACTTTTTTATAACATTTTGGTTAAAATAATTTTTTTCTTCGTCTTTTTTTAACGAGAAGAGATTTTACCAAAATTCAGAGTGACTCTTTTCACTAGAATAAACTTAAATCTTGGCTAACAACAAAGATAAAAGGCAGAAAACAAAAGGTTGTGACCACCAAAGATTCATTATGTTGTACATTTGCTTTCTGTTTAATATTGATTTCATCTCCCTATGAGATCTCTGGGTTTATTTTATTATTTTTTCTCACACATCCGATCAGAACGGAACCTCCATTTCCCTAGAGAGAATCATGTTGTGTCGACCAACCATCTGTGTCAGAGAGCAGAGGAATCTGGGACTTTTAAACAGTCGTCGTGTAGGCTACAGATGGGTAGTAGCAACATGAAATTCTCAGTCCATTTAAGGCAGCTGGCACAGGCAGGTCCTTCTTTGTACCTTAGCCACATCAATAGTAAAGTGGCATCATCTGTGAACCTAGAGTTTTCCGAGAAGTCTTGAAAGCATCATTCTTAACTGCGTGTAGCCCATCAAGTGAAATTGACATGAAAGTACGCACAATTGTTGACGCAAATTCCCTCAGCAATGTTATATGTTGTAAGCTGTTAATACTACCTTTTAGATCCAATCTCCCACCCCATGGGGACTCCCCAGTGGCTCCGCTGCACCTGCAAGGATTCACAGTCCATCACTGGCAAACTCTCCTGTTGCGTTAACCTCTCGTACTCTACCTGAAGCCTGCCATCCACTGGGTCCAGCCACCTCCTCTGTAGCCTTTTTCATTGGTGGCTATTTTTCCTTCTTCTTCTTTCACAGCCTAAGACCTGCAAGTAAATGGGTTTCCTTCTTCCTTCTCACTGCAGCAAAACCATGTTTCCTGTTCCTCCCTCTGTTTTTGGTTAAGGGAATGTAATTCCACACCTTCTCCCGTTCCTGGTGACAGAAATCTCCCCTCCACAGCATGTTATCAGAGGCTTCCACAGTCAGCCCTCACATGTTGTTCCCTTCTGATCCAGCACAGATTTCAAGGCCTATCAGAATAAGCATTTGTTTGCACATACCCGCCATTCCTTTGCACCACCTCTGTTGAGTTTGGCCAAAAAGATATCAACCCTCACTACATCTACACGTCTACCTACTCTGCGTCTACAGTTGAGGAGCCAATGTGGCTGGTGGATGCCATTTAAATTTACACCCTCAGACCTGAACTGGGTTGTTAGCTGGCTTCTTACATTTTTCTGATTGCTTCCTGCTTTCAGAGATAACAGATTTATATCTTCTCTCTTGTCCTTCTTTGACTCACGTCAGTAGAGAAATAGTCATCTTATCTTACTTCATCTTCTGCGTCACTTCCTCCACTTCTGCCTCACTGTCCCTGAGGAGGGCACCTGTCCACCCTCCTATAATGATGATGGATTTCTCCTTGCAACTAGGTAAGGGCAACATTAAATATAGTACTCCTATTCCATTTTGCTCATTCACGGACTTTCCTGGTGTCTCATTCTTGTACAACCAATTATGCCTTTTAATCTAATGAACATGAAAAACAGTTCACGTATTTAAAATTAAATTCCATGCTAGGCCCCACAACCCCTTTCAACTATTATCTTATTTCATTCTTTTGTTTACAATAAAGTTTTTGAAAATGTCTGTACCTGCTTTCTCTATTTCCTCACCTCACCCCTCCTTTGCTTCTCAATCCCCTCCTGACAATTTTGGCCTTCCCCACTCTACTGAAACCACTTTGACATGGTTAAGGAATAACAATGTTTTAAGAGAATAGGAAAAAGTATGATGCAGAAACTTTAGTCTTGAGTAGAAGTTTGTCCAGTGGTCTACTAGAACAATGCTCTTCTTTTCTTTTCCCATCACCTGGACAAGAAAGTCAAGATACTTTAAAATGTATATTTTATTTGACCTAATAAAGGCAAAATAAAAATGAGTAGCTGGTACTCATTTGTTCGATACCTTGAGTTTCGTGGTAACAATTTGAAGAGGACCATAGTATACAAAGTAAAGATTACCAGAATTTAAAGTGTCCTATCACACTGACAATTTATAAGCAGAGATTTCTAAGTCTCAACATTATTAATAATTTGTGCAATCTATTTTTTAATTTTGGAATAGTTTAATTTTAAATTATAGTAATATTCTATTTTATAAAATTTATATATTGCAAATAAGATGTTTTAATTTTATTTTATACAGATTAAGAGATTCTATAGAATCTCTTACAGAATATTTCTCTGATCAAGAAATATTTTCATATACTGTTTTTAGACTTGGTATTGTTTTAACCTTTTTACTTTCTCCTAAATTTTGTGGATATACTTTTAATATTTTATTTAGCATTAATGTAAAATGTACTACTTCAAGTGTTTAGCATGAGCTTTGTTTTTCTTTTTCTTTCTTCATCTTCTTCTTTCTTCATCTTCTTCTTTCTCTTCATCTTCCTTCTCTTCTTTTTCTTCCCCTTCTCCTTCTCCTCCTCCTTTTTTTAGTGGAGGCAGCCAGGCTCGGAACATCAGCTAGCCTTTGCAGCTTGAGTAGCAGAGGCTGTAGCCACAGCATGATATGGGACTCCTGAAGTCATTCCCCATGTTTACTGCTTTTACTGAGTAATGTGGTCTAGCATGACCTTTATCCGAATTCTAAATAACTATTCCAAATGTTTTAGAAATTAGCAGCACTGAAGCAATATCCTGAAGCAACCTGGGTGTGTTTGTGTGTGTATTCATATTGAAAGCTTATTTCCCTATTACATTTTTTTAGATTTCAAATCCATTTATTGATTTGATTTTTCCAGCAGTATCAAATTGCTTCTTTTAATAATGGACCTGATGCATAAAAGATCACATATTGTGATACCTAGAATAAGTCTCAGAATTAATTTCACATCATAATTCTTATTGGCTATGCAGTCATGGACAAGTCACTGAACATTAATTTCTTTATTAATATATCTGGGATAATTGTATCTTCGCTGTATGTTAAAACATGATAACATTCGGCCAGGCGCTGTGGCTCACGCCTGTAATCCCACCACTTTGGGAGGCCAAGTCGGGCGGATCACTAGGTCAGGAGATCGAGACCATGCTGGCTAACAAGGTGAAACCCCGTCTCTACTAAAAATACCAAAAATTAGCTGGGCACGGTGGCAGGCGCCTGTAGTCCCAGCTACTCGGGAGGCTGAGGCAGGAGAATGGCGTGAACCCGGGGGGCGGAGCTTGCAGTGAGCCGAGATCGCGCCACTGCACTCCAGCCTGGGCGACAGAGCGAGACTCCATTTCAAAAATAAAATAAAATAAAAAGATGGCATTCAATTAATGGTTTTGTTTTTGCTGTTAGTAGTTTAAAAAAGAAAGCTCTCATAGAAGTTGTTTAAAGCTCCTCTGAATAAGTAATATAGTATGCGCTCACAATGTCACTACTAATTTTGACGTTTCATTTCCTACTCATTGATAGTTATCCGTGTTTTTTTCTGTTTTAGATGGCTCCATTTGTGAATGTATTACAAACAGAAATACATTTTTATTTGAAATATCAGGGGTTATAATTTAATAACACCTTTATTACATCACTTAGAATTTCTTTTTACCATCTATGATTGCCAACTTAAATTTTGGCCAGAAATCTTGGTTGTAAAACTCATTAAATTTTATTGTAATTTATGTGTGTGTGAATATTATTAAAACCTTATGTATGAGGCCGAGTGCGGTGGCTCACACCTGTAATCCCAGCACTTTTGGAGGCCGAGGCAGGCAGATCACCTGAGGTCAGGAGTTCGAGACCAGCCTGACCAACATGGAGAAACCCCGTCTCTACTAAAAACACAAAAAAAAATTAGCCATGCCTGGTGGCGGGGGCCTGTAATCCCAGCTATTCGGGAGGCTGAGGCAGGACAATTGCTTGAACCTGGGAGGCAGAGGTTGCAGTGAGCCAAGATCACCCCACTGCACTCCAGCCTGGGCAAAAAGAGCAAAACTCCATCTTAAAAAAAAAAAAATTATGTATGAGTTCCAATTAATACTGTTTTCCCCTTTTGTGTAGTATCATGGAAGTTTTTATAGCTTTGACTTATTTCATTTATTTTTGGCATTGCTAATATTTGGAGAGTGAAACCTTTTTGAAATTGACACTTTTGTCACATTACCACTATTTCTCTGTATTTTTGAAGTCGCTTATTTGATGACCACAAATTTTACAGGGTCCACCTTGAATTTCCTGCAGTCTCAAAATTTCTTACAGCCCTAATTCTTTTTATTGCTTATTACTATACAGATTTTGATTTAAGTATGGGTTATTTCCATTGTATTATTTCCTATAAGCAATGGTTTAGAGCTAGGTAACACACAAGCCTCTAACCAATTCAATAACACAATAGGAAAATTATATTTTCTTATTTGCTTTTGACAGCATGAGTACCTGCTGATATTTTCAATTTATTTGAATTTATTATCCTTTTATTCTTTTCTTCTCTCTTTTTCTGAACACACTTCCTTGTTTTTGCTGTGTATAATCTATTCACCTAGGCTCTACACTGTCACATATATTATTCCACATAAAATCATAGTGTACCGTATTACACACTAGGAGATGTGCAACAATTTTCCTTCAAATTTAGAAACAATTTTCTATAATGCAGTTGAAGTTTACTCAAGCCAGATGTCACAGTGTAGCTAATAAATAACTACTATACCATAACATTTCAGGAAAAAATTCATGTATGTAAACATCCTCAGGTAGAATACACATGGGAGTGGTCTAATAGCTAAACCACATAGTCTCCTAAACATTGTCTCTGCTGTAATTACTAAGATTTACTTTTACAGTATATATACCCATTTGATTTACTTTAAGCAATCATAAAAGAAGTTAATCATGACAGGTGTATGGGAAAAACAGTGCCTTCAAACAGTGTTTGTAGCAGTGTACACTGGCAAAATATTTTTTACAATTAGGAAAGACATAATAGATCCTTAAACCTTGTCAACACTTTGGCTTAGTGATTTTACTTCTGGAAAAATACATATAATTACATCTTTTTCATGTAAAAAAAATTAAACAGTAGATTCTTCTCAAGGTTGGTGGTTATGGGAGGTGACAATTGTAGCATATCATCTCCCGGCTTCAAGAGTGGGCCTGTGTTATACTAGTCATGAAACTTCAGCTTCGTTGACTATGCCAGTTGGTCCAGGGGCTGACCACACAACCCATGACAAAGATCCAAAGGGCTTTTCATTCTGAAATAAGCACAGTAAATTTCTTTCTGCCCTGTGCAATTTCTGCCTTGTTCTTTAGATGGGAACCTACGGTTATAGCCACATGGGAATCATGAGAACTGACAGCCTGAGAGGCTAAATCCAAAAGACAGCCAGAAGCAGGGAAAAAAGAGAACAGTGATAAGACAGAAACAACAAGACAGAGACAGGAACGGAAACAGGTTGGATGGTGTTTTGTCTCTGAATCCAGCTCTACTGTGTTCTTTCTCTGGTGTATTATATTAACCAATACACTCTCATTTTGCAAAAGCCAGTATAAGTTGGACTCATGTTTTTTTGCAACTATAGTATCTTGACAAATGTGAGCTTTATAAAAACCTATATAATAATGTTAAAATTTTTTATTATAGAACACTAAGTATAAAAATCATGATACAACATTTTATGTAGAACACTATTGCAGATGACCCAAAAGAGAAAACACACCAAAAAGAAATTATATACATAATACATAAAAAAGAAGAAAAATATGGAAATATAAAAATAGTTATTTTTGGATGGTAGGATCAAAAGAATTCATTTTTAAATTTTTTTCTGATTTTCTATTTTTTCACATTTTAATAATATGTAAAGTTATAAGTGGAAACAAAACTTTTTAAGTTATAATTTTCATTATAATAAAGAGATTTCTTTTTTCTAAAATAATGGTTCTGAAACTTGGTACAGAAAAGAATTATCTAGAGCACACCAAATTCCTAGGCTCCATCCCAGCCTACTGAGTCAGAAATCCTAAAGTGGGGTCAAAGTATTTTCATTTCTTCCAAAGTTCTGAAGAACCTCTGGAACTAGAACCAAGATGGTACAACATGACAGGTGGGGGTGTTGGACTGGGTATTTAACAGACCTGGATTTGAACTCCAGTTCTGCCATTGGTAACTGGATAATTTTCAAGGATCTTTTTATTTCCTCTAAGCCTTGACTTTCTTATCTCTAAAATGAGACTAAATAGATTTGATCATGATACGTTGTATACATGTATCAGAATATCACTGTGTACCCCATAAATACGTGCAGTTATGTGTCTACTAAAAAAGGAAAAAAAAATAGATAAAATGAGGCTAATTATTTTAATTGCCAGGGTAGATGAAGCACTGTTTATACAGCTTATACAGCACGTAGTATGATGTCCAGGCACAGCATAAGCACTCGAGCATAATAATACATTATTTAAAAATAAAAAATAGATAAAACAAATTTAAAAATAGTAAATGTCATCATCATTATTATTAACCTTCCATGATGATGACAAAAATTTATAGGAAAAAGGTTTTAATTACCCCAAGTCGATTTATATACCATTTTGAATCTCATGCCATTGATTGGGGGAAAATTTCCTATCATCTTCTACTCTCCAGGGTATACTTCCAAATGGCATAATTCTCTGTCATAAAATATTTCCAATTTTTCTTCAAATTTCAGTAGAAAGGGATTGAATTTGAAGAGTCATCACCGCAGTTCTGCTTTCATAAACAAAAGCAAACAAGCAAACAAAAATCACTACGAGTGTTTTGTAAAGGGAGAAAGGCACCAATAGGTTATTAAAGTTGAATTACCAGGGCCATTTACGCTCATTCCCAGTGCCTGTGTCACACATAACCCCTGAAGAAGGAAAATAGCAATACTTAGTGAAGCAGGTAAACGGAATTTCCAGCCAAGGAGTTCAACAGACAATCTGAATTCTGGCTGGCCTTTTAACTCAGAGGTAATTACAGTAGATTTGGGGGCCTAACCTTAGTTTGCAATATTTTTTTAACTGATATTATATTTTATGCAGGCCAAGTCAAACACTTGAAGGGCAGAGGGCAAGATGTAATTAAATTACTACCTTATTTATGTTAATTATTCATTCTTATTAAATGAGGACAAAGATGTGAGTCTGTTTTGCTTGTTGCTGTTTTTATTGTTGTTTTTGTTTCTTGATGCCGCTGTACTACCAGCAGCTAAAGCAGTAGAAGGCTTAGAGTAGGCTTGCACTAAATGTGCTGGATATTGGATAGAAGCATAAATACCATCACGTATGCAATGGCAGACTACAGATACCACCATCCTTATCTATCTACAACTGATCAGAAAACAAACAGAGACTAAAAAACAAACTAACAGATACAATCCTCAATCACAAAAATCACAAATGGTGAAGAAGGGGTGCTACGTGAAGAAAGGATCTGCCTGGTGTGCAGGAAGGTACCAAAGAGAAACACTGCAGCAGCCAAGGGCAGCAGAACCTGGCGAGGACCAAACTCCAAAGCTCAGGAGCATGCCAAGGGGCCACACCTTTTCTGTTACAAAAGATCAGTACACACAGCTAGTACAGAGCTTCCTGGTTTGGTACCACAGAACTCTAGGGACTGGAGGGGTGCAGGGAATTGAATTAGGTGACACATGACATTTTTGCCAGGAGTAAGTCATCTGTGAGTCAAGGTCTAGAAGAAAGATTCAGAGTTGTTAGATGATCTGCAGCCATAAGTCTCTAAAAGTTAGGGATAAACAGAAGGCTAAATCAATCCCTCCCACACACATACACCCCCCTGTGTCGTGAAGAACTCTGCTCTGAAGCAGAGAGACATTTTGCAGCTCTGTCCTCTCTCCATCATAAAGCCCAGAAAATAGCTGGTCCAGAAAGGGCTCACCTAATTCAAAGTGAACAATATTTGAAAAGGATGCACAATATAGGCATGCACAGCATAATCATGTTTTTGTCAACTCTGGGCCACATATACAACAGTGGTCCCATAACATAATACTGTATCATATTGTATTTTTATCGTACTTTTTCTATATTTATATGTGCTTAGATACACAAATCCTTACCATTGTGTTACAATTAACTACAGTATTTTTACAGTAGCATGCTATACAAGTTTGCAACCTGTGAACAATAGCCTATCCCATACAGCCTAGGTGTATAACAAGCTATACCATCTAGGTCTGTATAAGCACACTCTATGATGTTTGCACAATGACAAAAATCACCTAACAATGCATTTCTCAAAATGTATCCCCATCATTAAGTGATACATGACTGCATCTGTGTAAATATATTATAAGAAAAGAGGAGGACTAGAACCAGAAAAACAAAAGTCAGAGACTACACATCAGAAAAATATTACCAGGGCCAGAGAATCTCGTGTCCAAATGCATTTTCATGGATTTAAGTAATTTTAAAAAACAATCTTAAATTTTTTTAAAAAGAGTTCCTAAATTTAAAGAAATAAGAGTTCACAGAGATATGGGCCAGGTAAGACATTAGAAATATGTTTCAATGGAAACAGATGAAAATTAAATTGGCAGACAGAGCCCAGTAAAGCAGTGAAAGACAAAAATAAAACCATAGTATAAGTGAAGACTATATTAGAAAAAAGCAAAAACAAGTAACTTCAGGGACTGTTTAAAACAAAATAAAAATATGGAGAACAGGACAGATTGAATAAAATTAACACATACACTAGAAACTAATAATGAATTAAGTAGGGTTAGAGGAAAAAAATGGATAGATCCTGAAAATTTAACCATGGAGGTGAAAGAAGTCTACACTGATGTCTGTAAAACATTGATAAAAGAAACTAAAGAAGACACAAGTAAATGGAAAGATAGTCTATGCTCATGGGATAAAATAACATTGTTTAAATGTCCATACTACCAAAAGCTATCTACAGATTCAATGCAATCCTTATCAAAATACCAATGACATTCTTCACAGATATAGTAAAACAAATCCTAAAATTGACATGGAGTTATAAAAGATCCCAAATAGCCAAAGAAACCTTGAACAAAAACAACAAAGCTAGAAGCATCACATTACCTGAATTCAAAATATACACTAAAGCTATAGTAAAGAAAACAGCATGGTACTGGCTTAAAAGATAGACAAATAGACCAAAGGAACAGAATAGAGAGCACAGAAACAAATCTAGAAGCCAACTGATTTTTGACAAAGTTGCCAAGAATACACAGTAGAAAGTACAGTCTCTTCAATAAACAGTGCCTTGAAAAGTGGATATCTTCATGTAGAAGAACAAAGCTAGATTCCTATCTCTCAACAAACTCACACAAAACTCAGCTCTAAATGGATTCCGGACAGAAATGTAAGGTTCAAAACAATGAAACTACTTGAAGTAAACCTAGGGTAAATGCTTCATATTGGCCTGGGCAATTTGGAAAAGACCTTGAAAGTATAAGCAACAAAAGCAAAAATAGGCAGATGAGATTACATCAAACAACTTCTGCACAGCAAAGCAAACAGACAACAGAGTGAAAAGACAACCACAAAATGGAAGAAAATATTTGCAAACTATGCATCAAGAAGTTAATAACCAGAATGGATAGGGAACTGAAACAACCCAATAGCAAAACAAAAATAATTATATTTAAAAATGGGCAAAAGACTTGAATAGCCTGGCTCAGTGGCTCACGCCTGCAATCCCAGTACTTTAAGAAGCCGAGATCACTTGAGGTCAGGAGTTTGGGACCAGCCTGGCCAACATGGTGAAACCTAGTATCTTCTAAAAATACAAATTAGCTGAGCATGGTGGTGCATGCTTGTAATCCCAGCTACTTGGAAGGCTGAGGCAGGAGAATCGTTTAAACCCAGGAGGTGGAGGTTGCAGTGAGCCCAGATTGTGCCACTGAACTCCAGCCTGGGTGACAGAGCAAGACTGTGGGAAAAAAAAAAAACAAAAAAACAAAAAAACAAACCTGAATAGACATTTCTCAAAAGAAGACATACGAATGGCCAATAAGTATATGAAAAAATGTTCAATATCACAAATCATTAGCAAAATCAAAACCACAATGAGATACCACCTCACACTTGTTAGAATGGCTATCACCAAAAAGACAAACAATAACAAATGCTGGTGCAGATGTGGAGAAAGTGAAACTCTTACATGCTGTTAGTGGGAATGTAAATTAGTACAGCCACTAAGGAAAATAATAAGGAGAGTCCTCAAAAAAATTCAAAATAGAACTATCATGTGATCCAGTAATCCTGTTACTAGGTATATAGCCAAAGAGAATAGAATCAGCATCTCAAAGACATATTTGTTTTCCCATGTTTATTGCAGCAGTATTCACAATGGCCAATATATGGTAGCAATCTAAGTGTTCATTAAAGGGTGAATGAATAAAGTAAATGTGGTATATATACACAATGGGCTACTATAATATTTGGTCAATAAAAATAATGAAGTTCTGTCATTTGCAGTAACATGAATGAAACCGGACAATGTTATGCTAAGTGAAATAAGCCAGATACAGAAAGACAAATACCGCATGATCTCACCTATGTGCAGAATCTAAAGACGTAAGTCTCATAGTAGTAAAGACTAGAATAATAGTCACCAAGGGCTGGGGAAGGGAGAGAGAAGGGGGAATAGGGAGAGATTGGTCAACGGGTACAAATTTATGGGTAGATAGATAGAATATGTTCTGGTGTTCTATTGCACAGTAGGATGACTATGATTAACAATATTGTGGCCGGGTGTGGTGGCTCATACCTGTAATCCCAGCACTTTGGGAGGCTGAGGTGGGTGGATTACCTGAGGTCAGGAGTTTGAGACCAGCCTGGCAAACATGGCGAAACCCCGCCTCTACTAAAAATACAAAAAATTAGCCGGGCCTGGTGGCAGGCGCCTGTAATCCCAGCTACTTGGGAGGCTGAGGCAGGAGACTTGCTTGAACCTGGAAGGCGGAAGTTGCAGTAGCTGAAATTGCACCACTGCACTCCGGCTGGGCAACAGAGTGAGACTTTGTCTCAAAAAAAAAAATATATATATATATATATGTGTGTGTATATATATAGTATTCTGTATCTCTATATTTCAAAATAGGTAGAAGAGACGATTTTGAATGCTCTCATCACAAAAAAATGACAAGGTATGAGGTGATGGGTGTGGTAAATACCTTGATTTGATTTTTCCATAATATATACATCCCACTGTACCTCATGCATATGTACAATTATTATCTGTCAATAAAAACACAGTTTAAAAATTACTGAAATACAACCCAGTAAAGTTATGATTTTTAAAAATATAATTCTTTGAACATCCAGACAGAAAGATCAAAAACTTGTACGAGAAATATATCAGGCTGGCCTTAGCATTCACAACAATATACATCATCAGAAATCAGTGGAGAGATAAATGCACAGTCCTCCAGGAAATAAAGTGTGAGCAAAAATGTTATACACACCTAGACAAATTGCTGAAATAGAAAGGCAACAGCAGGCATTTTTGATCATGCAAGCACTAGGAGAATATATTTCCTCTAAAGCCAACTTGAAGAAATTGTTTAAAAAAATAAATCTCAGTTGAACACCTGTTGAATAGAAACACTGTAGCACAAGGACAAAGGTGAACCTAAACTCCATTTGACTTTAAAAGTAAGGAAAAAAGAACTCTTGGAATCACAGCTTCATTAGTACAATGTGAATGGAATGACAACGGAGAAACAATGTAACTAATAAAAGTTGGCAAGAAATTAGGCAGTTGTGTAAGAATATTGATTATTTCATGTTTTATAATCAGAAGTCTAAAAGCCTCACTTATAGCTGATAGTTCAAACAACTGAGGTTTGGATATATTTTAAGGTGTGAAACAAGTACAAGTAGAACTAATAGTAGTATCTACTAAGCCATATTGGAGAAAATGAATGAATTGGAGATGTATCAATACATCATTGTTCTAGTGTCTACAAAATAGGAGATAAGTACACTAAATCATGTTATAGATATAGAATCAAATACGAAAATGACCCAAAACAGAAACAAAAGTTTCCAGAATGGTAGTAAGATACCCAACCCACACACAAAAAAGCAAAGAAATATACACAACACAGAAAAAATAGAGCAATAAAACAGAAAACAGCATAAAAGATGACAGAATGAATAGAAATACAATATTATAACTTTTCATTGAAGTTAGGAAGAAAACAAGGACGTTCATTATCACAAATATAAGTGTGGCATAAAAATGGGAAAGAGGGAAATAATGCTATCATTATTTGAAAAAGATATGACATACTTGAAAAACTCAAGAAAATCATCTTGACGTCTTATAACAAGAGAATACAGTGACATGATTGGGAACAAAATTAATCAACAACAAAAATTAACGGCCTTGCTATAGACAAAAAACTAAATTTTCAAGCGACAGAAGAGACTCCATTTTAAATACAAATAGAAACATAGAATACCTATGAATAAACTAAAAATATTGGAAGACATATTTATTGAAGAAAGTGTAGAAGGTTGTTAAGACACCTAAAAAGTGCTTGAATAGAAGGAAAATCATACTGATCTGGGATAGGTAGACTCTATACAATGAAGATTTCAACTCATCCTAAATTATTCTATGAATTTAATTCAATTCCGATAAAACAGTTGAAAGGATAATTTTCTCTCTGGAATAAGGGATTTAGATTCTAAAGATTATATGGAAAACTAGTTATGGCCAGTATCTCCAAAAGAGGAGTAGAAAGAGGTGAGAATATACTCTCCAAATCATACTATAGATATTATCAAACTAATTAAATGGCAAATACAGTGTTGGAACACAAGAGAGTCCAGAAATAGACCCAAATTACACAGGGAATTCATTATATATCAAAAATGGAACTCATATCAAGGAAGAAAGGATAGGTTATTTGATAAATCTGATGGAGAAAACTGGATAAAACATGAAAAGATATAAATGGAAATAATGAAAACACGAATGTTCCTGGGGAAAGCATGGAAGCCTTTTTTTGAAGATACAGACCTTTCTTAGTATTGGTCAAATCATAGAAACCATGCTAAGAATTTATAACTTCATAAGCATTTTGAATAGAAAAAAAACAATGTCAAAAGCCAACACAACAAACTAGAAAAAGATACTTCCAACAAGTACTTTAAGTGTGACTGCTATTCATTTTTACTGTATAAAGAACTTTTTATGTATCAGAAAACAAACCAACAGGAAAAAATAGGCGTAAACAAAGCTTACAGACAAATAAGAAACTAAAATTTGTCTTTTAAATATTTGAAAAGGTGCTAAGCTCTACTTATATATAGATACACAGACACACTCACACACACACACATATAAACTACATTGAGACATCACTTTTCATTTATCAATGAAGATATAGAGGAAAAAAACTCTCCTTTATTGTTGTGACAGTTTAAATTGCAAAACTTTTGCAAAGGTCAGCTTGACTACAAATTTGATAACACACACCACAATTTAAAATGTAGGTATGTTTTAATTTAGCAAATTTACTCCTAGGTATTTTTTTCTTCAGGTACTCTAGTATTTAATAGGTATAAACAAAGACATATATACAAGAACAATCACTGAAAAATTGTTTGCAATACTTAAAACACTTCAAATGTTCAATAATAGAAAACTGAATTCAATATTATAATACAGCTTGATTATGTAACTATTCGTGCATTGGTATTGGTTAGGACTATATCTGGAAAAATTCACACAAAATGGGTAATAGTGCTAGCCTATAGGGAAGGAAACAGGAAAACAAACAAGTGGAAAGTCTTACTTTCCCTATGTGTGCATTCATAATTTTTGATGGCATGTCATGTACACATATTATCCATTTAAAAAAGAAGACAAAATAATAATGGAAGTGAAATGATTGTACTAAGTACTTCCTAAATGCAGTTTGTACTGACTTAAAATTAGTGTGAAATATTGGCTCAAAACTGTCCTTTTCATTATTTTGTATATTAGAACAGTTTAATTTTTTAGAGGCTGATACATATATTGAATTGTTTGACTGCATACAAGCTTCCACAATACTTAGATTAAATCTGAAAGTAATCAGTTCTTCTATCATTAACTTGCTGCTCTGTTTATGCTAAGATATTGGATCAAGATGAATTTTTTTCCTAAACTGCAGTCATCAAATCTCATTTCCCGTTGACGTACCTATTTATATTTGAAGCACAACTGTTTAACTCTGTCCATTTGCATAGGTCAGTTAATAAACCTTGCAGATATTTAATTTGTATCCATGATGTATCTAACCCAGAAGCATTGGTCTATTTTGATTTAATTTGATACTCTCTTTTTAGAACAGTCTGAATATTTACTACAAAGATTGTAGTTTCCCTTAACATTTCATCGTGGACATTTTCATTCACTCAACAAATATTGACCTAAGCTCTCTGGGTTTATGTGATGATGGGGATATTTGTATAAAAGATAGTGAGAATTACATATAAATATTATGTTCTGTAGTGCCTTATAAGCCTCTGATATTTTGCTATAATGTAAGATATTTATTTACATTCACATTCAACTTACATTTATTGGATAACAGATATTGGGATATAAAACCAAATCAGCCATGGCTGCTGACAATCCAGCAGGGTGGAGAGATATATGAATGGTTCATTACAATTCGATATGGCAAATAAATTTATAGAAAGACTCACATGAGCAAAGGAAGAACACATAACCCAACTCAGTCAGGAGAGCGGGGAGAGGGTGCTGGAGACAGTGACTCTGTGTCTGAAGAGATGGTTGAATTTAAGTAGGGCAAACACAGTGAGTATGGCATGGTGATGGAGTGCTAGTTTAGAGTCCAAGAATCTAAAACTTACTAACTCCATGTCCATGGGCAAGTTACTTTACTTCTCTGTTTAAAATGGTGATAATAATGGTCCATGCCTGTCAAGATGGATTGGGGATTACATGAAATGATTAGAACAGTACCTGGAGTTTAGTAAGCAGCTTATAAAAACAAGCTGCTATTGGGTTTTTGTTTGTTTGTTTGTTTGTTAAGTTCCAGGGTACATGTGCAGGATGAGCAGGTTTGTTACATGGGTAAACGTGTGCCATGGTGGTTTGCTGCACCTGTCAACCCATCAACTAGGTATAAAGCCCAGCGTGCATTAGCTAGTTTTCCTAATGCTCTCCCTCCTGACACCCACGCCCTGACAGGCCCCAATGTGTGTTGCTCCCCTCAATTGTCTATGTGTTCTCATTGATCAACTCCCACTTATAAGTGAGAAGATGCAGTGTTTGGTTTTCTGTTCCTGTGTTAGTTTGCTGAGGATAATGGCTTCCAGCTCCATCCATGTCCATGCAAAGGACATGATTCCATTCCTTTATATCACTGCATACTATTCCATGGTGTACATGTGCCACATTTTCTTTATCCAGTCTGTCATCGATGGAAGACATGCTATTGTTTTTATTATCAAGTATGGTAGAGTGGGAGAAGGGAGGTAGAGCCTTACAAACAAGAGAGTGACAGGAAGGACACAGAAGCAGAAGAAACAGCCTTGCACAGGGTGCAGTTCAGGCTAGAGAATGGCGAGAGATGAATGTGGAGAAGCAGGCAGGGACTAGAGCACAGTGGCTGTGAATGCCCTCCTTAGGCACTTGACGGTCATCATGACTTGGGGATATTCTCATTCTCTGCAGGGGAAGGATGTGCTCAGACTTGGCTGGCTGAGCTGTCACTCTGGATGTTTGCAGTCGAGAAGACTGCAGTCACAAAGTGATGGATCAGTTTAGCTAGAAATGATGAAGTCTGAACTAGAAGAACAATGCTAGAGAACAGAGTGGAAGCAAGCAATTTAAGGAATATCTAGTGGGGAAATATTATCAAGTCAAAGTGGATAATTCGTTGTATTTTGTGGAAAGATGGGGGAAGCCATGGGTCACATGGAGTCCAGCTTTACAGGCGATTTTTGCCGTTATCCCCAAAGGAGAGAACAGGGATAGCAGGGAGAAAAGAAGATGAGCATGCAACAGCGCAGTGCCATTACTCACAGCCCCTTTCCCCAGTTTTTTATATCCAGAACTTCTCCTTAAACAGCTAAGCCTTTCAACTTGCTAAAATATCAGCTCAGTTGAGCAGTCTGAAGAATAAGGAAGCATGAGTCTCCACTGACGAATTATGCCTTCTCTCCGTCGATGTAAATGCTCCCTTAAATCACCCTTGAATTTCTCCTCTATTCCCGAGGAACTGGTTGGGAGTTGAAGCAGGCTATAATAATTTAATCTCTACATAAATTCATAGAATAGAAGTGACAGGACAAAGTTGCACACCACATATTCTGAATGTTCACATCTCATTTCTGGATGCCACTGAATCTTTATCCGTGAAAAGAACAGCACATTCTTAAAAATCCCGTAATTTTCTTTTTCTTATTTGATTTGCTGTGGCATTCTAAAGAGATTCACCACATTTTCCATCTCTGCTTTTACGCATTTGTATTCCATATAGATGCTTTCAAGGTTTCAGTTGCTGAATCTGCATTGTTGAGATGAAATCATGAGCCTTTTGATTTACTGTAAGAGCTTCATTATTCTCAGCTGTGTCATTTGGTGCCAGTATCTCTGCTGCCTAAAAATGCCATCAGGATTCATCGAAAAATAAACAAAACTCTCTTAAAATTTACTTTCTGTCTGTAAACAATAGGAAGAGTAGCCGGAAGGGTACAAGGAAATCTAAAGAGGATGCAAAATATATGCAGGGATTTTGATACACGTTATTCTTCTGAAAACTTCGTTTCATGCTGCCATGTTAAAAATTTCTAAACAATTCGGAGAACAACCCCCTTTTTCCTTCCCATAGAAAAAGAGTTTAGATTAAGGATATTAGCATTATTTTCTCTTCTAATTTGTGTTCACTTTGTATTTCACAAAGATGAAATGGATGCTTATTCTTACAGTATTCCTGTGTTATTCTTTATGTACTCTCTACAGATAGATCCAATTTGGTATCTCATAGAAGGTGAGGCAGGCATCATGTACATACAACTGTACCAGAGAAATCATGCTTCAAAATAGAAAAATATTACCATCCTCATAACATGATTTTATCTACTAAAGTGCTTCCGTGTAAAAAAAAAAAAAAGAAAAGAAAAAAAAAGATATCCTAGGAGGTTGCCTAAGACTTACGTTTTCCAAAAGGGGGGACATGTAGCACTGCTGATAAATGAATATGGTTTTGAGTATAACACTAAGGTGGAATTAATTACCTAGAAACACATAATAAGAAAAGTTTTCTTGTTTCAATTCTTTCAGTACTTCTAATTACTTAAAAGACAAGGGAGAGGATCAGGAAAAATAACAAATGGGTACTAGGCTTAATACCTGGGTCATGAAATAATCTGTACAAGAAACCCTATGACACAAGTTTGCCTGTGTAACAAACTTGCACGTGTATCCCTGAACTTAAAATAAAAGTCAAAAAAAAAAAAAGCAGTTGTGTGCTGGGTTGCCCCTTAGATGCTTACAAGAGGAGGCTGTTTGCATCTCCTCCCAACCATATCCAGTGATGTTACCTCGATAGCCTGAAATTATCCATGGTGGAAAGATCTACAGACAGAAATCAGAAATTTCTGCAAGTCAGACTCTTTGTCTCACATAGCTGTTAAACGTGGAACAGCACATCATTGTTGGGAGGGGATAGTGTCGGTCTGGTCCTACCATTCAGGTCTTCAGCACTTCTGTAATACATGCTCACCTCTTTTTTAATAACAAACCTGCAGTTTCCAGCCTTTTGTGTGAGGTAGCCTCTCCTAGTACCATTTTCCTTTCAATGACATCACTTTGGAAGTTATCTTTAATTTATGCCAGCTGTATAGGTTTTGCTTTTATAGTAATGATACCGTGTCTTTCTTTTTTTTTAAGTATATCTTTTTTTTTTATTATTATACTTCAAGTTTTAGGGTACATGTGCACAATGTGCAGGTTAGTTACATATGTATACATGTGCCATGCTGGTGTGCTGCACCCACTAACTCGTCATCTAGCATTAGGTATATCTCCCAATGCTATCCCTCCCCCCTCCCCCCACCCCACAACAGTCCCCAGAGTGTGATGTCTCCCCTTCCTGTGTCCATGTGTTCTCATTGTTCAATTCTCACCTATGAGTGAGCATATGTGGTGTTTGGTTTTTTGTTCTTGCGATAGTTTATGGAGAATGGTGATTTCCAATTTCATCCATGTCCCTACAAAGGAGGTGAACTCATCATTTCTCATGGCTGCATAGTATTCCATGGTTTATATGTGCCACATTTTCTTAATCCAGTCTATCATTGTTGGACATTTCGGTTGGTTCCAAGTCTTTCCTATTGTGAATAATGCCACAATAAACATACGTGTGCATGTGTCTTTATAGCAGCATGATTTATAGTCCCTTGGGTATATACCCAGTAATGGGATGGCTGGGTCAAATGGTATTTCCAGTTCTAGATCCCTGAGGAATCGCCACACTGACTTCCACAATGGTTGAACTAGTTTACAGTCCCACCAACAGTGTAAAAGTGTTCCTATTTCTCCACATCCTCTCCAGCACCTGTTGTTTCCTGACTTTTTAATGATTGCCATTCTAACTGGTGTGAGATGGTATCTCATTGTGGTTTTGATTTGCATTTCTCTGATGGCCAGTGATGGTGAGCATTTTTTCATGTGTTTATTGGCTGCATAAATGTCTTCTTTTGAGAAGTGTCTGTTCATGTCCTTCACCCACTTTTTGATGGGGTTGTTTTTTTCTTGTAAATTTGTTGGAGTTCATTGTAGATTCTCGATACTAGCCCTTTCTCAGATGAGTAGGTTGCGAAAATTTTCTCCCATTTTGTAGGTTGCCTGTTCACTCTGATGGTAGTTTCTTTTGCTGTGCAGAAGCTCTTTAATTTAATTAGATCCCATTTGTCAATTTTGGCTTTTGTTGCCATTGCTTTTGGTGTTTTAGACATGAAGTCCTTGCCCACGCCTATGTCCTGAATGGTAATGCCTAGGTTTTCTTCTAGGGTTTTTATGGTTTTAGGTCTAACGTTTAAGTCTTTAATCCATCTTGAATTAATTTTTGTATAAGGTGTAAGGAAGGGATCCAGTTTCAGCTTTCTATATATGGCTAGCCAGTTTTCCCAGCACCATTTATTAAATAGGGAATCCTTTCCCCATTGCTTGTTTTTCTCAGGTTTGTCAAAGATCAGATAGATGTAGATATGCGGCGTTATTTCTGAGGGCTCTGTTCTGTTCCATTGATCTATATCTCTGTTTTGGTACCAGTACCATGCTGTTTTGGTTACTGTAGCCTTGTAGTATAGTTTGAAGTCAGATAGTGTGATGCCTCCAGCTTTGTTTTTTTGGCTTAGGATTGACTTGGTGATGCGGGCTCTTTTTTGGTTCCATATGAACTTTAAAGTACTATGTTCCAATTCTGTGAAGAAAGTGATTGGTAGCTTGATGGGGATGGCATTGAATCTGTAAATTACCTTGGGCAGTATGGCCATTTTCATGATATCGATTCTTTCTACCCATGAGCATGGAATGTTCTTCCATTTGTTTGTATCCTCTTTTATTTCTTTGAGCAGTGGTTTGTAGTTCTCCTTGAAGAGGTCCTTCACATCCCTTGTAAGTTGGATTCCTAGGTATTTTATTCTCTTTGAAGCAATTGTGAATGGGTTCATTCATGATTTGGCTCTCTGTTTGTCTGTTGTTGGTGTATAAGAATGCTTGTGATTTTTGTACATTGATTTTGTATCCTGAGACTTTGCTGAAGTTGCTTATCAGCTTAAGGAGATTTTGGGCTGAGACAATGGGGTTTTCTAGATATATGGTCATGTCATCTGCAAACAGGGACAATTTGACTTCCTCTTTTCCTAATCGAATACCCTTTATTTCTTTCTCCTGCCTGATTGACCTGGCCAGAACTTCCAACACTATGTTGAATAGGAGTGGTGAGAGAGGGCATCCCTGTCTTGTGCCAGTTTTCAAAGGGAATGCTTCCAGTTTTTGCCCATTCAGTATGATATTGGCTGTGGGTTTGTCATAGATAGCTCTTATTATTTTGAGATACTTTCCATCAATACCTAATTTATTGAGAGTTTTTTAGCATGAAGGGTTGTTGAATTTTGTCAAAAGCCTTTTCTGCATCTATTGAGATAATCATGTGGTTTTTGTCTTTGGTTCTGTTTATATGCTGGATTACATTTATTGATTTGTGTACATTGAACCAGCCTTGCATCCCAGGGATGAAGCCCACTTGATCATGGTGGATAAGCTTTTTGATGTGCTGCTGGATTCAGTTTGCCAGTATTTAATAGAGGATTTTTGCATCAATGTTCATCAAGGATATTGGTCTAAAATTCTCTGTTTTGGTTGTGTCTCTGCCCGGCTTTGGTATCAGGATGATGCTGGCCTCATAAAATGAGTTAGGGAGGATTCCCTCTTTTTCTATTGATTGGAATAGTTTCAGAAGGAATGGTACCAGTTCCTCCTTGTACCTCTGGTAGAATTCGGCTGTGAATCCTTCTGGTCCTGGACTCTTTTTGGTTGGTAAGCTATTGATTACTGCCACAATTTCAGATCCTGTTATTGGTCTATTCAGAGATTCAACTTCTTCCTGGTTTAGTCTTGGGAGAGTGTATGTGTCGAGGAATTTATCCATTTCTTCTAGATTTTCTAGTTTATTTGTGTAGAGGTGTTTGTAGTATTCTCTGATGGTAGTTTGTATTTCTGTGGGATTTGTGGTGATATCCCCTTTGTCATTTTTATTGCATCTATTTGATTCTTCTCTCTTTTCTTCTTTATTAGTCTTGCTAGCAGTCTATCAATTTTGTTGATCCTTTCAAAAAACCAGCTCCTGGATTCATTGATTTTTTGAAGGGTTTTTTGTGTCTCTATTTCCTTCAGTTCTGCTCTGATTTTAGTTATTTCTTGCCTTCTGCTAGCTTTTGAATGTGTTTGCTCTTGCTTTTCTAGTTCTTTTAGTTGTGATGTTAGGGTGTCAATTTTGGATCTTTCCTGCTTTCTCTTGTGGGCATTTAGTGCTATAAATTTCCCTCTACACACTGCTTTGAATGAGTCCCAGAGATTCTGGTATGCTGTGTCTTTGTTCTTATTGGTTTCAAAGAACATCTTTATTTCTGCCTTCATTTCGTTATGTACCCAGTAGTCATTCAGGAGCAGGTTGTTCAGTTTCCATGTAGTTGAGCAGTTTTGAGTGAGATACTTGATCCTGAGTTCTAGTTTGATTGCACTGTGGTCTAAGAGATAGTTTGTTATAATTTCTGTTCTTTTACATTTGCTGAGGAGAGCTTTACTTCCAACTATGTGGCCAATTTTGGAATCGGTGTGGTGTGGTGCTGAAAAAAAATGTATATTCTGTTGATTTGTGGTGGAGAGTTCTGTAGATGTCTATTAGGTCCACTTGGTGCATAGTTGAGTTCAATTCCTGGGTATCCGTGTTGACTTTCTGTCTCGTTGATCTGTCTAATGTTAACAGTGGGGTGTTAAAGTCTCCCATTATTAATGTGTGGGAGTCTAAGTCTCTTTGTAGGTCACTCAGGACTTGCTTTATGAATCTGGGTGCTCCTGTATTGGGTGCATATATATTTAGGATAGTTAGCTCTTCTTGTTGAATGGATCCCTTTACCATTATGCAATGGCCTTCTTTGTCTCTTTTGACCTTTCTTGGTTTAAAGTCTGTTTTATCAGAGACTAGGATTGCAACCCCTGCCTTTTTTTGTTTTCCATTGGCTTGGTAGATCTTCCTCCATCCTTTTATTTTGAGCCTATGTGTGTCTCTGCACGTGAGATGGGTTTCCTGAATACAGCACACTGATGGGTCTTGACTCTTTATCCAATTTGCCAGTCTGTGTCTTTTAATTGGAGCATTTAGTCCATTTACATTTAAAGTTAATATTGTTATGTGTGAATTTGTTCCTGTCATTATGATGTTAGCTGGTTATTTTGCTCATTAGTTGATGCAGTTTCTTCCTAGTCTCGATGGTCTTTACATTTTGGCATGATTTTGCAGCAGCTGGTACCGGTTGTGCCTTTCCATGTTTAGCACTTCCTTCAGGAGCTCTTTTAGGGCAGGCCTGGTGGTAACAAAATCTCTCAGCATTTGCTTGTCTGTAAAGTACTTTATTTCTCCTTCACTTATGAAGCTTACTTTGGCTGAATATGAAATTCTGGGTTGAAAATTCTTTTCTTTAACAATGTTGAATATTGGCCCCCACTCTCTTCTGGCTTGTAGAATTTCTGCCGAGAGATCCGCTGTTAGTCTGATGAGCTTCCCTTTGAGGGTAACCTGACCTTTCTCTCTGGCTGCCCTTAACATTTTTTCCTTCATTTCAACTTTGGTGAATCTGACAATTATGTGTCTTGGAGTTGCTCTTCTCGAGGAGTATCTTTGTGGCATTCTCTGTATTTCCTGAATCTGAATGTTGGCCTGCCTTGCTATATTGGGGAAGTTCTCCTGGATGATATCCTGCAGAGTGTTTTCCAACTTGGTTCCATTCTCCCCTTCACTTCCAGGTACACCAATCAGACGTAGATTTGGTCTTTTCACATAGTCCCATATTTCTTGGAGGCTTTGCTTATTTCTTTTTATTCTTTTTTCTCTAAACTTCCCTTCTCACTTCATTTCATTCATTTCATCTTCCATCACTGATACCCTTTCTTCCAGTTGATCACATTGGCTCCTGAGGCTTCTGCATTCTTCATGTAGTTCTCGAGCCTTGGTTTTCAGCTCCATCAGCTCCTTTAAGCACTTCTCTGTATTGGTTATTCTAGTTATACATTCTTCTAAATTTTTTTCAAAGTTTTCAACTTCTTTGCCTTTGGTTTGAATGTCCTCCCGTAGCTCGGAGTAATTTGATCATCTGAAGCCTTCTTCTCTCACCTCGTCAAAGTCATTCTCCATCCAGCTTTGTTCCGTTGCTGGTGAGGAACTGCGTTCCTTTGGAGGAGGAGAGGCACTCTGCTTTTTAGAGTTTCCAGTTTTTCTGTTCTGTTTTTTCCCCATCTTTGTGGTTTTATCTACTTTTGGTCTTTGATGATGGTGATGTACAGATGGGTTTTTGGTGTGGATGTCCTTTCTGTTTGTTAGTTTTCCTTCTAACAGACAGGACCCTCAGCTGCAGGTCTGTTGGAGTACCCTGCCGTGTGAGGTGTCAGTGTGCCCCTGTTGGCAGGTGCCTCCCAGTTAGGCTGCTCGGGGGTCAGGGGTCAGGGACCCACTTGAGGAGGCAGTCTGCCCGTTCTCAGATCTCCAGCTGCGTGCTGGGAGAACCACTGCTCTCTTCAAAGCTGTCAGACAGGGACATTTAAGTCTGCAGAGGTTACTGCTGTCTTTTTGTTTGTCTGTGCCCTGCTCCCAGAGGTGGAGCCTACAGAGGCAGGCAGGCCTCCTTGAACTGTGGTGGGCTCCACCCAGTTGGAGCTTCCAGGCTGCTTTGTTTACCTAATCAAGCCTGGGCAATGGCGGGCGCCCCTCCCCCAGCCTCGCTGCCGCCTTGCAGTTTGATCTCAGACTGCTGTGCTAGCAATCAGCGAGACTCCGTGGGGTAGGACCCTCCGAGCCAGGTGCGGGAGATAGTCTCCTGGTGTGCCGTTTTTTAAGCCCGTTGGAAAAGCGCAGTATTCGGGTGGGAGTGACCCGATTTTCCACGTGCATCCGTCACCCCTTTCTTTGACTCGGAAAGGGAACTCCCTGACCCCTTGCGCTTCCCGAGTGAGGGAATGCCTCGCCCTGCTTCCGCTCGTGCACGGTGCGCGCACCCACTGACCTGCGCCCACTGTCTGGCGCTCCCTAGTGAGATGAACCCGGTACCTCAGATGGAAATGCAGAAATCACCCGTATTCGGCCATCTTGGCTCCTCCCCCGTAAGTATGCAGTGTCTTTCTTTAAATATATTTATTTAAATCAATTCAGTAAGAAAGATGAGCTCAATTTAAAAAAAAGTGATTATGTAGACAATACATTAAAAAGGCAAAACAAAGAAAGTGTTACTGGTAAACCCAAAGATTAGGACACATTGTTCTGGGCAGTTTTCCAGTTTTTATTGCTATACAGTTTAATGGGTCATAGTTCTCAGCCACAATTTCTACCCTCGTTATCTAGCCTCGGGGAGTAAGTTTAGGGTATCAAAGAAATATGCATACCTTTTCTCTCTCTGTGTCTTTCATTCTTTCTTACCTCAATGCAAGTTTCTGTGAAAACTAAAATGAGGATTTCTCTGTGGTTGAGTCTGGCCCTCTCTTGAATGGTTCTGTTTCAACCTTTTCAGTGATTTTATAGTTGTCTGCCTTAAATGTAAAACTCCTCCTGGTTCCTTTGTTAGGTCCCTGGATGTCTTCCCAGGGCTCCTAATGTGAGGGCTGGGGAAAGGATTGATGGCTGAGAAGGGAAGAAATGTGGGAGACTTTAATTTCAGAGCTTTTATTTGTGGTTTGTTTTCCTATTTGTTTTTGTGAAAAGGCAAGCACATAGCATGAGGCTGGAGACGAGACTGTGCAAGTATATTATTACTCTAATACTGACTTCGATTGCCTCCTTTTGACCACTTTATTGATATCTAAGATATATAAACAAGACCAGCTCCTTCCCGTCACTCAAACCAACAGCTGATTTATATTGCACTATATAGTCTCTCACTCACAGGAGCATCAGTCGTCTGAAAAAAATGTGCCACTTAATCCCTTTTCTGACTGTCATTCTCTTCAAAGGCCCTACTTCTGGGAAGATATAAAGGTGAAAGTATAAGAAGATATGGGATATAGTTTGAAAATTTGTCAGCGTTCAATATTTAGAAGTCAGAAATTAGTTATCCCTCCTTTCTGGAGACTCTGCTTCGGCATTCGGTCTACTAGACAAGCTGAGAATGGAGACATAAAATAATTTGAGAGTAGTTGAAATAGACGATAAGATTAAACCATTGTTTGAGTGATTTCTAGACAGCAATAAGTTTTGCTCAAACATTTCATCTTGATTTCCATTTGCTCTTTCTATAAAAATAAATCTAGATCGACAGGAGCTGAGTCACCACTCAGACATGACATTTTACATTGTCTTTTAAATACAATCGCTATTATGGTGACAATTACGCACATGAAAAATGTGCCTATTGCCTTTTGTCCATGTTTGGCAGCCAGCTGTGGTGTGTGTGCATGTAAATGAGTGTCGATGTGTGCATGTGCATATGCGTTACAATAAGATAACCTCCATTTGCTATTCTATTCTAATACCTCTGGTGAGCCTCTGTTTTGAAAAAGAAAAAGTTAGATTGAGAAATAAGTAGTTTACAATAGACATGTTATAAAATTAATATAGAGAAATTCTAAGTAGTCATAATGTTCAGATACCCAATATTTTTTCTAATACGTTATAAAAAAGAGTATGTGCTTGGATGAGGATTTGATTTGAAAAAAAAGGAATGGGGACAGAGAGAGGAAGAGAGAGAGAGAGAACAAGAATTAACTCTTTGTATGTTTCTGGGATCTTTAAATGTTATGTCTAATTCTATGTAATTGGAACTGTCTTGTATAGTAAAATGTATGTGAGAATATTAAGAAGTTATTAATTCCTTCTTTTATAAAAGGGAATAATGGGACCCAGAAAAGGAAGTGACTGGCTCAAGGTCAGCCAGTTCTTTGGAGGCATCAGACTAGAATCCAGTTTCCCTCCTTCCTTGTCCTGTGGACATTTTGTTACTCTTATATGTAAAACAAATATTTAATGTGATTGTAAACCTCAGATCGTATATGTTACTTAGTTGTGAACAGAATGTATTCACTGTGAATACTGATTTACTAAGGTGAAAATTTATTATTTTTCACTTTACAAACCTTTACACAAATGAATGCAAAATCAGAATATATATTGAAAGCTGCTTGTACTGACTTAGACACAGACATTCAAATGAATTTATACACTAGGGTCACCAGTCTTGCCTTTTTTTTTTATAAGTAAATATTTATGTTGATTTTATAAGGCTTTCAGACATGAAGTTTGAGAAAGTTAATAGTTATCAGGATTTGCATGCAAGATCACAAAACAGTAAAATAAACCAAAGAACGAGACTTCCTTACAACCTCCAAAACATAATAATTTGCAGTTTCTAGTGAAATCTTTATTCTTATGCTATATTCATTTTGGTCTCTTAATTATTTTCCATTTTATACTCTTTGACTTTCTTTGGAATCTCTTGTATGATCTCCTCTGTCTTAATAGTATAGTCACCTATTTTAGCTTGACTGTATTTTTATCATTCAGAGTAGGATATACTTACTAAGCCAGTTATACTCCGGTAAACTTGTGAATGAAAAAACATTAGAGAACAGAGAATTAAGAGCAAGTAATAGAGTCATTATTTCACTGATCCTCACCCAATTTCAGGAAAATCATATCCCTAAAACAGCAATTCTGACTGATAAATTTTTCCATGTCTAAACAGAAAGAAAAGTGAAATTATGGGAATCCTATGATAGATTACTATACATTGTGTGCTTTTAATAGTTCAACACTGGTAATGTTTGATAATCAAGAGTAAATTAATAGGCTAACATTTAGAAATGTATACTTTAATAAGTATAAAGTATATAAACAATTAGGTAAGCTTGTGGAGAAGTTGACCAAGATACATAAATTAGAAAATACAAGTGTCCATCTAAATTTTCTATATTTCATTTTTTTCATAATATTTATTAAAGGCGTTTAATGTATAGTTTCTCATCTGCCATTTTGGGAGTCCTTTATTGTAAAGACAATTCTATTGTTTGATGACAAACAGCAACCACCATGGTTATTCAGGACCTCCACATTGGATAAATTCAATTTCTTCTTGAGACACAAGTTTGCTTCTGTATTTCTGAGGTAATGTTTTTATTATTTCTGCAGTGTCTGGTGGACCCTGATACATTAGCAAATCTGGTGATGTATCCCTTAGAATGTTGTGAAATTACAGAAGAGTGAGATGGTAGCCCTGCTGATCTCAAAGCTTCTGATACATTGGGTTTAGGATTGTCTCTTCTGTCAGGAAACCTTATTAATGGAGTGTGTGGTTTGACTACCTGAACGACCCTACTGGCAGACGCCATCTTGCTGCCAATCGTCACCCCTGAGAAGGGGCAGTTTCCAGTCTTGCCTTTTAATTTATGAAATTTGTGACAAGTATGGACTTGAAGGAGCATTTCCAAACTGTGGGCGTTTTAGGCCCACATCTTGCATCTGTACATCTTTGAGAAGTACACAGAGAAGGACTGAAGATGAGTAGGTCTGAATGGGATCCCAGCCCACACACTGCTTCTTCATGCAGTTAGCTCTTTCTTAAGTTCAGGAACTTAAGTTGGAACACCTATTCTGACCAGACCAACATGTTTAGGCAGGTTTGATGATCATTTCCTGGGTTTCCATAGTATCTATCCTGTGTCTAAATATGACATATTGTGTTGAACTAGTCTATAAATTCCTTGAGGATGCCTCTGTATCTACTATACCTCCCCACCTCTGGACACAAGCAGAAGCTCAAGCAGTGTTAATGAAATGACCATATCTAAGCAACTTCCCCCAGGATAAAACTTCCCCATTCCCTGCTATCATTTTGTCATTACCAAGTAGTGACATATATACATCCTAGCTTGATTGTACAAATTCCATTCCTTAATTGAAGGGTAGATTTTAAGCTGCCTAAGATTCAAATCTTTGTTTAAATTTGTATAATGAATATGTGCTTGTGCCTGGCTCCATGGAGTAAAAGTCAAAACCTCAAACCAGCAAGAGACCCAGATTCTAGTCTCACAAAAATGTGTTTGGTCATCTGGGATCAGCTGTTGATACTCTCAGAGCTTCAGTGCCTTCATGGGTCAATAATTGGAACATCTGTTATTTGCCTCATAGCACTGGTGCAAAATATAATAATATGAGTATTTTATTAATAGCAGTTCACATGTATGAAGATTTTCCTATTTTCCAGGCACTGTGTTAGTTCTTTTATAAGTATCAATTTATTCTATCCTCACCACAAACCATATCCTCGAGTTCAATAGGGCCATGATTCATATCCAGGCTAAATCTGATTTTGAATCCAGGTCTCACACTCCTAAACGATTGTCTCATACTGTTTGCCCTCAAATGAGATAAAATATGCAAGTATTTTGAGACATACCAAAGTGACTCAGAACTATAAGGCAATGATGGTGTAGAAATGGATGCATAGACTGAATCTTTAATTAAGCAAGAAAAAATTGACATAGAGAAATGCGAAGAAATTCACGAAAGACATTGTCCCCATGGAAGGAGGGGAAAAAGTGGTCCAGTGATATATTTGAAGGAGATAGAGTGGGGAGGTGTGATTGGCTAAGAGAGTTGGAATCACATCTGTCATTACTTCCCTTGCTTTATTTACAGCAGGTGGTAATCTCAACTCCCCGTTCTTCCACTCTCCCTACACCCACCTTCTACCACCTTCTCTAACCTGGTCAGAAATCTTCTAGTCCTTTAATGTTCAGCCAAATCACCACCTCCTTGTGATTTCTTTTTAGGTTTTTGCCTTACTCCCTTAGAAATGAACCATTTCTTCTTTTCTGCTCTCACAACCTCTTTTACTTCTATTTCAGGGTTTCTTAAATTTGGTATTCTTGACATTTTGGTCCAGATAATTCTTTTGTGTTTGGGAGCTGTCTTGTACATTGTAGGATGTTTGGCAGCATCTCTGGCCTCTTCTTTTTGAATGCATGATTTACGCCCCCAGTCATGACAATCAAAAATGTCTCCAGACATTGCCAAAAGTCCCCTCCAGGGCAAAATCACCTCAGTTGAAAGCTTTTGGTTTTTTAGCCATTGTAACTACATGACCCAGTTTTTAAGGGGAGCCCCATACCTGAGCAAATTGTTCCAGTGTTCACTTTGAAAAATATTCTTACTATTAATATATCACCCAGTGTTTCTCAAACTTTAATGAGCTTTAGAGAAACCTGGGAGCTTATTAACACATAGATAGCTAGCCCCCCAAGCCGCTTTTCCCCAAGTCTCTGATTCCACTACTCTGGGTGGGGGTGTAAGAGTGCCTTTCTAATACATTTTTTTTTCTTTTTTCTTTTTTTGTTTGTTTTTGTTTTTTTTTTCTAGCTTCACAAACTTTGTTTAATAAGTGTCATAATCTCACAAAGTAAAATGCTATCATTGAATATAACAAATGTTTGCATCATATAAGTAACAAATATTTATCTGGTATAACTACTACATGTATTCACTTATCTATTTAGATGTATCAATATCATTATATAAATGATATAATGCAGCACTGCTATCTGTGTAGATTCATCAGTGACTTTTTTTTTTTTTTTTTTTTGAGACGGAGTCTCGCTCTCTCTCCCAGGCTGGAGTGCAGCCGCGCGATCTCGGCTCACTGCAAGCTCCGCCCCCCGGGTTCCCGCCATTCTCCTGCCTCAGCCTCCCGAGTAGCTGAGACCACAGGCACCCGCCACCACGCCTGGCTAATTTTTTGTATTTTTAGTAGAGACGGGGTTTCACTGTGTTAGTCAGGATGGTCTCGATTTCCTGGCCTCGTGACAGACCCGCCTCGGCCTCCCAAAGTGCTGGGATTACAGGCGTGAGCCACCGCGCCCGGCCCATCAGTCACTTTTCTACTTCCCCCACCAGTTCTTGACCGTTCTCTTGATTAGTACGTAATCAAGATGGAATATCTGCAAGTGCAAGTTTCCTCTCGTCTGTCTTCATCAACGTTTTTTTTCTGATAGGAAACAACTTGCGTATATACAGAAATTTAGCTTGATTTAATAATACCAATGCTGAATATTCTCATCCAGGCATGTGAGATGCCCATGCAACTTTCCAAAATTATTTTATATGCTTCTGTGTTTTTTCTATAATTTTTATAAGTTTATGTTTTTATTTTTAACTTTTATAATTTCAACTTTTAGATTCAGGGGGTATACGTACAGGTTTATTACATGGATATATGGCAAGATGCTGTGGTTTGGGATACAAATGATCCCATCACCCAGGTAGTGAGCATAGCACCCAATAGGTAGTTTTTCAGTCCTTGCCCTGCTCCCCCTCTACCCCCTGCAGTAGTCCCCACTGTCTATTGTTACCATCTTTATGTTCATGAAACATATTTCTTAAAATGTGGTGCTGCTGATGTGGGAGCACACTTGGAGAATCATGGTCAGTACCGCAGTTCATCCATTCTGCCCCAGGTTTAGCTGGTTAGATGCCTCTTAGGCTGGACCGTACTTTACTATTTCTTCTGCCCCCAACTCTGTGTTTAGCATGTCATATGATCTCATTGAGTTGAACAAAAAATCAATAAATCTGAAAGTGCTTTGAAAAGGTTAAAAAGATTTAAAGATATAAAATGCCATTAGTAAGGTAATGGGATTTGCAAAATTTGGGGGTCAGGTAGAGACAGTTATGTTTCCCAGGCATTTCGTCATGAGCTCTAGATGAAATGCCTCCTGTGAATTTGAATACATTGGGATTCAACTAAAGGGTTGCCGTAAATTTTTCTGTTGTCATGGCACATCAAGGAAGTTGATGGATAAAAGGACATACTAATGAGAGTCTAAGTGAAAATATGAAATGAAATGTATGGTCTCTAAGCGACTTTTCTTCAAAGACATTGGGAAGGCATCTATTCCTATCATTGCTGATTATCAGGACCACTAAGCTTTTTTAGGAGGTGGATGAACTTGTACAGATCCTGCCTTTTTGACCATATCTATGTAAATATTGGGAAGAAAAGTGATGAGAGACCACTTGGGAAGTGTAAAAAGTGAGAAAATACGTATCTGGATTCTTAACATGAGCCCCTTCATGTAATAAAGTGTAAAGTTATGTTTGATAAGTCTGGCTGAAAAGGATGACGCGGGAGTCCACACACGCTAAGCATACCTTCATTTAAACAGACTCAGAATGTCCCCGGAGGGCTCCCTCCACCAGCCAGGGGAAAATAAATAAAATAAACAGTCACATCCCAAATAGGAGTTATATATATATCTTCAATCCCGCCTTAGCAACAATAGCATTTGGCTTAAAGGATTACACTAGAATCTCTCAGCATCTCAGCTATACAGGGAGGAAATCAAGGTAGAAACTCAATACCTGAGCATAAAGCAATTGGAAGTTTAAAGAAAAAGCACACCATGAAGACTGGTCACTGCAAACTCTTATAATCCCACATAAGCAAGAAACTATTCCATTTGAACAGCCCCTTTATAAAAAATAGCAAAACTCTTTTTCTATTACTTTACTTTTTAATGCATCACTTCTATCATGTGAAAATGTTTGGCAGCTCTAACTAAACTCAAGAGTTCTGGAAGAAGATAATACTAGTAATAATAATTTAGGTTATAAAAGGCAGTAACATTGCATTTGAAATGTATATCTTCACATTAAAAAGAAAATAAGTTTTCTAACCTTAATTTTGCACATAAAATATCTGGTCTATGGTTAAATGTTCCTCAAAACCTTTTCCAGATTGTTAAAGAAGTCATCATGCTATAACTTGAGCTATTTAGTCTCGTTTATTTTCTCTTTATGTGGCAGCCACTAGCTGTTCCTACTTTCTCATTACCAGACCTTTCACAATTATTGCCAGAAAGCATATCCATTTCACTGCTCTGTTGTAATTTTGCTACTTCTTCCTTTATTATACTGCTTGATCTCATTCTTATTCTTGTAGAATTCAGATTGTTAATCTGTATCTTTTAGGTAGCCTGTTAACCTACAGATGACATTTTTCTCCCAACTCCATCTATAATTCAATGCCTATGCATTTAGATCCCCAAATGCCATCTCTTGCTCACTAAAAATCCTATACTTGTCACTTCTACAATAATTTAATCCCAAAGTATCCTAATTAATGGATTTTCTATATTTTCTCACATATTTTTCAAAATCCAAGTCTCAAATTATAAGTTCCTGGCATGAAAAGATATTAAAAACCTAGCGTTAACTGAATTTAAAAAGTCCATAAGCCATTAAAGAATTATGGAACGTGTTATCTTATTTTTATTAAAAGAAAAGAAAGGAATACATGCATAGAAACAACACTAAAGAAATATATCCGCCAGGCGCGGTGGCTCAAACCTGTAATCCCAGAACTTTGGGAGGCAGAGGCAGGCGGATCACCTGAGGTCAGGAGTTCGAGACCAGCCTGGCCATCATGGGGAAACCCTGTCTCTACTAAAAATATAAAAATTAGCCAGGCATAGTGGCACACACCTGTTGTCCTAGCTACTCAGGAGGCTGAGACAGGAGAATCACTTGAACCCTGGGAGGCAGAGGTTGCAATAAGCCAAGATAATGCCACTACACTCTCACCTGGATGACAGCAAGACTCTGCCTAAAAAAAAAAAAAAAAAAAAAAAAAAAAAAAAAAAAAATCAATTCATTCACTGATTATCTCTTAGAAGTGAGATTTTAGAGAATTTTCAATTTTTATATACCTTATTGCTATACTTTTTCTCTACTAGTCAGTGTACACTAGTTTTATTATCAGAAGAAAAGAAAAAAGACTTTTTTTCTATTGACAAAAAAAGAAAATGTGTTTTAATGAAAGTAAATCCATATAACATATATAATATGTCATATGTATTTAATGGTTGTAAACATTTAGCACAGATCATGTGTAAGACATAGCAGTAACAGAATAGAAGAAAATGAAAGATAGGATTCAAAACTTAAGGTGCTTGGGATTAATCTAGAAAATGCAATAAATCATTCAAAATGACATTAAACCCTACTTGTTTGTTTATTTTAAAAAATCAGAGTTTTTTATATTCAGTATCAGGAACTCTTCTTGGCATGGAGACATCCTGTGAACCCCATCAAAGCCCAGCATATTTTGCAGCTAACATTCTAGGGGAAGACAAAAACTGCCAACAAATGAGCAAGTTATCTAGCAATGATAAGTATAATGGAGGAACATGATGAAGAGTAAGAGGAGAGAGGGTGACAGAGAAGTGATATACAAGTTAGGGCATTCATGGGAGGATTCTCCAAGTAGGTGAGATTTTTGCAGAGGGGTATGTGACGTGAGAGAGCAGCCAGGTGGCGCCGTCGGGGAAGAGCAGAGGAAGACACCAGTGCAAAGGCCCCGAGGCAGAACATGTGAGTGGCATTCAAAGTACCCCAAGAACCCGTGTGGCTGCAGGACAGACACAAATCAAGATGTGATGTGGTGGGAAATGATGTCAGAGAGATGAAGTGAAGTGGGAGACAAATCATATAGGGCCTTATGGGCCAAGGGAAGAATTTTGAATCTTATAACAATCATTACTAGAATCTATAGGAAGGTTTAGGGAAACAGGATGAAATGAAATCTTATTATAAAAGAATCATTATTCTGGCTCTCCTGCGAAGAATATTGTTGGAGAATAAGACGTAAGAAAGGTAACCCGTTTGTTGAGAGATGATGGTTTAGGTCAGTGTTTGGCAAACTATGGCCCATGACCCAAATGTAGCTCATTGCCTGAGAGCTTAGAATGATTTTTAACATTTTTTAATGGTTCCCCTATAAATGGTTATAGAAGTACCTACATAATATTTTTGATGTAGCCTCTTGGCTGGCAAAGCTTAAACTGTTTACCTATCTAACTTTTAAAGAAAAAGTCTGTCAACCTCTGGCCTTGGCAATGATGTTAGGCCTTAGGCCCCTGCTGTTTAATCATTTATTATTCCTCCATGCAAATTTTTATTCTGGAGAAGAAAGAGAGAGAAATGATGATTGCCAGTCAGAATGAAGGACAAAACATGAAGAAGAGACATATAGTTGGATTCAGGATGTATTTTAAAGGCCAAGTGACAAGATTTGCTTAGGGATCAGACACAGTGTGTGAAAAAGAGGAGTCAAAAATGACTCCGGAAGTTTTTATCTGAGCAACTAAGTCGATGATGGTGCCCATTACTGAACTGGTGATGAATGGGAAGGAAAAAGTTGGGCCAGGGTAGGGGGAAATGAGGTTATGTAGTTTTGGACATGTTAATTTCAGGATTCCTAATAGGCTTCCAAATAGAGATGTCTAACGAATGTCCAAAATATGGTGTAAATAACATGTAATAAAGAATTTCAGAAGATGGCCGTGGGTTGAGGCACTGGTATAGGTTGAGGTTTTCATATTCATAATACTAGTAATCATAACAAAGATGATAATAATAATTAATTATCATAATAATGTCCCAATCTATTTTAAGCACTGTGTGAGGTAGCTGTCAGACACCAGCAAGCACCCAGCAGACCTCCACCACAAGGAGCATAACTGAGGAAGAGCCCCAGCTGCCTCGCTCTGCAATCTACTACCCTCTTTGCACTAGGGCCTGGTCTCCCACGGACAACTCCCAGTGGAGGTGAGAGCATGGCAGGGATTCCAAGGCAAGAAGGACTCCTCTGATGGTTGATTATTGCTCCAGGACTCCCCTTCAGCCTTGCTGAAACTTCTTTAGATTGCATGGCAGTTCAGGACACTTGTACCCAATCTTCCTTTCCTCCTCGCTTTCCTTGGAGTCAGACTTGCTTCCTGATGGCTCTGCTCTTCTAGACTTCCCTAAGTCCCTTCCGTTGTCCTTCACAGGGACATTTCCCCTAGGTAAACTCTTACAAGTTTAATCCCATTTTCATAGCCACTTCAGATACCCAAATGAAACACAGCAGCTGAAATACAAGGTCTCACTAAATCCCACTTAAGGCCATTAAAGCATCTCTCTAAAAATAGGTGTTTTGTTATTCCTACGTCACAGATCAGGAAACTAAGGATTGGAAAGGTTAAGTGGTTATCATAGTTTTCAGCCTTTATTTAACAAGTTCTTATTAAACGCCTACTCTTTTCAAAATCAGGTGATAGGACTGAATCAAGACTTAAACATGTTGCTTTCTAACTCTAAAGTGTATGTGTCAACCAGTACATTGCAGCAGTGGTTCTCAACTGGAGGCAATTTTTTCAGAGGACATTTACTTAATAATGTCTGGAGACAATGCTGAATGTTGTAAGGGGGTGGAGCATGCTACTGGCATCTACTGGGTAGAGGCCAAGGACGCTGCTAAACATCCTGCAATGCACAACAAAGCCCCAGCAACCAGGGAGTATCCAGCATCAAATATCAGTAGCGCAGAGGCCAGGAAACACTGCATTGCAGCAGTAGAATTTCACTGAGCTAGAAAAGGAGGCAGATTCCCAGATATAAATGAGTAACAGAAGAATCAGGACCGTCAGGTATAAAAGTAAAAATAAATAAATATGGTCTCCAAGGAGAGGAAGGGAAGATTCAGATATCCCTAAATAAGAAAGGACTCATAATCATTGCAATACATAGTTATTAAATGCCTACTGTTAAAAAAAAAAAAAGCACTCAAAATCTGAAAGGCCAAGGAGAATGGAAACCAGGAAAAAGAGCTGGTTTGGGCTAATGTTACAAAAAATTGACTTTTTCTGAACAAATACAACTTCAGCATTACCTAAAAAATTGAAAACAGAAATAAAAGGCATGCATGTATGCAATATACACAGACACACATGCACAGGTACACACATATATTGTGTGTGCTTAGTTATATTCCAGGCATCTATGCTGAGCAGTTTTGCCACATGTATGTTATTTCTGCCCTCACTTTAAATTTCAGAAAACTGAGGCTTAGATCTAGAAAGTAGTTGAATTCCAGTAGAACCTAGAGCCAGAACTCAGAACCCTGTGCTCTAAAGCTGTATTCTAGAATGCCTGTGAGCAATGGAAATAAGTGAATTGTTTAGTAAAAACATTCTTCAAATTTTAAGAGAGTTGATACTAATAATTTGGTACACAATCCTAGGAAGCTTTTGAATGTGAATGCAGAGTTGAACGAACACAAACAAACAGAAAGCTCCCAGCACTTTTACTTCTTTTGGCAGGTATGTGTGTTGTATATATATATAACATATAAATAATAATGTGCTATGATTTGAGACATGGTGCAAAGTATGGGAAAAGTAACTTTATGCCAACATGATTTACTTCGTTGTGACCCAAGGAGATTTTGTACCACATGGGGAATACAGATTGACAATTATTCTCATTTCCATTTGCACATATCAATTGGTTAACAACAATTTCACGTTTAATCTATTACTTTTGCAGATAGATGCATTTTATTGATTGAATCAATGCTTAAAGTTTTCATGAACATCACTTTCTACAGAAAATAGTTTCCCTAGAGGGTTCTAAAACGATACTTTTTAGAACAATAAACAATGGCTTTGTCATTTCTTGTAGTAGTGTTTATGTAGTATTTCCACTGGAGACTGAATGTCATAGTCATCAATACAAAATTTGCAAGAAGTTTCCTAGAGAACTCATAAACCATTTGACAAAAATCAGTATCAAGTCAAGAGAGAAATATTCTGGTCATTTCTTTTTAGGTATGTTTCTTTTATTTTATTAGATACTTAATTCTCTTGCATGAATTTTTTTGGATAGTACGCGATAGGATTCCCATACACATCCCGTAGAAGATATATTGCTTAGGACCATGCAATTTAGATGTTTGTTATAATTTTTTTCAGATTACATTTTTTGTTCCAGAGAAGTAAAGGGAAGAAATGAAGACCAGCAGGTTGCATACAACACAGAAAAGATCTGATGAAAATTCTACTATGGCCTGTTTATTTAGAAACAGATTGGCCGGATAATGCTAATACTAATCACTGTCGTGGCTAAAATTTATTAAACACTCTCTCTGCTATGCATTTCAACATACACCCCTAAGAGGTTGGTACTAAATTTTCCATTTTAAAGATACGGAAAAAGATACATGATAAGTTTAAGTAACCTGTTCAGCTAGTAAGTGGCAGAGCTAGGTTACAAACCCAGGTGATCTTATTCCAGATCAGAAGATCTGGACCAAAAGAATTGGAAACAAGTCTGTCCTTCGTCTACTGTAACTCTTATTGAATATCATATGGGGATGATAAGTTAATAAACAAGTAGGCAAAATTATACTTATGTTGTGAACTGTGTGGACTTAAGGATTCGGTAGACTGGACTGTCACTTATATGATTAGAAATTTGGGTGGGACAATTAAGTTTACTCCCTTGAGACTAAGGATCTTCCATTATAAAACAGAATGGACTAGATTATGTAATCTCTAAAGTACTTTGTCACTAGTTCAAAAATACTCCAAAGGACTCTGGAGGCCAAGGTGGGAGGATTACTTGAGGCCAGGAGATGGAAACCGTGTCTCTAAAAACGTTAGCTGGGCATGGTGGCTCGTGCATGTAGTCCTACATTATGTAAACTCCAAAGTTCTTTCTTGCTAGCTCAAAAGTATTTCAAAGGACTCAGGAGGCTGAGGCAGAAGGATTGCCTGAGCCCAGGGTTCAAGGCTTCAGTGAGCTGTGATTGTGCCACTGCGCTCCAGCCTAGGCATCAGAGCAAGGCCCTATCTCTGGAAAAAAACAAAAAACAAACGAACAAAACACGCCAGAGCAAAATGTCTTAGTGTTCAATCATTCTTTACACTTGTTTTATTTATTTTTAATTTTTATTTTTTGTGGGTACATAGTAAGTGTTTATGTTTATGGGGTATATGGGATATTTCAATAAAGGCATACAGTGTGTAATAATCACATCAGGGTAAATGGAGTATCCATCACCTCAAGCATTTATCCTTTGTGTTACAAACAATCCAGTCATACTCTTGTAGTTATTTTTAAACGTACAATTACATTATTCTTTATGCCTGTTTAAGATGCATTCTGAATGCGTAGAACTAAAGTCATTCTTTGATACAGCAGTGTGAAATAGGAACTATAAAGAGTCGCTCTTATAGATGGAATGTGCTTCTGTGTTCTCTGTTTAGAAACACAGGAATAAAAATTTGGAATCTCTTCTGTTTGGATCTCACATGGTAGACCAAATGCCAGAAGGATAAATTAAATATTACTTAGTAGGGGGCAAGGACAATATAGATAATTTGTTCTAGTAAAACAGTCTTTACTTCTCTTTCATGAAGTGGGCAAAGAGATGAGTGTCACAGAACATGAATGGGGACAGCTACAGCAAAAGGTCAGATTTATCCTGTGAGAGAATCTTCCATGTGTTGGGCACCAGTGGAGCCACATTTTTATAAATGGAACCACGCGAATTTAAAATAGAGAGCAACTTAAATATATCAAAATACTTTTACTTTATATATAACATTTGAATAAAAAAATCTCTCAAGCAAAAATATAGTTAGAATTTTGTAATTTGAAAACTGGTGAGTCAAGTCCACTGGAAGCTAGCTGGCTTTACCCTTCACATGGTGAAACCACTTTAGCTGGTCAAAAGAAATAACCAACGAAATTATGGAGTTGGCAAAAAGATCAGTAGTTGCCAAGGGTTTTGGGGAGGAGGGATAAATAGGTGGAGCACTGAGGATTTTTAGGGCAATGAAACTACTCTGTATAATACTACAGCAGTGAATTTATGTAATTATACATTTGTCCAAACTCATAGAATGTACAACGCCAAGGGTGAACCCTAGTATAAACTACGGACTCTGGTGATAATGATGTTATCAACGTAGGTTTATTAATTATAACAAAGGCACCACTCTGGGCAGGGTGGTGTTGATAGTGGGGGAGGGTATGCAAGTGTAGTGGCAGAGGATATACAGGAAATCTCTGTACCTTTATCTCAATTTTACTCTGAACCTAAAATTGCTCTAAAAAATAAAGTCTTAAAAAATACCCATCTTGCTGCCCCATGATTGGTTCTGATTTGTTTGACATTGTCCCGACCACATCCCCCTTTCATAAAGTAGCAGTCTTATGTCTCATTTAATCACAACAGGAGCCTCTGACCATGTCTAGGCATTTTCCTATAAATATAACATGACATTGTTTCCATGTAACAGTAAAAATATTAGAGTCTGTAAAGAAAAATGTGTTTGAACTTATATGTGATGTCATGAAGTTTATGTGTGTAGATATTAACAGGCAGAACTGTTTCTTTTGAGTCTTCTGTAAGACCTCATTTAGCTTTCAAATAAGTACCTCGAAAGCCAAAAATCTTACAGATGAAAAATGAGCTATGATGTGGATTATTTTTTAGACATAATGGTGAAGAAGCATGTTCATGATCACATAAAAGTGTTGGTAAGAAAGAAATTCTGTAACAAAATTACTGTATAGTTCAATCTATCAGAAACTATTCTTTGAAGGATGTCATTTATCAAAGTACAGATGCTGCTCTAAAAACTACATTGGCCTTTAAACATCACTAATTAGAAAGGAAGTAGAGCTTCAATTTGCAATTTTTTTAATCTTCAATACTATTGACATCAAAAAAATCATTCAGAATGCTCATAAAAATTGCTTTCCATGTTTCTTATGACTAAAAAGATTTTTTCTGAAATGAATTAATCCTCATTCCCTGACACATTTGCCAGCATTCTGAGATGAAAAGAAAAAAACATTATTATGCACCCTTCCTGAGAGAGCAGTAGGGGCAGGAGCTGAGTTCAAAATTATTCATTTCTGCTTCAAATCTTTCTTGAAATCTTTTCCGTGGCTGTGATGTGCAAGAAATAGCTGGAGAATTTTTATCTCCACCCCCTCAAGTAACACAAATCATCTGCTCCCCCTTTTACAAACATGAAAGAGGAAAACTGTCCATGATGATTTGCAGAGAGTGGGTGTGTGTGAGATCTGCTATTTCCATGGCTGGTTCAGAAGCTGATGTCACGATTACTTCCTACACAGCAATGTGGGAAACCACATTAGCAGCAGGAATCCCAGTTGGCAGAATTGCCAATTGTACCTGATAAATAGACAGTTATTTGGAGGAGGAATCCTCTGGACACCTTAGAAAAGTCAGTCAACATTTCATTTAGAAATTAGAAGCTCCTAGAATGGGATGATGTATTTCAAAATCTTTAAGAAGTACAGTGTGGTACAACAATAAATGATTATTTTTATAGTGTTTGTCATCATCATTATTACATTACTATAGCTGTATGCAAGTCTTTCAATAGACACATAAATGTTTCTCCCAAAGCAAGGGTTTTGGTGATCAGGAATGAAACTTAATATAAAAACTAAATTAAATTGAACTTTTTAGAAATTGCCTTGAGAAAACCTGGGGTGGGAAATAAGGACTTGAAACTAGACTGGAAGATAATCTTGGATTCCGAGGGGACCCAAGATGATTGGGAGCATGACTTTGGCAGGAAGTCATTTTAACATCATGGCATTGAGACATAAATGCCCACCTGAAATAGCTGGTAATATGGGGACTGAAGTACTCATGTTAGTGTGACAGCAGCAGGGTCACTGGATTGAATAACTCCAGGGGGCACCATTCATCCATTCCTTTATTCCAGGAAGTGTTATGGAATACAAGGTATTACACAGAAGCAGCAATTTGGAAAGACCATCTTGAGAGATTCTTCATAAAAACAGAACCCCAGTCTATAAGGTACACATTGAGATCAGTGTCACTCTGTCCATGCTCTCATCCCACTTCTGTGTAGATGTCTTCTCCCATTTGCTATTGTGTTAAGACATCAGAATGGATCTTCCAAGGTGCTAATCTCTCTCCACCCCTGCAGAGGCTTATTGTTTCTTCTGAGAAAGTTGGCTGGTTATCCTGATGCAGCCAATTGATCTGTTGTAATAATAAATGCCCACTAAATTCAATTGCCAGGTTATCATTTATGGGTTTCAGTTCCTGCTCCATGGTTCTCTTGGAGGTCTAGGACTGAGCAAGACCTGAACTTGGTAGTTACCCATGTTCCAAATATAGTGTCTCTCAAACTTTGTCTTGACTGAACATTCCTTTGTTCAAAGAAATACTTACAGAGATGCCCAGTAAATGAAATAGAGAAGCTATGAATGCTGACTTTGGGAGCCTTTCCTGCTCATTGTCAATACCCACATGTTGACTTCACTTGTTCCACAGCAGCCACTGCGGGAATTCCATTAACTATCTAGAACTCTTTCATAGCCAGTGCTAATAACACTACTTAAACAAAAGCTGTTTCATTGTCTTTAACTGAATTTCTTGGGGTCTATTATCAACATTATTTGGAAATGTTCCCTTCTCCACTCTAGAAATGAGCTGTGTTTCTAACTGATAATTTAAAACTAGCACTCCATCTCCATCAACTTAGAAATTAAATAAATTATTAAAAAAAATAAAATTAGCACTGCAGTATTTATCTGTACCTACGGAACTGTATTATTCAGGATCCTTTGGTTGCAGAAAACCCAACTCATTCTGACCTAAAGAGGCTCTATTGGCTTAGAGGTAGACATAGATTGAAAGACTTAGAGGTGGCTCTGGATTCAAGCACAGCTTGCCTTCAGAGGGAAGAGAATATGCAAGATTCTATCTCTCTTTCTCACTCTTTTCCTGTTATTCACCTCAATTTAACTGATATTGGCTTTATTTATGGGCAGGCTTTCTTCACGTGATAGTCCCTAAGAAGTCTTTCCTGTGATTTTCTTTCCAAGTAATACCTACAGAATTTTTGTAACTATGATTCATTTGACCAGTTGTTTTTTAATTAATAGACTTTATTTTTTAGAGCCCTTTTAGGTTTATCAAAAAATTGAGCAGTGAATACTGACAGTTCCCAAAGATTCTCAACCCCTCCATACACAGTTTTCCCTATTAACATCTTGCATTGATGTGGTACGTTTATTACAGCTGATGAACCAGTATTGATATAGCATTATAAACTAAAGTCCATAGTTTATATTAGAGTTCACCTTCTGTGTTGTAGAGTTTGTAAGTGTTTTGACAAATATGTAATGTCATTTATTCACCATTACAGTATCGTACAGAATACTGTTCTAAAATTTCTGTCCTCCACCTATTCAGCATTTCCTCCCTCCTGCCAAACTCCTGGCCACTAGTGATATTTTTACTGTCTCTCGAGTTTTCCTTTTTCCTGAATGTCATATAGTTGGAATCATACAATGTTTCATCTTCACAGATTGGCTTCTTTCACCTAGCAATATGTACTTAAAGTTCCTTTCCGTGTGGCTTGAGGGCTTGCTCACTTGTTTTTATCACTGGGTGTTATTGTGTTGCATGGATATACCACAGTTTGTTTTCTCATTCACCTATCGAAGGATATCCTGAATGCTTCCGAGTTTGGGCAATTACGAATAAGTCACTGGAAATGCTTGTGTGCAGGTTTGTGTGGACATAAGTTTTCAAATCATTTGGAGAAGTACCAACAAGAGTAATTGCTGGATCATATGGTAATACTATGTTTAGCTTCCTAAGGATCTGCAAGACTGTCTCCAAAAATGGCCATACCTTTTTTCATTTCTATCTAAATGAATGAGTTGCTCTTACTCCACATCCTGGCCAGCATTTGTCCTTTTCAGTGTTTGGGATTGTACCGTTCTAATAGTGGTATCTCATTGTTGTTTTAATTTGCAATACCCTAATGAGACTGGACTGGTTTTAGTTGGTGTCCATTCTTGAATCAAGCTCTGTAGTCTAGGGGATGGAATATAGCGATCAATCAGTTATGCATCTTGGGCTTTTTATTTAAGCCCAGGCCAAAAGGATAGTTTGTGATTTACAGATAACAAATTCACAACTGAAAAGTGATTCACAGTTAAGAAAGACAAGTGGATGCCATACTGATAATACATCAGGAATTCACAAAATAAATACATAAACAAAACCTTCTGACAAAATGTAATATTAGAGTGTTCATATTTATATCATTCTCAGGTGAAAACCACATGGTGTCTTTCAAGGGTCAAGGAAAGAGGTGGTGTACATATGAAGTGTGGGAGTTGCAACAAGTGGTAGTGGGAAGGCTGGGCTCCATTTCAACAATTTTTTAAAAAGTAGAATAAAATACATTTGTTTTCAGTATTAATTCTCCATTGTACACATTGATTCATGAGTATGTATAACTTCTCTCTGTATAAAACATATCACACAGTGTAAATGAAATAAACAATCCACTAGAGGTCTTTTACAATTTAAATTAAGCTATTATTCAATGTAATTACTAGTCTGAACGTTTTGAAGTTTTTCAAAATAAGAACTGTGGAGGTTGTTTATTCTACAAGATAGTTCATTGCACAATTATGAATGATCAGCAAAACTCTGTGAGTTGATGATCATAGGGTATGTTTTAGTTGAGAACATATTTTTGGCAATGAATACACAATGCCTATTAATTAAATCAAAGAGATATTTTATATATGTTGATTCAATAAATGTTCTTTTGAAAAGAATACATTGGCCAAGTAATAGGTAGCCACTCTAAATGCAATTGGTAAATTTGAATCTTACAGCAGGAAAGGAAGTATGGGTTAAATGTTCGTAAATATTGGCACAAATTAGTGATGTTACTTGGGGAGAGAAGAAGAGAGTTGGCGTAAACATTTCACAGTTTTATAATGGTATTTGTCCAATGATTGATTTAGTCTTGTGATTGATCATTAGCAAAAGTGTAAACCATATGGCAACTGACATTTATAAATGTGCTTTTATCAGTCAGTTTTACCCATTGAGAACAGCAATTTAAAGATTCAACACTTTGTAAGTATATTAACAGTATTCTGGAGAATTTATTGAGTAATAGTGTTGGAAAGATTCTGTGTAGAATCTTTATAGAATCATGAAAGAATAGTATTGGAAAAGAATTTAAACTGGTGATAGACTATGTTTACTTCATTCAAAAACCTGTGTTTATTTCATCCAAAGTTCTGATAATGTCAGAAGTTAGTGATTTCTGGAAATGCACTGGAAATAAATAAAAGAAAATGAGAAAAATGTACTTCATTCTTAGAGGATATGAATTTTAAATACCATGTGAAAAAATAGATCTGACCAAAATCAAATGGCCACAAAGTGAATGGGTTTGCTAAAGAGAGGAAAATCCTAAATATTTATACAAATTTCATCAGTCTCTGCCTTTGTTTTCTAATTTCTATACATTATTATATAGAGAAATTTTTCTAATGTATTACATTTATAGAATTTTAGAAAGTAACTGATGTAGCTACCAGTCCCACTAAAACTAGCAATAGTAGCTGTAGGTTTAATCAGTCGGCCTTTGTGTTTAAAATGAGACAAATTATTTTTGCCACCGTAACAGCAAATATAAGACAAAGTACAACATTCTCTGATTATAAATTGGAGAACTTGGTTAGAAGTTCACTCCTGCTTATCAGTTGACTTAGGATATCATTTAACTATGATTTAAGTTATCATTTAACTGTCAACTTTTAATAATGTTATGACAAAGTACATTTTCACTTTGATAACAATTGCTATTGTCATAATCATCTTCATCATCATCCACATTTTATTTCCATGATACTTCAAAATAGTCAAGTGTCACACTGCCCAAGAGAAGTATATCAAACATGGTGCCATATTTTGGTCAAAAATTGTTTTGAGGTCTGAATTTACAGAAGGAGAAATAAGAGAAGAATCTGGATTGAAATAAATCATTTTATAGATGTAACCTATTAAACACGCATTAATATACCAGAATAGTCATTTGGATCACTATGTTTTCTGGCAGATAGAGCACTTGAATGAAGATATACAAGTATGACTTAGTCATTAATTAATTTCCCAAAACCTACTTAATCCTTCTGGGACTTGTCTCAGCTATAGAACTAAGAGAACAAAGTCAAACTTAAGTCAACGCAAGGTACTTAGCTTATGTAGCTAGTGTCTTTCAAAATATCTTTGAACAGTCTTAGTGGAATGTCACTTCACATTTTTCTGACATCTTTAACACTATTTCGGTTTCCAAAACAGTTGCCAACTCTCTACCCAACTCTTTCCACCCTACCTTGGGTTATGTAGCTTCCTGGCTTTTCATTCTTCGTCTAGAATAAGATCAGAATTTTTTCCCATGTGACTTATTTTAGAGGATTCCAGCTGTGGAAACAAACAAACACATATGAAAAGATGTAGCAGATTTCATCTGAATATTCTTTTAGAATTTTGCCAATCATAAATGTTTCGAGAAAAGAGTGCTCTTAAAACTCTCCATTAGTATTTGCCCAGATTTGTTTATTCAATTTTGTCCAGAAAGAAGGGAGTTGGTTATTTTAAGTGCAAATACAGGACTCAATATTTCATTTATTCAGAAGGGGGCACACTTGTGCTTTTAATAGCAGATGTATTCGGATTTGCTGGTATACAAAATTTATACATAAACTTGCCACAGATGACAGAACTACTTCTCATTACCATGGTTTTTTAAAAGGCTTAATACTTCTTAAACAAGAAGAGTGACAGAATTCAACATGCAGGTTTCTTTTTAAAGAAGGTTTTTATTTTTTTTTTATTTTTTTTTTTTTTAAGTTCGAGAGTCCTTTTAGGTTAAAAACTTTGCAGTTTGTTCTGATAATTTTTCAATGTGATTGAAAGACGTCTATGATCATGGAAGTAACATGTTTTTGACAGCTTCTAATACATTTTAGTTTGACCTCTGACTTTCAGCAATTTGATAGCCTTAAAAATATTTTCTCTATTGGTTTTCATTAATAATGTGACATCATTTGTATGCCAAGATAACACTGACCTATTTGGAGGATAAAAACTTATGCAATAAGCTATCTTTCTACCAGTGGACTTAATTGTTCTTAGCCATAATTGTTTTTCCCAGGGACACAAGATCGTCTTGGCATGTTTGGCTAAGGAATTTACTCTAAAACCTTTGAAAATCATAGCCAGCTTCCACTACTTTGGCCTCAGTGCTATTATGCTCTAGACAATTCAAGTATTTGGTCAAAAATGATAAAACCCAAACAATTTAAAATATACAGTAATAGCTGTGATAAATACAGAGGATACGAGAAGATAGAATACATATACAATTAAAATTTGCTTTGAGGTATTGTTAAAAACTTATATGGGTTGTAACCTGTCTGAGAATATATATGACAATGGGGGATATCTTTACTATATAAAGCACTTTTACAAATGATAACGAATATTTAAGATAATTCAGTAGAAATATGCGAAGGTAAAAGATGGTCATTTGACAATTTCCAATATGGATGAATGGGAAATTATCATTATACTATAATCAGTGTATACAGGAAGACAGACCTAGTCTATATGGTTGATATAGTTCATATTTTTGTCCCTCTTCAAAACTCATGTCTAATTGTAATTCCCAATTTTGGAGGTGGACCTTGGTGGGAGGTGGTTTGATCTTAGGGGCAGATTTCTCATGAAGAGTTTAGCACCATCCACTTGGTGATGTTCTCATGATGATTAGTTCTCATGAGATCTGTGTGTTTAAAAGTACGTGGCACTGCCCCCACCACTCTCTCTCACTCTGTCTCCCCTTCTCAGCATGTGATGAGCCTGCTCCCCATTTGCATTCTGCCATGATTAGAAGCCTCCTGAGGTCTCCCCAGAAGCAGATGCTGCTGTGCTTCCTATACATCCTGCAAAACTGTGACCCAATTAAACTTCTTTACTTATAATTTACCCAGTGTCTTATAGTTTCTTTACAGCAATGCAAGGAAGTCCTAATACATATTTTCAGTCTTCTGCCCTCACAAACTTTTCAAGACAGCAATCTTGATACAGATGTTAATTGATATTTCATTTTCAGATGATAATCATGCAATATGTATCACTGATTTCAATATACCCCTTGACTAACCATTCAACATCTTTCTTAAGGAAATGATCTGAGAAAGAGATAACTGTACAAAGATGTTTATTGTCCTGATGCTTAAATAGTGAGCAGTTGGTAACCACATAAGCATCAAGGAAAACTAATTAGTTAAATGTGTTGTGGTACTTCATAACTATTTAAATGAGTACTTCATAACTATTAATACCACAAAGAGAGTCTACACCTATTGATTTTTTAAGTCTACATATGTTGGTAAATTGAAAAAGTAGGTTAACAGGGAGATTATGGAGTAATTCCAATTTTATGAGAGAACCATCATTCTACCCTCTATGTCTATGAGATAAATTATTTAGCTTGCACACATAAATGAGAACATGAAATATTTGTCTCTCTTTTCCTTGCTTATTTCACTTAACATAATGTCGTCCAGTTCTACCCATGTTACTGTAAATGGCAGGATTTTATTCTTTATGGCTGAATAATATTCCAATAGACCACATTTTCTTTATCCATTCATCCACTGATGAACACTCAGGTTGATTCCATATCTTCACTGTTGTGACTAGCGCTGCAATGAACATGAGAGTCCTGATATTTCTTGGATATACTGATTTTTCTTTCTTTTGGATATGTATCTCCTTTATTTGGGACATATGATAGTTTTATTTTTAGTTTTTTGAGAAACCTCTATACTGTTTTCCATAGTGGCTGTACTAAGTTACATTCCCACCAACAGTGTACAAGCATTCTCCTTTCTCTGCATCCTTACTGGAATCCATTATTTTTTGTCTTTTTGATAAAGGACATATTGACTGGAGTGAGATGATATCTCATTGTGGTTTTGAATTGCAGTTTTTAGATGATTATTGATGATGGCAATTTGTATGTCTTCCTTTAAGAAATGTCTACTGAGATCTTTCGCCCATTTTTAAATCATATTATTCGTTGACTTTTTTTCTACTGAGTTGTTTGAATTTCTAATATATTCTGGCTATTAACCCCTTGTCAGTTGAATAGTTTGCAAATATTTTCTCCCACTCTGTAGGTTGTCTCCTTGCTTTGCTATGTGCTAACTAGCTTTTGTTGCATTATATTGGCCAAGCAAGTCACAAAACTAGTCTAAATACAACAGTCACAGTGGCTCACGCCTGTTATCCCAGCACTTCGGGAGGCCGAGGCCGGTGGATCACCTGAGGTCAGGAGTTGGAGACCAGCCTGGCCAACATGGTGAAACCTCACCTCTACTAAAAATACAAAAAAAATTAGCCAGGCATGGTGGTGGGTGCCTGTAATTCCAGATTCTCTGGAGGCTGAGGCAGGAGAATCACTTGAACCTGGGAGGCGGAGGATGTAGTGAGCCAAGATCATGCCACTGCACTCCAGCAAAAAGAGTGAGACTCCATCTCAAAAACAAAACAAAAGACAGTCAACAAAGGGATCTCACCTCTTGATGGAAGAAACTGCAATGTTACATTGCAGAGGGCAAAGGAAGGGGTAAAGAATAGGGGTCATTTTTGTAGCCTGCTCCTCTAGTAAAAAGCTAAATTCTGAGAAAACAGACTAAATATAGAAACTCAAATTGTAAATTCAAGGCGGAGAAAAAGGTTTACTAAATCACCAGTGAGTATCAAAAAAAAAAAGACTAAGGTTTTCAAGTTCTTGAAGCATACATGTGAGATTCCTATCTGAGGTTCTTCATTTTCTAACTACAGAAACTTAAATAATACATCCATATGGATAAAAATATCTTGTGTCCTTTCAAATGTGGGTAATACCTATGATTCCCTTCTTTGTTGTTGTGAGAATAAAGCAGGATTACTTTTTTAAAAGTTCTTTACAGAGGCTTCACATTGCAGTTACTTCATGAGTGTCTAGAATAATTCACTGACTTTATTATGATTAACCCTGCTGTAGTTATTAGTGAATCACACTGGACAAACTAATGAACTAGAAAATAGAATCAAAGAATCAATACAGTGGAAATAAGACTGAAGTTGAAGATATCTGGCCGGGATCATGGATTCTAGATCTGTGCAACCTTAGGCAAGTCACAGTATTTCTCTGGACCTGTGTCGTTTCTAAGAAAATGATGCTTCTTCTTAGAGCTGAAATGTCATTCTGCTCTAAGAAAATTACAACCAAGAATGTTCCTTTCTCATTTTCATTTTCCACATTGTATTTCTGCTTGCAAAACAATATTGTATTCTTGTATCAGAGAGTTTTAGGGCAAACAAAGATGATCAAGTGAATATCTGAATGTTTGGGAAAGGAGTGGACCAGAGTGAGGAGTCCCAAAATTATCACCCCAGTTGTTAAGTAGCTGAGAAGGACTCCACACATTATTAATATTTCTGGTTATCAGGCCTGTCTGAAGTTATTCCACATAATTTTTGTTTTCAGTTACAGCGATGTGTGACTAATTGTTCGTATGCGTTCTTAATGAGCATATATCAAATTTAAAAATAAAATATTACTTAAAAATACTACAAATAAAATCACACAACTTTGAAGCTGAGTTCTGTTAAGTAGCTGAATGTGTGAATTACATAAGAATATGAGATATAACCTAATGTACTAATGCATCTTCTAGTATCTATCCTACACTGCTCTGGTTAGCACCAGTGGCTCCAAATGACGAGAAAGTGTCATGACATCAAACAATAGGGCAGAATTCCACCAAAGAATACTGAACACTTTTATTAGGAAAATAGGAAAAGGAAGAAAAATAGGAAAGAGTGGCAGTTTCTTTGGACAAAATCTGAGTAAAAATTATTACCCTCAGGGTAGAAATTTTCTTAAATTGGGAAATCATACCTCGAGCTGACAGCTTGGGATATTTGTTCACAAACCTATTAACTTCTCTATAGCTTCCCATTAAACATCACAAGTAGTTTATTCCCATATCTTCTGGGCCAGTGGGCCAAATTTCGCCTTGAATTTCTCATTCCTATATTTTCTTTGGCTGTTTTACTGATCTTCACGAACTTTCTTTTTTTTTCCTTTCCTTTTTTTTTTTGAGATGGAGTCTCACTCTGTCGCCAGTGCTGGAGTGCAGTGGTGTGATCTCAGCTCACCGCAACCTCCATCTCCCAGGTTGAAGTGATTCTCCTGCCTCAGCCTCGCAAGTAGCTGGGATTACAGGTGCATGCCACGGTGCCCAGCTAATTTTTGTATTTTTAGTAGAGACACCTTGAAACTATAAGTGAAGAGGTCACCTCAAAATATACAAAGTCAAAAACAGGCTTCTGAGGAGGTAAACGTGTTTTAAATAAGGAAATCTCCATTATAACTTCTAAAATGTCATTCATTCAGAAGGTAAAGCAACATGAAAATAGACCTTGAACAAGACTCTTTTTCATGTCTATTTAAATAAGAATGCTATTGAATTTGTGGTGCTAATAAAATAGTTTAAAATTTATAGCATTATTTTCTGTATCCAAATAAGTGAAAATATTTTTTTAATATTATTTAGTATGGTTTATAGTGAGTTAGCTCTGAGGATGCTAACACTCTCTAATACTTTTCCCCCAAATGTTGATATATTTGTATTTATTCTATATAAAACATTCAAATAGTATTTTAAAATGATATCCACAGTGTCATCCAAAAACCTACAACATAATTTTTTAGTCTTTATTATAATTTCAATTATGTGGAAGTTAAACATATGTGACTATAACACTTTTTTTAGATTGTGGTTTACAAAAAAAAAAATCATTCCCTTGTTGAATAATTCAATAGGTTTATATTGGCAAAATCCATGTTCTGGTCACTTGGGTGCAGCCCCCATTAAGCCTGTAGTCCAATGGAAAAAGAGTTCAGTAAATTCTTAAAACTGAAAACTTAACATGCAGTATAATAGTTCTATGCTGGGGTCAACATAGTGTATTACAATTGCATATTGCAGAATCCTTTTATTTGAACTTACAGGTTCAGAGAGTTTCCAGGGAAAGTAACATGGAAGGTAATATCTGACAAATCAGTAAAAATCAGCCAAAGACATGGAACAGAATGCTTCATCTCAGTGAGCATTATATACAGATGTATAGGGGCAATAAAAGAGTTGGCATTCTTTAAAGAAGTAAGAGTTCAATGAAACTAGAAGTTAGAATTCCTGAAAAGATGAAATGGAGATTGGGAATAATAAGTCTGGAGTGGTAAGCTGGGGTTGCATCATGGAAGTTCCTTTCTATCAAGTTAAAGAATTTGACCTTTCTCCTAAGAGGATTGGAATTCTACAGAAATGTTTTAAATAAGAAAGCAGCCTGGTTAGGTTCACATTTCAGAAAAATCATTTCATTACGAATAAAGGATCATAGACAAATGAGAGCTGCAAAGACAGAGGCTGAGAAACTCATTTGGAGCCAGCTATAGTGGTTCCAGGTGAGAGATGCTATTGGCCTCAACTAGAATACCTCTTAGTGGGGATGGAGACAAGTAGCTGCAATCATCATATTTTTAGAAGATTAAATTGAGAGGGCTTCAGATTGGATGTAAAGGAGGGTTAGGATCAAGGGTTAAGGAAGCTAACTAGATTTGTGAGACCTGTAACAGTGGTGATTGATTCCTCAACCAAACTAGGAAACATAACGAAATTGGCAAGCGAAGGTAATGCGATCATTTGGTGGCATAGTAAGATTTTCTTTCTGTAAGACTTCAAGTGAGATGGCTAGCAGAAATTTGTACCTATGGATTATGAACAAAGTCCTTTTCAGGAACAAGATCTGAGCTAGAGATATAAACTTTGAGAATGTCAGCAAGCAGATGGTAATTAAACATATGGGAGTAGATAATATTACTTGGGGATGATTTATAAAGAAATGATTCTCAAACTTTGGGGTCAGATTAATTACCCAGGAAACCTAATAAAATTCAAAATCCTGGGTACCAACTCCAGAGTGTCTCATTGAGTATGTGTAGAATGTAGTTCCCAAACCTGTCTTGTTGAAAAGTAGGGCCCCACCCCCAATGGTTCTGATGGAGATGATATTCTGACCCCACTCTGAAGTATAATGAGAAGAGGATCTTGCTTAGTGTCCTGAGTAGTATCAGAACATAAGCGATGGACAAAGAAAGAGGAACCCAGAAAGAAGACTATAAATAAGCAACTGGAGGTACTGAAGGAAAACCGGGAGAAAAAAACATTACAAATTCTATAAGAAAATAGCGGGTACAAGAGTGGTGAACAGGGTCAAAGTGTTGAGAGATAAAGTAAAGATAAAGGCTAAAAACACCCACTGGATGTAACAAAAAGGAGGTCATCACAAAGTTGGCAGGAACAATTTTGGTAGAATTATGTGGGCTGCAGCCAGATTGCAGTGGGCTGAGGGTTGAATATGAGATGAGGATAAAGAGACAAGAAGCAGAGGCAAAATGTTATAAAAGAAGTTCGGACTAGAAGGGCAGGAAGTTGCTGCAGCAGAATGTGGACTGAAGGGTGAGATGTTTTTAGGAGGGAAACAACTTGAGTGAATGTGGTATCTCATACCTGACGTGCTGCATCCCTAATTTCATTTTAAAGTTTTTTTAAACAGATTCATTGAAGTGTAATCTATATATTATAAAATTCATCTTTTTAAAGTATACAGTTGATTTTTTTTTTTTTTTTTTTGAGACGGAGTCTCACTGTGTCACCCAGGCTGGAGTGCAGTGGTGCAATCTCAGCTCACTGCAATCTCCTCCTCCCGAGTTCAAGCAATTCTCCTGCCTCAGCCTCCCAAGTAGCTGGGATTACAGGCTACTTGTATTTTTAGTACAGACGGGGTTTCACCATATTGGCCAGGCTGGTCTCGAACTCCTGACCTTGTGATCCACCCACCTCGACCTCCCAAAGTGCTGGGATTACAGTGCTGTGCCCGGCAATTCAATGGTTTTTAATAAAATTACAGAGTGTACAAGCATCACCACAATCTAGTATTAAAACATTTTCATTGCTCCATATTCCATATACCCGTTTACTGTTAATCCACATTCTTACACTCTGCCCCAGGCACATACACATGCATTGTTGGTCTCTACAGATTTACCTATTCTAGACATTTCATAGAAGCCATACAACGTGTGTGTTCTTTTGTGTCTGGGTTCTTTTGTGTCAGAGTTCTTTTGCTTAGTATATTGCTGGAGAGGTTCCCTCCTGTTGTAACATATATCAGTGGTTTATTCCTTTTTTATTGCTGCATTGTATTCCATTTTATGGATAGAGCGCATTTTCTGTATCCATTCATCAGCTGATGGACATCTGGATAACGTCCCCTTTTTGACCATCATTCGTGAATGATAGTGCTATGAATATTCACATGAAAATCTTTATGTAAGCATAGGTTTTCATGGCTCCAGGGTAGTTATCTAGGAGTCTGATTGCTGGGTTGTATGTTAAGTTTGGGTTGAACTTTCTAAGAAATGGTCCAACGTCTTTCTAACGTGGCTGCAATATTTTACATTCACACTCTTTCATCCCTGCCCTAATAAGCACATATTCACTTACTTTTATACCTGCATTCATTGAAAAAAAAAAAAAAAGAACTGTCCCCTCTTGGATAGTGGGGAGCAAAGTAAGGTGCTGCTTTGGGTTCTGTGCATTATGGTTAGGCCAAAAATGATGGAAATATGAATTAGCATCAGCCTGCCCCCTAGTGGTGGTCCAGACTGCTGTGCAGTCAACCTAAATCCATGGGGCCAAACTTCTAAGCGATCTACTCTTTCCTTCACTCACTCTTGTCACTCTACCTCCGTCTTTTCTGGCAAAGACCAAACAGTGGGCAACGAGTTTAAGTATGCTCAAACAAATTTAGAAAGTGTATAGTGAGGTGCAGTGGTTCACCAGTATCAAACCGTCTACCAGTCATGTCTACCAGAGATATGGACACTTACTCTCATGTGTTTAAGGATCAGCTGCTGGGGGACTTGGGCAAAGTTACTGAACTTCATGTAACCTCAGTTGTTTCTTTATCTCTACAATGAGGATTATGATAACACCAGGCTTAGTTATACTGCAGTGATTCAATGAAATTTCATATGTAAAGCACCTAACATAGTTAAACCTAGAGTTGGCATTCAAGAAAAAGTAAGTATTCAAATTTTATGATAATAAAAGTGGTCACGAGTGTAGTCAAATGCTACAATGACATTCTATTCATATAATTATTTTTTATCTGTTCTCATTTACTTATATCCTATGTTTATGCTCTCTATTTAAAATTGAAATGTCTTTGAATTTAGAACTACAGTTGACTGTATTTATTTGACAGTCTACAGTGTACTGTAGACAATTTATTTGATATTGATAAGAATCACAAAAGTAACAACAATACTATCCTTCATTATTTTATAGTAACAATATATCAGGACATTTGCTAAAATCTCCCTGTATGTAAAATTTAATGCAGAAAACATTTTTATAAGGTAGGTAAAGATCTCAGTCTGTGTTGGAGAAAATATTTCAGCCACATCTTTCTCGCTGCACCCATTTTCACTACCTGTTGTGCTGCCACTGCCAATGGAAATGACAATATCAATTACAGCTGGTTGATAATTGAGAAGTATAGAGACTAGAAAAGTGTGTGTGATGTGGCTCAGATCTGGATTCTCATGATCTTTTGTTGCTCTTTTGTCAAAGAGAAAAAGTAAGACCAGAAATGACCTGAGTTTGATGATTACTGCGGTTTGCAATTCAGCAATTCAAGATAGTTGCACTCTCCTTCCCAATCCACCCTAACACCTGCTTCCTTTTCCCCATTAATAGCTAAAGTTTTCTCCCCGAAATAGTCAAAGGTTCATTGGAAATTTTATCCATGTAAAGTAAGTACATAGGCCTTCCTTTGTTTTTCTCTTAACAATGCTGCAGACTATGTTTGTTTGGAATCTGTTCTCTGATGGCAGTTGTTAAGTTATTCATTTTAATGGGTGTTTTATAACTTTAAAAGGAAAATTGTTTCCAGGGAAGAGAGCATGCCTCTAATACAGAAATCAGGTATTTAGGGGGAAGAACAATCTAATAAAACACTTTGGACAGCCCGTGATAGTGTTCAGACACACAGTTCTAGAAGAGAAATAAGAAAGCATTTCTTTGGCCAAATGTGATCTGAACCATCCGGGTTTTTGCCTCACATACTGTAAGAGACATTTATTCTCTTCACTATTCAATTATTTTGCCAGCGAGATGTGGGAATTAAAGTAGCAGCAATCATGATAACATGTGTGAAGCATCAAAATACTTTGCACTGAGCAGACAGAGATGCCAATTGTATTTTCAGCTTGGGTTTACATATGGAAAATATTGTTATTATTTCCTTCAATGTCATCAGTTTTTAATGGCTCCTATTCCATCCAATTTTTAAGCTGTAAATATAGTCTAGTATTTGAAAAGAAAATCTAAGTAGTTCTAATGCCAGAGGCTGGAACTAGTTTGCCAGCAAAATTCATCTTTAGTTTACATGTATTTGGATGCTTGATTATATGTCCCCAAATCCAGTCATAATTTAGCCCAGAATTTTAGACTAACAGAACGCAAGTGTAGATACATTTGTTTGTCTCATGCAGTTTAAAAAAAAAAATCTGTGAGCAAGCCTTTAAATATCAAGAGATTCCACAATCTTTATTTGGGCTTCTCTTCATGAATAAAAGATTTTAAAATGCTTTCTTATCCCTGAGTAGGACACCGGACAGATAATGCATACTTACACTCTACTATTTGATATTTGTCCAAGACCTCCTAAACACCTTTGATTTTTGCTTAATATTACTCGATATTTAATCTACTGAAATATTTTAGTCCGTCTTTTTTTTTTTCCCCTGTAGAAAATTGAGTCTAAATTTAAAGTGGCCTTTCTAATGCAATCTGAGCCAAAAGGTATAATTCACTTTAAAGTAATTTGGGGGCAAGCTTAGAAGTGTGTAGGCAGTAGGGCAAACATTTATTTAATTTCCTATGCTACTACAGAAACGATAATAACTAACAAACATTAAATACTTATTCTATGTCAGGTGCTGAGGTTTATATACATTATCTCGTGTAATTCTCACAACAGGCCATAAAGCAGGTGCTAAATGCTATTATTAGTTTAACAGCAATAACAAAAAAAACTCTAAACCTCAGAGCAGGTATGTGCATTGCCTAAGGTAAGGTAAGGGACTGAACTAGGACTGTCTTCTCTCTAAAACTCACTTCCTCACCACTCACTCTCTTACTCTGTCTTACCTTGACATTACATTCTAAAGTATTTTTTAAAATATATTTAGGTCCTGCACACACCTGTTATTCCCGCACTTTGGGAGGCCGAGGCAGGCGGATCACTTGAGGCCAGGATTTCGAGACCAGCCTGGCCAACATGGCGAAACCCCATCTCTATTAAAAATGCAAAAATTAGCCAGGCGTGGTGGTGCCTGCCTGTAATCTACTCAGGAGGCTGAGGCAGGAGAATCACTTGAACCCAGGAGGCAGAGGATACATGAGCTGCGATCCCACCACTGCTTTTCAGCCTGGGTGACAGAGGGAGACACTGTTTACAAATAAATAAATAAATGTTTATTTTAAATGTAAGTAATTAAAAACATAAAGCTACATAAAAATGCATATTTATATATATAAATATTCATCTTCATACTGAATAAAATGCTCAAGGAACTCTCTGCTCCTCATCACACCTTTTGGGTCACAGAGGGTCCTCTTTTTATGATGGCCCATCAAAGAGGTCAGTGTTAGGTAGCATTCTTTCCCAATATTTTCCTTTTTTTTTTTTTTTTTTGCTATTGTAAATGAATTATGTATGCACCCTGAAGTAATTAGCAAAGACGTTGTTGTTCAGCTGAATTTTAAACTAATTAATCTGACCTAATTCTTGTCAAAAATAATTAGGATAAAATATGTCCTCCCTAAGCAACTCTTTGAAGCTGAGACGCTAAAGCACAGTACCTCCTGTGTATGCACTGCTCTAAAATTGAGAGGGCCATTTATTTAACAGTTTTAGAGGAAATGCTAAAATGCTACCTTGTGAATTGCCACCTGGGCATCATCTCCTCCTCCTCCGTTTCTATATTCAAATAAAGAAAAGAAGCTGAACTAACAATGGGACTATAACATGAGTGGTCTCAATGAGCCCTTCACATCACGTGGTTTACAATTAAAACATCAAAACTGGTTAATTTCTTCTCTTCCAAAAGGCTTCCTGCTGAATATGTGTGCCCCATTTCTCAGCCCATTCACTTTTTTTTTTTTTTTTTTTGAGACAGAGTCTTGCTCTTGTCCCCTAGGCTGGAGTGCAGTGGTGTGATCTCAGCTCACTGCAACCTTCACCTCCCCGGTTCAAACAATTCTCCTGTCTCAGCCTCCTGAGTAGCTGGGACTACAGGTGCCTGCCACCATGCCTGGCTAATTTTTTTTTTTTTTTTTTTTTTGTATTTTTAGTAAAGACGGGGTTTCACCACGTCGGTCAGGCTGGTCTCGAAATCCTGACCTCAGGTGATCTGCCTGCTTTGGCCTACCAAAGTGCTGGGATTACAGGCATGAGCCACCGCACCTGGCCCACTTTTCTTAATACAAAATTGATTAAGCTATTTTCTGTCTCCCCATCCCCTACCTGCCCCAAATAAGCTTTTAAAATATCCTTAGTGATATAATGAATTGGGAAAATGTCTCATGTAATAACCAAGTCCTAAGCTATATGTTTCTAGAAAAAATAATTTAGGAAAAGCAAATAAGCAAGCTTTACCCATAGCTGCAGGTTGTCAGCAAGTTGAGATGATCTCGGGTTGCAGCAACTGTGGAGGTTTGTATATGCTGGTGTTTGCCCAAAGCCTTCACTACTGCCCTGTCATTCTATAGCAGCCTCTTCTGCGTGCCCCCTAACCTTGCTCTCAGACATATTACGGAGCTCTTGGGAGAGGAGCGCATTGTGGGATATATCTATCACATCCCCAAGCAGTTCAGAGTTAATAATTTCCTTATTAAACCTATGAACCCTTCATGTTTTCTAGTCCTCCCTCCCCAACCCCCTTCCAAGTTAGTTTCTAGGCAACCAATAAGCACTGAATTACATTAAGCTCTTTATTTCAAGGCTGCAGTTCAGAATTTTGCTGCATATTTGTTGGCTCATTTATAGAGACTGCAGCATAAAATGTATTAATTCTGTCTAATCTGCAGTACATCAGTGATTTGGTTAGAACCACATTACCCGTACCTGTTTTTCATGTTTAAATCACTCAGTGCCATGATGCTCTTCTTTATGCAGCTTATGCCAAAGATACTGTGAGCTCTAATTTGAAATCATGGAAGCAAGAATTTCCACAATTCCCAGTTCCTGGTTATCATTTAGCACCTTGAGATAGTCTTTTAGGAAATTAGAATTTTCAAAATCTCCTTTTTTGAATGGCCGAAATGTCTAACAGATGACTTTTAGTAAGAAAGATCAGAAACATACGGTTCAGGAATAGCCTGAAATGCAGGATAAAAGGGAGGATATTGTTTGCTTTAACAAACTGAAATTTTGGTGTGAAAGAGAAGCAGGCCCTTGAAAATATTCCTTTGTTGGTATGAATCAAGGAATTGAGGTTGTAATTTCAAATTTTACCAAGGACAGTGTGAGAATGAAGATTAATCTTCCAGCAAAAAAGAACTGTTCTCTGTTTTGAATGTTGAATGGTTTGAGATATTCTCTAGAAAACTCTGAGCAAGCATGCTCTCTTTCTCTCTCTGTGATATTTATAAAGGGATCTGGTAAGTCTCTAAGTGTATAATATATTAAGGTCCTCACAATTGAGCAAAAATATAAATTAAATGTTAGTTCACTCTGTAGTTTCTTAAAACACAAAGCAGTAATCTACACTGGCCACACTAAAATGGTGGCTTTGAGAAAACAAAGTAAAATCCTTTTAAAACTCAAACTTGAATCTAATCTCTTTCCTTTCACCTGCTTATAATGTAGCTGAGACAGGTGTGTGTGGCATATAAAGCTGTAGAAATAAATTGAATGGTCTTGTGGCATAGAAAGCCAGCTGCCCACTAGAGTTGCATGGTAGAAAAACCTTCTAGGAGACCCTACTGCCAAGGAGGAGTGGCCCAGATTAGGCAGCAACTGCATCTTCCAGGTGACTTTGCACTTAGAGGTGCCACTTACTGGATTTGCTTCAGTAAAATATGAGCAGAAGGGAGGTATGCCATTTCCAGGCCTGGCCTACAAGATCTTCTGTGTGATCTCCCATGTGCCTGCCTTTCTTTTTTTTTTTTTTAATTTTACATTCTTTTATATCAATAGTTTTTGGAGTACAGTTTTGGCTACGTGGAAAAGTTCTTTAGTGGTGATTTCTGAGATTTTAGTGCACCTGTCACTCAAGCAGTGTACTCCCATATGTCTCTTTCGTCCCCCCCGTGCACTGGATATCACTAACCTCTCAACCTGGGGAAAAGTGAGATGTTTTGTCAAAGCCTCCATTACCAGTGACTGCATGGAGTATCACCTGTCTAGATCCCTGACAATAAAACTATTGTTTATCACTGAGAATTTGGGTATATCTGTTTCAACAGCTCGTTTTACCTTGACTTATAGACGTGCCATGCATGAGTCACAAGATAGGATCACTTCAGTCAGTAGAACCACAAATATTCTTGACTGCTTACTATGTGCCTTACAATGTAGATTCCAAGGATTCTATGGTAACCAGACAAGAATGGCTTCTTAAAGTAGTAGGAAAAAAAAGACACACTTCAAACTATTGCAATCAATCTATTAATTATATACATGTAATGAAATGCAAAATAGAAATTTAGTACCTATAGAGCATATAATATAGTAAGATTTAACTACAGTAAGGTTTAAATACAGTAAGATTTAAACTACTCTGGGGTTTGACAAATATTTTCATTCATTAATACTTATTATTTCCAAATGTTAGTTCAGATGAAAATAAATCTGGATTTCATGTTATACATAGAGAGCTGAGTCCAGAGTAGACCAGTAGAATCAGTAGGTTAAATTGTTTCTTCCTCTCCTCCCCCAATGCCCAGGAATCAGGATGCAGCTATAAACCATTTATTAAATAAATTTTTCTTTTCCTTTGAGAAAAGGAGGCTGGGCGCCGTGGCTCACGTCTGTAATCCCAGCACTTCAGGAGGCCAAGGCAGGTGGATTATTTGAGGTTAGGAGTTCGAGACTAGCCTGGCCAACATGGTGAAACCTCGTCTCTACTAAAAAATACAAAACTTAGCTGGGCATGGTGGTGCACACCTGTAATCCCAGCTACTCAGGAGGCTGAGGCAGGAGAGTCACTTGAACCCAGGAGGTGAAGGTTGCAGTGAGCCAAGATTGTGCCACAGCACTCTAGTCTGGGCAACACGTGAGGCTCCATCTCAATAAAAGAAGAAAAAAGGAAAGCACTTAGGAAACATTTCACTTAATCCTTCCTTTCCTAGATGAGGAGGAGAAATGTATTTTCCGAGCTTATAATACCTTCCATTTTAATATATGGAACATTTAGTGTGGGCCAGAAACTATGCTAGTTGCTATTTTTTATTGTAAAATTTAATAGACATATAGATTAGTGCACCATAAAAATATATAGGTCAGTGATTTGTCCCCCGAAAAAAAGAACACTCAGGTAATGCTGCCTAAATCAAAAAACTGATCATTGCCTACTCCTGAGAATCACTAAACAGCCTGGCCCAATCCCAGCTACCTTTTTCCCCACCTACTACCCTTCCTTTTATGGTCATGGTTAGTATCTCTCTTTATAGTTTTACTGTATTACCATGAATTCAAAAATACTGGGCTTTATAATTTTTTGAAGTTTAAATACATTGGATCTTAACAGTATATATTCTTGTATGTGTGTCTTCCCTCACTCAACTCTACGTGTGTGGCTTTCATTCATGCTCTTGATTGTAGCATTCCTTGGGTCTTTCCCATTCTGTTGTATGAACATATCACAGTGTATTCCATTGTATGGACATTATACAATGTATCTAGTTTAGTATGAATGATATTTAGTTGTTTGTTATGAATAGCAGGGTTCTACATAATCTTATACCTGCTTCTTGACACACAGGTGCATGCCTGTACTTCCAGTTCCTAAGTTTCAGACTTTGGTGTTATGTTATAGCAGGCACCCATGCCTCTGTATCGTTCCCCAAAGTTATTTTCTTATTTTAAAAAGTTGGGAATGGAGGGCTGGGATAACGTAATAGAGCCAGATATACTACACTGGCCGTCTGGTTACAGTGCCACAGACATTTAGTTCAATATTTAATGGGTGAAGCTGAGTTCCATCCTGTATCATTGAAACAAATGACTGGAGAAAACAGATGATCAGTATCCTCTTTGGAATGCCATTACTCATTTCTTTTATTTGTTTAACCATTTTTAACGTGGGTAAGATGAGTGTATTCTTGCTCTCAAGTTTGATTTTACTACTTTTAATGAATTTTTTTTCTGACTTTTTGGTCAAGCCAAGTTTTTTCCACATCATAGCATAAGCTGTTCCCTTTGCCTGAAATGTTCTTATTTTAAAGCTTTGCATGATTAGCTAATTCCTTATTATGATAGTTTTAACTTAACTCAGAAGTCTCCCTTGAGTATCTTACCTGCCCCAAGTCACTCTTTATTACATTGCCCTTTATATTTGCTATTAAAGAATTTATCACTACATGTAGCTATCCTGTTTATGTTTTATTCCTTTTAAATGTTTCCTGGGACCTCCTTTTCTTGCCTTCCAGAAATATAAGCACCAGGAATCTCATCTCTTTTTTTTCTTGAGCAAGCTCTCTCCAGTGTCTAGAACAATACATGGTTCATAACAGGTGTTCAATAAATGAACTAATGAAAATGAAAGAAACAAAGGAAGGAAGGAAGGAGGGAGGAAGGAAGGTAAGAATGGAAAGAGGGAGGAAAGAAGAACGGAAGGGATATTCATGGAGACCAAGGAGTAAAGACGCTCTCCACTTGATACAAAAGTTTTGTGATTCTGTAGGACAGGTATAAATGAAAGAAGATCTGTGCACTCAACTCTCATAAGTTGACTGCAAGCAATTCAAAATGTACCGAACCATTAAAGGTTAGAAACAGGCAGGGGGCCCAGTGTTTCCACACAGCGATGTAGACTGAAGGCAATAAGGGAAACCAAGGACCCGGGAGAGCGTGTGGCCATCATTCCAATTTTCTATACATCTCCGTGCCAAGCTGTGTATATATGAGTTGCTAACCGCATGACTCATGTGAATCTCAAAGAAAGAGTCTGAGTCAAAAGCAACCTCGGGGTTACTAGCCATGGAAGCAGAGGAGGGAGAGTGTGGTTATTAAACATTGTTGTCAAAGAACAAAGAAGAGACAAAAAAAGAAGAAACTCAGTAAGCAATGGTTCAGTATTCTCTCGCATTCATTTGAAGGAAATTGGATGACGTCCAAAGTTTTAACGTGAGCAAAGAGACTGGATAACCCCTGGGAGAACTTGTCATCTTGGCAGGCTCTGCAAAATAGCTTATGTCTATCACTATTGTAGTAACAGACAAAAAGGGTTGATATTTATAAGGCTCTGTAAGAATGTGTAGTAAGATGTGTCTAGGAGTTGTCTCCAGAAAATCCCAGAGCAATAAGAGTCATAAACTAGGTACAAATTCCAGGAGTTGACCAAAGCATTAACAATAAAATAAATATATTTTTGACACATGAAAAGAAGAGAGGCAAGGACTCCTGTAGGTAGATTCAATAGGAATGTAATATAATATTTGTGGTTATGGACAGTGAAAATGTTTAAATATCTACAGTGTCAAATTGACATGTATTAACCCTTGAATTGATAATGGGTTCTACTCATTTCGGTTGTTTCCTTCTCCCTCCAAAGATGGTAACTTTAAGTTTACTGTGTTAGCTGGAACAGAAAGTGACTCATTTTACAGACAACTTGACAAGAATATAAAGTTAGGAAAGGATGGTATGAACTGTGTCCTATAAATACCAAATTCCTTTTCTAAGTCATTGCTGAGGAAATAGTAAAATAGAACAACCCAGGATATCCAGGAAAATTATATGGGAGAGTAGTCAATAGATTGCAGAGGGGGAAAATATGAGCATTTCTGAGCAAAAAAACAACAACAACAATAAAGTGACTTTGATGTGGTGACTATGACGCCTAAATGGAGCATAGAATCTAGGACAGAGAGCCGCCTCTCATTTGTGAGAGCTCAGAGAGTGAGAGTTGTGCTGAGTAATTTTGCTTGGCAATGAACTTAATACCTTCCTCTTCTTCCCCCAATTAAAAAAATTGCAAAATTAGACGAGGTAACAGAGGTAGATTATCTCCCTTCTAATGCCCACTTAACATTCCAAACATTTATTTATCAAATTGCAAGCCCTATGATATGAAAAGTGGAGTCCATTTTGCTACCTTGCAAAAGGAGCTTCAGCTTCCCATTTCTCTTGCCTTGTGGTTCACATGATGAGAACGACCCAGATGGGTTATCCCTGAGGAACAAAGAGACCCAAAAGAGTGATACTGACAACCCAACCCTGACCCATATCTGCCCTAAGAGCTGGCAAGTCCTGTGGGCCTTGAGGATGCTCCATTTTCCCATTCATCTCGAAGAACAAAAGTGTGACTCTTTCAACTGGGTTCCTCTCAAGAATCCAGAGCGTATGATCTATTTAACTAAAGTAGCACAGGAAATCCCCAAGGCTAAAAAAAGAAGAGCCAGTCTCAGTGCAACCCTATAAAACTTTTATTATTTTCTAGTCTAGGGATCAAGGCAACATTGAAAGAAAATTCTCAGTTCCTGCTTCACTTAGAGGTAGTTCAAGTCAGGGAATCACAGAATTTCACAGCCAAAAGACATATTCTTATATATCTACTGCAACATCCTCATGTTCCTGATGAGAATATCATGATCCAGGGAGGAGAGGTGACTTAATACAATTTGTTCCTTCATGCATTTATGTAACAAGCATTTATTGAGCATCAACAATATATTGCCATGCTGTGCATTTCATTAGGGAGTACAGATAAAATAGTGCCTAAGGCTTAACTCTTGCCCTTAGGAACTTGCCATCAATTTGACAGTTAGGATGAGTAAACTGAGAATGGCACTACTAGGCATTGCTGGAGCACAAAAGAGGACAGTGTGCACAATGGTAAACAATGCAGGCTGTGGATTGAGGTACTCTGAGTTAAAACACTGCAACACTGTTTGCATGTTGTATGACCTTGGGCAATTGATTTCGCTTCACTATGCTCCAATTTCCTTTTCATAAAATGTTGAGAACATTAGCATCTATTCCATAGGGTTCTTTGATGAGAAAATACATACCTAGTAAAGTATGTAGGAATTTGTAACTGATTAATAAATGCAGTAGTAGTAGCAGTATTATTATTATTATTACTAAAATCAAGACTTGGAAGTCAAACAAAAAGCTTCCCAGCATTGTAATGAATAGACCCTGAATACGTTAAAGTTCAAGAAGTACGTTCTGGCAAAAGGAATTAGGTTATTTTGTGATGTTCTGGACCTGGTTTTCTGGACTGTGTTTCTGACTTTTTGTGGCTTTTTGAATGCCCAGTTTTTATCTTGGGTCATAATTGCACTGTGCACACAACTCTAGAGGGTGCCTCTCATGGTCATAAGATTTGATCTTATGTGTAGTCCTAGATTTTTATCTCATGTGTTCCAGCAAATGGCCGTGAAGTTCATAAGGAAGGAGCTAATGCACACAAAGGCCTTGTTTCAGTGTAATGTCTGGCTTCTTGAGGTATTTATTCCAACTAATTCACACATGATGAACTACATGAAAACATGATGTCTTCCACTATCGATTGTACACATTTTGGACTGCATCAGTTATCTATTACTGAGTAGCCACTCCAAAACCTGGTGCCTGAAAAGACAATTATCATTGAGTCGGCAATTTGGGCAGGGCTCAGTAGTGACAACTTGTCTCTGCTCTGTGCAACATTAGCTAGGGCAGCTTGACTAGGAGCTGGGGAGCCACTTTCGAGATGGCTCAGTTACATGGCTGGAGCTGGCAAGTTGAAGGTGGCTGTTGGTGGTAAACAAGTTTAGGATATGAGGCCTCATTTCCTGCCAGCTCTTTATTTGGGCTTCCTTATAGCATGGCTACATTACGACAGTCAGACAACTTACACAGTAGCATAGAGCTCCTAAATGAGTGTCCCAAAAGAACCAAGCAAAAAACTCTGTGGCCTTTTTGACCTAGTTTTAGGAATTGAATAGCATTGGCATTGTCATAGTGGTAAGCCGTAGTTGTAAGATTGAGGGGGAAAGAACACAGACCCTCATCTCTCTACAGGAAAAGTGTCTAAGTCACATTATGAGAAAAATATGTGAGTGGTTTTTGAAAAATATATCCTCCCAAAAATGCCATTTTTATCCCGCCCACCTGTCCAGCACAGTGTCTGACACAATATTGCTCCTTAATAAATATTTGCTCATTAAATACATACAGCGTATGAAAATAAATAAATCAATAAATCAGTGTTACAGTATTATTGCTGTAGTTTCTATTTTTTTGGATTGACACTGAGTTTTGGTATCAACCTTGACCCCTGGTTTTAAATTTTACCCTTCAATCTGAGGATTTACTTTTGTATCTCCACAGTTGATACTGGAGTCTTAAACTTCTTTGGCGACTAAAGAAAAGATTACAAAGAAAGATTGGTAGTGCCTTTGAGAGAAGTAATATGAATAAACAGAGTTGGGATTTGACTGTAAAGACTTATCAAGGCATCAAAGAATATTGTAAGAGAGAAAGATAGTTCTGAAAGAGGAAAATAATTGATAATGAACTTGGTTGGGATGAAGGGAATAAGATGACGACAAGCAATCTGGCAGCTTCTGGGGGAGCAGCAGCCAAAAGAAGCATCAGCAGAGCTATGTTTAATTAATGAACAGTAGCAGAAGAGGGTGCTCTAAAAAGATTAGAGATAGCAATTGAGGCTATGCCTCCTGGGAGGTATTGGATGACTGAAGTACTTCTGTGTGTGATGTGATTAAAATAATCAACGAGAATGTTGAACATCAAATCATGAATTTAAAAGATTTAGTGTTCCCATTGAAAGCTATAGCAAACATCAAACGATAATTTCTGATTAGTCTTGGAGTATGTGGAAGACCACCAATATAATCACCGCTTTCAAATGTCATGGAGGAAGTGTCTTATCCTTTGTCCACTGCAATCTGATGTATTACTGCCCATCAAGATTTTAGCTCTGTGTCCTTGTGGTCAAACGTATTCAGACCCAAAAATTGCAACTTGAACTTGTAATTTAGGATAAATTACAGATTGTACGTTTTTCCCCTATGTCATCCATAATTCTATTTCTTTTTAATGGAAGCAAAGAAAACAGTTTGTCCAATCTTGTTAGTAAGTAGAAACTCCTCAAACTTCAGAAGAGCAACAAAATAGACTGCAGCTGTTCACACCACTCCTGACTATTTCACTAATAGCAAGCATTTCTTGGACTTTTCCAGAACAGCTTACATTTTGCTAATTTTGGTTGAAGTCAAGAAAAAAAGAAATGTGCTTTTTTAAATCACTTCTTATCACCCTTCTATAAATTTTTGTCGTAGGAGAAAGAGTAATCGCATATACCAGGATTTAGCTATCACGCTTCCGAGTGCCCCAAATTAACATGAGAGCAGTATCATTCCCATATCTTCTGACTAAACCATTCTGCCTGCTGTCACAATACTACAATAAAAACATGATGTACCTGAATGGGTTTGAGGAAAAACATGCTATTAGTATGTGAGGAAATTTATGTTTACTTATATATTAACGGTATAGGATTTGTACGGACATCACAGTTTTATCTCTGGATTTAAAAATTACTTCTGGCTCCATCACTCAGGTTGGAGTGCAGTGGCATGATCTTGGCTCACTGCAATCTCTGCCTTTCAGACTCAAGCCATCCTCCCACCTCAGCCTCCCCAGTAGCTGAGACTACAGGTGTGCACCACCACACTCAGCTAATTTTTGTGTTTTTTTTGTAGAGACGAAGTTTCACCATGTTGCCCAGGCTTGTCCTAAACTCATGAGCTTGGCCTTGCAAAGTGCTGGGATTACAGGCGTAACCCACCACACCGGACTGCATAGAAAATTCTTGACTTAGCTTCAGATTTACCATGAGGGCTTTAAAATATTATATGCATATATTAAGAGGCTAAATAGTCAAAGACATTGTCTATTTTAAACCATGCTTCTTGAGCTGTTGTTTTCTAAGTAGAAAGTTAATTTATGTTTTATTGTTTATAAGTTGGAATTAAAAAGTAAATATATGCTTTCATTGGTATAACTCAACCTTTAGATTAAGGTGTCAGAAGCAAGCTGGGCATGAGCCATTCAATATTGATACCATTGACCTACTAGTGGTGATTCCAGATATGGCAAACTATTATAACAGACCAAAAGTACTGCATAAAGATATACAAACTACCTCTTCAAAATGACTGCCATGATTCTGGGAATGACCAGTAAGTATGTTGTTGGTTTGTGGAGATGGCCACATAAGCGGGAGATAAAATTCAGATGGTGCTGCGGTTACACAGTGAGACACTGACCCAAAAACCTAAAGTCGTTTTTCTTTATTCCTACCAGGTCATCACTCTCCCCTACCACCTTCTCATAGTCCTAATCAGCCCCTATAATTAGATATTTATATGTGTCTTAATATTCTTTTTTCTTTTTTTGAGACAGATTCTTGCCCTGTCACCCAGACTGGAGTGCAATGGCGTGATCTCAGCTCACTGCAACCTCCGCCTCCCGGGTTCAAGCGATTCTCCTGCCTCAGCCTCCCAAGTAGTTGAGATTACAGGCATATGAGACCACGCTTGGCCAATTTTTTGTATCTTTAGTAGAGATGGGGTTTCACCATGTTGGCCAGGCTGGTCTTGAAATTCTGACCTGGTGATCTGCCTGCCTTGGCCTCCCAAAATGCTGGGATTACAGTCATGAGCCACCGCGTCCAGCCTGTGTATTCATATTCTTAAGTATGAGAGGTCCCTGATAGAAAGCCCATGAGTAGTTCGTGTTCTCTCTGAATCACCAGGAACTACTACAGGGTTTTGCATATAGATAGGCGCTTTGCTAGTTTTTATTGAAGGGTTAAAACTGCCATGTTGGGAAAAAGATTTCTCATTTAAACCCAATGAGAGGAATGCTGGGATCATTCCTGTCTTACTGCTGTAAAAGAATACCCGAGGCTGGGTAATTAAGAAATAAAAGAGGTGTATTTGGTTTACAGCTCTGCAGACCATACAGGAAGCATGGCACCAGCTTCTGCATCTTGTGAGGGCCTCAGGCTGCTTCCACCCATGGTGGAAGGTGAAGGGGAGCTGGCGTGTGCAGAGATCACATGACCAGAGAGGGAGTCAGAGAATGAGAGGTGGGAGGTGCCAGGCTCTTTTTTAACAACCAGTTCTCACAGGAATTAATAGAATGAGAACTCACTCGCTGCCCCTTCGCCACAAGGAGGGCATTAATCTATTCATGAGGGGGTCCTCCCACCCCCCTGCCCCAAACACCTTCCATTAAGCCCCAACTCCAACATTAGGATCAAATTTTGCCAGGAGATTTGGAAGTGTCAGATACCCAAACCATGGCAGTTCCCAAGCATAGAATCCGGGTCTTCAGCTGATGCTCAGGTCACCAGCATTGTCTTCTCTCTGGCAACAGAGTCACAGGAGTTGAATTCAGAATGTCTTTTCTTTTTCACATGCTCCTTTAGGCATCCTTAATATCTCAAAGTGGCATCCATGCTATAAAGCCCTCAGGAGAGTCAAGTCATGTGGTGGAAACATATGAGTGAAATCTAGCAAAAAATAATAATAAATAAGATGTAGCGAACCATCTCATCTTTCAGTTAGTGGCATCTCCCTCCAGGGTAAAGAGTAAATGTTGACTAGACCATGTTGTCCGTCCGAAAGAAGGAAAATGGCTTTTTCTGTTCAGAGGCTTTATTGTTTTCTCTTCTGACTGAGACAAGACTAGCTGCACCATTTCTTGGTTGTGAGTTCCTATTTGTTCCCCTGTGCATGCCCCACACCATCTGGCATGGCACTTTGCCCACAGAAGACCCTCAGCAATATCTGTTGACTTCAACTGAGTCACTCTATTTAGCTATTTGGAGGCAAATGTGGTAGAAGTGGAAGAAAAAAAAAAAAGAAGTAATGGAGTTGCACCATTGCACTGTCCAAATTTGAGGATTTAGTGTGGGCACTGGCACTTTTGAGCTGTGTGATCTTAATTCAGTTGCTTGTACTCTGAAAATTTTAGTTAAATAGTGTCATATTTAATAAAATGATATAATTTTTGCAAAGGTTTTGGCATAATACCCATGGAGTGTGTGAGCATATAAGCACACTCCCCTACAAATAACAAATGAATATTTATTAACAAATGCAAAGTAAAACTTAACGCTCCGCAATAATCTCCTAAACGCTCATAAAACCAATATAATCAAAGTATACACACTCCCCCATGATTTTAGCATAAAAAGGCAGAAGATCAGATTTGGTTTGTATCAAGTCACAGAAGGTTTACCAACGACGTTAAGAGAAGGATGAAAATAAGAGGTTTTTGCTTCCTCTAACGTGTTCCTACTTTTCTGAAACAGCGTTGTGGAAAGATATTAGCATATTTGGTACCTCTTGGGACTTTTTTAAAGGGTGCTTTAAAAATATCTTCTTTGCAATATCCATAACACGAGGAAGGTGAGACTCTCACAAGCTTAACAGGAGAAATAGATCAGAAGCTTTTTTTTTTTTCTAAATAAAGAACTTATTTTCATGGTGCCTGGTCTCTCTGACCTAAATTGCAGTAATTCAGTATGTGTGAAATTACTTTTTCTAGGACGAGAAGATCATAGCAAAAAAAAAAAAAAAAAAAAAAAAAAAAGGGAGACAAAAAATGGTGAGAGAAAGAGAAAAGAATATACAATATAGGCAAGAGTTCAGGCTGTCTGATAAAGAGCTTGAGAATAATAAGAAACTAAGTAGTTATAACAAAGCAAACTCAGAAATGGAAACTACTAATAAGAAGGACTAGCAATTATCTCCACTGAGCAGCCATGTTTAGGAGAGGTCAGAAGGTCTTTTAAGAACTAAAATAAAAAGATGTTCAGGCCAAAGTATGGCATCTGAGTTCTCTATTTCTAGGGCTTATTTTATTAAACTTTTTATCACTTTCAAGTTCATGATGATGGCAGAGCAGATTTATTTCTGTAATTAAATGGATTGTTATTTACCAGCAGATATAAAGCTGGCATAAAAAGACACATGATCAGTAACATAGTTCAGACTTTATGAATTATTAGTAAAGGCTGATGAATGGTATTGTTATTCCTCTGCACACAAGTTTGTGAATTGTGTTTTAGGTCTGAACACTTGCAGCAGATCAGCAAAAGCCAGTTTCCAGCAATTCGTGACCATCCATAGTTCTTTCTGCCCCACTCCTTTGCTTCAGGATCAGTCATAAAAATATCTCAAAATATAAGCTTTTCATAGTGCTGTGGTCTGCACTTGAACAATGTGAGTTACAGTCATAATATTATCGCTGGCAGGTGTTATATTGTGGGTTGGATTTTGTAAACTGGGATTTGATGTGTGGGAGCATCAGCTTGGGGCTGGAGCTTCTCATGTTAGGGGTGGGTGGTGTACGCACAGACAGGTTCTACATGAGTCAGTCTGATACAGAGTTAGCATTTTTACATGGTTGAGGAAACTTCTGGAGGATAATAATGACTTAACTCTGAGTCTCAAGGACCTTGAAATTATTAAATCTTAAAGGATCTATAATAGAGAGAAAGAATATTATAAAAATGGTGCAGTTTTTGTGGCAGGAAAGGGGAAACAAAGTAGGAATGTCATGTCCAGAATCCACAATAAATCTCTGCTGAACTTTTTCAATCCACGATAAACCTTTTGAGTTCATATGTTTAAATAATTCTGCCCATAAAATCTACCTAAGTTGACCAAATTGAGTTTGTGGATGAATGATAAAAGAACATACAATTTTAAGTTTGAAAAGTTTAATAAACCTGTATCAGATTTTGCATAGAAGAACATCAAATGTCTCTTTCCCTTTCTAGTGTTAGCCATAAACTACTGGGAGTCAAACTTTTGAGCTTTGCAAAGAAGAGTGAAGACAAGAACAGACCTAATGGTAACATAGTCCATTTGCTAATATAGTTCAGTCAAGATGAGTATGGTTCTGCTATGTTAAAAAAATATCCCACTGACTGATCATGGTGGCTCACACCTGCAATCCCAGCACTTTGGGAGGTTGTGGCAGACAGATTGCTTGAGCTCAGGAGTTCGAGACCAGCCTGGGCAGTAGAGCGAGACCTCATCTCTACTAAAAAAAAAAAAATCACCTGGGCATGGTGGCACACATTTGTAGTCCCAGGGACTCAAGTCCCTGTAGTTCCAGCTACCCCCAGCTGAGATGAGAGGATTGCTTGACCCCAGTAGATCGAGGCTGCAGTAGACCAAGACTGAGGCTCAGTAAGCTGTGATCACACCACTGCACTCCAGCCTGGACGACAGAGCAAGACCCTGTCTCAAAAAGAAAAAATATTCCCCATATCTCAGTGGTTCAAAGCAGCAATGGACTTTCTCTCTCTCTCTTTTTTTTTTTTTTTGTTTGTTTGTTTCCTTGAGATGGAGTCTCACTCTGTCACACAGGCTGAAGTGCAGTGGCACGATCTCAGCTCACTGCAACCTCCACCTCCCAGGTTTAAGCGATTCTCCTGACTCAGCCTCCTGAGTAGCTGGGACTATAGACCTGCACCACCACACCTGGCTAATTTTTGTATTTTTATTAGAGACAGGGTTTAGCCATGTTGGCCAGGCTGGTCTTGAACTCCTGGCCTCAAGTGATCCACCCACTCGGCCTCCCAAAGTGCAGGGATTACAGATGTGAGCCACTGCGGCTGGCTGACAATAGACTTTCTTATGCCATATGTCTATCTTGGGTCTGCAGGAGTCTCTTCTTTCCATTGTCTTCAGTCAGTGACACGAGTTGATGGTCTTTCCACTATGTGGAATATCTCTTTAACTTTGGCAGATGTAAGAAAATGTGATGAATTGTGCCTCGGCTCATAAAGACCACATCTCACATATTATAGGTCTAAGCAAGTCACCTGCAGGCCCAACTTCAAGTGCAATCCTACTGTAGGATCAGAATGAGGAAAACCAGAAATACTTGATAAATGGCCACAATAACTGCCACATCTTAAGAGCCATCTTTTCTTATGTGTTATTCTATTTTGCACTGCTGTAAAAGAACACCTGAGACTGGGTAACTTATAAAGAAAAGGAGTTTATTTGGCTCATAGTTCTGCAGGCTGTACAAGTATGGCAGCAGCATCTGTTCAACTTCTGGTGAGGGTTCAGGAATCTTTTATTCATGATGGAAGTCGATGAGGGGAGCAAGTGTGTCACATGGTGAGAAAGGAAGCAAGAAAGAGGAGGGAGGTCCCAGACTCTTTTTTAACAACCACATCTTGTGTGAACTCATGACCGTAGGGAGGGCACAAACCCATTTGTGGAGGTTCTGCCCCCGTGACCCCAACACCTCCCACCAGGCTCTACCTTAAACACTGAGGATGACATTTCAACATGAGATTTGGAGGGGGGCAAACCTCCAAATCATATCACCTCGATGAACACTGTTTCTCTAAAAATGCACGCTTTGCTCTTACACATCCCCCACCCCTCTTTCTCTCTCACTGCTTAAAATTATCCCAACAAACATCTCTGGATTGGATGAAGGCTGTAGTTTCAGAAACGCTGAGTTCAACTGCTAGAGGGATCGTAGAGAATATTTGATCCCTCCTCTCACTTTACACATAAAATAGATGACAGAAATGTGATCTGGCTATGTTAAATTGTACCTAATTGCACAAACTGAGTTAATGTCAAAGGTGAGCACTGATTCTGAATCAGCATCTATTCTGTTACATGGTAGAGTGTCCTTTGGGATACTATAGCAATAACTGCAGTTTTTGAAGAACTTCAATTGGAATTTCAATAATTTTCTACATACAAAGCAAAATACTTACAACTTTTGTTTTTGATAATGTGCTGGATATGTCTATATTCTTGACACTTAGAAACCCTCTTTGATATAAGTTCATAGGTTTGGGACACTTGAATTTCACTAACAATTATATTCCCAGTGCCAAAAGTAATATCTGGCACATAGAAAGTGTTGAATTAATATTTGTTAGGTTTCTTTATTTCTTCTTTGCATATTCATTTATCCACTCTTGCTAGTGAGTTCAAGAGAGTTCTGTTTTATTCATTTATGCAGAATCAGTCTTTAGCAAAATGCTTAGGTGATAGCACTTAGTTAACTTTTGGGATGAGTGCATAAATAAAAGGAATAGTAAGCTATCATTAGTTTTAACTAATTATGAAGTCTACAAGGGAAATCTGAATTACTAGACAGGCTGAACTATAATACATTTTTCAAAGAAATCTGATTTTGTTTAAGTTCATATAAATGATAAGAAAGCTAGCAATGTCAGTCAAAAGATTCTTCTTGAAATGTTTACCTCACGTGAAATTTACCTGCACATTTGTGAAATGAAGTGAAATTCTCACAGATCATTCACTAAATCTGTTTTTTTTCCTTATTGTCATTAGCAAAGTGTAAAAAACTAATTATGAAGTCTACAAGGGAAAACTGAATTACTAGAAAGGCTGAACTATAATACATTTTTCAAAGAAATCTGATTTCGTTTAAGTTTATATAAATGATAGGAAAGCTAGCAATGTCAGTCAAAAGATTCTCCTTGAAATGTATACCTTACATGTAAAAATTAAGCTGCTCATTTGTGAAATGAAGTGAAATTCTCATAGATCATTCAATAAATCTGTTTTTTTTCTTATTAGCATTAGCAAAGTTTTAAACGACCTGCCATCAGTCCCATTTTAGATGTGTTTAAACAATTTGGGACACTTAGCCAGGCTGACCATGAGCTAGCAAGTATGCAGGTGGACTTGATTTGAATTTATTGTAATTATCTTATTCACATTTATCTTTAAGCTGTTGATTTGTATGTGCTTAAATGTGGTATATTTAAATATTTATCCTGATTCTTTTATCAGCATGTCTTACTTTCAAAGTGCATAAACTGCTCATTTCTTTTTCAGCAAAACATTCAGCCTCCACGTCAAAGATCTCAGGTGTTGTATTGACCAATATACAAAAGATTAAAATATAGTGTAAGTGCAAACCCCAAGGCAAACACTCCCTTCAGTTGAGTCTCTTCTAGCCCCCACCTCATTTTCCTTAGTGTTCCTTTGACATCCAGCAGATTAATGGAAAACCTCTGATTGTGTTCCCTGACTAGACTCATCCCTCTGGGGATGTGTTGGTTTAATGTTATAACATACCGAGATTTGTGTGTATGTGGTGGGGCTGGGGGGAGGAACAGATTATTTTGTACTTTTTATTTCCCAGTTGAAGAAAGTTAAAAATCAAAAGAGCTGATCTAAACGGCACAATGAGTTTGGCTTCCATGGGACTGCCTGGAGCAAACAGCACTGTTAGCATCGATAACCGAAATGTGACAAGCTCCTCATCCACTTCCTTTGGAGAAGCAGACCTCAGCATTCTGATATATCCTAGGAACAGCTATCTCTACATTATATTAAAGAGAAATGAATATTTTTACTAACTATTACATGACAATCCCTGAAAAACAATCTATGTTAGACACTACATGACCAAACTTCATGAAAGCATGTAAATGTTCTGTTTTCTCTATCTTACCTCCCATCTCCATAAACAGTCCTTATTCTCTTTCTCAGCGGACTTTGCCGTCAGTCAAGCTGATTTCTATTATTTTACCCTCCCATTTCACTCCTCCTCCAAGACACACACACAAGCACAGAGACACACACATACACATACAAGCACACACACACACACACACACACGTTGTCTGTACTTATTTTTTTAAAAAAAAGCAAAATAAAAAATCTTGCTTTCTTCAGTAAGGATTCTCATCTATTCAGAAATGTAAAATAGTAAGTCCTTTTAGAGGGCAAGAGAGATTGTCTATAGCACAGCATGGTATTTTTCTTGTTACTCATATAGGAACTGGTACCCTGCCCTGTGTCAAATTTTGTCCCATGCTTGAATTAACATATTCATTCATTTAGTCAACAAATATTTATTGAATGACTACAATGTGCCTGACATTTTGCAAAAGATGAGCCTAACATTTAATAATGATTCACCAATTCATGATTTGTTTGACCAAAAAACATTCATGTCATTATCAGTAAAGATTTCTTGCATGGTGATGGCCACAAAGCATTATCACAGGTAGTATTGGGAGGAGGAGGCAATGTTTATGACATTAAGAAAAGACAGCTAGCTCTCTTGGACCTCTGCAATTAATAGAAGAAATACTAGTATCATAAAAATAAAGCTTCAAGGTCTACCTTTGTAACTGGACACTTATATACTTATTCCCGGCCTGAGAGTAATATATTACAGATTCAAAGGTGTCTGAACAGTAAATAAATTAAAACATCACACGAAAGAGAAGTAATAGGAAGTGAGAGTTGGAATGGATCTAGAAGTTATAAGGTTTAAAATTCTCATTTCATGTATGATAAAACTAAAGAGCACACAGAGTACAGACAATTTTCCACATCTTGGTAGGTCTTTCCCACTTCGGAGCATGCAATCATGGCTTCTCTTTGTTGATGTAAGAGTTGGTTTTGGTGGTGAAGGCTTGGTGAGTCAGGGCTTGCTGGGTTGGACATGACGTTTGAATACACAGTTAAAGAACTCATCTAATAACATGCAGCTGCAACTGCAAATGACTGTGGTGGGGATATATAAAAAAGTAGAATTAATGAACCAAGATAGAGTAATTCTGTCCCTCATTCAATAATTGATATACGAAAAGACATTTTCTTATGTGAAACTTAAAATAGTATGACCAAACGGATCCCCTAGGTACCGTTAAGTGCAAAAAATGGCTATCAGCAGAATCCAGAATATTTTCAGGTTAACTAGACCCTCTAACTTCTCTTTTGAATTGGTTTTCCTCATTTTTAATTATCTGATAATCATACTTGAAAACCGCTTCGGTCTGAATTACTTAAATAATTTAGGTAAAGGATGGGTTTCCTTAGCCTGAATTATCTAAATAATCTATGTTGGCTGGAACCATCTGATAAATGCCAATCCTGGACTTCCCTTTCCCTGGTGCAGATGTGGCCTCAGAAAATTAATCTGAACACTATTTTAAATTTTACACGAAGAGCATCATGTCCATATGAATGCCCTTTAGGTGCAGAAGAAAGGAATTCTGTGTATGGGTTAAATGAGATTATTCAAAGTAATCAATGGCTAATTTGAAGAGAAAGAGAAGAGGGAGCATGATTTCTGGGCTCTTTGTGCATTTGATCATTTTGGTAAGTATTCCAGTTGAGAATGGTACCTTCTCAAACTGCCTCAAGCTTCAGAGAAGTAAATGTCATTGGCCCATATTTGGGCTGCACACAGAAGGGTCTCTCATGTGAATGACATTTTCTACTGAGGATCCTGTTTCATGTCTTAGCAGATATTGGTTCACCTTCCTCAGGGGAATAGATACATCTAGATCCTTCCCCTTAGAAGTTGAGCTTTATATCTAAAGCCTATAGCTTTTTTGTGGTCTCATACAGTATTGTCTCCGCAAAATAAATACAAAGGCATAGATCGATAGATTACTTAGACAGATAGGTAGATAGATAGATAGATAGATAGATAGATAGATAGATTACAAGTTTTTGTAGTAAAAAATGGAAAGCCTATGTACAAGCCATGGGAGATTGTTTGCAAATTCAAAAAAAAAAAAAGAAAAGACTGCTTAGTTTGCCCTTTTCTACCACCTTGCCTTTAATGTGGTGGATAATTTTTTTTTTTTTTTTTTGAGACAGAGTCTCGCTCTGTTGCCCAGGCTGGAGTGCAGCAGTGCCATCTCAGCTTACTGCAACGTCTGCCTCCCGGGCTCAAGCTGTTCTCCTGCCTCGGCCTGCCGAGTAGCTGGGATTACAGGTGCATGCCACCACGCCCAGCTAATTTTTTGTATTTTTAGTAGAGACAGGGTTTCACCATGTTGGCCAGGTTAGACTTGAACTCCTAAGCTCAAGTAATCTGCCCTCCTCAGCTTCCCAAAGTGTTGAGATTACAGGCATGAGCCACCACACCTGGCCAGGTTAACTAATATTTCTAAAATGAAAAAGAGTATCTGCTTTCAACAAATATATATAATATAAATGTATAATTACCTATATTATATATAGTTCATCTATTATTATACTTAAAGATATATCCCTCTTACAAAAAGAAAATTCCTATGAAATAAACTATATGGGGCACTCATGTCACTTAGGGTCTATGATAAATTTGCTTCTCTGCTTCATAAAATATGACTTTGGTGCTAGGGCCTTTTGTCTTTCAGAGTGGGATTTGTAGTCTATCACCATGAGAAACAACCGGATCTTCTAAATAAGCAAGTTCCTAGGCTCCGGCCAGACCTACCAAGTAGGAAGTACTGGGGATAAGTCTCAGCAATTTGCATTTTTCATAAAAACACAATGATTGTTAGGCACACTTAAGTATGAAATCTAAAGATATTTTTTTCTTATTCCTGCTCTGCCAAGTGTCTTGGACAAGTCACACCAACTTTCTGTGTCCTATGATTTGGTGAATAAAATAAGTTGGTCTTAGAGATGGAGACTCAGTCTGAATTTAAATCTGACAATTGCTAGCTGTGAGCCTTTGAGAAGAGCATGTGAACAAACTTAGCCGTGTCTGCATCATTTATAAAATGGAAATATTAACGTGTTTAGCTTAACACGCACATGTTGTGAAGATAAAATTAGATAATAGGAGTGAGTAAAACTTGTAAACCTTAAGAACAATAGAGACGAGAACATTTTTCTTTGCTGTAAAATAGAAGATAAAGACTTCCCAGGTGTGATATGAGGGCAAATACAATTATTTAGAAAGTGTTTTGCTTCTTTTTTTTTTAAGTTAGGTGTTTCTAAAAAGAGAATATGTCTTGGGTGAGTTACTTTTAATCTTTTTAAGGTGTATTATTTTACATCTGAAAATGGTAATTTATAAAGGGGTTCAGAATTCTCAAATGACAAATATTATAAATATTCTATGTTTCCCTTATATTTATATCCATAATTACTAAGTGCATAACAGAAAAAATTAACTAGTCATCTGTTAACAACACTGAGGTTTTTATGCAGAGTGAAATGAGGGACAACCTAATGTTATTATAATTAACGACAGCCTCTGCCAGTTAAATGATAAATCTATTTGCACATTATTCTACCCTCTTCCTGCCTGAGCCTGGCACAGGGCTGTGGGATTATGGCTTCATTTTTCAGAATGAGATCCAACTCAGCAACTAATTCTAATGTTCTCTGGAACTAAAAATGATTTTCCTTTGTACTGTCCTAGGGATAAAACCTGATTAGGTAAATATTCCTCCAAGTGTATTGTTTATACCATGAACGTGAGTCTTGATTCGCAAAAGATCTTTTCTCTCAAAGTTACTGCCTGTGCAACAGAATCCCAAAGATGAGCTGGGAAGCTCAGAAGATACAAATTGACATGTTTGCTACCTTGACATTCTCCACAGGGCCTCTAATCCTGTACCTGTCACCGATGCAAATGGTGAAGGATCTCAGGGCAACAAGAAAATTTAGGATAAGAAAAATCTCAGGTCGTAGCTCAGAATTCATCTCAGATACTAACCGTGGTTGGGGAATGAAATGGCATTAGGAATGCGAAAGTTATTAGTACCACATTTGTCTCTTACTTTGTGTTCAAAAAATAATTAGTTTATTTCTCTTTCCCTAAATTCCCTTTTAATTCCGCTCTCAACCCCATCCCTTCTTTTTAAGTTTTTCATTTATTTATTTATTTTCCCAGCTTTATTGAAGTATAGTTGACAAATAAAAATTATTTGTCATTATGCTGTACATTCAACATGTACAGCATAATTATGTGATATACATTGTGAGTATTTGATATATGTATACATTGTAAAATGATTATCACAATCAAATTGATTAGCACTTCCATCACCACACAGTCACTGTGTGTATGTCTGTGCATGTGTGTGTGTGTTTGTGTGTGTAGTGAGGTCATTTAAGATTTATTCTCTTCCCAAACTTAAGTAAACAACACATTATTACTAGTCACTGTTTACTTTTTACATTGTGTTCCCTCTTTTCAATGCTCTGTGCCCTCACGTATGCAAAAAAAAATTGTCCTGCATTCTTGCTACAAGCATGTATTTACTAGGAAAACAGTGACTTTCATTCACTATAGATGTAAATGACTTCTAGCAAATCTTCTTTGTAGGGAAGAACTTTCAGGGCATTTAGCAGGTGAAGAGACATGACAACCTTACTCAGAAAGGTGACTTGAAAAGAAATACAAACAAAATCTCCTAGGCACCTTTTCTGCAGGAAGAGCCTATTTTTGAAGGTTATCCCTAAGTGATTGTGAGGTCATTAACTCAAATGCACTTGGATCTATATTTTTTGATCCAACATTGTCATTGCCTTTGGCTCACTCCATGCAGAAGTATCACCCCAATGATATTGTCCAAGTTAATTTACCCTATAAAAAATTAGGATAGCTGCCCATTTCTGGTGAACAGTGAGTTTTCCACTTCCTAATGGGAAACCACCCACAGAGAATTGGCTGCTCATTTCAACAAACGAGAGGGAACACACTGATTTCTTAACTCATCCCAGGACACAAGATAAATCCATGAATCAAAGATCAGTGTAGTGCTTGATTCAGCCACCAAATGTCACTATATTCTCAGTGTCATACAGTGATGACACTTGGATTTCTGCCCATCAAACTCCAGCCAAGAGATAATTGCTCATACTCATGCCTAGGCATGAAGTACACACTGGCTTCCTGCTGGAAACCATACTCAGAAAGTGAGTTAACAATTCTGATCTTCCCAATCTTGGGGTTCTGATGTAGCTTTGATTTTTATTTTCATTTGACTGTGAAAATTTTTCGCTCCTTATGTCTTTGGAATAAGAATCTGTGACATAATTTATTAGAAGCCATCTATAGAGATACCCATAGACTGTTGGGTAGACAAGAACAATGCGTGCAAACGACAGGCACACCACTGGGCTGCAGTATGCTGTTTTCACTGTTTCTTTTTAATTTATTGCTACTAGGACTTTTGAAAAATATACTATTAATTGCATGCCTGAAATAAAATTAACTTGGCTGGACTTGCCCTAACTAAAATTTTGGAAAAGTTTATCTTATGTTGAAAAATAGTTTAAGCAAAGCACACCTGAAGGAAAAGGGGGAGGGAGAATATCTCTAAAAATTAAATGTCTTCATTAGTAGAAGTTAGAGATAGCTCATTCATCTTTTAGTATGCTATAATCTGACCTCATAAAATGAAAGAAAGAAATAGTCTAGTGAGAGGTTACCCAGCTCCAGTGGTTATTAAGTATAAACACAATAAAAGCAAGCAAGAGAATTTTAAAACACATTATGTTTTATAATTGTTTGTAATAGTAACAAAATAAAGATGACACAATTCTTGGATGTTTGAACTTTTATTAATTGTAATATTTCATAGTGCTTGGAGTTGTTCTGTTGCTGTTGCTGTTTTCCTAATAAAAGTTTGAAATCTCTAATTTATTTCCTTAAATGCCAAATTTTGCAAAAAGGTCAATGAACCCATCATAGTTCCCCCATGAGAAATGTATGTATTCCTCAGAAATGAATTTCACTTAAAACTTTCTGGTTATAACCACAATTATTTCTGACTGTTCTTGGAAATAATTTAATAAACTGGGCTTTACAAAAGTGAGATTTAGAAAAATGAAAACAGACCGGGCGTGGTGGCTCACGCCTGTAATCCCAGCACTTTGGGAGGCCAAGGCGGGCAGATCACAAGGTCAGGAGATCCAGACCATCTTGGCCAACATGGTGAAACCGCATCTCTACTAAAATACAAAAAATTAGCTGGGTGTGGTGGCGCGTGCCTGTAATCCTGGCTACTTGGGAGGCTGAGGCAGGAGGGTCACTTGAACCCAGGAGGAGGAGGTCGCAGTGAGCTGAGATCGTGCCACTGCACTCCAGCCTGGTGACAGAGCAAGACTCCATCTAAAAAAAAACAGGGTAAAATTAACAGAGTGTAAAATAGGTTGGCTAATTTATCCATAAGAGAAAGGGAGAGTGGATCATCGATTTGAAAGTTATAACAAATGAGATAAATATGGAAATTATAATTTAAACTACAGTGAGGAAACAGATTCTAGAACCCATGGCCTGTGGCTATGATGGACCACAATTAGGAGGATAGCAGCATAGATCTGAGAGGTAGACTGGGTTCACTGCCCTGAAGTAATTCTGTTGAACTGTGTGTGCTCACAGTGTTGCACCTCAGAAAGATCTTGTTCCTGCTAAAGAGAACAGCACTGGTTAGAAAAAAATGCACTGTACATCTTACAGCGTGTACAATGGGCATCTTCGCATTTTTATGAAGCTGATGATAGGGATGGCTTCAAGTGAGACATCAAGTGGAGATGGGTTTGTGATAGGCGGGATTTTACGAGTTTGGAAGGCAATTATCATTACAGAATTCTACAAACGTAACAAAGAATCCATTACTTTTTGTCCCGTCTGAACATTTAACAGCTCTAACATTTTTGCAATTATAGCAAGGCCTTATCATGACTCTTATGTCCTGGCTATTTACCAAGGCTCCAACTTCATCCAAGGTCACTTTCTGCCTTTCCTACGGCACTGTGGCTACCCTGGTCTTGTTTTAGTTCTTCTTTACTCCAAGCTGTTTTCCTAAATCTAGTCTCACATTTTTCCTCAGATAAAAACACCAATTTCCTTCCTTTTCTTTCCTTTCCTTTCCTTTCCTTTCCCCTTCGTTCCTCCCTCCCTTCCTTCCTTCCTTCTTCCTCTCTTTCTCTCCTTTTCTTTTTTTCCTGCTTTCTTTCTTTTTTGCTCTCTTTCTTTCCCCCTTACAATTAGTCCTTTCTCGCCTCCCGGTCTCACCCATCATGTCACCTCCCTGCCTTCCTCATTGAAAATAGGTTTCCTCACCATACCCTCTGGTATTATCTTCCTCAATATCCCTTTTTTTCCTAAGTACTATTTAAATGAGAGTTTATGAGAGGTTATATTTGCATATATTTATTGTGTATTTTTCATCTCTTTCTTTCATTAGAATGTAGTTGCCATGAGAAGCAGAATTATAACCATTTGTTCAAGGTTGAATTATCAGTATATAGTAGAAATTGAATACTACTAATGATTTTTGGGGAAAAAAAACACAACCATTGAATTGAACAGCTATAATGAGAACCAAGTCAATACAACATGCTACATCTCTGTGCTATTCTAGTGACCTCATAGGAGACCATGGCTACCTGGGAAGTGTAGTGCTAGCGAAAAAGCAAACCTTTATTTTCCCATTAGGTCAGGGAATAAAACACATTTGGAAAACAAAACAACTGAACTGCAACTAGAGAATGTTCTATTAACTACTAGAAAGTATAATAGAAGAAAGTTAGAAAGATTGATAATAATATAAAAGAGTGGAGGACATAAAAATAATTTCTTTTAGCAAAATTAGCTTCATGGAAAGAACTTTACTCCTCTTGGATTTTTCTGGAATTAATCTGTAATTCTTACTTACATCAAATAGGATATAACTGACTCAGGGTTATGTATCTTTTAGGAAACATCCATGTCTGATTAGCATGAAGGTTATGAGGAGAACGTGATCACAGCCAAGGTAGTCTTCTCAAAAAGGTGAGTCTTCACAGATTCTAAGTTTGTTTTAAATTCACTGCTACATTTCTCTGACAATATTATGTAAGAGCATTTTTTTAAAAAAACAATGATCATGTGATCTCATTATTCAATTCCCACCTATGAGTGAGAATATGCAGTGTTTGGTTTTTTGTTCTTGTGATAGTTTACTGAGAATGATGATTTACAATTTCATCCATGTCCCTACAAAGGACATGAACTCATCATTTTTTATGGCTGCATAGTATTCCATGGTGTATATGTGCCACATTTTCTTAATCCAGTCTATCATTGTTGGACATTTGGGTTGGTTCCAAGTCTTTGCTATTGTGAATAGTGCCGCAATAAACATACGTGTGCATGTGTCTTTATAGCAGCAAGATTTATAGTCCTTTGGGTATATACCCAGTAATGGGATGGCTGGGTCAAATGGTATTTCTAGTTCTAGATCCCTGAGGAATCGCCACACTGACTTCCACAGTGGTTGAACTAGTTTACGGTCCCACCAACAGTGTAAAAGTGTTCCTATTTCTCCACATCCTCTCCAGCACCTGTTGTTTCCTGACTTTTTAATGATTGCCATTCTAACTGGTGTGAGATGGTATCTCATTGTGGTTTTGATTTGCATTTCTCTGATGGCCAGTGATGATGAGCATTTTTTCATGTGTTTTTTGGCTGCATAAATGTCTTCTTTTGAGAAGTGTCTGTTCATGTCCTTCACCCACTTTTTGATGGGGTTGTTTGTTTTTTTCTTGTAAATTTGTTTGAGTTCATTGTAGATTCTGGATATTAGCCCTTTGTTGAGATCACATGGACACAGGAAGGGGAATATCACACTCTGGGGACTGTGGTGGGGTGGGGGGAGGGGGGAGGGATAGCATTGGGAGATATACCTAATGCTAGATGACGAGTTAGTGGGTGCAGCGCACCAGCATGGCACATGTATACATATGTAACTAACCTGCACAATGTGCACATGTACCCTAAAACTTAAAGTACAATAAAAAACAGAAAAAAAAAAAAAAAAAACAATGATCAATTTAAGAAAAAAAAAAAAGCAATTTTGGGAGCTTGGACATGAAACATTCTATTCCTCTAATACCAGAATATGAGAAAACAATTTGCTTTCTTTGCTCTCAGATAATGAAAAAATATATTTGGGGAGAAAAAAGTAAAATGGGTTGTTTGGTACCATGATGATAGAACTGTTGATTTGCTAAATATTTGATTCTTTAAAATACGCCTTAGTGCTCTCAAAAAGGTGGAGTCTGGTTTATTAGGGACATGTTATGCATTTCACAAGAAAACAGAACTCTTCCAATAAAACGTCTCCTGAGATCAGATGTCATTGTTCTTATTAAATGTACTGGCCCAATGTATCAGCCGTGAGCTTTAAAAAATTAGAAAATGAAGGCCAGGAGCAGTGGCTCACGCCTGTAATCCCAGCACTTTGGGAGGCCGAGACAGCGGATCACTTGAGGTCAAGAGTTCAAGATCAGCCTGGCCAACATGGTGAAACCCAGCCTCTACTGAAAATACAAAAATTAGCCAGGTGTGGTGGTGGACGCCTGAAGTCCCAGCTACTTGGAAGGCCGAGGCAGGATAATTGCTTGAACCTGGGAGGCGGAGGTTGCAGTGAGCTGAGACCACACCACTGCACTCCAGCCTGGGCAACAGAGTGAGACTTTTGTCTCAAAATAAATAAATAAATAAGCAGAAAATAAAGACATTTTGAGGGTGCACATTAGAGAGTTTCTATTTGTCAGAACTGCCCATAGATCATTTTAATAGGTAAAACCAAGGCAAGTACTACACATATTTGTTCACTGCAATTTCTGCAGAATCAGTGGAATACATATTGCTTTCTCTATGAAGAGACAAACATGGTTTTCCTCTCCAATACCTTCATTTCCTTTTCTTAGTTTTCATATTTGAATGAGTGTGTATGTGTATGTGTAAAAAAATGATGTATACACTCCCACTCATATTGGAAAGAATAGAATACAGATTCCTTATTTCTCCATAAACGAATCTCAGAAAAACTTAAATTTCCTATAAACTCATTGTAGGGGAGAATGGATTTGTAGGAACCCATCTCAAAGGGTGTCCCATCATTCCCCTTCCCAATGCAGGTCTACTTTAGGTGCGTAGAGATACCTATCTATCTCCATTGATTTGGGAAAATGGCCCCCAGTCTACCTGCTCTGCTCTTGCTTGGTTCAGATAAATTCCAGAAGAGTAATGGCTCAGCTGAACTCTGAGCTGTGGTTTCACATCTTGCCTTATATGTTGCTGAATCTTGAGGCTCGTGGACTTATCACTCATGGACTATTCATAGTATAGCGGTTCTCTTTCCCCAGTAACTTGACTCCATTGTTACTTCAGAACTTCTCAGTCTCAGAAATGCCACCCTTCAGGCCCTAACATAGACCATCCATGTTAAGGCATCCGTACCAACTCTACCTATTCCCTCACCATAATGGCTCCAGCCCCTCCACAAGTTTGGCCCTCATGCCTCAGCTCTTCCTCTGGAGGCATCTCAGTACTTCTGGACCCCTCTCCCACTCTGTGTAGGCTTGATGCCTCTCGTGACTACTCTCTTCTTAGACAAAGCAATCTGATCTCTCGCTCCCCAAATGCAAATGCCTGTTAGCAATTCCTTTTCAGAGGGAATAACTTTCAGGGTATTTAGCAGAAAAAATGCATCACAACATGATTTTTAAAAGCAGACCTCAGAAACAACGCAAATAAAACTTTCTAAGTACCTTTTTAGAAAGAACAGAATTTTTAAAAAATTATCTATAAGTGATTGAAAGGCCACTAACTAAAGCATACCTGATACATATTTTTTGATCCAACACTGGCATTTATCTTATTAGGTACAAAATTCTTTGGAATATTGAGATTCTGATATTGCTGTTGACATAGTCAGGATATGAAAACTGTTTTTGCCATGGGGAAAAACAAGTCACTTTGAAGTCAACTTGAAACTGAACAGTGATTGCATTATTCTGGGCTGAATGTACCCTATTTTTACCTGGGGTGATAAATTTCATGGCCAAGTTGTCACGGTAGAATGAGTAAAAAGAAAGAAATGGACTTACCAGAAAGAAGAGGTACCCGGGGGAAGTATTTTTAAAATAGATTTTTGGTATCATATATCATGCTTAAATTGGATAGAATGGAAGTATTCTATTCAACATGATTAGTCTAATTGATCAATTAATAAGAAAAATCATTTAAGTCATATAAATCATGAAATGTTTTATAAAGATACACTATTTAAGCTGTCGTTCATTTTCCAATATTTTGAAGTAGGACTAAATTTATTTCAATGAGTTTGCTGATTAAAGAGCTATGTTCCTTTCCTTGTATAAACTATACTCATAATGTATTGTCATTTATTTCCCCGTTGTTTTTTTTTAAGTGAAATGAGAACTCAGACATATTTGTGAAACAATGCAAGATTACAGTCCTCAGAGATCTTTATTCTCACTCCCAATCTTTTTTATTCTTCTTTTTCTGCACATAATTCAAGAATATTTTTTGTAACTTGCCTTTATTAGTATTTTGAAACCATTAAACATAGTTTTCATAGGAACCGCTCTCTTTCCATGCTCATATTCCATTAGCTTATATAAATAATGAAGGAAGTAATAAAAAGTACACTTAGAAAAAAAACAGATCTGGGAAGAAAAATGATTCTTGATAAGTATACAGCTTATCTGGGGGTAGCAGAAATGTGAGAATACTAGAATATAATTAAGTAGCCTTGGGCATTCCTTAGATGATCAACATAGTGTTATGTTTTATAATGAAAAGTATAATTCTTAGTTAATCCAATGGGTTATTTAAGTGGGGACCAGTTAAAAGAGATTCTACTGTATTTACACACTTATTTTTGTCATAGTAATTACTATCATGAATATATCGCATATTTCTTTCCTGTTTTCTTTCAGCGCAACTAGATTCATCAGCTTTTGGAGCACCTTCTTGTGGGCACATACTCTGCTATGTATTGAGAATATCATGTTGAATAAGGTCTGGTCCCTGAATGCAAAAAGGGTCCAAAAAGGGATAACACACACCATCAATATTTTCTATGCTTAGAATTCCATAAAGACAAAAATTTAAAATATATGGCTTCAACTATTAGAAATAGTTCCCTATCTCACTTACTTTTATATATTTTTTTGCAGTATTTTATGTAATATTTTCTGCATAATTTTGACCAAGTTTTAAAACCATAAAAATAGCTGGATAAAATGTGTGCCCTTATCACTGATTGTCAATCTATATCAGTTACAATTTTTTCTTATTGTTCTTCACTCCAGTGTGAAGAGTTAAGTTGAAATATCTCTCAATCCCCTGAGATTTCTGATTCATATATGTGGCTCTGAAATACTGTGATAACTTTACACCAGCAGAGCGTCCAATGCTATTGCAGATGGTTTTCACTTATGAACTACTGTATGCAACATGCCTTATTCATAACCTCTCCATTAACATGGAAAATGAGTAGATAGGTGACATTATCTGACCTTACAGCATTTCTGGTCAATATTAGGCCAGTATTATTTTCTGACTTTCCTTAATTTTTTCAAAATTTATGACAAACCAAAAATGAAATAATTATTTAGTGGTTAAAATGGTCCAAATATTTTTTAAAGAAGACTGTATTCTTAAGTCTTTGAAACTAGGACAAATTTTATTTGAAGTTTCAAAATTATAAAAGCTTTCAGTATTATACATTTCTTCAGTGGTTCCCTTAACAATAAATTTATGATGTTTTTCAGTCACTTTTTAAGCTCTTTTTAGTTTCAATTAAGACTTGGTAGAACATATTTTTTAACTCATATATGGAGAATGTAAACTTTAAATAGAGATGTAAATCACTTTCTTTAGAATTTTTTTTCTACTTATCTTTAGCATGTTTTATTCATTTTAAAATGTCTACCCCAATGCCTGACACTAATTTGGCACTCAGAAAAGTTTATTAAATTTATATATTTGTACTGAAATACCATAACTTCATAGGCAAAGCTTCTCTTGTTTTAAATAATTTTTAACATTTTTTTTATTTTTTAAAAAAAGATAACAGAAAAATTAAAAAAAAGAAGTGTAACGCTAATAGTGAGCTCTAGAGCAATTATCCAGTCCACCTTCTCCAATTTTCAGATGAAACTGAGAGCTGAATAAATTAAGTGATTTGACCAATGGCAAATTAATCTGACTTCAAACTCTTAAATGAATTACTAATCCATGTAGCTTATTTGGTTCTAAATTTTGATTTAACCAACAAGAATTAGAACTGAGCAATTATAAAGGCACTATAATAAGTGCTGCTCTAAAAAAAAAAGAAAGAAAGAAGGAGGCCAGGCACAGTTGCTTATGCCTATAATCCCAGCACTTTGGGAGGCCGAGGCAGGTAGATTACTTGAACCCAGGAGTTTGAGACCAGCCTGGGCAACATGGTGAAACCCTGTTTCTAAAAAAAAATCAGAAAAGAGTAGCCAGGCATGGTGGTGCATGCCTGTAGTCCCAGCTACTCAGGAGGTAGAGAGGGGAGGATTGCTTAAGCCCAGGAGGTTGAGGCTGCAGTGAGCAGTGATTATGGCACTACACTCCAGCCTGGGCGACAGAGAGAAGAAGCAGGAGGAGAAGAAGGAGGATGAGAAGAAGAGGGAGAGGGAGGGGAGGGGGAGGAGGAGGGAGAGGGGAGCGGAGGGGAGGCGAAGGAGTGAGGGAGAGAAAGTTTCCTACCCAGGAAACTTTGAGTAGTATTTGGAAAGGACTAAAATTTGATTCTCAAGATCAAGACTGGAGTCTGGGCTGGAAATACTGGTTTGAGTCATTAGCATCCAATCATTATAACTAAAAAACATGTAGTGAATGAAATCACACAAAGAAAGGGAATAAAACAAAAGAAATAATAGAACTAAGGATAGAGTCCTGATGGAATCATGCTCTTGGTGGAGACGTGTATGAGTTCACTTTCTGTTATTTATAAAAGAATACCAAAAACTAGGTAATTTATAAAGCAAAGAGACTTATTCTTACAATTATGGAGGCTAAGCCCAGGTTGAGGGCTGGATCTGTGAGAGCCTTCTTACTGGTGTAGACTCTCCAAGGAGTCCTGAGGTGATGCAGGCTATCAGGTGAGCGGGCTTGGCAGACTCACACACTAGCTCAGATCTCTTCTTCTTCTTATAAAGCCATTAGTTCCCCTCCCATGACAATGCATTAATCCATTACTCTATGAAGGGATTAATCAATTCATGAGGGCAGAGTCCTCATGATCCAGTTACTTTTCATAATCCCATCTCTCAATACTTGCGCATTGGGATTAAGTTTCAACAGGAGTTTTGAAGGGGACATTCAAATCATAGCAAGACATATAGGATGAAAATCAAGAAATGTATATTTTTTAAATCTTGACGGGGGGCACAAGATAATCAAGTAATGAGTAATGGATGGTTTTATATACACTACAGAGACCCAGTTAGAGTGGAGAATTAAAAGACATTATTTAAATAAAAAATTCAGAATCACTGGAGATTCTTGCAAAAGTGCTTTTGCTACTAAGGGAGTAGCATATTAAAGGGTCAAAGTGCAGATTCAAAAGATTTTGAAAAAAATAAAAGAGAAGGGAAGGAAGATAAAAATCAAAGACCAATATTTTCCAGTTTTTCCTGCTACCTTCACAGGTGCTAATAGCTATTACTTGAAAAACTATACAGGAAAATGTTGGGACATAGTCCCACAGTGAAATAACTTGGGAAGACAATTTAACATTATTTTTACTGCAAGACTTCTCAGAAAATTTGTTTGGCAAGTAAGAACAAAAAATATCCACAAGAGTGTGTAATTGGTCATCTAGTTTTTAATAAATGAACATATTTGGGGATTAATATTCTACAATAGTTACTTGGGAAATTTTGTTTTGAAAGTTTAAGAAAGCCAAGGTATTTGACACTACACAGAAAGAAAGGAAAGGAAAGAAAAAAGAAGGAGATCAGTCATGGTGGCTAACACCTGTAATCCCAGCACTTTGGGAGGCCTCAGTGGGTGGATCTCTTGAGCTCTTGATGTCAGGAGTTTGAGACTAGCCTGGCCAACATGGTGAAACCCCATCTCTGCTAAAAATACAAAAATTAGCCAGGTATGGTGGCACATGCCTGTAATCCCAGCTACTCGGGAGGCCGAGGCACAAGAATTGCTTGAACCTAGGAGGCAGCAGAGGTTGCAGTGAGTTGAGATTGCACCACTGCACGTCAGCCTAGGTGACAGAGCAAGACTCTGTCTCAAAACAAACAAAAGAAAGAAAGAAAGAAGAAAGAAAGAAAGAAAGAAAGAAAGAAAGAAAGAAAGAAGAAATAATTTGATAGCTTGAAGAAAAACTTTGTATGAGTTGAGGCGTGAATTCTTTCTAGCACTGAATAGGTTTAACCAGATTCGAAGTATTAACATTTCAATAGTTTTGTAGGGGAGGAAAACGAATATTTTCCTTATACACTTCTAGGATCTCAGTTGAGGCCTATAAGAAAAGACAGATTAACTAAAAAAAAAACAAAAACAAACAAACAAACAAAAAAAGCATTTTATTTTCTTTTTTTTTAAGTTTTGAAATGGAGTCTCTTTCTGTCTCCCAGGCTGGAGTACAGAGGTACAATCTCAGCTTATTGCAACCTCTGCCTCCCAGGCTCAAACAATCCTCTTACCTCAGCCTCCCAAGTATCTGAGACAACAGATATGCACCACCACACCCAACTAACTTTTGTATTTTTTGTAGAGATGGGGTTTCACCATGTTGCCCAGGCTGGTCTTGAACTCCTGGGATCAAGTGATCCACCCACCTTGGCTTCCCCAAGTGCTGGAATTACAGGCGTGCACCACCACACCTGGTGCATTTGCTCACTATAAGTCTAATGTGACATGGGATACTCCAAAATGAAATGAAGATCCCAAAGAAAAAATGGTTAAACCTGACTATTTTTATACTAGGTTTGATGAAGAGTACAAAGTTATGAAAAAATATGGTAGGATTAGGAGGTATGAGATAAGACTGGTAAACTGGGGTTGACTTATCAAGGCTTGTTCATTTAGATACCTCTCATCCTCTCTCTCTTCATCTTCAGAGATAAGGATGCTGCTTTCTCCCAGGTACAGGAAGGGCACCTCTCATACAAAAGTCTTATGATTTCTTCAGGGAAAAGTCAGAGTCATTCCCACACTTACTCTTTCTCAAATTCTTTCAGCTTAAAACATTCAATATATCAAGGCACCATATTTTGGGGTAGTATGTTCTGAACCCTATGATATCTCCATCTGAAACTTTTCCCCAAAGCTTTTACAGCCCAGAAAGTGAGCTGGCAGATTGTCCCATACGTCACTGAACCAGTCTCTCAGTCCTGGGATTAGATTCCTCTGCTTAAAGAGCTGTGTCTTATTTCTGGACTCAGTAGTATAGGCAGAAGTAGGTTGCCTACCCAAGTTAAACCTCCATGAGGTGTGAGCAATAAGGCATTTAAGTAGGGGTATTTCTATGAAAACACAAATAAAAAAAGGTTAATTGTTAAAACAAGCTATAAACTCAGTTTTTGAATCCAGAATGCAATTTAAAAATTTCTAGATATTGAGCTGAAAGTATCCTGAGATGGTGGAGTGACAGTAACAGTGGACATCCAACATATTTTTGGGTTTGCAGTTTGAATGCCTCTAGTGATGGCACTGTGTCTTAGCCTGTTTGTGTTGCTGTAAAAGAATACCTGAAGCTGGATAACTTACAAAGAAAGAAGGCTTATTTGGCTCACAGTTCTGTAGGCTGTACAAGAAGCATGGCACCAGCATCTGCTTTTAGTGAAGGCTTCAGGGAACTTCCGCCCATTGGAAGGCAAAGGACAGCAGGCATGTCAAATGACAAGAGAGAAGGAAAAGAGAGAGGGGAAGAAGGTGCCATGCTCTTTTAAATAATAAGTTCTTATGGGAACAAATAGAGCAAGAGCTTGCTCATTACCACAAGAACAGCAGCAAACCATCCATGAGGGGTCTGCCCACATGATGCAAACACCTTCCATTAAGTCCCACCTCCAACATTGTGGATGAAATTTCAACATGAGATTTGGAGGGTAGAAATCTCCAAACTGTACCACACCATTATGTTTATTCTCAGAACAAAGTATGGAAGTGCCCAGTTTCAGCTTGCAAGGCTTCTTTAGGTATTCCAAATAAGGATGTGAGCAATCAGGCTTTAGCTCTCAGAGGTGCCAAATCAGGGGGGTAAAAGAAAAATGTAAAATGTGGAAGAGTTGTAACCACATTTTCAAGGAAGCGAACTAATTGAGCAGGATCCATCCAGTTTACAGTAGATAACAAAACTTCAAATCCAATGAACAGGGGGAATGGAATTGTATAATTCAGATGATGTGACATTGTTTGCCATTGAAACATAATTTTTGTCTCTATAGTCACCTCCATTTCTATCAAAGATAATCAAAGTAGGACTAATTCGTTTGCAAACTAAGTCTTTTTTTGTTTATACTTTAAGTATAATAAGCCACATGAACTTGAAAAGCATTTGGGTTAGTTTTTATATTTCTGAGACTTTTAGGAGTACTAAATGTGGAGTCCTGAGAAGATAAGTAAGCAGCAACCAGGAAGAGGTCCCAGATGGAGGAGAACAATTGTTCTGAGAAACGGCTAATCACACACAACCCACTGGTATGACATCCTATTCCCAAATACCTCATTCTGCACACAGCCCCAGCAGCAAGACCTTATCTGCATACTTTATCTGCATATAGACCCTCCAGTACAACCTACCTAGTACTTCCCTTCAGTCCCTGCCTCTTGGCAGACAGCCCTTTCTCTGCTGTGCTGCCCATTGCACTCTTGCAACGTATCTCCTGTCTTTTCTAATAAATCTGCCTTTCTTCGCCCATGACTGTCTTGGTAAATTATTTTACTGCCCATGACACCAGTCCCAACCAGATGTACCTGTGACAATTTATATAAGTGTGCATTTATCTCAAAGCCAATTTGAATATAATTTCTTTTGAAAATTTTATAAATGACTATGGTAGAAATTAATTAATTTCTAAAATTAATTTTCAACCATTCAGGGATAGAAAGTATTACACATAACATACATACACTCATAAATATACAGACAGATGCCAATAGAGATTTTATAGCTTTCATTGTAAATTTTAGCCATAAATGAGGTATAGATACAGAAACACAAAATTTGCTTATTTATATAAGAGTTGATTCTCATCTTTGTCTTATTACATTTCTAGCAGTTGGAGCAAATAAGTCAAGATTACTTGCTCAATGGAAGCTAAAGCTTTTTTAGCAATATTTGTGAAAAAGACTTTTAAGAATTTCATATGAGCTTGATAAGTAATTTTATGGAAGCTGTGGACTACATTTGGGGTGAGGGATGCTGTGAAAATATCAACTAGCAGTTTATTTCCAAAATGTCTCCCTTGTTTCTCCATCTGAGTTGAATGCAAGAGTTACCTTTTTGAAAGTTTGCATTTCCAAAGAGATGGTAAGATTTATATCTCCAAGTGAAAGAGAAATGATGTAGGTTTTCTCCAAGAAGGAATTAAGAAACATATTTGCTTATTATAGTGTCAGAAATCTAGGGTAATTATAATATAAGATTTTTCTGGCTCACGCCTGTAATCCCAGCACTTTGGGAGGCCGAGGCAGGCGGATCACAAGGTCAGGAGATCAAAACCATCCTGGCTAACACAGTGAAACCCCGTCTCTACTAAAAATACAAAAACATTAGCCGGGCATGGTGGCGGGCGCCTGTAGTCCCAGCTACTCGGGAGGCTGAGGCAGGAGAATGGCGGGAACCTGGGAGGCGGAGCTTGCAGTGAGCCGAGATCGCGCCACTGCACTCCAACCTGGGGAACAAAGCAAGACTCTGTCTCAGAAAAAAAAAAAAGATTTTTCCCCTCATTAAGTACATTTTTATGATTGGGGTCCAAAATACATTTACAAAGTAATTTGAATGGGAAGGCCTAGAGCTGAAAAAGTTTGATTATAGAGTCTCATGAAATAAGTGGACTTTATAAGGGACTGTAAAACAGCCTTGCTGGGTTCCCTGGGGCCTTTTTCAAAGCTATTTGCTGGCTATCCCTTTTAACCTAAGTCTCAGCCTTTCTGAGTGCCTTTTGCAATTCATAACTTTTGTTCTAAGTCTGAGCTCTACCTCCTAATCTTTTTAAGGGAGTTTTTTGGTGTTTTCATGTGTTTTTCTCAGACCAGTTAAGAAATTGTTTCTTTTTCATTTTTCCTTTCTTTCAATTTGATATTTCTATAGACACTTAAGGGACATTTGTTTAGAATGGGAGCCCTCAAGAAAGAAAAATCCTTTGGATGTACAAGTCCAAATCTTCAAAGTATACCTATTCCAATTGTGAATCAAATTCAAGCCCAATTAACCCTTTAAAGAATGTTTACCTTTTGCCAACTTTGTTAAAGTTTCCAGATTTCTTTTCTTTTCTTTTCTTTTTGAGTTTTGCTCTGTGTCACCCAGGCTGGAGTGCAGTGGTGTGATCTCTGCTCACTGCAGCCTCTGCCTCCTGGGTTCAAGTGATTCTCCTGTCTTAGCCTTCCGAGTAGCTTGGACTACAGGCATGTACCCCACACCCAGCTAATTTTGTGTTTTTAGTAGAGCTGGGGTTTCACCATGTTGGTCAAGCTGTTCTTGAACTCCTGACCTCAGGTGATCCTCCTGCCTCCACCTCCCAAAGTGCTGGGATTGTAGGTGTGAGCCACGGCGCCTGGGCAAGTTTCCAGATTTCAGCTGCAGCTTCTGGACTGAGAAAGATGTCCTGGACAATGGTATCTCATCCTTATTACCAGAAACTGTAGGGAGAAAAAATATTTTCCTTCAACCCTTCTCGGTTCTCTTCTGGGAACTGTAATAAAAGATGAGTTAATGAAAAAAAAGGGTACAAATTTATTTAATATAGGTTTTATGTAGCACTGGAGCTTCATAAAGAAATGAAGACCCAAATAAACAGCTAAACCTGAATGTTTTTATACTAGGTTTGAAAAACAAAGTAGTAAAACCACCTTTTCACAAATTATATCAGTGAGAAAATTATGGCAATGGGGGAGATCTGATCTGGTCAATCCTCATCTTGCCTTTGGCCTTCAAAATACCCTTAATTATTTCTGAGATTAAGCCAAGCAAACTAATGAGAGACATTTAGTTTGTAGTATAAATGATAACAGCCGTTCCCCAAAACTTAACTGCCTTTGTAAAGCTAATGAGAGACCTCCAGGCTAGGTGAATAGAGGAGCCTGAATTCCGCTGAGGTATAGACATAAACAATTGCTAGTCATTATTTTGTAGGTCACAAGATAGGCAATTTCCCTAATTACTCAAGCAGATAACATTACTATTGTAGAATTTAAGATTGGCCTTTTGAAACAGCTTTTCAGGTTTTTTTTTTTTTTTTTTTTTTGCAAATCCTTCTACCAATCGCTCCACCTGCACCTGCCAACTGCTCCTAAGTGGCCCACTCCAGAAGCCACTCAATGCACAAGAAGACCACTTCCCACCTGCACCCCTGCCCCTTCCCCCAAACTACCTTTGAAACCTAGCCTCCAAATGGTTGGAGAGGCTGATTTGAGTAATAATAAAACTCCAGCCTTCTATTTGGTCTACTCAATGTGTGCAAAATTCTTTCTCTGTTGGAATTCTCCTGCCTTGATAAATTGGCTCTATCTGGGCAATGGGCAATGAAAAACCCTTTGGGCAGTTACAGTAGAAAGCCATGAAAAAATGTGATTGGACAAAGTTGTAGGAGCCATGAGTCGTGAGCTAGGGGAACAGCCTCTGTCTTAAAGATAAGGAGGACACTTCTCAAATGAGGGTCTTCCAACTTGCTCCATGGGAAGGTGAAAAGGTCCTTACTGCACCTCTTGTTTCTCAAATTCCTTCAGCTTCAAACATTCAATATGCCAAAGCACCATATTTTGGGTGAAGCATGTTCTGAACCCTATCAATTTTAACTCAGTCTAAATAAAGCACTTCTGAAGCCATGCATACAGTCAAATACTGTCAGGGCCATGCCACAGAATTTCTATTGATTTTCATTTTCCTCACCAAAACATCAAGGAAAGATGCAACAAAGGGAAAATCTAACAGGCAGTCTTAAGTTAGATGTAATTGCTAAGGCTGATTAAGAGAAGAGAAAACATGGAGAAAAAAAATCTTAGTAAATACTCTTGCCAGTTTTATACTGTTGCTCATTTTCTGGCATTCCAAAATCTCTTTTGCAGATTTTTGTGTAAACATTGTTAAAAGGATCCATTGGTTAACAAAGAAAATTTTGTTTTGTAATTTTAATTTTGTTTTATTATTTTAGAATTTAGAAGTATTTTGTTTTATTTGCTAAACATATTTTTTCCTGTATCAAGTGATTGCTGCTGGGAAAGATCTTCCATCTCTTTTCCCTGTCTCTGGAACATGGTTTTCTCTGTGGCTTGGCATATTAGAACTGTCCCTTTTAGGCAAACCTTGAATAAGCCTTCTCCTCAAATAATTTGACAGAAACAAAATGGTGTTGTCACCTAAAATCTCACCTGTACTATATTGACTGTGCGTGAGACTGTAGGTCTCAGAATCATTTCTGAAGAAGCCCCTATGTATTTACCTCAGAAATGTAACCATATTATGGTATCTAAGATCATTTAGTTAGTTTATTAGGTAAGCCTTAGTTCTCAATAGAGAACAAAGTGTTATTGATAGAGACAGGAGGCAGGAAAATTCTGGGCAGAAGAGGGCAGTTCCCTGGTGAGGACGCCATGCTCAAGTCTGGAACCGCAGCCCAAAGTGAGAACAGGCATTCTTGTTTTCCTGCTTGAACGCTGACTTTTCTAAAACCACCCGTGGCCCACCCCACCCCCAAGCCTGTAACCGTAAAATCCCCAGGCTCCACCAGCAAAGAAAGAGAGGCAGAGAAGAGGAGAAGCTGCTAGACGTCAGAAACTACAGTTTGACGTCAGAGACAAGCAGCTTGACTTCAGAGGGTTGGCTTGCCGGTGTTGCTTTGGAGAGGAGTCCAGCCGCGGACAGCTGGATGCTGGGAGAAGATCACCTTCCTTCTTCCTTCCCTCTCCAGCTCCCCTTCCCGCTGAGAGTCATTTTCATCAGCAATAAAATCTTCCACATTGACAACCCTTCAATTCTTTTGTGTGACCTTATTTTTTCCTGGACACCCAATAAGAGCTCAGTGTCACAGGTATGGACACTAAAGGCTGTTATCCTGACCCTCTGCCCTCACTGGTGGAGAACCACCACCTCACGTGAAAAGCCAGAGGGCCCACTGAGTTGTCTAACACCTAAGCTGTTGTGGATGGCAAAACTAAAAGAGCACTGTAACACATGCCCTCTGGGGGCTTTGAGGATTGTGGATACTCCCTGCTAGACACTGCCACAGGCCTTACATGGAATTTTTGCACCTGCCGTGCCCAAAGGCACTTGCCCTGGATCCTGCACCCTCTCACCTAAATGCTCCCTCCTGCAAGGAGTTGAACACAATGGATTCAAGTAAGTGGAGTTTGACCCTGCTGGCACCAAAGCAGTGGGCTAGCCCCATTGCCCTCACTCCAGTTCCCATCTGTGAAGGAGTCAGGGGAAATTTCCTGCTTTATTAAAAAAATGGAACCTACAATGAATAAATTTTGTTTTATTCATCAAACACAGAACTCGGAAGAAAAATAGAAGTCAACGAATTCAGTGATTAACAAAATGAATTTAGAAGAATCTCCCTTTTGGTGCCATTGTTGGGAAAGAGAGACAAGCTGAATCAGTAGGGGTCCTGGCTTCTTGAATTTTTTTTTTTTCACCTTTGTGTTTCTGTAGGTTTCTTTTTACATTTTGTTTTTCTTTATTACATGAAAAAGTACTTAAAATAATGATTTAATCTAAATATTTTATATTAAACAAGTAGAAATCATGTTTCTAAGGAAGTAAATTATTTTACGAAGTCATAACTCTAATACAAGACATAATTGGAACTAGTACCAGGGTTTCTTGAGTTTTAGTGCACCATGTTTTTTATTTCACTTTTATATTCTGTTGAAGATCTAAGAGCTCAACTGGAATGCCATAAAGAACATGAAGGCTTGACAAAAATAGAAAAAATGAAAGAAATGAGCTATAAAGAAGGCTGAGATCATTAATGGTTATTATTTTCTACTGCATGTTGCCTTCATGTAATTATTCATCCACCTATTTGAATATATTGTGCATGTTGAATAAAGTGATGGAGATGTGATGATTTTGTTCATAATCCCTGGAGAGTTATTAATCTAGACCAGGTTTTGTCAGACTCAGCCCCAATGAAATTTGGGGCTGAATAATTTGTTGTTGTTGCTGTCCTTTGCTTCATAAAATGTTAAGCACCATCTCAGCCCTCAACCCACTAGATAACAGAAGAGATATCAGTCATGACAATCAAAAATGTCTCCACATAATGCCAGATATCCTTGGGGAGTGACATCATCTTAGCTGAGAATCACTAATCTTGATGATGTAAGATGTAAATTAGAACTGAGAGACCTGACTGAAGGTATCTGACCATATGATAATTTTCATTTATGGCCATTTGTTCCAGGGTTTTAAGGAATACAATGAGCTATTTTAGGAATTCTAAGAATTATAATTGGGACTGTAAGAAGTGAGGAAAGTGTGGGTTCATAGTTTAATGCAAAGAGGTAAAGCAGGCTGAATGTGAGTTGACTATATGCCTAGTCGGTGTGATGAGTCAAGAAAAATGTTTAGTACTGTAATTTAATAGAACTCAGCTCTTGCTAATTTCTATATGTGACCCTAGAAATGTTGGGCAGAAAATAATTAAATATTTATCTTTGATGGTTTGGCAAGACATGTTTTATAGTGAAAAATGGAAAACCTCATGAAGAAAGGACTATTTTACAGAACACTGTAGCATTCTATGTAGCTTCTGTCTCAAGCCTATTCCTTTACTACCTAAAACTAGAGAAATTCATGAATCAGTTTCCCATTGTTATAATAAAAATGTTATTTTTTGGCTTATTTATTTATTTTTAGTCACATTTTACTTTATATTGAGTAAACACCTGCTATTTTCAGTGTGGAATTGCTCCTCTATCATGAGCATAGTTGTGGTGAGTGTCTCAACCACAATGGCTGATCACTTCCTGAAAGAAAACATGGCTCAATTTTGTCCAATCAGATTATGTTTATGATATTTTTAATATTTGTTCTATGGACATTGGCATAGAGTTCTCTATTACTTTGTATTTTAACCTTTAAGGATTCCGTAAGGCAGATGGTAGTATGCTTGTCTGTCTTGTGTGCAGGTGCAGAGAGCCTGGCCACACAGCAAGAAGGAATAAAGTGAACAAGCAAAGAAATGCAAAGGTAAGAGGACTCTGAAAGAAAAAAAGTCTCGTGACTTTTTCAAGCACCTAGATCTAGCCATATCTGAAGCTAGTTTTTTCTTGCTATCTGGTAAGATGAGTCAACAAAATTCCATTTTTGCTTCATCTAGTTTGCACTAGGTTTCTATCACTTGCAGAGGAAAGAGATCTGGTGATTACAGTGAATATTCTCATTGAGCAAATGTGGACAAGAAATTAGAAATGCAAAGAGACAGCAAAGTGACAGATATACAGATAAAAGACAAACAGGTACAACAAGGAGGGGGCAGAAATCCCCTTGAATTTTAATGCAGGAATAATGAACAAATAAAGAGGGAGTGTATGGGTTATCTTGCAAGTTTGTTCTTCAAGGACAAACAAGGCATCAGAGAAAAATGACCTCATAGCAGATTGAAATAGAGACGATAATGGAGGAGGAAAATGTCCAGAATCAAACCGAAGACTTTGTCCTTCTTTTCACCTACTGTTTGCACATTCTTTTTTTTTTTTTTTTTTTTTTTTTGAGATAGAGTCTTGCTCTGTCACCAGGCTGGAGTGCAGGGACATGATCTCGGCTCACTGCAACCTCCGCCTCCCGGGTTCAAGCGATTCTCCTGCCTCAGCCTCCTGAGTAGCTGGGACTACAGGCACACACCACCATGCCCAGCTAATTTTTGTATTTTTAGCAGAGACAGGGTTTCACCATGTTGGCCAGGATGGTCTTGATTTCCTGACCTCATGATCTGCCCGCCTCAGCCTCCCAAGGTGCTTGGGATTATGGGCATGAGTTACTGTGCCCAGCCCACTCTATCTTTCTCTTAACCTCTTAGTTTTGCTTGCTTCTAAATTGGCTTCATCCTCAGGAAATGTCTTTTCATACTATGGCAAAGAAGACTATTGTCAGCCTGGGGTTAACATCATTACAAGTCATGAATGCAATGACAAGCGTTACCTCTCTTCCCTACATGAGTCTGATTGACTCTGCTGTAGTCTTAAGTCTACTTCTGAACCAATCATTGTATCTAAGAGGATGTGCTTCAGTCACGTCCATGAGCTACATCTGCATCTAGGTGCTGGAACTCAGACTGTCAGATCCAACAAGATCAGGAGAAGTAAGATGGGGAGAGTTACTCAAAGGAAAAAAGGCCATGTAACCAACATTATTTACTATTATTATTTTTTGTCTTCATTAACATTACTGCAAATGTCCTTCAATCTCCTAACAAATACTCAGTGGAACATGTATGTTGTTGGTGACATCTATGCTAACTGTCAAAGAGTAAGTATTGGTATGACCACTGTTGGGTTAGGATGAAAATCAAGAGGACACATTAGTGTAGAATTCTGTGTAACTATGTAGGTACCTTTTAACAAAATGTACAAAGGTCTAGATATGCATAAATGCCATCTATGATTTATTGAGCATTTATTATGTGCCAGTAATTGTGTTAACTAAACACTTTAATTTAATTATCTTATTTAATCCTCCCAAACGTGGTAAGGAAAATATTACTGTCCTTCCCAAATTGGAAATAATGTTCAGTAAAGTAATTTATAAAAACAAGCAAGTGGCAGAGATTGGACTGAAACACAGGAAGTGTAAAATCAAAACTTGAATATTTAATATGCTTTCCACTTAGGGTGACCTATACTTTATCTTCCTATCCTTAAATGGTTATTAACAGCATCCACTTTAAAACATGCCCAGGTTTGGACAATAATTATATGATTACCCTAATACTGCCTCTTCCATATACATATATGAATTTGCAGATGTTTTACATATGTCTATTCAAGGCAATTTTAATAAACTTTTTTTTTTTTTTTTACTTTAAGAGAAGAGCTTAGGATTTATGGAGAAGTTGCAAAGATAGCACTGAGTTCCAGTATACCCCACATCTAGATTTTTCTATTATTAACATTTTTATTAATAAATCATAATTAATGAACTAATATTGATACATTATTGTTAACTAAATTTTATATTTTATTCAAATTTTCTTGATTTTTCCCTAAGGTCCTTTTTCTGACCCAGGATCCCACCCAAACAATTACATTCCATTTAGTCATCATGTCTCAGACTCCTCTTAGCTGTGACAAATTATCAGGCTTTCCTTGTCTCTGGTGACATGAGCTCTTTTTATTTTTACTATTCTTTTTGAGACAGAGTCTCACTCTGTCACCCAGGCTGGAGTAAAGTGGTGCGGTGGTATGATTTTGGCTCACTGCTACCTCCACCTCCCGGGTTCAAGCCAGCCTCCTGCCTCAGCCCCTCAAATAGCTGGAACTACAGACGTGCATCACCACGCCTAGCTAATTTTTGTATTTTTAGCAGAGATAGTGTTTTGCCATGTTGCCCAGGCTGGTCTCAAACTCCTGGCCTCATTTGATCCACCTGCCTCAACCTCCCAAAGTGCTGGGATTATAGGCGTGAGCCACTGCACACAGCCGACATGGGCTCTTTTGAGAAGTGTTGATCAGGTATTTTATAGAGTGTCCCTCAATTTGTATTTCACTGATGTTTTTCTCATAATTAAAATAGGGTTATGGTCTTGTAGGAGGAAGACGACAGAAGTAGTGTGCCAATTTTATCACATTGTATCAAGGGTATGTACTATCGACCTGGTTTACCACTGTTTATGTTAACTTTAGTCACCTGATTGAGGTAGGTAGTATTTGTCATGTTTCTCCACTGTTACTGTTTTAAAATGGTTACTAACCTATTCGAAGTATAGTTTATATGAAGAAAATGCATACATTTTAAGTGTATGAAGACATTACTTTTGACAGATAGATTTACCTACGTAGCCACTATCCCAATCAAAACGTAGAACATTTCTATCAACCCTCTAAAGTTGTTTTAACTCCCCATAATTCAATCTTTTGATTTCATGAAGTCTCGAAAGAATCCATTTAGTTATAATTGAGTCATAAATGCCCAAACTCTGTCAGGTATATCACACATTTTGAGTTTCTCTGGAAATAAGTATTCTGGTTGTTAACTGCTTGATTCTATTGGGTTACCTTTAACAGATTGGTTGTTTCTGCATCTATTTTTCCTGACTGGATTAACTAGGAAATGCAGCTCTACCATCCCAGGGACTTTAAACTTTGTCCCATGTGTAAAAACTTGAGGGTGGGCCAGGTGCAGTGACTTATGCCTGTAATCCCAGCACTGTGGGAAGCTCAGGTGGGAGGGTTGCTTGAGGTCAGGCATTCGAGCCCAGTGTGGGCAACATAGACAGACACCATCTCTTTAAAAAATTAAAAGAAATAAAAAAAAGAAAAGAAAAATCAATTGATGATAAGCAAAAGTTTAACTCTACTCTCAAAAAAAAAAAAAGATTAACCAAAGATGTCACAGGAACCAATAGCTTACCTCATAACTGCTGAGTGTGTGACAAGATGTGAAGAAGCTGGCATGACTTTGGCAAATATGGCATAGAGCAAGCTATTTGGGATAAAATTATGGAATGTTACCTTCTAAAGAGTAAGGAAAGCAAGAGAATCAAATGGTATTTTATATTCAAAGATTTCTGAGGTGTGCTCTTTACTTCAGCCACTCAAGTAGGAGCAAGACATATATGATCCTAACTTCCTAAGTAAGACTTTGTCAATGTTGGAAAGAGATTTCTATAGCAGTTTTTATCAATGCCTTCTTGCAAGTTGTAGTTATAACATTAATCACTGTTAGATTTATGGGAAAATAATGTGTTTTACAAGAAGCAACACAAATATAAGTATAAAAGCTCATGAGGAGACATTATACAAGTTTATATTTTATCAATAGTTATAGAATCATGGCATGTAATTAGAGCTGAAATAAATGGTAAAACTCAGAGAGAAAAATTCCTTTAGTTTATAAATGAGAGAAATGTATAAGACTACAAGATTTTTTTAGCCATTTATATCAATTTTATTGAGGTATAATTTAGATAAAAATGCACATGTTAAAAATATGGGTTGATGAGTTTATAATATATAAAGTAAACGTAAAACTTTATATCATAACAACTACCACAAACAAGGTACAGAATAATTCCTATAGAGGTGTCTTATACCCTTATTTACTCAATCCACTTCTTAACCCCAGACCTGGACTGATAAGCTATTACTTAACATTAATTTTGACTTTTGTAATATTTCATATAAAAGGTGTCATATGACACATACTTTTTTGTCTGTGTTCTTTTACTTGCTATAACATTTTTGAGATTTACCTATGTTGTGTGTATCAACAGTTTGTTCCTTTCTTATAGCTGAGTAATATTCCATTGTAAGGATATAACACAATGTGTTTGTACTGTTGATGGCCATTTCGTTGTTTCCATTTTGTGGCTATTTTGAATAACATTGCTATAAGCATTCAAATGGAAACCTGTGTTGACACACATTTTTATGTCCTTGAGTAAAAGCAAAAATGTTGAGTTGCATAGCAAGTGTGTGTTTAGCCTTATAAGAAACTGATAAAAGGTTTTCTGAAGCGGTAATACCCTTTTACATTCTGACTAGTAGTATATAAAACTACCATTGCTTCCAAGTCCTGGCCAACTCTTGGGATGCTGAGTCTTTTTTTCTAGATTTTGCTATTCTAACTGGTAGTGGTATCTCTTCATGGTTTTAATTTGCTTATCCCTGATAACTAATGATGTTGAACATCTTTTTGTGTGCCTATTATCATCTGCATAGTAAACATAAACATTCTTTTTCTCTGCATGTGTGCCTGTGTGTGTATTATATAACTTAACTGTACACAATAATGAACAAATATATGTTTTGTGAAATGTTCTCCATTCCTGCTGTCCTCTCTTCTATTTTTTTCTAAGAGTCTTGAGGATGGGCCAGGTGCAGTGACTTACGCCTGTAATTCCAGCACTGTGGGAGGCCCAGGTGGGAGGATTGCTTGAGGTCAAGTATTCGAGTCCAGGATTGATATTTTTTCCTTAAATGTTTGATGAAATTTATCCAGACCTGAAATTTTCTTTGTGGAAACAATATATATATTTATAATTTTATTTATCTTATTTTAAACAGTTTTGTTGAGATCTATTTCACTTATCATAAGCCCATTCATTTAAACAGTACAATTTAATAATTTTTACTAATGTTACCAAGTTGTGAAACCATCACCATAGTTAGTTTTAGAACATTTTCATTTCCCTCATAAGATCTCTCATGCCCATTTACAGTTAATTCTAATTCCTGCCACCAGCCCCAGGCAACAGTGGGAAAAGGTTTGTCTCTTTAATGTACTTTATGATTACAAACAGTGGGTTTGTAATTAAGAGACATAAACATTTTCAGATCTGGGTTTTTTTTGGTGGTGGTTTTAGTAAATTGTGCCTTTTAATAAATTTGTTCATTTCATTTAGTTATCCATTTTTTGGACATGAAATTGCTTATATCATTTTCTTATTTATTTAGAGACAGAGCCTTGCTGTCGCCCAGGCTGGTGTGCGGTGTTGTGATCTCAGCTCACTGCAACCTCCACCTCCCAGGTTCAGGTGAACCTCCCACCTCAGCCCACCAAATAGCTGGGACTGCAGGCATGCACCACTATGCCTGGCTGATTTTTGTATTTTTAGCAGAGACGGGGTTTTGCCATGTTTCCCAGGCTGTTCTCGAACTCCTGGCCTCATTTGATCTGCTTGCCTCAGCCCCCTCAAAGTGCTGAGAGTACAGGCATGAGCCACCACACCCGCCTTCTTATCTTTTTAATAAGTATAGGGTCTAGAGTGATGTCCACTCATTTTATATCGGTCATTTCTGTCTTCTCTCTTTTCTTAATATGTCCAGCTATACATTGTCACTTTTACTAGTCTTTTCAAATAACAGCTTTGGTATTATTGATTTTTTTCTCAATTTTTACACGTTTTCTCTTATTGAGTTATGCTTTTTATTATTTATTTTTCCTACTTTGGGTTAAATTCATTATATTTTTCTAGTTCTTAATGCACAGGTTAGATCATTAAATTTAAATATGTTTTTCTAATATAAGGATTGAAGCTTTCAATATCTTCCCAAGACCTACATTAGACTACACACTACAAATTTCAACAGGTTGCTTTTGTTGTCAGTCATTTCAAATATTTCCTAGTATTTTTTTAATAAATAAATTTTTTGTTTAAACGGTATGTTATTTGAAAGTGTACTGTTTAATGTTTAAATGCAAGGTGATTTTCAGACATTTCGTTATTTTTAATTTAATGTTCTCATGTCAAAATAAGTTCAATATATTTTAATGTATTCAGACTTATTTTATGGAATACTATGGAGTCTATTTTGATCAGTGCTCCATGTGTCTTCAAGTTCTTTGATGTTTTCTTTTGCAGTGTGCAACTGCTATTACATACAGGCAATGAATTTCAGATATTTTATTTCCCATATTGTATTTTTCAGCTCTAGACATTCTAATTGGTTCTTTTTTGTGTTTTCCACTTTTCTCCCCATTATGCTCATGTTTTCCTCAAATTCTTGAGAATATTTACATTAGCCGTTTATATTAGTTTTAGTGGCTTAAAACAACAGTCATTTATCTTACCGTTCTGTAGGTTGAACTACAGAGTGAAATCTCTCTCATGCTTCGAATTTCTCTGACTTCCTCTTTTGCAACCAACCAAAGGAAAGCCTCTACATTTAAAGGATTCATGTGATTAGGTTAGGCTTATCTGGATAATCTCTCTATCTAAGTCAATTGATTAATAACCTTAATTATGTCTGCACAAGCCCTATTGTCATGTAATATAATAGAACCATTGGGGTTATTTTAGTATTCTGTCTACCTTGCTGTTTTATTATATTTGTCTGCTCATTCGAAAATATGTAATTCCAAAATCTGTTATTTTTCTCCTGCATTTTACATGCCTTATAATTTTCACTGGATTCTGCACAATGTAAATGTAACAGGGTTAAGTGTCAGTATTTCACTGTCTACTTTTAACAATTGTTAAATTTTGTTTTAGCAGGCTTAAGTTACTTGCAGATCAGCGTGAAGCTTTCCAGACTTGTTTCTAAGATGTTTTAGGGTAGGTGTTTAGCCCTACTATTAAAGTATAATCTTTCTAGAGACTCTACTAAATGCTCTGAGGGTTCAACAAGGGCTCTGCAAATGTCTCCTGGTCAGCCAGGGTCAGAGCGCAAATGTCTCCTTGCACTGCATGAACTCTGATGCCCTTCCCAAATAGTTGTTATTTTCCTGATGTCCCAGATCCTCATCCTATGTTTTCACAGTTTAGTTGTTCAGATAAACTTCAAGGGAACCTCATACAGGTTTCTGGTCCTCTTTTTGTGTAGCCTTCATCTTGCGTATCTTGTGTGTAGCCTTCATCAAGATGCAGGTGACAGCCTCCTTAACCTCTCTGAACTCTGATCTCTATCTCCTCAAATTTATCAATCTATCATGGTCAGCTTGGGTCTGAATAGTGGCACGAAGCAGAAAGTCATGACATTCATAGAGCTCTCCTAATTTGTTCCCCTTCTTTGGGAATCATGGTCTGGAGCTGCTAATTACCCAATGGCTTAAACAAGTTCTTTCATATATTCTGTCTGATTTTCTAATGATTGGGAGTAAGTGAGAGGGGAAGTCTGGGACCAATTAGTTCATCATGAGGAAGCAAAAATTCTCAATCGAGGTTGATTGGCTGAATGAATGTGCACAAGAGCTTACCTTCTACCATCTCCCACAGAAATGAGGCTAGATCTCAATTTTTATGGTTTATAAATACCTTGTTTTTTTTTTCTTTTTGTGGGGATCTGAGGGACTGAACAAAGTCATAAAATAAAGAACTGGTATGGCTAAGATACTAGCATCAACTTGTCTTACACAATTTCTATGGAGAAAGGATAATGAGAAATGGGCCAAAATCACAAAGAATCAAAACTTGTAAGGAACATACATGAATAACTAAAGAAATATTGTTTGACTCTTAAATGAGGTGACTATTAAACAATATAGTAGACGGTCTCATAAGACATATTAAAACATATTAAGACATTTCCCAGAGGGAATCACCCAATATTTTGAACATTTTAGAAATAGATCTATAATATCCAAGTTGACTACACTGAAAGACACAAAGCTTATTTGGATGGCCAAGTTTTGGTATTGTGAAAATAGCGTTATTGTACTCAGTTAATATTTACTGAATTAAGTAATAACCAGAAAGGAAAACATACCCTCAACTCACTTCAAGCAAGGCACTGAACTTGAGCTCGATGCAGGTAGGCTTTGAACTTGGCAGTTTCAGGGTTTTAGGGGTGGTTGACAGTAGCATCTCAATAAGCTACAACAGGACGTCACACAGAGAGAGGGTCCTAACAAAGCAAAGCAGCTTGTCCAGGACCTTAAGATACAGTAGAGGTATTCATAGCATATGCAGGTCTAGAAGACAGATAGAGAACAGACATTCTCTACCTCTTATATGGACCATACATATGACTGTGGGAAGAGGGAAAAAAAAAAAACAGCAATCGAACAAGCGGGTACCAATGGTTCACTAGACATGCCCTGAAGGTGCCTTCCCAAAGAGTAAAAATTCAGGAACCCCCTGCTGATATAAATCAGCATCTACTGATACACAGACAAGCAATAGAGTACAGTAGTTAAAAGCATGTCTGGGGAACACAGACACAAGTGTGCTCTGCTTCTGTATCCACAAGCTAGGAAGCACAGTGACTGAAACACAGACCTTGGAGACAGATTTTCTGGGTTCAAATCTAAGCTCTGGCACTTATTATATTGATGAGATTGGCAACATTTTTAATAACTCTGCAGCTCAATTTCTTTATCTGAAAAATAGAGGTAATTATAAAAGTACTTACCTTATATATTTGGGGAATTAAATAAATTCCTAATTTACTATGAAGATTAAATATATCAGCATGTGTATGTCATTGGAACAGTACCTGGATCAAAGAAACTACCAGAAAAGTGTTATTTACCATCATTATTTCTGTTTAAATTAGAATAATGTCAATAATAGCAAACATGTTCATAGATTCATTGCAGAGATTAAATGATGCATTGCATATAAACTGCCCATTTCAGTGCCTAACACAGAGTAGGTCTCCAATAAACAGAATAAGCCTCACACATTGGTCAGAGTTGATTCAAGAAATACATGAGGTTCAACCAGCATATTCAAATGCCTCCATTGCCCATAGATAAGCAGGTCTTTAGAATGCAAGGGCGATGTGGTTTGATTCTTACAATAAAGCGAACTGTACTACTTTACAATTACTACTAGCCCTAAATAGGCAAAATATCATATCCCACATATCTAACACACATATAAAAATCTATACTATTGCTGCCCCTCCCCTCCCCTCCCTTCCCATCCCCTCCCCTCCCCTCCCTTCCCATCCCCTCCCCTCTCCTCCCCTCCCCTCCCCTCCCCTCTCCTCTCCTCTCCTCTCCTCTCCTCCTCTCTTTTCTTTTCACAGGGTCCGGCTCTTTCTCCCAGGTTGGAGTGCAGTGGCACAATCATGGCTCACTGAAACCTCTGCCTCCAGGGCTCAAGCCATCCTCCTACTTCAGCATCTCAAGTAGCTGGAGCTAAAGACACATGCCACTACATCAGGCTAATTTTTGTATTTTTTTGTAGTATTGCTACGTTTCTTATCATGAGCTGAACATGACAAAGTGTATTTTTAAGACAATTTAAAAGTCCATCAGTTATACTCAATCCTTTTTAAGTTTTAATTTTACTTCCCATTCAACTGGTCATTTAAAGCCAGTGTAACGTGGAGTTTGATAGTATATCCTCAAGGTCTAGAGTCAAATCAAGAACTGACTCCAGGGCTACTACGCTTTTATGTCGTAGAGTTCTAAACTTTCCATAGTTCATTCTCAGAGGAGTATAAGAATCAGTAGCTAAGAATTAATAGCTGCTTATCTTGAAGCAGTAACCATCTAAATTAGTACCCTCAATTTTGAGAGACTGGACTCACACTAGCTTAAACAGAGCATAAAATATATTGGGTGACAAAAGGAAATGTTCGAAGGCAAGTACAGTTGGAGACATTGCTGGATCCACTGTCTTGGGAGACTTTGTCAGAGCTCTGCTTTTCTTTTCATATCTTGGATTTGCTTCGTTGTGAGGGTTGATTTTTTTTTTTTCTTTTTGAGATGGAGTCTCACTCTGTTGCCCAGGTTGGAGTGCAGTGGCACAATCTTGGATCACTGTAACTTCCGCCTCCCTGGTTCAAACAGTTCTCCTGCCTCAGCCTCCCGAATAGCTGGGATTACAGGCATGCACCACGACACCCAGCTAATTTTTGTATTTTTAGTAGAGATAAGGTTTCACCATGTTGGCCAGGCTGGTCTCAAACTCCTGACCTTAAGTGATCCACCCGACTCGGCCTCCCAAAGTGCTTGGATTATAGGCGTGAGCCACTACGCCCCGTGGTGTAGGTTGATTTTATTCTCAGACAGGCTTTCTTCATGTTGTGGAAACAACACCTGCTAGAAGCACCGGGTCTCTATCTTCATATATATTTAGCTAGGAGGAGTACATCTGACTTCCAGTATTCATACATAAAATTTCAAGTTCTTTATCTATCTTTGGACTCATCAGCTCCACCAGGGGAAGAAAGAGCTCAGTTCAGCCAACCCTAGATGTGTGCCTGTATCTGAGTTTGGGTAGATGGAGCGTTAGGATCCATCTCAACTCCTGAAAAAGGAGAAGGGTGCTTTCCCAAAGGAATGGCTGATGATGTTACCAAAAGAAGGGAAGGGACATTCCGTGCTCTACACGTCTAAGGGGCACTGTAGGGAGACTGAAAGGATTATAGGGGTAGGGTGAGGTACAAGACCTTCTGGACGGGCCTAAAGCAGAGAACAGTTTTTGCCTATTAAGTCAAAGCCATTTTGTTTTCTGAGTCACAGCTCTGGAAGGAACAATTGGTTTTTTTAAATTGTAGTACAAAATATGATGGAGAGAGATTTGTACCTGGAGAATCACTTACTGTATGAGTGACTTGCCCCAAAGCTGTTGTTTCATATACCTACCCAAAGGGCAGGACAAAACAGTCCTGCCTGTGTACTGAGAGAAGAAAAGAGTGGAAACATTGAGACCTCAGAAGAAAGAAAACTGGGGAGTGAGTTTCCTTTGGTCCTTAGGTGAGACTCTCCTTGTGGCTACCCAGACACTGCATCCAAAGGGCAATGAGATCTGAGGGATGTAACAAGTAAGGTCTTTCTGAATTGAGTGCAATCGATGAGACAGAGCACTCATAGAGCATCTGGAGTCCAGACTTAAGATATGTAAGCTTCAAGGCAACAAGATGGTAAGGAAGATAAACTAAAGAAGCAGTAACAAATGGCAGCATATTGATTAAACTATACTTTTTACCTTCCTAGGCCTCCACTTTCGGATCTATAAAATAACATTAATAATAATGATATATATCAAATGAGGTTATCTTGAGAATTGATATCTATTGTGCCTGGTACCTAGTAACCAAGTGAAAAATATAAGCTCTTGGTAATATTCATTATTCATATAAAATGTACATTAATATAAATATATTCATATACTATTTATTAATAATAATATAAATACTTTTAGTAATGCCTAAATACATTTGGCTGCAAGTAACAGAAAACACAGCTAATACTTACCTATGCAATGAGCAGATTTCTTGGCTTATGTAACTGGAAATCAAAAGAGGAAGCATTGGGGATAATTTGATCTAGTGGTACAGGGAACCTCTGTGTATTGAACTCATCTTCAGGCAGCTAGCGAAAGAACTACAATAATCCTGGGTCTCATATCTACGCAGAATCATGCCAGATGCAAGAAGTGCTTTCAGAAACCCCCATCAAACCTTTCCCTAGATGTCACTGCCTTGAATTCCTGAGTGAACTAATAGAAAGGAAGATAGGATTACCAGTAGGGATCAATTTCAATCCACCCATTGCAGGCTCTGTGGAGTGAATTTCTCTGCACAATACCAAGGTTTCTTAACAAAATGGGATCAGAAAATGGATGAATGGATGCTAGTTAAGTGACGAAAGTTGTCTATTACAAATAGATAAAGCAAAAAAGTATAACAGACAAAAATGGAATATTCTCTCTCCAAGATAAAGTGAACACCCATTCAAAAGTACAATAAAATGTGAGATTGTATTTTGAAATGCAGAAGATATTGAAGAGTAGAACATCTTCCAGCAGCAGAACAACAAAGAAAATAAGTAAAATTAAGATGATCAAGAAAACAAAAGAATATGAAGTAAGACTGAGACCTTTAGTTAGTTATTTTTTACTAACCCCAGAGTGAGGACAGATTGATTACTAAATAGAATCAAGCCTGTGAATACATTTTATAGCTTACAATCTTTGTGCCTAAAACTAGGTTCCCCTCCAATTAAACCTGACATTTTCTAACCTTAAAGAACCTGGCCCAGTTTTACATAAACCTGTCTTAAACAGAGATTTCTGTCCATATAATCTCAGAAAACCAAACAAAACGAATACCGTGTTCCTTATCAAGTGCCACATCCTATGCCATGGTTAAAGGTATAAAGATGAATTATAAATCATATGTAATAGATGTGTAGTGATTTTGCAAGCTCAGCATCACTTTCCAGTTCGTCTGGTAACAGACTTCTCTTTCCATGTAGTTTAAGTGGTGCTGGTGCCTGGCTAGAAAAATAGGTCTATGCTTCCTAGCTCCTCTAACCAGCCTACGGGCATGGCCACAGTTATTAATTCCTAAGTGAGCATTTGACTCAGGAAGGACCAATCAAAGCTTTACCTGCGAGTTAATCAGGTTCTTTAAGGTTAGAATATTTTAGTCCTGCACATTTTTTAAAAAAGAAAATCACTTCAAAATTTACTAATTATCTTTAAGTTCCAGAAACTGTCTATAGCGACTAAGAGGAAAATGATTTATCTGTCAACATTTCTGCTCTGCCCACTTTAAGTTTTGGTCACTGTCAAATAAAGCAGTAGAGAATGGCAAAACCAGTTCTGTGTCATTCAACACATGAGTGCTTCTTAGGCACAAAACATTATTTGAAACATGGTCCCGGATAAAAAGATAAATAATACCCAGCCCTTACCCTCAAGGATCTTACAACTTGGCAAGGGAAATAAGACATGCACACAGATGACAGCAATAAAGGAAAGATAATGATTGCTACCAGATGTTTGGGGAGAAGGAGCAGAGCAAAGAGAGAACGCAGAATAAGGCAGCATTCAACAGTCAGCCAAGAAATATTTATTGAGCAATCATTGGGTGGGAAATGAAAATGGAAGCACAGAGCATGAGCCGAGACATGTGCAGGTGAAAAATCAAATGACATTACTTGTTACTCCAACTCTCCAAATATTTTTGTCACCAAGTTTGTAATAAATAGCCTGAAATTAAAAATGAAATAAGGATATAGTAGTCTCTGTCAAAGACAGCCTGAGGTGCTAATGCTTAAACACTAGGATCATAGTATGAGTGTTCCTAAGTATGCCTCTCTATTGCTTTATTTATATCTTCTTCCAAATGAGTTGATGCTGCCCTAACAGAATATCTGTTCAGCTATTTCACCTTTTTGGTCTTGTGTATTAGAACAGGTGAATTAGAAGAGGATTCTTTTGGCTTCAAACAGAAAGAAAGTGCTATATAATTTAAAAAGTTCAGAGGCAATTCTTCAAGCATGTTTGGATCCAGGAATGCAAATGTTTTAATTAAGCCTCAATCTCTCTCTCATTCTTTATCTTTCTCTATCTCCATGTATTTATCTTACTTTGGGGTTCATATATCTCCCTGTTCTTGTGGAAGCCCCTGGCACAGCTTCAGGCTTATATTCTCATAGCTCCACAACTTGCAGGAAGGAGCAGGTACCATCATGGCATATGGTCATTCAACTTGTGCATTTGTGTAGCAAGGCATTGAGTCTGAAGGTGATTCATAGGCACATTGCGCACAGAGTAGATTTGTATATTAATTACAGCACTGTTTTCTGGAAGCTGACTAGAAAATATCTTGTTTTGACAAAATCAGAATAGCACAACAATTTTCCAAAAAAGAAACAAAGTATTTTGTGGAAGGGGCCCCTTTGTATCTGACTTATACAGAGATGGCCTATGTGGTAGTGATAACCCTATGTCTCCATCCTGGCTGCCCCAGCGAAAGTCCAGGGATTATCCCTGAATGGCTCTGGTTGGACTTTCTGCCCAACCTGGAATAGCACTACAGCCAGAAGGATCTGATGTTCTGATTAGCCAAGACTTGATCACAGGCAGTGGGATCAGTTCTCCTGAAACCATGAACATTGAAACAAGTAAGAGGGGCATATCCAAAAAAAAAAAAAAAAAAAAAAAAAAAATTGATGGGATGTCCCTGACAGGAAAAACAACAACAACAACATCGACAACAAAAACCAAAAACCTTCTATACCAGGAAACCATCATAGTGTTCTTTGAATATACAAAAACTGGTCTACACATAATACAATAGAAAATATTGGCCTAAAAAGAGCACCATGGCCGAAGGGACATGACCTATTTTAACAGATGATTTGAGAGTTAAAAGATAACTTGGAGGGCATCCAATTCAATCTCATCATTTTCCAGATGGGGAAACTAAAACCCAGACAGAGGAACAGAAGTGCTGAGAGCACACAAGTATTCGGTGGCGGAGACAACCAACTACGTGCCTTTTGACGTTTTCCCCCCTACGATGATGATAGGTTTCTTCGTTACATTGCCAACAAAAACAAAAAGTATAGTCTTGTTTCTGGTTTTCTCTCCGCCCTAAAATCTGTATAATATGATTTTGCTGCCCTCCAACAGAAAGCCTCAGGAAGAGATGGTTTAACCTCCTTAAGTCCGCTCCCATCCCCAAGGACAGACATTCACTTTCCTTGAATTGGAAGTAGAGCCACTTGTTGCTTTAATGGGCCAAATGCGGTCTGGACCTGCAGGAGGAGACGCCGCTCATAAAGAGCTTCTCAATTGCACTGCAACCTGTACTGGCATCCTGACTTTGCCCCCAAACCCCAGCCAGAGAAAGACAAAGAAAGGCATTCCCAATCAATGGGGACACTTGTGCCTGCCCCCTCTTTCTTCTTCCTGCCATCACCTCTTTCCTGCTCTTTCTTACTGGCAAAAACTGCCACCAGGTGCACCAGATGCATCTCTGGAAATAGGTAGGAGGGAGTCTTACACCTGTCAGTGCTAGAAAGTGCGCTCTGCGGAGTTCTCAGTTGTTCCCTCTCTGCAACGAAGTAAAAAGAAGGGATGCGTCCGAGGTTTTTGACACAGACATGCTGGGGAAACGCGTCAGTTCAAGGAGCTCTGACTCTAGTGACTACTGAAGACCAGTGATGCACTCCCATGCCTAGCATCTCCTCTTGACTTCTGTTTCCCTGCAGCCAAGCTCAGCTCCTGGCCCTGGAAACCCCTTTGGGTAAAGCGTCTTTAAGTCAAGAATCAGGCTCCTGTGTGCACGTGTGGCTTTCTTAGCAAAAAACTAGCACAGGCGGCTCAGGAGTAGAGTCTAGCTAGGGTCTTCCCGCGCCCCTCCCTCACTGGTTTCTCTGCCCCTGCCTCGCTTTCTCCCAGAGCTAAGAGCCTAGGCTCCGGACCTAGGGTTTGGGAGCAGTCAGCACGACGTCCTCGCCCCATCCCGCGGCTGATGACACCCGTGCCCAGAACGTGGGTGTGGGTAGGGAGGCTTCCACAGTGAGTTAGGGTCGAGAGCTAGGCTCTCGCTTGCTCCCCGCAATCCCTAGATTCCCTGGGGACCACGAAACTCCCATTCCGAGGAAACCTCCCCCCATTCCCCAGCCGCCCACCCGTTTCCCCCCCTTACCTCAGCACGCAGCCCCTCCCTGCGTGATGATGCAAACCAGTGGGGAGGGCTGGCGCTGGGAAGGGTGGGGAGAGAAGGAGAGCCAGCGAGGGAGGGAGGGAGTGGGAGGAGGAGGAGAGGGAGCCGAACGACCATTTAAAGCGATAGCAGTCCCTGCCCTCTCCCCAGTGCTGGGCTGTTGGAGAGAGCGAGCAGCAAGCCGGTGAGCGCGAGCGCGGCGCGCCGGCCGGCTAACCCGAGAGCGCGAGGCGCCCCAGGCTGGCAGGCGCCGCGGGACCCCTCACCCTCTCTGGTCGCCCCTCCCCGGATTCCCCCACCCTCCGTGCCTGCAGGAGCCCCTGGGCTTTCCCGGAGGAGCTCGCCCTGAAGGGCCCGGACCTCGGCGAGCCCACCACCGTTCCCTCCAGCGCCGCCGCCGCCACCGCAGCAGCCGGAGCAGCATGGTCCAGCTGAGGAAGCTGCTCCGCGTCCTGACTTTGATGAAGTTCCCCTGCTGCGTGCTGGAGGTGCTCCTGTGCGCGCTGGCGGCGGCGGCGCGCGGCCAGGAGATGTACGCCCCGCACTCAATCCGGATCGAGGGGGACGTCACCCTCGGGGGGCTGTTCCCCGTGCACGCCAAGGGTCCCAGCGGAGTGCCCTGCGGCGACATCAAGAGGGAAAACGGGATCCACAGGCTGGAAGCGATGCTCTACGCCCTGGACCAGATCAACAGTGATCCCAACCTACTGCCCAACGTGACGCTGGGCGCGCGGATCCTGGACACTTGTTCCAGGGACACTTACGCGCTCGAACAGTCGCTTACTTTCGTCCAGGCGCTCATCCAGAAGGACACCTCCGACGTGCGCTGCACCAACGGCGAACCGCCGGTTTTCGTCAAGCCGGAGAAAGTAGTTGGAGTGATTGGGGCTTCGGGGAGTTCGGTCTCCATCATGGTAGCCAACATCCTGAGGCTCTTCCAGGTAGGGATGCGCTCCCTCCGGGGCGGAGCACACAGTGGCTACCTGCGCCCTTAACCCTAAAAGCTGGCTTGGACTCCGGTGGTGCGGGTCAGGTCAGCCTTCGCTCATTTCCTCCCTGGAGATCCTGCCGAATCCCTCCCACCCCGCTCGAGGAGATACCTTCCCTGCTTGGTTTATTTCCCTTCCATCTCTCCCCTGTCCACGCTCCACTCCATCCGGCTTGACATCTGGATTTATGGCCCCATTTACAAGAAGCAATCTGCGAAAAACAAGGCGATGATTTAAATGGGTTTGCATTAGGGTGAAATATGGTCCGAAAACAGGCTCGTAAAAGTGCCAGGCTCCTAGGAGAGCTGGTTAGGAGAATGGAATAGGAAAGATGAGACGATGCCTGGAAACCGGGCATTTCCCAACTCCCCAGCTTCCCACCCCCAAGCCAGCCTGCCAACCTGCACTCCCTTGAAAAATTTGGAGACAGCCTTAAGGAGGCACTTCTTAAATCGAGGGCTCCGTCTTAACCTAGATGTGGATGTTAAGTCCGCATCTCCCTCGGGCTGATTTCCCGACCTGTAGCCAGCCTCCGCGAGAGCCCAGGGCGCGAGGTGCTGGGACCTTCCTCAGGTGGAGAGATGCTGCCCGCAGACGTGACCCCCGGTTGGTTTGCTCCGGGCAATATTTTGCACCGTCTAAATTACATGTGCGATCCGGCCACTGGCCGGAGCTGGGCGATCAGCTTTCCACTCCTGCCACTTCAGACCTCAGCCCAGGGATGAGCTCACGCGAAACGAAATCGCTCTCCCTGCCTCCTCCCTCCTCCCCCCCGCCCCCCTCACCCACTATCTCCCTGACGCAGACCCCAAGCCAAATCCTCGGCTTGGAGGACGATTCCCGGAGCGAGGCATGAAGGCGCCCGTTGGGAGGCAGAGGGGTGCGTGAAGCGGGGCCCCGTGGTCCTCCTGCTCCGGTGCCGGAGGGAGACGGAGAAAAAATGGGAGGAAGGCGGATCCGGGGCCGCTGAGCGGTGGGTTCTGCCGCAGTGTTCTCTCGCCTCCTGCTCCAGCAGCCTCTGCCCCATGGCTCCTGAGCTGCACTGGGTAGGAATGAGTGGCTTTGGGGTTTGGAAATTGAGTTTCAGGGTCTCTGTGATTGTAGGTTCCCTCCTCTGTGTCTTTCCCTATATGTGCATCACTCTCTCTTTCTGTCTCTGTCTCCTTGCTGTTTTTTTTTTCTCTCTGTTTTTTCTCTCCTTTTCAATCTCTCCCTCCTTTCCTCCTCTGTCTTCACTCCCAAGTTCTTGGTTCATCTCCGTATTAAAATGACCCTTTTCCAGTGCATAGCGGCTCTCTCCCTGGCTGGTGGTACCCAAACCTAGTTAATCTCTTCCGCAGATGTACACGCTGATCCTGGCACCTTTATGCTCCTCATATCTAGAGAACCGGCCCCTCTCAAGTGCTTTCCCAAAAGGTGTTGGGCTTCAGAAGGGGACTCTGTGAGACCCAGGCTGTCATCACATCACCTCCAGGAGTGTGAAGTTTGCATTCAGGAAAGAGGAGTGCCCATCCAAGGCTGCAGCTTGCATGGCCCCTCTGATCCTCTGAGCATCTCTGACACTTCCTGAGTGCCATCATGGAAATCCTGGCAGGTCTGCAAACCCAAAAGTGCTTCGGGGCTAGCCATCACTCTGAGTTCCTTGCTTTTGGGAAGAACCTGGCTTGTAGCTGAAACCCAGAGCCCTTCCTTCATCTTTGAGCTTAAAGCTAGACAAGTTGAGGTAGCAGTGCAGCGGGAGAGGATGAGGTCAGAGACATTACCTGAGAACCACTGGGGGCTGGGGTAGGTTACAGTGTTTTCCCTGTTAGCCTGTGGGGTTAAAGGCACAAAACGTTTTGTGTTTAGTATTTTAAAATTATTTTGCCTGTTTCTTCACTCACCCTGGGCAGTACTGCGGATCAGCCTGTCTCTGTCTGAAAAAAGAGTGAAATGTTAAAGTCAAGAAAGGGGTTACAGACTAGGCTGAGGGACTGTGTTTGCTGAAAAATATTCCAGGGGGAGCTGATTCCTTCTCTGGTGTGTGAACCTGAGGCAACTTGCTAGTGGTGAAAAAAGGGGTGGGGGGCTGGCCTGACACTAATTTCTCCATTCCCTGAGCTGAGGAGAAAGTAACCCAATGTTAGCGTTAGCGTTATGGCTGGGGAGTAAAACCATTCAGAGAAAACACTGTCATTTTCCTCTAATTTGCAAATTGCAGCTATTCATGTTGGATTGAATAGCTGAGGGAAAAAGAGCCCCTAGTTTTCACCTGCGTTTATGGAGAAGAGGCTGGTAGTCTGAGGAATGCACCAACTTGTAGCTTGGGATGCATGCAAGCTAGATAAAACAGTTGGTTTGTATGTGTCCTGGTTAATCACTGCCCATGTTGGAATATGTGTTTCATATACCAACAATCTCTTCCAGTAGCCCTTTTTGCGTGTGATCTTAGACGCTCCTGTCATGTAATTCCAGTCCCCAGGTTTCCAGTGTCTATAAGCCTGCAAAATGAGTAGAGAGAATAATGGTATACACACCCATTGTTCAAAGGCACACTTAGAGGGAGAGAAAAAGGATATAGTGAATCTTGTCGGGGATTTCTAGGTTCAGTTCAATTAAGATTGTCCTACATAAAAGAAACTCCTCCAAATGATTGAATTTCTAGCTTTCCAGTGATTTGAGTTTTCTTTTTCCTCTGTTCCCTGCAGGTTGCTTTAGGGACCATGCCAAACCGATCACTTGAGATATACGTTTATAGTGAGATAAGACTGTAGGCTAGAAGAAGGAATACTTAGCGACTTAAATGGGGGGTGCTGAGCACTGAAGGGAAGGAGGGAGAAATGAGATGGTAACAGATGTAACAAATGCTGCTGCCCCCAGCAAAGTCAGGAATGAAATTCCTTCCTGGAAATTTGGACCTGGGCAAGAATGACTCCTCAGATGTAAATAGTGTCTATGACTTTGAATTTTCATTTGACTGCTGGTGTACCAGATTGAAGACATAAGCTTAGCAAGTCCTCTTTCTCTCCTCTCTTTACACACTGAGTGGGTTAGTACGATGACATGTCTGAGGACAGGAATCATATTCAGTGGGTCTTCAAATCAATCCAGGAATTTGAGGCTAATGAAATTAGTGTGTGGCCAGGGCTCTGCCAACTAGAATTAAATCACTGCAACTGCCCTGCAATGCATTTTCAGCCTCAAAGAAACATCAGGGAGGAATTTCTGGAGATTTGTTCCTAAGCTTGCGCAAAATAATACTCTCCTAATGCTAAGAAAGATTAAACGTAAATTAATATTGACTATAAGTAACATATTTAAAAAAAATCATCACAGAGTTGGGATGGCTGGAAGTAGAGAGGTTATATAATACGGTGACCAATGGATAAATCTCCTCTGACCACTGTCTTATGGGCAATAAGTAAGGTATATTACAGTGGAAAGTCATGGGAACATTTTCATTCAAACCCTCTCCATTATTGACTTGAGAGCAAACACTCCCAGAGTATAAATTACCCTTGCTACATTCTGACTCTGAATGAATAATATTTCCTGTGTAGTGACATGCTCTACACTATAGACTTGGAATTGAATGGCATCTGATTCAGGTGGATTTTTTTTTTTTTTTCCTCCCAAAGCAAGTAGATGGAAAAAGCGGTCAACTCTACCCTTGTCGGAGCATAATGCAAATCTAAGTCTGTGGACCTTGTATCATAAATGAAATGCTTTAGTAAATGTGTCAATGTTTTCCTTCTGTTAATTGAAACTTGAATGTAATATCAAACTTTTGGGATAATATTTTATACAGAAATACCTAGATTTTTTTTTCTTTTCTCTCTCTCCATCGTAATCCGATAGAGCTGAGCACATAGGGTGGTGTGGTATTACTACGGTGGTGAAATTTATTAGAAAGGCAACTTTAACCTACACTTTTTATAATTTAATAAGTATAGGTGTCACTGCCATTTGGAATAGTCTCTATAACAATCTCTGCCTCCACATTTACTGTGTTTTAGGAAATTTACCTAACAGATGGTGAGTGGGAAATTTTTAAAGGGGCATTTTTAAAAAGAGCAGAGGGAAGGAATGAAGACATGCACATATTATATTTGAAGACATCTCCATGTGTATTTCGTGTATACATACCCATGCAATTAAGATGTCTTTGGGCATTTTTCTCTTTAAGAATAATTGAAACAATGAATGCATTTACTTCAACTTCATGAACATTTGGAGATTAACAAATTACAAGTGCTATATTTCTTACATATATACAGGTTATATCATAGATATAAAAGACCATACTTGGATTTTACAGTGTGTTTTAGTCTCAATCCTGCCATTAACTGGCTAAGTTACCCTAAATAAATCTCTTAATTTTTCTAGGCTTCATTTGCCTTATCTGCTTTTTTTTTTTTCTTTAAAAATGTAGTTTCTAAAAGTCTGTAATCTTTTTTGTTTAGCTTGGAAAAAACTTTGTCTTGTCAAAACTGTCTTTGCATTTCCAGCTCCCACTTTTGGTGAGTTTGTGGGAACTTTTAAAATATATTTTCACACAGCTCTCTTGGTCATTACTAGTCAAGTTAATTTCCTGTATTCAGACTGCTTTTGTATTATCTTACAATTTACTTCTCAATCATATATATCAAGGCTACTGGTAGGGAAAATGATCTCTCAGGTCAGCTTACTGAATGATCATAAGACACAAGGCAGGGAGTGAGAACTGTGGAATTTACAGTGGCAGCAAGCTATAGCTTTCGTATCTCCATGTAGTATTCCCATTCATCTTGCAAAAATATCAGACTTTTCTCTCCCAAAACTGAGAAATGATGACATCCTGCCTATCTTCCTGGCCCCAGGGATGAGGTACGTGGCCAGGTCAAATGAAGCAGGTGATTGGTTCCTTTGTAATCGTTTGACCTCATCCAGGCCAATTAGAATCTTCCCCAAGATGTTTCTCTCAGAGATAAATGGGAACACTATCTCCTCTCTCTGGAATTTTTAAGCTAGGGAGATGTGATTCTGGGGCTCCCAGTGGCCATCCAACACAAGGAGAGACTTTCTGTAGCATATAGTCAAGTAGATGTGAGTAGGGCTGAGTGGTGGGAGAGAGGGGAGCCCTGCTGATATTCTGGAACTCCTACATTCAACTATATCTGAATCTAGATATGTCTGTGAGTTTCTAGGACGTGTTATTTTTTGAAACACATTTCTTTTTACTATTTTGAGTTTGATTTTAGCCATGTGCAGTGGAAAGCATTATAGCAAAAGCAGCTGATTTTCTGCATTAATGTAAGGTTCACTAACTGGCATTCATTCAGTGAAAAATCAGGCTGTAGATAACACTTTCTTTACTTTAAACATAATTCTTTTAGCCCAGCTTCGGGACATTCAAGACTCGATGTCCTTCTCTTCCCAACATTTACTGTAATTGATTTCAGCCTTTGTGATCACATCTTCCCTATCTCGATGCAGTTGAGAGGGAAGACAGACACTTCTGATGTAAACTGCAGGATGTATAGGCCTCCTATCTGAAAGCTTTGGAACCACACTTGGTTCCTTTCATTAAAGCAAATCTTTTGTTGATATCCCCAGGGCACAGAAACATTTTCATGGTATAATGGAATACAAAGTACATTAAACTCCTGGGTCACTCTACAGTAAGCAACAAGCCTAACTCTGCTTCTTGTCCCCTTTTACATTAAGTAGACAATTAAAAACAGCTGCAAACATATTTCCCAACCACTAAAATGCATATATGATCTCTATGTAAAATGATATTTATGCAACATATAGTCTGACTGGTTAATTAATGGACCTTTTGTGAATTGACACAGTCAATATATATGTTTTCTGCACATAAAAAATCAAAACAATAAAACCTATGTACAGGTAAATATCTGTCTGAAAGAGTGTTGAGTCAACCTTCTTCACATTATATTTCCATGTTTGACAAGTAACCTGCTTTCAACTATATTTACAACTAAATGTTTTTTGAATCACATTATTAGATTACAAAATCAAAAATCAAATATATGAATTTCAATGATATAGGATATATGTCACATTTTATGCAAACCGACTTTCTAATCTTTTTTCAATAAAAGTAGTAGTAACCATAATAATAATTTGAGTCCTTACCATAAGCCACTGTGCCACGTGCTAAAAGTACTTCATTTCATTTAATTCTCACAGTAGTCCTGCAATGTACATATTCTCATCCCATTGTTCAGCTCAGGAAAGTGATTCTCATAGCCCAAAGTCACATAGCTGGTAAGTGGCAAAGTCTGGATTCAAACTTGTCAGATTTGTCTGACAACAAACCACTACGTATACTGCTCAGTTGTTGCACAAATGCATAAATGCTTAAAGTAATTGCAGATTTTCCTATCCTGAATTTATAGTGGTTTAAAGACATCACAGTTGCTGATTGCTTAAGCGTATCTATTTACAGAAATATATGTTTTATTTTAATCCTACAACAAGATTAATTTTGTAGGCCCATAGAAACTTGAGCACACAAACCCTTACCTCCAAATGAAAAATGCTTGTTCTCCCTTATACAACAAGTAGCCCCGTATGCAGGAAATAAATATACAGTAGACTTTTCATTCAAATAAATGAGAAAAGATGTTTCATCTTGTCTTGATTCAGTACCCACCATTATGGATTATGATGGCTCTTTCTAAACTTCATTTCGTTCACTCCACCCTTTCTACAAACCTCAAGTAGGGAAATCCATCATTCAGATATATGTGCAAAGTGAGAGGACTGTTTTAATACAATTGCTGAAAGTCAAGTTGATAGAGCACAGGAAGTACATCCTAATAAATGCAACATTAATGTTTGTGTGGGCCGTGGAGGGAAGGGTAGGAGAGTTTTCAGTTTAATGGGTTATTTTGCCTCTTGCTGTAAAAGAGCTGCAGCTTAATAGTTTTATAATTGGTCATTTGCAGAATTCTCCATCTTTGGGTGTTGTGCTTTTGTCATTCCACGGCTGCTGACTTTCTTTTATTCTTGATGGAAAGTAGCAAGAAAGTCACTTAAAGGGCTCAGTGTAGTCTTCTACATTATTGTTTAAATAAAAATATTTCCATTTTTAAAGGGCTCTTTAAACATTTTTATTATGTTTTAAACTTGACTGTGTTCTGAAGGGGTTAGCTCATGCAGACATCAGGGGGAAGGTTTCCCAGGAGAAAACACACTCTATCAAAGGAATTATCAGAATTTCCATGTAGGGGTTAAGAATCAAATTCTGGAGCAAGACAGGCCTGGATTTAAATCCACACACTCCACTTACTGCCTGTCTGACGTTGATCAAAAAGGTACCACACCTTTCACCAATTTTCTTATCTTTGGAATGGGTATAATAAAAATGTACCTGTCTGATAGAGTAATTGCAAGGATTGCATGAAGTATGCATGGAAATATTTTGCCACTGAGATTAGCATGTTTAATACATTTAAAAGCTATGTTAAAGTTATCAGATGGACATTAAGTGTCAATATTGCTTAATTAATCATTATTGCTAATTTTGAATTTTGCTGTTTAATTACCATAGTAGTTATGCTGGATTACACTCTTCTCTGTTTCTTCTGCTGAATTGAAAATTTACATACATATGTATAATTTACATCTATCTATCTGTCTATCTATCTATCTATCTATGGAGACAGAGAGAGAGAAAGAGCAAAAGAGAGAACAGTGAGACAGATAGAAGGAGAGAGAGAGTGAGAGATAACACACACACACGTGCACAGAGAGAACATTTTAGTGACGTTACTCAGTGGAATGAAACTTTTTATGGAACTGATTAAAGGAAATAATGAATTCCATGGACTTAAGATAACAGCAAGGCTAAGAGCAGTGGAAGTCTGGCAGCCTTGAGCTTGAATTCCATTGTGGACCCTTTCTACCTGCAGAGCTTTGGGAAAGTTACACTTTTATAAGCTTTACTCCTTCTTTCCTTATCTTTGTTTTTTCCTAGAAATACTTATTAAACACCTTCCATGTGCGCTTTTCTAAATGCTTGGACACATCAGTAAAAAAGTAAAAGCTCTCTCTCTCCTTCTCCTTTCCTCTTCTTTTTTTTTTCTTTTTGCTTCTCCCTCTCTTCTCTCCCTTCTCCACTCTCTCCTCCCTCCTCTCTCTCTCAGCTTACATTCTCATGTGTGAAAACAGATGGATGTTATAAATACATCCTATGGATGTTACAAGTTGGTGAACATTATGGGATAAGGAAAAGAATGTGGAACTTGCTGAAGATGGTCGGGTTGGTAGTGCTAGGGGCTATAAGTGTGGTCTCTACTTTTAAGTAGGGTAATAGCGTAGATTTGATGAGGTGACAATTGAGCAAAGACTTGAAGCAAGGGAGTTGGCATAGTGGATTTAGGGGAAGACCACTCCCTGGGAGTAGGAATGACCAGTGCCAAAACTCCAAGCAAAAATGGGCCTGGCATGTTAGAAGAATATTGTAGAGGCCATTGTGGCTGAGTAGAGTCAATGAGGAGGAAGGAACAGCAGGAGGTCTTGAGGTCAGAGATGTGACGGGGCTAGTTCATGCAAGGCCATCGCAGGCATTTTGTCATTTACTCTAAATGTTGGCAGCCAGTGGTAGGATTTTAGCAGAGGTATGAGATGAGCTGTCTCTTGTTCTAAAAGGACAATGCTCTGTGGTATTGAGGGTAAGGGCAAAGAGTAGTATCTGGGAGAACAGAGAAGAGGCATTTCCAGGTAAGATCGATGGTTTGGTGGCTTGAGCTTCTAAGAAGGGATACGTTTTGAAGGTTGAAACAGGATTTCCAGGCAGATAGAATGTGGGATGTGAAAGAAAGAACAGGATCAAGACCCCTTAACCCAAGATTTTGGGCCTGGGCAACTGGAAAGTTGAGATTATTATCATCTGAAATTGAAAAGATTCAATTGGGGTGGAACAGGGTTAGGGGTTAAGGATCAGTTTTGGAGACAGAAGGTTCCAGAAGTCTGTAGGTCCGAAGAAAGATCTGAACTAGAGATACATTGTGTAAAATGGAGACATTAAGAATAATTATCCGAAAGCGTTATTTTAAAGATTGAATGAGGAAGTGGAATTAGCACTGTAGGTTCTCAAAACACTTAGTAATTAGTGAAAAATAATTATCTGAAATGAAAGAAAATCCTGTAGTTTGTTTCTGCAGTAAAACTGAACAAAACAGTATCTCATTATTTTAATAACATTTGTGACACAATTATTCTGGTCAGACACCATAACTATAAACATTTAGAGGAAGCATTTCAGTTTCCTATGTTTCTCCCTGATGTTATAATTGCAACCATATTTTGTAAGGTTTAAATTAGTTGGATAGGGTGGCTCTTTAATGACAATCAATTCTGAGCTACTTAGTTAATGCAATAATATACTATTTATTATTATTATTTTATGTTCTTCATTAAACTTAGTTGAAAATTTGTCATCACTGATACGCATGATGAAATTTAGGTAGTTACCCAGGTGTTTAAGAAAAAAATAAGGGGCTTATCTTAAAATATGCCTATGCATACTTACTTTCAACAATTTCACCAGGCATTTCATGTATTTCCTTGACTTTTTAAATTAAAAATATGACGGGAAATTTTATCTCGTAGGTTGTCATCTCCGTTTAGGTATTTGAAAACCATTAAACAGATTTTGTGGCTTAACCAAAATTCTGTTCCATTTTCATTTGGCTACCAGATATTGGTCCAAGCATGTACTTACAATAAAAATGCATGACCATGTTGTCTCAACACATCTATGATTTTATTTTAACACTATCATTATGTAAGCTATATTTTAATTGTAATTATAACACATTTTATATCAACACACATACATTTCTAGTGTTCAGGGGGAAAGCAGCGTGTAGTAAATTTTATCAAAATATAGCTTCTGAAGAACGGAACAGAGGGTAATTGTGTAATTCTGTATTTACCATAATTAAGTTCAGTAGAGTTGGCATAATAAAATTAAGATTAAAAAAAATCCCCAAACCATTGAGGCATCCTAGCTCCCTCTCCTCCACTCCTTTCCACATCAGAGAACACATAGTTAGCATCTTTCTGTATAGAAATCAAGAAAAAACAGGCAAGTAAATGAATGACAGGCATGAGAAGAGTATGGAAAGAGACATGGAAAGGAAATGTTACTTTTGGATTTGGGAGGTATGAAAGATCCACTAGTTTGTATGCCTACTGGGACCACAATTTCTGAAACAGTTAAGCTAAAGGTCAAAAATGCTGTCCCGCCATCCTTATGAGGAGGGACATACTTATATGCTAATCATTGCACCCTGTTTCATTGAGAAGATTATCACAAAAACTCTATTATATGAGGCAAAGTACATTGTTTTTAAATGATTGCCATTTCCTCAACTGCCACTCTCCAAGCTTGCATGCTCCATTTCTCTCTCTCTTACTCTCAGTCTTGCTCTTTGTTTGCCTTGATCTCACTCTCTCTCTTTCATGGATTATTTCAGTCTGGAGTGCAAGGATGGCTTACGGGAGAAGATCGTTGTATTTTTTTTAATTTTACTTTAAGTGCTGGGATACATGTACAGACGTGCAGGTTTGTTACATAGGTATACATGTGCCATGGTGGTTTGCTGCACCCATCAACTCTTCATCTACATTAGGTATTTCTCCTAATGCTATCCCTCCCTTAGCCCCCCCAACCCCCGACAGGCCCCGGTGTGTGATGTTCCCCTCCCTGTGTCCATATGTTCTTGTTGTTCAACTCCCACTTATGAGTGAGAACATGTGGTGTTTGGTTTCCTGTTCCTGTGTTAGTTTGCTGAGAATGATGGTTTCCAGCTTCATCCATGTCCCTACAAAGGACATGAACGCATCCATTTTTATGGCTGCATAGTATTCCATAGTGTATATGTGCCACATTTTCTTTATCCAGGCTATCATTGATGGGCATTTGGGTTGTTCCAAGTCTTTGCTATTCTGAGCAGTGCTGCAATAAACATATGTGTGCATATGTCTTTACAGTAGAATGATTTATAATCCTCTGGGTATATACCCAGTAATGGGATTGCTGGGTCAAATGGTATTTCTGGTTCTAGATCCCTGAGGAATCACCACACTGTCTTCCACAATGGTTGAACTAATTTTCACTCCCACCAACATTTTTTTGGGATGACGGAGTCTTGCTCTGTCACGCCCTGGAGTGCAGTGGCGCGATCTCGGCTCACTGCAACTTCCACCTCCCAGGTTCAAGCGATTCTCCCGCCTCAGTCTCCTGAGTAGCTGGGATTACAGGCACCCACCACCAGGCCTGGCTAATTTTTTGTATTTTTAGTGGAGACAGGGTTTCACCATACTGGCCAGGCTGGTCCCGAACTCCTGACCTCAGGTGATCCTTTGGTCTTGGCCTCCCAAAGTGTTGGGATTACGGGCGTGAGCCACCTTGGCCAGCCAGTAATTTTTGTATATAAATATATATACAGTATAGCATAGTGGTTAAGAGTACAGGTGCTGAACATAGTTCAGATTCCTGCTTTCCACTTGCTAACCATGTGAGCTTCAGCAATTTACCTGATTATCAGGGTCTCACTATCCCCAATGGTGAAATAATGTTAACAATAGATCCGTCTGCATAGGCCTGTTTTCAGTGTTAAATGAGGTTCTTCATGGCAAGCACTTAATACAATGCCTACCACACAGTGAGGTCTATTATTTATTATTAATAGTATTAGCGTCAGTATTTTCAGCATGCCAGGTACTGTCTTTCCTAGCCTTATTCCATTATCCCCTAACTCCAGTTCCTGTCATGCACCCTGTATAAGGGCAGGGTTGTCACAGAGCTTTTGCCTATGGTGGTATCTGACCCCTAGTCATCTCTGAGGCTGGGCCAGTTCCTGGCATTTATTGTTGCCCATTGAAACAATCCCTGGTTGAAGAAGGGAAGTTGGATGTTAAGGCAAAGCAGGGTGAAAGAGAGATTGTTTCATCTCTTCTTCACCTAGGGGATTGAGTGAAATATTCATACATCAGAAGGATAATCAGGCAATGGGCAAAATGCTTAATTATATAGTTTAGTAATTGAGACCAAGCCAGGCAGACTGAATTTTAACTCCTTTCCAGCACATACTGACGGGGAACTTAGGTGTTTATTGTAACCTCTCTAAGCCTGTGTCTACCTCTGAAAGAAAGAAATAATAATATTAGGATGTACTGCATACTGTTGTTGTGAAGAATGAATGACTAGATCCTTCTAAAGCACTAGGCACATTGTTTGGCATATAGCAAGTGCTCAATAAAGGTTAGTTGCCATAACTGCTTATAATAACTCATTATCAGTAAGTAGCTGAACAACTCCGAGATCCTTCCTTTTCTTAAATTGCACATGATCTTTGGGACAACCAGTTTACATTTATCAAGTGTCGTTTATATGAAAAGCCTCAGGAGCCCAGAAGTCTTTAAACTGTACCCCCAGTCAGAGCCAGCTCCGGGCAGGCCACATCAATACCACCACTACCACCATCATCATTGCCATCCTTACTGATCAACTGGTCATATTCAGTACTTTCTGTGTGCCAGATACCAAGCTTATCCCTATATATGGATTACATCATTTTCTTCTCCCACTCGGGTAGGAAAAATTCTTATCATTTTACTGATAAAGACACTGAGGTGTTGAAAGGATAAGCAACTTGACCATTAGTGAGAGAGACGGAGCTAGGATATTCAAGCCCCTGTCTCTCTGACTTCATGAACCCTTGAATGTTATTATACTATATCCTGGTAAGAAATTTTTCTTTCAGCCACTCCTGTGAGAGTAGAGAAGCTTCTTGATTTCCATATCTTTCTATTCCCTATGACACCCTAGCCTCAGTACTAGGAGGTAGTGAAGGGGACCTCTTCAAAGACCATTCAAGGAAAACTTACTCCTTTCAGCCTTTCCTGAATCAACTAATATTTTATTTCCTTCTTAAGAATCCCCACATGTTCCTTTCTGTTAGTTACCTTGACCTCTTAGTATTCTTACATTCTACACATGACTCATCCACTCTATTTAAAGTTAATTTATTTGAGGTCAAGTGTGGGGTCTTACTCATCCTGAGGTAGAATTATCCTCTATAGCATCTAACTCTATGCTTTTCATCTGGCAGGACTTCTGCAAATATTTATTTCAGTTTTGTTGAATTGTGCTTATCAACAGTACATTAAAAGTTATGCAGAAAATGCTTTCTCATAAGGGAAACATTCTAACTAAAATTGTAGCTATTTTTTTAAATAGGATTATCACAGAGGTCTTGGTTCTGCACTTTTTTTTTTTTTAGATTATTTCATATTACCTTATTTTAACATGTGTTGATAAGCCTGATGATATGGTTTGGCTGTGTCCGCAACATCCAACTCTCACCTTGAATTGTAATAATCCCCATGTGCTGAGGGCGGGGCCAGGTAGAGGTAAATTGAATCATGGGGGTGGTTTCCCCCATACTGTTCTCTTGGTAGAGAATAAGTCTCACGAGATCTGATGGTTTTATAAACGAGAGTTCCCCTGCACAAGCTCTCTTGCCTGCTGTCATGTAAGGTGTAGCTTTGCTCTTCATTCGCCTTCTGCCATGATTGTGAGGCCTCCCCAGCCGTGTGGAACTGTGAGTCAATTAAACCTCTTTTCTTTATAAATTACCCAGTCTTGGGTATGTCTTTATTAGCAGTGTGAGAACAGACCAATCACCTGAGTTTTCTTTATCAAGCCTACACATTTTTACCTGCTTATAACTTAGCTTATTGATTATGTCGTTGACTTATCCATTTACAAAAATATTATTTGATCATGCCAGGGGTGAAGTAGGGTGGGGAGGTGCATCTTAGAACCATAAATTGGTTTTCTAGAAAAGTAACATAAAGAACTGGAGTTCTCTCATATTTTTGCAGAACTCATTAATTGTTATATTTTTATAATTTTATTCATTCTTACTTACAGACTATCTTAAAAGGGTTTAATCTCAATTTGTTCATCTTTCTCTACTCAGTCTTGATGGGAAGCTGGTAGGTTGAATGGAAGAAAGTTATGGCATGGCCGGGCGTAGTGGCTCACGCGTGTAACCATAGCACTTTGGGAAGCCAAGGCAGGTGGATCACCTGAGGTCAGGAGTTCAAAACCAGCCTGGCCAACATGGTGAAACCCCATCTCTACCAAAAATATAAAAATTATCCGGGCATGGCGGCGGGTACCTGCGATCCCAGTTACTCGGGAGGCTGAGGCACAAGAATCGCTTGAACCCGGGAGGCAGCGGTAGCAATGAGCCGAGATCGCACCACTGCACTCCAATCTGGGTGACAGAGCGAGGCTCCATCTCAAAAAAAAAAAAAATTATTATGGCATGAATCAAGGGCCACTGGGTAGGAGTCAGGGCCTTGGGCTTTCCTGTTTGTTTGCTTCTCCCCAGTTAATATTAGCTAATGCCTTGAGTGCTTGCTGGGTGTAAGAAACTTTGCTGGCTGTGGCAAATGGATTGTTTCATCCAAGTTTTTTGAGAGTCATACAGTGAGAATGTATGTTATTATGACCCCCATAGTGCACACATGGAGCAGAGCTTTGAAGTGCCTATATACTCATGTTAAAATATGATGATGGTAGAGCTTGAACTCAGGTCAATGTGACTGATAAGTCAGAGGTTTTTACCACTAATTTTTTTTTTTTTTTTTTTTGAGAAGGTGTCTCGCTGTATCGCCCAGGCTGGAATGCAGTGGCACCATCTCGGCTCACTGCAACCTCCGCCTCCTGGGTTCAGACGATTCTCTTGCCTCAGCCACTGGAGAAGCTGGGATTATAGGCACCCGTCACCACGCCCAGCTAATTTTTGTATTTTTAATAGAGACGGGGTTTCACTATATTGGCCAGGCTGGTCTCAAACTCCTGACCTCAGATGATCCACCTGCTTCAGCCTTCCAAAGTGCTGAGATTACAGGCATGAGCCACCAACCCCGGCCTACCACTAAATTGAAGTTGTGTAACCCTACGAAGGTGACACAATTTTAAGTAGCTTCTATAATTTCCTCAGCTCTTTTTGTAATGAAGTCTTTGTCTGATTGCAAGCTTACAGGAGGTGAGGAGTGTGTGGAGGAATTTCAGCCAATTGAATGGAATTTTCCTTAATATGGATGGAGGGCTGTTTTATGACATTAATAAATAAATCCATTCATTCAAAATATATTGAGTATCTACTATGTGCAAAGGCATTTCTCAGCACTTGCATCATGTTAGTGAGCTTCTCTTTTTTAAACTTCCCACAGCAGGCAGAGAAGTCTGGTACTGGTTTGCCTGCTATACGGAGGGGTTTGATGCAGGGAGCCTAGCTGATTCCACAGTGTCAAAACCAAGACAAACTCACATTAATTCATAGGCACCTTGACGCCAGGATACAGCAGCACACTTGGATCTTACTATTGTTGACTGGGATTGATGATAAAATAGCTTTGGATTTGTTATGAAAAGTGGGTATGTTCATGGACTTCATGGTTCTATATAGATATGTAGACACATCATGTGTCATCAACCTGCAGCTACCTGCCATCCCCTGCTACTCCTGCTTTTACATGCCAAGCAAGGGCCTTCTCATCTCGCTTATGGATAAGCTTTTAACAGTGGCAATGGGGCCTAGCATCACCTAGTAACCATATCACTGGCTAAACCAGTGGTTTTTCAAATTCGCTCTTTGATAGGCCCATGAGGTAGATTGACATTCCGCTTGTATGAGTAGAAAATGGTGTTCGTTTATAATTCATCGGGAAGAAAATAGGCCACTGGATATAATTTCCTCAATTAAAAAATTTTCATATAGATGGACATGAAAAATTTTAAATTGAGGATATATATACACATATACCTACACAGATATCACACACACACACACACACACACACACACACACACACACACACATATGACTTCTGCTAGTAAATTACAAATGAAATTGTTAGTAGCTCTGTATACACATAAGCAGGAAAGTAGCTGATCAGATTTAACTCAATAACTTACTTTTTTTTTTTTTTACAGATCTGTGGTTACAACTCTATCTACAGATATATTTGCTGAAGAAAATATTTCTTCCACCTTCCACAGCAAAATTCCATTCATTTAAGACCAATACAGCATGTCCCAAATGTCTTAGTCCAGTTTTAATCTTTAATAGCTTCAGAAGTGTGAAATTACAAACATGCCCCCCAAAAATCATTTGAAAGTTTAATTATTTAAATTTCTCTTTGTATTTACATTTGTGGATTTTGAAAAATCAATATTTAATTGTACTTTGTTTGTTGCTGTCCTTCTGATTGAAGATGGCAAACATTGACTTAAAGACCAAAAAGTTGTAACTAAATATGTATTATTCAAAATTATCAAAACTAAATAAGTGACCAAGAAATTCAAATGATTAGACTTTCAAAGGGTGATTTTTTATGTGTTTGCGTGTGTGTGTGTGTGTGTGTGTGTGTGTGTGTGTGTGTAGTATTTTTTCTTCTGAAGAAACTGATCTTGAAACTCTACTAAGATTTTAGGGACATCTAGTTTAATGAGCAAATGCTTTGTGTCTGGGACTGCAGCATGCACTAGATATTTAAGAGATTAACATAAAATAATAATAATAATACAAAAACAACAACACATCCTCTCAGACATGGAAGAAAATTCCACTTGAGAAATGGACCAATACATCACGCACTAATAAAATAGCAAAGGCTCTCAAACATCAATGTGCTGAAGAATCACATGGCAAGCATGCCAAGCAGGCAAGTTCCAGGGCCCCTTCTCCAGGTGTAAGGCTCTAGAAACTATATTTTTCTTGAATGCTCTCAGGAGATTCTGAGATTGGTGTTTTCAATTGCCCTCAAACTTAAGTCTGCATCAGATCTGCCTGAAAGTTTGTTAAAACACACATTGTTGGGCTCCACCCTCAGAGTTTCTGGATTACTAGATTTGCATTTCTAACCAGTTCCCAGGTGCTGCTATCACTGGTCCAATGACCACACTTTAAAAACCCATTGCTTACAGAAAATACCTTCAGTATAGGATGTGTGTTTCATGAAAGATGAGTTTACAGAGACCCATAGGAGTGCAAAGGGCCTCTACCCTAAATTGGCCAAAGGTAGTCTAAAAACTAGCTAGATTTTTATTGAACCAAGCAAGATTATAAGAACTTTAATTGAACTACCTCATTTAATATTTTCAATAAGATACGTAAGTCCTACTTAATGTCCCCAATTTACAGATAAATTAATTTACCCAAGTCATACAACCAGTAAGTAGTAGATTAAAAATTCAAATCTAGAAAGTCTGATTCCAGAGCCCACACACTTTTATACTTATATTATTTTCAATTGACAAATTATAATTGTATTACATTTATAGAATACAGTGTGATGTTTTTGATATATGAACATAGTGGAGTGATTAGATCAAGGGAATCACACTTACTTGACGTTGTTTTGTGGCGATACATTTGAAATTTATTCTCTTATTTTGAAAGATATAACACACTACACCCTTACCTGTTCTGTTTTACTTATTTTGCTTAATCATTCTGCTTATATACAGGGGTAAAATGTTGTCAGCCCAGGCTTTCTGGAGGAACTGACCTCTGAGTGTAATTTTTAGAAAGATGAGTGGACATAAAAATATTACCATTTTTTAAAAGATGTTGTGAATAGTATCAGGACTTCTAAAAGAGCCAGACCTCACCACACAGTTACCTCAAGCAAATCTGATGATTAATAGTCTAGAATAGGAGGATAACTATGGGATGCTAGGAAGAATTCTGGGAACCTGAGGTTAGAATTCAGTATCGATTTATAATGAGTTTACCTGCAATAATAGAACCTGAATAAGAGTTACTTACCTAACTTTCCTCATGTAACAGTTTGGAGATTGTTTTTATGTTAATTCAGCCACTAAGTGGTATCCATGAGGGACTAGGTTCTCTTATCTTCCTGTCCCCTCACCTCTGGTGTGTCACTGTGTTACAAGAGAGTTGCAAGACGGCTACTGAATCTGCAGCTGCATTCCCAATGTTTAACCCAGAAGAAAGAACATTTAAAAGGGGATGTGGAGCAAAGAAAGTATTTACCAAAACTCATCATCAGACTCTCACTTAGATCTCGTTAGCTAGGGCTTTAAACTGGCCACCTTAGTTTTGAGGATATTAGGGATTTGGCAATCAGGGTTTTGATAGCAGGGAATGAGGGGAGAATGGGTAATTAATCAGATGGCTCACAGAGTCTGCACAGACTTCATTCCCAGTCTCCCCGACAAAGAACCCCAAATTCTACTTTATTTTATGCATTTTACCTTGAATAGTGGGGAAAAATTACTTATCTGTAAATAGCCTCCTACAAAGGGTGCAATTACATAATTATACAACCCCCTAGAGAGCCTCTTTCTTCTAAAAACTCTTTGAAAAATGTTCAAGGTTGAGGATATTTTGATCTTAATTTAGTAACTTGCAGTTGATTATCCTGGAATGACATTCTCTTTCTCTGCAGATGTCCTGGCGGGCTTTAGAAACTTCTGGAAGAAGTGGACAGAGAATTCTTATGGTTCACATATAAACAATATGAATCTTTTGGAAGAAAAATTCATTTAGGGACCAAAAGCCCCTTTATATCTGATTTTTTTTCCCTCTCACCAAATTTTCACAAATTTTCCTTTCCAAAATGCCTTTGAGCAAATCTGTTTGATATCACCCCATCCACTTCTCCTGTCTGAATTCTTTATTACTAAGAATCCTTCAGCATTCCATCTCTCACTCGTCTTTGTCAAAAGCATTTCTCAGTGTCTTTATTCCTTCTCGTCTCGTATTTGGACTCATCTCTCAAACTGAAAAAGGAGATGGCTATGGTTTCTCCAGAAGCTTGGAGAACTTCCCTTTGCAAAAAAAGGTAGCGATGTTAATTAACTTGAAAGGTAAGCAATGTGTGTAATGCTTCTAATAATTTATTAAAAGTTTATTATAATCAGTATGTTATTATAATTTATTATAAGTTTATCTCTCAGTTACTCTGTAGTTCAGTTTGGACTTCACTGGCTTAGCAATCAGTTTTCTGCTCAGTGATTCAAGAGCCTACCGTTTCAATTATATGCCTGTACATTGTCTCAAAAAGGAAAGGAGACAGGAAATTGCAAGCTCAATTATAAACTCATTATTCCTCAAATACACATTCTTTTTTTCTTTTAATTTTTATTTTTAGTTCTGGGGTACATGTGCAGGATGTGCAGGTTTGTTACATGGGTAAATGTGTGCCATGGTGGTTTGCTGCACTATCAACCCATTACATAGGTATTAAGCCCAGCATGCATTTTCTATGTTTCCTAATGCTCTCCCTTCCCTCACTCCACCCCCCAACAGTCTCCAGTGTGTGTTGTTCCCCTCCCTGTGTCCATGTGTTCTCATTGTTCAGCTCCCATTTATAAGTGAGAACATGCGGTGTTTGGTTTTCTGTTTCTGCATTAGTTTGCTGAGGATAATGTCTTCCAGCTTTATCCACGTCCCTGCAAAGGACATTATATCATTCATTTTATGGCTGCATAATATTCCATGGTTTATATGTACCACATTTTCTTTATCCAGTCTATTGTTGATGGGCATTTGGTCTAATACCCACAATCTACAAGGAACTCAAACAAATTTTAAAGAAAAAAAAAACCTCATTAAAAATGGGCAAAGGACATGAACAGATACTTCTCAAAAGAAGACATTCATGCAGCAAACAAGCATGAAAAAAAACTCAACATCACTGATCATTAGAGAAATGCAAATCAAATATACATTCTTATAAAATTTCTGGTAGCGTTCTGTGGGCCAGTAAGCAGTAATGTGGCCACACTCAGATGCATAGACATGGGGAATACTATCCTAAGCCTTATCTCAACACTGCTACAATCTGGAGGGGCTAAAAATGTTTAGTCAATAGGTGTTCATTTCTGCCACAATGATCGATTAGTCTAAGGCAATTGAATTGTGTGTGTGTGTGTGTGTGTGTGTGTGTGTGTATTAGTATGAGCTGAAACTTGTGGAAGTCCACCTTAAAAATATAGATAAATCCAACTGTGGTTCACTGTTATCTTTCCTGGTTGCAGTTGATTACTGTTTTCCTTCATCCTCTACCTCTCATCCACCTTAGTATCAGTGTGGTAAAAACTGAAAGAAATTATTCCAAGATCTCCAATTCTTTGAAAGGTATAGCATACCTAGACCCTAACAGTTTTACTCTGTACAACTTTTACCAATTCCAAATGATGAATTTGTGGAAAATTAATGCAGAAAAAAAGGCTGATTTTCTTTTGTACAAATACTCTGAGCCATGTTGCAGGGTAATTGGAAAATTCGGGAAATCTAAAGCTTCTTGTTGAAAATTAAAATACTTTTAATTATAAAAGTAGCATAAACTCATTGTGGAAACTACAAAAATTAAAAAGGCATAAAGAAAAAGTATAAGCCAGGCATGGTAGCATTAGCTTTTAGTCCCAGCTACTCCAGAGCCTAAGGCTGCATGTTTGCTTGAGCCCAGGAGTTCCAGGCTGCCATGGGCTATAGTTGCACCACTGCCCCCCGGCCTGGACAACACAGCAAGACCTTGTTTCCCAAAAAAAAAATAAAAAGTATAAATAACTTAAAATCCCATTATCCCATTTCCAATAAATGATCTTCATAACATTCTTGAGATATTTTTGTTTGTGGGGGTACACACAGGCACAATGCAAGCAAATATATAATACTTTTAATTATTAGACCAAACTATAAAAATGTTTTGTATCTTTTTTGCTTATTAGTATATAATGAGCATGATTCCATGTCATTTAATAAGGCTATATCACAAACTTAAATAGCTCAGCAGCATTTCATTATTTACGTAGCCAGTTTCCTGCCACTCAAAATTTAGGTTTACCTCTCTCTTTTCTTTGGTACTACAGAAAAATGAGAAAAACATCTTTGTGCATATGTCTTCCTGCATTTATTCATTTCCTTAGAATGACTTTTTAGAAATTGAAGGGCCACTTTTCAATTTGAGTACATATTGACGTATGAGCCTATGGAAGAGTTGCACTACCTTACCTTTCTATCAGCAATTTAACATCGTGTGTAGATTCTCACACTCTCTACAGTACCAGCATTAGCCATTTATTTCATTTGTGCCACTCTGTTGAGTAAAACATGAGACCTACATGATTCTAACTATATTTCTTTGGTTAATAATTGTGAGATTAAACTTATTTTAATGTATTTATTGACTGTTTGTATTTCTTCTTTTGTGACTTTATGACCTTTATGCATTTATTCACATTGATTTACAATAACTTTTTATATATTATAATGTTTATTATTTTGTTATAGTTTTCAATGTAATTTTTCTTTTTTAATTTATAAATTATAATCTCATGTTTATAGAAATTCTTTAATATTGTCTAGTCTATTCAAAAACACTTTAATAGTTCAGACACAGGGAGAAATCATCAGTCACTCTCTTACATTTTATAATCAATTTATTTCCTTTGCCAGTATGTGAATATAACTCCTTATTTTATATTATGTTTGGAAATGATTTATTCCCTCTGAAAGGGATTATAGCCTCTATGAAACTGTAAAGCCAGATTTTATATGGCACATAGGGTGTATAGGAAAAATGAAAGGCCATAAATCACACTCCATTGAATATTGCCTTATTTATAAAGATGGCATTTTAGGTTGTATACTTGTCATCAGATAAGCATAATTAATTTTGTTAGTATTAGCAAGAACAGCCTAGGAAAGCTTCACAGCAAGAAGTGAGTGGTTATGGGAGCAGGAAATAGCCTCTGTCTCATCCAAAACAGCAAGGACTTGAAACCGTGAGGATCCTGCTTATAGAATCTTGATCCAGTCAGCCCAGCCAACATGTGTTGTCAAGTAGGGCAAGTAGATTTGAGAAGTCTGAGAAGTTATCTTGGTCTCTTCTGGAAATGAGCAGCAACGTACTGTGCAGGGCAGAGATCATCAGCACAAGGTCTGGAGACATGGAACTCCCCCTATAGCCATTAAAGTCAGTGTGAGACAAAAATGCCAATATAAGTTATATTGATGACAGTATCAGTGAGATGACATTTAGTCCTCTAAAATTCCAACATGTTTTTGCAGTGTGCCATCCATTGGTAAATAGGCAGAGCCATTTGACAGATCTATTCAGTACAATGAATGAATCTGGCACTCACATTTAGAAAAAATGAAATTATATCAATTTGTCAAGTACAGTAGCTACCTGTTCTGTTTTATTTCTCCAGGTAGAACTAGATGACATTGCAGGCAGTGAGATGTTATCATGTTTGACCCCTGGAACTGTCCAAAAATGGAAGAAGCTGCCTCATCAGGTAGTTAATTTCTTGTCATTGGGAGTATTAAGTAGGTTTGTATGATCAGCAAGTTAAAGAGCCTATTTATCATTTCTAAAATATTGTACACACTAGTGCATTCAGGTTAGTATAAAGAATTCCTCACAATATATTAGGACAGTTTTAAATATTTTAATTTGATTAGACACAATCTTTTAGTTATAAAAAACATCACCATTTTGACCATTTAAATATGCCTTTATTTTCTCTTGTAACCTAGCTGTGTAGTCTTGGGCAAGTCACTACACTGTCTTGGACACAATTTTCTTTTCCTCTTTATTTTTTTTTCTGAGACAGAGTCTTGCTCTGTCACCCAGGCTGGAGCGCAGTATCATGATCTCAGCTCACTGCAACACTCGCCTTTGGGGTTCAAGCAATTCTCCTGCCTCAGCCTCCTAAGTAGCTGGGATTACAGACGCCCACCACCACACCTGGCTGATTTTTGTATTTTAAGTAGAGACAGGGTTTCACCATGTTATCCAGGCTGGTCTCAAACTCCTGACCTCGTGATCCACCCACCTCGGCCTCCCAAAGTGCTGGGATTACAGGCGTGAGCCACCGCGCCCGGCCAGACACAGTTTTCTTCATGTGAGGTAGAAATAACACATGCCTTTAAGGACTGCAGAATGATGAGTGGTGATGTTCTTGAACTCTTCCAATACTCCACATATATACATTATTTCTATCCCTGGAAAATTTGCATTAATGAAATAAAGCATTCTTAGTATAATAAGTCTGAGCAGATGAGAATTTAAGTGAAGGTTCTATACACACCTGATGCACGACAGGCAGACCCCCAAATTGAGGCTTAGCCCGAGAGGGTTCTTAGCTTCACCCACGAAACAATTTCAAAGGCAAGCCAGTGGTGTTAAACAACGACTTTTATTGAAGCAGTAGCCTACAGCAGCCGCAGAGGTACTGCTTCTTGCAGAGCAGGGCTACCCCCTAGGCAGCGTGCCCAGCTTAGGTAGCTTAGAGGGAGTTCTGCAGTCATACTTAGACCCACTTTTAATTATATGCAAATTAAGGGGCAACTTATGCAGAAATTTCTAGGATGAAGGTTGTAACTTCCGGGTTGTCCAGGTTGTTGCCGTGAAAAAGGGCAGTAATTTATGGGTATTGCCATGGCAATGATAAACCAAGATGGCACATTGGTGGGAGTGTCTTATGCGGAGGTGTTTCCACCCTGACCTGTTTGAGCTAGTCCATCATTTGGTCAGGTATCCAAGCCCGACCCCCAAAGCCTAGTCCTGCCTCCTACCACACACCCAGAAATATGGATTTATTCCCATGTCCGGTGCAAATGTAGGAAAAGCATTATTTTCTTATTATAAGGGAGGTATTATGAAGACCAACCAACTTAAAGAGTTTCTGTGTTGGAAATTGAGAGACCTCATTTCCTTCTGTGTTTACCCCACAAATGCCCGCAGGGGCTCTGAAGTTTTGTAGCAGCAACCTCATCTTACATCCTTGTCATTACAAGTAAACAGTGCCACACAATTAATAACTAATAATAGTTACAAGAAATATCACTTATTGAAGGTCTCCAGTCTATTAAGTATTTTATAATTATTAACATATTGATGGATGCTATATTTTGTTTTCAAGTTAGTTTGAGTTTCTTTTCAGCTTTACTGACATATAATTGACAGTTAAAATTTGTATATATTCAACATGTACCACAAGATGATTTGATATATGTATACATTGTGGAATGTTTACCACAATCTAAATAATTAGCACATCTATTGCCACACATAGTTACCATTGTGTGTGTGTGTGGGTGTGTGTGTGTGTATGGTGAGGACACTAAGATTTTCTCTCTTGGCAAATTTCAAGTAACCAGTGCTGTATTATTAACTATAGTCACCATGTTGTACATTCGATCTGAAGGGTACTACATTGTTATGGTTAAGAGTGTAGTCCCGCATGTTGTCACCATAAGTGGGAGCTGAACAATGATAACACATGGACACAGGGAGGGGAGCATCACACACCCACACACCGGGGCCTGTTTGGGAGTGAGGGGCTGGGGTAGGGATAGCGTTAGGAGAAATACCTAATGTAAATGATGAGTTGATGGGTGTAGCAAACTAACATGGCACATGTATACCTATGTAACAAACTTGCATATTGTGCACATGTACCTTAGAACTTAAAGTATAATAATAGTAAAAGAAAACAGTATAGTTTCTCAAGCTCAATAATTCTGGGTTGGAATCTCACTTCCATTATGTCTTAATTGAGTGACTTCTGGTCCATTGTTTATGCTTCATATTCCTCATGATTTTTTTTCTGTAAAAAAATACTAATGAATTATTGTCTGATATATAGAATATTTGTTGAATGAACACCTGCTTAGGCGAGATGGTAAATGTGATGTTTAGCACTGTGTTACATATATCATTACTCTGTTAATTCTTGCAGTAATTTAACTGGTCAGTAACAATAATAATAATAATAATAATAATAAACAGTTTAATAAAATGCTTAGGATGTCCTAAGCACTTTGTATATATAATTCATTTAATCTATACTACACTATTTTATATAGATATTATCTTCCAAGTTTTTTTTTCAGAGGACATTGAGGATCAGCAAGATTGAGTACTTTGCTTAACCCGTGAACTCAGGTCAGAATTACTCCAAACATAATTTTTAACTACAAAATGTCTATCATTCTACCTCTGAATTTGTTGTTGTTTTTAACTTCCATACATCTGATTTGAAATTCCTTTATATATTTGGGGACCTTTTCACTTTATGAGTCTTGTTGAGGGACAGTGCCTTTCTCCCACTGTTTAAACTGAAAATACCAGACACATTTACATGTAAACAATGTGAAGGAAAGTTGACTCTCTTTATTTTTTTTTTTAGAAGTAAAGTTTAAAGTCTTTTTATTTTATTTTATTATTATTATGCTTTAAGTTTTAGGGTACATGTGCACAATGTGCAGGTTAGTCACATATGTATACATGTGCCATGCTGGTGTGCTGCACCCATTAACTTGTCATTTAGCATTAGGTATATCTCCTAATGCTATCCCTCCCCCCTTCCCCCACCCCACAACAGTCCACAGAGTGTGATGTTCCCCTTCCTGTGTCCATGTGTTCTCATTGTTCAATTCCCACCTATGAGTGAGAATATGCAGTGCTTGGTTTTTTGTTCTTGCGATAGTTTACTGAGAATGATGATTTCCAATTTCATCCATGTCCCTACAAAGGACATGAACTCATCATTTTTTATGGCTGCATAGTATTCCATGGTGTATATATGCCACATTTTCTTAATCCAGTCTATCATTGCTGGACATTTGGGTTGGTTCCAAGTCTTTGCTATTGTGAAGAGTGCTGCAATAAACATACGTGTGCATGTGTTTTTATAGCAGCAGGATTTATAGTCCTTTGGGTATATACCCCGTACTGGGATGGCTGGGTCAAATGGTATTTCTAGTTCTAGATCCTTGAGGAATGGCCACACTGTCTTCCACAATGGTTGAACTAATTTATACTTGCGCCAACAATGTAAAAGCATTCCTATTTCTCCACATCCTCTCCAGCACCTGTTGTTTCCTGACTTTTTAATGATTGCCATTCTAACTGGTGTGAGATAGTATCTCATTGTGGTTTTGGTTTGCATTTCTCTTATGGCCAGTGATGGTGAGCATTTTTTCATGTGTTTTTTGGCTGCATAAATGTCTTCTGTTGAGAAGTGTCTGTTCATGTCCCTTGCCCACTTTTGGATGGGGTTGTTTGTTTTTTTCTTGTAAATTTGTTGGAGTTCATTGTAGATTCTGGATATTAGCCCTTTGTCAGATGAGTAGGTTGCGAAAATTTTCTCCCATTTTGTAGGTTGCCTGTTCACTCTGATGGTAGTTTCTTTTGCTGTGCAGAAGCTCTTTAGTTTAATTAGATCCCATTTGTCAATTTTGTCTTTTGTTGCCATTGCTTTTGGTGTTTTAGACATGAAGTCCTTGCCCATGCCTATGACCTGAATGGTAATGCTTAGGTTTTCTTCTAGGGTTTTTATGGTTTTATGTCTAACGTTTAAGTCTTTAATCCATCTTGAATTAATTTTTGTATAAGGTGTAAGGAAGGGATCCAGTTTCAGCTTTCTACATATGGCTGGCCAGTTTTCCCAGCACCATTTATTAAATAGGGAATCCTTTCCCCATTGCTTGTTTTTCTCAGGTTTGTCAAAGATCAGATAGCTATAGATATGCAGCGTTATTTCTGAGGGCTCTGTTCTGTTCCATTGATCTATATCTCTGTTTTGGTACCAGTACCATGCTGTTTTGGTTACTGTAGCCTTGTAGTATAGTTTGAAGTCAGGTAGCATGATGCCTCCAGCTTTGTTCTTTTGGCTTAGGATTGACTTGGCGATGCGGGCTGTTTTTTGGTTCCATATGAACTTTAAAGTAGTTTTTTCCAATTCTGTGAAGAAAATCATTGGTAGCTTGATGGGGATGGCATTGAATCTATAAATTACCTTGGGCAGTACGGCCATTTTCATGATATTGATTCTTCCTACCCATGAGCATGGAATGTTCTTCTATTTGTTTGTATCCTCTTTATTTCATTGAGCAGTGGTTTGTAGTTCTCCTTGAAGAGGTCCTTCACATCCCTTGTAAGTTGGATTCCTAGGTATTTTATTCTCTTTGAAGCAATTGTGAATGGGAGTTCACTCATGATTTGGCTCTCTGTTTGTCTGTTATTTGTGTATAAGAATGCTTGTGATTTTTGTACATTGATTTTGTATCCTGAGACTTTGCTGAAGTTGCTTGTCAGCTTAAGGAGATTTTGGGCTGAGACAATGGGGTTTTCTAGATATACAATCATGTCACCTGCAAACAGGGACAATTTGACTTCCTCTTTTCCTAATTGAATGCCCTTTATTTCCTTCTCCTGCCTGATTGACCTGGCCAGAACTTCCAACACTATATTGAATAGGAGTGATGAGAGAGGGCATCCCTTTCTTGTGCCAGTTTTCAAAGGGAATGCTTCCAGTTTTCGTCCATTCAGTATGATATTGGCTGTGGGTTTGTCATAGATAGCTCTTATTATTTTGAGATACATCCCATCAATACCTAATTTATTGAGAGTTTTTAGCATGAAGCGTTGTTGAATTTTGTCAAAGGCCTTTTCTGCATCTATTGAGATAATCATGTGGTTTTTGTCTTTGGTTCTGTTTATATGCTGGATTACATTTATTGATTTGCATATATTGAACCAGCCTTGCATCCCAGGGATGAAGCCCACTTAATCATCGTGGATAACCTTTTTGATGTGCTGCTGGATTTGGTTTGCCAGTATTTTATTGAGGATTTTTGCATCAATGTTCATCAAGGATATTGGTCTAAAATTCTCTTTTTTGGTTGTGTCTCTGCCTGGCTTTGGTATCAGAATGATGCTGGCCTCAGCAAATGAGTTAGGGAGGATTCCCTCTTTTTCTATTGATTGGAATAGTTTCAGAAGGAATGGTACCAGTTCCTCCTTGTACTTCTGGTAGAATTCGGCTGTGAATCCATCTGGTCCTGGACTCTTTTTGGTTGGTAAGCTATTAATTATTGCCACAATTTCAGAGCCTGTTATTGGTTTATTCAGAGATTCAACTTCTTCCTGGTTTAGTCTTGGGAGGGTGTACGTGTCGAGGAATTTATCCATTTCTTCTAGATTTTCTAGTTTATTTGCGTAGAGGTGTTTGTAGTATTCTCTGATGGTAGTTTGTATTTCTGTGGGATCAGTGGTGATATCCCCTTTATCATTTTTTATTGCGTCTATTTGATTCTTCTCTCTTTTTTCTTTATTAGTCTTGGTAGCGGTCTATCAATTTTGTTGATCCTTTCAAAAAACCAGCTCCTAGATTCATTAATTTTTTGAAGGGTTTTTTGTGTCTCTATTTCCTTCAGTTCTGCTCTGATTTTAGTTATTCCTTGCCTTCTGCTAGCTTTTGAATGTGTTTGCTCTTGCTTTTCTAGTTCTTGTAATTGTGATGTTAGGGTGTCAATTTTGGATCTTTCGTGCTTTCTCTTGAGGGCATTTAATGCTATAAATTTCTCTCTACACACTGCTTTGAATGTGTCCCAGAGATTCTGGTATGTTGTGTCTTTGTTCTCGTTGGTTTCAAAGATCATCTTTATTTCTGTCTTCATTCCGTTATGTAGCCAGTAGTCATTTAGTAGCAGGTTGTTCAGTTTGCATGTAGTTGAGCGGTTTTGAGTGAGTTTCTTAATCCTGAGTTCTAGTTTGATTGCACTGTGGTCTGAGAGACAGTTTGTTGTAATTTCTGATCTTTTACATTTGCTGAGGAGAGCTTTACTTCCAAGTATGTGGTCAATTTTGGAATAGGTGTGGTGTGGTGCTGAAAAAAATGTATATTCTGTTGATTTGGGGTGGAGAGTTCTGTAGATGTCTATTAGGTCTGCTTGGTGTAGAGCTGAGTTCAATTCCTGGGTATCCTTGTTAAATTTCTGTCTCGTTGATCTGTCTAATGTTGACAGTGGGGTGTTAAAGTCTCCCATTATTATTGTGTGGGAGTCTAAGTGTCTTTGTAGGTCACTCAGGACTTGCTTTATGAACCTGGGTGCTCCTGTATTGGGTGTATATATATTTAGGATAGTTAGCTCTTCTTATTGAATTGATCCCTTTACCATTATGTAATGGCCTTCTTTGTGTCTTTTGATCTTTGTTGGTTTAAAGTCTGTTTTATCAGAGGCTAGGATTGCAACCCCTGCCATTTTTTGTTTTCCATTTGCTTGGTAGATCTTCCTCCATCCTTTTATTTTGAGCCTATATGTGTCTCTGCACGTGAGATGGGTTTCCTGAATACAGCACACTGATGGGTCTTGACTCTTTATCCAATTTGCCAGTCTGTGTCTTTTAATTGGAGCATTTAGTCCATTTACATTTAAAGTTAATATTGTTATGTGTGAATTTGATCCTGTCATTATGATATTAGCTGGTTATTTTGCTCATTAGTTGATGCAGTTTCTTCCTGGCCTCGATGGTCTTTACAATTTGGCATGATTTTGCAGTGGCTGGTACCGGTTGTTGCTTTCCGCGTTTAGTGCTTCCTTCAGGAGCTCTTTTAGAGCAGGCCTGGTGGTAACAAAATCTCTCAGCATTTGCTTGTCTGTAAAGTATTTTATTTCTCCTTCACTTATGAGGCTTAGTTTGGCTGGATATGAAAATCTGGGTTGAAAATTCTTTTCTTTAGGAATGTTGAATATTGGCCCCCACTCTCTTCTGGCTTGTAGAGTTTCTGCCGAGAGATCCACTGTTAGTCTGATGGGCTTCCCTTTGTGGGTAACCCGACCTTTCTCTCTGGCTGCCCTTAACATTTTTTCCTTCATTTCAACTTTGGCAAATCTGACAATTATGTGTGTTGGAGTTGCTCTTCTCGAGGAGTATCTTTGTGGCGTTCTCTGTATTTCCTGAATCTGAATGTTGGCCTGCCTTGCTAGATTGGGGAAGTTCTCCTTTATAATATCCTGCAGAGTGTTTTCCAACTTGGTTCTATTCTCCCCGTCACTTTCAGGTAGGCCAATCAGACATAGATTTGGTCTTTTCACATAGTCCCATATTTCTTGGATGCTTTGTTCATTTCTTTTTATTCTTTTTTCTGTAAACTTCCCTTCTCGCTTCATTTCATTCATTTCATCTTCCATCACTGATACCCTTTCTTCCAGTTGGTTGCATCGGCTCCTGAGGCTTCTGCATTCTTCACGTAGTTCTCGAGCCTTGGCTTTCAGCTCCATCAGCTCCTTTAAGCACTTCTCTGTATTGGTTATTCTAGTTATACATTCGTCTAAATTTTTTTCTCTTTATCAGTCTTCCTTGAAACTGGAAGACAGTCAGATGACCTAGGATTGGTCAATTACACTCAAGTCCTATATTTTGAATTAGAAATGAATGATATGAGGAAGCAAGGACCTCAGAGAAGCCCTTCCAGGAGTAATTGAGGAGGCAGCAGTGCCTGGGTCAGCATCCCGTATCCTGCTCCTGTTGGGTCAGCGAGGCAGGCCTGCACATACACTTAATTTTGCATGATTCTATAATTTTGATAGCGTGCCCTAAGTTCTGGTTCTTTAGTCTGCTTCTAGTTACTGAAACTTAATCAATAACCTTTCAAAAATCATTTTCTGCTCAAATCAGCTGTATCTGGCTCCTGTTGCTTGCAAATAAGCACTTTCTTGATATCCACCTACATATCCAGGAAGGTATAATATATTCCTGTCAGGGACAAGAGCAGGAAAGCTTCCTGAGCATCTGAGAGTGAGGAAAAAGAAGGAAGAATTGGAGCCAATTCTGCTTGTTTTAGAATTGTATTTGTAGCTGCCCGTTTTACATATCACATGCTAAACTTCACCTCTCTTTACCCAATTACAGACACCTGAGGGGTAAACTCTGTGTTGGCAACCCAACAGCCCTCTGTGCTGGGCCACAGGCATCCCAGGATGTGAAAGACTTCCCTCAATGTCTTTGTTACTTGAGGCTACATCATTCCTCTCTTTGGAGATCAGCTTCTGTTGTGTGGGACAAAACGATGCGAAACCCGAACTCAAATAGAAAGATACAAAAATTAGCTACAGGTGTGCATGGCCCAGGGATGAAGTTGAGATTTCATGTAATGTGTCCTCTTTCTGTCATGACCTTGATGATGATGATAATGATGATGATGATGATGATGACGATAGCATCAGTAACATTTATTGATTTTTTCCTAGATGAAGGGCATATCATCTTAATAACCATTTTTTAATCTCCACTATGACCTAATGAAGTAAGCATTATATTATTTCAATATCCTCGAGGGTCAAAAAAATTAAGGAAGTTATTCTAGCTCACAACTGGGTGGTAGAACAACAATGACTGGACACTGGATCTGCCTGAATTATATTGTGTGAGCAGAGCCACTTACCTATTTCTGGCATATTGTAACTCAGAAGCTCTGGGGTTATTGTAGAGCAGCTGAGTGTGGTTGAACTAAGATGTCTTAATAGATAATATTAATATAAAGTAAATTACTTTAAAGTATCTTGGCATATATTGCGTTACTCTCATATCTGTCATTGGTTCTATTGGTAACTGTTGAGAAACTCATAACGTGAATCCTAATTCGGCCTCTAACTCATCGTTTATTTGACCTAATTGAGGCAATTATCTTTGTGTTGTTTTCTTTCCTACAGACATAAACTGAGCATCCAAAACATGCCCACCATCTTGTAAGTATATGCCATTAGTTTTATAGGTGCTCAATAAGATGGAGAAAGAGAAAAAGACACAAAAATACACCTCTCAGCATTTGAAATACAGTCATCAATTTTTGTGCCTTTTATATTGTCAGTTCCTTTTAACATTTACTAACACCCACACAATTTATATTTTTAATAAAGCAATTTCCTTACCAAACATTTTACATTTGGTTATTAGTTATATTCTGGTATTCTAACAATAACACTAATAATTATAAGCTGTTGAAAAATTCATCAGACCCTACATTTTTATCCCCACATCCTGAAAATAAAGTGGGAAATAAGGTAAAGAGTAGAAAATCTGCCTATGTTTTTCTTCGGATGACATGAGATGCTCACCTAATATCACTCCTTTAGCATTTTCTATTAAATTGTTCATTCTTTCCTGGGGGCATATGAACAGCTTCCATTACGGTAAATGTCAGTCTTGAGTGCAAACCTAGAAGAGGGCAAATGGAAAACTTTTAGACAATAAGTCAACTTTTCTTCAAAAGTTCAACCACTATACATTCCATGGTGAAAATATTTCTATGTACAGATGAAACCTCTTAGGTTTGGGGAAATTTCAATAGCAGATAGTGATCCTGAGTACACCTAGTTCATTTCTCTCTGCTTTTCCCCCTTGTTACATTGAGATTAAAATCTGTAGCAGAATTACATATTAAGCAGTCTAGGAAATTGATATGACATTTGGTCTGAATCTCCAAAGTAAATTTTAGATGAAGATGCTATGAAATTCACATAAGAAAAAATCATCAGAAATATTTTTATATTATCAAATGTACTGCAATAATGAAAGCAAATCCCACTTCTAGCTAATGAAACATGATTCTTTAGGTGATATTATATTGTGGCAGAAAAGGGATTTATGTCATCTATTGTTTCTATCCTAAAAATGCTAGAATGGGAGCAAATAAGCCAAATTAATTGTAATATATACATTGTAATTGTAATATATACATACATCTCTATAGGTGTATATATATACATATGTGTGTATATATGTATATACAAATATATACACATATATATTGCATACACACATGTGCACACATATAAGTAAAATTTCAACTTGCATCCTCAGAGCAGGTTTTGTGGGGAAGATAGGATGTAAACTGGGTAGGCTTCCAGCAGCTTTACTCGATTCTGACTTTAGGATAAAATCAAGCATTTCAACTGGTCAGTCAGTCTGACCTTGATGGAAAAGCATTCATCTGGATGGAACACTATAATTAAACATGCAGTTGTAGAGATGCCCTGGCTGTATTATTCCAGTGCCTGGAAGGTATTGAAACATCTATTTTCTCTAGGAGATGGAAAGGTATCTCAAGTGAAGTCTAAGTGTAATAAACAGAGGCCAGTGCTCTTTGTTGGGACATTGCTTTGATCCTATAACAAGTAACAATTTCATAATCTGTTTAAGATTGTCTTTATCCAAGAGGGTTCTTAGCAATAGGAGTAGAAAAGAAAAGCCGCTCTTTCTGGGTTCTTGCTCTTTGTCTATGAACCAGAGAAGGTGCCAATAGATGAACCAGGTCACAGCTATCCACAGCAGGAGACAGGACGATTATTAACACTCAATCTACTGGAAAGTAAATGGAAGTCTAAAGAAAGACTCCAAAGATTTCTATACCTTATATACTTGATACACCAAAAGTGTCGCCTCAGTGGATCCCTTCCCCCAAAATGCCAATATGTTTTTGCCAGTGTGTGACAGAATCTGAGGGGTGAAATTAAGGAAAAGAATGGAAAGCTGCCTTAAGATTCTAGCTCTTTGAACAGGGAACAAACAATACGTTTTCAATAATCTTAGCAACCACACTTGTAATAATGACCATCAGAATAACTGCTGTTTTCTGCCATATGGTAAGAACACTACCAAACTTATTTTTTTCTTCAACTTTACAACTCAAATTCTCTTATTATTTTCATTTTACAAATTAGGAAAGTGAAGCTCAGAGATACTGTCATTTGGCCAAGATCACACAGCTAGTAAGAGATAAGTCTGAACCCTTTTTGTTGGATACCAAAGACCACAATTTTAGTCCTTCAGAATCTATCTCAGAGCATTTGAGTAAGTTAATTTTAAAAAGTCCTCCTAATCAGATTGATCAGGCCATTATATTAGGTTAAGCAAAGTGGGAAAATGGCATAAGAATATTTGAATTGTAAATACAAGAATTTACTTGCATCTAAGTTATCCACATAATATTTAGCTGATAGCTTCATGATTACAACAACTGAATGGAAATGAACATGTTTTGCTGTTTGGAATAAGATTGCCCATTGAGTAAAAATATATATTTATTCCTCACCCAATATGACATGAGGTGCAGACGACATTGAGATGCCATCTAGTAGTGCTCCTATGTAGTTCATCATGTCAGCCCAGCCAATAATTTTAAAATGTTTTGAGTCTATAATGAATGCACCCATAAAGCATATTTCTAATCAATGCAAATATTTTCCTATGCTAAACCCGAGTTAAATTATAACATGCAGCATAAGATTAATGGGCCATTTTTTCTTCATCAGTTTGTTAAATTACTTAGTTTGGAAGCCATTCCAAAGGATGTGAATTGGAGCTGTGCTGTGCTGTTGCAATGAGATTCTGCTTTTTTGATGAAAGTATTCCCACGCCTGCCCCTTACTTCTAGCTTCTTAGGAAAGAAGGGAAAGTTTCTTCTGGTAAAAAGTAACATGTTTATGGGCTGGCTCATATAGTATGAATGAAAGAATTATGTGTCTTCTAAGCCAAGCCTGTTTTGGCATATAAAATAATTTTTACCTATCATTTCATAAAATGAACATTTGATTTTCAGGTGAAGTCTTAGGTCATTTGACTCCTGGATCACTTTCATGAATAGATTTTGCTTGATATAACTTGTAACTCAATATATTAACTGCAATTCAGTCTGCCTAGCTGATGTGCATAATCTAAAATGCAAGTCCCTGCAGGGTAAGCATTGCACCTGCATCATCAGTGTGGCCTGATTTTGAGCTCAACGTCTAGCATTTAGGAGATGTTCAATAAGTGGTAGTGAGGTTTGCTTTCCACTTTAGAGAGAGGCAGGGTATTCACTCACTCTTGTGTCTGGTGAACACTGGATACAAGAATCTTGCTACATTATTCTTCATTTCCCTTTGTGTGCAGGCTGAAGATTTTTTTTTCCTTCTTAAAATGCCTATCTCCACTTGTTTTCCTGGAAAATAACTCTTCTTTCTTGAATTCTTAGTCCCATTGTTGACTGCTTGAGATTGCATTTATTACTTCCTCACAAAGAGAATTTATTTCGTCTTCAACTGTGCTCCAACAATTGTGTGTGCATGTGAATGTATGTGTGTGCTCTATTACAACAGCTATCATATTGTATCATGGTTATTTGTTTGCCTAAGTGTTTGAATGATCAGAAAGAATTCTTGAGTGTGGTGTATTTCTGTTTGACAGTTATCCTGAGCAAATTACTCCAACACATAGTCGGTGCTCCTAGGATACTGGCTGAATTGAATTACATTTTATTGCCAACATATAGACAATAATATCTCATTGTTCTTTTGAATTCCAGCTGGGAAATCAGCTGGAAATGAACCCTAAAAGTTCTGTACCTCATACTATTGAACAGCTTCTTTAGTTATTGTGTATGGGAAGCAGTACTGCTTGTCCTGCTAGTTCTCAAAGTGTGGTACTCAGACCAGCACATCAGCATCACTGGGGAATTGCAAATTCTTGGGCCTTGCCCTAGACGGAAAGAGTCAGGGACTCTGGGATTGAGCCCCAGTGTCTGTGTTTTAACAAATGCTCCAGGTGACTTCAATGCCTACTCAAGTTTAAGAACCACCAGTTTAGATCTAGAGCTTAAGCTTTAAGCTTGGAGCAGACCTGACTCTTAAACTCCACTCAGCCATTAGAGTGACCTTGAGCAAGTTACTCCTGGTACCTTCTCACCATTTTTGTGTCTTGCTTAGCTTATTGGGATAATTACATTAGATTAGTGCATTCAGGAGAGTGCCTGAAACACAGTACGTGTTCAATAAATGCTAGCTGTTACCATTATCATCGTTCAGAATGTATTAACTCATCCTGAAGACACATTTCACATAAAGGTAATAATGTGGTTTGTAAAATTAGCAGCTTAGAAGAAATGTATTAAGAAGTTCATCAAACAAGGTTTCAGCAGGAAATCTGTGGTACTCTGAAAAGGGCAATTTGAGCAGGATGTAGGGAAACAGAGATAGTGTAGCATTAGTGGGTCAGCAAAAGCTTGGCCACTTTTATCACTCTTGGTCTAGCAGGGAAGGAGAAGAAAGGCACTGCTGGAGAGTGGGGGCCTCCCCATAGAGGCTGTGGCCTTAAGTTGAGGGATGCCGCCATCCATCACTCAGCAACTTGGCAGGGAGGAAACCAAAGGAATAAACACCTGACCTCACTCTTCTTTCACCTTTTCTCTCATCTCCCATGGGTGTTCTCCATTGGTGAACCCAGTGAGAAGCTAGAAGGCAAGGACATCCATCAAGTTAGGCCATGCGAGACATCCAGGGCACAGAGCTGGATGGAGAAAGAATTCGAAAGGGCTGATAGGATATATATTGTCAGCTGTAAAATCACTTGTCGTTCTCATGTGATGGCCATTACAGAAACAGAGAGAGACAAGTAGTTAGTGCTTATTTGGCAGACCCAGAAAGCTTCAGGGTAGAACTGGCATTTGAATTGGGCGTGAAAGGAAAATTTGGGTTTTAATGATGACTATGAAGTAGGGATTGGTGAGAGACCAAGGACGAAAGAGTGTCATTCCAAATAGAGATAAAGCAATGGCACAAAGACAAAAAAAAAAAAAAAAAGGCAGGGCAGAGCACGTGGTAGAAACAGTGAATGTTCTGTGTGTGACTGAGCAGAAATGGAACAGGCAGAGGCTGGAAGTTAAGATAAAGTCAATATTTGAATAACATCAGAGTTCCCTCCTTTAACCTCAATTTCCACCTTCTACTCTCTTCACCAAGACTAGGAAAATAAAAGTGAACTTAAATTGGGGGCCAAGGATGACAGTGTCAAGAAAAAGATACCTCCCAAAAATAGGTTGGCTGAGGTTACCTATTTTGGCTATTTTTTTTGGAGGGGTACCAGGTGTGGTGGTACCAACCTCCCAGCTACTCTGGAGGCGAAGGCAGGAAGATCACTTGAGCCCAGGAGCTATGATTGCACCTCTGCACTACAGGGCAGCAGTATGAGATTCTATCTCAAAAAAACAAAAAAAAAAAATGAAGAAAGAAAAGAAAAGAGCACTGGAGCACTGATAAGACCTTGGTGAAGCTGGGTGCATGACTGGTGGTATTGCCACAGTAGAGTATGGGCAAGTGGTTGTGACAAATTCAGGCTGGGTTCTTGACTCTTGACTTCCATCAATTTACTTAAATGCTCTAGGTTTCCATATTGCAATCAGTAAAATAGGGGCAAAATCTAGCTTCCTCAAGTGTTGCTGTGAGGATCTAATAAGAAATAGAGGTAAGAGTTGAGTCCAGTAATGAAGTCGGAAAACACATGAGCTAAGGTGATAATGATCATAATAAGAATAATAGCTATCATCCATTGAATGCTTGTTATATCCCTGATACTGTGCTAGTTCTTTTACATATCTTTTCTCACTTAGTTTTATCTATTTCTATAGGGAAGACCCAATTGATGACTCATTAATGAGGAAAGTATCAAAGTGAAAATGTACTAGGAAATTAATTCTTAATGAATCTGTCAGCTTTTTATTACAGGGCATGTAAAATATCTGACAAAGAGCTGGGCATAAAATACTTAATTGGACAACTTTTGATAAAATATTAACTTAATAAGCATAAATAGGTTGAGGATTTTTGGAGGGCATGTGATAATAATAGTATTAGTGTGATGTCTTTTGAAAGTGCTAAGTTCTCTAGAGGTCAAAAGGAGAGGCAGGAAAAGGTGAAAAGTTTTCTCTGAAAGTTATGGGGAAACCAGGTTGTTAAGACAACAAAATGGGAAGTCGTAAAAGGTCAAGTTACTCATAGGCCTTCTTAAAATAGGTCCATGAGAAATGTTTACAGTGATTGGATGCCAGAGAAAAAGAAAATCTCTGGCTTCATAAACTGTAATTTATTTTAGACAAACTGACTAATGATAAAAATAAAGACAATATGATGGACTTTTGACAGTTTCATTGACCAAACTAAGACTAAAAAGCCTAAACATCAAGATGTTCATACTTTTAATCAACTTCAGAGGTGAGCAAAGAGAACATCTGAAAAGTTAAGGGGCTTTTATCCAAGGTCACACATTTAATTAGAGGTGTGTGTGTGACATAAACCCATTTCTAAAATTCTCAAGTCAGTATCTTTACAGAAGTCAAATACGTCTTTGTCAAAAATAGCTTTAACTTACTTCCAGGAAAAAGGCAAAACAAAATAATTGGAGCAATAATGGATACAGATATAACAGCTAATTCAAGAATCCCAAAATAAAGGTGAAAAGTAAGGAAATTATTAGTTAAGATAATCTGGAAGTCTACTAAAAGGGGAATATGTTTAGAGATGGCAATTTGGGAACAATGTGTCCTCAAAAGTAAAAGATCAAATTACAAGCAGTTTGGGGACCTTTAAGAGAGATTTTATAGATTGAACAACAATTTAAGAATAAAACAAGGGGCTGACATGTGAACAGCAGCCTGGAAAGTGTTGCAGAAAAGCCACATCACTCTAAACTTCAGTTTCTGTATATTTGGACTGACTGGAGGGCGTGAAATCAGTTGTTTTAAAAGCACAATAAATAATCCAACCATCTGGCGAATAATACAAGCTATTCTTTGCACAGACGTTAATTTATGCACTTAGACACCACTTAAAACTAAAATTGAACAAAATACATAATCTTGATATTATTATATAAAAAAAGGAAAGATAACCTTTGCCCTGAATAGGCAGGATAAAGATGAGGGCAAAGATATTCAGAAGGAGAGTATTCTTGAAAAAAATTATATTAACATCTGTTAGCTACATCAGATTTGAAATGCGATGATATACAGAAAGAGAAGTCTACTATTGATTTTTAAAAGGGAATGTGTTGGCTGAAAGAGAGAAGAAGCTTATAGAGAGACCGAAAGGGTTCTTTTAAGGATATATTTGAATGTCATTTCAAAAAATAAACACATTTCCCATAACAATGCAGTGAGGTTAAAAGAATAATGCAGGTGAAAGCTTTTTGGCCCAAATAAGGTCCATCAGGGCTAGGTATTATTGTTTAACACACCACGACCTAGCCCTGCAAGCACCAGGCTGTGGCTATTTTTACAAGATCCAGTGCAACATTCACAGTATTTCTGGCATTAGAACCTGGCACAGATCATTTTGTTTGCATTTTTGTGATGCCTGCTCTACTCAGATTGAATAACCCCTCATTTAAAAAACTGGAAAATAGTTTTCTTCATTTAGTTTATTCTCCAGGTTGAGTTTTCCTAACTCTTAGAGCTCTAAAATTAATGATTGGATGTATATTACATTTACATTTGTTTTTATTTAGGAGTTAGCCAGGGGTGACAATGTAATTAAATAAGAGTTAATGACAGATGCCAAAATATGAATAATTAACAGACAAGTTATTTTAATCATACATATTATACAACAAGATCCATCTGAGAAGTACAAATATTAATAGATATAATTTGGTTGCTTAAAAAGAGTTTTTCTTCCTACCAGTTTAGCAATAAGAAGATTTATGTAGGCTGGGCGCAGTGGCTCACGCCTGTAATCCCAGTACTTTGGGAGGCCAAGGTGGGTGGATCATGAGGTCAAGAGATCAAGACCGTCCTGGCCAACACGGTGAAACCCCATCTCTACTAAAAGTACAAAAATTAGCTGAGCGTGGTGGTGCGTGCCTGTAGTCCCAGCTACTCAGGAGGCTGAGGCAGGAGAATCGCTGGAACCCGATAGGTGGAGGTTGCAGTGAGCCGAGATTGCACCATTGCACTCCAGCCTGGCCAGCCTGGTGACAGAGCAAGACTCCGTCTAAAAAAAAAAAAAAAAAAAAAAAAAAAAAAAAATATGTAGAATAATTTGAAGAGAGAAATCTTTTCATTTTTTTCTTTGTTTTGTTTTGATTTGTAATATATGTGAAATCTTTTTGAGGCCTTTGGTAATACACCAAGATTAATGAGTTTTTAACTTTGTGTTGACTAGTATTTTTGTTATTTTTAAATTTTTATTTTAGCTTTAATCTTTTTTGCTTCCATTTATCTTTTTATTTAGGAATAATGTATTTTTCTAAGCATCATAATATCAGTGAAGTCCTCTTAAGTTTCTATTTGTTGAACTCTCCTTGACTATACATTTTTGTATGTTTTTAATTTTCTACATGTTTGATAAGAACTTGTCTGTCTTAAGAACTTTTTTTTATTTGCCCTATGAAGATAAGATGTATGGGGATTTCCTTGAGCTTAAACTGAGAAAAAAACCTAATTTTTATATGAAAAGACAAAGACTTTATTACGAAGTGAGTTAATGTTATATGTACATTTGAAATAATTTATTCACTTCAACCAGACCACCCTGTTCCTAACCTAACCTCCGGATTAATGTCTACCGTGAAGCACATACTTCTAATACATGGCATTGCCTTGTATTACTTCAGGTCCACAGAAATTTGTTTTGTCTTCTGGCAAAAAAGCATTAGCTTTTTGCACAATTTTTTAAAATGACAGCTATCCAAATTGCAAGCTGGAAGATTGTGTATGAATACAGAAAATGAAAAATTTTAGGCAACCACAATGTCTGGGTTAAACCTTTTTATCATTTGGAGAAAGAATTTGGAACCCAAAGCCCAAATTTATAGATTTTTAATGTTATTGAAGTATATTCCTCCATTTTATAGATAAAAATTTGAGTTACAGAAAATCCAAGTTAAATAAGTTTAACGTTTAGAACTAAGAGTCAACTTGCCCCAGACACCTGAATAAACTTGTTCTATTATCTCTTAAATTACTATTGTGTCCTGTAGTCTATTAATTACAAATGCTTCTAAGATTTAGTCTTTCAAAGACTTTTATAAGAAAACAAAAATATATTATTTCTGAAAGCAAAACATAATTGTCTAGCCAGATCTGCAGACTATTAAGATAATTTGGAGTGTCATCCAAGCAGTGTCTACTTGTTTATTCTTGACCTTCAATTTGACTTGCTCAAGAGTCGTTAAGAGTGTAGTAAGGTATAGTATGTACCCTTGAGTTTATTAAACAACACGATCACAAACAGACTCCTACACACACACACACACACACACACACACACACCCCTACTCTAGAGAATGGAATTTTAAGGGTTAGAACTTTTTATATGTTTTGGATACAGATGGACTATTATTTACTTGGCATGCTAACTAATGATTCTAAAACAATTAAAAACCAGCCTCTATCTTAAAAGCTGATTTCTATTTGCTTTCTTTGCATGGGTGACATGAGAACAATGATGATATATTTATAATGCTTATAAGTCTTAACACATTGTGCATCTTTATTTTGTTTTTAGGATACTTAGACAAATTGGACCATATACCTTATTAATATTACCCTATCAACAATGTATATGATCCATCTATTTCCCAATATTTTATAGGGTTTTTTTTTTTTGGTCTTCCCATTCCTGTGCCAGCTTAATTCCTTTTTTCTCTCCTATGTAGCATTATTGCATTCTTTGAGTCACTTCACATGCAATCTCCCAACTCATCTCTAATATTTATTTGTATGGATTTTTGAAAAACTGCCTGGATTGTTTTGTGATTCCTAATTTGTACAAAATAGTAGTGACTACAAATCACATCCTAGGTCTTAATTTTTCATGATATAATTATAGTTTTAAAATACATCTCTGTTGCTGCATATGAACTTAATTTATTGCTTCTGACACCATCTCACATTTTCACATAAGTTAATACCAAGTTTTACTTATCCATTACCCTAGTGATGAGAACGTAGGCTGTTCTCAACATTTCACTTCCATTATAAAGCAATTATCAACTCTTTTTACATGTCCCCTCTAGGAACAGGCAGTTTCTCTCTGGTTTATACTCAGATATAGAATGGCTAAGGTAGAAGTTGTATACGTACTTTAATTCACGAATTATTCCCCAGAATAGCTTCACCATTTATCTCTCACTAGCAGTTTCTCTTTAACCGTATCCTTAACCAACAAATAATATTAGTTCACATTTTAACTCTTGGAAATCTGGCATATAGAAATTCACATGTAATTTTTGTTTTAATTCCACATTTTTGTGATGCTAATGAGGTTGAGTCTTCATATACAATATTGCCATTTCTATTTTCCCATCTGTGAATTGCTCATCCATGACCTGTGCTCATTTTTCTAATAAATGTTATGTGTTTTCATTTAGATTTGTAGGTGTTCGTTTATGTTCAGATATAAATCCATTATTGATTTTTTAATGTTGTATATATCGTCTACGTGTCACTTCTTTTTAAATCTGACTTTGGCTCCATTTGTTGTACATAAATCTATAATTTTAATGTAGCCAAATTCATCCATTTTGCTTATACAATATATGCTTTTATTTGTTTTTTTAAAAAAATCTATTTTATTCCTTACTCTGAAATCACAAAGATATTTGTTTGTAGTTTTTTATTCTCTCTAAATTTTGTCTTTGACATTTAGATATTAAACTAATTGAATTTTAGTTTCAGACACTGTGCAGGATTGTATTTATAGTATTTAGTAGAATGATCTCTGAGGAAAAACTGTATGGGTTTAAGTCTCAGTTCTGCCACATACTTCTTAGGTTAGTCATTCTACTCTCATGCTTCAGTTTTCTCACCTGTAAAGTAGGATACTAGTTTGTGTCTCATAGGATTTCTTTGTGAAAATTCAGCAAGCTATATAAGACAGTGCAATATAAGTTGTATCGTTAGGTTAGGATTCAGCTCTGTGTCTCTTTATATAATGAACCTCTTTCCCCAAAGTTGGTAATTCAACGTTCTCAACAGGACTATGATGCTACCTCTTTTGTGTACTTCCTATCTTTATATAGTTCTATTTCTAGACCATCTGTTTAGTTGCATTTTCCATTTCTCACAACAGGACCACAATGTTTTTAATCATCATGACTTCCTTATGTGTGTTTTTTTTTTCTTTTGAGATGAGGTCTCAGTCTGTTGCCCAGGCTGTAGTGCAGTGATGCCATCTTGGTTCACTGCAGCCTTTACCTCCTGAGCTCAAGTTATCCTCCACCTTCAGTCTCCCAAATAATTAGAACTACAGGCACATAGCACCCTCCTTGGATAATTTGTGTATTTTTTCTGTAGAGACTGGGTCTTGCTATGTTGCCCAGGCTGCTCTTCAACTCTTGGCCTCAATTCTCCTGTCCCGGCTGCCCAAATCGCTGGGATTAGAGGCACAAGCTATCACACTTGGCTCCTAATATATCTTAATATCCGGCAGGGCAAGTTCTCCGTCTTGGTTTTGCTTTCCCAAACTGCCTTAGTTGTCTGGAGAACTTCATTCTTCCAGAATTAATTTCAAAATCGCTTTTTCACGCTGTCCTTAAAAAAAGGTTGGATTTGTATTGGAATTGCATTTAACTTATAGATTAATATAAGGAGATTGATATTATTAGTGTTACGTTGTCTCATCCTTAACTAGTGTGTATTTCCTTTACTCATGTGTCCTTTCATACAGAGTTAAAGTTTTTGCTAGGAAGATTTTCTGTACCATTTGTTATATGAAGCTCTGTATTCTCTATAGTTTTTGTTGATATTACAAGTGTATCTTATATTCTATCTGGTTATTGATGCTATTGGAAAATACTATTGATTTTAGTATATTGATCTTTTGTCTAGCCACCATGTTAAGACTTTTTTAAAATCAGATTTAATAGCTTATTTTCTTGGGTTTCCAAATAAATGAATGATCAAAACATCTATAAAATGACATTTCAATCTATATTCTTTGAAACCTTATCCCTTCCTCTTTCTCTCTCCCTCTCCGTCTTCTGTTGGCCAATTCCAATAGATAATGTTAAACAGAGACAGTAATTTTGAAAACCTTTATTTTGTTTCTCTCCTTCAGGGAAGTAATAAGATTTTTAAAAATATTAGCATGGTAATTTTAATTAGTGTTACACATATACATAATTTTGGTATATGGCCTTGGTCAAAAAAAGATAATTCTTATCTGGATCTATATTTATAAAATGTTTCCTGCCCAAAAAGTTTTGAGCTTCATTGGGTGGTTCTTATCCCCTATATCTAATGAAATGATGGTATGATTTTCTTCCTTGATTTAACTAATGTAGTCAATCATAGTCATGATTTTCTGATATTGAACTGAACTTGCATTCTGAGGGATAAACCTAAGTGGCCATATTGATTTTGTGTAAGTTAGCTTTTGTTGCATTATAAGCCACCTCACCTTTATTTGGCTTAAGATAGCAATCACTTGACAATTTGGGGTGGGTTCAACTGGGAACATTTTTCTCCTGGTTTCTCCTGGAATAATTCATACAGTTTCAGTTAGCTGATGAATCAGCAGGGTGAGATCTTGTCAGATGACGCCTCACTTACATCTTTCATGGTTGACTTGGGCAATGGGGGCACTTGATTCATGTATAATATCGTTAGGATCTGACAGGCTGCTGGGTTCCAACAGCAGCAAGACAGGTCAAGCTCCTTTGCTGTTATCTCACTGGGCAGCTGGAACAAGTTACATGCTGAAGCTAAGTCAGTGCTGAAGTGGGTGGCCCAGGGATGAGGTTGCAGGAGGGGGGATTATGCCATTATTTTTGAAACATCCTATCACATTATTTTTAATATTCTTCAAAATTCTGTGAAATAATATTATACTCAGATTTTTGGCTTCTATCTTATAAGAACAATTTGACTTAAAAATTTTATTCTTATTCAGTTTGATGTCCTTCTTCAACCTCCAATTCTCTCTTTCCAGACTGGGGGCATTTAAAATAATTGAAGGGAATAGAAATGAATATTACATCTTAGATCACATAGACTTAGACAAATGGGTCCTATCATGCACTGAGGATGTTCAGAAGGCTCTGATCTCCCAGCTGCCTCTTGAACCCATATATGCATGAAGCATTTTCAAGGAGTATAATATACAGTGTGTCTCATTTATACCATACCAGCATTTTTCTTATGTTTTTAGCTGCTGTACAAAGAATTAAATTTGAAAGTATCTCCAGGGTTGAAAAAAAAGTTTCTCTAAATATAAATTAAATTTTTACCTTGATGCAGTTTTTAACATCCTTACTTAGGTATAATTGATATACAAAGAACTGCACATATTTAGCATGTGCAATCTGATGAATTTGGACATATGCGAACACCCATTATACCATCACCACAATCAAGGTAATAGACAAATTCAACACCTCCCAATATTCCCTTAATGCATTTTTTTATAATCAATAGTATGAAAAGTAAACTAAAGATGGGTACATTTCTTGAGATGTATTCTTTTATTATTATTTTAGATACAGTGTCTTGCCGTGTTGCCCAGGCTGTCTTGAACTCCTGGGCTCAAGCGATGCACCCACCTCAGCCTTTCAATGTGCTAGAAATACAGGCATGAGCCACTATGCTTGGCCTGTTTTTTAGTTAAAAAATACTAAATTCTTGAAAAAATAAAAATACAAAGTAAAAAGGGGAAATTCTTCATCGTTCCTGTCTCTCACCTTCACAGGTGAACCTACTGTAAAGTTAGGATTTCAACTGTAAAAAGTACATGAGATGAAAATGGTTTGAAAAAGTACCGTGGAGACGTGATCATTAAAGGGTTATGCTGAACAAGATAAGTAACAGTCTGATCTCTAGTTCAAAATTATTGGCAAGAAGCGGTGCTTTAACAGCAAGGTCTAAAATCAAAGAACTATAGTTAAAACTAAAGAAAAAGCTAGAGATTATTGGGTCCAAATTCACATTTTTCGTATCAGGAACCTGAAAATCATAAATCATGAAGTGATCTCTACTTATTTCTAAGTAATTACACAATGCTACTTTCCCCTAGTTTGGCCATGATAAAGAGTGGAGGTAGAAAGAAGAATGAAAAGAAATAAGGCCATTTTTGTTTTAAGGAACCACGGAGAGAGAAAAATTATTGATTTTATCATTTCTGAGAGATAAGTTCTTTTAGAAACAAATGTCTCATTGAAGTAGGGAAATATAGGACATTATTTAGAAAACCACAACAGTCCTCTTCATTCAACCTTCTTCAGGGCAAGCACACTTTTAAGTTTATTTGTATTACATAGTATTTTAGATTATAAAATTGCTTTGTCTTTAGAAGTCAGTTTCTTTTAGCCATGTGGGGTTATTCTTAATGTATTGATCTCTCTTTCCCTCTCTGCTTTCCCTCCCTTACTCCCTTACTATTAGCCAGTAGGAAAGAAGATTACATATACTGTACATACGCTAAACTATGCAATAACAAAACTAAAAAAATAGCTAATATCGTTTTGTTAAAGAAGACAAAGAAAATAAAAAGACAAAGCAAGCAAGAAAATATTCCAGCTACAGAATCTTGAGAAAGTGGAAAGAATGTCTGGGTCCTTTCTGTCTTTGAGTAGATGTGAAAAGTAGATACCAAGGTGGCAGCTCTCTTTCTAATGTAGGAATGCCGGTTGAGCCTTTATTTTGTTTCCAAGACAACAATCTGCTTACGCGGTTCTTTCACAGTTATCTTCACCTTTGAAAATTAATAATGATGAAAAGAATACTGTGTACTTAGATGATGTCTTCTTTTCTTTTCGTCTCATGGACTCAATGCACTTAAGCTTGCAGCAATGATCTGTTTAATTCTCCGGCAATCCTGAGAGAGTGCCCTGAAAGGGCAGATGTGTTTTTCCCTCATTTCGCAGATGAAAAAACTGAGGTTCAGAGAGGCTACATGACTCAGTCAAGGTCATTCATTGTGGTGATGCCAACACCAGAAATAACTCCCCTATTTGCTTGCCTTTTCACAGGTGATTATCCACTGGTCCACTCTGACTGCTAAAATTCACTGTACCTGTCCTCGCACAGAGTCCTTGAAGTGTCCTTTTATGAGGACACTAAGACTATGGCAAGAGTAATCAGACACAAAGAATACTATATAAAAAGACCAGTCTTTTTTGTTGACTCTATCCCATAAAATTTCTCAGCCACACTGTATGAGAAACATGAGATGTCTGTTAAGATCACGTTCCTATTAGAACTAGCAAGAACTAGATTTTGCAGAGATTAAAGATATGTCTTGTGGTCTGACTGCTGAAGTGAATGCTTTGGGAGTTAGAGATGGATTTCTGGCTAGGTAAGTCAAGAATGCCCTTTTGCAATTTTTTCTCCCCATTTCTTAGAGACTTTAAATTCATGATCGACATCATATATTATAATTCAGTACCATTCATCATCCATGTTGCACGTATGTCCAGGAAAGAAAGTTGCATAAGTCATTAAATCCTTTCATGAATTCAAAAACTTATGACCCTAGGTTTAGCTCAGCAGGTAGTTTACTAGAATTATTAAATTACCCCTGTTATGGACATACAAGAACATGACGTCTGATTTACCTGTCTCTTCATAAAATGAAAATAGAACTGAGAGGTTAGGGCAAACTTTTGCATCCAACTCTTGTAGTCATCTAAGGAGGTGATCATTTATTACTACTAAGCCTGCCCTTTGATTGGTGGTTACTCCAAAATCAATAATAGTAAAACTGTCCAACTCTTTGAAGATGTTTTTCTCTCTGCCTTCTATCCCTCACGTGTATAATAAAGCAAACCACCCATTTGCCTTTCTAATTATCTGGTGTCAATTACTAATTGGAGTAAGTTAAATCTTCCCCTATAAACTCCTTCAGGACAGACCTGAGACCTTATTTTTCACTATCTTTCCAGCAGACAGCATATTCCTTGACTCAGATTAAGATCTCAGAAATGTTAGTTAGATGGGTGGATCAATTGTTGGTCCAATTGTTGGTGTCTTGCAGGACAGAAATTAACTAAAAGTACTGAGATTTCCACTGTATATAAAAAAGAAATGATTTAAGTCAGGGAAATATGCCACTACTTTTCCTTCCCATGTTCATTACAGTAATTACCCCAGTCTATCATGACATTCTTTCCCTTTGGGTCTAGACTCGATATCAGGATCCTTCTGCACAATATAAATCACGTATTCCTGTTTGATTTCAATTGGGACACAAGAAAAATCTTGTTTTCTATCCATGATATATAAATTAAGGAAAATAGTAAATTTTTATGTAAAAATTTAGATTTATAGAATAGAAAAAGTAGTTTTCAAGAACTGACCTAATACAGACTTTAGGGGGCAAATTTATGTCTAATTGAGAGCCTTTCTAGATATGATTCCTCAATGGACTGATCCTCCATATATAAAAATTCTATATTAAATCCTTATATAGGATTTTATCTATATAAGATACATGATGTCAGCTTCCTCATTGGGGAGTTGGGCTGAAGGAAAAAAATCAAGAGGTACATGGGATAATTAAAAACTGGCATCATCATCAATAAGTAGTATGTGAAAATTAATATTTAGTAGATAGGGTAAATGGACAATGAGAAATGGAGAGGTCTCACATTGAGTAGACTCATCACTAATCCATAGGTATCACCAGTGTGCCAATGTAGCAATGAATTAGGGTATTCAATGCTAGATACTGTAACAAACCCTCCTTAAATCCAGGTGGTATGACTTAATAAATGTTTATTTCACATGGTGGAGGCAAATGTAGTTCAGGCAATTATTTCTTAACAGATCACCTTCAAGTAGTCAATCAGGAACCCATGTCTCTTCCATCTTGGAATGTTGGTGTCTTAAATACACAGCCTCCTGAGTTAAAACAGAAGGGGACACAGGCAGTGTGCAAGGTTTCCTGGCCAAGTCTGGAAGTGGAGGACATATAGCCTTTTGGCCAGAATGCAAAATCATGACCTCCACCTAAATACAGTGAGCCTATAAAAGGAGTGTTCTCTTTAGTTGGGCTCAGTGTTCTCTTTAGTTTGTACACATGTAGGCCTGGCTACATGGAGGCTGAGGCAAGAGAATTGCTTGAGGCCAGAAATTCGAGAATGTTCTGGGCAACATAGCAAGAACCCACCTCTTAACAAACAAAGGATTGTTCTCTGCCCAGGAAGAGGAAACCAAAGCATCTCATTCTCTAGGACACAGTTGAAGATGGGTAATCTGTGACAAAGAAGAGCAATGTTTGCAGATGGTGACAAGTGAAGATTGAGAAAGATTGATTTCTTAGTCATGGAGGAGCACTGTCCCATCTAACAGAGTTCTATATTGCAATAAATTAAGTCATCCACTAGAAACCACCAATCCAGTACAAATATTTGTATCTACCAAGCACTGTAATAGCAACTGCAACCTACCACTATTTTTTTCCTGGGCCCTGGTTGATTTCTAGTATTTGGTATCAAGACATGAGCAATTAACTTGATGTGGGCATTAGCCCCCTCATAGGAGCTTCTAATCATCCTTAACCAAAAACAACAGGAAAGAGGGCAGATTTATTTCTCTGCTTATGAGAAAGTACCTTCTATAATCTGGCACTTTTTTTTGCCACATTCAAATAATTTTTTCTTCATGTTTCTTGGCCTACTTAATACTATTATTAAATTCTCCCTCAGCCTTTATTTGGCCAAAATATATAACCACATTTTCTTTTGCCATTCCCTTAAAAGAATCCTTCTTTTGCTTATTTACTTTTTAGAATACCTAATGAGAATTTGAAAATCATGTAATATAAAAAGATAAATAGTAGAAATTTCTTCTGGGACTTATGTTCCTTCATCCAACCAGTTTAAGAGCCCTTACCCCTTGACAACTGTTATTAGTTTCTTATGTGTCCATCAGAGTTTTCTGTGTATATATGCAAATACACATATGCATGTTTCAGAAGTTATTATATAATAAAATTACAGAAGCAGGAAACTGGAAAAAGTCATCTCAGTAAATGTTTGTACTACAAGACAAGTGGTAGCCACTAGGGAAAGTAACCAAATAACCCATCTTTGCTATTTATTTTTCAAATCGGATTTAAGAAGGGATTTTTCATGGCTAATGAAAACTTCTACTTTAGCTCTTGCTTATTTCCATTCATTTATGTTTTAAAACTTTTTTGTTTAGTTTCAAAAATTGTTTTTAGTTTTATTTAAGCGAAGAGTAAATCTTCCAAAGTTAAAAAATATCATTCTTAAAAGAGAGATTAATTTAGGCTTAGTGGAATTGATATGAAGCTAAGAACATATGATAATCATATGCATTAGACGTTTTCAAAATGATTTGCATCGTGTCAGCCACATTCAAGTCCATCGACTGTAAGAAAAATGATTCGGTAATTAAGTTGGCTTTGAAGATTGATTACACTTGGTTACTAAATAAGATCTCAGTGTTAAGCCAGATTCTCCCTCTCCCAACCATGTTCCAAAGAACACTAGTTTTATCAGACAGCCATCTGATTGTTTAGTGCTTTCTTCTTAAGGTTATTAAGTATTTTGAATATCACCTATGCTCCCACAGGACATTAATTGATATCAAGTAAAGGAAAGTAATAAAAAAGAATTTTATAATTAGTGAAATATGTTTGGGAAATGCTGCATTAGATAAAATTAAATATGTTTCTTCACTACAGGACTTCTAAGATGTAGAATGAGCTATAATATGCCCTGTGAATTTTCATGTGAAGTAGGTGTTGGTGTGAAGAATTTTTAAACTTCATTTGGCTATGCAAACCTTTGTTGGTGGAACGTTTTAAAGGAAACTTGTTTCTAGCAACTTTGGGAAATGCTGTCCTACTTTCAGCTGTGCCATTGAAATCTTAGCAGTTGGAGGGAGGCCCACCAACAAGCTCATCCAATTTCCAATATAGAAATCTTCACTATATCCGTGCTATCCTCTCATTTGGCTGTGGATGAATATTTTGATAACAGAATGTTCGATGCCATACAGATCAGCTGATTCTATGGTTGGAATGCTTTTCTGTTAGGAAGCTTTAACTTCAATGTCTTTTTTACAGTTAGAAAATTTTAACTTTTAAGAGTTCACTTATTGGACATAGATCTGATCTCTGGATTTAAAAAATCCCACTTAAGAAATTTTTATTAATCATAGACAAATTCTACCTAGAAAAAATGCTAAAATAAGTTATAAATAGTGATCAAAGATTGATTTAAAATAATTTTTTAGAATAAATTGTGATTTGAAATTTATGTCAAAATAGGTTGTTATTAAGTGAATAAAACCACATTTTCTGTTGTGTTTCATAAATTCAAGCTAAATAGCACTTATGCACAATTGTAATAATTTAAAAAACAATTACATGTTGTTTTGAGTGATTATTCCAACAAAATTGGATTATAGCATTATTCCCTTCCCTCCACTGAATATTCAACATTAGCAGTTCAAATCAAACAGGATTCTTCTGGTAAAAATTCACTGAAGGAGTTCATCAGTTTTCCTAAGCCCTCTCCTAATCATTTGATACTCAAAGAAATATATCTTGTAACTCCTATTGTGTCCATTTATCTTTTAATATATGTAGCTATATGTCTTTGCCAGATCCCCATTTAGCAATGGCTTCGTGTATTTATTCTGGAAGATTTCTGATATTATTTTCATTGGCTTTATCAGTGTAAATGGGTAGCTAGATGATATCCAATCTGCAAAATTTAGGATTTCACATTGCACTTATTTGCATTTTATTTCTTTTGTGTGGTATGATGTTCATATCTTGCATTCATCAATGAGTAATCAACTAAAACTAAATGGGTAGGTTACCAACTTAGAAAAGTTGGAATTTTGGGGCAATTTAAAATTGTGAGGATGTGAATAATGAACACTTGGATGACAAGAAATCCGTTATGTGAAAATACTTACCAGGGAACTTTGCCAATTTGATGTACTCTATTCTTATCTTTTTCTAGTTCTTGGTTACGAAGTTCTTAACTTTCCAGTAATACTGAATTTCTGACTATTTGCAGACCTCCTCATTTCTGGGTCTAGTTATAATAAACCTTTTGGTTTCATTCTTTATTCATAAAGTGATGTTTCTAGTCCGGCCAGAGGTTGTTCTGTTCAAGTTTTAGAGTACGCACAGTTTTAGTAGCAAAAGTAGGTATGGGTTGTTTGCAACCACTCAGTTTTCCACCTAACCCTACTTCTGATCAGCTTGATGCAATAGATAGATAGACAACCAGACAGAATGATAGAGTTCATAACTTTGACCAACAATCTGTGACCTTGGCCTTCTTGGCGTGCCATGCCTTCTCAAAAACAGTCTGCCAGATAAAATATCATTTTTTCTCTTGGTATTCAGGATACTACATACTCCTGTCTTTAAAAACTCCCTCCCATTATAACTCCTCATTTATTTCTTTCACACACTGAACATCCATTCACCTGAACTACATTTAATTACCTGTGGTACGAATTGTTTTCTCCTTTTCTGTTCCAAAGTATCCCCATTTCTCTGCCTAGAAAATTCCTTCATGTTATTCACAGGACTGAATCCTCCTTTGCCTTCAAGTACTTTAGAAAATGCTATTCTTTCCAGGATCAACATGTCAATTAATCAATAAACCATTAGTAGGTTCATAAGTTGCTTCAATGAAGTTCTTCAACTACTAAAAATAAAGTTGTCAATCTTTAGTAGTGATGGTTATATTGCTTCCACAGTCATATATTCTAAAAATAACTTACTTCATTTTATGCTCTCTAAAATGATATTAAAATATTCTTCATTGTTTTAGCTATTTTCACAATAGCTTTCATGATAGCTATTTAGGTGTTTTTTTTTGAGACCGAGTCTTGCTTTGTCTCCCAGGCTGGAGTGAATGGCACTGTCTTGGCTCACTGCAACCTCTGCCTCCCGGGTTCAAGTGATTCTCCTGCCTCAGCCTCCTGAGTAGCTGGGATTACAGGAATGCACCAGCACGCCTGGCTAATTTTTGTATTTTTAGTAGAGATGGGGTTTCACCATGTTGGTCAGGCTGGTCTCAAACTCCAGACCTCATGATCCACCTGCCTCGGCCTCCCAAAGTACTGAGATTACAGGTGTGAGCCACCGTGCCCGGCCCTATTTTCACATTTTGATATGTCTATGATACCAGTCTCTTGAAGACATAAAGTATTTATTAACAATTTTTTTCAGTTTTCTAGTATTTTGCCATGTTTTTCATTTAGTGGATGTTCAATAAAGTTGACTTCAAAATTTTAGAGAGCAAAGAAAATTTCCCTCAATCCTCCCCATCTCTATTCAAGACCAGTGTGGCCCCTATCGTTCTTTGCACAACATTATTTGGTTATAACAGCTAGGCCGATATTTTTGACAGGAACTCAAGAGGACAAAAAGAAAATTCTGCATGTATTGAGACTGAAGCTGATGTATGCATTTGCTTCAAGACTTATTCCTTATTGCTCCAGGACTAAATATTCCTTACTTAGGACTTACTGCTCCAGGTCCTTATTGCTCCAGGACTGCATGGTCCTTATTCAGCATTATAAATGTATTCTTAAACATATGTAATAAAGAGTCACGCTTTTATGATTTTGTGATGAATCTTATATAAAATAGTCATCCATATTTACAAATACTTTTCAGAGTGCAATTCTTTTGAAAGTTTTATTTTTACCCCTCTGTATACAACAATCATTTCACAATTAAAAAGAGCCAAAATAACAGTTTTTGGTGGTTGTCGTTGCTGTTGTGCTCTGCTATGTTTTTGTTTTATCCCATGTTGTACCTTGGAGATGATGGGCTTTTAAAATCTCATGTATAAATATTGAGTTTTTACGGTCACTTGGATGGCAGATATAAATAAATGTGAATCCTTACAATATTTCTAAATTCTTGATTTTAAAATGGGAAGCACATTCTCAACGTTCATCTTTTCATACTGTCATCAAATTTCTTACTTTAACAAAAATCGCTTGGTTCTATGCATACCAATGAACCTGCATGTTACATTTTCAAGCTCATGCTAATATGTTCTTTGCAAAATACAGAAACTTTCTTTCTATGTATTCATTGACTTTCACTATTCATCAAGGTGGTATAAATGCTTAGGTGATGCTGACCAAAAGGCATCTAAATTCATGGAAATGAATGTGAAAATGGGACAACAGAATTCAGTATCACAACTAATGGGCTTGATACTCTATTTTACCTTTCACCCAAACATAATAACAGTAAATTTTTTTTAACCAAAGACTGAGTTCTATGTGTAGTTCCAAGAAGAAATATTATGCTTAATCCATCTTTTCTTTCCTAGCCCATGAGCTTCAGCCTATGTGGATAATGGCAAAGTCAGAGTTTGATTGTTTTCTGTCTGTTCTAATCAGTGGTATAGACAACAAATAAGAACTCAGTTTGGGAAGAATTCTGGGAGTAGACTCAGAGTAAACTTTCAACAAGGCACTATCTTTGTTGATGTTGCAGCCAACCAAAATCATTGATCTGGTTACATATTTATTTGTTCTTACAAAGTCCTGTTTTTGTGCATTCAGCAAATTTCCTGAAGGCTACTGTGTGTCAGACACTAAAGATACAATAATGGGCAAAACAGACAGAGCTCATGTAGTCATGAATCTTCTGTTTTGGAAAGCTTGATGGTACTAAAGGTACCCACAGGAAGGACCGATTCAGACATTAATGAAACAGTCACACAAATGTAAAATATAAAATAAATATGTGATGCCATAAAAGCAAGTGAAAGGAGAACCAACATTATCAGGAGTTCCAAGAAAGACTTTTCTAAGTGCTATTTGAACTGAGACCAGAGGAATGCATTAAGCAAGTAGTGGCAGTATAGGGGGAGTCACTGAAATGAGCAATAAAGGGATACCTTTGACTAAGTAATTTATAAACAACAGAAATTCATTTCTTAGAGTTCTAGAGGCTGGGAAGTCCACAATCAAGGTGCCAGCAGATTCAGTGTCTGGTGAGGGCTCTCGGCATCTTGGGCACCTTCTATGTGTCCTCACATGGTGGAAGGGGGGAACAAGCTGCCTCAGTCCTCTTATAAGGACACTAATCCCATTCATGAGAACTCTGCCCTGATTATCTAATTACCTCCTAAAGACCCTACCTATTGGACTGGTGATTCGATTTCGACATATAAATCTTGGGGAGACACAAGCATTCAGATCATAGCAGAGGTAAAACTTTATTAATTCATTTTTTTTTCATTCAGAACCTACTATGTGTCTATACTATTCTCAATCCTGATATGTAAGAAGAAAAAAATGTTTCTAAGAAACTGAAATGGTGGCTGGGTGGGGGCAGAAAATGTTGCAGGTTGAGATGGATTCAAAACAATCACTGTTAAGTAACCCTTAGGAGTTTTCAAAATTCAGATATAGATGTTTCCTTTTTATTGGGAGGAGGAGGTGCAGATACTGCCTAGCGATTCTATTCAGAAGAATCCCAGCCATGCCAGTCACTAGTTGTGTGACCTCAGGCAAGTTACTTAAAGTCTTTGTACCTCAGTTTTCTCAACTGTCCATTGATAATGTTGATAATACCTTCATTATAGATTTGGGTGAGAATTTGGTAAGAGGTTAGGACTATACCCAGCATTTAGCGTCTATATAAATATTATATATTGTAGTTATATGGTATTGTTGCTCAGTTTGCTAAATTAGATATAGATTGAGAAAAATAAATGTAATTAAATAATGGTGAATGTTGACTGTAGATTTACTTAAGTAAATTGTAAGTGATAAAACTTTTCATATAAGGTTAAATAAAATTTAGATGGGGAGACAAAAATGTTGGAAGAGGCAAAAATGATGATGCAAATTGATTGAAATATATGTATTATAAAATAGCACCTAGGAAAACTGGAAATCAATGAAGTTTTGTTAATTGCTTTTTTTTTTTTTTTTTTGGAAAGAGAAGATGGATGTTTGTAATAAACTTAAATGAAAGAGTTTTAAAAATGGTTCCCTGGGAATGCAGAGGCACAAACAAATGCTCATAATTTTGTGGCTTGGGCTAAAGCATTTCTCAAATGTCCTTGAAAGTTCCCAAAGACAATCTTTCCTCAGGAAAGTATTTCTCCTGTGAGTAAATAATGTTCTTGCCTAGAAATGAAATGTAGTAATATATTACATTGCAACTGAATTGATAGCAAGACTGGCAGATGAAGTTCAGAAAAAAATGTCACATTGGAAACTAGGATTTGAGGCTCATATCTATATTTTCATAACTCCTTAAGGGGCTCCCTCCATAGTAAATCAAAATAGTACAGAAAGAAGTTTTGACTATTCTTTACCTCTTCATTAAAGGGATCAATTTGGAATTATTATTGCACCAATACCATCCTGCCTTAAATTTTGTATGGTTTAGCTGCACAATTGATAAGCTAAGGTTTCTTTTCACCATATAAAAGGTCCTTTTTAAGCAGTCATATAACAACGACATTTAAAATATTTGCTTGCTTTTAATGAAAGCTTTGTACTTTCCAAAGTGCTTTCTAAATGCATCTCTGTGAGTCAGGTAAAACAAGTCCTGTCAACAGTATTTTACAGAAGAGGAAACAAAGGCTGTAAAGGAAAGCTTCTTGCTCAAGGTCATTCTGTGAGCTAGACAAGGACTTCATCACAGGAATGACTCAAAGTTCAGGAGGGAATACAGCAGGGAAAGCTTAAGCCTTCAGTTCATTTTTACACGAGAATTTTTGCCTATCGCCTTGTAGGACGACATAGGGAATAAACTGTATTAGGTACCCAGTTCCTCCTTCGTGTTACTTAAGAGTCTGGTGAGGTATTTAGGTTGGACGTATTCTGTTCTAATGAAGATAAATTTGACATCCTGATGGCTGATCCCATGTGCTTTAGAATTTGAATCCCAGCTCCATCACTTACTAGTTGTGTATCCTTGGAGAAAGTTTCTTAACCTCTTGATGCCTGTTTCCCCTTCCATTAAGTGTCAATTTTAATATTATCTTCTATGTTTATTCATTCATTCATCTAACAAATATTGGCTAAGAGCTCACTACATGTCAAGTACTCTGCCAAGAATAGTTAAGTTCCCTAGAGTGCCAGAAACACTTTTCAGTGGATAGCAGAAGTCAGTAGAGCTGAGAAGTAAGGTTGAAACTGACCTTAGGAGAAGATTAAAGGCTCAGATAATAGGAGAAATGACTCTCACACACTTCCAGGATGTAGGCCTGGAGGTATTCGGAGCCATGGTGCGTTGTGATTTTGGACATACTGCACTTCCAGTCCCGGTTTCCAAATCTAGAGAATGGATTGATTCAACATACCTCACAGAGTTAATTTGGTAGGGATTAAATGAGGGAACATATGGGATGTGACACAGGAAGCAGTGGATAAATTATTACATATGAGTATGTTTGTAAACAAAATCAATCTTTATGGCCCCGCTGCATAGCAAGTGATCACAGCACTCTAATTTTCTGGTTGAGCCTGACATTGACACATCAGGCAGATCTTACTTTTTGAATCAATGGAAAATTCTTGCCTCATTGGTCTAATGTCACTTAATTTTGGTTCTTTATGTATGGAGACATAAGTAAAGGAAATCTTAAAATAAATGTATTTTATTTTATTATTTTATTTTATTTTTTGAGACAGAGTCTCACTCTGTCACCCTGGCTGGAGTGCAGTGGTGCCATCTTGGCTCACTGCAACCTCCAACTCCTGGGTTCAAGCGATTCTTCTGCCCCAGCCGCCTAAGTAGCTGCGATTATAAGTGCCCACCACCATGCCTGGCTAATTTTTTTTTTTTTTTTTTTTTAATAGAGATGGGGTTTCCACCATGTTGGCCAGGCTGGTCTCAAACTCCTGACCTCAGGTGATCCACCCACCTTGGCCTCCCAAAGTGCTGGGATTACAGGAGTGAGCCACCGCACCTGGCCAGAAATATATTTTATATCTTATGCTTCAAAACGTAGAAAAACATTATTGTATTGTTCATCTTTTTTTTTTTTTTGGACACGCTGATCAGCTAGTTTTTTCCTCTGCAGCCAGGCAAAACAGAATCTGAAGAAAACACTTTAAAATTTTGATTTCAAATATAAGATCATGGGGTTCTTTCCCTACTCAACTTAGATTAATGGGAATCATCAACTTTAGGGTTTTAATATGGATAAAGATAACTATCGAAGATTCTAAATTATTTAATTTTTGATATTATATTTAACCATGGTAGGAAATTAGGATTTGACTAAAACATACTCCTTCCTTTTCCTGTACCTTAGCTTTTTCATACAGGAATGTGCCTGTTCCACTTTGAGATGCTCAACCAGGTGAGGTGCTAAAACTAGAGGTGAAGCTTAGTTTCTGCTTATTCATTCTATCTGAATGAGATGGCAATTATTAAGCAAATGTTTGCCATACAATTTTTATAAAGTTGAATATAACACAGTGGTTAAGACTTAGGGAGACAAAGCTATCTTGTATTCTTTTGCTCTGCCAATTGATTAATATATAATACATATAACCAGCAGAAGCTGTAAAGTATGATTTAAATGTAAGGCATAATTTTCTCATTTATTTCACCTTAAATGCATTTATACTCTTTATTATTTATAGAAGAGTTTTGAGATTGCTAAGCTTTAATTAGTGACATAGCAATAATAAATTTTTATCAATCCCTAAATTAACAAAAATGATGATTGATGGGCCAGGCACAGTGGCTCACACTTGTAATCCTAGCACTTTGGGAGGCCGAGGCGAGAGGATTACTTGAGGTCATGAGTTCAAGACCAGCCTGGCCAACATGGTGAAACCTCATCTCTACAAAAATACAAAAAATTAGCTGGGCATGGTGGCATGCACAAGTAATCCAAGCTGCTCAGGAGGCCGAGGCACAAGAATCGCTGGAACCTGGGAGGTGGAGGCTGCATGAGCTGAGAGATTGTGCCACTGCACTGCAGCCTGGGCAACAGAGTGAGACTCCATGTCAAAAAAAAAAAAAAATGATGATTGATGACTTTTCCCACAAATATTGGATAATACCTCTGCAGATCAAGTCAAATTAGTTAAGTGTCTATATTTTACTCTCATGAGTTGCCCAGTTAAATCCCCAGCCTGTTTTCATTCACTCTAATACCCATGATTTCCACTGCTTGGGGCTGGGTCTCCTTCTCCTTTTGGATGCCTGGGTTTGACTGAGTTGTACTTCACGAGCTGCTGATAGTTACCTGAGAAGGGCCTTCTATATGAGCTTCTTGTATTTCATATATTATTTCATTTTGCTTCACTGGACCCAGACATGCTCTTGGAATTGTATGTTTCCAAAAATATCACCAGCATGTCTCTAGCCAATAGGAAGATCATGATCTAAAGATACATCTTAGATTATCAGAACCTTAGAGAAATCTAAAGAGGCAAATAATTTTAAAATAGCAGCATTTGCTTCTGGAGACTGGCTGACACTCTTATGTGAACCAGTGTGAAAATGACTTCTGAAGGCATCCGTCACATTGGCTTCGAGAAGTCTGTTCCTTCAGCAAATGTATTAGTCCATGCTGCATCCCCACTTTGGCTTATCTGTGTGGTTTGGTTCTAGCTCCCAGCAGGAACAAAAGCTGCCGAGAGGCAACTTGTTTGGCTTGGGAGCATGCCCAATGTGAAAAGTTTGCAGGCAGAATCCGAAAGAGCAGCTGCAAGAGGAGAGATGGGGGTAGGTGACAGCTAATGATTCAGAAAGCAATTTCCATGAGAGCCTTCTGCTGAACAGGAGGCAGCAGTGCCCGGGAGATAGTTTACCATCTAATGCCGGGCTGGTTTCAATAAGCCAAGTCCTTTTTCTGTCAGTACCTGTGCCCCGAGGGAAAGCGCAGCCAACAGCTTCTATTTACCTGAAATAGTAGGACACACTAATTAGAATTTCAAAGAGCTTACATCTATTAAAACGTGTGGATCCATTTTATCCTAAGGCTCAGGATGCCCAGCCTCATATAAACTGATTTAACAACAAACGTTTAAGTACAAATCCAAAGCCATCTATCTAGTATTCCTTCACAACTTCTTGTGTACCAGGCTCTGCACTGTGTTGCTTTCCATACTGTGTCTTATTGAGTAATAGACCTCCGAAATGGGTGTTGAAGGTTCCTACCAAGGGATCTGTGTACAAGAAACCATAGCCAGGAAAGACCAAATTATTATTTGTTAAAAGTGAGCTTGGCCCTGTTATCTCATTTTGGAATTCAGAATGGCTTCTCTCTCTCTCCTCTCCCCCCAAATCACAGATGACTAGAACACAGGACAAGCCTAAGCTAATATGATTTACTCAGAATCACAGACCGAGATGCTGGGACTGACTGTGTAGCACACTTGCCACTTTCTAATACAGTAACTCCTCTCACTGCTCAATAGACGTCATGGTTGTTGGTCAATAAAGATCACAATTCTTCTTCCAGGAACAGGTTGGAGGGCCGTGGGGTTAGGTTTTCAATTCCCTCGCAAACATTTGACGACTAAGCATGTTCCGAGCACGCCTCTTTCTGACATGCTTGATTCCTTTTTTTATAGATGTGCAACTGAAGCAGAAGCTAAGCGACATCCTCAGATCACATAGCCCATGCTTTTAACCTATCATACTACTTAAACTTCCTCACCTGCCAGTTTACTTTTTCTCTTGAAGTCTGAGAAACTGAACACAGTTCCAGATAGAAATGAACAACCAGGAAGACGCTTGAAATGCTCTTATTTTTCCATTACCGAAGATAGTCACTTTTTTTAAGTGAAGTCTTCTAGCTTTTTCGTGGTCATAAGTAACTAATGATATGCTTCAATTGATTAAAATGGCCTAGCATTCTCCAACTGTAATACTTCATAGAAAGTTGGCTGTTATATTTCCCTAAGTCCTATGCATGTTTCTAGAGATTAGATGCTGTCAAATAGCTTTCTTGAAATAAATACAAGATTCTGGTTTTTAAATTTATCACTTCTTTTACTCTTGCAGTGGCTTTTTTTGAATTGTTGGACATGATAGATATGGGAAATACTTCATTAGATCACAAATTTTAGAACCTATAACATACATATAGAACAGAACTTTAAACAGAGATTAGAGGAAGCTAAGTTACTAGAAAATGTAGTATAAATCATTATTGAAATAGAGCTTAACACATTATAATTCATCTGAAAAGAAGCTCAGATTATGATTGTCAGTTATTTAATGTTCTGTTCAAAGATAATGAAAACACTGTTAAAGGTATGGTATTTTGACTGCCATTGGAATGGTCTGATTTCAAACAGCAATGCATTAGTTGTGCTTAAATGGATAAAGAATGTTGAATAAGTGAAGAGAAAATAGGAGAACTGCATTCTAATCTTATCTTGGCCACTGACAGGAATAAAGTTGACTTTTAGGCTATCAAACAAACATTTTCTTTTCTTTTCTTGTTTTATTTTCTTTATCTTTTTCTTTTTTTTGCAACGGAGTCTTGCTCTGTTGCCCAGCTGGAGTACACTTGCGGAATCTCGGCTCATTGCAACCTCTGCCCCCAGGACTCAAGCGATTCTCCCACCTCAGCTTCCCGAGTAGCTGGGACTACTGGTGTGTGTCATCATGCCTGGCTAATTTTTGTATTTTTAGTAGAGATGGGGTTTCACTATGTTGGCCAGGCTGGTCTCGGACTTCTGACCTCAGATGATCCACCTGCCTCGGTCTCCCAAACTGCTGGGATTACAGGCGTGAGCTACCACGCCCAGCCCACACGAACATGAAAAAAAAAAGCTAACTCAGTTTTCTCACCTGTAACATGAAGAAGTGGCCATTTAAAAAATAATAGTTGATTATCTTTAGTTCTGTAATTTTAGAAGCATCTTGATTTGATTTATGCATAAACTCTCACAAGAAAAAAATGTCCTTTTATTTCTAAAATGTCTGTAACATTGGATTAACATAGCAAATGAAATCTTTTGAGGATTGTTCAAAGGGTCACCAATTTAGAATTCATCTCCTCTGTTGGTTTTTATTTTTTGTTTTAACTTTTACTATATCTATGATAGGGTTTTTTTCCCCCTGCACTGGGACTGACAGATGGAATGGTTAAAGAAACACATCAACACTTATTTTAGATACTTTGTTATCAGACCCATTCTGTGAACTTTGCTCTATCCATGAATTATTTATTTCATTTGATGTGTTTTTCCCTGGATTCATAAAATTTCATTTTGTCATGATGTTTCTTCCCGTTTATGGGACTATAAATGCAGCTGACTAAACCTCTTTAATGGCTGAACACATATCATGTCTTTGAGTGAAGGATGTGATTTCTCTTTCTGTTCACAGACATGTTCACATTTTCATTTATTTGCTTTTCTTCTGTTCACTCATGACAATAGTGTCAGTGGAGAAATAAAATGATGACATCTGATACTTATTTAAGTTGGAGTCAGAAGACTTGAGCTTTCTCTAACTTTTTAGATTTGCTAGCTTTATAGCAATGTGTACCTCACTTGTTTTCTCTGAATCTCAGTTCCTCTTCTATAAAATGTGAATAATTATGCCTATAACACAATGTAGTTAGAATGGTAAACAGAAAAGAAATTCTTCCCATCTGCTCTCGTGTTGGAGAAAAATAATTGAACTGACTTTCATCAGATTTGGAAGTTTGCAATGGTCCGTTTGAAAATATTAGCTAAATGGGATACTGTGAAGACCCTCTGAAGGCACTTCAAAGAGATAGACAAATATCTCCAAGATCATCAAAATCAAAGATAAAATGAGAAGCATTTTGACCTTTCATCAGGAGACAGATGATGTATAATTTCAGTAGTTCTTAACTTTGGCTATAGATGGAGAATCTCTTGGGGAACTTTAAAAAATCTTAAAGCCCAGACAGTTACTTACACCAATTAAATATGAATTTCTGGGGCTAGAGAGTTGCACCAAGACATTGGTATATTTTAAGACTCACAGGATGGTTCCTATATGCAGTGAAGATTGAGAACTCTACATATGTTAAGATATTGTGGCTAAGTATCACAAAAGTGGATGTTGTCACAGGGTAGTTCTGCTTCTTACATGGGCAACTCCATGCCAATGAGTAGCAACATGAATTCTTTAAAAATTTTACATAGAAGCCAGTTTTATAGATATATATAAACACTGTAAGAGGCTACCAGACATTAATTAAAGAAACTCAGAGTATGTTAGCATTAAAAGCATATCTCCAACACAATGTCAGTAGAAGGGATGGAAGGGATTCTGGGGCTGTGATATGGATGCCTCCATACCTGGATCATTGAGAGAGAGACAGGAAATATCTCCAAATCACTGAAATTTTCAGAAAAGCCTGTGATTCTTTTGGGAGTCATGATATTAGGGCTCATGACCCTTGACTCTTGTTTCATAATATAGGGACCCACAGTTACATACGAAGTCTATACCTGAGGCTTCTTATATGGTAGAAGTGGAAAGGACAAATATTTTTTACTGAAGAAAGAAAAAGAGATATGAGTGGGGAGAATGGAGTAAAGAAAGAGAAAAGCAAAAGTAATCCATCTAGAGAAGACTTACTTTTGGGCAATCCCTCATCGTATAATCATGTGTATTTCTTCCTTCCATTTCATGCTTTACTCTATATAGGCATTTAATAGTTTGTCTTCCACATATTTTAAGTTCCATTAAGGAGATTGATGTCTGCTGGCATTTTGTTTTCTGGATTCCAGGCACTTAGCAAAGTCCCTCAATAAGCATTTGTTGAATGAATGCATGAATTAATGAATGAATGAATCAATCAATTTAACTTCAAACTCAGCACCCTTCTCAAAAGAGTTACCTGCTTTATACCATACTTGAGAAGGTTACGTTGTTTTATCATTAGGCCAAAATCGAATCAATCAATCAATTTAACTTCAAACTCAGCACCCTCCTCAGATGAGTTACCTGCTTTATACCATACTTAAGAAGGTTATGTTGTCATATCATTAGGTCTAAAAGAGAAACCAGGATCTTGATTTTAGAACTTGAGGTCATCTCTTCTATCATCTCATACAATGTAGGAATTCACTCTATAAACCAGGTAGTGGTCATCTAGTCTCATTTTGAGAGCTCTTGTGATCTGAATGCTCTAGTTGATGATTTAACTCATCCTGTATATAAATAGCTATAGCTGCTATGAAGTCCTTCCTTATATCTGCCTCCCTGAAGCATCTTACCCATTGATCCTACCTTGTCCTGGTGGAACTGGAATGAAAAATATTCCAGTCTCACATACATACATTGGCACTTCAGATATTTGTAGCCCATCATCACATCCCTAAAGTCTTCTCTTCGGGTCAAATATTGTAGTGTTTTTCCTATAAATCATGTGAGAGTATGTCTAGGCTCCTCACCATTTTGTTTATCCCTGTTTTCACTCGCTTTTGTTTTCTAAAGTTACTTCCCCCAAATTGTGCTCAGACTGGGATTTCGTGCTTCAAATGTGGTCCATCTGAGAAAGAGGGACCCCCCAAAACCTCCCACACACATGCACGTACACCCAAGGAAAACTATATTTCTATTAAATGTAATTCTTATGTCATAAAATCTATATATGTTTATTTAAAAAATAAAAACAATATAGAATAGCATAAAGAAAAACACAAAAATCCTTCAGAATAGCTCATTAGCTAAAGACAAGCCCTTTCAGATTCTTTCATATCCATTGATCTATCTGCTTTTTTCTACATATATCATTTGTGCATTCATTTGTGTCAACATCACATAAACACACATGCAAACATATGTACATAATTTTACCTAAATAGAAATATAGTGTTTTAATCTTATGTTTTAAGACTGATTATAAGTACTGAGCATTATTACCTGACAATAATTTTAGTTCCACATTAAAGTTTGCAAAACTCCTGAATGTTAGCTAAAATGCAGCCCACAGATACTTTCTTTCTACCCTCCAAGACCTGCACAACGTTTTAAAAGCCAGGACATTTTGCAGCTTCTCCTGCGAAGAGGATAATCTGGTGATATTGAGTCTGTAGTCTTACAAGGATGTGATGGAAACTGAAAGGCAGGTGTCTCCTCTACAATGAGCAGGTGCTCCCCAAACAGCTTAGCCATTAGCTTGGCCTGTTTCTTGCAAAAAGCCGATGCAACCACCCCTCGGGTTGAGTTAGTGTCCCCTGAACATCACCATTTTAATAACTGTAGAACTATATGCAAGGGATAAACCAGGATTGATTTCATAAATCTCCTTTTGATAGGCCTTAATGTTGGTTCCATATTTTCCGTTTTGTGAATAGAGTTGCGGCAAACATCTTTGTACAACATATTTACCCAGATACCTGATAATTTATTATAATGAAATTCTACACTGGATGTAAATCATTGAGCCAAAATAGACTTTTAGAACTACTTTTCTTCTTTTTATCATAGTCAGGTCCATGGAAGCAGCCCGCATCTTTCACTCGCACTGTGTTAAGCAAAATTTGACCACTGTATATGTAGACATAGGTAAAACATAGAATTGTTCAAACTTCATGTTATACAATTTAAATATGTGCCATAAAATAAGTAAGTAGAATTGTTAGAAAAATGAAGCTGGGCATGGTGGCTCATTCCTGTAATCCCAGCACTTTGGGAGGCTGAGGTAGACGGATCACTTGAGGCCAGGAGTTTGAGACCGGCCTGGCCAACATGGTGAAACCTTGTCTTTACTAAAAACACAAAAATTAGCCAGGCATGGTGGTGCATGCTTGTAATCCCAGCTATTCGGGAGGCTGAGGCAGGAGAAGTGCTTAAACTCAGGAGGCAGAAGTTGCAGTGAGCCGAGATCATGCCACTGCACTCCAGCCTGGGTGACAGAGCTAGACTCTTGTCAGAAAAGAAAGAAGAAAGAGAAGAAAGAAAGAGAGAGAGAAAGAAAGAAAGAAAGAAAGAAAGAAAGAAAGAAAGAAAGAAAGAAAGAAAGAAGAGAAAAGAAAGAAAGAAATCTAGTAGTTAAATTAGGAAAATTATTAAATACAGAAAAATTTAGAAAAAAATATACTTTAGAGAGAATAAATATCATCATTGCTATTTTTTCCACTATTACATGCATTTATGTTCATATGCATATGTAAATCTACTCATTTTATACACAGTTTAATAATGTTAAGATATGCTGTTTATGTCATTTTTATCTATATTACATTTTCAATTAACATCATAACATGGCCATTTCCCATATGATCTAGTGTTCTTCATTTAGATAATTTGTAAGTTGCTGAATATTCCAATATATGGGGTCACTTATTTAAATAATCTCCTATTATTCGGCACTTAAGTTGTTCCCAAGTTTTTCGTTTTACAAACAATGTTCCAGTTAGTGCCATTGTACATAGATTTCTGTTACTTCTTCTGGTTTCACACTTAGAACACATTTCTAAATATGTAATCACTAGGTCGCAAATCCACTTGTAACTCACATAGGCAATTTTTCAGAAATCTAAATCTAGACCTTCACATTTGAAATTATTTCAGTTATATCCCTTTTATCTGTTTTGCTCCTTTTTTTTTTTTCTACACTGCTGAGGTAGGTATTTTAACACATCCCTCATTGATCCTGTTGCCTCTTCCAAGCACGTTGCTTGGTTTGCATTAACTGGGCATTTTCCCAAAATGTCCCTTGGAATTCCCCCAAAGATAGTTGCTCAATACCACTCTCTTTCCCAGGTACTAAAAAATGCAGTTGTAATGACTTGTTAACTTGTAGATATGATTAAGCCCCACAGTTTTCCCATGAAAGTTTACTATTTGGCACTGGTCCTGCAGGAAGGTGGCAATGTTACTCACACAGTGAATTTGCATTGATATTCGATATAGGCATCATGGCATATGAGGAAGCAAAATCTGAGAAAGGATTTAAATGTGAAAGTCATTATGCAAATGATAAATATTATTTATTATTAAGTATAATTAATAGTTGCCAAGCAGATGTTTTTCCTAACCAAGTGCCATATACCTTTTAAAATAAATGTTTGTAATTAATAACATTTAGATAGGGGGAAAATAAGTTTTTCTCAACTTTTTCATTATAGCCCAGATTTTGCCAGGCAAACAACTTGATAGAATCAATAGAAGCTTAGTTAAGCAGGTGATAATCTTCTCTTGGCCTCCAATTTATCACTAAATGGCTTTTCCATGGATTGCAATCATTGAAAGGTTGTAATTGTAGCCTTCTGCTATATTTACTGTTAGAAAATGTTCTTTTAAATTGAGCACGCTGTGGGTTTGTGAACACTTGTTTGTCATTCATGATGATTAGGTTCCCCCATATTTGAACTGGTACATAAAATGCCAGTCATAGTGTTTTAAAGTGATTTTTCCCTCGGCAGTTTTGATTAGATGCCTTGGGTCAGTGCTTAGTTAATATCTTGCACCACTTGGCTTCTGTAAGCAAATGAGAGAGCTGAACATTCCACCCACGACCTGCTTGGAAAGCTGATAAATAATTGGAAAAGGACAGTAATATCTGTAAGACTTTCAATCTGTTCCATTCAGTGTGATATTGGTATTATAACACAAGCCAAGTTGTCAGTAAAAAATCACAGTCAAAGCATTCTGAGTAGTTGACGGAGGTGTGAGAAAGGAGTATTTCAGTTTTATAAAGATGGTTCCTCTAGCTGGCAAGAGGGCGCATATTCATTTTTTAATAACACACAGAGCATCCACCCCTGCTCCTTGTCCCCATGACTATTCTGTTTAGACCTCCATGCCTTCCCAACTGCCTCTCCCCTCTTAGCAGCTGCTCATTTCAGGACTTGCTTTGGAATATCTACTGGAGACAGCACTGAGGTGCCCAAAATTAACTCAGAATCCAGAAACTAGTGAAAGGTATGGGAACTAAAATTGAATAGTTATAAGGTGGTACCGTGTTCATGAAGATGATACAGTAGCAGACTGCCTGCTGTATATCACACAGTAGGTATGCTGTCTTTTTACTTTATTTTTTTTTCCCAGGGACAAGAGAATAGAATTATGTCTATCTGTTCATGCTTGGGATTACCAGTGCATATTGTCTACAATTGTAAGATAAAACTAGAGGACAGGTATTGATGCAGTCTTTGACTGTCAATAAGATGCATATAACAGATAAAATGGGGCCTACACCCAGCCCTGTTTACAATGACAGACTTGTTAAAATGAGCATCTATCAGAACATTAAAAATTGATTACAATCCTAAGTGGCCTGGAGGTGTGTAGGGAAGGTGAAAGATGCTGACGGCACACACTGTCCAGGTGCTGTCAGAATGTTTTAGGGGCTGATAGAGAGTATATGCCCTGCCATGGATCTTTTCCACATCAGATGGGAACAACGCTTCTCCTCCGGAGATCAATACCTCATACAAATTTTTACAAGGCAGACCCCACAAACGTGGTGTCTGGAGTAATCATTTGATTTTCCCCAACCCATATGTGGCTGTGGAATGAAATAAAGCTAATGTTCAGGCAAACAAAGGGTATTGAAAATGATACATGTTCTGGAGTGAGACAGACTGTGTGGCAATCCCAACCCTACTGTTGACTTAGTTCAGTAAATTGAACAAGTTCTTTATATTCTCTGAACTGCAGTTGCCTTGTCTGTAGGTGGAAATAGGGTCAGTCCTTGCTGGGTTAATGTAGTATTAGAGATAATATATGTGAAAAGCCAAGCATAGTACTGATATTAAAAAGACAGTAAAAGCGGTAGCTGTTTCTATAATTCAGGAAAAATGTTATATCTGACATAGACCATCCTAAAGTGAAACAATGTTCGATAAAACTTACTGGAAGAACATAGAGTAGGCAAGAGGTCAAACGATTGCGTGTCTATATCCTATGATTATAACACATCAAATTATATCCAAATAGGTTCTCAATATGTAGTGTAGGCAACACATTTCCAATTAATTATAAGAACTAAGCCTTTATAATTTTTTGGTGTCTTAGTGTTTGATTTTTTTAATCTTAATAATGTATTAGAGTGCCTCTGAGTTTAGCTCTTACTAAATTATAAAGGCACTCATTTTAGACCTAAATATATGGTTCACCCAATGCAGGTGGGGAAAAAAACAAACATTTTTGGCAGACTGACTCTGGCTTGCTGGGGCTCTGTTCTCAGTTCACAGACCAAGGAGTATCGTCAGCCAGACTGATAGGTTGATCATTTCTAAGTGTACTTGGTTTAGATCAAGATGTCAATTTCCAGCAGCAATAGGCACTTGCAGATAGTCTCATTTTCTTGAGCATAAGAATGCGTCTTTTCCTATATTTTTGAGAATATACTAGCTGCTGGCCCATGTAAAAACTATGAAGTTATTAAAGGACACTCAATGCTTCCCACCTGGTCATTTTTCTCACCTTCAGGAGTAGCCTCAAATGTGAACTGCCTCCAGTTACTGGGATGCCCCATCCTTTCCCACTGTCATTACCTCCACACTCATAATCGCTTCTATCAATTCTAGCACCTAAAGGAGCCAGGCTTTGTATCCATTTATATTGTTCACTTTATATTAGCTGAAATTGCACTAGCTCTTGCCCCTGTCAAATGGATATCAATCTTTCATTCATTAGTTAAAAATATGAACCACTTAAATCAGGAAGTGCAAGACAGTATCATCTTGAGGGCCTTTTTTGAATGATTAGTGGTGGCTGCCCAGAAACACTCATAAGAGAAGAGTTCAGAACATGTCAAGGCTTTGTCTAGCCATAGTGGAGAATGCCGTGACTTACTAGCAATGTCTGCCCTTGGTAAAAGAGAAAATAATAGAAATAGGAAGAGTGACATAGAGGACTGAAAGGATGGCCACTCTCAGGCTTCTCATCCTTGCTCTTAGTGCCCTTCTTGGAGACTGGGATCATGTTCCCACCTTCCATTACGTGGCTGTAGAGTCCATTTCCAAACTATTCATTTGTTCCTTCAATTTCCCATTAATTCCTGCCCATCCTCCTGACTCAGAAACTTCATGCATTCTGTTCCCTCAGACTGGATGCTTTGCTGAGGATCCCTTCTCCAAAGTGCCCCCTGCAAGAAGGCTCTACCTTATTTACTCTAAGAAACGACACCAGTTTGTTGTATGTTGTAGCACTCCCCTCTTTTGTGCCATAGAAATTATATAAATTTGTAATTATTCCTTGATATGTTTATTTGTGTATTTATTACCCCCTGCACCAAATGCTAAACTCAGTGAGCTCAAGAACCGTGTCTCTCTTTTTGGCTATTCCCTCATACTCAGCACAGATGCCTGGAAGGCAGTAGGCATTTGAAACGCTGGAATGCATTCAAGTTTGGGGATTCCAACTTAATCAAATAAGGTTCCTGACTTCCTACATCTCATATTCTAGTGAAGAAGAAAGTCGATTAAGTAAATTATTATGATGCAATGAGACAAAAGCAATACAGGCATAAGGGAATATTGCTGCGTGGGTAGGGTGACAGGTGTAGAGATAGCATCACAGATGTAATGGTAAGGTTGGGTTTTGAAGAGTAAGACTTAAAAATAAACCTCAATAAAATTTCTGTGTAAGAAAAGTTAAACACTGCAACAACTGCTCTCTATTTGAATGTTATGTTCTACCATTGAAGTTTTATTTGTGAATCGAATGACTAGATATTTTAACATGTACCTATAGTAGCATCCTAAATGCATTTTAAAAGAAATATAAAGGATACTTTGCCTACCGAGGGCCCACAATTAGGCTTTTCCTTTAAGGATATTCTTAGTCTTAACCCTTTATCCTGCTTTGTACTTGATATATCCCCATTTATTCTGATCGAGTAGCCCAGATGGAAGCTTTTTGTCCATTTGCAAAGGTCAGTGGGGGTTATGTGAGCATGAGTCTGCTGAAATTTTAAGCAAAAAATGGCCCAAGCATTTCTTATAGTTTGGGGACATGTAGTTATAGTGAAATAATTTAGATAAATGAAACTGGACTTGTCTTTTAGATTTAAAAACATAATTTGGGGATAATAAAGGAAACATCATTACTAGTCTAGCAAGGGATATTTAAAATAAAAGGTGGTTTTATGTACGCTGCTAACTTTCTTACAGCTTCAATGATAAATTATTAGATATTATGTTCATCATATCGGGAGGTCACATATAACTTTCCAGTTGAAGTTTTTTAGAAATTGGCTGGAATTTTTTGTTTTGTTTATTTTTTTAATGTTTTCTTCTTTCTCTCTTTTTTTTTTTTTTTTTTTTTGAGACAGAGTCTCGCCCTGTCAGCCAGGCTGGAGTGCAATGGCGCGATCTCGGCTCACTGCAATCTTCGACTCCTGGGTTCATTTGATTCTCCTGCCTCAGCCTCCTGAGTAGCTGGGATCACAGGCACCTACCACCATGCCCGGCTAATTTTTGTATTTCTAATAGAGTCGGAGTTTCACCATGTTGGCCAAGCTGGTCTCAGACTCCTGACCTCAGGTGATCCACCTGCCTTGGCCTCCCAAAGTGCTGGGATTGCAGGCATGAGCCACCGTGCCTAGCCTTTAATGTTTTTATAAGTTAGAAAGGAAGAGAGGGAGGGATGAATGAAGAAAGAATAAAGCAAAACATTTCCTTAAATCACATTTAAAATAAGGTGGAGTTTAATAAAATACAGGAAGGAAGGCTGAAAGACAATAGTTATTATAAGCCAAAAGCTTTTACAATTATATTATAGCACTTGAGAGAGAAGTAGTGCTTTTTGTTGGCCCCTATGATTTCCCCAAAACATGTTCATTCTCCTTGACTCAATCATGTTCAAAGGAGAGTTTCCTTGTTAGGTTGGTAAAACAGGATCATATCCAGGCTTAATTGGACTCTAAACTGATTGTAGTTCTGTATAAACCTACACATCATGTATACATAGAAGCAGAAACAGTATTTAAATCCAATAGATGCTGCTTACTTTAAGATGAAAGACATCTAATGAATTTTAAAGTGGAAAAATTTATGCAAAGTCAACTCCTATTGTATTTGAAATACGGGAGGACATTGATATAAAATGCAACTTGCAACTTGTTTAAGATAAAACTAAAATAGAAGCAAGGATAACTGCAAGCCATGACTTGCAAGATCAAATCAGAACTTTTAAGTCCTCTCCTTGAAAGAATAAAGATCAGTTATGTGCCTAATACTTGTTTTGTAATCAGGCCACATTTTACCAAATCTGGCGAGAAAAGAAAATTAAAAAAAAAAACAAAACAAAACATTGCCAGTTATTCTGAGTCAGGTACAAAACTGTGCCAGAGTGGTAATCAGGGCTTGATCCTACTATTCAGGAAAGAATAAACCAGAATAGTAACTTTCTTTCTTTTTTAGTTAGCCAATACAAATGGTAGGAAATATTGACTTATAAACTTTTGTTCAACTAAGTGATTCTCTAGAGAAGGAACCAACAGGATCAGGGTGGAAAGTTAAATGAGGACAAGGTTGGGCTAAGTGAGGGAAAGTAAGGAGCTTTCCGAGCTAAGACAGTTCCAATGTGTGACTGACAAACTCACTCATGAGTATGGGGAGGTTCATTTTTCACATCTGCCAGTATACACCATGGTCCATTCAATAAAACCAGGGTAGAATTGACCACTATGTCTAGATTAATTATAATCTATTATTCATCCATTCACTAGGGATTGAAGGCCTTGAAACTTTCAGTGTGGTATTTAGGTACTCAGAAAATCTCCCTTGAATGAATGGATGAGCCATAAGAAAATCTGTTTACTAGGAGACACACAGTGGTATTTTCTATTTATTTTTTTCATTCACCATTTCACAATTTTTAATATCGTTTCTGTACCAGGGCTGTACTGGGCACAGATACAATAGTAAGGTACCATGAAAACTGCCCCCCACCCTGCCCCATCTCTTCATTACATTAGGAAAGAATAATATTAGAAAACAAAACCAACTAGAGAGTATATCATTACAATTCGGAGTTAGTTTATCTTAAAGATTATGGTGCTCAAAGTTACCATGAAGACATTAGAATGAGTGTATATGAGTATTTGTATGTATCTATAGGAGGGTATAACTGCATATATTTTTGGAAGAGATTTGACAGACCATGCTAGTGGAGAACAGATATAGAGGAGAGAAGAGCAGGGGTGGAGATGACTCGGTTGTTGTGGTGCAGGTGAGACATGATCTAGTTTAAATGAGGACGGTGGCAGGGCAAGGTGAGATACTTTTCAGTTCAGAAACATATTTAGGATGAAAATATCAATAGAACTAGATGAAGTTTGGATTGGTAGGGGAATTTTGAGAAGGACTCCTAGATTTTTGCCTCACATGATGTTTACATTATGCCCTGAGAAAAAAAAGAATATTGGAAGATGACAGTCTTCCCCCAAACAGAATTATGTTGCGAAAACAATAATGGGCTAATCATCCCTCTTCAAGGTTCTCAGTGAACACTAACATTTTAGAAGTTCTGAGAAACTCAGTAACATTTAAATTTGTTCCCTTTTGGTTCATTGATCATTACCAAAACTTATTTCATCTTGCATCCCTTGCCCTCGGCACTAACCCTAGAACAAACATGAAAACACAGTTGATTTGGAAAACTAGAACATGATTCATGTTATGTCCTTAGTTAGAGGGAGCATTTCATGTAGTAGAATGAAAGAGAAATTGTTAGGAACAATTAAATGATTCCTTCTACTTGATTCCACAAAATCAGTAAGAGTTATTGATTATGCCTTAAATGTGTACTATCCACATTGTACTTATGTTCACTTTATGACTAATTAAATGTAAAACAACATTCACTGAATGAAAATTCAGTTTATTGTAAAGCTGCTAGGCTTTTTTTTTTTGAAAAGGAAGTCTATGTATTAACATTTACATCATAGAAATATGGCAAAGCTCAAAGAATAATGAAAAATTAACCTGAAATCTCCCACCCTAAGAGAAACATTGATAGTATTTTAATATATATTCTTTGTGACAGTTTCTGGTTTATTGCCCCTCAAGGTCTAAATTCACCCTTTTTACCTGCTCTGTGAAAACAGATCTGAGCCTTTTACATAGTATTTCCTTTGCCAGCTGGCATGATATTATGGTTTACCAACAGATGGCACTGGAGAGACATTGCAGAAGGAAAGGCTTTGATTTCTGTTTCTTATTTTTAAATTATTATTATTATTATTATTATTATTATTATTATTGAGACAGAGTCTCGCTCTGTCATCCAGGCTGGAGTGCAATGGTGAGATCTTGGCTCACTGCAACCTCCGCCTCCTGGGTTCAAGCAATTCTCCTGCCTCAGCCTCCCAAGTAGCTTGGATTACAGGTGTGTGCCAACACGCACGGCTAATTTTTGTATTTTTAGTAGAGACAGGGTTTCACCATGTTGGCCAGCCATGTTGACCAGGCTGGTCTCGAATTCCTGACCTCAGGTGATCTACCCACCTCGGACTCCCTGATTGCTGGGATTCCAGGTGTGAGCCACCACTCCCAGCCTTTGCTTTCTGTTTCTAATGTGCTTGCTTGGAAGTCTCCCAGAGGCCTCTCCAGTGTCCAGCTCACAAAGCTCGGTGACTTTCCCAGCACCCAGCTCTGCAACACCTGTGATTTCTCCAGCATTCAAGGTTCCTCCAGCACCCAGCTGTCTCAGCTCTGAGGTCTCTCCCTCGGTGTTCTGCTCTTGCAGTGCACACAACTCCCATAGCTGGCTTCAGCAGTAGAGGGCAGCCAGCAGCTTCTCACAGGTCCCATCAAGAGGTTCTGTAATAGAGTGTCTTTGGTAAGACACCTCCCCATAAACAGCTTTTCCTGGAAGCCTAGAGGGTGGTTTTCCAATAAGTTCCAAAGAGCCTATTTCTGGATCCCAGTTGTACCGGTGTGGCACCACAGAAACTTCTGTGTTATCCAATGAGCCACAGTCATGCTCTCTCCAACTAGGCCTGGATTTCTTCTTAGCCTGAGGGTAACTTGTTATTCCTCATATCTGCTACTCTTCTATTTTTTTGAGTTCTCTTTACTTATCACCATTCATTCTCTCATTACTCTAATTCCTGGATGTACTTAAAAATTCTTTTTTATTAAATTGTTTATGCTGGAGTTGTTATGTGATTTTTCTCTCCTGATTGGACCCAGGATGATAATTGATTAGTCTTCTAATCTTTGTGTGTGTTATTTTAATGTTTAAAAGAATCACAAGTCCCCTTTCCACGACATTCTATGAGTTTCTACATTATTATTTTAATGGCAGCCTAGTAATCCATGATAGTAGTAGATACTTCATCATTTGTTCCATCCCTTATTATTAGACATATAAAATGTTTTATTTTTATTATTAGACATATATACTGCTTTCAAATTGTGAACAATGCTCAGGTGTTCACCCTTGGACCTAAATCTTTGTTGACATCCATAATGATTTCCTTGCAATTAACTCTTAGTCATTTGGACATTTTAGTCAATGGCAAATGATGAACACACTTTGTAAAGTGCTTTATGTAATTCCAGGGGAATTTTGAACATATTATTTAGGGGTATAATGTAACATCAGATAGAAGTATAAGAAGAAAGAAAGTCACGGTATTTATTCTCTCCTGCCAAACTTTCATAGCAGGAATTCGAAAAGTCTCTCCTGTAACACAAGAACTGAAACAAGATTTGAGAATGAGCCATTAAATATCAATTATCATAAATCACTTCTTGCTGCTGCTTTGATTAAATGTTTTCCTTGTGTTTTACAATTGGGAATTCCACCTCATCAGAAGAATGGAAAATGGGAAAGGATGAAATGATTTCGTGTATCTTGGTTATTCTTAGAAGCAAGTGCTTTGAGAAAGAAAACAAATTGTTAACCTCAGCATCTTAAACAAATTGAGTTTGGCTGATTTCCTGTGCTTAGAGAAAAGATCCCCATAGCTTCATCTGGAAGGCCTCATCCACTGGCCCAGTTGTTGTTTTCTTGACATGAATGCATCTAGTATAAATAATCTTTAATATTGAGTTAAACATTTAAGGATGTTTCAGGTTAATTTGAACAAATGAAGGAATGATCCTGATTGGTAACCATTGAAAATTCTCTCCCACAGGGAAGGAACCAAACAGCCTCAGACACTCTTCCTGAAAGTGGTCATCTTAATTCAACATTTATGTCTGTGATTTGCTTACAGGGGTTTTCTGAATGAGCTTGTAGAAACACCAGTCTTTAGTCAGCCACTGGAAGATTTGCAAGAAATGCTGTGCTAATCTCAGAACAAGGAGGTGTAATTTCTATTATCTGTTATCACAATGTAATCATAAAAACAGGCACGTGGCAAGCTTGTTGTTGTGGTCATGATCATTATCATCAATAACACACTGCCACTTATTGAGCACTTACTATGTAGACTACATGCCTCTTGTCTATGATTTATTTAGTTAATCCTCACAAGTCTCTTAATAAGTAAATACTGATGACATCCTCATTTTACAGATAAAGATGCTGAGTGGGGAAAAGTTAAGAAATTGGCTATGATGACACAATTACCCATCTGTTCAGCCAGTGCACAAGTTAGGTTGTCTGACTCCAATGACAACAGCCTGAGCACCTTCATTCAACTCCTTTAGGCCTTCATTCCAATAGAGTCTCTAAGAAACAATGGATTATGGATTATTATCAAGTCAAATGATTAGATTGTTCCCCTTCATTCACCATTTTGAACTGAAATTGCTTGGATTTCTCAAATGTATTATAGTGCTATATGGTCTGGCATTGTTATTATCAACTTCTTTCCCATCATAAACACATTTGACAAATAAAATTCACTTGTATCATATTCTACCATGTGGCTTTCCAGAAGTATTACACAAAGTCAAAGTCTGTAGTTTTTGCATAGTGTCTTCCAGTCCAGCTGTAACTCCACTGCTCTGTCTCCCACTGATCCTAGAGTCTTCAGTTGAGGAGCTACAGTCCGGTAAAATTGAGAAAGATGTGCTGGCTTGACAAATATATCTTGAGCACCATTAACGTGCAAAAGTCTGGATCACTGCGGTAGGCTTAGAGGGGATTTAAAAATAATAAGACAGCTTAAGAGAGACAGGCATTGACACCATTGACAAAATCACTTCAATCTTAAGGCAGTGAAGAAAGGAGGGAGGTGAGGAGAGGGACGTGTTAGCAGGGCCCATTCTCACATTTCTTAATTGGAATTTTGCTTTTTAAAGGTGAGCCACTTCTGGGAAATTCTGGACCATGAAGGTTTTGTTCAGAGCTTAAAAAGCCTGACAAAAAAATGAAGGAGACTGGTTGTAATGGAGGTAGACAGGTAGAAAATCATGAAGTTGTGTCTTATCAACAAGGGAAGGTCAAGCTCACATCTGAACCCCAAAACTTGGGAAATCCATTGATATTCCTTCTTATTATAAAATGCCTGTTAAGGCACTTGCTGTTTATTTCTTAGTAGGCATTGTGGCAGAAAATCAAATTAATTCAGTGCATAAACTAACCCCTCTCGATCTCTTGCTTAAATGTATAAGCAGAATACCAACTGCTAGAGTTTTATATGTTTCATTTTGATTTTTTCTGCACAAGTTATACAGGATAGCAAAATCACAAGATGTTCAACAGAACTCAATAAATATTTAATGCAACCTTTTTTTAGATATGAGAAAACTCCAGCTCAGTTAAGAAAAGTTACTTGATCTATACATATAGAACCAAAAAAACAAATCTGTTAAGGCTTTAGGCTTTAGTTGTAATAAGAAATATCCAGTTGTACTCCCTCCCAGTTTTGTGAGTCATGTGGTAGTGATTCACATCATTATCAATCAATAAATCTGATTCTTCACATACAGAATACTTTGTCTTGACTTCATAGGATAACACCTCCTACCACCTCCAAACATGTGGGTGAGGGAAAAGATAATCAAAGATTTTAAGTAAATCTGGATTAAAAAAAAAAAACAGTTATTCACATTGTTATTTTGGGCACAGAGGAATAGTTGAATGCCACATTTAAATAGAAAGCATATATATTTCACATTTATAAATCTTTAGATTCTGTATGTGTCATGAAAAATGTAAGTTTTAGATAGTGAGATGTATGAAATTAATTTCAACTCTGTGTCAAAAAGCTCCACAGTAGGCAATTAATGCATAAAACACCAGGGATTGCTGCCCTAAAGCCTCCATTGCCAGATGAAATTACAGACCTCAAATCCCATCATTATCCTGGTATTTATTTTTTGTTTGTGTGGTCTAGGAAAGATATAATCTTAAATTGAATATTTACCTAATCAGCAGGCTAAGGATGTTTTCTGGTTTCTATCCCCTTCAAATCTAGAGCAAAGTTTCTGGCTGTGAGTGTTAACATGTTACCCATATTCTAGGCTACTACTGCTTACTGTTTTCATTTCATGATTTACAAAATGATAATATTCATATGCCACACTGGGGTGAACCAGAGGGGGTTTAAATGAAGTTTGGTGAAAATCTTATTATACCTTTTAAAATTAAACAACTATAATAAGAATACAATATAGGGTATTTGGAAATATATGAAATATTTAATTTACATAGCACTTTTGAAACGTTTTTAATTTTATTATGTATTTATTTATTTACTTTGAGATGGAGTCTCCCTCTGCCACCAGGCTGGAATGCAGTGGCACAATCGTGGCTCACTGCAGACTCCGCCTCCCGGGTTCAAGCGATACTCCTGCCTCAACCTCCCAAGTAGCTGGGACTACAGGTGCGCACCACCATGCCCAGCTAATTTTTATATTTTTAGTAGAGATGGGGTTTCACCATGTTGGCCAGGATGGTCTCGATCTCTTGACCTCATTATCTGCCCATCTCGGCCTCCGAAAGTGCTGGGATTACAGGAGTGAACCACTGCGCCCGGCCCGTTTTTAATTTAAGTGAGAAATTTGTTCTTACTCAACAAACATAAGTTTTTCTATCAGATCTTATGCTTTAACTCACACCTATAATTCTGGTCAATATGCTTCAATAGTGCTATTTTCCAATTTTTGATAGTCATATTCAATAAGAAACTTTTTATCATTTTTACAACCATTGAGAAATTTACAAGTTCATTTTTTAAAAGAACCTACAGTTTCTTCTTTCTTTCACACACATAGGCAATTGAAATAACTTCTGATAATGTGTATCAAATTAAATTCAATCCAAGTTTGTTTTTACAAGTATGTCATAGTAATGATGGTGCTCTATTTTGTAGAAGGAACAAGGCTATATTTGAACCCCCATTTTCTATGTAGCTTGGACATCTATTTAACAGTCATATCATCTTCATGTGAAGATAGAGATATGGAATAACCACCTAAGTTCTTCCTCACCTACTCTACCCTGCAATATGAGTTTTCCTAGAAATTCCTGCAGTCACTTCTTCATAGTGAGCACTGGCACACACTGCAGCTGGCTGCTGCAGAAATCGATGTCCACATGGGTTGAACGTTGAGCAAATTATGGTAAACCCATGGGTGGAGATGTTGCTCATTGTGTTTGCCGCCTGTGGCCACTTAAGCCTCCATCAGTCCCTGCCTCTCTTGAGTCACCTTTCCAGAAGACTCTGGAGTTGCTACTCATGGCTGGACGTCAATAGCTCCAGCATTCCAGGTAAACTAGCCTCCCCGCCTGGGAACCCGAAAGGCCAAGGGAGTCATTATCTTATGTGCCACTTACACACATTAGTTTCCAAACTGTGTACCTCAGCAGACTGGCTAGAACCCTCTGCTTTAGGTATACGACTTAGAACTGTCTTGAAGAACTTTTAAAGTAATACCAAAATGGCAAACGTCTCTATTTTTTACCCTTTCTTTATCTACACTGAACCTGAAGTCTTTGGGAGCTGAAAACATTGACTTTTTATATTGAATAGATACTTATTCTTTGTCTTTTATTCAAAACAATCAGCAGGAAGGTAACAAACTTTGGATGAAAAAGTCAAGTTAGGTTGGTGCTTTGCCTTAGTCAGAAAGGTTTATGAAGAGAAATTGAGGATGAAGAACAAAATAGATGAGCTTTATCTGCTAGATCTAACCTCTAATCGTGTGACTTAATTCCACTATTTGAAGGATTTTCAACTGATTTAGACAAAGCCACATTTAAATACAGGTCAAAAAGGCATTCTAAAGTCAAATGGAAATTATTTGGTTTCGAGTGGTCTTGATGTAGAAATAATAGTTTTATTCTTTGTATATTTCAGTCTCTTCATTCATTCATTCATTTGTACTTGCATTCTTATTTTCATTCATTTAAGTATCAATTCATATATTCATGAGGCATTTGTTGGTGTGGTATTGATCTAGGTGCTGGGCTAGATAGGTGAACAAGTCATTACCTTTACTTTGGAGGCCCTGTCAGTCTTGTGTGGAATCCTGTAGGTTATCACATAACTATTGTAAAATTTGACAAGTACCGTTTTAGTCGTATGAACAGAATAGAATATCAGGAACAACAATTTCATTCAGTCTTGTTATATATTTGACTATTTAGTTGTTCAACATGCAAAACTTTCCAATAAAGGTTGTAATATTGAAGGGTAAATCCAAGTGTTAATCACTTTTATTTTAAGCATGTTGTATTATCAAATGCTTTGGATAGAAGTCACTATACCTTATTGAATGTATTTTCAGCTCTTTTTTTTTTATTATCCCTCCCTACCTTCCCCTTCTCTGTAAGTATGGATTTTGTTTTTGTAAAGTGGCAATACTGCCATAATTACTACCAGTAAATTGTGAGGATTAAAAGATATAATATATCTAAAGGGCTTATTTTTAACAGCTTTTTGAGGTATAATTCACATGAAATAAACTGCATGTAATTAAAATGCACAATATAAGTTTTGACTTATGTGTAAATCTGTAAAACCCATCACCACAATATCTGATGTTCACAAAACTTCCTCCTGTGTCTTCTTTTTGTTAATTAAGCTTCCGTCAGATTTATTTACATCTTCTGAAATGTTATTGAAAAGAGCTCACATAGTCACTATTGGCTTCCATTACTCAGCATAATAATTTTGAGATTTGTCCATGTTATTGTCTATATTAATAGTGTATTCCTTTTAAGTGCTAAATTCTATTCCATTGTATAGTTCACACCACAGTTTGTTCCATATACTTGTTGATGGGAATTTAGGTTATTGCCAGTTAATTTAGCTATTAAAAAATTAAAGCTACTATGAATATTTGTGTACAAGCTTTTGTGTGGGTGCCTGCTTTTATTTCTCTTCAGTAAATACCTGGATGGATCATATGGTAAGAATATGCTTAACTTTTTAAGAAATTGCCAAACTGTTTTCCAAAGCGGTTGTACCAGTTTACATTTCCATAAGCATTGTATGAGATGTCCAGTTATTCTTTATCTCCAACAAACTGTGTCGGCAATCTGTTTAAAGTTTAGCCATTCGAGTATGCATGGAGTGATATCTCATTGTGATTTTGATTTGAATTTTCTGGTGATGAATGATTTTTATTATATCATTGGATTATTTTGCCATCTTTATGCTTTTGATAAAGTGTCTGTTCAAATCTTTGTCCACTTTTTGGTAAGTTGGTTCCTTATTGTCAAGTTTTTAAAATACTTCATATATTCTAGAGACAAGTTCTTTATCAGACACATACATTGAAGTTGTTTTTCAGCTGGCAGCATATCTTTTTGTTTTCTTACCAGAGTCTTTCAAAAAACTGAAGTTTTCAGTTGTGATAAAGTCTAATTTATATATATTTTTTCTTTTATGGACCATAAAAGAAAAAATTTTTGTGTGTTGTCTAACAAATCTTTGCCCAATATTTTCTTCTATGTTTTGATTTAGATGTTTTATAGTTTTATACATTTAGGTCTATAGTCTATTTTTCATTAATTTTTCTATACAATGTGTGTTATGAATTAAAGTTGATTATTTGCATATGAAAATCCAATTATTTCAGCACCAACATCTCCATTGAATTGCCTTTGTTACAAATCTGATGCCAAAAAAATAAAATCTGTTGCCAGTGTATGTATAGGTCAATTTATAGATTCTATTCTGCTTCATTTGTATATCTGTTTATCTTTATGCCGATATCCTACTTTGTCAATTAGTGTAGCCTTATAACACATATTGAAGTTGAGTAATATGGATCATTTAGCTTTGTTCTTTAAGGTTATGTTGCCTATTCTAAATATTTGCATGTCCACATTCGTTTTAGACTTAGCTTGTCAATTTTAACAAAATCACCTGTTGGGTTATGTTTGGGGTTTCATTGAATGTATTCATCAATTTGAGCAAAATTGTCTTCTAAACAATTCTGAGCTTACTGATTAATGAAAAAGGTAACTCAGTTTATTTAGGTAATTTTTAATTTCCTCAGCAATGTTTGTTCATTAAGTGTACGGGTGTTGTACATCTTTTGTTGCTTTTTATATCTAAATATTTTAAATTTCTGATGCTATAGGAAATGATATTTTTGAAAACTATTTTCAATTCTTTATTTCTAGCATATAGAAATATTGTACATTTGGTTTTGTATACTGACCTTTTATTTTGCAATTCTCATAAACTCATTTTTTAGTTTTATAAACTTTTTTTGTGAATTCCACCTGATTTTCTATATATGTGACCATACCGTCTTCAAATAAAGACAAATTAATCTCTGTTTTTCATTTGCATGGTTTTCTTTTTTCTTTTAGTCTCATTGCATGGGCTAGAATCTCTAGTACAAGATTGAATAGAAGTGGCAAGAAAAGATATTCTTGTATTGTTCCTCATCTTAGAGAAAAGACTTTCAATCTTTCATTACTAAGTATGTTGTTAACCGTAGATTTTTTCATAGATACCCTTTATGAGGTTGAGGAAGTTCCCCTTTTCTCCTGGTTTTCTCATAGTTTTTTATCAGGAATGGATGTTGGTTTTAACTGATTTTTCTGCATCTATGGAGATTACTTATATGGCTTTTCTTTTTAAAGTTTGTCAATATGTTAAATTATCTTGATTGCTTTCCAAATGCTGAGCCAGCCTTACATTTTTAGGATGAACCTACTTGGTCATGACAAATGATCATTTTTATATGTTGTTGGATTTGATTTCCTTAAATTTTGTTGAGTCTTTGCATATGTATTCCTGAGAGGTATTGTTCTGTAGTTTTCTTTTCTTATAATGCATTTTTCCCCGTACTTTTGCTATCTGGATAAATTTAGCCATGTGGAATGAGCTGGGAAGGATTTGCCCTCCTCACGTTTTCGAACTTCATGTTGAATTGATATTATTTCTGTCTTACTTATTTGGTAGAATTTACTAGTAAATATATCTGGACCTGGAGTTTTTATTGTGAGAAGGTTTTGCATCACAAGTTCATTTTCAGCCTACTCAGGTTCTCTATTTATTAAGTGAGCCCTTTTAACATGTCTTTGATCTAAAATATCAATTTCATGGCACAAAGTGTTCATAAATTTCTTTATTATCCTTTTAATATCTGTAGAATCTATAGTTATGTTGCCTCTCTCATTTCTGATACTGGTAATTTGTGACTTTCTCTTCCTTGTTTTTCTTGATCAGTCTGACTAGAATTTTTTTTTTATTTTTTTAAATTATACTTTAAGTTTTAGGGTACATGTGCACAATGTGCAGGTTTGTTACATATGTATACATGTGCCATGTTGGTGTGATGCACCCATTAACTCGTCATTTAGCATTAGTTATATCTCCTAATGCTGTCCCTCCCGCCTCCCCCCACCCCACAACAGTCCCCAGTGTGTGATGTTCCCCTTCCTGTGTCCATGTGTTCTCATTGTTCAATTCCCATCTATGAGTGAGAACATGCAATGTTTGGTTTTTTGTCCTTGTGATAGTTTGCTGAGAATGATGGTTTCCAGCTTCATTCATGCCCCTACAAAGGACACGAACTCATCATTTTTTATGGCTGCATAGTATTCCATGGTGTATATGTGCCACATTTTCTTAATCCAGTCTATCATTGTTGGACATTTCAGTTGGTTCCAAGTCTTTGCTCTTGTGAATAGTGCCGCAATAAACATACATGTGCATGTGTCTTTATAGCAGCATGATTTATAATCCTTTGGGTATATACCCAGTAATGGGATGGCTGGGTCAAATGGTATTTCTAGTTCTAGATCCCTGAGGAATCGCCACACCGACTTCCACAATGGTTGAACTAGTTTACAGTCCCACCAACAGTGTAAAAGTGTTCCTATTTCTCCACATCCTCTCCAGCACCTGTTGTTTCCTGACTTTTTAATGATCGCCATTCTAACCGGTGTGAGATGGTACCTCATTGTGGTTTTGATTTGCATTTCTCTGATGGCCAGTGATGGTGAGCATTTTTTCATGTGTTTTTTGGCTGCATAAATGTCTTCTTTTGAGAAGTGTCTGTTCATATCCTTCACCCACTTTTTGGTGGGGTTGTTTTTTTCTTGTAAATTTGTTTGAGTTCATTGTAGATTCTGGATATTAGCCCTTTGTCAGATGAGTAGGTTGCGAAAATTTTCTCCCGTTTTGTAGGTTGCCTGTTCACTATGACAGTGATTTCTTTTGCTGTGCAGAAGCTCTTTAGTTTAATTAGATCCCATTTGTCAATTTTGTCTTTTGTTGCCATTGCTTTTGGTGTTTTAGACATGAAGTACTTGCCCATGCCTATGTCCTGAATCATATTGCCTAGCTTTCCTTCTAGGGTTTTTATGGTTTTAGGTCTAACATTTAAGTCTTTAATCCATCTTGAATTAATTTTTGTATAAGGTGTAAGGAAGGGATCCAGTTTCAGCTTTCTACATATGGCTAGCCAGTTTTCCCAGCACCATTTATTAAACAGGGAATCCTTTCCCCATTTCTTGTTTTTGTCAGGTTTGTCAAAGATCAGATAGTTGTAGATATTTGGCATTATTTCTGAGGGCTCTGTTATGTTCCATTGGTCTATATCTCTGTTTTGGTACCAGTACCATGCTGTTTTGGTTACTGTAGCCCTGTAGTATAGTTTGAAGTCAGGTAGCGTGATGCTTCCAGCTTTGTTCTTTTGGCTTAGGATTGACATGGCAATGCAGGCTCTTTTTTGGTTCCATATGAACTTTAAAGTAGTTTTTTCCAATTCTGTGAAGAAATTCATTGGTAGCTTGATGGGGATGGCATTGAATCTATAAATTACCTTGGGCAGTATGGCCATTTTCATGATATTGATTCTTCCTACCCATGAGCATGGAATGTTCTTCCATTTGTTTATATCCTCTTTTATTTCATTGAGCAGTGGTTTGTAGTTCTAGGTCCTTCACATCCCTTGTAAGTTGGAATCCTATGTATTTTATTCTCTTTGAAGCAATTGTGAATGGGAGTTCACTCATGATTTGGCTCTCTGTTTGTCTGTTATTGCTGTATAAGAAAGCTTGTGATTTTTGCACATTGATTTTGTATCCTGAGACTTTGCTGAAGTTGCTTATCAGCTTAAGGAGATTTTGGGCTGAGAGGATGGGGTTTTCTAGATATACAATCATGTCATCTGCAAACAGGGAGAATTTGACTTCTTCTTTTCCTAATTGAATGCCCTTTATTTCCTTATCCTGCCTGATTGCCCTGGCCAGAACTTCCAACACTATGTTGAATACGAGTGGTGAGAGAGGGCATCCCTGTCTTGTGCCAGTTTTCAAAAGGAATGCTTCCAGTTTTTGTCCATTCAGTATGATATTGGCTGTGGGTTTGTCGTAGATAGCTCTTATTATTTTGAGCTATGTCCCATCAATACCTAATTTATTGAGAGTTTTTAGCATGAAGGGTTGTTGAATTTTGTCAAACGCCTTTTCTGCGTTTATTGAGATAATAATGTGGTTTTTGTCTTTGGTTCTGTTTATATGCTGGATTACGTTTATTGATTTTCATACGTTGAACCAGCCTTGCATCCCAGGGATGAGGCCCACTTGATCATGGTGGATAAGCTTTTTGATGTGCTGCTGGATTCGGTTTGCCAGTATTTTATTGAGGATTTTTGCATCAATGTTCGTCAAGGATATTGGTCTAAAATTCTCTCTTTTTTGTTATGTCTCTGCCAGGCTTTGGCATTAGGATGATGCTGGCCTCATAAAATGAGTTAGGGAGGATTCCCTCTTTTTCTATTGATTGGAATGGTTTCAGAAGGAATGGTACCAGCTCCTCCTTGTACCTCTGGTAGAATTCGACTGTGAATCCATCTGGTCCTGGACTTTTTTTGGTTGGTAAGCTATTAATTATTGCCTCAATTTCAGAGCCTGTTATTGGTCTATTCAGAGATTCAACTTCTTCCTGGTTTAGTCTTGGGAGAGTGTATGTGTCGAGGAATTTATGCATTTCTTCTAGATTTTCTAGTTTATTTGTGTAGAGGTGTTTATAGTGTTCTCTGATGGTAGTCTGTATTTCTGTGAGATTGGTGGTGATATCCCCTTTATCATTTTTTATTGCATCGATTTGATTCTTCTCTCTTTTCTTCTTTATTAGTCTTGCTAGCAGTCTATCAATTTTGTTGATCTTTTCAAAAAACCAGCTCCTGGATTCATTGATTTTTTTGAAGGGTTTATTGTGTCTCTATTTCCTTCAGTTCTGCTCTGATTTTAGTTATTTCTTGCCTTCTTGTAGCCTTTGAATGTGTTTGCTGTTGCTTCTCTAGTTCTTTTAATTGTGATGTTAGGGTGTCAATTTTAGATCTTTCTGCTTTCTCTTGTGGGCATTTAGTGCTGTAAATTTCCCTCTACACACTGCTTTGAATGTGTCCCAGAGATTCTGGTATGTTGTGTCTTTGTTCTCATTGGTTTCAAAGAACATCTTTATTTCTGCCTTCATTTTGTTATGTACCCAGTAGTCATTCAGGAGCTGGTTGTTCAGTTCCCATGTAGCTGAGCGGTTTTGAGTGAGTTTCTTAATCCTGAGTTCTAGTTTGATTGCACTGTGGTCTGAGAGACAGTTTGTTATAATTTCTGTTCTTTTACATTTGCTGAGGAGTGCTTTACTTCCACCTATGAGGTCAATTTTGGAATAGGTGTGGTGTGGTTCTGAGAAGAATGTATATTCTGTTGATTTGGGGTGGAGAGTTCTGTAGATGTCTATTAGGTCCGCTTGGTGCAGAGCTGAGTTCAATTCCTGTATATCCTTGTTAACTTTCTGTCTTGTTGACCTGTCTAATATTGACAGTGCAGTGTTAAAGTCTCCCATTATTATTGTGTGGGTGTCTAAGTCTCTTTGTAGGTCACTAAGGACTTGCTTTATGAATCTGGGTGCTCCTGTATTGGGTGCATATATATTTAGGATAGTTAGTTCTTCTTGTTGAATTGATCCCTTTACCATTATGTAATGGCCTTCTTTGTGTGTTTTGATCTTTGTTGGTTTAAAGTCTGTTTTATCCAAGACTAAGATTGCAACCCCTGCCTTTTTGTGTTTTCCATTTGCTTGGTAGATCTTCCTCCATCCTTTTGTTTTGAGCTTATGTGTGTCTCTGCATGTGAGATGGGTTTCCTGAATACAGCACACTGATGGGTCTTGACTCTTTATCCAATTTGCCAGTCTGTGTCTTTTAATTGGAGCATTTAGCCCATTTACATTTAAGGTTAGTATTGTTATGTGTGAATTTTATCCTATCATTATGATGTTAGCTGGTTATTTTGCTCATTAGTTGATGCAGTTTATTCCTAGCCTCGATGGTCTTTACAATTTGGCATGTTTTTGCAGTGGCTGGTACCGGTTGTTCCTTTCCATGTTTAATGCTTCCTTCAGGAGCTCTTTTAGAGCAGGCCTGGTGGTGACAAAATCTCTCAGCATTTGCTTGTCTGTAAAGTATTTTATTTTTCCTTCATTTATGAAGCTTAGTTTGGCTGAATATGAAATTCTGGGTTGAAAATTCTTTTCTTTAGGAATATTGAATATTGGCCCCCACTCTCTTCTGGCTTGTAGAGTTTCTGCTGAGAGATCTGCTGTTAGTCTGATGGGCTTCTCTTTGTGGGTAACCCGACCTTTCTCTCTGGTTGCCCTTAACATTTTTTCCTTCATTTCAACTTTGGTGAATCTGACAATTATGTGTCTTGGAGTTGCTCTTCTCGAGGAGTATCTTTGTGGCATTCTCTGTATTTCCTGAATCTGAATGTTGGCCTGACTTGCTAGATTGGGGAAGTTCTCCTGGATAATATCCTGCAGAGTGTTTTCCAACTTGGTTCCATTCTCCCTGTCACTTTCAGGTACACCAATCAGACGTAGATTTGGTCTTTTCACATAGTCCCATATTTCTTGGAGGCTTTGTTTGTTTCGTTTTATTCTTTTTTCTCTAAACTTCTTTTCACACTTCATTGTATTCATTTGATCTTCCATCTCTGATACCCTTTCTTCCCGTTGATCACATCAGTTACTGAGGATTGTGCATTTGTCATGTAGTTCTTGTGCCGTGCTTTTCAGCTCCATCAGTTCCTTTAACGACTTCTCTGCATTGGTTATTCTAGTTATCCATTCGTCTAATTTTTTTTCAAAGTTTTTAATTTCTTTGCCGTTGGTTCGAACTTCCTTCTTTAGCTCGGAGTAGTTTGATCTTCTGAAGCCTTCCTCTCTCAACTCATCAAAGTCATTCTCCATCTAGCTATTTCCTTTGCTGGTGAGGAGCTGCATTCCTTTGGAGGAGGAGAGGCACTCTGATTTTTAGAGTTTCCAGTTTTTCTGCTCTGTTTTTTCCCCATCTTTGTGGTTTTTATCTACCTTTGGTCTTTGATGATGGTGATGTACAGATGGGCTTTTGGTGTAGATGTCCTTTCTGTTTGTTAGTTTTCCTTCTAATAGTCAGGACCCTCAGCTGCAGGTCTGTTGGAGTTTACTGGAGGTCCACTCCAGACCCTGTTTGCCTGGGTATCAGCAGCAGTGGCTGCAGAACAGTGGATATTGGTGAACTGCAAATGCTGCTACCTGATCGTTCCTCCGGAAATTTTGTCTCAGAGGAGTACCCGGCCGTGTGAGGTGTCAGTACGCCCCTACTGGGGGGTGCCTCCCAGTTAGGCTGCTGGGGGGTCAGGGACCCGCTTGAGGAGCCAGTCTGCCCGTTCTCAGATCTCCAGCTGCATGCTGGGAGAACCACTGCTCTCTTCAAAACTGTCAGACAGGGACATTTAAGTCTGCAGAGGTTATTGCTGTCTTTTGTTTGTCTGTGCCCTGCCCCCAGAGGTGGAGCCTACAGAGGCAGGCAGGCCTCCTTGAGCTGTGGTGGGCTCCACCCAGTTCAAGCTTCAGGGCCGCTTTGTTTACCTACTCAAGCCTGAGCAATGGCAGGCGCCCCTCCCCCAGCCTTGCTGCTGCCTTGCAGTTTGATCTCAGACTGCTGTGCTAGCAGTGAGCGAGGCTCCATGGGCGTAGGACCCTCTGAGCCAGGTGTGGGATATAATCTCCCAGTGTGCCGTTTGATAAGCCCTCTGGAAAAGTGCAGTATTAGGGTGAGAGTGACCCGATTTTCCAGGTGCAGTCTGTCACCCCTTTCTTTGACTAGGAAAGGGAATTCCCTGACCCCTTGCGCTTCCCGGGTGAGGTGATGCCTCTCCCTGCTTCGGCTCACGCACAGTGCGCTGCACCCACTGTCCGGCACTCCCCAGTGAGATGAACCCAGTACCTCAGTTGTAAATGCAGAAATCACCCATCTTCTGCGTCGCTCACACTGGAAGCTGTAGACTGGAGCTGTTCCTATTCGGCCATCTTGGCTCCACCCCCAGTCTGACTAGAAGTTTACGAATGTTATTAATTTTTCAAAGAATCAGCTTTGTGCCTGAATTATTTTCCTCCTTTTTAAAATTTTTATACTATCATTTCAGGCTGATTTTTATTATTTTTTTCTTCAGCTTACTTTGGGTATAGTTTTCTCTTTTTATTCTGATCTTTTAGTGTGAAATCTGGGGTAATTGATTTGAGGTCTTTCTTCTTTTTTCTAATATAGGCATTTAATGCTATAAATTTCCCCTTAAGTACTACTTTAGTGGTATTCTACAAATACTGACGTGTTGTGTTTTCATTAACATTTAGTTTAAAACAGTTTTAATTTCCCTTGTGATTTCTTCTTTGATTCCTAGGTTATTTTGCAGTACATTATTTAGTTTACAAGTATTTGGGATATTTCTAGAGATCTTTCTGTTATTGATTTCTAATTAGCAGAACTTGCATCTTTTAAGGTTTACTGAGGCTTGTTTTATGGTCCAGAACATGCCCTATCTTGGTAAATGTTCCAAGTCCCCTTTCAGAAAAAAATATATGTGTGTTCCATTATTGTTCAGTGGAAGGTTCTATAAATGTCAATTAGGTCAAGTTAGTTGATAGTGGGGTAAAAGTCCAGTGTACCCTTACTCACTTTTCTATCTACTTATTCTCTTAATTATTGTGCTTCATATATTTTGTAGCTCTGTTTTTTGCCTAGAGATTGAGAACTATTATGTCCTCTTGATAAATTGTCCCCTTTATCATTATGAAATGATTTTCTTTATCCCTGGTAGTATTTTGTTTTCTGAAATCCACTTTGCCTGATTTAATGTAACCACTTACCTTTTTTTTTAACTGGTGATTATTGATATTGTAAGGTTTACATCTATCATCTTGCTATTTGTTTTCTATTTGTTTCAGATTTCAAATATTCTTGAGCTTTATTTGAGGATGCAGTGATATTACTTGGGAAACAGTTTCATTCATTCTGGTGTTCCTTCCAAGGGTCGTTAGGAAGGAACAGAATCATATTTAGTCTAAGGTTATTCCCTACAACCTAGGCCAGACCCTTCCAAGTCCTCAACCCACTATCCCATGAATTATGAGGTTTTCCTGTCTGGGTAGTGGAAACAGGCATGATTTCAGGGCCTGTGTGCGCCTATTACCTCTAAACCTTGTTTTTTCTGATTTCTTTGCATGCATGCACCAAACAGCACTCTGCTAAATGCTTGAGGGAGAAACCCTTTGTGGATCTCTGGAGGTCTCTTTGTGTGCAGCTCTATTATTTCTGGTATTCTGTCCTATTAATTCTGGCTGCAGTAATCTCTCCAGTTGCCTCTGTGACTCTTCAACTGAAGAAGTCTTTTGGGCTCTGTCTTATTTCCCCTCCTGCATTTTGGCCTAAAATCTCTATGAATGCGATAAGCTGGGGCAGTCATAGGACTCATTTTGTTTGTTTCCCATCTCTCAGGGGAAAACTGATCCTTAATGATCTAATTTCTTAAAAATTTGTTTCATGTATTTGTTTGCTTATTGTTTTGCTTTTTGTTTTGTTTTGTTTTTGAGCGTTTCAGGTAAGAAGGTAAATCCAGCCCCTATTACTCTAATTTAGCTAGAATAGGGAATACAAAAGGATGCAAAATTGAATTAATAGTACCATATGACTTTCTTTCCTATATTAGTTTGTTACCAACATCCTCGTGGTTAAAATGAAACTTTAGGTTTCCCTGTGGATTTTTCTAATGTAGTCATGAAGCAAAATTCCAACGACAATGGATAGTTGACTGCACAATACAACAACTGTTCTTAATGAAATAAAGAAGATTCACATTCCTACATTATATTAGTGAGGGCAATATGAGCTGGTGTAACAACAGTTCTCTATATTTTAGTGACTGAACGTGAAGAAAAGTTTCATTTCTTGTTCACATTGGAGTAGAACATGATGTTTCCAATGTGCTGCAGACTTTTTTTGATGAAATAACTTGGGGACCCAGATTCTTTCATCCCCTGTCTCTGTCATTTCCCAGTGCCTCAGAATTTTTTGTTTTGTTTTTGTTTTGAATACAGTTAGAAGACAGAGAAGAGGGTGCAGAAGCCACATTGTTCTCCATCACCTAAACCCAGATATGATACTCATTACTTCAACTCACATGCCTTGGCAAGATCTAGATGCAGGAGGTTCTGGCAACTGTTGCCCTGACAAGCCAACATATAGCAACAGCTGTACCCCAAAAAGGCAAGCAAGCTCTCTGCTGAATTGCTCACCATCTCTTGACAAACATAAAGAACTCTTTGGTCTTTTAACCCCTTCTAAAATATATGCTTCATTTTTCCCCCCATGCCTCCAACTCTGATGCTGTGCAGTAGCCTCAATGTCTCTTTCATCCACTCACGCTCTTAAGGGAGCCTTCTTCTTTTGTATAACTAAAAAAGCACACTAGGTTTCTTTTCATAGCACAATCCCCACATTTGTATCAAAATCACACATCACATCTCACCAGGTGATTGCTGAATAATCTCAGGGACTGTGGAGTCCATACAAAAGGAAGCCATGATTAGCTTCAAAGCATTTGTGAAGTAGACCTGCTTGGCTCCCTTTCAGCCAGGTAGGCTAGTACCTGTTGGACTTCTTTGGGATTAGTAGACTGCTCCCTCCAGTGACATAAAAAAATCATAAGCCAGATAGGGAAGTTATGAGAATTAAATGAGATAATTCATGTGAGGTGCTAAACATGGTCCCAGGCACATATAGAAAGCAATTCATAATCAAAGCTCTTGTAATTATTAGTTAATGGTAGGATTTTAAGGAAATATTTAAGTGCCCTCCTTGTGGATGGCGATAATATATTGAAAAAGTTAAGCTCGTATTGTTTTCTTCAACAAAAAAAATTGGTATATTATGTATATATAAAACAAATATGCATAGAATGTACCCCACAAATACTTACAAACATAATATATGCATATTTGTTCTATGCATAGAACGTGTAATGATCAAGTCAGGATATTCAGGGTATACATCACTGAAGTATTTATCCTACCAGTGTGTTGTGTACATGTCAAGTCCTTTCTTCTAGCTATTTTGAAAGATATAATACCTTGTTGTTAACTATAGTCACCCTACTCTTCTATCAAACATTCAAACTTTTTCTGCAATTAACTTATGTTGTTTTTAACTATAGTCACCCTACTCTTCTATTAACCAGTAGAACTTATGCTGCAATGAAAGCATAATAAGCTTTCATTATGTGCTAGCTGTCTGATTCTTCAAGAAAATGGGTTTTCCCCCTCACCTTCTGACATATCCCTAAAATAAGGTCTGAACACCTGTAACTGAATCCCCTTATAAGTTTTCACCACCCAGAAAGAGGCAGCAAAGAATACCAATAAACAACTTTGGTTCTGAATTCTGAAATCAAGGCCCAGCTTGAATTACTTACTATTGATTACTTACTAGCCCTGTGAGCTCCAATTCAGAATTCAAGGTCCAGGTCTATTACTTACTATCTGTGTGAGCTCTAGCAACCTCTTTGCAAATCTGTGAAATTTAGTCAGTGACATTCCTTCATAGAAACATTATCAATGGAGAGAGATAATATATGTAAAGTACTTAGCAGAGAAGATGGTGTATAGTAAGTGCCTAATAAATGTTATTATAATTAATATGATTATAAAGAAGAGGCAGTAAAATGTAGTAGGTAGAATATTGAGATTGGAGGGAGATGACTCAAATTTATGTCTAGGTTTTGTTGCTTTTAACTGCTGAGGCTCAGTATTCTCACCAATAAAGTGGGGTTAATAATATTCCCCTCCAGGGGTTGAAGGAGTGATTGTATTATAAAGTATGTGAAAGTAAATAAAACCTTGCCTCAAACCCATAAAATCTTAATTGCGTGTAAAAATTCTTTACTTCATTTATAGTATCTGTCACCCTAGGCAAGTTGACCTTTCTTTCACATAAATTATGTCTTTTATTTGGCCTTCTGTAGTTAGTATCAAAACAAGACAAAACAAAACAAGATTGTAAACAATTATAAAGAATAATACTGCATACAGCATCATTATTTAAGAATAGAATGACGGCCGGGGCTGGTGGCTTACGCCTGTAATCCCAGCACTTTGGGAGGCCGATGCGGGCAGATCACCTGAGACCAGGAGCTCCAGACCAGCCTGGTCCAACACGGTGAAGCCCCGTCTCTACTAAAAATACAAAAATTAGCTGGGCATGGTGGTGGGAGCCTGTAATCCCAGCTACTCAGGAGACTGAGGCAGGAGAATCTCTTGAACCTGGAAGTTAGAGGTTGCAGTGAGCCGAGATCACACCACTGCACTCCAGCCTGGGTGACAGAGCCAGGCTCCATCAAAAAAAAAAAGAAGAATAGAATGACAGGGCTGGGCACAGTGACTCACGCCTGTAATCCTAGAACTTTAGGAGGCTGAGATGGGCAGATTGTGAGGTCAGGAGTTTGAGACCAGCGTGGCCAACATGGTGACACCCCTTCTCTACTAAAAATACAAAATTTTTTGGGTGTCATGGCACATGGCTGTAATCCCAGCCACTTGGGAGGCTGAGGCACGAGAATCACATGAACCCTTAAGGCAGAGATTGCAATGAGTCGAGATCATGCCACTGCACTCCAGATTGGACGACACAGTGAGACTCTATCTCAAAAAAAAAAAAAATAGAATGACATTCTTTTCCTGAAAGAATGTGACCGTTGAAATTATGAAGAAAGACCACTGCTGGATTTGTGCAGTGACATTTCTGAAACACATTGTATATGGCATAAATTGCTTTAATCACAAAGGAGAGAAATATTAATATCTGTGCTCCTGTAAGCTCTACCCCAAGTTAATTTTAAAGTTATTAGTAAAGACAAATTCCATTGGGTTATTGAGTGCCTTGCTAGAGAATCTCAATACAAAGGTTTAGCAAAGTATACCCATAAATTCAGCAACACATACAACTAGCTTATTGCAATTCAGGCGGGAAAATAACTCTCTAAGGCAGGGATCACGCATGAGTTTTGCCGTATGGGCCAACTCTCATGCATTGCATTGTAGTCGGAAAGATTCTGAGGTCAAGTCTGAAGTCAACAGTCGAAAGGGGTTCTGATCTACAAATAATATTCTACTATGGGTGTTAGTGGGGAGAGATGACAGTGTGCTGCCTGTTCACCCTCCCTCTGCTCTGATGTGGTTTCTAATTCACATTAGAGGATTAATCATTACAGAGAAGCCCTGCTCCTCTCAGACCTTTCTCTCTAAGACTTTGGGCAAACGCCGGCACCATGTTTTTCATTCATTTTTTTCTTTTCTCTTATTATTGTATGAGAAGAAAACCAGAGAGATTTCTGTGGCATATTTTCCACACTCTCTCTTCTGTTCTCCTAGGGAGATGCCCTTCTATCCTGTCTCAGTTTCCCAATCCTAAACGTCCTTCAAAAGTAAGTTCAAGCTCATCTTTTCTGTGCATGTTTACCTGCTCAGTACTGCTCACATGAATCTCTCGCAACTCCAAACGCCTGAAAAAAGGTTTATATCTCACAATTGAGTGTTCCGTTGTAGAATGTCTCTTATATATCTTTAGAGTGTTACTATGTCTTGTTCAAGTAGCACAGGGGCCGGGAAATACAATTTGAAGGGAGAGGCTAATCTTTAAAGGCAGTCATTGATTGTATTTTAAATTACAATTTACAACCCCATGGTAATGAACACATAGGCTAAACAAATATAAACTCAATTAAAATAACATGCAATGATACTTTACAAAAATGCTGCTGAGAAGAACATCGAGTTTACATCATGCTGAATATCTAAAAATAGCTAGATGACTATTTAACCTTCTATTTATATGTATAGATATAGCGTTATAATTTTCCCACTAGAATTTAATTTTATATTATAGACCCTTTCAGTGCCTTCAGTGACCCTATGAGTGTCTTTTTAAGATTGCCTTTGGACCCTGGTGTCGTTTTGGGACTGCCACTAAGTGCAATCCTAAAATTTTCCATAAAGATTCACTCTTGCTTTTATTTCACAAGGTGTTTCCATTTAGTTAAAATTAATCTCTCTGTTGAAGGAATTTCTCCCAGGACTCAGAGCTTTCCATTCTTGATTAAGGTGTCTCACTTGTCAGCTTGCTGAGGGCAGGGATCTCAGAGCATAGCTCAATGGCAGCCGAAGCCCCGGTGTGATGTGTGGCATTGCTTCATTCCAGAACGAGTGTTCCCTGAGGGCTGCATTTGACATCTGCAAAACGCTCCCTCTGCATTTGCACTCTCAACACTGACACAAAAATGTAAGCCTTGTTTTGTAGTGTCCCATAGGCAGCACATCTTGCATAAAATATTTTAAACTGTATTTCACCTTCGTGTAGGTTTGTTTTACTGGTTTCTGCATATGTCCCAAGTTAAAGCATTGCTGCAGACCAATTTCATTCCCACCCCGATTTACCCTCCTCTCATTTGCACATTGTAACATAGCAAGGGGACACCTTTCCTCATATCCACCATCAGCCCATCCCCTACTGCTCTATTGTCCAAGATATTTACCAGCACAAGTAACACCTTCAATGTTTCATCCATTCATTCAATGTAATAAGTGGTGAGAAAACACAGTGAAAAAGAGGGATATATTTCTGGTCGACTTGGAGTTGACAATCCAGAGGAAAGACATTATATAAACAGGTATTCCACTAACTCTAAAAGACACTTGGATGCATTTTACAAAGATAAAGTACAGACTGTTATAATATAACGTAGAATGGCAAACAGGAGCTCACCTATTTTGGAAGCAGGTGATCAGGGGAACACAGAAGGATGTTTTAAATAACTCTGTTGAGGTAAAATTTACATGTAATACACGGCATACATGTACACACACTATTTCATTATGTGTATATATGTGTGTGTGTGTGTGTGTATATATATATACCCACTAGCCATCATCGTAATCAAAACATCAAATTTACCACCCCCAAAGTTTTCTTGTGCCCCTATGCAATCTTTGTTACTCTCTATATATTAGTTTACATTTCCTAGAATTTTATAAAAATGGTATCAGGCTTTTTTTTTTTTGGAAGAGTCTGGTTTATTTTACTCAGCATAATGGTTTGAGATACATCTGTGCTATTTTGTGTTATCAATAGTTTACTCTTCTTATTGGTTGACTAATTGATAAATTATTTACTTTTTTGTTGCTGAATAGTAATCTTCTGTGAGGGTGTACTACAATTTATTTATCTGTTCACCTGCTGATGGACATTTGAGAAATTTTCAGGCTTGTCTTTTGTAAATAAAGCTGTTGCAAATATTTGTCTACAAGTATTTGTGTGGATGTTATTCTTTCATTTTCCCTGGGTAAATATCTAGGAGTGGAATTTCTGGGACATAATTTCATTTTCTAAGACATTTGGTCATTGAATAAATGGCAGTGACGGTGGTCTAGACCTTACATAACCGATGTCTGACATGTATCTGAGAGTTGAAGCTGAGTTAAACTAAATACAAAAAAACTTTCCTAAGAACTAATATGGATGTTACCAATTTCATACCCTAAAATCCATGACTTTGGATTATAAGAGAGTCCTTCTAGCTCTCATTCAAAAATCTATTTGATACCTACTTTATACAGTTCAAATAAATCCAGGTACCAAGTTTCTCATACTAGAGCATATTAGAAGCAGAAAATCCAGTGGTTGAAGAGAAGAATTAATGCAGATAAGTGAAAGCATATACCACAGCAAAAAAAGTGAAAAGATTGAAAAACATAAAATTATAACTCAAAACCCATAATCAAAATGGTACTTTAAGGCCATGATGTCCAGGGGCATATGGCCCTGTAGGCGTCATTTGATTAAAGTGGAGGAAATTTTTGATGGTGAAAATTAAAATGCTAATCTGAAAGTGATAGCTATGCTTGATTGTGTAATATGTGGCAGAATTAAGGCTAAGCTCTCTCTACACATGATCTCATTTCATTCACATAATGACCCTATGAAGTAGGTATTGATACATTTTACAGAGGAAGAAAGGAAAGCTTAGAGAAGTTAAGTACCTTTGCTTTGGTTGTATGGCTCATGGCCATGACTCTAGCCTGCCTACTCTAAGTAATCAAGAAAAGATTAAATTATGTTATTTTTACCTATGTAAAAATAATAATAAATTTTAAAAGAATTCCATCAAAACTAGATTTTTTTTCCTTCAAATTTGGAATTCTTCAGGAAGATGGTTAAGGTATGTAAAATAGCAGTTAAAGTAGAAACATCCATTCCCTAATCATGGAAAATAAATGAAGTTTTTCTATAAATGCTTTCTAATAATTACATTACCCTTTGTGATGCTCTGTGAGGCTATGAAAAGACTCTAGGAAACTGGGCTTCCTGAAAAGTGGCAAGAGTTTAATGCTAATACTAGACAATATATTACCCCATCTGACCTCATTAAGGGTTGCAGTTACCATGTTTAGTTACAAAGCACATATATCCCTCAAATGAGTCCACAGTTTTTTAAAATAGGAAGTCCCAGACATGTGATCGATCACCAGATTCATTTAGAATCCATTTATCTTTATGACAATATGTATTATGGATCATCAGCCCATAATCATGCAGACTCTATTAATGCTCATTGTCCGTATGGTGATTTTAAAATGTGGTGTCTCTACTGGGAGGTTAGTTTTTTTCACACTTGTGAGTAACAAATGGAAACTCATGGAGAGGTATGGTTTCTCTCTGTCTCTTGGACTCTTATCTGAAGGTGTTTCTTTCTGTAGCACCAGAAAAGAGGCTGAACATCTAAAAACTGGAGGAGGTCAGACTAATAGAAGATTAGATTTAGGAAGTTTCTGCTTATATCAATAGGTCCTCCAAACCAATAACAACTATAATCCTAAACATACTTTGCTTAAAGACTAATTCTAGTGTTAAATCAGGCAAACATCAACTAACCAGACCTTTCTTTTAAGGGAAGCTTCCAGCCCCAGTGTGTATCCCAGGCAATGACTCAAGCTGAGCCACCCCCAATCCATTCCCCTGCTCTTCCCGACCTCTTTCCAGTGTGCCTTCTTCTTTGTATTTCACTGTTTTGGATTTAAGAAATTTGCAAAGAATTCTTTGTGGTCCTGATAAAGATTTTCCAGCTCTCTTTTCCAGCTATGACATCACTTTAGCACCTTTGAAGCCCACTAATCAATGTATATAACCAATGATCACCAACCCCCAACCCAATCCAAATCAACATCTCTCCACACTTCCTATGCTTCTGACACTAATTTATCTCCCACCAAAATACTACCAGATTAATCCCATCATGCCTTTATTCCCATTTTACTCTGTAACCACCAAAAAATCCAAGCATCCCAGGATTTTAAATACCCAGAATTTATCCCTATAACCCGTTATATCCCTTAACTAACATAATCTTCCATTTCTTTCCAATTCCTCACTCTCCAAAACATTTTCAATGTATTCCCTGGAACATGCAGTCTGTCATTAGCAAAATTCCCAATCTCCAATATTTTCTCTTATTGTTTTCTTCCTCTTCTGACTTGAATAGAAAATTGACTTCCCTTGATGACCCAGGTTCCCTTATTTTCCCCTAAGAGGAGAATGCCTTTTTCTGCTCCTTCTACCTATGGTGGGGCCTGGGGGTTGGATGTCATTCTCTTTCTCTCTTATTGCTGTTTCTCAGACATTTCTGATTCAAAAAACTCACTGTATTAAAAACACAGGCCAACAAAATGTACTATCCTGGTTGTCATAGTTGTCTGCTAAATTTTACTCATTTCTCCTTATTTTCTGAATATTTTTGCTTGCAGCCTTCTGTTTTTCTCTCACTATTTTTGTCCTTATTTCTGGTGATTTCAAAATTTACACTGATCGTTTGCCCAAAATCCCAGTCTCTCTCACTTCCTTGACCTGTGTACATATGAGATCTTCTCTTCCACCTGATTTCAGCCACTCATTCCTTTGGAAATATCCTATAACTTATTATCAGTAAGAGTGAAATTTGCGAAATCTCAATCACTAGCATCTTGTGTTCTCACAGCCACCTCCTTCTCTTCATAATATCACGCTAAAGATACCAGTCTGACAATTTGCAGGCCCCTTTCAGATCTCTGAAAACCCTGTCAATTCCACCTTACGCAGTTTAACTGCTACTCTTCTTGTCATAATCATTCCCTTGCTCATACCTTCAACTCCTTTGCCTCTTCTCCATTTGTTGACTTTCCTGGCAAACCCTCTCATAACTCTCCACCTATTAGACTGCTGAATTGAGGAGGTAGAATATGGCTTGAGAAAAATGCACAAGCAGTACTGACTGGTCATTCCTGAGTGTCTCCATGGACCTTTACACCAACCAGAAATTCTACTCCACACCCTCCATCAATCGCACTTTCTCCTCTCCACTTAACCATTCATCCTATCTGTCTTCTTTTTACTTCCATTGATTCTACTTATTTCATTTAAAAATAGCATAGACACAATCAAAAGAAAACGCCTTACCTTCCTACAACCAAATCTACTGGCCCAGCTGCATTTTCCCATGGATAATACCTCCTTGTTCTTAACTAGGGCAAAACCATCCACTCATGTCCTGTAGACCCTCCCTTCTGTCCCACTGGAGCCCTGTCCTCATGCAGTTATTTCTTCAGTTTTCTGTATGCTCAGCATATGGATCTGTACTAGATTATCCCTCCTGAGGTATAAACATACTACACTACACCATCCCATCTAAAAAAAAATAAAATAAACTAACTACAAACTTCCTACAGCCAGGGTTCCATATCTCTTTTCTTCCTTTTTAGAAAAACTCCTTGAAAGAAATAGTCCAAACTACTTCAACTTCCAGTTTTTCCTTAATTCACTGCAACTGAGGTTTCATCTCCACATCTTCCATCTTGCTAAATTTTATGGTACGTCCTCATTCATTACCTTATGCATACTTTTGATACCATATGAGCTAGATCTCCCTTAGCATTTACTTTGCTGTATTGTACTTGTTTGTCTACTCCCACCTAAATTTAGGAAACGTGAAGACTATCATTTTTGTCCCCGCACTTGCATAGCCTTGCACAATCCTGGTATACAGCTGAATAATTTTTTGTCGAATAAATGCATGACAAAATTAATCATGGTTAGTGATATCTGAGGAAATTATATCTACTGACACTAGAGCTATGAATTATATCTACTGACACTAGAAATATAGCAAAGTGAAGAAAGCTAAGCAGGAAACAGTATGTTAGAATCAGTCAAAAGGAGAAAAAAAGGTGGCCCACATACAAAATGAGAAAGGAAAACTCACTAGCACTACAAAGATAAAACCTGAGGAACATGAATATAATGAGATTTTCTTCAACAGTCAATGAGGACAATAATGATATGAAAATAATGAATAATGATGACATATACTTATTCCTATCAGTGACACAAATAATGCAGGTGAGAAGTGGTTAAACATGACAAGGTTCAGTTAGTGTAAGTAGTTTGTTAAGGTCACACAACTAGTAGTGCCAAGAGTGGGATTCAAACCCAGAACTGACTAAAAGTCTTGCTCTTAACTACAATGCTACATTGCAGTGTGAATTTTACCACCAAAGCAGTGAAGGAGGGGGACAGTTCCAGGTTTCATCAAGAAGACTAATAGCCCAATAGGAGAAAAGTGGAGATAATTTTTTCTTAAAAAAGAAAAGGAACAAATGCTGTAATCATGTTACATTTCAAGTTTTAAGCTGTTTACTTGTCTCTGGCTATCATCAATCATGAAGTGATTGTGAGGAAGTATACTTCAAGGTTAAATGCAAGGGGAAACTGCCTTCATTTCTGGAAAACTGCCAAAGGGCCCATGTATAGTTCATTTCTCTGCAGTGTGTAATTGCAGCTTTTATAAATAAGATTAAAAAAGAGCCTTGGTGGTCTATGGTAACCCTTATTTTCTTTGGAGATGTTTTCCAGGTGGCCAGTGTTCTGCAAAGTGGGTATAACTGCTGCTTCAGCATAAACACAAAGCTCTGCAATTTTGCCAGGAGAGAAGTAAATTATTTGCCAAAATAGAACCATGTGGAAAACTCAGAAGTTTTAGGTTCTGAAGAACTTTTATGGGCTGACATTTTGCATTCTTTAGCTCAGCAACCCCAAATATCTACTATATAATTAAGAACAACATCCGAGTAATACTACTGTCAGCATCTGGATGTTTATGGAGCTCTATCATGCACAAAGATGTATAGATTACTGCATAAAAAATATATCTCTGCTCATGATGTAAACCAACACTAACTGAAGAAGAGAATGCACTAATAACCTGGGCATGGCGGTGCAATCTGTAGTCCCAGCAACTTTGGGGGCTGAAACAGGAGAATTGCTTGAGCCCAGGAGTTTCAGGTTACAGTGAGCCCTCCAGCCTGGGTGACAGAGCCAGAGCTTGCCTCTAACTAAATAAAGGAAATTTTATCCCAATACATATCATTCATTCCAAAATGTGTGTATATGTTTAGCATTTTTAAAATCATGGTACAGTTTACAATGAATGTGGGTCATAGTTTAATTGGTAACATTTTATTCCTTTCTTATGTAAAATAGTGGTGTGACTTACATGAATGGCATCCTAGCTTCAGAGATTTATACACAAATATTAAGGATACTCTCAGTATGAGTGAGAAATATATGCTTATTTTTTTCGTCTCCACTCTGCACATCAGATTTGCCATGCTGAAGTTCTGTTGGAGTTTTCTCTACTTGATAAAAGCTTGTTTTTGACACTTTAATGCCTTCAAGCTACTGCCTTCATTTCACCAACTTAATTTCCATACAAGACCATCTACATTTGCTGCCTCCATATTCTCACCACTGATTCACCACCATCCACCACCCCTATTTCCTTACTCAATGCTTAATTGAAATTGTTATTTTGAAGATCAGCAATAGCCCCTTAATCAACAAATTTAAAGGCCTCTTGATAGCTTTTGACGCTGTTAAATATCTCTCCTGTCTCAGTCAGCGGGGCTGCTATGACAAAGTACTATGGACTGGGTGGCTTATAAACAACAGAAATTTTCTCACAGTTCTGTAGTCTAGAAGTCCCAGATTAGACTGCCAATCTGGTTGGGGTTCTGGTGAGGGCCCTTTTCTGAGTTGCAAACTGTGAACTTATCATTGTATCCTCACTTGGTGGAAAGAGAGTTAGTTAGGGAGCTCTCTGGGGTCCCTTTTATGAGGGCACTAATCCCATTCATGAGGATTACGCATTGTGTAAGGACTTAAACAGTAAGTCCGTAACATCCCTCCTCTTCAAACTTCTTGCCCCCCATGGTGACTTGTCCTACTTCTCAGACATATCCAGTCCCTTCTTTGCTCACTCTACTTCTTCCACATGCCTTCATAATATAAACGTGGTTTAAGATTCAGCCTTCAATTCTTTACACTTCCCCCAGAAATCAACAAGTCTCCCATCTGCAATTATAGTCTCCATGTATGTAAATAATCCTAAAAGGTTAATTTCTATCAGTTTCCTCTCCTCAAAGATAGTTTCTCTCAGATGACCATCCATTTTGACATATTTGCAATTTTTTATTTCTGCTGTCACATCAGCAGAAAACCAAACTCATGATTGTTCTTTTGTACCAGCTGCCCCTCCAGATTTCTTGGTATCTGACAGCAATGCCGTTAGCGTTCTCCCTGTCTTCTGTGTTCAATATCTCAGTGTCACTTTCACTTGTCTCTTTTTTTCTGTCCCTTGAATTTATGTTTGATAATTGACTGGGTGCTTTCTTCCAAATGTCTATTTTATCTGGCCTTCATTTTCTGCTTTCTTTGCCACCACTCTGGCCCAGATCCATGCTTCTGACCAATTAACCATTGTGGGAAATGTGGGTACCAGGGAAGCAGCAAGTAAAGGTCAAGAGCTGGGTGACATCATGCTGCTTCTCTGGTACTCAGAAATAAATGATGAGCAAAAAGACCCTAGGTGGGAGAGAGCCTGCCACTTCCCCCTGAAGAGGAACTGATGGAAAACTAATGCAGCTGAAGCACAGAGAGGACAGAGAAAAGTTGTTCAAGAACAATCCAGTCTTCTGTGTCAGATGACATTTGCTTAACAATGTTACCTTCTCTCCTTTCATTTTTCCTCTTATCTTTTTATTTTTTATTTTTATTTTTTGGAGACAGAGTTTTGCTCTGTCACCCAGGCTGGAGTGCAGTGATGTGATCGTGGCTCACTGCAGCCTCAACCTCCCAGGCTCAAGCAATCCTCCCGTCTTAGCCTCCCCAGTAGCTGGGACTTGTGGAACTATAGGCATGTGCCACCATGCCCGGCTAATTTTTTTATGTTTTTATTTTTGTAGAGATGGGGGTCTCACTATGTTGCCCAGGCTGGTCTTGCATTTCTGGACTCAAGAGATCTTCCTGCCACAGCCTCCCAAAGTGTTGGGATTACAGGTGTGAGCCACCATACCTGGCCTCTCCTTTCATCTTATTGGCAGGCACTTCCTGCCTGCACCTGATAGGTCAGGTAGACAATGTAACATTTATTTTAAAATTAAAATCTTAGGTTGTTCTTAATTGTCTCCAACTCAATTTCCGCCTACAGATGAGTAAATGACTTTTCAATGCTCTCTGGGGAGTAAATGAGCAAGGTTCTGCTCGCATCCATCTGAGTGGTGCTATTGAGGGGTCTGCTGATTACAGATAGGCAGGAGTAGGAAGTTCAGCAACCTCTCAGCAGTTCCACAAACAAGGCACACTCAAGTTGAGAAATATCCACACCAAAAAGAAACGGTGTTTTGGTCATCCCTGTCACCAACACCCTATCCTTTGTGCCAAGGTGATCTGAAAGATTTTCAGATCTGGAGTGGATAATTACTTTGCAGGAATGTTTCAGAAGGAATGCACATATCACGAGTGCTATACGAAATGCCCTTGGGGCTCTCTCCCAGCCCAGGTCCTTCCGATGTTAACAAAGAATTTACTGTGACTCCATCAGTATGAGCTAGATTCATGGAATTTTTTTTATACTTCCAGAATTTATGTATTTTGGTGGCATCGTTTTAATCTTCTTCCTTATCAGACCACATAATTAGTGTAGGCAGGAGGTGAAAGAGTTGTGACAATGTAATACTCCTTCACATTTGGTTGTTCTCTTTTGGAGATCAAAACAGAATAATCAAGTAGGAGGAGAAAAATGTAAGGATGCAAGGTTGGACTAGTACTTCTGAGATCTTCTAAGCTGAGGATTTTCTGGGGTCTCCAGCTAATAAACAGAAGCTGTTATATTTTTGCAGTTTATATTTCTTGCAATGAATACATATTCTTAGAGAGCAGAAACAGTGTTTACCAAAAGGTGAACTTCCCTAAGATTGCCCATTAACTCTCATTCAGGCATGAATTCGTATAATCATTTCCTTGTCTTCTTATACTTACCTTGCAAATAAACTTTAAAAGATGGAAAGGCCTATGTTTAATGTATATGATGAATCAGTGTATCTATTAGAAAGTTCCAAATGTTGCCATAATGAAAAATAGGTCAAAGAGGATGGTGGCTTAAAGTCAGATATAAAAACTTTGGCAATAAATGACTAGTAAAACAAAAGAGTCTCTGTAATTGCTAATAAACTCAATTTATTGAGCCCAGATGTGGTGGTAAGAGCAGGAGTTTTGGAGCAGATATCTGGGAGTATAAATCTTGGTCCTACCATTTATAATGTATGTGATCTTTGGCCATGATGAGGCTTAACCTCTTTCACCTTCAGGTATCTCTCCTATAAGGGGGAATAATAATAATATCTTACAAAATAATGATGAAGATTAGAGTTGATTAAATAATATCAGGTATGTGACTCTATTATAGCACAGTGACTGCTGAAGTATTTTATTGACTTTCAAACTCCTGGCCTCAAGTGATCCTCCCACCTCAGTATTTTATTGACTTTCAACCAGTGTTGGTAACCATTATGGAATTTGCTTTGAGTTGCCAAACTATAGTAAGGCCTTAATAAGACTTCCTTTTTTTATTTTTATTTATTTTTATTTTTTGGAGACAGAGTCTGGCTCTGCCACCCAGGCTGGAATGCATTGACACAATCACAGCTCACTCACTGCAGCCACAAACTCCTGGGCACAGGTGATCTTCCCAGCTCAGCCTCCAGAGCAGCTGGGACTATAGGCATGCCCCACCAAGCCTAGCTACTCCTTTTTGTGCGTTTTGTAGAGACAGGGTTTTGCCATGTTGCCAGGCTGATCTCCAACTCCTGGGCTCAAATGATCGGCTCACTTTGGTCTCCCAAAGTGTTGGGATTACAGGCGTGAGCCACCACGCCTGGCTCGGACTTACTGATTTACCCTAATCGGCTCTGTTGTTTCACACAATATCTTCTTACTTTATCATTAAAGTTGGGATGAGTTTATGTAATATACATCATAAATTATCATATATTTTCAGTCTTTATGAAGAAGAATACAGCTTTTGGAGGGTATTTTTCCTATGTAGTCAATAAGGATGAACAACGTTATATATTGATACAGAACAAATATAAAACAAAAACTATTATGTCCCATGTGAAATGCTGAACCTCAGTGCTTTATTTCAATACAGGACTGGGGACTAGGCAGACATGAGCTGGAATCCTCATTCTGCCATTTCATACAGTGGTTCTCAAACCTGGCTGCCCATCAGAATGCCCTGTGGGTGTCCATTCAATTAAATCAGCCTCTGGGGTGTGGAGAGGAGGAGGGCAAGGAGATCTGGGCATTGGTATTTGTTAAAAACAAAAACAAACAAGTTATTGAAATCAAGTTGAGAGTTTAGTAGCTGTGTGAATTAGGGACATTGATTTACCCTGAGACTTGTGTATTCCCTAGGGCTGCCATAACAAAGCACTACAAACTGGGTGGGCTTGAACAAAAACAAATGTATTGTCTACAAATATCTGGAGGCCAGAAGTTCAAAATCAGTGTGCCAGCAGGGTCTTTCTCTTTTCCAAGGCTCTAGGGAAAGTATCTGTTTCATGCATATCTCTTAGCTTGTGATAGTCTCTCGGATTCCTCGGCTGTTAGATGGCTACATCTTCTCCATTGTTTCTTCACATCATCTTTCCTCTGTGCCTGTCTGTCTCTGTGTCGAAATTTCTTCTTATTATGAGAACACTAGTCTCATTAGAGTCCACCCTAATGAACTCATTTTATTTTGATTACCTCTGTAAGGACCGTATTCCTAAGAAAGGTCGTATTCTGAGATATTGGTGGTTAGAACTTCAAATATATTTTTGGAGGGACATAATTCAACACATGACAGTTACTATATGCATCTGGAAAATGGGGATAATAATCGCACTTCTTTCATTTTATTGAGAGAATGAAGTGGGATCATTTACTTAAAATGCTTATTGCAACATTAAGTTGGAAATAAGCTATTTTAATATTTGCTGTGTATCAGGATCATTATTTTAATATTTTGTTCTCATTATCATTATTTATTTTATGATCTTTTATTTTTCCCTTCCTTTTCAGAGGAATACCCAAGACTTTTGTGCTCCTTTGGGCTCAGGAGAGTTTTTTATTGCAGGGTCAAGAAGTAGAAGCTGACTCAAGACAGTTCCCCTCCATATCTTTCAAGGCATCATGAAAAGTGTCTGAAAGCAAGGCACTTAACCATTGTTACCCATTCCATACATTTACCAGAATTACCACATGTGTACCGCTCTGTAGAATATGAGCCCAGGGTTGTCAGATTTTCTAATTCTTTGAGTACACCAGAAATTCAATTTGTGTGTAAAATCTACCAAAAATTGAATGTTGACAACTAATTTCATTCCTGCCTAACTCACTCCAATTTCAATGATGTCATGTTAGTAGCATAAATTTGGTTATATTGGGAGTAGTTACACCACTAAAATCAGGAAGCTCTACAAACCAGGGTGTTTTTTTTTTCTTTCTTGTGAGCCAGTAATTTAAAAACTACCAGCACATCCTTTTTATTTTGCTTGCTTTTTTTGTTAATTTTTGTAATTTATAGTTTTCAAAGTTGGCCCCATCAGGGCAGGTTAGGTAGTATGACTTAATAATGTCCTGAAAATTATCTATCTCTGCCTGACTAATATAGGTCATTTTACACACATAAGTTGGTTTTTTACATTTCAAAGAAATATGTTTAGCTATAATATCTGTTTCCATCTTCAAAATAGCAGGTAGTTATCATTATCCCCATTACATAAATGAAGACACTAACTACTCAGAGAAGTTAATTAAACTTTCTGAGGTCGCATAGTGTATCAGTGAATAGTTAGTGAATCAGTAAATAGATTTGAATCCAACTCTACTGATGCTCAGTTCACTGTGTGCCCCCACTGTGGCTCCTTTCATATTTAGGGCACTATAAAGAGCTCTGTCAGGTTCCAAAATCTGTGTTTCGTGACCTAGCACAGTAGCGCCTTAATGAATAGTTAATGAATGAATGGGTCAGGATAAAGCAAATCCATTATCCATCAGTTCTTGAGAGTTCATGGGAAATTTCCATCACATGATCTCCATGGTTTTGCCCTGCCTGCTCCTTCTCTTAGGAAGTTAACAATTCCACCCATATCTAAGGCCCAGCCCTTTAAAGACAGAGAGTGGTGGTGGTTTGGTTAGGGGTACAGGGAATCTCCATCCCCAGACAGACTTGACACATCGTATGTTCCCAGAGTACAAGAGAGTCACCAGGAAAAGCAGAGTACTGGCTGTGACTGCAATTGTCAACTCTTGTTTCCCCACTGCCACCTTCAGAGTGTGTAAAGCAGAAATGCATGTGCCTTTTCCTAAGACCTAGAGGCAATTTTCTCCTGCCTCAGATGTGAAAGAGCACAAGAAACATTTAACCCCACACACCACCCGACTGCCTGCACTAAGTGAACTGGGCCAGAGGGTACATCTTTTTTTGTAAAATTACATTTCTAGGTACATCTTCCAAAAAAGAAGTTTACTCTGATTAACCTGGTTCCCAGCCAAGAGTGACTCAGGGCATCTTCCAGTGCAAAAAGCTAGCCTCTCCTGAAAACTGCTCCAAGACTTTCCCTTCCGATCTACAGGTTGCAGCTAATGTTTAAGTGTCTGCAGTATAATTAGAAGCTGCTAAACTATCAAACCACAGCTTGCTCGGCCTCCCAACTAAATCACTGGGTTCAAACTTACTATTGTGTCTTCAGAGCTAATTGATGTGTTTAAATGGTTCAGGAAGAAAAGTTCTTTGGACCGTACTTACAACATTTCTGTAAGGTTGTAATTGTTTCAAAATAATTTTAAAAAGTTAAAATACTCACCTAGTTGTTGACTTTTTAAACATTAAAATATTTTAAACTTTAAAATATACACCTAGCCTTAGCAGCTATGGTAAGGACTTGGGTTTTGATTGGTAAGAGGGAAAGCCGTGGTGGGAATTTGAGCGTAGCTGGACGTTATCTCTTAGGCTGGTGTGTTAAGACTTGACTGTATGAGAGGGAAAACCGAACAGAGAGACCAGTTAGGCAGTTCCTACAAAAAAACCAAGAGAGAGGCCAGGCGCAGTGGCTCACGCCTGTAATCCCAGCACTTTGGGAGGCCGAGGCGGGCGGATCACGAGGTCAGGAGATCGAGACCATCCTGGCTAACACGGTGAAACCCCGTTTCTACTAAACAAAATACAAAAAATTAGCCGGGCGTGGTGGCGGGCGCCTGTAGTCCCAGCTACTCGGGAGGCTGAGGCAGGAGAATGGCGTGAACCCGGGAGGCTGAGGTTGCAGTGAGCCAAGATCGTACGACTACACTCCAGCCTGGGCCACAGAGCGAGACTCTGTCTCAAAAACAAACAAACAAACAAACAAACAAACAAAACCGAGAGAGAGATGATGGCAGCTCAGACCACAGTGCAAACTTTAAATTTGAAATGAAGTGATTGGACTCTAGACACATGTTTAAGGTAAGGTTTACAGTATTTACCGAGGGAGAGGATGCAAAACATGAAAGTAAAACTGCAGCAAAGATGATTCCACAAAAAAAAAAAAATTAAAAATAACAACAAAGCACTTTGCTAATTGATTCTAATCAGAATGCATATTTTAAAACCAGTAGCTTAAAAGCCATACCTACCAATAAAAGTCAACAACTAGCTGAATATTTTAACTTTTAAAAATTATTTTGAAACAATTACAACCTCATAGAAATGTTGCAAGTACAGTCCGAAGAACTTTTCTTCCTGAACAATTTCCCAATTAGTTGCCTACCTAATACCCATCACCCCCTGCATATTTTAGAGTGCAGCTCCTATGAACATGGATAGCCCTCCTACAAAACCCCAATAAAACCATCAAAATCAAGAAACGGATATTTCTAGATTACTACTGTCTAAATCCCAGACCCAATTCCAGTTTCACCAATTGTTCCAAAGGTGTTCTTTATAGTAAAAGAGTGTAATATAGCATCATGCATTGCTAAATGGTTGACTTTGACACCCTTTATCACGATGAATATCAACTACTATTCAGGTTTGTATGGGTTTATATTTAGCCTCAAATTTTTCCTTTTTTTCTTCCTGTACAGTTTATTTATATTCACTGTTTTATTCACTCTATTGAGGTAGATAATGTGGGTTAAGAAATTCCTTATAGTGATGGAGAAAGTCACATTGAATAAAATAAAAGAAGTGGCACTTAACTAATTTTTTTGCAGAGCTCATCATGGTTGTTTTATTAAAACTAAAAGTAAAGCTTAGAAATAAATATGACTTTTAAAAGGTAATATTTATTGCATTTCTTTTAAAGAAATGATTAATAATAGCATTTTAGAAATAATAATAGCAAATAATATTAATTGAGCATTTTACTCTTTATAATGTATCTAACTTAATTTTCACACAACTTAGCAGACATTATTATTATTTTCTCTGTTTTGCAGTTGAGATAGCTGAATGTCTGTCATCATTTCCAGTTAAATATGTAAAAAGGGGATTTGTAGTGTCAGCACAAATTTCTGAGAGATATATGAGTTGTGTTGTGGCATTTTCTCACTTCATTGACGTCAGAACACACAGTGCCATTTGCTTTTGAAATGCAGGGCAGGAAGGCACTCAATTTATTAAAAAAGACTCCTGTGAATTTTCTCTGAGTTAGATTTTGAATACATTGGCCCTTCCTCAAACCTCGGCAGTACTGGCTTTTCCACTGAGAGAGTTCTGATTGTCCGTGTTTCTTCGTCTTCTGATAGAGCGCAGAAGGTAAGGGTAAAGGACGAGAAAATGTCTTTCTTGCAGGGTGGCTCAGAAATCCATAATGATACAAATCATGTGAGGTTCCTCGCTTTTACTTTCTTTTCATCCAGGGCCATCTCCAGCGTGCCTTGTGTATCGTCCATTGCTGGTTTGGATTTTCTAGAGGGTGAAAGCCGAGATTTAGATACTAATGTCAAAAGGCCTATTGGCAAGAACTTGTGAAAGGAAAAGAGAGGAAGCAGGATTGCGGTGAATGGGGCATTAGACTGTGCTTTAGGACTGACAGAGTCTCTGCCAGGCCAATGGAGAGCTCTGCGGTAAGGACGGTCCCTTAGAATCGTCTTGTGTTAGGCAGAGATGGTTAGGAAAGGTAGGTGCCACTACCTCGCTCAGTTATGGGCCCCCAAAATAGCTTGACTTTATCTCAAAAGCTGAGGAGAATCCTGCTAGGGCTAACAGCTGAGGCCATTAGCAAACCACACTCTCACAGCTGGGCAGCAAGGCATTTCTTGAGGAATCTCAGTGGCACATTTCTGTGCCTGACACAGAGTGATATATTCATGGAATATTTCATGGGGAAATGAGAACTGGAATTAGAGTCAAATAATATGAGAGTCAGTTTTGATTTTTCTGTTTACTAGCTATGGCACTTTGGGCATTTTACGCCTTATTTTCTTCCTCGGTAAACAGGGAACATAATGTATATCAACCATAAAGACTGGTGGTAAGGCAAAAATAAGGTATTGCATACGCAGATGTTTTGGTTAGTTTTAGAAGTGCTTTGAGATTTTATTATGATGGTTTTATTATTATTATTATTATTATCAGCATCATCATCATTATTATTGTTATTATGCCCTAATGGCACTCAATCATTCATTCATTCCTTCTTTCTTTCATTGAGCAACTCTTAATTGAACATCTACTATGTACCATGTTCCTTCTTAGCACCGATCTCAGTACTAAAGATTAGTGAAATAATTGGCATCCCTATTTACAAGGAGCTTGCATGCCAGTAGTAGGGAAAATGTATACATATACACACATACAAACACACACATGTAAATTTGTATATATGTGTACACATATATGTATGTGTGTATATTTACATATATAGTAAAATAATAAACATATACTATATCAAGTGATGATAAGTGCCTGGGAAGAAACAAAGCAAGAGAAAGGAGGAATGTGGGTTTCATGACCAAGGCAGAACTCACTGATAGAGTGATATTTTGGTGAGATAGGAAGAAAGTAAAAGTGATTCAAGAGACTTACTGCAGGAGGAACCATTAGACAGAGAGGCCAGCAGTTGCAAAGGCCCTGAGTATGAATGTGCCTAGAATATTCAAAGAGCAGCAAGGAATAAAATGTGGTTTGAGTGCTTGAGCTAAGGGAATGTGAAAGGAGATGGAGTCAGAGAGGCAGTCAAGGTGCAGTTCACATGGGGCCTTAGCAGCTATGGTAAGGACTTGAGTTTTGTTTGATAAGAGGGAAAGTCATGGTAGAAATTTGAGCATAGCTGGCATTATCTGATAGGCTGGTGTGTTAAGAATTGATTGTATGAGAGGGAAAACTGAACAGAGAGACCAGTTACCCAGCTCCTATAAAAAGCCAGGAGGGATATGATGGTAGCTCAGACCAGAGTGCAAACTTTAAATTTGAAATGAAGCGATTGGATTCTGGACACATGTTTAAGGTAAGATTAACAGTATTTACCAAGAGAGAGGATGCAAAACATGAAAGTAAAAGAGCAGCAAAGATGATTCCACAAAGCCATCAGCCTGAACAACAGAGAGAAAGCCACTGGCATATATGGAAAAAGCCGAAATGTGTAGCATGTTGATGGGCCAGTGGGGGTAGCAACTGGGGAAAGATCAGGGTCTGAGTTTTGGAGAAAAAAAATTGACATGTTATGTTCATCATCCTAGTGGAGATGTTGAATAGACAGTTGAGTGAAAGGGTTCTGGGGGTCCAATTGAGGACATCAATTTGGGAGCTGTCAGCCTAGAAATAACATTTATTGCCAAGAGAATGCTTTTGTTGAGATGTTGTTGAGATTATCAAGGGAGTGAGTCTGGGTTGAAAATAGAAGACACGTGAGAACTGAGCTTGGGAACTCAACATGTAGCTGCCTGTAGAATGCGAGGGTATCAGGGAAGGCTGCTGAAGAGGAGCCTCTTGTGAGGTAGGAAAAGAAAAAAGAGAAAGTAGTCTCCTGGAGTCCAGGTGCATGAGATGTTTCAAGGAAGAGGTCGTGATCAACTGTGTTAAGAGCTGCTGCCTGATGGGGTAAGATAAGGACCGAGGATGGCCCATCAGACATATCAAGGGAAAGTTATTTTGTGAACATAACAAGGGCTGTTGGGGAGAAATGGAAGGCAGAGGTGGAAACCTGATTGAACTGTGATTTTTAGAAAAGTAGAGGAAAAATTTGGGAGTTGTGTAGAAAAATTACCACAGAGTTTTTCTGGAAAGAGGCAGGAATGAAATCATGGTGGAGGAGATATAGAATAAATAGATCGTGCTTTGGGGGCATATTGGGAAATATGAGAGTATTCTTAGGTATTGATGTGTTTGATCCAGTAGAGGCAGATATCATGATTCAGGAGAGACTGGGCAGTTTTAGCAGAGGAAGTACTAAACAAGCAAAGGGTGTGGGATAGAATACACAGAGAAGGGTTGGCATCAGGAGCAAGGGTAGAACATCTGTAGAAACACATGCTTTGAGCCTGCAGATGCGTGGAGGTAAGTAGCTGCAATGGGAAAATATGTGGAGAATCTCCTGAGGTCTTCTATTTTCTCAGTAAAAATTCCCAATCGGATAATGAGGTCTTAGAAGAGGAACTTGGGGTTAAAGAAGAAGCGAGAAATGGTCAGATTAAAATCTACCAGGAGTTGTCAAATCCTTTCTTGAAAGGTCACAAAGTAACTGCTCTGATTATAGTTCCTTTCCAAATGATGGCTCTGTCTAATAAGAAAGTTTTAACAAGAGAAACCTGAATTGTAACTTGAGTTTCAAGTTCCCCACTTTCTACCTGTACAAGATTTGGAAAATCATTTCACTTCTCTAGGTTTCCATTTACTTGTCTTTTAGGAATTAGACAAAATCAGGGCATGCACATTTATTTGAGCATGAGTCTCCTTAAAACGTTTTATATCATGACCCACTAAACACACAAAATGAAGTACACACCTATGTATTTGCAAACTTGAAGTTTAAAAAACAATGCTTACCTTTATTTTATATGTGCTTACGATGCTCTCTGATGTTTTCTATTCTAGGCTAATAGATTTATTCTAATATATTTTATTTTGCTGTTGTTTGTTTGCTTGTTTGTTTTAAGCCTGGCTGATCTGATTAGGAAGAAGGTTCACAACCCACAAATAGGACATGATCTACAATTTGAAAAGCACTCACAGTTTGAAAAGTCACTTCCTTAAGTGCCTCTTATTATTTAATTATGAGATTCTGTGAACTCTCAGGGAGAACATAAGGGCTAAAATGACCTCAGTCACAGAAGGCATATTATGAACATGTGATCAGAATCAAGAGCTGGACCATACACTGATTTTGTTGAAAAAAATAAACAAGCTAGTTACCAAGATTTTAAGATGGAGTGATTCTACAATTTGGATTTCTAGTGCCTCTGAAAAAGTCAGAACTGGCACGGTTGGCCTGGTCTCTCACTGAGCTTTCCGGTTTATTTACCCTCCCCACACCTGGCCCACTTCATTCATTTTGGTCACCAGCTCTGCCCCTATAGCCGTAGAAGTTAGGAACCCATGCTGTAGTTTAAGAACAATACCAATTTTGAGGCATCTCCTTAACCAAATTATGATACGTAAATGTTTATTGAGCATTTGAAAAAGGCCCAACATTTTACTAGATGTTGTAGAGAAAATGAAAACTTTCAGTGACTTCATTCTGCAAGATTCCAGTTCACTTAGAATATTTTAATAAGCATAGACTTCTCACAGATGACCAGAAATCAGACACCCATGTGAAAGTCTAATGTCAGAAAAAGAAACCTGTCTGTAAGTGGGGAGGCCCTGCATCCCACTTTTCCAGGGACAGAGTCAGTTTGCACTTTATTGTTCCAGTGTTACCTGGTTTCTGCAATAACTTATACAGTCATTGTAACTAAGGATTAATTAATCTTTTTATTTATTTTTTGTTTCTTTGAGCACCAATTCTTAAAACAGCATTTGTGGCTTTAGTCCCTGTATTATGCAGTTGGCCATAGGAGCCTCCATCATGCTCACCACCTATTGTCTATTTACAGCCTAACTGAAAAAAAAATGGGGTCCTAATTTGATTATTTGACCAGAATTTTTGTCTTCACAACCCATGAGTTCACTTTTTCTTTCAAGTGTGCTGAAACAAAATCTACCATCTGCACTGCCAAATACTTAAGTAAGATGTGTTATAACACTATTTAAAAAGATATTCTTGACAGCAGGAAAAATATCCAGCCTGTGACAGACTCAGGCTCTCAGGGTCTTCTCCTTTTAACTCATAGTTCTACCCCATTGTTGCTTTCAAAGGTAAATAATCTGGTCCCTAGAATGCAGTGAAGAGAATCAGTGCAGAGGCTTGGGTTATGATATGAAGTGATCAGAATTGATGGTTACTGACTGGACAGCTACTACTCAGAATGACTGCTGGCCATTTATTGATTAATCTGTCCAAGCACCATGGCATATTTCCTCCTCTAATTGCTGGCAAGCCAGGAAGTTGTGGCGAAACCAAGTGTTGGCCAAATATGAAGCTACCAGGAGGACTGGGGGTTAGTTGATGCCATTTGCCACTTTAGTTGGCATCACAAGCAAGCATGGCAGATTAGATGTTATCTTCACCAAAAACGAGAGTGCTTTCAGTGTACAATTTATCCTTATTTTTGATATCCTGTATTGAGACACTTACTATTCCCTTATCTATAATGGCAGATGTTAAGCTGGCGTGTGTGTGTTTGTCTGTGTGTGTGTGTGTCTGTGTGCGTGTGTGTTGGTGTGTTGTTTTGTTTTAGACACATGATTGAAATAAATCGTTATTCCCTAAGGTATTAGTATAACTGCCTAAACTGTTCTTTTCTTCAATGTCAGAGGTCACAAAAGATGGGACGTCTAAATTTAGATTCAGCAATGCCAACCCCCCACTAAGTGGCAGGACCCTGCCATCCCCATAACCGAAAGCAAAACAAGCAAGCAAACTAAGTCTCCAATCAGAAATATTATTTAAAACAATCTAAGTTGTATCCCTTATAATGTGGATCAGTACCTTGCTGGATTTTACTAGAATGGGCCAATGTGTAGACTGACAGAGGAGACATTAATAACACTGAAATATATGGGTGTTGCCAAATGTTGGGCTTAACATGACTTCAGTGGGTTAAGGAGCCATCATAAATTCTTGGAAAAGTGTTTTTTAAAGTAGTCCTAACTGATAGTATTTTGGCCAATAGTGGAGTGATTCCATGAAAATAAGAACGTTTCCCTAAAAATGAACTGGGAAAATAAAATTCTGTTTTTGCCCTATGTTAATAACTTTATTACATTTTACTTTAAAGACCTCAAGTGAGCAAGAGTAGTGGTTTGAGTGGTGGCCCCTCAAAATCTATGTTCATGTCCTAACCACCAGAACCTGTACACGTGAGCTTATTGGGCTCACAATAGAGTTTTTGCAGAAATAATTAAGGATTTTGAAGTGAGAACATCATAGTTTATATGGATGGACTCTAAATCCAATGATGAGTGTACCTAGAAGAGAAAATCAAGTAGAAATAGTTACAGCAGAAGAGACACAGAGAAAAGGAGAAGGCTATGTGTAGAGGGAGGCAAGATGGTGTAGTTATGCAGCAGTAGCTGGGGAGCTCCTGGAGCCACCAGAAGCTGGAAGAGTCAAGGAAGAACCTCCCTTAGAGATTCTGGAGGGAGTGATGCCCCCAACACCTTGATTATAAACTTCTAGCTTTTAGACCTATTGGAGAACACATCTCTGTTGTCTTCAGTCACTTAGTTTGTGGTAATTTTTTAAATGGCTGCAACAGTAAGAAATGAATATAGCAAGGGCACTGGAAATTATTGTTTTAGTACTTCCCCCCCATTTGATCCAAACAATTAAATTGCTTTGGGCACTGATCGCCATTATTTTCCAAAATAATTTACTATAAAAAGAGAAGTTATTTAGTCAAATGAATGCTGGGTTAGGCAAAATTGCACTGCAAAATGAGGATTTGTTTTATCTTACCACTTTTCTTGATGGGAGTGAGTGGGGGAGATGATGACTTATCTACATTATTTCTACTAAAGGAGAACATAGTGGCATAACGGGAAAGGAAAGGACCTCTTGGAACATTTTTCCTAATTAAAAATAATGGAGAAGACTTTGTTAACAAGTGGAGATGTATTAACCCAGGGACATGTGTCTGCTCTTCCAAGTCGAGAAGGCAGACTTCCAAATACTTCCAGAATAATCATTCATCCTTGATAGTGGTTTAAAATAAAGGAGTCCCTAGAGAGAAGAGGTATGGACATTCATAAAGTTTTGTTTTTCATTCTATCCAAGTTATGATAGAAAGAAGTGGCTGGGAGAGTGTATACATGTTTCAGAGTAGCCCTCAGCCAAATAGTGAGTAAGGAGATAAAGACAAAATCAGATCCTTCCAACAAACCTATTGTGTTCTTGAAAAACCTCTTTCATTGATCAGTAAGTATCGACACTAAAATATTTCCCAGTAAGATTAATCAAAAGACCCACCATTTGATTTAAGATTTTCTAGCTTCCACGAATTCTCTCTTTTCAGTTAATAAGGAAATTAATGTAAACATTAACAAGGGAGTGATTTCTACAGCAGGGTAGGTCAGCCATGATCATCTCAAGCCACGCTACATTCAGTAAAAATCTTCAAGGGAAGAAGAATGGCCTGGACTACCCTGCAAGCCAAGGTCTTTCTGCCGATTGGTAGGGGAGGACATTTGGTATCTCTGGTGTTCACCATGACGCTTAGAAACTTAGAAACAAACATACCCATAGACATGTGCTTTGCAGACATTTTGACCCAACAACCACGTTTCTAGGACTCATGGCAATCATAGTAATGCACGTAGATTTATCTGTGAGGATCTCAGTGATATTTATTAACAGCTAAAAAAGTCAAACAATATCCAAATATAGAAATTAATTTAAAATTGCCCATGGAGATCACAGAATAACAGTACTTTTACAAGATTACAATTTTTACAAGATTACAAAGGTCTATTATTGATATAACCAAATGACAGATTACAAATCATTGTTTATTGCATTATCTTATTTTGTAAAAAATAAATAAAAATGGGTTGGTGGAAAAGTAATTGCGGTTTTCACCATTACTTTTAATTGCAAATCTGCAATCACTTTTGCATCAACATAATACATGTAGAGAAAATGAAGAAGAAAGTAATATAATAGGTTATTATCTGTGATTATCAATCTGGCCAATTTCAGTTGATTGCCATTTTCTTCTTTTTCTCCAATATATACTGATGTGTATGTCATTCTGTGAGGGGTAACATTCTACTTTATAAAGACATATGAATAAAACATATAATTGCTAATTCTTGTTGAAAAATCCCCAAATCTCAACTGGAATTTTTTTTGTTTACCATCTACCTTCTAGTATGTTAGAATTAATGGCCTTTAAGGTTAAATGTTAGAAAGGCATATATTTTTCTAACTTCATATATTTCCTTCCTTTCTGCCTTCCATTCTTTCATTCTTTCACTCTTTCTTTCTTGAGTTCTAATGAAGAGGCCTTGGGAAAGAAAAACAAATAAAACTTACCTGAATAATCAGAGCATAATGTTAATGATTACACAATACTTACTGATTATATAATACTTAATATTTTTGAGGCCATAGACCTTTACAGAATTTGCTGAAAACTGTTGATCTTCTCTCCAAAAAATGTACTTATGCAACATTTCATATATAATTTTTGGGAGAAGGTGGTAATGGAGCCATGGGTGAATTTGTTCTTTGTATTCCCAACAATTTTTTATAATGAATGAAAGACTCCAGTGATAAGTTTCCCTGTTTACTGCATACTTGGGAAGCCTAGATCTCTAGCTCTCCTCTGTGAAATCCAATTAAACTAGTTTGTTAAAGAGATCAGATCTTTATACTTGAGAACTTCCACTGTTTTCTTATAAGGATATTTGTTGAATTAGTTTTATAAATGCAGTATGAACACATACTTTGAATGCCGTAAGTGGTAAGCAAATACACACCTGATATACATGTAATGAGATGTTCACAGGTCTCTTAGCCACTCACGTGCAAGTTCTTACTAGAGTGAAATTAGGAAAACTGTTTACTCACTGGAACTTGAGTGAGCTTCCCTGCTAGAGAAGGAAGAAAAGAACTTGCTTATTACCACAAAGAGAAGATGACAAAAGATGGACAGTAAAGTGCGAAGCTAGAGAAATAGGAAAAGGCTATAGATTAGGTGAGATGATCCCTCCTCATAACCCATCCAATGTAAACTGGTGAAATTACTGAAGTTACAAAATGCTAAACTAGAAGGGATGTTTTTTTCCCAGTGCAAAGTCTTGAAGGAACTAAACTTTATCTTTAGCCTACCTTGAGGAAGAACCAAGGTAGAGGAAATGGATGAAGAGGTGAAAACAAGGGTTCTGCCAAGAATTTTCAGAAGTTTGTAAAATTCGCAAAGGCCATGGAATGAAGTTCAGATAAGGTTTAACCAAAACCCTGAAGGATATTGAGACACAACTGATTTCTGGGTTGCATCTTTTTGATACTTAAATTATACATGTTTGAATCATTTATAATTTAGATATGCTCTTATAAAGAAAAAATATCTTGGCTTTAAGAACTCTGTTATAGTTACACGCACTGTCTAAAATTAGGCATATTATAGAATTCACCACAACTTGTGGGCTTTCTTTGGTGTTGATGTTTTTTGCCAGCAGTTGAAGGTGAACAAAGGGCTTTGAAGAGGACAAAGGAATCTCCCATCCCTGCTAAAAAAATACTGAAATGAGGCTCCATGAGTATCTTCGTTTCTTTTTCTAAATAATTGTCTCGTATCCAGAGGCTGATGTTGGCATAGGTTGTCTACCTTGAGCACAAGACTTGTAATGCAGGAGAATTACTGAGTGTCCTGCGGTTCCTGCTGATGGAGGGAAGGCACCTTCCGCACAGGTGAAGCTCTGGCCACAGGATCATCCTCAAACTGATAGCCTCCGAGTCTGACTTTTCCAGCTGGAGGGAGAGAACTGCTTGGTTTCTATTGAAATCACTATTTGCTCAACATTATTAATGATCAGAGAAACGCAAATCAAAATCATAATGAGATACCCTCTTATACCAGTCAGAAGGGCTATTATTAGAACATCAAAAAAACAACAGATGCTGTCGAGGCTGTAGGAAAAAAAATAAAAACACTTATACACTACTGGTGGGAATGTAAATTAGTTCAGCCACCGTGGAAAGCAATTCGTAGATTTCTCAAAGAACTCAGATCTACCATTGGATCCAGCAGTCTCTTTACTGGGTATATAAACAAAGGAGTATAAATCATTCTGTTAAAAACACACATGCACTCGTATGCCCATCCCAGCACTATTCACAATAGCAGAGACATGGAATCAACCTAGGTACCCATCAACGGTGGACTGGATTAAGAAAATGTGGTACATATATACCAGGGAATACTACACAGCCATAAAAAAGAACAAAATCATGTGCTTTGTGGCAACATAGCTTCAGCTGGAGGTCATTGTCCTAAGCAAATTAATGCAGGAACAGAAAACCAAATACTTCATGCTCTCATTTGTAAGTGGGAGCTAAACATTGGGTATACGTGGCTATAAAGATGGCAACAGTAGACACTGAGGACTACAAGAGGGAGAAGGGTAGGAGGGGTGCCAGAGTTGTAAAACTACCTGTGTGGCACTATGCTCAGCAACTGGATGACAGGATTATTGCTACACCAAACCTCAGTGACATTTTGATCAGTCATAATACATGTTACAAAGGAGCCAGTGGGAAGAAAATAGAAGATAGAATATAAAAATCAATTATGAGACACATAGGTATTTTTTCTGATATTACTTTTTAAGTTGCCTTTAAAGCATACAGTTCTATAAATTTTAATACATGTATAGATCCATGTAAACATCACCAGAATCAGACTACAGAGCAGTTTCATCAACTCAAAAGAAAAAAAAAAAACCTTTATGTTATTACTTTATCGTCAGAGTCTCCCCCAGCTGGTAAACCACTGATCTGTTCACCATCACTATAGTCTTGTCCTTTTGAGACTTCCATCATATAAATGGAAGCATATAGTATGAAACTAGCTTTTTTGACTTGGCTTAATACCTTTGAGATTTATCAAAATTGTCATGTATATTAATACCTTATTTTTTATTATTGTCAAATAGTATTTTATTTTAAAGATACATCAGTTAGTTTATTCATTCTCCCAGAGAAGGACATTTGGGCTGTTCCCAGTTTTTGGATATCACAAATGCAGCTATTAAAAGCACTCACGTTGAGAATTTTGTATGAACATAGATTTTCATTTTTTAGAGTAAATGCCAAATAATGGGATTGCTTACCATGGCTTTTGAAGAAAAAAATATGCAGTAGGCGAAGATATTTTTGAATTGTCTATAATTATAAAATTGTCTCTGCTTTTCCTTTAGAAATGTATTTTAATTGATTTTTATTTTGTATTCAATAAGCAAAGTGAAGGATTGTAAAAGCAACATAGGCTGGAAAATTTAGGCACAACCACAAACTACTAAAAGGCCACACATCTCTGACTATCCAAGATTGTTTGGAGTGAAAATTTGCCAAGTTCGTTAATGCAGGGAGACTAAATAGAAAGGAAGCAATGGTAATAATTGGTAAATAGTTCATATGCAAGAAAAATTAGGCCTGATATTTTCAGCCTGGAGGTAGAGTAGGAACTGACATAAACCCACTGAGGAAAGCTCCTCGGGTTTCTGTGGTAAGGAAACTTCAGGGGATGAATGGGGAAAAGGGTCACTATCCTTAATGATTTCAGGAAGTTAATTGATTTTTTTTAAGGGTCAGAAAGGGATACATCAATGACATTGGGTGAATTATATGTTTACTGAGGGTCTAGTTACTGTTCCTAATAATTTTCTTACATAAAATGAACTCAAGGTTAATTAAGAAACATAAACTTTCATGTTTTGCCAGAGCCCTACAAACTAATAAATTATTATGAGATATTTTTGTTTTCTGGCTTGACATTGAACCATGCAGTTCATCTATAAGTTAAACATTATAGCAGAACCTGGCTTTTGTAATAATATTATTTACAAACTTAAGCACATTATTTTTTTTCTACAATCCAACCTCAGATGACCTTTTGTTTTGTTTTTTTTTTGTTTTCAGTGTTCTGAGTGCCAAAATATTAATAGATCTTACTAAAGATATCTAACAGTATCTTTACATCTAACAATTAGATATTTAACAATATTTAACAATGTATCTGTGGTTTTAAGCCACAAAACAATCAAAATAACCCTCCATGTGGTTTGTTTTCTTCTGTCATCATAAAACAAAGAGCTTATGCCAGGCATAGGACATTGACAGGGGACCACTTCCGTGGAATGACTTGAAGAACAAATCAAAGCTCACATACTCAAAAACATTTTTTTAATTACCTTGCCACTTTTAATTTTGAGGACTTTTAGGTATTCCCTGAATTAAGACATGTTCAGTTAGCCCCTGCTAAAATACACAGAAACTTATTTGCACATCGTCTTGGAGGCCGTAGAAACTTGTTATTAAGAAGATGAGCTGTAAAGTCATGAGTTCAATGAATGTTGTATATTATTATTATCCTTATTATTGTACCAGCCAGCACCTATCTGGTGACAAAAAGCAGAGTGCAAAAGTGTTGGGGAGAAGAAACAATATTTCATCAAACTCTCTCCAACTGCTGTTTAAACTCTTTTGAAAGCTGATGCATTACAATGGCAGTCCTTAGTAATAATTACATAGATTTCATTACGTAGACTTTATTCCATCAATGGTTACTGGATTTATGTGTTATCTATTTTTTTTCAAGAATTATTCTTAATAGTAATCACAGCAAAAGGTGATATACATTTGCTACCAGAAATTAATTTTTATTATGAATCACCTTTTTTTCTCTACCCTGTGAACATTGTAGAGTTTATCTGAACATGACTGGCATCTACACATGCCTTTTAGTGACACAGATGTTTTTCTGGATCTTGCACTCACCCTGAATGTTTTTTTTTAGCCTTTATGGAGGGGAATTGGCTGACCATCCTTCAGTTGCACTGATACATCCAGTGATATGAGGTCAGAGTTTCCTGAAAAATTAGGTGCAAGAAAAGTAAGGTCCTAGATTGTGAAGGAGGCATTCCTGGGGCAGAATAAAGCTTTTTCCCATTGGAACTGAGAGAGGAGGCTGCTGACTTAATGTATTATTCCAGTGGGATATGCGTGTGCCAAAACAGTTTGTGTATCAGTGCAGCTCGGAAAAGCAGTCCATTTCAGTTCCTCAGCTTTTTCTTCAGCGTCAGACAGAGCACCGAGGCTGAGATTACCTCTATAAACAAGGCTCACACCTCCTGGTGTTTCCGCCATTTATCACATTTTCTTTCCTTTTTTTCGTTTTTTAAATTTTTGTAGGTACATAGTAGACATATATACTTATGAGGTATGTGAGACGTCTTGATACAGGCATGCACTGTGAAATAAACATATCACAGAGAATGGGGTATCCATCCCTCAAGCATTTATCCTTTGAGTTACAAACAATCCAATTACACTGTTTATTTTAAAATGTACAATTAAGTTATTGATTGTAGTCACTCTGTTTTGGTATCAAGTAGTAGGTCTTATTCATTCTTTCTATTTTTTTTTTGTACCCATTAACCATCTTCACCCACCCTCCACTACCCTTCCCAGCCTCTGGTAATCATTCTACTCTCTGTATTGATGAGTTCATTGCTTTGATTTTTAGGTCCCACAAATATGTGAGAACATGTGATGTTTGTCTGTCTGTGCCATTTATCACATTTTCAATGTGTGGTTATCAAGCCACTTTCACAAATATGTTGTTTCATTGTTGCCACAGGCTTGCAGGTATGCCTGATGGATCTTGTGTTATAGATGGAGAAACTGAAGCTCAAAGTGGCAAAATAGCCCAACGTCACATGGCTAATATGAGGTAGACGCTGGATGTGAATCCATATTTTCCAACTAAGCTCCACTTCTCTTTTCACTATTCCACATCTGCTGGTGCTGAGGTAGTAAGAAAAGGATGATAATACTGGCTGAAGCAGTTGGGCCTAGCAGGAACAAAAACGTGTTATTAAATCTGGAAATGAGCTTGACTGTAAAGGGGGTAAACTATAGAGACAAATATTAAGGTATTAATACTTGTCTAAAATAATGTACAAAAAGACCTTCCCGAGGATGTTTTCAAGACTTAAATTCGCTTATTTGAAGTCTTTAAAAATTCCCACTAATATTTTTGGGTTTTTTGAGAATAACCAGCCTAACAAGTGTGAGGTGACAGCTCATTGTAGTTTTGATTTGCCTTTTCCTGGTGACTAGTGATGATGAGAGCCTTTGCACGTACCTGGTGGCCACAGTGGGTATGAAGTTTCGGTAATACAGGACAAATACGTTCTAGAGATCTGCTGTACAATATAGTAGCTATTCTTAGTAACACGGTATTATGCACTTACAAATTTGCTAAGAGGATAAATCAGTCATTAGGTGTTCCTACCACAAAAACAAAAATAAAAATGAAAAAACCCAAAAAACACAAACGGACACAAGGAAACCTTTGGGGGTGATAGACATGTTTACCACCTTTATTATGGTGATGGTATAACAGGTACATGCATATGTCCAAACTCATCAGATGGTACAAATTAAATATGTGCAGTGTTTTTGGTATATCAATTATGCCTCAATAAAATGAAAATGAAAAATAATGAACATTGAAAAACAAAAATGAAAAAACCTCATCTCCTAGTAATTCCACTGTAAGCATTCATTTAGTTCCAGTTCTACATCTTGAAATGGATTGTTTTCCTAACTTCTAATGTTCACTCTGTTAATGCTCATACGTGGTCTTCTGCCTCACACCCTCATGTATTTCATAATCTTGGAATTAACTGTGATGATTTTCTAAGCTCTCTCTACTTCTCTCCCTTCTAGCTCTCTGTATGGAATAGGCTGCTGTGTTTTTTGACTTAGCTAACTTCGGCCTGATCATTAGGATGCCACTGTTCTAATCCTGTCCTGGCTTCCCCTGTATCTAAGCAGTGGCTTCTCATTCTAAGTTCCACAGCCCTCCTTCCATGTTTCTGTCTCAGCCCCACCAGCACTCTGCCCCTCACTTTTTCTTCTCTCCTCTGAGCACGTGAGCTGCATGATTGGAGGGATGAATCTGGTCATCTCTATACCTTCAGCTATCAGCATAGTACCTGTTACTCAGAAAGCATGTAAATGCTAAAGGAATGAATGAAGGAAGGAAGGAAGAAATGATTCATTTTTTCCAAAATTGGATCTTGGCCTCTGTTACTCAGTTAATTCACACTATTCAACAGTAGTTCTACCTACTGCTCTTCTAATCCCTTTCTTGCCTAGTTTCTTTTCTCCTCTGTTCTTTCGTTTCCTTCTAATCCCCTTCCCTTTAGCTCCCTCCCTGTTTGCCTTTTCTCTTTTTTCTTCTAGCCTTCTGTGGTGCTTTATTGACAACTGTTTCTTGTGCACTTACTATGGCACAAGATACAGGCATGCACTGCTTGGCATGTACTGCTATCTTGGCAGAGACAATGAAGTGTTGCAAGAATAAAATAATGAATAAATGCAGACAATTTTCCTGCATTCAGAGCACCTAACATTCTTGTGATAGGGAAAGAAAGACAACAAACAAGTAGTAAATTAGACAGATTTAGAAATTATTGGTGCTGAAGGACAAAAAAAAAAAAAATCCCTGATAAACTTACAGAAAATATTTGGTACTGCTCTAAACAAGGTGGTCAGAGAAGACCTCTCGAAGACATGGGTTGTGACTTCGGTAATGAGAGGAAACAGTATTGCCTGGCACAGGTAAGAGCAAGTGCAAAAAGCTTCAAGGCAGGAGTGAACGTGAGCATTCAAGGAGCAGACAGGAAGGAAATATGCTGAGGTGAAGTTTGAGAGCTATTCAAGCTAGATCATGCTAGTTCCTTGTAAGCCACTGGTTCCTGAGTCACATGGAAGCCAGCAGAAAGATTTTGACTGGAAAGTTGTATGACCTGCTTACTATATTTAAGAGGTCACAGTGGCTGCTGTATGAAGAGTGGAGTATTGAGGACCAAGATTCCTGGAAACAGAGAGACCAGGAAGGTGGTTCTGGACCTAGCCCAGGGGAAATCTGACAGTGGTCTAGGCCAGGATGGTAGCCATGGAGGCCATTCCAGAAGAAGAGCAAATTATTTAAAAAGAAACTCAGGCCCATGGAGCTAGACTCTCTGCATGAACTGTCCCTGAGAATCAGTATGACATCTAGGCAGGCCACATCACCTCTAGCTTTTTTTTTTTTTTTTTTTCAGACGGAGTCTTGCTCTGTCACCCAGGCTGGAGTGCAGTGGCGCGAACTCGGCTCACTGCAAGCTCCGCCTCCTGGGTTCACGCCATTCTCCTGCCTCAGCCTCCAGAGTAGCTGGGACTACAGGCGGCCACCATCACGCCTGGCTAATTTTTTTTTTTTTTTTTTTTTTTTTTTAGTAGAGATGGGGTTTCACCGTGTTAGCCAGGATGGTCTCGATCTCCTGACCTCATGATCTGCCTGCCTCGGCCTCCCAAAGTGCTGGGATTACAGGCGTGATCCACTGCGCCCAGCCCACCTCTAGCTTTTGCAGGTCATCATGGACCACTCTTTTGGGACTTCACAGCTCATCTGTTGGGTGGCTCTCAGGAGTTCCAGCAGATACCAGATGCATCCAGTGTTCTCCAAGAATGCTGCTCAATCACTAAGGGCATTATCTTTCTCAGAGTAATGCATTTGCTTTTCTACTGATGGTCCCATAGTGGCAGGTCTTAATGTTATCCTTGTGATTACTAACACTGCAAGTTGTGAGTATCAGTGCTTCTCAGCTCTAACTGAAGTAGCTACTTCGAACTAAGCTTACTGGTTATTGTTGTTTTCCCCCTATTAAAATTGTGTGATATTTCACATCATTGTTTTCTCTTATTTCACACCACAGCAATAGAAATTGAAGCCTTAAAATTTACTTGTCATTTGCAAATATTCAGAAGAACATGTACTCTGACTATGCCAGAATTTTCATAAGAAGTATAATTTCCAAATCATTTTTATTTTATATTTTTGAATTTCAAACCATTATGAAAGTTGGCTATGTCTTCACTCCATATACACCAAAGGTAGGGTTATTTGTAGGCCACATAAGTAAATATTCTTAAGGCAATGTTTCTCAAAGGCTCAATTTGATTTGTGAGAAATTAATCGGTATTATTGTCAAAAAAATAAATAAATAAACCCTCCTATTTTCTATCACTTTTAAATGCTTGGTCAAACAAAATCAGTTTTCTTTAGGGTAGGATTTCTTAAATCTTTCAGCATAAAAATGTGCCATCAAGCTCTTTAAATGGCCAATGGTGAGCAGGATATATCACATTTCTGAAAGCAACTATAAATTGACAACAGAACCTTTTTACACAAAGCATTTTACACAAAGAGATTTCCTTTAAAGGTATTTTGATGTTCAAATAGCAGTCTGGAAGGCCATTCTTTGGTTCAAAAGAAATTATGTACTTTTTTCCTTTCATATATTTTATGTATGTCAACACTTTAGCTAATGCTATTAGGAAAACACAGATCAACAAAGAATAAAAGATCCATAAAATCTGCATTTTTTTAAAGGTTATCCTAAGCTTATAAATGAGAAAACTCAGAAGCATTAGGACAGTGAATTCCTTAAGATGACATAGTTAGGGGATGGATCCAGTCTTCTATTTTGTATTCTGTATTTTTAACTTATATGTTTATGGCTATCATATATAAATAGAAAACTTACTCTTATCTCAGACTTTCTTCCTTCACAAACTTTCTTTCTTTTTCCAAATTGTCAATCCTGATCATACAACTATGAACAACCATAATGACAAATATATAAGACATCTGAATCTAGATTGAAAGAGTGTTGTAAAATAAACTGATAAACCTAAGAAGCCAAGACTAAATGGGAGTAATGGAAAAATACAACCTTTAGGTCCAAAGAGCCGATAATTCACATGGCTTGCGCAGTGTTATTGGTTAGAGGGACGTAGTGTCTTCACTGATCACTCAGTATGAATCATCAGTGTAACTAACATCTGTGTGAAAAGAGCTAGTGTTATCTTGGGACCCATGAAGAGAAATATAATCTCCCGAGTGAAAGAGGCAGCAGCCTCTCTCTACTATGTGCTAATGGTTCTTTTCCTGGATGTTGACAAAACATTCAGAAATGTGAACAGCTGTTGCTTCCCTTTATCTTCAGGGCTCCTCTTTCCTCAGTTGCTCTGATTTTGTGACTTTCAAGAACACAGGATGCTAGCTGACTCTGCATTTTCTTTCTGAATTACCTATATCCCTCCCTTCCTGAAGGGCTGTGCCTAAGAGGGCTGCTCACTATTTATGCCAGCAGGGGCTCCCTGTGGATGTTAGAGACAGGCAGCCCTTCCCAATTTCCCCCTTTTATCTTGAATTACATGAAAATGGAATTCCAAATATGATAGCTATTTTTTCCCAAATCTTGGAAAGATGTTGGTCCCCCAGCCTTGTATTTTAGTCTGTTGCTTCCTTAACATTTGAAAATTCCATGAGAAGAAAAGAAAAACTTTAAAAGGAAGCAAATAAATCTAATGGCAGTATTTCATGGACTCTTAAGGGGAGTTAGAAAATGGTATTTTTTGAATTTCTCTAAGTCTGTTAATACTGGGTTGGGAGATGGGTGTTAGGAATCACATATAAATACAAAATAAACCTTTTTTGTTCATTTTTCTTCTCCTTAGCAAATCATCAGGCATCCAGGCTTTTTAGTTATTACTATCGACATGGCTCCATGGAGGGAGAGGGTTTCATGGACGGGGGCTGAGTTGGCTTGGGGTGAGATGTCTCTGACTGTGAATTTTTAACAAATGCTGGGTTTTCATTATCTGTCAAACCTGCTTTTTCATTTTTCTTTACATAGATCTATTCATTATCTTCACACTCTCCAATTAGTACCTCATTCTCTTCATGATCTGCCATAAAATACAGGTTCTTTCTGCAGGATTTGCTTATTTCTCCCCAACATTCCTCCTTTCCTAGTGAGATGTGCTTTCTCTTTAGTTTTTAATGTTTGAAAAAGCTAATCAACTCCAAAGTCTTCATTAAATCTCTTTGAGAGACTGACTGGGATTCTTCCTTGGAGCTTTATGTTCCTGTGGCCCAGGACTGCTTAAAGGTCACAAGAGGCCAGGAGCGGTGGTAGGAGCCTATAGTCCCAGCGCTTTGAGAGGCAAAGATAGGAGAATTGCTTTAGCCCAGGAGTTCCAGGCTGCCGTGAGACATGATCACGCCACTGCACTCCAGCCTGGGTGACAGAGCCAGACTCTGTCTTAATGCATACATACATACATACATACATGCACACACACACACGGATGCCCTCTTACCAACCTGCACCCTTAGTTTACTCCCATTGTGCATGAGATTACTTCTTCCCTGTCTGCTACTCTAGATTTGAAATTCCACAAAAGCAGCCAATGTGTGAGTGCTGATAAAGAATGAATGAACCTATGAATGAGACTTTTACACCACGTAAACTTGCTCTTCCTCTTTACTCCCAGATGAGTTGGGGGAACTTCTTTCTCCACCCTTTCCCACCGGACTGATTGCTTTCAGCAACCTTTGGACCTAATCCCTAGAGCTAAGGAGAAACGCTTGACTGCAAGCAAAAAAATGTGAACGTTGCAAGAACAAATTTAGTATTCGAAGCAAATGAGAACATAAGATTGTAGAGAGGGGATATGTAAGGTGAGGAGAGAAGACAAAAAATCACTGAAATACAGCTAAAGTTAAGAGTCAGTGAAGAAGAGGCACAAACAAGATTTGAGAAAGAAGAAGAAAAATGGGTCATACCCCACAAGCCAAGAGAATGGAGTTTTAAATTTTTTTCCAACTTTATTGAGGAATAATTGACAAAAATTCTCTTGATTTAAGGTATAGAAAGTGCTGATTTGATATAAATATATATTGTGAAATGATTACCACAACCAAACTAATTAACACATCCATTCTGTTAGTTACCATTTGTGCATGCACATGTGTGTGTGGTGAAAACACTTTAAATCTATTCTCAGCAAATTTCAAGTATATAATACAGAATTATTAATTACAGTCACTATGCTGTACGTTAGATATCTAGAACATATTCCTCTTTTAACCAAAATTTTGTACCCTTTGACTAACATCTCCCTATTCCCTACCTCGCAGCTCCTTGCAACCAGTTTGTTTTATGTTCAAAAAGGAAAAAAAAAAAACTATCAATGCCATCTGCCACAGAGAAGTCACGTAAGGACAGAAAAAACTAATTTATACGTTAGTCACAGAAAGAAAGAAGAAAGGCAGAAGTGGAAAGAGAAAGAGAGGATGAGGTGTAGCCGTAGGCTGAGGGTGCTGTAATCTCAAAAGTAGGCTTTTGTCCAGGAAAATGACTCTTAGTATTCCTTTCTGGGCCTGTCTATTGTGCTACATGCTCTTTGACATGATTTACTACTATTCAATACACTCAATTCAACAAGTACTTATTGCATCTCTACATAAACCAGCCTGTGCTTTGATTTTTAGGAGTCCTTAAAGATAAATATTTAACCTGAAATCACTTACAGTCAAGTAGAAGAGATAATATGCACATACGTTTAACTGCAGTGTAATGCAGAATTGGACACAAATCACAAAAACAAGAACAAATTGCCTTTGTGAGCTGATAAGTGGGTAAGGCCACTCCTTCATATCAATAATGCTGCCTGCAGGGAACAGAATCCAATTTAGATGATTCAGGAAACGTTAATAAAGGAACTATTTACAGAGCTGTGGATAGGTTCAAGGGCGATAACATGGAATGAAGTTGATGAGACTAGCAATTAAAGAAAGCTGTTAGCAACCTTGGGCTTACAGGGGCCAAAAGAGGAAATAGTGTGACTGAAACCCAGTAAGGGATAGAGACATGGAAAAGTGCTGCCCCACAGGAGCCATAACCATGAAGAAAAGCAGCCACTGCCAGAAAAAAATGGCTTAGAACAACAAGAGTTGGAGAAAGAGTTACTTCCAGCTCCTTCTCCTCCCACCCTCTGATGTCTTACTGCTAGGTCCCATTGGTCAAGCCAAATGTGAAGTCAGCTCATTTGAGAAGGTAGATAGCCCAGTCAATGAGACAATGCAGCACCCTGTGACACAGATCAGGGCAGAGAAAGATAGGAGAGAGACCTGAGGATAAGCAAATAGAGATTTCCGTTTTCATACTGTTAATAAAGACATAACCAAGACCGGATAATTTATAAAGGAAAGAGGTTGAATTCACTCAGTTCAGCATGGCTGGGGAAGCCTCAGGAAACTTACAATCATGGCAGAAGCGAAAGCAAACATGTCTTTCTTCAGATGGCAGCAGGAAAGAAAACAAGAATGAGAACTGAGTGAAGGAGAAGCCCCTTATAAAAGCATCAGATCTCGTGAGAACTTACTATCATGAGAATCCCATGGGGGAAACGGCCCTCATGATTCAATTACCTCACACCAGGTCCCTCCACAACATGTGGGAATTATGGGAACTACAATTCAAGATGAGATTTGGGTGGGGACACAGCCAAACCATATTAGACCCCTTCTTGGAGGTATCAAAAAGGAGCAGGTATGATACAAGCCTTCGAACAAATATAACATACCATGTTATGGCATTCCCAGAGGTGTAGACAGACTGAGAAAAAGCAAAGAAGTGGAAACTCAAAGACAGTAATTCAGATTAGCTCAAATACATGGTGTGCGTCCAGTAAGTGGTCTTAAGAGAGTGTAGAAGAAAGCATTAGATGCCCAGTTGGGTGGCTTGTACTGTAGTTGGTGATTTAATGGTCTTAACTTGAAAAGAAAAGCATATTGAAACAACTAATCTGGCATCAGAAAAGACAGCCTGGAGGTGGTAGAGACTCTATTCAGAGAAGCCAGTTAGGAGCATATTGCAGCATTCAAGCTAAGCAACTATGTTGGTCTGAAAAGGATGTTGGCAATGGAAAGAAATAATGAAATTATGGTGTTCAAGCAAACAGGGCTTAACGATGGATTACATATAGAAGGAGATGTAAAAATAAGGGCTTTAATTTATGTTCTTCCATGGCACACAGAAGGAAGTCAGCAGAAAATAGAACTGAGGGAAGAAGGGATGAATTCATTTTCAGCTACTTGTGCTGGGAGGTGCAGGATTTGGGAATGGAGCACAGGCTGAAGTTGTACATTTGGGACTCAACTGCATAGAGATCATAGTTGCCTAAAAGAGATTAGAGTTGCCAAAAATAGAAAACGATAATTGATTTATTAGTGGAAATTTGGCAAATAACATCTTAGTAATGTGATCATATAAAGGGATCAGTTCAAGATATAGAAGAGGGATATTGAAGTAGGAGAAGAAAGGAAGAAAATATTGAGCCAATAGAGGCCATCGAAAGAGGCATTTTCAAGGTAAAATATTTCTAAAAAGAATCAGGACAGAGAAAGGTTGTTGGATTGTGCAATTATGTAAATTACTATTTCAGAGACTTTGATGGTGAAGGAGCAATGTGGGTAGAGATCTACAGACCCTATGCAGGGAGGTGACATGGGAAGGAATGTGGTTTTGTTTCTCCGATAAAGGAAACCTGAGCATGTTAGCTGGGAGAGGGGAAACAATTCTCTTACTGTCATATTTTCTCCCTGTTTTCATGTTAATGAAACATAGTCTTAGTTGCCCTTAATAAACTGTAGTAACAATGTTCAAAGAGTCCACAGGAGGGAGACACTACTTTCTAAACTGACCCTATGAGTAGTTACATTGCCACAATATCTCAATGCTTAAGGTAGAAAGCTGAAGCTGGTTTTTGTTGTTGAATTTTTTTTAAAAGAACGTTGGTCAGATGTTTATTCTGGACATGGTGATTCCTTAAACTATTACAGCTTTTTTTTCTTAGAGACAATTTATTGCTTGCTGAACAGGTTTTATTTTTCCTTTGTGGACTTCAGCCAGTGATAGAAACAAAATCTTTTCCAATATCTTTTTAGTAATTGTACCACCTGACCATATAGTAGGTGCTTTAAAAATAATTGTTGTTGTTTTTCTGAAGTCTTTCATGGTGAACTTGTGCATTTGGATGATTCGGCCAAATTGGGTTTTGTATTTCTATGCGGAAAGGGAGATTTTATTTATGGATGTACCACAGCTATTTCCAGTTCTTCACGGGCTACACTTTCACATCATAGGTTACACTTTACCATCCTGTAATTAGTCAGAATCACATGACTGGCTTTGGCTAATAAAAAGTAAGTAGAAGAGATGCATTTCAGAGTTGGTACACCACTTTCCACACGCTCTTATTCATTGGTAAATGCTTGTTGGCATCATAAAAGGATGGTGACTTATTCATCCCTGATCCCTAAGGAACATAATCTTTCTCAGCCAATCTATTTTTGTCACGAGACATGAGTGATAAATGCATTTTATTTGGATAAGTAATAGTCACCAGACTTTTTCTGTAAAAGGCAGGATATTAAATATTTTCAGCTTTGTAGGCAACATGATCTCTATTCCAACTACTCAAGTTTGTCATTTTAGCTAGGGTAGCACAAATAATGGTCATAGACAAAAATTAAATTAATGGACATGTCTGTGTTGCAAGAATACTTTTCTTATAAAAGCAGACGGCGGTCAGATTCAGCCCATGAGCCATAATGTACTGACACCTGTTTTAAACCTCTGAGGTGTTGAGGTTGTTACAGCAGTATAACCTAGACTATACTGCCTAACTACTATTACACTTTACAAAGGAAATTTGTTAGAGTACTGAATGGATGCAATGGCAATTTTGTACTTTGCTATGAAAATATTTGTTAAAATAGGACCATGTGAAATTGATTTGGTTTTGGAGCTTTATTTAATCTAACTGAATCATATCAAGAATCAAAGAAATAATCACATAAAATTGAATTGGAACAGCTATTTTTAAAGCAGGCTGAACATTTAGAAATTTTCCCAAAATTGAACACAGAAAAAAAGAAAAGAAATTATTTTTGAAAGGCTATAGTGATCACCACAGAAGTAGTACCAAGAGAACACATATAAGCAAGGGACCATGGGAAGAAGTTTCCTGACTTCTTATCACTTAAACCCTAATTTTAATAGTAATTGAGTTCAAATTTTAATTATAGAGGTTTAAAAAGATGTGAAAGGTAAGCTTCTGTACACTACTGATTTTCTATTTTTTGAGTTTAGTACTGTTGCATAGGTATGCTCACTTCATGAAAACGCATCCAGCCATACATATGCCTGATGACATGTCCTTTTCTGTGTTTATAATTCTACAATATATTTTTTTTTGAGACAAAGTCTTGCTCTGTCACCCAGGCTGGAATGTAGTGGTGCAATCTCGGCTCACTGCAACCTCCTCCTCCCGAGTTCAAGCAATTCTCCTGCCTCAACCTCCCAAGTAGCTGGGACTACAGGCGCCCGCCACCAAGCCTGGCTCAATTTTTGTATTTTAAGTAGAGATGGGATGTCACCGTGTTTGCCAGGATGATCTCGAGGCAGAGACCTCGTGATCCACCTGCTTCGGTCTCCCAAAGTGCTGGGATTACTGACATGAGCCACCATGCCTGGCCTAATTCTACAAATTTTTAATAGAATTATTTCAAAAACCAAAGTGAAGGAAATCATTTCTGAAGTGTTCATAACAAACGAACGATTTAGTTTTAAGAGTAATTTGTAAAGTGTGATTGTTATGTCAGTAAACTCCAGCATCCTGTGATCCAGTCAGGAGTTCTCTGGACAATGTCATACTATTGGGAGTTTGCTCCTGAACGCTGTTTTCTAAAAACATGCTTCTTTTGGGTAAAACGTCACAACTTATGGATATCTGTTTGAAGATAAAATGACCCAACTTCTCCCATGAGTAGTGAGAGCCATCTCAGCCAAATTTATTGCATCCCTCAAATTTTCTGTCACAAAAGCAAAGGGTATCTTCCTTCCCTTTAGTCTTTATTTCTTATCTCCCTTCTGTCATTCATGTTGCTGATTTCTTTCTTCCTGTAAACAGAAACCTGAGCCAAGGATTCCTTATGGGAGCTGGAGGGTCTTACTCACCAGAATCAAAATCCCTGACAAACCAATCCCTGCAGCTCAACAAAAAGCTAGTGAATTGACAAGCACAGAACAAAGTCTGGAAGGAAAAACATCCATGCAATTCCCTGTCCTACCTACAAACATACGGAATCCAGATGAAATGCTTCGGAATGGAAAAGTGTCAGGTACTTGCAGTGTAGTAAGAAGTTATGATTAAAAAGCAAGAAAAATGTTAGTAATCTTAGAATCCTGTATTTATTTTTTCTCTCTGTGAGAGAAGATAAACATTTAATATGGATACGCTGAATTAATTGTTCCATAGCTCATTTGGCCTCTTATTTCTTTTCTTTTTTTTAATTTCCAAGCTGGTTTTATTAGCTACATTCAATAATTAATATTTTCTTGGTCAGGTGCCATTACAGAGGCGACTTTTCTAAAGTGATAATTTATTTTATTATCTTTAATAGAAACTTCGGCTTAATATTTGTATTAATTTATTGTCACCCTTCTATAAAGACATACCCATAACTAGGTAATTTATAAAGGAAAGAGGTCTATTTGACTCACAGTTCTGCAGGGCTGGGGACACCTCAGGAAGCTTACACTCACAGTAGAAGGGGAAGCAACATGTCCTTCTTCACATGACAGTAGCAAGGAGAAGTGCAGAGCAAAATGGGGGAAAGCCCCTTATAAAGCCATCAGATCTTGTGAGAACTCACTCACTATCATGAGAATAGCATGGAGGTAACTGCCCCCATGATTCAATTACCTCCCACCTAGTCCTTCCCACAACATGTGGGGATTATGGGAACTACAATTCAAGATGAGAGGTGGGTGGGGACACCACCAAACCATATAATTCTGCTCCTGGCACCTCCCAAATGTCATGTCCTCACATTTCAAAACACAAACACACCTTCCCAACAGTTCCCCAAAGTCTTAACTCATTCCAGCATTCGTCCAAAAGTTCAAGTCCAAAGCCTAATCTCTGACAAGGCAAGTTCTTTCATCCCATAAGTCTGTAAAACCAAAAGCAAGTTAGGGCCAGGTGTCTGTAATCCCAGCACTTTGGGAGGCTGAGGAGGGCAGATCACCTAAGGTCATGAGTACGAGACCATCCTGGCCAATATGGTGAAACCCCATCTCTACTAAAAATATAAAATTAGCTGGGTGTGGTGGCCTGCACCTGTAATACCAGCTACTTGGGAGGTTGAGGCAGGAGAATCACTTGAACCCACAAGGTGGAGGTTGCAGTGAGCCAAGATTGCATCATTGCACTCCAGCCTGGGCAAAAACAGCAAATCTCCATCTCAAAAAAAAAAAAAAAAAAAAGCAGGTTAGTTACCTCCTAGATACAATGAGGGTACAGGCATTGGTTAAATACACCCATTCCAAATGGGAGAAATTGACCAAAACAAAGGGGCTACAGGCCCCATTCAAGTTGGAAATCCAATAGGGCAGTAATTAAATCTTAAAGCTTAGAAATAATCTCCTTTAACTTGGTCATGCTGATGCAAGAGGTGGGCTGTCATGACCTTGGGCAGCTCTGGCCCTGTGGCTTGGCAGGGTACAGTCCCCCCCAAAGTTGCTTTCATGGGCTGGTGTTGAGTGTCTGTGACTTTTCCAGGCACACAGTGCAAGCTGTCAGTGGATCTACCATTCTGAGGTCTGGAAAATGGTGATCCTCTTCTCAGAGTTCCACTAGGCAGTGCCCCAGTGGGGACTGAGTGTGGGGGCTCCAACTCTGCATTTCCCTTCTGCACTGCCCTAGCATAAGTTCTCCCTGAGGGCTCTGCTCCTGCACCAAACTTCTGCCTGGGCATCGAGGTGTTTCCATACATCCTATGAAATCTAGGTGGAGGTTTCCAAACCTCAATTGTTGACTTCTGTGTACCTGCAGGCTCAACGCCACATGAAAGCTGCCAAGGCTTGTGGCTTTCACCCTCTGAAGCCATGGCCTGAGCTGTACCTTGGCCCCTTTTAGCCAGAGGTAGAGCAGCTGGGATGCAGGGCACCATGACCCTAGGCTGCACAAAGCAGCAAGGCCCTGGGCCCAGGCCCTGAAACCATTTTTTCCTCCTAGGCCTCTTGGTCTGTGATGGAGAAGCTGCCAAGAATGTCTCTGACATGCCCTAGAGACATTCTCCTCATTGCCTTGGTGATTAACATTTGGCTCCATGTTACTTCTGCAAATTTCTGGAGCAGGCTTGAAATTCTCCCCAGAAAATGGGTTTTCTTTTCTATTGCATTGTCAGGCTGCAAACTTTCCAAATTTTTTTTGCTCTGCTTGCTCTTGAACACTTTGCCACTTAGAAATTTCTTCTGCCAGATACCTAAATCATCTCTCTCAAGTTCAAAGTTCCACAAATCTCTAGGGCAGGGGGAAAATGCTGCCAGTTTCTTTGCGAAATCATAGCAAGAATCACCTTCATTAAAGTCCCAACAAGTTCCTCATCTCCATGTGAGAACACCTCAGCATGGACTTCATTGTCCATATCACTGTCAGCATTTTGGTCAAAGTCATTCAACAGGTCTCCAAGAAGTTTCAAACTTTCCCACATCTTCCTGTCTTCTGAGCCTTCCAAGTCTCTAGGAAGTTCCAAACTTTCCATTTTCCTGTCTTCTTTGGAGCCCTCTAAACTGTTCCAACCTCTGCCTGTTTCCCATTTCCAAAGTTGCTTCCACAATCGGGTACCCTTATAGCAGCACCCCACTCTCTGCAGTACTAATTTACTTTGTCCATTCTCATGGTGCTATAAGGACACATCTGAGACTGGGTAATTTATAAAGGAAAAAGGCTTAATTGACTCACAGTTCTGCAGGGCTGGGGATGCCTCAGGAAACTTACAATCATGGTGGAAGAGGAAGCAAACACAACCTTCTTCACGTGGCAGCAGCAAGGAGAAGTGCAGAGTGAAGGAAGGGAAAAGCCCCTTATAAAACCACCAGATCTCATGAGAACTCATTCACTATCACGAGAACAGCATGGAGGTAACTGACCCCATGATTCAATTACCTCCCATTGGATGCCTCTCAAGACAATTGGGGATTATGGGAATTGCAATTCAAGATGAGATTTGTGTGGGGACACAGCCAAATCATATCAATATTTTAGTAGCATAAATGAATATAATTATTACATTTTAAATAAAAGATGTATTAATTTCATTTTCAAATTAAGATTTAGAACATAATATGTACCTTCAATAATAAATGGCATTGGATTCATTATATGCTGTATGAATATAACACAGGAGTTTACATAATATTTTTCAAGATTTGTTCTCTCATGCTAAAGTTTTTTGTAACTTTTTTTCATCAATATAAATGCCATGACAACAGTAATGTCAGAGGTTGTGACTTTTTTTTTTTTTTTTTTTTTTAGACAGAATTCCGCTCTGTCACCCAGGCTGGAGTTCAGTGGCACAATCTTGGCTCACTGCAACTTCTGACTCCCAGGTTCAAGCAATTCTCTTTCCTCAGCCTCCTGAGTAGCTGAGATTACAGGTGCCTGCAATTGCACCTGGCTAATATGTTATTTTATTTTATTTTATTTTTTAGTAGAGACAGGATTTCACCACATTGGCCAGGATGGTCTCGAACTCCTGACTTCAGGTGATCCACCTGCCTTGACCTTCCAAAGTGCTGGGATTACAGGCATGAGCCACCTCGCCCGGGCGAGCATGTGACATTTTTAAAAAGCACATTCTGAGGTTTCAAAGTGTAATAGGAAAAACATGCACTACAAGTAGAGTCCATTATAACTGATTTTAAATTCCATCTCTGTCCCTCATTTCCTCTTGAACTGCTTTAATGAAGAATCCCCAGATCTTAGTGGCTCACAACCACAAGCCTTTGTGAAATATGTCAGCATGTGTGGACTGACTGATGCACTTTGGCATTTCTTTTCTTTCTGGGACTCAGGCTAAAGGAGTGGCTACTCTTTAGGACAGCCATTACTTTGGAATGGGGAAAAGCAAGAGACAGAGCCACACATTGGCTCAAACACGGTGTATGTCATCTCTGCTCACATTCCATTGGCCAGAGCAAGTCAGAGGATAGAGCCAGACAATGGGACAGAGATGTGAATGAACTCTGACTATAGGAATCCTTCAAGGCATACATCAATGAACAGAAAAAACAGGAAACGAAGATTGGAAAAAATATAGTATGCTTGAATGATATTGCCAATTGGAGGGTTACTCAGCAGTGTAATTAGCCTTTTGCTGAAAATCATAGTCAGGGAATGGTGATAGCTGCTAACCTAGCCATCCAACATAACCCAAAATGAAGAAAACTATTTGAGAATTTATAATCATGCAAAGCCTTTTTAAATACAATAAGCCTGGACAACATAGTGAGACCCCATATCCACAAAAAGATTTTTTTAAAATTGTCTGGGCATGGTGGTACATGCCTGTTGTCCCAGCTACTTGGAAGGCTGAGGCAGGAGGACCACTTGAGCCTGGAAGGTTGAGGCTACAGTGAGCTGTGATTGTGCAACTGCACTCCAACCTGGGTGACAGAGTGAGACCCTGTCTCCAAAACTAAAAAAAAATTAAAAATAAAGGCTATCTGTTTGTGCACGTGAATATGCTCTAGTTGGTGGGAAACATAAATGTTAACTTTACGTGTGGGTAATGTATAGATGAGCTACTTAATTATGAGCTTATTTGTAGATCTGTTAAAACCAAATGGAAAACACACCTATTTGTAAACTGGCAAATAAGCTTTTCCACATATGAAGAACAGCTTGTTTCAGGTTTTAAAATATAATAAGATTAACTTTTAAATTGAGTTGAGAAAACAGCAAGTTACAGATAAATTGAGTTACTAAGGAAAGTGATTTCACTTTTAAAAACTGAATTAAGGACGTTGAAATTAATTTATTTTTGAACAGAACGTGCTCAATGTTAAGTTTTGTTTATTAATTTCTCTTTGGACAAACTCTTTGAATGAAAACAAAATCTATTATAAAACTTTGTTTTTCATATTGGCAGCCCTGCATCAAATTTTTATCTACAATAAACATGAATTATATACCACTTGCAGGTAGAAGTCCCATCTGCACATCGATTCACTTCAGCCAATGACATGTGTGTGCATGGACTCTTACTGTAGTATGCATTAAGTCCCCTAAGCCAATTACTTAGTGGAGACATTTAATTCAGTTTAATCTTTAATTATATGCTTTTGATTAATGGTTAAAATAACCGTAAGTTATAGCTGCAACATTCCATGTTAATTAGTGGGAAACTTTCTAGACAATTTGGAAGACTTTCTTATATCTCTTGCTTTAGTTTAAAAAATTTGGGAAGTAGGAAAGAGACAAATAATCCTCTTTGAAGATTGAATTATTAGGAATTATTAAGAGAAGGTATTATCTAAGGGTATAGTGGTTAGCTACGTAGGCTCTGAATCAAACAGACCTGCCACAAAGGTCTCCCAAGCTTTTTAGATTTGTGTTTGAGGAATTTTGTATAATCTTTATTAGACTTGGGTTCCTCTACTAAAAAACAGGATAACCGTAGGGCTTCTCTACTAGAACTATGAGCCTAACAGATTCATTAAAGAATAGCTCCTATGTACCATTTAATAGATTGAATCATTTTCAAAAATGCTTATTACTGACAAAGAATCACTAATATATACATATGAGAAACTTAAATACATATTAGAATACATAACTGAAAGGATATTATTGAACACCTGCTGTATCCTGAGCACTCTGCTAGCCACTGGGGATATGGACATATGTAAAAATAGAGATGGTCCCTAGCCTAATGTAAGAGGCATAAAGAGTTATAACGCTACAGTACATTCTTGGTGAGAATGTGAATAGTATAGGATTTTTGGAAAATAGTATATAGAGAGTCTTTTAAAAATTAAAAAATAGGACAACCCAACGATCCAGCAATCCCATTTCTGGGTGTATATCCAGAGGAATTGAAAGCAGTATGCTGAAGAGTTGTCTCCACTCCCATGTTCATTTAAGTACTATTGATAATAGCCAAGGTATAGAATTAACCTAATTGTTTATCAACAGATAAGTAGATAAAGAAAATGTGGTATATTACACAATGGAATACTATACAGCCTTAAAAAAGAAGAAAATTCTATCATTTGCGACAACATGGATAAACCTAGATAATATTGTGCTAAGTGAAATGAGCCAGACCCAGAAAGATGAATATCATATGATGTCATTTATATGTTGAAGCTGAAAAAAGCAGATCTCAACAAAACTCAGAGTAGAAAGTGTTAACAGAGGCTGCGGGTTGAGGGGAAGTGGGATGGGGAATCTGGAGATGTTGATCAAAGAGTACTCAGTTAGACTAAAGGAACACAATTTAGTGATCTATTGCACTGCATGTTGACCACAGTTAATAATAACATATAGTAGATTTCAAAATTGCTAAAGAATTGATTTCTAATGTTCTCACCACAAAAAATAAAGGATAAGTCAGTAAGGTAAAGGATATGTTAATTAGCTTCATTTACTCTTTCTACAATGTATGCATATATCAAAACATCACATTGTGCCCCATAAATATATGCAATTAATGTTTGTCATTTTAAGATAAATAAATAGGTATTTTTTTGTAAAAAAAAAAAGTTTTAATGCTCTATAAGGAGCGCATGCAATTGATTATCACAGCATAATGATTTAACATATTTGGATGGTCCTCAAAGATTATACCATAAAAACTTGATGAGATGATGAGATGCTGCTGGTCTACATTATGACTTTTGCCCACTGTAAGAGTGATAGGTGGAAATGAGTCACTAAGCTAGTGGATGAGTCTAGGTCTATGTTAAACATGTGCTTTAATTTTGTTTTACTTTGCAATTTTAGCTAAGTGCAGAGTGATTGCTGCTATAGTAGTAAATAATGCAATGTATTACTCTAATAGTGATAAAATTCAGTGGTACATGCATCTACTCCTATGTATGAAGTTCCCCTTAAATGTAGCAGCTTAAAGCAACAATAAACACTTATTTCATATACTTTGTTTGAGTTAGGAATAATTAGCAGGTTAGCTAACTTGGGGTATCTCATGAGATTTTACTCAAGATGCCAGCTAGAGATGAAGTAATTGGAAGGCTTGTCTGGCATTGGAGGCTCTACTTCCTACATGATGCACTCACATATCAAGCAAGTTAGCTGTGGTTGCAGGAGGGAGGCCTCAGTTCCTTGCAATGTGAAACTTCTCATAGGGAAGCTTGAGTGTTTTTGCATAATGGCTGCTGGCTTCCCCCAGAATAAGTGATCCCAAAGGGCTCAGAACAGAAGCTGCATGGTCTTTAATTATCTAACCTGATAAGTCATACTCCATCATTTATGCAATATCTCGTGATTATACATGTAAGCCAAACTCAGTGTGGTAGAGGAATAAATAATTAGTATGGATAACAGGAGGTGAGAATAATTTGGACCCATTTTAGAGGCTGGCAACCATAGTAAAAATTTTTTAAACACAAGAATTACATGTATATGATGTATTGGGATGAACTGGAAAAATGTGGAAGTATACAAATGAGGTTTGGTGAAAACAATCTTTTTTATATATTATATAACTTTGGATATAATTATATAAGTATTAGGACAAATATGAATTGGATAAAACTTTCAAATACAATCTCTTTGGTTATGATTAGTGAGAAACTTGAACTTCCCATTGAGAAGGAACCTATTTTTAAGAACTCATCTTATGCTTGAAAGGGTTACGTGAAATATCTGATCAAGACTTTTTTAATGATGATCTTTTCAAATTCTTGATAAACATCTTTAACGAGAAACTTCACTCATACGAGTAGGTAATAAAATAATGTAAATCATTTTATAACAATTTAAAACATATACCAAATTATGTTCAAAGATTGTAACAGCTCTTTCTTTTCAATTTATTGTGGAAATGTGAATGGATTAAAAATCCAATCCATGTTTTTCCCGTCAGGTGTTTCAAAATAATAATGAAGCTCTAATTTACAAAATGCACTGCCTTATTGGATTAGAGGCCCCTACAAGAAGCTTGGATGACTCCAAAAAAGCACATCCGACAAATCTCTCTAAAAACACCACAGACAACAGGCAGGCAAATCAATATATGAGACTTAGATTTCAGGCTGCTGGCTGGACTTGTGCATGTCAGGAATCCTTGAGTGTCATTGCCAGGCACAGCACCCTCTACAAATTGCACTTTAGCTCTACATCACACCCTGTAAGAAGCTCAGTGGTGCACCTTATGCACAAAGGGAAGGTCTGTATGTGGCTGCTGGCTCTTGAGACATATGGCCAGATGGCAGTTCTTGTCTTCGAACAAGTCACGCGTCAAGGTGGAGCAGCAGATACTGGATGCTGGTCATCATTTTCACAGCCATTAAGGACCATGGGCCTACTCAGTAGTTCCTCTCAGGGCTAGGCTACCTTCTGTGAAAGCCCAGAGTCTCTGCTCATAGCTGGATGTGGCCATCCGGGGACTCTGGCCAATTAGGCATTGGTTTGCTCTACCTCTATCCCCAGCTACCTGGGATTCATATTTTTTGTCAAATCTATAACTCATTCATATCACATGAATAACATTTTATTTTAAGAGTCTGATAAATCAATTTTAACCTATAATCCTGGCACCTTTAAAGTTCTGAAAGCCTCTCAAAGTTTTCAGTAATACTGAATTCTATGAATAAACTTATGTTCAATAGTACCATATGTTAATTTAGGTATTTGCAGATGTATTTTAAAACATACTTCATAAGAACATTTCATGCAGTGGGTTTCTAACTTGGCTCATCATGAAACTCCTCTGGGCAGAATTGTATGATTTTAGATATTGATAGTTAGCCATTGTTAGTAAGCCTCTTGCAATAGCAAGAATCAAAATTTTAATTTAAATTCAAAAATCCAGGCTTACTTCAGATACAGAAAAATCCAGATGCACCGAAAATGACATCAAGTTATTGGCTGGCACTCTCTCTATATTTCTGCTGCCTCTTTTTATAGGGAGTCAAGGCTGACTACCTATTTTTACACTATGTTTAGCATGGAGAGGTTGCCTCTTTTTCAATAGCTTCAACAAAAGGCTCAGTGTTGAGTCTCATTGCCCTGTTTCTGAGGAATGCTCAGACTGGCCAGAACTGTGTCATATCCCTACTCAGGTAACGAAGGGGATATAGCCAAACTCATTCAAACCATATGGCTAAGATAGAGGAGAGGTATAATGCCTCAAAAGAAAAATGGGATGCTGTAATCAAAAGGGAAATGGTTACTTAACAACCTTCCCCCCTCCTGGCTCTCCTCCAAATGCACGATGTTTGTTAATCTGAATTTCAAAGGAGTAGGACTTTCCATCTATATTTTGAAAGAGTCCCCCAGAAATTGAAGGACCGCTGGTCTACTTTATATCATAGCCTTATCATTTTTAGATACATAGGAAAATGGATAGAAAACTAATTAGAATTCTTCTCTTACTGAAACTCAGTTGATATACTGAGCTTCATAGTCATACTACCAAGATCACTAGCAGAAAGTGTGTGAAAAACTGTCTTTATGTGAAGGGAACTATCATCTAAGAAATGTAGTGTCACTCAATGGGAACGCCCACAGAGTAAATTCTTGTTAATGTCATTTCTTGGTAAGTTGATGTTCTTCCTTCCATCAGATTGTAAAGACTGTTCATCTAATTATTTTTCCTTTTTTACTCTGGCTGCTGGGAAGCCCAAAGAAAAAGTTATTGTTTTGCCATAGTAATAATATAAGTCTTTGTGGCTAACAAATCCTTTTTCTCCTTTCTTATGACTATTATTCAGTGTGTAATTTTGCAGTAGTAGTATAAGCCACACTAAATCATACTGGGAGGAGAAATCAGAAAATTTTAATTAATTTTCATAATTGAGAAATGAATTCATAAAAATAAAATATCATCACATAGAGCTGTGTGTATAACTGAAAGGCAAAAAGAACACTGATTTCATTTTACAATCTTTAAGTATTTCTAATGAATTAAGTTAAATAAATCTTGCTGAGCACCTACTATGTGTTAGAATCTGAAGGAAATATAGGGATAAAAAAGGTGACTTTCCTTCAAAGGGATTGACAAATAATAACGATAAATAAAGCATATGAAAATAACTTCAAACAGTACAGAATATCTCAATGAGTATAAAAGGATATGTTTATTAGACAAAACAACAAACCTTGGTAGACAGCTTCCTAGAGCTAATTTGGTTATTACTTCTGGATAGGCTGAATATATTGGTTCAAGGTATTTCTCCTTCGGTCTCCAGCTTAAATTAGCATTCTTAAATGATTAGTGATGGCGTGGCTAATGAAGAAAAAGCTCAGGATGAGGCAGGGGCCCTACTCCTGATTTTTGGCTCTGCCATTTAACAACTGCTGTAGGTCCTTCAGCAAGTTCCGTTGGCCCTTCCACCCTCTTTCTCCATCAATCAAACGGAGATGATGGCCACACCTAACCTGTATCGTGATGATAAGGATTAAATGGAACGGTTTCTATAAAAGAGTGGAAGCATCAATAAGAATGTGTGTTATTCATATTTTTTTGGCCTTCAAGATCTTCCCTATAACTCTCCTGTAGCAGATATTATATCCCCAAAAATAGAAATAATATCTGTTATCTCACTCATTCTCAGAGATTTGGGAAGGCCTATTAGCAAATATCTCTCAATATCTGGAATAGCTCAGAGTCTCTAAGAACATATTATCTTACATTCCCTTTTCTTTCTCCATTCCCAGACACCGCACCAATGCCTGGATGTAGCCTCATGGCCTAAGATGGGAAGTTCTCAGTTGCCAACTCCTGTCTGAGTTTGCTCTGCCCTGGAATATCTGGCTTGTATTTTCCTCTTATTATAAATTTTCATTTATTTATGAAAGAGTTTTAAATGATCTGATGCCCCACAAAATGTTCAAGTTCATCTGTAGATTGTTTCTTGAAGAAGAAAACACTAAATATGTGACATAAAATAGTCAGCAGTAGCTTCCAGTTTATCCCAAATTCTGAAACTGCACAGAGGTTTGAGAGATTTCAGTACTGGGAAATAGGCCATTTACCCATTAACTGACTGTTGACACCAGGGACATTTGGTTCTTGGCCCAACTGTACCTGCAGAACTAGCAACGTAAGAAATGTTCAAAACGTTCCCTCTCATTCTGTCTCATATTGAAATTAAGGTAAATTATACTCTTTTCTAAAGCAAATGTCCTAACATCTAACAAGCAAGTAAAAGATGGTATAGACTCCCTACACTGTTTATTTGAATGATGCCTGTAGATAACAATGAGAATGCGTTTTTTTTTTAGTGTATTCCTCTATTGGTGTCCTTTGGCCTTTTTAACAGGGTCACCTAAAATGGATGAATTTTCTCATTGTGTCAATGCCTGTCTCTGACCTAGAAGGAGTTATAGGGCTAATTGGCTGTGCAGCATTTATGCAGCATCCTGGTGCATCAGTAGAAATTGTCAAGAATGGCCTATTTAGTTTGTTGTTGATTCAAGCTCATCTTTTGTTTAGGACCTGGTCCTTAAGGAAATTATTTGGCATTCAAATCAAACACTCATAACTGATGGAAACGTCTGATGACAATTCACATCATCCTAGGAGGCCTTTACACTTACTACACTGATTTGCTAAATGTGTTTACATTTAATTAAAGAAAACTCTCTTCAACCAGGAGAAAGTTGCTGAGTGAGAAACTCAATTGTTTGGAAATTTGCATCTCTTCCAACAAACAAAAAGAAACAAAATTTAAATACCATCTTCTTAAAAGAAAATTGGTTTGCAAAGAAAGAAGAAAACAACTTGATGATGATTTTGTGTCTCTCTCAAATTCAAGTTTATATCTACAATTCCAAATGAAGTACTAGTTGTTTTTACCTCATTTTGGGGCCAGAAGTGGCTTTCAGAGCCTGAGTAGACTCACACAATAATCTCCTCTGTGGTTTTATTCTTCCTTTCCTCCTCTTCTTTCTCCTTTCTCCTTTTTTCTTGGAAGAAGCTTAGAGCCAGTGAATGAGACTCGAATTCTGTTCGTACTGCACATTAATAGCACAAATTTAAAACACTCCACTCCTGTCAAACTATTTTTTTTAATCTGGAAAATGGCAGGTGATAATGACTATCTCATAAAATGTATGTGAGGCTCAGATGAAATAATGAATATAAAAAGATCTTCTCCGAAAAGTTGCCTCTTTATGAATAGAACTAGTGACTTATCCTTAAAGAAATAATTTCAAAATTATCAATTCTTGCTGTCACGGAGGCCTTTCTTTATCTCAAGACAAATAGATCTGCTTTATTCATTTAAGCCAGTTCCTACCAGTCTGTCCTCAGATATGAAACAACTGGTGCCTAAACTTCTTCTCATCTTTGCCTTGAATTTAGTAAGTTTTCATATCACAGTGATAATAAGAATATGTGTATCACTGTATCTTCACATCAATACATTTTGAAAACATGTACTGAGTATTTCTTGGGTGCCAAATATTGTACTACTTAATATAATTAACTCCTCCAACAATTATAATACAAGAACTATTCATAAACCCATTTTAAAAATGAAGAAATTGAAGTTTGTAGTACTGACCCAAGGTCGCACAGCTGGTGAGACTGAGTTGCAGTAAGAATAGGATTCTAATTAGTTTTCTATCCATTTTCTTATGTATCTAAAAAATGATAAGTAGATATAAAGTATGATATAAAGTAGACCAGTGGTTCTTCCATTTCTGGGGGACTCTTTCAAAATATAGATAGAAAGTCCTACTCCTTTGAAATTCAGATCAACAAACATAATGGATTTGGAGGGGAGCCAGGAGGGAGGAAGGTTGTTAAGGGCCCAGGTCAATATGCAGTTTTATTTGTCTGATTCTGTGCGCACTGTCTGCCTTCAGTTGATAGAAGTAGCTGTCACCTTTCAGATGCGTGTCTATTGGATAGTTATCACAGAAAGAGACCTTAACTAGGGTCCATTAGCCTCCAGGGGATCCTTGAGATGGGCTTTGGGAATCTGAGAAACCCCTGAAATTGAGTGCAATACATTGTAGTGGCTGAGTATGTTTCACAGATTCTCGAATCAGACTCCAAAATGTTAAGACCCAAGAAGATACTCTAGAGTACATTTAGCAACTTTGATCTTTATCAAAAGCAACCTTTTCCCTAAACTTGGCATTAATAACAATTGACTTTTCAGCTATACCTTCAAAATCAGACCTGTTAATATATTACAGATATAACAAGAAAAAGGGAGACTTACAGCTAAGGAGCAGGGTGTGGGCCAGTAGATAGAAAATTACTAAAAGGAAACATCACAGACAAGGGGAGATTCTGGGCCGGGCCAGTAGCTCGGGACGGGCATGGTGCCTTACGCCTGTAATCCTAGCAGTTTGGGAGGCCAAGGCAGGCAGATTGCCTGAGCTCTGGAGTTGGAACCCAGCCTGGGCAACACGGTGAAACCCTGTGTCTACTAAAAATACAAAAAAAATTAGCCAGGCATGGCAGTGTGTGCCTGTAGTCCCAGCTACTCAGGAGGCAGGGGCACAAGAATTGCTTGAACCCGGGAAGCAGAGGTTGCAGTGAACCAACATCACACTACTGCACTCCAGCCTGGGTGACGGAGCAAGACTCCCTCTCTCTAAAAAGAAAAGTGGGAGGGAGAGATTCTGGCTAAACTGATCTAATAGGATTCTTGCTGAAGGCAAGTCCAAGGTGATCAGACATTGCCTGGGGACAGTGAAAGATAAACAACCGAATCAGATATTGAGGGTGATAAGACATTGAAGATGGGAGATCAAGGCTAAACTGATTTAGCAGGATTTTTGCTTAAGTAGAATAGGTTAGAGACAAACACAGAAACCTAAAAATCAGGAGCTAGTTGAGAAGAGTGTTCAGAGGAGGCCGATGAGGATTTTGTCCAGGAGAGACTTGCAGCATGGGGTGGAGAGCCAGAGTGTAGAAACCATCCTCCAAGGTTCAGTCCCTTTTGTGGGAAACTGTCTGGGCAAGATCATGGAGAGCTTGATACCATGGAACTGCCAGAAAATGGGAAAAAAGCAAACAAATCTTTTTTCCCCTGTAGCATTGACCAGTCAGGAAAAGAATTGCAGAAGCAGAGTCGGGGGAAGAGTAGGGACTTCCAGTTCTCTCAAAGTGCATGAGTTGAGAACTAGCTTGAGAAACAGTGCAGTGGATCCAGGCCAAGACACTAGAGTCAGAATACTTAGGTTTATATCCTGGTTCCCCTCCTGGCTAACTCTACAACATATGAAGGTTTTGTCCTCTCACAGCCTTGGATCTCTTACCTGACAAAAATAATGGGGGACAGGGGACAAAAATCATAAATAATTTGTGAAATTGTTATGTAAATTAAATGAGCTGACTCATATACACGTCAGAATGGTACCTGGCACATACATTAATGTTACCAATAATAACAGCAATCAATATTATTAATGTAGACATAAGTGGAAACTTTATATGTAGAAGAGCTCTCTGTAAATAAAAGAAAATAACCTTTATTACCATTAGTGAATTGGTAAATCTCTACCCTGATGCTCTTAATGCCACCTTTTATTTTTAATAGCATTTTTAAGTTTATATGCTCATGTTCCACCAAAAGCCTTAATTTTAAATGAGCATTTTATGCCTTTGGTGGTATCTTACCATCAGGAGGTGATTGTGGTGGCCATTTTTATTCTTTGCATGCACTTTTTATACTCAGTTTAATGCAGAGAACAGAGCCAGAGTAATTATCTCCTATTTTTCATTTACATAGCTATCACTCAATGCCAGTGGTTTTAGCAGTACAAAATCTGTTTTATCTGAAATGGAATCCATTTAATAACACCAAGAACTTATTTGTATAATTGACTAACAATTGAAGGCAAACCTGGGAACAGAAAGAGGCAGAGTTACCTATACTGAGAACCATGTGTATGATAATGGAAGTCTCTTTTTTTCAGTCTTGAAGGATTAAAAAGAGATTTTAAAATGTTAAGTGAATTTGTAATAGAAACAGTGGGAAAGGTATCATTTTATATTTGAGCTCCTACAAAAGCCTTAGGAAATAGCAAATCAGCCATTTGGGTTTAGGTGGTTCATTTTTATTCTGTCCTTTGTCTTGCAAATGAAGGTTCCTAGAAGAGAGTGTTCTTCTCAAATAAAATAAGCTTTAGAATTGACCTCAGAAACAGGTTAAACTGCTGAATCAGATTAAGCCTGCCTCTGAGCTGTTTCTTGGGCTCCATTTTCTTTCCCTGTCACTAGAGTACCCTGACTCTTGGTTTTCTAGTTGGTACTTGGTAAAAGTCTGTTTCCCTAGAGATCAAATGGATTGAGTGCCCAGGAGAATCCTGTACATGAGTGACGCCAGCCAAGTAAAGAGGATAGGAAGGAGTGAGGATCCTAGTTCACTCAAGGCAGCATGGTTTATCTGAAGGAAACAATCTTGGCTCTCAGCTCCACATCCTTGCCTGATACTTTGGTTTTTAAAGGGCATTTGAAAACCTGGAAATCTTTTTTCAATTATGTAAAATCTTCGCATTTTAAAAACTGTTCTTTACAATTTCAAACATATTTAAAAGCAGAAAATAGTATTCAATGAAACCTCATATACCTATGATGGGGCTCCGGAAACACTACCCCAGAATAGCCCTCATTGACATATTTAATATTTTAAACTGAAAATATTTAAGAAAAAGGCAGAAGCAGGAAGGCCTTTCTGACCTTCCCCCATCCTTCTCCCCTGAAGAGGTCATAGAAACCAGGAAGATTTTTCTGACCTTTCCCTGGAGGACCATAAGACTCTTATTAAGTAAGAGGTGCCTTCCCATAGAAAAGGAACGTCCTTACCTCCAAAGATGCAGAGACACAGACAAAGAAGAATCTGAACAAATAGGCCTTGCTAAGTTTCCCCCAGTTTATTTGTGTGTTTGTTTACTGAGACAGGTTCTCACTCTGTTACCCAGCTGGAGTGCAGTGTCACTATCATAGCTTATTGCAGCCTGGACCATTTGGACTCAAGTGGTCATCCTACCTCAGCCCCTTGAGTAACTAGGACTACAGGTGTGCATCATCATATCCAGCTAATTTGTTATTTTTTGTAGAGACAGGGTCTCAGTATGTTGTCCAGGCTGGTCTCGAACTTCTGGCTTTGAGCAATCTTCTGGCGTCTTCCTTCCAATACGCCGGGATTACAGGTATGAGCAATGGCACCTGACCTTCCTGACAACCCCCAGTTTTTTACCATTAGACCACACCTCTTTTGCCCTACCATATTTCTGGATGACAATCCATTCTTCATCAACCCTACCATAAAAAAAAAAAAGTTCAGAAACAGTAAGAAAAAGAAACTTAAATAAATGTCCTTATAAAGGCCCCTGTGACATGTCAAAATTATATTGCAAAAAGCAAATGTGTATGCTCTTCTCTTGTTAATCTGTCATTTTTTATAAGGACCTTAGCCATGAGGTAAGGGTGTAAGAAAAAATATTTTTCTCCCCATCCCTCATTACCCAGCTTCAAAACTTGTTAACTCATGGTTTTTCCTGTCTCACTCCTCCCCTCTGCCTTGATTATTTTGAAGCAAACTCCAGATATCATATTATTTTATCCATAATAATTTCAGTAGATTTCTCTAAATGTCGGAGGCTCTCTTCATGAAAAAACAACAAGCAAAACACTGCATTTTTTAATTATTAAATTTTTAGTCAACGTTCACATATTCTTAATGCTTTTATAATTTTCTTTAAGTACATATCTATTTCTCCCTTTATCCTCTCTCTTATATGAGTTCGTTTGAATTAAGATCCAAATAAACTAGCGTGGTGGTGCGTGCCTGTGAGTGCCTGCAGTCCCAGCAACTCAGGAGGCTGAAGCAGGAGAATTGCTTGAGCCAGGAGTTCTTCCAGTCTAGGCTGAGCAAAATAGTGAGAACCCTATCTCTTACAATTTTTTTTTAATCCTACTAAAAGCAATTGCAATTGTTTGCTATGTCTTTCAGGTCTTTTATTTTTAATCTATTAATATGTCCTATCTTTTCTCATTTATTTCTCTTTTCTTTGGTAATTAATTTGTTAAAGAATCTGCATCATTTTGCGTAAATTTTTTCACAATTTGGATTTTGCTTCTTTTGGTGTTAACTGACATATCTGCCCTTCCCTTGATTTGCAGTATATAAAAACAATTAGATATAAAGGCTTAATTAATTCTGATAGATTTTTTGGTGGGGGCAAGAATATGTGTACAGCCGTCAATGCTTTTGTATACTTCTATCTTGATGCATGTGGGCTGTGGATGCCTGTCTTAAAGTAATGCTACCTCTACTGATGATCATTGTCTGTTATTTTACTAGGGAATAAAAAACAAAACCAAAACAAATATCTCTGGACAGCATCATCACAAGCTTATGACTCTACCCTAGACTTTCTTGCTTTGAGCCAGGGAGGGAGTAGGCAAAGTGTGACTCAGTGGGATTAAATCAGCAAAATTAGTAATATTTTATTTATTTATTCATTTTATTTATTTTTTAATAATTTTTTGAGACAGAGTTTTACTCTGTCACCCAGGCTAAAGTGCAGTGGTGCAATGTCAGCTCACTGCAACCTCAGCCTCCAGAGTTCAAGGGATTCTTCTGCCTCAGCCTCAAAGAGTAGCTGGGATTACAGAGGTGCACCACCACGCCCAGCTAATTTTTGTATTTTTAGTAGGCTGGTCTTGAACTCCTGGCCTCAAGTGATTTGCCCACCTCAGCTTCCCAAAGTGCTGGGATTACAGATGTGAGCCACCACACCTGGCCATAATTAGCATATTTTGAAAACAATAATAACTAAGATTTCACCGTATTTACTGTGTTCTGCCTCAAGTCATTTGTCATTTATTGACTATATATCTGTCTCCTTGATTGTAAATTTCTTAAGAATAGAGACTGTATCAAGTTTAACCATTGTATCCCCAACATCTAGAAGCATCAGCTGAGATGTTGTAGTGAGAGGTGAAGCCAGCTGGACTTCTGGGTCGGGTGGGGACTTGGAGAACTTTTCTGTCTTACAAGAGGATTGTAAAATGCACCAATCAGCACTCTGTAGCTAGGATTGTAAAACGCACTGATCAGTGCTCTGTGGCTAGCTAGGGGTTTGTAAAATGTGCCAATCAGTGCTCTGTGGCTAGTTAGAGGTGTGTAAAATGGACCAATCAGCACTCTGTAGAATGGACCGATCAGCACTCAGTAAACTGGACCAATCAGTGCTCTGTAAAATGGACCCATCAGCAGGGTGTGGGCGGGGACAAATAAGGGAATAAAGCTGCCCTACACCCCACCCCCCCATAAGCCAGCAGTGGCAACCTGCTTGGGTCCCCTTCCCTGCTGTGGAAGCTTTGTTCTTTCACAATAAGTCTTGCTGCTGCTCACTCTTTGGGTCCCTGCCACCTTTAAGAGCTGTAACACTCACTGTGAAGGTCCGTGGCTTCATTCTTGAAGTCCGCGAGACCAAGAACCCACCAGAAGGAACCAACTGTGGATGCAGTGGGATATCGATAGATACTTGATGGGTAGATGAATGAATGTGAGAGTGAATGAGTAATTTAATGAGTAAATGGATTAATGCATGCTATGACAGATGCTGTGCTTTCAATCTTTTGGAGTACACAGATAAGTAAATAACGCACTAGTCATCTCTTGCTACATAACAAATTAATGCAAAAATTAGCAGATTAAAATAATGAAAACATATCCCAGTTTCTATGGGCAAGAAATTCAGGAGAAGCTTAACTAGCTGGTTCTGGCTTAAGGTCCATCAGGTGGCAGTTGAGATGTCTGCTGGGGCTGTAGCGATTTTCAGGCTTGAGTAGAGCCAGAGAATACATTTCCAACATTCCTCCTTCATGTGGCTATTGGCAGAAAGCCCTCTTTCCCTGCCAGCTGTTCTTTGACAGGTGAACCACTGCATAGGAATGCTTGAGTGTCCTTACAACATGGCTTCTCCCATTGTAAGTGATGTAAGAGAGAGCAAGAAGGAGGCCAGAGTGCCTTTGATAACTTAGTCTCAGAAGTCATGCATGTTACTCCTACCTTACTGTGTTCATTAGAAATGAGTCACTAATTCCAGCCCACACTCAATGGGAGGGTAATCAGGCTACACCCTTTGAAAGGAGTTCTAAAGGATTTTTTGATATATTTTAAAACACCACAGGTAATAATTACCACAAAGTACAACAAAGACTACAGTAAAGAATTGTCCAAAGTCATTTAGCTGTAAATGGAATGCTACTGTAGAGGAATACGCAGTTTATTAAGGGCTTTGATCTATCTGGGCTAAAATCCCAGCTAGTTCTATTGTTAGCTGAATGCATGGCCTTAGGTAAATTACTTTCTTTCTTTGGGTCACATTTTTGACAACTGAAAAAGTGTTACCAAAACACCAGGAGGTCGGTCTAGGGCTCCTTGCTCACCACACAGAAAACCAATTACTGAGACAATGAGTATTGCCACAGAAGAAGGTGTTTTACTTGGGTGAAGTCACTCAAAGAGATAGGAGATCAGTTTGAAATCCGTCTTTCCCAGCTGACTGAAATTCGGGGTTTATATAGCTAGAGAGGTGATGTAGCTGCGTGCAGGGGAAACAGAAATTGAGGAGGGGTGAGGAAGTCATCATGATGGATGAGGGGTCTGCCTCTTGTTTGTATGCTGTGATCTAGAGAGTTTCAGCAGCTCCTTTTCTGAGGAAGGAACTCAGACAAGGCAAGTGTAAGTTACAAATTGTAAGACTACAGAGGGTTAATGTCTTGTTTATTTAAAACTGTCAATATCGGTTCCGTGGAACAGTTGGGCCAGTTTTAAAAGTAGAGGATTAAACTTGTGCATAATGGTAGTAATAATAAAATAAAACCACCTTTATTAAATACATGGTATAGTGCCAACATTCGAAGTACAATATGTGACGTATTCATTTTAATCCTCATGATTGCCACTATAGTATTGTTTTAGAGACAAAGAAACTGAGACCTAAGGAGATTAAGTAACTTGCCCAATGTCACCCACTGGTGGCAACAGAATCTAGACTCTGGCAATTGCAATTTCATGTTATAGTTCAGTTTTAAACCCTTGCTCCTTAACTTGTTGTTTGGGGCTGGTAGCATGAGCATCACCTTGGAGCCTGGAGGGAAAACAGAGTCTTAGGCCGCACTCCAGGCCTCTTGAAGCAGAGTCTGCATTTTAACATGAGCCCCAGCTGCTTCAGAGGCACTTAAAACTTGGGAGCCATTGCTCTAATGACACATGCTATTGCTGTCTCTAAGAAGACTTCCAGTCATAGAATAATTCTAAATTCTGTACATTTAATAACCATGTGAAAGCTATGCACATAAAAGACAAGGGAACTTTGGGCTCGTTAATATAACGAGGTTGTTGGTGTTTCCACACCTCCCTTTTCCTGACAATTTTCAACAAAATTAAGAACCAGTCAGACTTTAAAAAGGAAAGTTTTAGATTGTGCTTTTAATAATTAGACTAATAAGCAACTAAGCTGGGCCACAAAGAGGTTTGGGAAAATTTGTCTTCTCCACATGCAGAAGAAAACAAGTTTTATTGTTAAAACCCAAAAAATATCAACAGGCCATGAGCTGGGCAAGCGAGTCAATTTTGCTAAACAGTATTGAACGGAATAATGCAGAAACTGGGGTAAAGTTTATAGTCTTAGATGCTCAGAAGTAAGTATGTAAAAAGTAATGCTGTGGCCATCATTTTTCATTGATAGATATATTTTCCCGAATCCGATGTCGATAAGTTGTGCTGGTGATTCTCCACCTGCTGTACATTATTATCACCTGGGAAGGTCCTAAACTATACTGACACCTGGGCCTAACCCCCTAGAAATCCTGAGTTCATGGTACGCAGTGAAGCCCCATCCTCACAAGCTTTTAAAAAGTTGCCCATATGGCTCTCATTTACAACTGGAGTTGAGAACCACTGACCTAGAGAATTACTGTGAGCTATGGTTTGTCTTTGTACTTCTTGATTTCTCAGTTAATGTTAACTGAATGAGCATAGTGAAGATAAAATGAGACATATAATCACCTCTTACCTATTGTCCTGGTAGACTTACTGGTTAGGTCCTTTAGTTCCAAGCACCTAATTACTTGTAAGCCAAATAAAAGGGAAAGATGATTTATTGAAAGAAAGTATGTTATTCCATAAAGTTGAAGAAAGCACTATCCAATAAAAATGTGAACCATTGATCTAATTTTAAATTTCTAGTAACCATGATAAGAAAAAGGATACCAAGAAACAGGTGAAATTTTAATTTTAATAGTACATTTTATTTGAATATATCCTTATATTACTTTAACATGTGTTCAGTATAACAAATATTAAGAAGTACTGTATTTACATTCTTTTTTTCATATGAAGTCTTTGAAATTCGGTGCATATTTTATTTTTAAACACAACTAAACTCAGACTAGCCAATTTCATGTCAGTTTACTTTGGAAGTGATTCCAGAGATTTGGAATAAAGAGTAGAATTACAGAGAAGTGGGAAGAGATGTGTTATCACACTGTCCACACCTGCAGGTGTCTGGTGTTTGGCCCCATGGAACTTTCTAAGTGTCTGAGAACTATCTACCTAGGGATGAACACAGAAAACTTTTATCTATCACCCTTTGTGCAAAGGTGGCCCCATGGCCCTAACTGCCCCATACTGTACTTTTGGGCTGCTCATTCTAAGGACCAAGCAAGTCCCACGGGGGTCCCTTGCAGAGGCATCAAAGAAGGCTGAGCGTAGGAAGTGAGTGGGGAAGTGGTGCAGCCCCAAAGCTTGGAGCTGTTAACGTGCACCTGAGGGAAGCTAGTCAGAGCAAAGAGGAAATACTTGCTGCTGCAGCAGTGGCTGGAATAGGAGTGGAACTGTGAGGATCTGAGTGGCACAAGAGATGTCCTATATATTAGGCAATGCCAATTCTCTAGGAAGTTAATAGCGTTGCTTAAAAAGTAAGTTTTGTGGGCCAGGCGCCGTGGCTCACGCCTGTAATCTTAGTACTTTGGGAGGGCGAGGCAGGTGGATCATTTGAGGTTAGGAGTTCGAGACCAGCCTGGCCAGCATGGTGAAACCCCATCTCTACTAAAAATACAAAAATTAGCCAGGCGTCATGGCGCATGCCTGTAATCCCAGCTACTTGGTAGGATGAGGCAGGAGAAACGCTTGAACCCGGGAAGCGGAAGTTGCAGTGAGCTGAGACTGTGCCACTGCACTCCAGCCTCCCTCTCCAGAGGAAGACTCCATCTCAGAAAAAAATGAATAAGTTTTGTGAATTTAAAGTTTGTGAAAATGTATAGTTTCTGTATTGCATGAATTGTCACAATTTTTTTGAAGACTTTACTTTTGAGAGCAATGTAGTTTCTCAGAAAAACACACGTACAGCCTCCCCCACTATCAACATCTCCCATCAGAGTCACACAATGGATGAACCTGTATCGATACATCATTATCACCCAAAGTCAATACTTTACGTTAGGGTTCACTCTTGGTGTCATACATTCTATAGGTTTGGACAAATGCATGATGTCGTGTCCGCTATTATAGTCTCATACAGAGTATTTTCACTGCTATAAAAATCCCCCATGCTCTGCCTATCCATCCCTCTCTCTCCCCTAAATCCAAACAAATAAAATGTATTTATTGCTCATGTCTCCCGACAAATATAGATTGGCTGAGAAAGATTATGTTCCTTAGGGATCAGGGATGAATGAGTCGCCATCATTTTGTGATGCCAACAAGCATTTACCAATGAATAAGAGTGCATGGAAAGTGGTGTAACAACTCTGAAATGCATCTCTTCTACTTTTTATTAGCCAAAGCCAGTCATGTGATTATGACTAATTGCAGGACGGTAAAGAGTAACCTGTGATGTGAAAGTGTAGCCTGTGAAGAACTGGAAATAGCTGTGGTACATCCGTAAATAAAATCTCCCTTTCAACATAGAAATAAAAAACCCAATTTGACCGAATCATCCAAATGCACAATTTCACCATGAAAGGCTTCAGAAAAACAATAACAACTATTTTTAGAGCACCTACTATATGGTCAGGTGGTACAATTACTAAAAAGACACCGGAAAAGATTTTGTTTCTATCACTGGCTGAAGTCCGCAAAGGAAAAATAAAACCTGTTCATCAAGCTACAGGCACATGCCACCACGCCCAGCTAATTTTTGTACTATTAGAGACGGGTTTCACCATATTGGCCAGGATGGTCTTGATCTCTTGACCTCGTGATTTGCCCGCCTCAGCATCCCAAAGTGCTGGGATTACAGGCATGAGCCACTGCACCCTGCCAAGATAGATTTTTCTCTAAAAAATGTGCAAATCTCCCAATACCCTATAGGATAATATGTTAAAAGGTAGGTTGAAAATGCATATGACTAAGCGAAAGAAGCCAAACTGAAAAGCCTGTATACTGTATGATTCCAACTATGTGACATTCTGGAAAAGGCAACACTATGGAGACAGTAAAAAGATCAAGGATTGTTTGGAGTTAGGGGAGAGAGAGGGATGAATAGGCAGAACATGGGGGGATTTTTATAGCAGTGAAAAGGTAAATCATAACCAAATGTTCAATCAAATGCAAAATGGCAGAACCTGCTATTTAGAGCAGTGTTTCTCAATTGTTCATCAAACATTGGGCTTCATTGTTCAAATGCAGATTCCTGGAGTCCAACCCATACCTACTGACATAATGTTTGAGAATCTGGGAGTCTTAATTTTATACAAGGTACCCACACAATTAGTATACTTAATAAAGATATCACAATTCGAATGAATGTAATTGCAAAATCTATTGCAGAAGACCTCCTTTTATAGGGTGACTACAACACTATAAATATCATCCTGGTAATCTCGTGTATATTTACAATTTTAATTTATGATTCATTTATGCATTTGCTTATTTATCAAATTTTTTTAGAGTTCCTACTATGCACAATCCTCTACTTACTGGGCAATTCATTGTAAAATAAGATGCAATCTCTTGTCTAAGAATGCTGAGTCCAGTTGACAGAATGTAGTTATAATTGAGCTTGATGACAGTCAAGTTACATAATGTAAAGCGGTTTCTGAGAGCCAAGAGGAAGACATCCCTGACTATGACTGTAGATAGGGTCTCTTAGGAAGGAAGTAGGCCAAATCATTTTTAATATAATACACACAAAGAAGTTAGGTCACCTTAATAAACCCTGCCAGATTATGTTTTCTATACACATTATTTTTAATGATTCATGACACCTTATTATCTTTGAGCTATTAAATATACTTTCTCTCTCCTCCCCAGCAAATGATGCCCCTTAAATTGATCAACCCTTTATTTCCTTTGTATGTTCCCAGTGACATTCAGGCAACATATATAAATGCAGTAATTGTTCAGCTGACTCAAGTATGTGATCCTGTATATGCAGTAGAACACTTTTGTCTTAATGGAGCAGAAACAATTGATTTGAATTGATTCTATACCCTCCCCTCACCCTGCCCTGGGGTGAGAAAAGATGTAACTTGCTCATAACTGTCTACTGAGTACATGGAAGAGAAGGTTATGTGAAGGAACTTTAAGTTATACTGGACTTTGAGGGATCGAAGTGCTTTCCTCACCTAGAAAAGGTCACTTATGTGGTAATTGCTAGAAGACTGTGAAGCTGAACATCTAAAAACTGTGGTGCATAATTCTCACATCTCAGTTCTGCCCAGGACTCACTTGGGAAAAGAACATTTCTGATGAATGAACTAAAGAGGTGAACCCTACCTAGAATATCTTAGAGCAAACCTTGCCTTAAACAATATTAAGACAAAGTAGTTTTTAATTGTATAGTATTCTTGTCTTTGCTTCTTAATATGGTTAGCAATTACCATTTATTGATGAATTATTAATGATCTTGTATATAAATTAGAAATATTCATGCTCCATTTATGCATTTGCCTATTTATCTGACATTTTCTGAATGTTTACTATGTATAAGACACTGCTTAGGTACTGAGCAATTCATATAAAATAAGATTTATGGCATTTGTTGTTTCAGTAGCACATAGCACTGCTTGACACTTGGTGTGAAAATGTTGCCTAATGCGTTACTACACTAAGGGCTTTTTCATATAGAAATAAATTACACACAGTATGAACTGCATAACCAACCAAATATGATATAAAAGAAGACTATAAAATAGACATACAAAAATATATGCACTCTAGGCCGGGGACAGGGGTTCACACCTATAATCCCAGCACTTTGGGAGCTGAGTTGGGAGAATTGCTTGAGCCTAGGAGTTTGAGACCGGCCTGTACAACATGGTGATACCCAGTCTCTACAAAAAATACAAAAATTAGCTGGATATGGTGGTGCGCATGTGTAGTCCCAGCTACTCAGGAGCTGAGGTGGGACGATTGCTTGAGCCTGGGAAGTAGAGATTGCAGTGAGCCGAGATTGTGCCACTGCACCCCAGCTGAGTGAGAGAGTGAGACTCTGGCTCAGAAAAAAAAAAATAATAAAATATATATATATACACACACATGCACACACACACACACACACCAGTGGTCAATGATATCTCCATATAGTGCCTATGTATATCATCTCAGGGAGCTTCAGTCTTTCTGCCTCTGTAGCAGCCAGTACTGACTATCTCATAGGGTGCAGAGGCCCCCTATGCATAGCCTACAATACTTCTAGTACCCCAAAAAAATATTTTCTTTTAAAATCAGAAAAAAAACTGACCTTTCAGGTTGAAGAAAATGTTTAAGTATATATATTAATATGTGCATCCTTATATTTATACTGTTGTAAATGCATTGTAAATGCAATTGTAAAATGTAATTTTTAACTTTTTTTTTGGAAGAAAGAGCCCATGAAAGCAAAAGTGTCTTGAGCCCTTGAGGGTTCTCTTATAGCCAGGGCAGCAGAAACAGGGGTCGTCTTTGTCCCTGTTGCAGGGGTGAAGGAAAACTTCCCCTTTGTCCTATGAAGGTTTGCTGAAAAATCAACTGACAAAAGGCAGATTAATAGGAGAAAAAGCATACAAAATTTATTAATGTACATGGAGGAGGCAGGCAGTAGTCAGAGTAATTATCCAATAACCCAGTGTATTATAGAAGGAAGCTTATATACCCTTTTTCACAGGGGAGAGTGGAGATGGGGAGTGTAGAAAATTCTTTTAGGGGCAGTAAATCATGAGGGAGAATGGATGGACATGGGAGGTGGGAGGCAGATATCATGAGAAGGCGAATGGTGGAGTCGCACAGGAACAAAAGTTGTCTCATTATGCAGATAGAGTCCTCCATGTCATCTCTTGGAGTTGCCCTCAGAAAAATAAATGAAAAGTGTCCGGGCCTGGTGATGACTAACCCTAGTCTCTTCTCTAGTTATTGATCTTTCCTAGTTATTTGATGAGACCCCAAGGGAGGAGATCTCAAGACAATTGCATTTCTTTTGGAAAGAAGCTTTGCTGGTCAGATAAAAAGAATTCCAGAGAGTCCCTCCTGATGCTTCTGGAAAGAAGATCAGAGAGTCAGGTAGAGGGGAATAGGTCAGAAAGGGACCTTGGTTCTGAGGCTTACTTCTTAGGGCCTTTCGATTTTCAAAGGCACTCAGCATGCCCAGGTGCCTTGTGTTGGGGCATCATTTTCTGTGCCCCAACATAAGGGGCACTCACCGCGTGAGTCTTCTAGGACTGCAGTAACAAACTGCCACACACTGGCAGGTTACAACAATGGAAGTTTATTTCCTTACAGGTCTGGAGGTTAGAAGTCCAAATTCAAGGAGTAAACCATGCTGGTTCCTTCTGAGGGAGGGTCAGCTTTCTGGGATGGCCAGAGGCCCTTGGTGTTCCTGGGCTTGCACCTGTACCTTTGCAGTCCTGCCTGTCATCACACAGTGTTCTCCCTGTGTCTCTCTAAAGACCCATCTTAATTACCTCTGTAAAGACCCTATTTCCAAGTAAGGTCACATTCACAGGTCTAACTTATCTTGGAGTGGGGAGACATCATGCAATTTACAAGAGATTGTTTACATAAGTTCATCAGGAGAGGACTAAACAAAGTGTGATGGCATGGATTCTATCGCTCTTCAGGGCAGAGAATGCGTGATGCTAATGAAAGTCTTCCTAGGTGGGTGATGGAGACCAGGCCTGTTCTCTCCAGGCAGGCTCTGAAATCTTATGGAAGAGGCGCAAACCAGGGCAGCAGGCCCACTCCCTTACAGGACAACTCGGTTCAAGTGGCTCCGGTAACTTCTCTTTTTCTTCCAGTCTCCTCAGTTTTGGGGAAATCTTACCTCCCCCCTTGTTTCTTTCAGGCAGCAGTGGTTTCTCTTCAAATCCTCCTTTCATCTTATTTACAACAGACCTATTTAACTCAAAGCCAGCATCTTTAGTAACAGAAAAACTCGTTTCCTCTATCTAGGTCAGGGAAGGCTTAATGTCTAAACCTTCTGCAAGAGGGAGGGGTAATATATGCCATCCTGCTATGCAATGAAGGAAAGGAAATCAGACCAAACCCAGTCAAACCAACCACACCAAATGCAATTGCTGCGTTCAAGTGAAGCAAATGGATGACGTGCACTTTGACATTAGCACCATGCCATAGAGGAAAGAAAAGTTATTTTTTCCCCAAGATGAAAAATGGTAAACATAGTAGGAGGTGGTGTTTGAACTGGGCCTTGAAGAGCAAATAGAAAATTTCTGGGCACAGAGAGGTAACTGCTGGGGCAGGTGCATGAGGAGAGCCTTCCAGGCAAAACTGCAGCAGGCATGGAGATGCCGAGTGTGACGACACATGACTTGGTCACAAAATCGCAGTCTAGTGTAGCTATAGGACTAGGGTGTATGGGACAGCAGAACAAGAGTTGAGCCTAGAAGGGGCTGCTTGTTAGATATCATTTTCCCGTAACTCTAAACAAGGGCTTACTGAAAATCTTCTCCTAGAACTGTCTCTGTCCCAGAAAACTCACCTGGTTAAATTGATATTATAATGCAGATTTTTCACAGGTAGAAGTAGGAGCCTATTAGTTTTCTATGACTGTTGTAAGAAATTACCACAACCTTAGTGGCTTAAAACGATGTAAATGTATTATCTCACTGGAGGTTAGAAGTTGAAATGGGTCTCATAGTGCTAAATCAACATGTTGGCAGGGCAGTGTTCCAATCTGGACACTCTAGAGGAGAATCTGTTTTCTTGCCCTTTTCAAGTTTTAGAGACTGCTCCATTCCTTAGCTCATGGGCCTCTGTTTGTCATCAAAACCAGCAATGGATGGTTCATTCTTCCTCCTTTGCATCACTCAGACACTCTCTCCTGCCTCACTTTTCCACTTAAGGGAATCCATATTATTTCACTGAGTCCAGATGGATCATCTAGAATAATCTCTCCATCTCAAGGTGAGCTAAGTAGCAATCTTAACTCCACCTATGACTTTAGTTCTCCCTTGCCATATAATGAACAAACTCATGGGTTCTAGGAATTAGGATGTGGACATCTCTGGGGATGAAGCATTATTCTGTCCGCCAGGAAGAAATAATAAAATAGAAACTTCAGGCCAATGCATCTCTGCCATGTGAAGACGTTAAGGGGTAGTTTGTTTTAGGATTTAATATACAGCGTGAGTAGGTGACTATAGAAATCCCATTGTACAGATCTGGGAACAGATCTGCAGAAGTGTCTTCAAAGTATGACATTTCAGCTTCCCCAGAATTCTTCTCAATCATCTCTGTAAAGGCTGGGACATCAAATCCCTGAGTCATGCCTGCAGACGTGCAGGTTTTTTAAGAACAGAATTATTGGTGCACTCCTCTGCCCTATCTTTCTTGTGTCTTCCCTGGTATTTTCCGTTGATAGCCTTCTGACACGTGTGTCTTGCTTTACCTACATCTTACTCTAACATTGGCCTCTTGTGTTCTTTTAGAAGCCTCATTACCCAAAGATCTCATTAGAGGGGATTAGTAAGTGACCACAATTGAGAGAATGGCACTGGCAGCATCTTTATTCAAAAGGTAAATTCCACTGTGCATGGGGAGCTACCATTTAGTTACAAGTAGCAGGAGTGTCTGGCATCAGAAGTAATGCAGCAATATATTTATAGCCTTTATAGCTCATGACACCTACCCTGCAAAGCCATACATGGCTAATAGAATGCAGCTAGGTGACTACCTGTGACTATCATCCCCCAACACCCCTGACAATGACTCAATTGCAGCTTCTTAGAGCCAATCACCTAATTTATATCCTAAGCAAGAGGTGCAGGGAAAAGAAGTGGATTGTGGCAGTGTCATGCCAGTCATATTTGAGAGTATGTTGGGACCTGACATAACCCAGTGGTTTTGGAACCATGACTCATGCAGCCTTACTGTCTAAGACAAACTGGGTTGCACCTTAGGCAGCAGCTGAGGTTGTTAACTACCAGAGCCACCTACAAGTTGTCCAGCACCCTGTGGGCACTAGGACCAGTAGTAAGGATTCTGCTTAACAGATCTATGCTGTTTAAAAGAAATACCATCATATGAATAGCTTTCTTCATCACATTCAAGGGAGAATGACCAAATCCTTAATAAAATGCCTCTTTGAGGTCCCCATCACTTACTCTTGATTATAAATGCTGCGGGGATAAGAGAATTTGCCGTGTTGAATATTCAAGGACTTTTCTATCCCCGGGAATTTTCTCTGCTGTGTTTGTAAGAAGAGGATTAAATTTGCCTTTAATAAAGCACTATGGAATACTTACTATCATGGCACCAACGTAAAAGAAAAACATCTTCCTGGCACACAAGAGAGGGGAAAAATGCTCAATTATGCAAATGCATGCCCAGAAATTTTACCCATGTAAGAATAATATCTGATGATGTCAACTCAATTCTTCTCCAGTCTTAGGTTCTCTCTTACTCTTCACTCTGCTAGTGTAAATACCTAATGTAATGACTCACAATAAAACACAGTTGTTGAGCCACTTCTCCCTGACTTTATCACACCAGAAAATATGGGGTTTTAGTGCAGTAATTCTGGACTGAATTTCAAAGTTACCCAAATTAACATATTTGACCACAGTGACCTTTCCAGCTTGATTTACTTCTGTTCCATTACCAAATTTCTGGCGCTGGCCAATCAACTCATCTTCTCCTATCTCTTGAGCTTTCAAGCCTCATTGCTTTGGCTCATGCCATCCTCTTGCCCTAAAATGCCCTCCCCATTGTGTTCTGCCTGTGTAGCTCACATAGCTTTAAAGGGTCACCACAAATTCCACCTCTTATTGAAGTTATTCTTGACCCCTATATTCTTGTGGCAAGTTTTTAATCTGTGAAAATCACAACACTTCACCTCCAGTCTTTTTCCAGGTACCCACATCCTGCTTTCAACCTCTTTTGTGTTGTTAGCTGATGCTAGGGACCACAAACTGCTGGCTCACAGAATAAACCTATCTCACAGACGTTTTGAGGCATCCCATGCAGGATTGTAAAATTAGAATATCTTAAAAATCTAAACATCTAGACCTTTGAAAGATGACAACAGCTACCAAAATTGTGCTTATAATTAATGGTGCAACAATTGGCTAAAACTGAGCAGTAGCCATTTCTATATTTAGGAAATATGTTCTTCAGTTTGCTAACGATCACATTGTACATTTTGATTACATCCAACGAGCTTACTCATTTATGTCATTTCATTATTGTTTCTCTGGGGACGCTGCAATTAATTACAAATTTGCCTTTACCTTTTTTGTTTTTCTTTTACTGATTGCTTTTGCCTCTCTTCTGCTGGCTCTCCACATGTATACTGGAATGATCTTAAAGAAAACAAGAAAGGCAAAAAACCTTGTAAGAGGTTTTTGTCACTTCATTGGTTAAAACCCTCTAAATATTTTTCTTTGAATTTAGAGAAATTACGTATTTCTATGCTAGCCTCCCTCACCTGAGACTTCCCTCCCTGTTATGCGTTGTGTTTCAACCATCGTTCTTTTTCTTTTTCTTGATCATGCCAAGTTTTCCACTCCTTATTCATTTTTTTCTTAGACATTTGTTTTCCTTCTGAATCTTCACATGGATGGTTTTTTCCATCATTTAGGTCTTAGGACTTATTTGACCACCCCATATAAAATCGCCAGGTACTTAGCCTCAAAAGAATTTTTTTGTCCCATCAGCTTAATTACATACCTAATGTAATGACTGATAGTAAATCTTATTTTCTTCTACTGCTTATCTAACATGATTCTACTTAGGTATTTGACTACCTGTTTTTCCTGTTTCCTTTCAATAGAGTGGAAGCTCCAGGATGGCAGGAACATTGTCTTTTTCACCAGTTTCCCAGTGCTTAGCCTGGTGCAGAGCAACCCTAAGTGGACATTTACAAAGTCAGCTTACTATTTAATAAATGTGTGCATCTGCCTGACTCCTGGTTTATAATGTCATATAATAGACATTTGTACTTTTTCTGCCCAATGAGTTTGTAAGCATCTTGTAAATAAATACCTCGCTTTGCACATTTAACTAAACCCATTAAAAGTACAAAACAGTTAGCTTTTTATAGATGTATAGTACAGATCTGGCAATATCTTTATTGGATGGTTCAAGAGTGGATTTAAAAAGCCAGAATGAGGGAATCTGTGTGTTAGTTTTAAAACTTTCAGATAATAATAACCTTGGCTCAAAAACAGGAAGTCTGAACTCACTTCTAGCTAAGACAGAGTACCAGATTTATCCTCTTGCCTAAAACTACCATTTTAAAAAAATAACAGATAAAATATATGAAACAATGATTTTCAGTACACTGGATATCAGGCAGTTAAGGACATAAGTTCCTGAGGGATGGGAAACAGTGTGATCCCTATGATTCTGTGAGTTTACTACATAAATAAATGCATGAAAAGATGATCAACATGATCTCAGTCAGTAGGAAATGATAATTAAAACCACCCTGCAATATCACTACAGACCTATTAGAATTGCTAAAATAAAAAAGACTGACCACACCAAGTGTTTACATTGATACAAACAAATTAAGATGTGCTAAGAAAAATGTATAATAATACAATCACTTTAGAAAACAGCTTGACAGTTCCTTAGAAGTTAGACATTTAAGAAAAACTGGAACCCTGTGCACTGCTGTTGGGAATGTAAAATGGTACAGCTGCTGTGGAAAACAGTATGTTGGTTCCTATAAAAGTAAACATCAAATTACCACATGATTAGGGTTGGGCACGGTGGCTCATGCCTATAATCCCAGTATTTTGGGAGGCCAAGGAGGGCGGATCACCTGAGGTCAGGAGTTCAAGACCAGCCTGGCTAACATGGTGAAACCCTGTCTCAACTAAAAATACAAAAATTAGTTTGGTGTGGTTGCACACACTTGTAATCGTAGCTACTTGGGAGGCTCAGGCAGGAGAATCACTTGAACCTGGGAGGCAGAGGTTGCAGTAAGCTGGGATCACGCCATTGCACTCTAGCCTGAGTGACAGTGAGACTCTGCCTCAAAAAAAAAAAAACAAAAAAAAAAAACAAACAAAAAAAACATGAATAAGCAGTTATACTTCTGGGTACATATCCAAAATAATTGGCGGCAGGGACTCAAGCGGGTATTTGTACACCAGTGTTGATGGCAGCAATATTCACAATAGTCAAAGGATGAAAACAATACAAATGTCAATTGATGGATAGACAAAATGTGGTCTATGCAATGAAATATTCTTCTGTCTAAAAAGGAATGAAATTCTGAGCCATGCTACAACACAAATGAACCTTGAAGTACCTTGCAAAGGGTAATAAGCCAGCTATAAAAGGACAAATATTGTATGATTCCACTTATATGTAATACCTAGAGTGGTCAAATTCATAGTGACAGAAAGTTGAATGATGGTTGCTGGAGGCTGGAGGTAGGGAGAGAGGAACGAGGAGTTATTTTTAATGAGCACAGCATTTCAGTTTGGGAAGATGAAAAAGTTATGTGGATAGATGCTGGTGATGGTTACGCAATCGTGCTAACATGCTTAATACCACTGAACTATACTCTTACAGTGATTAAAATTATAAATTTTATGTTGTGTATACTTTACCACAATTAAAAAGTTATACATTTATGTATAATATCTAAGCATTCATTCCACTTCTAGGTTTTTATCCTAGAGAAAAGAAAGTATACATCTAAACAAAAACTTGTACACAAATGTTCATAGCAGTTTTACTTGCAGTAGCCAAATACTGGAGACAATCAAAATATCTACCAACAGGTAAATGAATAAACATATGGTGATATGTCCATAGATAAAATATACCCAGCAATGAAAAAGAATGGACTATCAAGGCAAACATCAACTTTGAGGAATATTAAGATAATAATGCTGAATGAAAAAAATACAAATGAAAAAGGAGTACACTCTATCATGACATTTCTATACAACTTTAGAAAATGCAGTCTAATCTGTAGTGACAGAAAGCAGTTCGATGGTGGCTTGTAGGTTTGTACGTGTGTGTCAGAAGGTTGCAGGAAATGATGACATAAGACATGGTGGGTTGTGAGTATTCCAAAGAGCCCCTAGACACTTTTGGGGGTGGGAGATATGTTCATTATCTTGATTTTGGTGATTTTCTCACAGATACACACATAAATCAAAACTCACTGAATTGAATAGTTTAAATATGTGAAGTTTGTTGGATTTCAATTATACCTGAATGAAGAGTTTTTAAAAATAGTAAACTGACACAGTACCAATGCAACAATATCTATATGTATAGGCTGGCCTTCTGATCCAAAAGCTGTTTTTATTTATGAAGGGCACAATCTGAGACCTGGCTCATATTCACAGTCATTTGATCAAATGGATCCTGGAAATCACCGGCTTTAGGAGATAGAATGCATTCGTTTGGTGTCCATGTATCTTAATGAAAATGAATGATAATGATTTGGAATTTAATGGATTCCTTGCAGTCGTATTGAAATTTAATAGAAAATTATATAGTATAACTTGAAATCAATTTAAATTATCTGAATGAATAATTAATATGTCTGCCATAAAATTGTCTAACATCTATTATTTAAAAGCAAATGATTCAGAATTAAGTTTACTAAAACTCTGGCTCTCTTGAAGTGTAATGTTAAAACATCCTCCTCTCTTGCTCCTCCTTAGACAAATCTTGGAATAGATGAAAGAATAAAGTATATGCTCTACTTATTGAAAAAATATGTTTGTAGCAAGAAATACTTTGACATTTTTATAAGGCATATTCATAAACACTATCACATTATTCCTTAGGTAGAAAAAAAGTGTGAAATAAATACCGTTCTCCTCATTTTACAAATGTAAAGCTTTCAATATTTGCCAATTATAACTCAGGATAAAATCCAGTCACTTCATCTCATGCATTTCTCTCCTTGTTTTATACTCAGTATGTTTGCTGTCTTTTGCTACAATCAAAATACTAAGTCTCTTCACACCTAAAATTCCCTTGAAATGCTCTTTTGTGGGCTTAGGATGCATTTCCCTTGATTTAGTTCAGATGCTGCCTTCATGTCCCCACCGTGAACTTCCTTGAATCCCATTAAAACCTGGACTCCAAATACTTTTTTTAAATTTTTTAAATTTTATTTATTTATTTATTTATTTATTTTGAGATGGAGTCTTGCTCTGTCGCCCAGGCTAGAGTGCAGTGGCCTGATCTCGGCTCACTGCAAGCTCCGCCTCCCGGGTTCATGCCATTCTCCTGCCCCAGCCTCCCGAGTAGCTGGGACTACAGGCGCCCGCCACCACGCCCAGCTAATTTTTTGTATTTTTAGTAGAGACAGGGATTTCACCATGTTAGCCAGGGCCAAATACTTTTTCATGATGTTACTCCAGATACATTTTTTTTATTATACTTGTCATTGCTACTATTGTACGTTGATTGTATGTTCAGGTGTTAATAACATATTCATAGATGATTTTATTTGTGTAATTCCTGTGTCCCATGTAGAACGTATGCTGTGATTTGATTTTGTTCACTTTTATCCCCACTGTGTAGCACAAGGCCAAGCACAAACAGGCATGTAGTAAATATATATGAAAACAAATCCCACCAAGACAAAGAACTTAGTGACTTGGCCAAGAAAAATCAACTATGAATGCTAACACAGTCTTCTGACCTGTGCCCTATCCCTTAACCTACCTGTCCTCTAGCATTGATCAGGCATTAAGGGAAATGACAATCTATGCTTTTATGTCCAACGGAAGGATTTGTAGATTAATATTACATTTGAAGTGCCTAATATCCTAAAACACGTCAAAGACATCTCACATAGATGTCAGTCACTATGGAAGTTAATTTGGTAAGCCAGCTTGTGGAACAACATGCTCTTATACTTTAAGTGATGATTTTGCTATCTAAAATGTATGTAGGCCTTCTGCTGGAGAGGAATGTAGAATCTATACTTCTTGCCCAAATGCATAACTGATTAAGTAGCTGTGGGAAAATGTGGCTTTCAGCCCAAACTGTTCTTATATGCTCTGACATTTATCCTGTGAGTTATTTGGTTAGATGTGAGTAGTATAGGTAGACAACTTTCTATTTAACTCCAATTCCATAAGGTTATGTGAGCATTAAAGGAAATAATAGACAAAAGCACTTAGGAGTGTAGAACCTAATACGTGTTCAAAAAATGTTAGTTGTTATTATTGTTTTCGTGCTTAGGAGAAAATCAGCCAGAAGTGTACTTGGAGACGGATCCTCTCTTCTTCACATCAAGCAAAGATAAGTTCCCCTACCATTTTTTGAGTCAAATTTCCCAGGGCGTTTTTTTCAGATAGGGGCTAATAGATCTTTAGGACCTCAAATTGCTGGAAGATACTATGGCATGAGTTTGTCATAGGAAGTGACTAGTAAAACTATGCACACAATGATAATACACAAATAAGAAAAGTACATTAATTTTTACTCAGACCATAGATTATGGGAGGGAAGGGGATCCTTTGACAATCTTCTAGTTCTCAAGGAAATTAGAATCTACTATGTAACATATTCCAAGATACCAACTGAGTCAAAGACAAACCTAGGATTAGAATTTAGACTTCTGACCTCTTACTCCAAGAGCCTTTCTAATGTCCTTTAACTTACCCCCTTCTATGGTTTATTAGTTCTCAAGGATTGCCATAACAAATCAACAAAAACTGAGTAGAACTGTATTTCCTGTAAGTTCTTGAGGCTGGAAGTCTGAAATCAAGGCATCAATAGAGATGGGTCCTTTGGAGGCTCTCAGGGAGAATCTGTTTCATACCTCTCCTTGGCTTCTGGAGGTTGCCACAGTCTTTGGTGTTCCTTGATTTGTAAATGCATCGCTCCAATTTCTGCTTCTGTCTTCACGTCACTTTCACCCTTCAGTGTGTCTATATATCTGTGTCTTTTCTCTTTTAAGGAGAGCAGTGCTTGAGTTTAAGGTCCACCTTAATCTAGTATAACCTCATCATAACGGATTATATCTGCAAAGACCCAATTTTCAAATAAGGTCACAATCCAAATGGATTCCAGGTGGACATGAATTCGGGATTATGCTATTCAACTCACAATATATATAAAATTATTTTGACTTATTAAAATATAATATGAAGAACCTAAAATCAAGTTTTCTCTGTTTTGTGTTGCTATTTAGGGATAAACATGAAAAGCAACAACATTTATAAAAACACGTTCAAAATATAACTGTAAAACTTCTTCTCATGCTCAACATATATATTCTCAAGTTCATTCTTCTTGAAACCTACTTCCTTCCAAACCTAGCCACTTACAAAATGTTTATGAAAGGTTTTTTCCCCCTAAAGCTGCAAATGTCCTTTTTATGGTCAAACTAATTTCTTTTTACTTTCTCAAGTCTCTTAGTCTCCTTTCTCTATGCCTAAAAAACAATAAGCAGAACAGGATGGCTAACCATCCCAGTTTGAACATGATGTCTTGAGTTTAGCATTCAAAATCCCGCATCCTGGGAAACTCCCCAATCCCAGGAAAATGGGGACAGTTGGTCACCCTAGCAGAGGGTCTCAGGGGAAAGTGACTCGAGGGTGTGAAAGTGAAGAAGAGGACCAAGTAGTATTCATTTGCTAATTTATTATATTTCTGGGATTCTTTCCTTCTGGCCTTAGGTTACAGGTACAATAGAACATTGGTTCAAATATTGAAGTGCAATTGCCTGCAGTTATGCCTAAGCACCAATTACAGGTCTTATGGTATGAATCTTTCATTTAATGGTCATTATGGATCTGATTATAGATACCTTTCAAAGCTGAAGAGACATACAAAGTATATAGAAATTGGTCAAGGGTAGGCTAAGGGAAAAAATATCCTCTGGGTAAAATTATACTAGGTTCCTTGAATGATCTCATTCCATCATTGATCTTTTGTTCCTAAATTGCTGTCATTGCCTGAGTCACTTTAAACATTTTGAGGAAAAACAGCTTTTCTGATCTCATCCCCAGAAGTTTAATTGGTCTCTGGTGGGGGTTAAAAAAAAAAAATCTGTGTTCATCAGAAGCTACCCCAGGTGATTCTGATAATTAACCAACTTTGGGAGGAACAGTTTTAAACTACTGTAATACCTGGGCTACAGATGAATTATCAAAAAGAACCACTTCTCCCAAAGCATTTACTAGATGATAACTCCCACCAATAGAAGTATGGCTACTTGATTTATAGCTACCTTAAGATAAAGCAATTTCATACATATGTTTGTGTATATGTACATACATACATACATATACGTACACACATACATGTGAACTTCATTATTACTTTTTTCCAGACTCTAGTAGTCATGTAATTTGAGAACTATAAGTCCTATCAAAAATTATGATTTTTTTCTCAGCTTTGGCAAGTATAGACTCAGGAACCAAGAACAGATATTTGTGATAAAGATCAGTAAGAAGTCACATGAGCTGTGTATAGTTGCCAGAACCCAAAGCAGTTAAAGGGTGACTGGTGCAATCCATGTCAGCTGGACACAGCTGGAGTCATGTCAATTCCTTGTCCTTCCAGACTCCACTAGCTCAGGAGTGAAAGTGTTGCAATGTTAGTTCCAGGACAGGGTGGCAGTGTGGAGAAGGAAGTCTCAGACTTTCAGAAAGGGTCAGACCCTGGAGGAAGGAGAAGGATCCCGAGGATGAAGGCCTGGATGAGTCAGGCTTGTACAGAGAACATGGCTTCGTGAGATTTGACCTTTTCTAGGTTCTTGGGGAGGCCTGTGGATATGGGGTGGGCCAGGTCTGGAAGAGCAGGTGGAGGTATACATCTTTGCACTGGCTACCTCTTTGGGACTAAGCAGCTGCACCCCCAAGAGCACTGTTGGTTTACCCTGTGGTAGGAAAGGGAGGGCTGCTTGTCAAATAATTTGACAAAATATTCTCTGTGAAATCAGAGATGTGCACCGCCTGAGACATCTGAGCTCTTGTCTACTGAAATGGCTGTGGCAAAAATGGAAGCAAAGAAGCCAAATTAGGGTTTCTTCCTGCTCAATTAGGAAAGAGAATATTTCAGGTGATTTAGTCAGTCAGTACTTTAGAATTTTTGCTGAGATAAAATATGGTCACGTGAGAGTAGGGAAAGTATAAAAGGCCCAGGGGAAAATAGAGAATAGAGAATGCTATTTCAATACAGAAGGAGCAAGACTGAAATTTTAAAAAGAGTGAGAGAATACTATTTCAAGGCCTATACAAAGAGCTGCACGTGAGGGGTGGCTATCCGAAATAAACAATTTGAAGGACATACTTCCTTTTAGATGTAATTTAAAGAGATATCAGACCATAATAATGATCTGCCTTCCGTTAAGCCTATAGACAAGTGAAAATGGGAATGTATCAAAGATTTGGGAACATTTCAGAGACAAGTCCCAGAGTTACCTTCTCAGCCCCCATGTCTTAGAAATATTCATGGGCATGTTTAGCCCAGCTAAGACACAAATGTGGCTTATATGAGAATGTATCAAAGATTTGGGGACATCTCAGAGACAAGTCTCAGAGTTACCTTCCCTTCTCAGCCCCCATGTCTTAGAAATAATTATGGACACTTTTAGCACAGCCAAGACACAAATGTGGCTTAAACTTAAATTGGTATTTTATCTTTGCTAACCTTTATTGAGCATATACTATGTGCCAGGCTCTGTTGCTAAAGTTATGACATGCACCATTTTGTTTATTATTGACAACAAATGATAGTGTTTTTATTACTCCCACTTTGCCAGTGAGAATGAGACTGAGACTGAGAGAGATAAATTAACTTGTTTAAGGTCAGGGAACTGGAGAAGGACAAACCAGAGACATAAATGTATATCTTGAAGACTCCAAACCAATTGTTCTTACAGCCTACACTATAGAGGTTATGGCATTATGATTCATTAATTGTATAATAAAAATTCTATAAAGGAGAGAGAAAAGAGAGGCTGATAAATGAATCATGGCCAATAATTTGAAGTAGGTTGAAGAAAAGAGGAAAGAATAAGAAACATCCTACAGAATAAGGAAATTAAAATATAACTCCTATAGCTAATTTAACTTATGGGAGTGGGCTTACCTTACTGGCTTTGTGGGGTGTGGGGATGTGCCTCATATGTCTCTGTTTGACGATGGCATGAACAGTAATTTTGAAAATGGAGAAAGATATGGAGGGTCATCATCTTGAGAATCACATCTAGATAACAAAGCTTACATGGGATTATAGAATCTCCAACACTTACATCTAATTCATTAAAAATATCATCTAGGGGAGGAGAAATGATGGGGTATAGTCCAACTATAATTCAATGAAGAGCTACTTTAACTGTGAAATTGACATTTTATTTCACGTGGGTTTTTTTCGTTAAAATTATATATGCTTCAGTTTCACTGATTGAATAGAAAAGGTCCCCAGTTTAACATAGAAATTATATAAAATTTTATTTTCTTTGCTACTGCATGGCAATTTTGCAGTTTTAAAGCACTGGTTTTCTAAAAATTAGCAAGGTCTTTCTTGCTTTATATAACTTGCTATATATAACTATTATAGCAGTTAGAAACTCAGTCACAACTTTTGAATAAGATTCAGGCAAATCGTGAACTATTACCCTGTGTTTCAAGTTGCTCCATCTACAAAATGAGTCTGGCCACCCTGTCCCAGCAATTTACGCAAAGAAGAGGGCATGACATAATGAGTGATTAATGGATCAGCGGTCTGCCTTGAATCTCTGATTTCTCCATCTGTGTCAAGAGATGTCTTAGGACATTGAAATATTTATTAATGTTTCTAATAATACTTCATCAAGTACTTAGGAATACCTTTGGCCTTCGGTGAATTTTTAGAAATATTTAAACAGCTGTATGAGGTTTTTCAGTGATTTATATGTAGGATACCAGCTGACCCAACTGACTGGCTGCTAATGGGCTTTCCATTAGCTTCATTTAGAAAAAAGACTTGTTTGTCAGTTTGAAAGAAATACACATTATATTAGGCCAGTGCAAAAGTAATTGTGGCTTTTGTCGTTACTTTTAATACACTTAATACATTACAAAGTTAGGAAAGAATCAGGATGCTAGATTACACAGGGTTAGAACCTAGCTGTATCACTTACTAGCAGTATACCTTTGGACACAGTACTTAATCTGCTTGTGTCTCTGTTTCCTCATCTTAAAAACAAGAATAATGACACTGCATCCAGAATTGTTTTAAGAATTGAGTGAATTCATGTAAAGGGCACATAGGAAGTGCTCCACGAACATTAGTTATTACTTTTCTCACCTTAATTGGAACTGAGGTGCTTTTCTACAGAGATATAAAATATTTTTCCACACCTCTTGAGGAACTGCAAAGAACTTTAAATATACCATGTCTGACTGAAGGAAGGAACCAACAAGCATGTGATGGATTTGATAGTGTGCTGAATGCCTGTAGGAACAAGGAAAATATATTTGGTACAAATATTTTAATTTCCTCAAGAAATAGAACCTGTTACTGCAGCAACAGTCACACATCTGACTACAATGTGTTCATAAAATAAAAGGAAAGAGAGAGTAGTCATAGAAACCACAAAGGGGAAATTATACTCTGAGCAGATTTCCAAGTCCCTAGTTATTAAATAATAAACTGAGATCTCATAAACATGGAAATGTATTCTAAACATAAAGTACTCAACTTCTATAATAATTTAAATAGTCTAATTGCTTGCCATATTAAAGAGGTAGTTTTTTTCTTCTGATGAATTATAATAAATAGCATCATTTCAGTCAATAAAAAGGGCATTCAAATGAATAAAAGTTTTCTTCTCATGTTTAGAGACCCCTCTATTGACTAAAGACAGGTTAGTCCATTGCAGTGGAATCCTAGCTCCAACCTCAGCGACAAAGCTGATGCCTAGTACCCTTACAACATGATTGAAGGTATTGTTTTGAAAGTCTTAAACTCTCTTGAAGCATATTCAGGAAAGATCTCTGTTCAACCACCTTCTTCTACAGCTAACCAAGAAGGGAGGCTCCAAGGTATTCATTAATACATAGCCTTATTGACCGGGCTTCTTAAGAATCAGGATTCTTGCTCTACCCTGAAAATACTTGGTATCCTACAAACTATCTGCAGACTTGCTTGATTCCGCTTTCCCTTTCTCTTGGTACTGAACTCAGGCAGATTTTATCAACAGATGAGAGACAGCAAAGGCAGAGTTCATTGACTTAGCGGCTGCCTATGAAAATCCTCAGCTTTAAGTGTCAGAGCTCACGGATAAGGAAGAAAGAGCTAGGAAAATACTCACTGGGTAACAAGACCTTGGATACACTTTCCAAAAGGGTGCTACCTACGTGAGTCTATTACTGCAATTACTTTCATCATGATGTGTTCTGCAATGTTTATTTAGTGCCTGGAGCCTGCCACACAATGATACATTTGTTACAAGCATGGTTCTAATGCTGTGAACAGTAAAAAGAGGTTGATACAATTATCATTTTATTTTACTGATGAGGAAGCTGAGGCAGGTGAGACTTAGAGGATTTTAATAACGTTTTCAAGGGGCTTGTAAACAACTCATAAGTTAGTAAATAAAGCTTCCACCCCTTTTTTTAAAAAATTATAATACCCATGTACTTAACCTTTATGCCGATAGGTTTCTCAGAGTGGGGTCATCAGAGGGCAGCAACATAATCGTCTCCTGGAAACTACATATGCAAATTCTCAGGCTCCATCCCAGACCTACTGAATTTGAAACTCGGGGAGTGGAACCCTATGGTTCAATAAGTTCTTCAGGCCATCCTGATGCATGGTCAAGTTTGAGGACCACTGCTTTATACCTACTACCTCATGTTTAAAAAATAATAATAAAGCAAAAACTTTTAGTTTGAGACTCAGAAAATGATCTCAAACAACCTAGCTGAGCTTGCTGTTTCTTACAAGCCTGTGATTGTGGAGTTTGCATGGTTCCTTTCAAGAAAGTATAAGTTGTCTAGAAAAACTTGGAGAAGATCCGACTTCTGAATTCCTGTCACTATCCTAACCATATAGCAGGCAGATGATATGGAGAAAATTGGCTTAGTCTTAAATGAGAAAGTGTTTTTTAAAAAAATTTTTAATGTTTTGTGACAGGTATCACGGATTAAGAAATTCTATTTATGTCTTTATTCTTCTAATGAAGTGCACAGAGGTAAAAAGTAACCTTCCTTATCCTAAGAATTTGTGACAGCTTATTCCCTTTCAAGGGATTAGAGCAATGCATATGCTAATAAGCCTGTAGTGGCAACATTTTGCTTGTGAATATGACAGTGTATCAAATGCATGTTACATGTATAATATTGGATATGCCGTGATAAGAAAAATCAGAGGACCCATAATTTCCATCTAGGGAGTGTCAATCAATACAAAGCTAAAATGCAGTTCAGGGAAAATGTCATTCTTATAATATTCTGGCAGAGTAACTGAGAAAAAAAAAAATCTCTCAGAATCCCTAGATTAGTGAGACTCTGTTCCACCAGCGATGGATTTGATCTATTATTGCCGATCGGTTTTTTTGTAGCTATGTGGCTCTTGTGAATGGGTAGAATGCTTATTTCCCATTTCAATGTTTTAGAATGTTTATGAGTAGGAGCAAGTATCTAATTTCCTTGGCATTTTTAAAACAAAACGAAGGCATTTTAAAAATGATGATTTTTGCCGAGTTCAGAACTGTATCTTTTGTACTCGGCACCTAGCAATTGCTTGGCAATTATCTGTTGGACAAATGGCCAGTATTTTTCTCATTAGTTAGGTTATACCATAACCCATAGCCCTTGTGTAGTTCTCACTAGGCCAGCATACCCTTTGCAGGGCCCCATTCCAAGACTGCCAGTTTATATAACACATTTACTCGAAGTTCAAATTTAGTGAATCATCAGATTTTAGCTTAGAAATGTTCTAGTTCCAGCGTCTCTACAACATAGCTGAACATTGATAACTCATCACCTCTTGTAACAGAAACCTCACTGCTACACAGTGGAGTGCGTTTCATGATTAGACCCTTGTCTGTCTCTGTAAACTCTTTTTTTTTTTGGAGATGGAGTCTCGCTCTGTCGCCCAGGCTGGGGTGCAGTGGCACGATCTCCACTCACTGTAACCCCTGCCTCCTGGGTTAAAGCGATTCTCCTGCCTTAGCCTTCCGAGTAGCTGGGACTACAGGTGCCTGCCACCATGCCCAGCTAATTTTTTTGTATTTTTAGTAGAGACAGGGTTTCACTGTGTTAGCCAGGATGGTCTCGATCTCCTGACCTGGTGATCTGTCCACCTCGGCCTCCCAAAGTGCTAGGATTACAGGCATGAGCCACCACACCTGGCCTGTCTCTATAAACTCTTAACTGTATTGCCTACTCCTATTGTCTAGGATTCCAAGTATGAATCTGGTCCTTTGCTACTTATAGGTGTGTCTTGGGACCAGCAGGATGGGCCTTGCTGGAGAGCATGTTAGAAATGTAGATCCTTAGGTGCCACTCCAAGTTCCTGACTCAGAATATTCATTTTAAAAATGATGAGGTCAGGCCAGGTGCAGTGGCTCATGCCTGTAATCCCAGCGCTTTGGGAGGCCAAGGTCGGTGGATCATTTGAGCTCAGGAGTTCAAGACCACCCTGGGCAAAACGGTGAAACCCAGTATCTACAAAAACAAACAAAATTTCCTAGGTGTGGTGGTGTGCACCTGTAGTCCCAGCTACTCAAGAGGCTGAGGTGGGAGGATCAGCTGTACCTGGGAGGTTAAGGCTGCAAGCCATGATCGTGCCACTGCACTCCAGCCTGGGTGACAGAGTGAGACCCTGTCTCAAAAAAAAAAAAAAAAAAAAATTATGTGGTGATTGCATGTTAAAAATTTTCAACCACCTTTATCAAGTCCACATAAAATTAAGCACAAATAAAGTGAACACTTTAATAAAGGTTTATCTTGATTCTTAGGTGTATACATATCACCACAATCAAGATAACAAGCATATCATCACTGCCAAGTGTTTCCTCCTGTCTCCCTCTAATTCTCCTGACTCCTTCCACCTTCCCATTCCCAGGCAACCACTGATCCATTTTCTGCTACAAATTAATTTGCATTTTCTAGTTTTAAAAATAAATGAAATTACATAACATGTACTTTCAAAAAATAATTTTGGTTCTTTGCTTTTGAGAGTTACCTCTGCAGATGCATGTATTAATAGTTAATTTCTTTTTATTAATAGTATTCCATTGTATGAACATACCACAATTTGTTTATTCTTTCAGCGCTTGCTGAACATTTGTATTGTTTGTATATTTCTACTATTACAAGTGAAGCTGTTATAAATATTTATGTCCAGGTCTTCTTATGAACATATGTTTTCATTTCTTTTGTGCAAACAACTAGAGTAGAATACTCAATTGTGATACTGTGAAATATAGATTTGGTCTTCCTCCCTGTTTCCTGGAATTTAACACCTAAAATCCTCAGAATCTCCAGAGTGATTTTTTGGAATGCTAATGTGTTGACTGATGGGTGGCAGCCCCTAGGTAGATTGAGGTGGGGGCTGATCACCATGGAAAAAAACAAGACAGGTGGAATTTTAAGCCCCTTCTGCTCGCCTCTAAGGAGGGGCAAGGGGGCAGAAGTGTTAGTTCATTATCAATGGCCAATGACTTAACCAATCTTGCTTACATAATGAAGCTTCCATGAAAAACACGAAAGGACTGCATTCAGAGAGCTATCAGATAGCTGAGCACATGGAGTCTCCTGAAGGGTGGTATGCCTGGAAAGAACATGGAAGCTTCCCTACCTCCCATACCTCGCCCTATGCATCTCTTGATCTGTATCCTTTGTAATATCTTTTATAATAAACTAGCAAATGAACCCGTTTCCCTGACTTCTGTGAGCTGCTCCAGAAAATTAATCCAATCCAAGGAGTTGTAGGGGGAGGTTGTGGGAGCTCTGGTTTATAGCCAGTCAATCAGAAACACAGGTAAAAGCATAGGAATTGAATTGGAGGAGGGGTGGGAGCAACAAGCTTGTGTCCACTGCAGAATTAATGGCTTGCTTGCTAGTGGGTTGAAATCCCCACACACTTCTTGGTGATCACAGGGCACAGAAGTATACTTTGTTGATTGATGTTTAATGAGAGAATAGAAAATAAGCTTTGGTTTTATTCCTACGTCATCAGACCAGACCATATAATACTCTTAGCTTTATAAGAAACTGCCTGACCTTTGTTCCATACCTCACTCATTCTGTTTGCTTGTTTTCCCCCCATTCTTTCTTTTTCTCTGTGTTTTCTTGGGTCATTTCTATAGTTATATCTTCAAATGCACCAATATTCTCATCTGCAATGTCTAATACACTTTTAATTTTATCTGGAGTATTTTTTTCTTTGGCATTTTAGTTTTGCTCTCTAAAAGTTATATTTTCATCTTTTAAACACTTTTTTGTATCTCTCCTTAACATAGAATTTTGTTTCTAGCTCCTTGATCACATGGAATACAGTTCTGTTTTAATATCTATATTTCTCCTGGATTCATTTCAATTGATTTATTTTCCTCCCAAATATTGGTCATTTTTTATGTCTGATAATTTTTGATTGTTGAGCATTATGAATTTTACCTTGTTGATTACTGAAGATTTTTATATTTTTACAAGTATTTCTGAGCTTTATTCTAGGATGTACTCAAGTTACTTAAAGACAGTTTCATCCTTTTTCATCTTTCTTTTAAGATTTGACAGGCGATCTAGATCAGTGTTAAAGAGCTAAGTTTTGCTCCACTTCTGAGGAAAACACTGTTTTGAGTACTGTCTCCAATGCTCCATACATTATGAGGTTTTCCACTTCGGCTACTGCTAACGGGAACTAGTTCCAGCTTTGTGAGACCTGCTGTTGTTCTCTCAAATACTTTCAAGTGATTCTTTCTTGGCTTCAGGCAGTTACCCCACACTCATGAGCTGAGCAGTGGTCAGCCATATATTGAAGCGGGGGGAGGGGGCATCCTAATGAAAATCTTCAGAGTTCTCTCTTGGACTTCTCTTTGTGTATGGCATTCTGCCCTGTGAACTCAAGCTGCCTTGGTCTTCCTGGACTCTCAGCTTTGTCTCCCCAATGCATGTAGTCTTCTGGGCTCCACCTGCATTTCCTCTTTGTGTCACAGCTTAGACACCCTTTCCATGTAGCAAACTGGGGGCAACCATAAGACTCATCCCATTCATTCCTGACTTTTAGAGTTCACTGTCCTTTATTGCCTGATATCTAAAGTCTTGAAAAAGTTCTCTCGGATATTTTTCCAGCTTTTAATTGTTTCATTTGAAAGTGTAACTAGTATAATCTGGTGTTTGTTGCTCCATCTTGGCCAGAAGCAGAAATAGTGCATATTAAAATGTTAGAACAGTGCTCTGCCATGGAGCATCTCTCCTGACCTCTCTGAATCTTTTAACATCCCACACATAATGCACCTGATGTTCTCTTGGCATGATCCCTATGCCTTTGTGCATCAATTTTTAAAAAATGAATGAATGCTTAACCACATCCCCTCTTCAGTAGTTCTGCAGTTGGTTTTCAGAATTCAAATACAAGCCTTGACTTCCTACCCAGCACCCTGCTCCGCCTCCCAGAGGAGTCTCACTGTGTTGCCCAGGCAGGTCTCAAACTCCAGGGCTCAAGTGATCTTCCTGCCTCAGTCTCCTGAGTAGCTGGGAATACAGGCATGTACCGCCCCCCTGGTTCAAGCTTTTGCATTTTGTATGTTGATTAATTATCATCTCATTAACTTTAGCTCATCACTCAAAGCAGTCAATACATTTTGGAAAAATATCACATCACCTTATTTTAGAAATTACTTATAAGCAGTCACCAATTCATATCATCATCCAAGTCACTGATAAAAATATTGATCAGAGTAGTGCAGGGGACATTCTTCTGTTTATCTTCCAGACTGGCATGGATCCATGAATCAATATTTTGCAGAGAGTCATTTAACCAAATCACACATGCACCTACTGTATGACCATTCAATTTGTATTTGTATACACGGATACCTTAAGTCTATACCAAAAGCTTTAATGATATTGAGAAATGCTTTGTGTTTTAAATGCTTAAAAATATGGATTGAAGGAAAATGCTAATGGAATTGTTTCCTGGTGGTGGAACGAGAGGTGATCTTTATATTTTATTATTGCTTATCATTGAGATAATTTTTACATTGGATTATATTTTTAAAATATGAGAAAATAAGTTTAAATATTGTGTCTCAGTTTTCAACACTTCCCAATCTACTTATTAGATGGTTCTTTCAGAATAATAGAAAAGAAAGCCGCAGTGACGTTTTATTAGTTACTTCTTGCTAATTCCAAATGATCATATTTTCAATTTAAAAGACTTACAACTTAGCCCTTAATTAGCCATTTCAGAATCTTTTCTACGGCTTTTTTTCTCCTATGGAAATGTGGTGTAGTGCCGATTTTTCATCTCTTCATTTAGTATTCTTTCTTAAGTTGCACTGACTGAGGCTGGGCAATTTCAGTAGTAAGTTCCAAATATTCTCAGAGTGAACTTCACCTGGTAAAGTTTACCCACACTCACAGAGATCCTAATTTCTTCCCACTTAGTCCCTGAACTTTCTTTGGTGTTTATTTTATCCTGCTCAATTTGCAGGTCATTTTTTAAATTGCTATTTTTTGACAGAAACTTTAGAGGTGAAATTAGTTAAAGCATTTCATTTCTATTCTGTTGACATGTACTGTTGAATGATTGGCACAGAGACCTGTTTCTATTTCTGTTTCTTGCTTTTAGTGTAGAAGATTCTGTGTTAATGTGATGAAGGGTGGTGTGCTTTTGAGCTGCAGCCTGACCTTGCTCATGACTATGAAATGTTACAAGGTTGAATTTCATAAGTTGACGTGTTAGGGCTGTTAGTATCAGCGGTAATAAATTGTACAAAATCTCCATGGTATAACATTAAAGTGTAGGTAGTCTAGTCAGATGTTTGGCAGACAGCCTTCCATTTGAAGTTCCCTTTATGTTGTGGTATGGGCATTTTATAAGACCTGTTGCTGAATCCTCTGCATTTGCCTGGGCAACAAGCAAAGATAGAGTAAGTAAAATTGCAAGGTCTCACTTTGCATGGAAGAAGATCTAGTATTTCTTTCTTTAAGGATAAGAAGAGGCAAGAGGGAGCAATGACCCTAAAGTATTTTTAACTGTGGTAATAATGCTGTGCACTAAATGTCCAGAACTCATTGTATTGTAAAACTAAAACTTTGTGCCCTTTGACTAATATCTCCCAATTTCCTTCTCCAAACCTCCGATAAGCACCATTTTACTCTTGGCTTCTATGAGCTTTACTATTTTATTTTAGACTTGGCATATAAGTGATATTGTGAACTATTTGTCTTTCTGTGTCTGGTTTATTTCACTTAACATAATGACTCTAGGTTTATCCATGTTGTCACAGATAGCAAGATCTCCATTTTTAAGGTTGAATAATATTCCATTATTTGTGTATGTCATATTTTCATTATTCATCTGTCAGTGGACATTTAGGTTGTTTCTATATTTTGGTTACTATGAATAATGCTGCAATGCATACAGAATCATAGATATTCCTTTGAATTTCAGGTTTCATTTTCTATGGATATATACCCAGAAGTGGATTTGCTGGATCACATGATAGTTCTACATGCCATTTTTTTTGGAGAAACTTTGCTATTTTCTACCATAACTGTACCAATTTGCATTTTTATCTACAGTGTACAAGGGCTCCCTTTTCTCCATATCTTTGCCAGCACTTACCTTTTGTTGCTAATAGTCATTCTAATAGGTGTGAGGTAATATATATTGGCTTGGGTTGACTTTCCCTGATAATCGATGATATTGAATACCTTTTCGTATTCTATTGTCCATTGTTATGCTTTTTGTGGGAAATGTTCATTCAGGTTCTGTGTCTATTCAGTAATTAGATTATCTGTGTGTTTTTGTTTGTTTGTTTGCTATTGAATCGAATGAGTGTTTTATAGATTTCTAAACAGGGCTCCCAGGTACGCTTAAAGTAGCAAGTGTGAGTAGTTGGCAAGGTTAAAGAGTCTGCTGAGCTGGAGCTAGACTTGTGCCAAAGTCTTACATATGATGTTTATGGCTTCTAAACAAAAATACCATCATTTCTTCAACATGGAAAACCACATAAAGTTGTTAGCACTTTGCTTGCAATTGAATGTTAATATAGTGGGACAATGAACTCATCTTTTTCAGAACTTCCTTTTGTTTCTTATCTTTTTGAGAATTTGGCAACAGCCAGTTGTGTTGTATTTTCTGGTTTGTAGTTTTGTTACTTCCAGGCTATTTACAGGAGGCATTCCCCTTCAAGAGGCATAGACATTTCATATGGGTAACTAGCTGTCCTCTCTGAGAGGTTTACTCTAAGAGTTAAGTGAGTGAGTGAGACTAGAAGCAGTGAGATAACTGAAAAGAAGGACAATGGATGCATTTTTGAGGGTCCAGAGGGTCTTTTCTGATGGATAGCGCTTCAGTTTCTGGAAAAGAGAATGTCACATGAAAGCCTGCATCAGTCATTCCCACAAAGTATTGCATTTTTGCCATGAACTATGTTCTAAATAAATTCTGGGGAGTCAAAGCTGAAGATCAATAGAGAAGTTCTTATAAAGAAAGAAAGCAGAGCTGTACATGAATAAAGAGTAAATGAAGGATAAGAAAATAAACACTGAAAACAGGAAGGGGATATTTGTTAAATACATTTGAGCCATTGAGGCAGATCCAAGGATGAAATTAGGAGGTTTCTTATCCAAAATCTATAGTCATAGTTGCAATAGTATATACCAAGGGCCAGAAGAATTTAGTCTATGAGTCAAATCTGCCCCACTACCTGTTTTTTTTTTAATAAAGTTTGTTGGAAAATAATTCATTGTTGTATTTTCTATGGCTGCTTTTGCTCTACAGTGACAGAATTGAGCTGTTGTAATGCAGACTGTATGGCCTGAAAGCTGAAAATATTTTACAATCTTAGAATCTGGCTTTTTTACAGAAAAAGTTTGTCAGTGCTTGCTATACACAGTGAACATATTACTAGACTAGAATTGTTGTTACCCAAGTGCAGTGTGAATGGTTAGAGCTACCATGCCACTGGGAAATATGTGTTTGCTTTTAAAATTGAGCTTAGTGGTTTAATGGAGTCGTATAGTCCAACCACCATCTCTCTCACCAGTGGGAACCAAGAGAAAGAGAGGTGAAGTGTCTTGCCCCAGGCCACACAGCAAATTAATGACAAAGTCAAAATAAACTTCCAGGCCTCTGTAGTTCCAGCCAGTACTATTTTCAGAAGTTGATTAAAAATGGATAAGTGGTCCCTATTGTCTAGTATTTGACATGAATTCCTTACAGTCCAGGGAGCTGCTGCATTGAGGAATGTTCCAGTGTCCTGGATTCTACGCAAAGAGTTAAATCTCTAGTAGTAACAGGAAGACCTCGATAGAACATTCACTCATTGTTTAATGCAAATCCTAGCAGAGACTTTTGGGTCAGCATTATCCTAAAGCTTGAGTAATCTTTCAGAGAGTTTGGTTATTGATTCCAAGAATGGTTTTCTCTCAAAAACCTCTTTATTTTGAAAATTACCGTGAGACCTCAACTTCACAATTCTACTAATGTCATTAGATGCCTGGTGCTTTATTATAATTCGGTTTAGCTGCACTTTCGTAATGTTAGGTATTGACAATGTGAAGATTTTGATGTTAAATAACTTCCTCTGACATGAATATAGTTAATAATTCTTAGTCTCAGTTCAACATTGCGATGGAATGGAACAGGTCAAATTAGCACATTGAGTTTTTAGAATATTACAGTTCTCTATAAAAGTTTGATTTCCTATATTTTTAATTATTTCTGACATACATTGGCAAGCATAGGAGATAAGCAAAGTAACAGATTGTATTCAAAATTTTCTTTCTCCTTATCCAAGCATAACTGAGTCATGGCCTTTTTATAAGTTGGAGTACCAAGCTCAGAGTTGGGTTACCATCTGACATTGGGGAATTAAATATTTAGATTTTTTATTTTTTCTTGGTTGTTGCAATTTTGTCTATAATACAATGTACACAAACAATACTTTGTTATTAAAATTAGTGTTTGTAGTGTTCACATTAAATAATAGTAAATTAAAATGTGTGCTAAATTGATGTTTGTATTTTTGTTTTGCTGACCAAAGAAAATGTAGGTTGTCATGTTTAAAGAAAAAAAAAAGATGCATTACTGGGGCCTATTAACTTAATTAGAAGTAACAGATTTATAGCTTTAGAAAGACAAGCTTTACTTCCCCATTTTTCTCATAATTTATTTTTAATTGACAAGAATTATTTATATTGTACAACATAAAGGTTTTGATATGTATATATGGACACATATATGCATTGTGGAATGGTTAAATCAAGCTAACAACATATGCATTACCTGACATACTTACTCTTTGTGGTACGAACACTTAAAGTCTGTCTTGGCAATTTTCAAGATTATAATACCTTACCTATAGTCACCATGCTGTACAATAGATCTCTTGAACTTATTCTTCCTGTCTAAAATTTCATATTTTTTGACGAACACTTCCTCACCCCCGGTAACCACCATTCTGTTCTCTTCTTCAATCAATTCTGCTTCTATTTTCCTGTGTTTATGCCATCTCTTTCCTTTAAGAATTTGTTCCTTGGTTAAAAATAAAGCATTTCTAGAAGTTACATAAGTGAATTGTCATAGTGTTATTTATCATCCAGAGATTAAATAAATTATATTCAATCAATATTAAAATGTTGAAACAAAACATCTCACTCATGTCCATTCACTCCTCTCACGTTAGTTCATTAAGCAAATGTTTATTGAGAGTTCACTATATTCCTATGCTCTCATTGAAATAAATGTAGAGCCAAACCACATACTATAATTGGGCTCATGTAGCACGTTGTACTGGTCTATTCTCATGCTGCTGATAAATACCCAAGACTGCGCAATTTAGAAACAAAAGAATTTAATGGATTCACAGTTCCACATGGCTGGGAGGCCTCACAATCATGGCAGAAGTCAAATGAGGAGCAAAGTCACATCTTACATGGCAGGCAAGAGAGCTTGTGCAGGGAAACTCTCTTTTATAAAACCATCAGATCTTGTAAGATTTATTCACTACCATGAGAGCAGTATAATGGAGCCTACCCCTATGAATCAATTATTTCCACCTGGCCCTACCCTTGACACATGGAGATTATTAGAATTCAAGGTGAGATTTGGGTGGGGAGACAAATCCAAACCATATCACATGCAGTATATATAACAAGGGAGGCAGCTATTAACAAAACATTTCCACAAAAAATAAAAGTAAAATTGTATCCTGAGAAAAGCGTTCGTGAGGAAGGAATCATGGTTCTATGGTTCTATGAAAAATTATTGCAAAAGAAGCCCAACATAGGCATGGGATTCAGGATCAATTTATGTTTTCAGAATGTATTTGAGCTGAGAACTAACAGATTAAGAGAAAAGAGTTAGTTAGGGATGGATGGGGGAGAAGATGGAGATTACCCAAACAAAGTAAACTGCCAGTACAAAGATCCTGTCATGGAGGAGTGGAGAGCAAGGCTTACTCAAGGAACTGGAACCTAGTTTATTATCAGAGGAAGCTGACAGACAAAGCAAAAACCATACCATATTAAAGAGTTTTGTTTCTACTCCAGGAGCAATAGACAGTCATTGTAAAGTTCTAATCAGGAAAGTATCATGGCTATATTTGAGAACAGAAAATATCACTCCTGTTGCTGGGTAGTAATGAATGGAGGGGTAAGAATGGAAGGATACAAGGCTATGAGGAGGTCTGTGGAAAGTCACATGTTCAATGGAATATGTACAAATTACAAATTTGTACAAGCACAAACTACATGTTCCACACATTCATAACTTTGAAATTTCCCAGTGATCTCATGAACTTTTGTAAAATAGAAGACTTGTTTTAATGGAGGGGGAAGAAAATAACTAACATAAAAGTCTGTTCTAAAACAAAAGCTTTGCAGACATCCAACTGTTCAGTGTCAACTTCATAAACACCCTATAAGAATCTCATTTTGCATGTGAAGAAATCAGGCTTTGCAAAGCTTGAGTGACTCAAAGTCATAAGCTTCGTAGCCTGGAAACAAAATTTAAATCTGTGACAGTTTCACATCTAAACACATGTTATATCCACTATAGTCACCCCAGACTTGGGGTTACTTCTCTTAATGTAAACAGTTTAATGATGTAATTGGTCAAGTAGATTGCATATTTAATAAAATCTAAAGTGCTGAAAAATAAATCCATGCATTTACTTTCAAAGGTCACAATCCTCAGAGCCAAATTAAACCATAATCTACACAAATGCTGCAAAAGCAGGGAAGTGGGGAGCCACAAAAGTTTATTCCAATTGACAATACAGGTAATTTTATAGGAATGTTTCTGTATTGAATGCTGTTGTTTCATATGGTCATCAGTCAGGATTTGGAAATGCACATATTGACAAGTACTTGCAATGTCTTGATGTAATAGTTAGGTTCAACCTATAAATTATTCCTCCTTTCCCCACAGTGTTTGATTCAAAACCAATTAGATGCCAGTTGAATGAAATTTGCAGTTGTCTTGAAATCAGAAGTCTACTTGTTTTGTACTTGGTTAAATATGCTTACATTGTGTAAGCTCCACAGGACTGTGAGTAACAGTATTAGAGCTTTAGTTTGCTCACTATTTTTAATTTATATTTTAAAATATGTATTATACTATATTTCATACATTAATTAAACACTCACAAACATATTTTCTTAGAGTTTGGGGATCACTGCTTGAATTAAAGGTAAAAATCTGAGAAATATTTGCAATTGAGGAAACCAGGATTTACAATATAAGGTGTGCAGAATCAAATGCTTCATCTTGTAGAGAAAGGTCCCTTAGGAATGGTGCTTTAATTTTACAAAAACGTTCAAACTCTTTTCTCATTTGATCCTCACCACAGCCTGTGAGAATAATTGGTTGGTTGAAAATAATGGTTGGCCTGAGGTGGAGGATGTCTAATGACTAGAAGAATAAAAATTCCTGCTCAACTGGGCAGGACAGCAGAGTTCCTAACAAACTGTCAGAAAAATAAAAAAAAGTTGTGAAACTGAATCCAAATGGCAGTCTATGAGAACCATCACTTCTGTCTTTCTGTTTCTTAGGTAGCATTTCTCCAGTCTAAAGAGACTCTAGCTGTGGAACATATGCTATCAATTGAATCTTGAACTGATTTTTCTTTTTAACTCAAATTACTGATGAAGGAATCCTTAGGAAAAGTTGACTTGACTATAAAGTGTCCAAAGGAATTGGTAACCAGGATGTTTTCTTCTTTTCTCCCACCTCCCCATGCTTGTAATTTAAAAGATTGGTTTTAGGGTTTTAGAGATCTAAATGAAGTCAGCAACCTAAAATGCCTTTTAAAGTGCAAAAGATGTCTTGTATTCTGCAGTAGTTCCTATTGATTTTGAACAGAACAATATTTTTAAAAGAATTCCACATGGATACAGAAAATGGGAAGAGAAGCTGACCTGGTAGATCAACCTGTAATCTCTACATCAATGGGTGACTTTATTTAATAGTTTAGAAACTAAATAAAGCTAATCTAATTAATTCTTTTAGCTGTAAAATATATTTACATTAATTAATTTTTTTTTGTGCCAGAAGATAAGATGATGCCCTTCTTCACAGAATTGGGGAGTCATAATGTAATAAAATAACAAATTATGTTAGGAAAAAGTCATCTCATTGGTTCAGAAATTCTCATTTTGCTTATACTTTGTTCCAGGAGTTTAATTTTAAAGCTTCCAAATGACAGAGAAGTAACACTTGTTGTTTGGACTGAAAATGTATTTATGAATCAGTGATTATCTGTCTTTGAGCTTGATCATTTTCATTTTTAAAGATTCCATGCTGGTAAAAACTATTTATCCCTTCTGCCCTGTTCTCTGCTTCACAGTAGTATCAGAAAAAGTTCCATACAGTAGTTTGTTAGTTGAACTCCTTGAGAATTGCCCAAATCTAAGCATTTAAGAACAATTAACTTTTAGGCATTGATTTTTTTCTTCTGTTTTTGTTAGTTTAATTGAGGTTTAATTTACATATAAAATTTATCAATTTAAGTGTGCAATCCTCTTGTTTTAAAAATCTAATTTACCACCCACCAAAATCAAGATAGAGAACTCTTCCATTGTCCTCCAATTTTATTTGTTTTGTACCTCTTTGAATTTAATCATCCCACCTCCATATACACACACAGACAAGTCTGTGACCACTAGTTACTTTCTGTTGTTATAGTTTTGCCTTCTCAATAAATGGATTCAAAGAGTATGTAATATTTGTGTCTGACTTCTTTTATTCAGTTTATTGCTCTTGATATGTATGCATGTTATTGCAAGTATCGGTAGTTTTTTTTTTTTTTTTTGCATTGCCAGGTAGTATTTTTTTGTTTGAATACATCACAGTTTGGCTGTTCCCTAGATGATGGGCATTTAGGTTCTTTCCCATTGAGGGTTATTAAGGATAAAACTGTTATAAACACTTATGAACAAGGCTTTCAGTAGACATATGCCTTAAATTTCTCTTGCATAACTGCCTAGTAGTGTATTGCTGGGTTTTATTGTAAGGGTATGTTTAACTTCATAAGAAACTGCTCAACTCTTTTCCAAAGTGGCTATATTATTTTATATATTTCTACCAGTGTATTTTAGCATGCCAGTTGGTCAGTATTCTCAATGACACTTAGTCTTTTGTTTTTCTTGGGTTTTTTTTTTTTAAAATAATTCTAGTTGGAGTGTATTGATATTTCATTGTCATTTTAATTTGCATTTTTCTTAGGCTTAATGTTAAAAATCTTTTCATGCACTTATTTACATTTATATATCTTTTTTGGTAAAATGTCTATTCAAATCCTTTTTTTTTACTTTAGTTATCTTATTATTGAATAAGAGCTCTTTATATTAATATATTCCCCATATAAATCATTTATTGGCTAAATATTTTACAAAATATTTTCTGCCAGGGTGTAGCTGTTATTTTCAGTTTTTCAATGATGTATGAAAAAGAGCATTTTAAAAAATGTTGAAGAAGTCCAATTTATCCCTGTTTCTGTCTTTTATTCTTTTGTGTCCTGTTTAAGAAATCATTACTAGCTTAATGTTCTCCTATTCTTTTCTCTAGAAATTTTATAGTCTTAAATCTTACATTAATGTCTATAATTCACTTTGTCAATTTTTATGTATGTTGTACAGTGAGAGCTGAAGTTAATTTTTTCTATATTGATATTAAGTTGTTTCAGCATCATTTGTTAAAAATGTTATCCTTGTTTTGGTTGATTGCCTTCTTTTAAAATGAATTGACCTTGTATGAAGGCTTTTTTTTTCTACCATCTGTCTTGTTCCTTTGATCTATATGTCTGTTTCTACAAGAATATCACATTGTCTTGATTACTACATCTTTAAGTTTTGAAGTCAGCTAATGTAAGTCCTTCAATTTTATTTTTCTTTTTCAAAATTGTTATGGTTATTATAGGCCCTTTACTTTCCCATATAAATTTTAAAATCAGTTTTTTAATTTCTATAGAATTCTCTCTCAAATTTTGATTGGGATTATAATAAATCTGTAAATCATACAAACTCTTACTGTGACAATATTGAACATGGTATATGGGATTTATTTAATTTTATCAATATTTTGTAATTTTTGTTCTACAGTTTTTTCATATGTATTCTTCAAGCTACAACTATCTTATATTTTGCTACTACTATAAGTATTTTCATTTTAATTTTCAATTTTTAAATTACTAGCATATATAAGTTCATTTGATTTTTCTATATTGAACTTATATCATTTGCTATGAGTAAACATAGTTTTTTGTAGGTTCCTTAAGACTTTCAAAATAGATTCTCTATAAATGAAGCCATTTTAATCTTATCTTTTATGATATATATGATATATGATATACATATATCATAAAAGATAAGATTAAAATATATATCTTTTATGATATATATGACATCTAATATATGATGATATATATGATATATGTATGATATATATGATATCTTTTATGATATATATATCATAAAAGATAAGATTAAAATGGCTATATATGTATCTTTAATTTTTTTGTGTGTGTTCTTGTCTGAGTGCACTGGGATGCAATGTTAAGTACAACGTTAAACTGAAATAATGAGAGTAGTCATTCTTGCATTGGTCCCTGTTTAAGTGGGAGAGATTTCTGTCTTTCACCATTAACTGTTATTATTTCTCGCAAGTCCTTATTAGGTTGAAGAAAGTCACTTCTGTTCCTTCTATTTTTAATCATAATGGAATATTAAATTTTTGTCAAAAACTTTTCTGCATATATGGAATTGATCAAGTATTTTTCTTACTGGTTTTCTCTCATCTCTCTCTCTCTTTCTGTCTGTCTCTCTCTTTCTCTCTCTCTACCCATCGTTCTCCTCTTAACAGCAAAGCTACTGTTTTCTGTCTTCAAAATTTGGGTCACCTTGGGTTCCCTGAAACTCAAATTCTGACTCTTCTTTACAACAAGATCACCAGGCTCTCCTTAGGTTTCTCCCACTTGTGGTATGTTCTAGAATCTCTCCAGGCAGTGGCAGTGAGCTGGGGAATTGCAAGGCTCATCTAATTTGTTTTCCTGGAAATATACGTATGTTCCAGTTTTCCCGTTGCTTAAGATGAGTGTGTAAATCTGGTCTCTTGCTATTGGTTTTTGTATCAATCTTTTTTTGTGTGTCCTTTTCCTATTTATTTGTTTTTGCTTAGACCTAATGCAAATCTATTGCCTTTGGATGATGTCTTAATTTATTTCTAGCGTTCTAGTTAATGTACCAAACAATCTATTGGGATTTTCTTCCTTCATTTTCTTCTTCTTCTTCTCTTTTTATTATTTATTTTAAAGTTGGAGAGGGTTGCTGCTTTAAATCAGCTATTTTTCAAGACTGTTAATACCAATAACTATTCTTAAGTTTCCAAACAAGCTGGGTGAAGAGAAGTTGCTGCAACATCCTTCTTCAAATCTGTTCTTTTTCAAATCAATTCTTTCATAGGTGGAGAACCGTTTTGTTGGAGTCAGGCTAACGATTTCCTCTCTTATGAAAATCAAGAATTTAAACATTTTATATATAAATATTTTATATATCTGTGTGTGTGTGTGTGTGTGTGTGTGTGTATGTATATATATATATACATACACACACATTTAAGACAGAGTCTCACTCTGTCACCCAGGCTGGAGTGCAGTGGCATGATCTTGGCTCACTGCAACCTCCACCTCCCTGGATCAAGCATTTCTTATGCCTCAGCCTCTCAAGAAGCTGGGATTACAGGCGTGCACCACCACATCCAGCAACTTTTTGTATTTCTAGTAGAGACAGGATTTCACCATGTTTGCTACGCTGATCCGAAACTCCTGGCCTCAAACAATCTGCCTGCCTTGTCCTCCCAAAGTGCTGAGATTACAGGCATGAGCCAGTGCACTCAGCCTAAAGACAAATATTTTAAATATATACTGAATATATACACACTCATGGCCCTCTCAGTATTGATCAGGAGAAGTATTAGGCTTTTCCTGTGTCAGGTTTGAATCAACCTAGTTGTGCTAACTCCACAGGGTTTGTAGAGGATATGGGGACATGGGAAGTTTCCCTATGACTCAGTAGCCAGTTAAATGCTTACAAATTCACAGTTTATTGTGAGGCCTTCACACAACAACAATCATGCAAATATATTCAATAACACAGGCAGTAATAAGATAGAGGGAGAAAAAAACACAGCAAGTAGTTTCAGAGACCAGCACACTGACTGATGAACCAGCAGCTCTGATTTTCCCTTGGAAGGCCAGCCAGAGTGGAGGTCCTTTCTTTTCCCCAACGCAGGGCTTCTGGCAGCCACAGTTTCTGGAAAAGAGGACTTAGAGTTCTCAATGGCAGAGCTTCTACAGGCATCGTGGCCATGGTCAGTTTCTTTGCAGTTTTTAATGCCTGGGAGTATCCATGGCCATTATCCTCAGGTGCCTTTTAGGTTTACTTTCTCATCAGGTTTCAGGGTGCCTGGCCACAGCCGGGGTTGGCTTATCACCTCAGTCCACCATGTATATGCTTCTCACTCCGAGGTCAACAATTTCACTGTAAGCTGAGTTACCTGTCATAAGTGACTCCATTTTGAGACATTTAGGACCACAAAACATTATATATCATCTTTGTTAAATAAAGTTCCACTTTTTGGAATAAGTATACACAGTTGTGCAAGTGAGAAGCAGCTCAGAGGTGAATCAGGTTTTGTAGCTACTACGGAAGATAACTACTCATTTCTCTGAGATCTATTTACCATCCTGATCATTATGAGGTCTCCAAAAAAAACTGTATGTTTGCCACATTACCTATATTTATTATACCATCCAAATTTGGTTAAACTATTGTACCCATTTTCAAATAGTGGAATAACAGAGAGAAAAACCTTGTGTATTTCGTTTTTAATAGTAGTATAATATTTAGTCACATTATTAACTTGAATTTGGGTTGTAATATTAATATTATAACTTAGTGCTTGATTTTGCTGTAGTCCTCATAGATATCCTTATTAATTTTAAAGATTTTAAAAATCTCATTTTCTTTTTCTTATCTGCTTTAATTTTCTAAATCATTCTGCAGTACAACTAAACATACTAACTTGGATTTTGTAGGGGAAGTCTGTATATGTATGTGGTGTGAATTAATGCAAATATTGGAAGAAATTAAATTAGGTTCATTTCAAGAGCATTTGGTATGAAAAGCTAGGCTAACAAAGTAAGTGTTGCCTGTGATAGATTCCTAGAAACTTGTTGAAATTAGTAGATTGTAATGGTTTTCAATTAACATATGGCTTGTTTCTGTGCAAATAAAGGTTTTCAGAGTGCTTAAGGGAATGTTGGAGAAGTTCATTTAATTACAATAGTTACGAATATTACCTCTGATATCTGTTTACCCCTGTATTTATACATATCTTTTGTTTTATAGATCATCCTTTTTTCAACTAACCTATTCTAAATTAGTAGATACAAAGTAATGCAATGGTTATCTCTAGGTTGTAAAAATATGAGACGTTTCAATTTTCATCTTCTTATGTTATTTTACTTTTTTATACATCTAATAACGTTTTCCCTAAACAAATAATTTTCATCTGAATCTCAGATAAAAACACGCAACAGCTGCCTTTTCAACAAATCAAATGTTTTTTCTTCAAAATTGAATTGTGGCAAATCATTGCGTTTAAAAAATAAAAAAAATCAGTTCATACTTCTGGAAAATGAAAGATCTAGAGTATATCTACTTTAGAATATCTTAATGTTTGAGTTAGATGAACTAAGCTCTGAAACATTTTCCAAATCTTGTTTTCCAGCTGGAGAAATGGAGGCTCAATGTTTTAGGATGGGTGAGGTAGTTTAATGCTTGTGACTACCTTGGGACTTGGCACCTCTTCATATATCAGGATGATCTCTCGATCTAGTGCACACTCTATCTCTATTGTTTATTTGCAAATTACAAATCTACGTAGGCAAATGATCTACTTAGGCAAATGAAGCATATATAGCAAGAACATGGATTCATCAGGTATCTAGACAGGTCATATTTTGTATAATATGTGGTTTTCGGTTCTTAGGCATTCAGATAGTCTTTGATCAGTTTTTTCTCTCTTGACCCAGTAAAATTTCCTGGAGCTATTTTTGACAATCTGTAACTTTTATGTGTATAAACACATGCAGAATTTTATCTTTTATAAATTCAGATGCCTTTTTATTGAAATCCAGAAACAGACTTTCGGCCTATTTGAGATGATTGACCATATTACATTTTTTTTCTAGGCTACCTATAGTTCTAGGAAACTAGCTCCATAAAGTTCTATAAAATAACCACATAATTAGATAGAATTCCCTCTCTAAGTCAACCAAATATGAAGTCTCAAACAAATATTTTTAATTCACATATTTATGCTCTATGTATTCAAAATTGAAAGTATTTAACACAAATATTGTTCTAAAGTTTTTTTAACCATGTTAATTGGTTAATATAGAATATCACATTGATTATGTTTAGGTTTGGAAGAATTAGCTCAATTTTTTTCTACAGAGAGGAACAAATTACTTATGCTTCTAGATGTTGATGTCAATATTTGATTGTTGGCAATATTGTCATTCATCTGGTTAGAGTTTATGTTCATTAATATATTAATGGTGTTTATTTTATATATCATTGTGTTTTATTTATATTTGTTAGAAATGCTTGTTCCTCAGTGCCATAAATAAATAGCACTTGAACATAAATTTAATTTCCTCAGCAAGTCCATTTTTACTTTCTGCAGAAAGGGTACACTCGCCAGCTGTTTTGCAAGAGTATACCGAACAAAGGAGACAGGGTCATTTATAAACTGATGTGTCATCTTACTGCTGTGTCTGGTTTCCATTCCCTGGAATGGGACTTCACATTCTGTCCTTGTCCTGATTGGCTAGCAACTTAGAACTTTCTAAAAGAGGCAAAGGCAGAGGAGAACAAAGGAAGGAGGAAGTAACTTGTAGAATGCTAAGAAAGGTAAAAACATCTTCAAATAAGGAAGAGGAACAGGCTATGACCTAATGCTTGCTTGGACTAGTATAAGCATGCCAGGGCAAATATTTAGGCTAAACTGTGGGAGCTAAGAACATAAAGTACAATGATTTCCTTATTAACGCTAGCAGATATTTAAGAATGTTAGTACAGGTCTTTGAATACATTTTGCTTCTAAGAGAAGTTACTATTTATTCCTAATTAGATGGGGAGGAAAGTCTTTGAAGAGGATCCCCTACTTTACATTTTACATATATATATATGTATTACACATATATGTAACAGTGTTTCATCAATATATTTTTTCAGTAGGACAAAGTAAATCTACACAGGACAGAGAAATTGATTTACTTTTTGAAAGTTCCTAAGCAAAAATTATCTATCAATGAACCACATCTAAAGAGCCACTTTTTACTACTTGTTTATACACTGTCTCTCCTTCTTCTTTCCCCCTACCATTGTTTAAGCCACAGATTTTTAAAACTAGAAAGGTCTTTATAAAAGTTTCTATTCAATACTTTCATTATATGTAAAAACAAAAGGGTATCTAAACACATTAAAAGATTCACTCATATTTGTTCTTTGATCATTATTAGTCTAAATCTTCCAAAGAAAATTGCTAGAGATCTTGAAAGGTAACCTAAATCTTTCTAAAATCATTTTTTATCTCATTTCCTATGTTCTGCATGCTTTCATCTCCCCCAAATTTGTATGTTATTATCTTAACCCTATATAGTACCTAAAATACCTAGGTGATAGTATTAAGAGGTTTGATTTTTGGAAGGTAATTGAGTCATAAGGGTGAGACCCTCATGAATGGGATTAGTGCTCTTATAAAAGTGACCCTAGAGAGTTACCTAACCCCTTCTGCCATGTGAGAACTCAGCATTAAGATGTCTTCTAAGAACCAAAACATTGGTCTTCTCCAGACACAGAATCTGCTAGTTCTTTCATCTTGAGCTCCTCAGCCTCCAGAACTATGAGAAAGATATTTCTGTTGTTTATAAGCTACCCAGTTTATGTATTTTGTTATAGCAGCCCAGCTGGACTGCAGCACAATTCTTAGAATGGAGTAGAGTATACATATTCCAGGCGAAGTCCAAAGGCTATTCCCTCTGTGTATCCTGTAATGATTTGGGCTGGAGTACAGAGAAGCAGAGGTTTTTGGAAGATAGACCGATTTTTCTTTGGGGATTCCATCCACTTGCCCTTTCTTTCTGTCCATTAGAACTAATATCTTTAAATAATTGGCAAGGCCCTTGAGTTAATTTTTCAAGTATCTCCTTCAGTGTATCCAGTCAAATTAAATATGGCAGAAGGAGCCCAGATCCTACCGATCTTTGCATTCAGTTTGCTGTGGTTTGGTATAAAGCTATTGGAAACGGCTTTCTAACAGGATCTTGAATTCATAGCCTCCACCACCACCTCCTTGCATTTGGGTGGGGCTATATGTCTAGTTTTCACTGACTGAGTAGGGGCAGAAATGTTACACCATTGTAGGAACAAGATGGTGAAAAAAACATATGCTGTCTTTACCATTCTCTACCTTCCCTTTTCCTCTTTATTGACTGCAGTGCAGGGAAATCAGTGGCTATGGGGATACCAATCTATACAGTAGAAGGAAACACTGGGGAAGAGAGCTGATCATGAGTCAGGAACATCATTAATGAACTATTACAAGAATGATAAATTAACTATTGTTATGTTAAGCCACTCAAGTTTGGTCATTTATTTAATATAGCTACCAACATTATGCTGACTCAAATGGCTTTTTGGATTAATGATGTCTAATAAAAATAAATGCATGTTTCTTTAACGCCTAGAAATGTTTCCTTGTGCCTATAAATGAAGAAACAGCCTTATTTTTGTTGAGAAAGGTAGGAAAGAATAAAATATTATGGGGAAAGGTAAAGACAGTGTCTTTGAAGCATATGTTGATGTTTTTGTGTCCTATCATTGTTTATCTCTCAAACAATTTTCCTACCTCACATGAGATGCATCTTCCTCTTTCACAGTCATACTGGGTGACTGATTTATAGAACACACTGCCGTTGAATCCATAAGCCTTTTCCCAAGCTATTTCTGTGAATGCAATTTAATGCCCTTTTAGGTTTATTTGCAATTCACTCTCATGTTAGTACAGGCATTTTTTGATGTGCTTTCATAAAACTATTAAGATTTATATGTGGGCAGACTCTTGAAGACCATACTCCTTGTGTTAAGATTTGGGGTATATAAGATAAATCTCCATAAGGCTGTTCATACAATTCAGCATAACATGGGTGACTTTGTTTTATATTGGTTGAATTGTTCTTAGGTAGTTGCTGTGTAACTGTTGGTTATAAATATGGCTGGAATAGTATTACTAACAATGACAATGGTAATAGCCAGCATATTTTTTAGACTTTACTATGTGCTGGATAATGTTAAAGTTCATAACTCATTTTATCTTCATAGAAAACATATGAGGTAGGATATTTACATTGCCCTCATTTACAGATGAGTAAAAGAGACACAGGGGAGTTAAGAAACATACCTAAGCTTCCATGGTAGTAAGCTGGTGTTCAAACCCGGAGTTGACTGTTTGTAGCCATTGTACCTAGCAATTAAGATCTGGAAATTGTGATAGGAAAGAATGAAACATTTATATATTACCCTTTCTTTTTGGGAACAACTAGGCATATACATGAGATAAATGTCTCAACAAAGAAAATAATGAAAGAGCAAATTAAGGAGAAATAGTAACACTTGACCTGGGTACCAGATAGGATAAGCAAGGACTGACAGGAGAGTAAGAACAGAAGCTTACATGTCGAGTGCTTTGCATACACAACCTCATGTAATAACCTGCAAGACCATCCAGCAAAATTGGTTCTATCATTGAGTTTTAAAGCAAGGCAGCTAAAGTTCAAGGAATTTAAGTAACTTTCTTGTCCAACTAAGAGTAGATATAAGTGCTGGGATTTGAACCAGGTCTTTAAAATACAAAATAGCATATTCCCTGCCCCTAACTTCTTATCTAATCAACATGATAAAAGGACCTTCCAGGAGAGAGAGTAATGTGGGAATATGGGAGAGGCTTTGCTTGTGTTTCACCAGGAGAAAATCAGCTTCCTGTTTGGATACCCACTAGACATTTAAAGTTCCCCAGTGAACCCACTGGAGACACAAAGTAAGCCCACTCCGCTAGAAACTGTTAAAAAAATTTCAAGAAAAGAAAAATAAAAGGGAATACTTACAGAAATTGGCATGGTAAGCATTAAGCATCTTGGATTGTTTGGAATACAAGGATCATAGGAGATGAAAGGAGAGACGAATGGGAGTAAGGAGATGAGTAGTGAATGGAACGGATAAAGCATTACACTGAGGATTTTGTATCTGTTCAAAGAACATGAAGGAGACGGTGTACAATCGTAGTGTGTGGAACTGAGTTTTGTAAAAGGAGCACCCATCTGCAACTGAAGGAAGAAACAAGGAGCCAAGACAAAAGGGGGAGTTTCATTCCAGGAATTAAGAATCAGAATAAATATGAAAAATATAGCACCTAATAAATGTGTATTTAGCTATAAAGGAACAATAAATACAAATAAATATAAGAAGTGGTCTCTGCAATTTAATACATTTAATTTCTCCAATCACCCCCAGGGAGTTTGCCATTTTGAAAAACTGTGACTCACAAAATGGGTCAACCCAAGGCATAATTTCACAGTGATAATGAGCAGTGGAAAATTCCATGTAAAAAGTTGACTTTTAGCATATTTGTCTAACCCTCTCTTTCCACATCTGTACTCTATTAAATTGTTAATTCATGCAAAAATGGTGATAACCCATATCAACATTAGATGGTTGTCATCAACACACTTAAAAATTTGGGCGATTCTGGCCAAATATAGTGCACAAGAGATTGAATTTTACAAAGTATTTATCTTAGCTGTGCCTGTTCATAGTAGAATAGCTCTGTCAGAGGAGTAGCTTATCCTTGGCTGGCTATGTTCCTAGAAGAACTGTAATAAAACTCCTAGTTGAAGGAAATAATAAGTTCCAAGGGACCATCTTATTCCCACTGGTGTTTGAGGGAGCTTTGGTAGAAACCAGAAAGTCATACTGTAAGAAAACCACTGAGCAGCATTTATTTCCTGTCTTTCCTTCCCCAAGTAGCACAAGCCAAAGGTTAGCTCAGCTGAATGTCATATTTTTAAACATGCCCACTGTTGCCTAATGTTAAAGATACTCCCTGATGCATGGGTATGGGTCTTGTGACACAGCCCTCTCCCGCCCAAACTAATCAGCCTAGAGGATACCACATCGCCAATCCAAAGACAATCAAGACACAAGTAAGGCTTGGTATACAAGGCTTCAGTGAATCAGAGATTATCTTAATTTTATCAGATTCATTCATTTTCACTCTGTGTAGAATTTGAGCTCACAGACTGCTGTTCCCTGATGGTGACTATTGAGTTATTGGACCATGAAGACTAAGCAGGTGAAGCTGGGGTTAGAGAGAGGATAAGCTGGACATGCAGAAACAACACACTAGCTACACCTCAGAGGCGGCAGTTTAATTTTTTATTTAATTAACTTTCAATTAATTTCCCAGTTCTTGAAGGATCCTAATTACTTTGTACAAAGCTCATTTTCTTGCCCAAGAATTTGATGAAAATCTATAAGCTCTCAGATAATTACTTTCTTTTACATGAAATAATTTGGCTAGGTTTATAATCCTCACACCTGAAAGTATCTTGGCTAACACATACACCAACTGGAAAAAGAAACTAATTGGCTCATAGGTGAAACTCCCAGTTGGGAGAGACCCAAGGTCACCCCCTATTCCAATGGAGTGTTGTATTACTTGCAAAGTAACACAAGAAAAAATATTAACTTGCCCTTTTCTCCCCATCTGAGTCTGCATATTTTTCATAAGAACTTATGTATGTAATGTCCAACAGAAGCTGTCCATAGTGGTTAAGGCAACACAAGCTAATATAATAGGCAAATCTGGAAATCTCTGCAGCTTAACACAATGAAAATTTAATTCGTGTAGAGCAAAAGGTGGTGGGTATGCAGCGTGGGATCTTCTGATCCACACAGTCATTTAGGGATCTAAGCTGACAGAGGATTTGCTGTTTTTATTTATTTATTTACTTATTTTACTTTATAATTTATTTTATTTTATTTTATGTATTCTTTTCATAAGTTATTGAGGAACAGGTGGTATCTGGTTACATGTGTAAGTTCTTTAGTGGTGATTTGTGAGATTTTGGTGCACCTATCACCCATCTATACACTATACTATATTTATAGTCTTTTATCGCTTGCCCCTTCCCACTCTTCCCCCCAAGTCCCCAAAGTCCATTGTATTATTCTTATGCCTTTGTGTATGCATAGCTTAGCCCCCACATATCAGTGAGAACATATGACATTTGGTTTTCCATTGCTGAGTTATATCACTTGGAATAATAGTCTCCAATCGCATCCAGGTCGCTGCAAATGCTGTTAAATCACTCTTTTTATGGCTGAATAGTATTCCCTCATGTATGGATATATATACATATATATATATATATACACACATATACATATATATATACACATATATATATATACACACACACACACGCATCCATCATGTATGGATATATATATATATATATATATCACAGTTTCTTTATCCTCTCATTGATTGATGGGCATTTGCGTTGGTTCCAAGATTTTGCAATTGTGAATTGTGCTGCTATAAACATGTGTGTGCAAGTATCTTTTTCGAATAGTGTCTTCTTTTCCTCTGGGTAGATACCCAGTAGTGGGATTGCTGGATCAAATGGTAATTATACTTGTAGTTCTTTAAGGAATCTCCACACTGTTTTCCATAGTGGCTGTACTAGTTTACATTCCCACCAGCAGTGCAGAAGTGTTCTGTGTTCACTGCATCCATGCCAACATCTACTGTTTTTTGATTATGGCCATTTTTGCAGGAGTAAAGTGGTATTGCATTGTGGTTTTGATTTACATTTCTTTGATCATTAGTGATGTTGGACATTTTTTCATATGTTCATTGGCCATTTGTATATCTTCTTTTGAAAACTGTCTGTTCATGTCCTTAGCCCACTTTTTGATGGGATTGTTTGTTTTTTTCTTACTGATTTGTTTGAGTTGGTTGTAGATTCTGGTTATTAGTCCTTTGTCAGATGTACAGATTGTGAAGATTTTCTCCAACTCTGTGGGTTGTCTATTTAGTTTGCTGACTGTTCCTTTTGCTGTGCAAAAGCTCTTTAGTTTAGTTAGGCACCAGCTATTTATCTTTGTTTTTATTGCATTTGCTTTTGGGTTCTTGGTCATGAAGTCCTTGCCTAAGCCAATGTCTAAAATGGTTTTTTCAATGTTATCTTCCAGAATTTTTATAGTTTCAGATCTTAAGTTTAAGTCCTTAATCCAGCTTGAATTGAGTTTTGTATAAGGTGAGAGACAAGGATCCAGTTTCATTCTCCTGCATGTAGCTAGCCAATTATCCCAGCACCATTTGTTGAAAAGGGTATCCTTTCCCCACTTTATGTTTTTGTTTGCTTTGTCAAAGATCAATTGGCTGTAAATATTTGGGTTTATTTCTGGGTTCTCTATTCTCTTCCATTGGTCTATGTGCCTATTTTAATACAAGTACCACACTGTTTTGGTGACTATAGCCTTATAGTATAGTTTGAAATCACGTAGTGTGATTCCTCCAGATTTGTTCTTTTTGCTTAGTCTTGCTTTGGCTATGTGGGCTCTTTTTTGGTTCCATATGAATTTTAGAATTGTTTTTTCTAATTCTGTGAAGAATGATGGTGGTCTTCAGATGGAGATTGCATTGAATTTGTAGATCACTTTTGGCAATATGGTGATTTTCACTTTATTGATTCTACCCATCTATGTATCAGCACTCTCTCAGACCACAGTGGAATACAACTGGAAATCAACTCTAAAAGGAACCTTCATAATCATGTAAATACATGGAAATTAAATAACCTGCTGAATGAGCACTGGGTCAAAAATGAAATCAAGATGGAAATTAAAACATTCTTTGAACTGAATGACAATAATGATACAACCTATCAAAACCTCTGGGATACAGCAAAGGCGGTGCCAAGAGGAAAGTTCATAGCCCTAAACGTCTACATCAAAAAGTCTGAAAGAGCACAAACAGACAATCTAAGGTCACACCTCAAGGAACTAGAGAAATAAGAACAAACCAAACCCAAACCCAGCAGAAGAAAGGAAATAAGATCAGAGCAGAACTAAATGAAATGGAAAAAAACAAACAAAATTTACAAAGGATAAATGAAACAAAAAGCTGGTTCTTTGAAAAGATAAAACTGATAGACCATTAGCAAGATTAACCAAGAAAAGAAGAGAGAAAATCCAACTAACCTCACTAAGAAATGAAACAGGAGATATTACAACTGACACCACTGAAATACAAAAGCTCATTCAAGGCTAGTATGAACAACTTTATGCACATAAACTAGAAAACCTAGAGGAGATGGATGAATTCCTGGAAAAATACAACACTCTTAGCTTAAATCGGGAAGAATTAGATACCCTGAACAGACCAATAACAAGCAGCAAGATTGAAATGGCAATTTAAAAATTACCAACAACAAAAAAAGTCCAGGACCAGATGGATTCACAGCAGCATTCTACCAGACATTCAAAGAATTGGTACCAATCCTTTTGACACTATTCCACAAGATAGAGAAAGAAGGAACTCTCCCTAATTCAGCTATGAAGCCAGCATCATCCTAATACCAAAAACCAGGAAAGGACACAACCAAAAAAGAAAACTACAGACTGATATCCTCAGTGAGCACAGATGCTAAAATCCTTAACAAAATACTAGCTAACTGAATCCAAAGCATATCAAAAAGATAATCCACCATGATCAAGTGGGTTTCATACCAGGGATGCAGGGATGATTTAACATACGCAAGTCAGTAAATATGACACGCCACATAAACAGATTTAAAAACAAAAATCATATGATCATCTCAATAGATGCAGAAAAAGCATTTGACAGAATCTAGCATCACTTTATGCTTAAAACTCTCAGCAAAATGGCATACAAAGGACATACTTTAATATAATAAAAGCCATCTGTGACAAACCGACAGCCAACATAATACTGAATGGGAAAAGTTAAAAGCATTCCCTCTGAGAACTGGAACAAGACAAGGATGCCCACTCTCACCGCTCCTCTTCAACATAGTACTGGAAGTCCTAGCCATAGCAATCAGACAAGAGAAAGAAATAAAGGGTATCCAAATTGGTAAAGGGGAAGTCAAACTGTCACTGTTTGCTGATGATATGATCTTTACCTTGTAAACCCTACGGACTCCTCCAGAAAGCTCCTAGAACTGATAAAAGAATTCAGCAAAGTTCCTGGATACAAGATTAATGTACACAAATCAGTAGCTCTTCTATTACATCAACAACGGCCAAGCAGAGAATCAAATCAAGAACTCAACCCTTTTTACAATAGCTGCAAAAAATAAAAATAAAATACTTAGGTGTATACCTAACAAAGGAGTTGAAAGACCTCTACAAGGAAAACTACAAAGCACTGCTGAAAGAAATCACAGATGACATAAACAAATGGAAACACATCCCATGCTCATGGATTTGCTGTTTTTAATGCATGACTCCCAGGAATACTCTGGTTGTTGGCAGGCAGCCGAGAGTCAAGGGGAGGAGAGAACTGGGATACTACAAACAAGGCTCCATGGGTCAAGTCTGGGAAGACTGCAAACCAATTGTGTCTAAAGACTATTGGCCAGAATTTAGTCGTAAGGGTCATCCTGACTTGAATAAGGCTGGGGAATATAGTCTAGCTATGTGCCCATGAGGAAGGAAAAAAAGTTGGAGAACAGCTAGCCAATTTGTACCATAATACCCCACCTTTTAGTATTGGATTACCTTAAAATATCCTCTCTGTTAACCTGAAATATATTGCTGCACATATAAATATATTATTCATGCATTCTCTTTCAATTAAACGTAAAGAACTCACCTTGCATCCCAGCCGAATATTCAGAACAACTATTCAGAACAACTGCCATCCTGTAATGTAGTTATTACAATAAATGAGAACATTTTAGATAATTCTTCGTGTATAAAGATATTCCATCCATGATGCTGAAACAAGAAGTCTTTAGGTCAAACCATCTGAGACTGGGAGATTGCATGGAAATGAAAAATAGACTTAGATGTGTTTTAAAATACTTAGAAGTGATTACTGATAGAATAAATGTAACATGTACACCTTTCTAAATCACCAGTGGAACAACTGAGCAAAGGAAAAATGATAGCTATATAGGACTACAGTCTGTTTTAGTACAATGCATACTTCTATGATGTGAATTAACTCACATGTTATTTATAAATAGGGTAATGATGTCAGCATAATGTGGGAATCACATCGATTTAAACACTGTTTTGCTCAGGTCAATAAAGGCCTGCACCATCAAGTAATAGTTACGCACAAAGTACGCTACACAGCTGATTTCAACAAACTGTTTTTCTACTGTCTGCAATACCCATGTATTTCATGATCTTCTATAAGAACCGGTTTTGATTTTAAACTCTATCTTGAGCATGCTGTGTACAACATTGTTTACTGTGGTTGATTTCCACTGGAAATGTAATTTTTTGGCTTGTTTGTTAAACTGAGATAGTATATTAGGATTATTTTTGCTAGTAAGTTGCAGAGTTGAATAGGGTTTTCATGTTCTGTTCTCAATCCTAGTTTTCTCCTGAACCCTATTACTTTTAATACTGTTTCAGAATTTGAAATTCTTAGCAATGCATATATTTCATTCCATAAGGTATGCCTCTCTTTTCAGTTTCAACTGTGAAAAACCCAGTATAAGCTGCCTCAAAAAAACCCCTGATATATATTAAATTATATAACTAGAAAGCCTAGTGGCTTCATTGGCTTCAGCATAGTTTTACTCATGAATTAAAGACAGTTTTTATGTAACTATTTCTTTACTTTTAGTTCTGCTTTTCTCAATGGACTTCAGTTTGAATTGCAGGCTTTCCCTATGAGGTAGATAAGTGGGTAATATCAGCCTAAGGCTTGTTCTCATTATATATACGATGATGATATACATAATTTTATATATATATATATCATATATTAATCTGGAATACATTGCAAGAAAAAAGAGCATAGTCAAAAAGGATAATTAAAGAACCCTTAATATTGAAACTATTTGCAAGTTTCAGGCAGGTTAAGAGACAGCTATGAGGGGTAATGAAACACTCTGGGATAGTAGAAGGAAGATTGTTCGCACTGCTAGGCTGAAGGAGTAAGTGGAACGACAGGTCACCAGAACCAGTGAGTAGTGCAGTTGTGGGAGAGGGTTACCAAACTAGAGCTGTGGCCTTCAGTAGAAAATCACAGCTACTGCCAACCTGGAGCCCAGAAGGGAGAGAACCAGGAGAACAAATACTCCGTCCTTTCTTCTTTTTCTCTGATCTTAATATTGCCTCCCATGGGCCAAACCTAATTGAAAGTAAGAGAATTGAGTTAAGGCAGTCCATAGAGGTTAGCTTCAACAGAGCAAGGTGAGAATTAAGGATGGAGGGGAAAAGGGAGAATATCCAATGACATCAATGTATCCACTTGAGTAAAGAGATAGTTTTTCTTCCAGTGGCCTCTTATGATTTTTAGAGAAAGTGTTCATTGGCTTGGATCATATGTCCATACACAGTAGGCAGGGAAATTTTGTGTTCTGGTTATATAACTCTGGTTGTACAGTGTGGATTTCTGAATAGTGTGATTAACAACACTGACCAGCAACACATGGGTTGGGGAGGAGTAGTCAAAATACTTTTATAGATCTGTGTAGCTGACAAAGTGAAGAGCAACATGGTATACTCTGGTCTGGCTTTCAGACACAAATTTTCTCCTAGTGGTGACTTAACCCAGTAGATTTTTAAGTACTTTACACTCATCCCAGTCAAATGATTCACTTTCCATAGAGTTGGAGGAGGAATAAATACTGAGGGTGAATCCACCTATTTACTATATAGTATTTTCCTTTGAGAAAATAAACCAAGTCCCCTTCTAGGGAAGCAGATGGATGAGGTGGAGGAAGAGAATTCATCCTCATCCTTTGACAAATGTTTATATCCTCTAAGTCTAACCCCAAATCTGGAAAAGGATAGCTGCTCAGTAAATATTTAATGAAATGGATAATTATCAGAATAACAGTTTCCAAAGTGTATTTCATTTAGAATATTTAATGAAATGTATAATTATCAGAATAATAGTTTCCAAAGTGTATTTTATTTAGAATATTTAATGAAATGGATAATTATCAGAATAACAGTTTCCAAAGTGTATTTTGTTTAGAATTTTCCAGGTAGCTGAGGAAAATAAAAAAATAACCTGCTCTCAATGTTGTAGTCTCATAATCCACATTCCATATGCTTAACACTTTTCTTCTGATTGAATGATTTGCATTAATTACAAATGAATGCTAAAAACAAAACTTTTTCATTCCTAATAAACTTATTTTTATTTAATCATTTTTGCTTCAGAAACGGGTAATGGCAGTTTTCAAATACTATTCTAATGTGAGTGCATTAGACACTATTGTTCACGTAGGATTTGTTCCTTTGATTTGATGGAAATATCCGGATGACAATTTTTTTTAAAGTCACTACGGGGATATAACGGATGTCAAGGTGATTCCTTTTCCTGTCCCTTCCCTTTTCCCACAAGAATTTGTACTGTGAGAGAGTTTTGAATGTCTTAGTACAGTCGGTTGCTCATATGACATTTTTTTCTTTATCTTTGTGACAATGCAAGTTGAAATGATTGAGGGGTGGAAGAACTGAGAACTGTAGACAGAACTAATGCAAATTTTGCACATCAAATAGAAGCTAGAAGCTTATTGATTTAAGAAGCATTTCTAAGAGTTCTACTCTATCAGCTGGCTCATGGGTGGTCAACTGGTTCAACTTCACTAAAAAGAGTTCTTTTTACTTTAATTTGCTTTTTAAAATTGTTATCTAAGACTTTTCAAGAGCACACTGGGGTTTTTCATTTCAGATCCTCTGGAGAGACACAGTGTTTATTTTCCATAAAAGAAGTGAACACAGTGTGTTCCTTTGAAAAGCTCAGCCTCCCTTTCTGAGGTGAACAAAACTCCTTTAGTAGGTTCCACTAGAGTCAAGCTCATCAGGGGATGGTGGCTTTCTTCTGTTTGATTCTTACCTAACCCAATTTTTCTGTGAATAGGTGGTATTGGTTTTTCAGTTGCTTTCCACTTTGGAGTAGACTATTTCAGTCTTAGAAAGGGCATAGAAAGAGTTGATGGGAATGAAATAGGCAGCATTTTTTGGTCACTCTTAGAATAACTTTTGACTTCTCTCAAAGGAACATCTGAGCCTGAGGGATTCAACTAGTTTTATTGGGACAAAACTTCCAGGCTCCATCCCTGCTTTTAAAGAGGAAAAATATTCCATTCTAGCCATTCCAGAGGTGAAGAAATGCTGTCTTCCACTTTCTAAACATTCTTACCCAGCTTCCTTCATGTTTTCTCCTCACTGTTGGCATGCTTTAAAAACTTGCTGTCTTTGCATTCTCGGGTGAGCCATATCTAAGAGATAGATTAACAGCTACTGTCCCCCAAACTGAGGATAGAAAGATGTGTCACCAAAGGAACCATAAAACAAGAAAGGATATTTTAGTGAGGCTAATTTGAGTGAGGCTAAATTATTTTCACTAAGTATGTAAAACATTTATTGATTTGGAGTCACTTCAAATTTACTTTCTTGACAATCACTGGATTAAATATTATTTTTGGTATCAATCAATATTTTTAAAAGATATATTTATAATAAGCCATTGGTGAAGTTAGTGTTGAAGTCCTATAAAAATAGACCTTGTTTTGTCTATAGTAGCATTAAACCTATACCAGTATTATTGCTGATTTACAATAATATCTAATATTTACTCCATTTTTCTTAATCTCAGAGAACGGTCTACCAAAAAAATTTAAAAAAAAGAAATGCTTGAGTAAAATGTTAAATTCAGTTTCCTTATTACCATGACAATGGCAAGGAAGCAAGGAAATCTGTCTTCCCTTTCATGGATGGATTCACATTATCTCTTAGCATTTCTCCCCCTGGTAGTCCTGGATCATTCCAGGTGACCGTAATATGCCCAGTTCATACTGAGGAGGGATTTTCACTATGGGCATAACCTGCAGCATCTCTTGTAGGTGAATATGGTGTAGTTGTATAATCCCTTCCCCTCACGATCCATTAGTTATCCCAAACTCTTACAGTGGAGCTAGAAAGGACATCTGTCATACATGAGGTTCTGTGAAACTCTGAGACCTTAAATACTTTTGGTAAGTCATTGTCTGTTTAAATAGTTTAGTAAGTTATTGTCAGTATGCTCATTTATCTGTTGTATATGTCATATCTAAAGTTCTCACTTTGGCCAGGTGTTGTGGCTCATGCCTGTTATCCCAGCACTTTAGGAGGCTGAGGCAGGAGGATTGCTTGAGCCCAGGAGTTTGAGACTAGCCTTGGCAACATAGTGAGACCCTGTCTCTACAAAAAGATAGATAATAAAATTAACTGGGTGTGGTGGTGCATACCTGCAGTCCCAGCTATTCAGAGGCTGAGGTGAGAGGATGACTTGAGAGTGGGAGATTGAGGCTGCAGTGAGCCGTTGAACACACCACTGCACTCCACACTGTGAGACAGACTGAGACCCTGTCTCAAAAAAATAATTAAAAAAAATAAGATAAAGGTCTCACTTCAAGGTACTGAAGTTGTGTAATATCCCTCAACATTGCAGAACATTACAGAACACAGTAATGTGTTTGCAAAAGGATATTGATAGAAAGGATATTGATGTTTGCTGTAGGATTTTAAAATACATTTCTTTGTTTGAGGGGCTGCTGTCTTTCTGAATCATAGCCCCCAGGCTAAAGTCGTAATAGATTCAGATCATGACATTGAGCACTCCTCAAGCTCCATGCTGTCTTATTGCTTTTGTGGACAATCTGTAAGGATTTATGGGTTGAAAAGTGGAAATTAGTGGACCCTATATTAAGTAACCTTTAAGGAAGTTAACCTAGTGAAATGCGATGTATTTTCATGTGATACCAGGGCTTCAGAAAATCTTTTTATTTTTTATGTTTCATTTTTTTCCTGCAACAAATGGTCAAGTAGTACTAATTTAATTTTAAAGGCAAATATTCAAAATTAATTTCCAAGGAGGTAGAGATCCTTTCAGATTGATATGGTGATAAAATAGTTAAATGCATCCAAGATACAAAAAAAGCATACCTTACTTCTTATATCTCAAAATAATTCCTCTTTGTGCCACACCTGTTGCCTTGTTAAAATGGATGTGATTAGCTAATGGCACTATAACTTGAAAATAATGGTTCACATACTCCCTGAAATCCTTCAAGCTGGAAGACACTCACAGTGTCTGATTAGGCCTCTTGTTTCAAGGCAGCACTGTGCCTTAGTATTATATTACAAACAAGCAGATGGTCTGCTTTATATTTGAAGGAAAAAAATATCAGGGAAGGTACTCGTTCCCTGATAGTTGATTTTCAGATCAGATTTCAAGAATTCTTTGATTCCTAAGTGACTATTGGAGTTAGGGTTTATTTTAGAAAAAGAAACACTGCATCTGTTGAACATAGAAACACCTGTTGCTGTCGATGAGTACTGCTGATAGTTTATGCTAAAAATTCTAGTTTTGAATTTTATTGGGACTTTAACAGGTATTTATAGAGACCTGACTATGTTTATAATATGGTACTTCTGATTAACGTGAAGAGGTTGCAGTCAGAGTTTCTGACCCTCATGTACAAAGAACTGGAGAAATAGATAAGGTTTATGGTCTTAGAGTAGAGCTACCTAAGTAAGCATCCTGAGGAAGGTGGAAACAAATGTCATGGAGATTGATCATTTCATAAACATTCCCTTATTGCTGGATTTTTAAAATCACAAAGATATAAATGAGGATATTAATTGGGGGGAGGGTGAAACAAAAACATCACTGAATATAATTTACTTGCAAAACATTGCTGGAAATCTTTTAAGCAATGCACATTATAGTAAGAGGATAAGAAAAGAGATATGAACAAGAATAAAATATTAATGTTTTTATATTAATAAGAGTAGCAAAAACAAATATCTAAATATTTTTCATGTGTTCTCAGGAGTTTACATGTGTTGTCTCACTCAGTCCTCAAAATAACACTGTGGAGTTGGTCCTGTCATTATTCCAGTTGTGTAGCCAAGGAAAATGAGGCTTAGATGTTGCACTAGCGGTGAGTGGTAGAGTTCAGATTCCAACTCAGTAAACCCTGTAAGCATCAACACAGAGTTAAGTTCATTTAGGTTGAACCATAAGATGTGGCAAGCTTACCAACAGGAGACAGGAATGGAAACATTCTATGTGGGCTGTGCTCTGTGCAACACTGCTCTCAGAAGACGTGTGGTATAGAAGGGCATTACTTAAAGTGTGGTCCATGAATTTCTTCTAGTCTGTGAATTATTTATGTTACTGTTCTGCGACATTATAAATACAAAATCTAAGAATTAGCCCTACAAAATTCTTACAGCAATTTGATAGTATTTTTTTCTGTTGAAACTAATAACCACAAAAAAAGGGACTGTATTTTTTATGTTTTACATTTAATATTTTTAGAATTGTATTTTTACTTTGTTCTATAATAATCAGTGACAGGCTGGAGAATTTAAAACAAGAACAAAAATCTGGTGTTTTCCAGCAAAGAGTTTGAGAAATACCAATGTAGAATAAAGACCATCCTGGTTCTATTAGTTGCAGATATGATTTTTGGAATGGTTTTAATATCTACCTAGTAGGATGGCTTCCAAGTTTAAATGCAGGGACATATTAGCTAGCATCTCCCACTGTGCTTAGCACATGGTAGATTTTTCAATCAAAGCCAGCTGAACTTGTAACCATGAGAATAAAAACCAAGAGTAGGTTAATAGCATTTTCACTGCATCTCACTTCAGTGATCATTTTAGTCTGAGGAACAGTACTGAAGTCAAACCTTCTCTTCTATCAGGGTCTCTTTCGGTCAGTCTGTCTTTGTAATTCAGTTCTAGAATAAAGAGGCAAGTTAGATGAAAAAAGGTGCAGGTCAGGGGATTTATGCAAAAAAGAATTTGCTCAGAAGGTCCTGGAGTCTGTATGGACTCAGATGAATCTTCTACAGTAGTTTACAGTGAAAACTGATGCTATAGAATGTTGATTCAGGCACTCAGAGGGTTACAACTGTCAAAGTAAAGACCTTGGTGCTGAACACCCAGGGGAGGATTTGAACAAATGGGAAGCAGCATCAGCTGCTGCCTGAAGCTTGCAGCTGTGTGCTGCTTTCAGTTTGCTGTGTGGCTTTGCCAGGCTCTTCTCTGGAACCTTTCTTCCTTCTCTATAACTTCTGTACCTCCCAGGCCTCTTCACTGCCTTCCTTCAACTCCACGTGGATAAGTTCCTTTTCAACTCTTTTCACTATCCAAAACTTCTTGCTTCTCAGATGTGTGTGTGTGTGTGTGTGTGTGTGTGTGTGTGTGTGTGTGTGTGTGTTTGGAGATGGAGTCTCACTCTGTCGCCCAGGCTGGAGTGGCATGATCTCAGCTTACTGCAGCCTCCGGCTCCTGGGTTCAAGCGATTCTTGTGCCTCAACCTCCTGAGTAGCTGGGATTACAGGTGCCCGCCACCATGCCCAGCCAATTTTTGTATTTTTAGTAGAGACAGGGTTTCACCATGTTGGCCAGGCTGGTTTCGAACTCCTGACCTCAGGTGATCTGCCCGCCTCAGCCTGCCAAAGTGCTGGGATTACAGGCCTGAGCCACTGTGCCTGGCTAGATGTACATATATTTGTCATAGGATATTCTAGAAGGAATCTTTCATAGAATATTCTGGTTCAAATGCCAGCCTATTCAGCAATCCTCTGTGCCACAAAACTGACTTTTAATTTTTTTTTTTACTATATCCCTCCATGCCAAATTCTGAAACCTTAATGAAAGTTATCTCATCTAGGTTTTTAGAGGGGAAAAAAAGAAAAAAACATTTTTACTAAATGAACAAATACTTTGTAAAAATTTACTGTGTTCCTGCCATGTGTGAGGCCCTCTGCTGGGCATGGGGAGAGTGCAAATATGGGTTATTTCCTCATTCGATATTTACTGGGAAGGTCACTGTAATATACATTAAGAATAATCCTAGAGCACATACAAATACACAATTTAAACAGACTAATGTAAAGTTAAATAAAAATAGTAGTTCCATTGTTTTCTTCCTGCACCTGATATGGTTTGGCTCTGTGTCTCCACCTGAATCTCATCTTGAATTGTAATCCCAATTGTAATTCCCACATGTTGAGGGAAGGGCCTTGGTGGGAGGTGATTGGATCATGAGGACAGTTTCCCCCATGCTGTTCTTGTGAAAGTGAGTTCTCAGAAGATTTAATGTGTTTATAAGTGGAAGTTTTTCCCCTGCTTTCCTGTCTCTCGCCTGCTGCCATGTAAGATGCACTTGCTTCCCCTTCACCTTCCACCATGACTGTCAGTTTCCTAAGGCCTCCTAGCTATGCAGAACTTTGAGTCAATTAAACTTCTTTCCTTTGTAAATTACCCAGTCTTGGGTATCCTTATAGCACTGTGACAGACTAATGCAGCACCCCAATGGAGCGCTGTAAACACTCCTTAGGCAAGTATGTTCCACTCTAAAGATCACTGTTCAAAGGTGAGATCATGAAGCTATTAGGTAAATATATCATAAAGAAAAAATTGTGCTATATAATAAAAGAAACTATCATCAGAGTGAACAGGCAACTTATAGAATGGGAGAAAATTATTGCAATCTATCCATCTGACAAAGGGCTACTATCCAGAATCTACAAGGAACTTAAATTTACAAGAAAAAGCAACCCCATCAAAAAGTGGGCGAAGGATATGAATAGAAACTTCTCAAAAGAAGATATTTATGCAGCCAACAAACATATGAAAAAATGCTCATCATCACTGGTCATTAGAGAAATGCAAATCAAAACCACGGTGAGATACCATCTCATGCCAGTTAGAATTGGGATGATTAAAAAGTCAGGAAACAACAGGTGCTGGAGAGTCTGTGGAGAAATAGGAAAGCTTTTACACTGTGGGTGGGAGTGTAAATTAGTTCATCCATTGTGGAAGACAGTGTGGCAATTCCTGAAAGATCTAGAACCAGAAATACCATTTGACCCAGCAATCCCATTACTGGGTGTATACCCAAAGGATTATAAATCATTCTACTGTAAGGACACATACACACGTATGTTTATTGCAGCACTGTTCACAATAGCAAAGGCTTGGAACCAGCCCAAATGCTCATCAATGATAGACTGGATTAAGAAAATGTGGCACATATATACCATGGAATACTATGCAGCCATAAAAAAGGATGAGTTCATGTGCTTTGCAGGACGTGGATGAAGCTGGAAACCATCATTCTCAGCAAACTAATGCAGGAACAGAAAACCAAACCCCTCATGTTCTCACTCATAAGTGGGAGTTGAACAATGAGAACATGTTGATACAGGGAGGGGAATATCACACACTGGGGCCTGTCGGGGGGTGGGGGGCTAGGGGAGGGATAGCATTAAGAGAAATACCTAGTGTAGATGATGGGTCGATGGGTGCACCAAACCACCATGGCACGTGTATACCTATGTAACAAACCTGCACGTTCTGCACATGTACCCCAGAACTTAAAGTATAATAATAAAAAATAAAGATTTTATAAATAAAAAAAGAAAATTGTGTTATAAAAGTTGTAGATGAAATGATAGGAAGTGACAAATGGGAGCTATTATTTTTAACTAATGGATTTTAAACATTTGTTCCATACCACTTTATATATGGCTCTGGGGATTTAAAACAAATTAATATGACAATACAGTGCTATGATTTAAAGCAGAGGTTGGCAAATTTTTCTGAAAAGAACCAGATAATAAATATAGTAGGCTTTGCTGGCCACACTGTTTCTGTCATAATCAACTCAACTCTGCCCTCAGGTAGCGTGAACAAATAACAGCACAGGCATTGGGTAAATGAATGGGCCTGACTGTGTTTCAGTGCTGCCTGCAGGCCATAGCTTGCTGAACCCTGATGAAAAGAGAAGGCTTTGCAATTAAAGCTGGTGATGAATTCTGGTATTGATATCAGTTCTGTTGTCAGCCATGTATCAGGTATACAAACTCTCCTAGGCTTGATTTCCTCAGTGACAGCCTAGATAGGCCAAGTGCACTTTGTGGTCTACACATCATCATCACCCAGAAACTTGTTAGAAATGCAGAACCACAGGCCCTGCCTAAGGCCTATTGATTCAAGAATCTGCATTCTAACAAGCCCCTTGGGGTATTTGCGTATCATAGTTGGAGAAGCACGGGGACAGATGCTGCTGCTGCTGCTGATGATGATGTTGTTAGTACATCAATGTATAGGGTTACTGAATTGTGTGGTTAATTGAGATGCTGCCCTCAAAGCACTTATGTACTAGAACTAGAATAATCACTCCATCATGTTTTTGCTCACCCATGCCTGTATTAGGATTTGTCAGAAAACTCAGAATTAAGTGGAATCTAGGAAGATTTTATATTAAATTAAAACCAAACCAAGTCACATTTAATTAAAATTAAAGCCAAACCATATGGGATGATGAATAGGATTTATTCATGGAGTGACAGGAGCTACAGCATACTAGGGTCATTGCAAATTGTTTAACTTGTAAGGTGTAGCCATATTCTGAATAATGAATGACTTAGTAAAGGAATTTTGTGAAGTCAAGTGGGGAGGAAATGTAGGCTTCTCTCCTATTGGCATTTTCTGAGTCCTTTTGGAACTCTGAGTTTGTTTTTTTTTTTTCATTTCTTTGCTGTGGTAAGTAGAGTAAATAGATGATATTAGAATGAGGTAGGGACTATCTTCGAAGTGAGAAAGGTATAAGAAATACAATATCGTTTTTGAGAAAATTTTGTTTTAAAGACCTAAGCCACAAAAACATATTCTTGGTTAATCAGAAATTTAAGAAAACATGAATGCTGCATTCTTTTAATATTTGTTATATAACGTGTAATATTAGTAGTAAAGTGAATTATGTTCTCTACGTTCATTTATCCTTCTGTTTTATGTTAAAGCAATGGCCCAGACCCCCAGATTTTGGTTGTTAACCATAATTAGAATACCTCTTTTTTCTAAAAGGCTGGCATTGTGTAAAGAATTTTACAGTGTAAGGTCACTGCTTAGCAAGAGTAAAGGAACACAGTCTAACAGAGTCATTTCATCTTCTGTATCTATTTTGTCAGCTCTTAAATGAGAATAATGCTGGTTCTTCTACAGATATTGTGAGGACAGACAATAAAGGTCACTGTGCTCTTTAGAAGAATGATACTTCAGAAGTCCAAGATAGGATTAAAACCGAAATATCTTATTTCAACCTTTTAAGTAGGTAGGAATGACTGTTAGAATAAAAAATGGAGAACTGTACAAATGATTGGTACGTTTGAAACATTTCTTTTTTTTTATTTAAAAATAATTCAAATTGACTCTGGAGTACTTTGAATCAGAGATGGGTAACTAAACACCATGCCTAGTAGGCAGACAGTAGTTGAATAGAAGTATCAAGGAAAGGACTGGAGTGGGCAGAATAATGTAACTGCTATAGAGAACTGGATAAGGGTGAGTTTACCTGTGATGGTGGGATATTTAGCAGGGTTGATTGAATAGGAATTTTGAGATATATGTTGAATAGAGGCCCTGGATCATAATTTCTAGAAAAGTAATTTTAGTTATGTTATTTAATGGTTTTGATAACTGCACACATGTGGTGTCTTGTGTGAATCCCAGGTGGTCATGCCTACAACAGAACCTTGTATAATTCCTGACATGGAGCAAGTGCTCAATAAGTGTTTGTTCATTTGTTTTTCTAGCTGGAAATTCTGATGCCAGAGTTTGCTTAATGAATGGCATTGATGTGAAACAAAGAGTTAATGGTTTTCCTTAATACAGTCACCTCAATTCTTTCTGCTCAGTACAGCCAACCTTTTAAAAAGAATTTCTCTGCAACTTCCTTATGCTTCCCCATTAGCATCTTTTTTATAGTGTCTTTATTTCTCTCCTTCCCACTCACTCCACAAACCTCTCCGAACTGTCTTTCCCCCAGAAAACTAATCCAAAAATATGTGGTCATCAATTACTGCAGGGTTTTTAAGTTTCAGGGACTTTTTCCAAAGTCTCAATCTTATTACTAAGCACTTCTAAGACTGTTACATACTTTTCATGAAACATATTTCCTATGGACTCTATATTCCTAGAGTTTCCCTTTCACATTTGGTCCAGTCTCCTCGCTGTGTACTCTTCGCTTTGGTGATGTGATTCATAGTCATGAAATTATTGACCGGCTTTCCTACCACAAATCCAAAATGTGGACCTTCAAGTGAGGTTTTCATTCTGAGCTTCAAAGTGATAGGAAAAAGGATTTACTTGGCATATTTTCTTATATGTTTCATAGTCAGCGGATATGAAAGAAGTCCAAACTAAATTCCCAAATCTAGCACAATGCCCTTTCTTATATACTGTATTCTTCTAGGACTGTTCTATTCTAAGCTTCACCTCATCACACAAGTAGACATATATGTATATATGTGTGTATGCATATATATAAACACGCACATGTGTGTATATTTGTATATATATATACAAACTACGTATTTATGTATACATACATAAATTAAAAAGACAATACAATTGCCATACTTATATGACATACATATATGGCAATTGTATTGTCTTTTTCCTCTGGCAGATTATAAATAAGGACTTTTTAAAAAAATCATTCTTGCGTGTCCTATACTTAGATAAGGCCTGATATATCATTGATGCTCAAAATATTTAGCAAATGAATTAATCTAGTTCAATTCATTCATTCATTGTATAATGGAGTAAGAAACAGCATAGGCTTCAGCTACACAGTCATAAAGACTTCAGGTGGTTTTCTATGCATCTCCTTATACCTGTGTTTAAATAACGAAGATATAAGTTACTTTGTGTAGCTTCTCCCCCCTTGTTGTCTCCCCTCGTTGTCTCCATACCATTTATAAAAATAGTTATGGTACAGAGTCCTTGTAGGATATAAGTACAGGCATACCTTGTTTTATTATGCCTCACGTTATTGCATTTTTCAGATACTGTTTTTTATAAATTGAAGGTCTCTGGCAATCCTGTGTCAAGCAAGTCCATTTCCTAACACCATTTTCAAAATAACACGTGCTCACTTCATGTCTCTATGTCACACTTTGGTAATTCTCACAATATTTAAAATTTTCTCATTTTTTATACCTGTTAGGATTATCTGTGATCAGTGATCTTTGATGTTACTATTGCAATTATTGTGGGGCACCACAAACAGTCTCCGTGTAAGACAATAAACTTAATCAGTCTTGTGTGTGTTCTGACTATTCCATTGACTGGTTCTGCTTGCACTTCTCCCTGTCCTTGGCCCTTCCTATTTTCTGAGACAGCAATAATGAAGAGAGACCAGTTAATAACCCCACAATGGCCTCTAATTATTCAAGTGAAAGGAATAATCACACATCTCTCACTTTAAATCAACAGCTAGAAATGATTAAGCTTAGTGAGGAAGGCATGTCAAAAGCTGAGATAGGCCAAAATCTAGGTCTCTTGTACTAAACAGTCTAGTTATGAATGCAAAGGAAAAGTTATTGAAGGAAATTATAACTACTACTGCAGTGAACACACAAATGATAAATAAGTGAAACTGCTTTATTGCTGAAATGGAAAATGTTTGAGTGGTGTGGATAGAAAATCCAACCAGCCACAACACTCCCTTAAGCCAAAGCCTAATTCAGAAAAAGTTCCTAATTGTCTTCAATTCTGCAAAGGCTGAAAGAAGTGAGAGAGCTACCGAAGGAAAGTTTGGAGCTAGCAGGAGTTGGTTCCTAAAGTTTAAGAAAAAGATCTTAAAAATGCATTGCCATCACATAAAAATGCAAGGTGAGGCAGCAAGTGCTGATATAGAAGCAGCAGCAATTTATCCAGAAAACCTAAGATAATAAAGGAAGATGACGACACTAAACAACATATTTTCAATGCAGATAAAACAGGCTCCTGTTGGAAGAAGATTTCATCTGGGACTTTTGTAGGTATAGAGAAATCAATGCCTGACTTCAAAGCTTCAAAAGACAGGTTGACTCTCTTGTTAGGAGCTAATACAGCTGCTGACTTTAAGTTGAAGACAATGCTCATTTACCATTTTGAAAATCTTGGGGTCCTTAAGAATTATGATTAATCTACTCTGTCTGTGCTCTAGAAATAAAACAACAAAACCTGGATGACAGCACAGTTGTTTACGGCATTTTAAGTCCACTATTGAGAGCTACTACTCGGTAAAAAAAAAGATTACTTTCAAGACATTATCGCTGACAATGCACTTGTTACCCAAAAGCTCTCATGAGGATGTACAAGGAAATTCATGTTTTCATGGCTGCTAACACAACATCCATTGTGCAGCCTATGGACCAAGGAGTAATTTTGACTTTCCAGTGTTATTATTTAAGACTTATTTAAGAAGTACATTTCATAAAGCTATAGCTGCCATAGATAGTGCTTCCTTCAATGGATCTAGGCAAGGTAAATAGAAAACCCCCTGGAAATAAATTTATAATTCTAGATGCCATTAAGAACATTCATACTTCATGAGAGGAAGTCAAAATTCAACATGAACAGGAGTTTGGAAGAAATTGATTCCAACCCTCATGGATGACTTTGAGGGGTTCAAGACACCAATGGAAAAAGTGAACTGCAGATGTGGTGGAAATTGCAAGAGAACTAGAATTAAAAGTGGAGCCTGAAGATGTGGCTAATCTTCTTTGCTGCAATCTCATAATAAACTTGAATGAACGAGGAATTGCTTCTTATGGATGAGCAAAGAAAGTGACTTCTTGAGATGGAATCTACTCCTGGTAAAGATGCTACGAACATTGTTGAAATGACAACAAACGATTTAGAATAGTGCATAAAGTTAGTTAACAAAACAGTAGCAGGCTTTGAGAGGATTGACTCCACTTTTGAAAGAAATTCTACTGAGGATAAAATGCTATTAAACAGCATTGCATGCTACAGAGAAATCTTTTGTGAAAGGAAGACTTCACTGTTGCCTTAGTTTAGGAAACCAGCACTACCACCCCAACCTTCAGCAACCACCACCCTGATTAGTCAGCAGCCAACAACATCGAGGCAAGATCCTCCACCAGCAAAAAGATTACAGCTTGCTGAAGGCTCAGATGATTGTTAGCATTATTTAGCAATAAAGTATTTTTAAGTTAAGGGATGCATATTTTTTATGTATAGTACTATTGCACACTTAATATACTACAATACAGTGTGAACACAATTTTCCTGTGCACTGGGAAACCAAAAAAACCTCATGTGACTCGCTTTACTGTGGTGGTCTGGAGCCAATTCTACAATATCTCCTAGGCATGCTTACAATGCCATATAGTAATTATCTAAGAGTTCCTGATAAAGAAACACAGTAGGTGCTCTTGCTAATTCATCACTCTTTCTGTAGGCCTGCATTCATTTATGTTTTCACTGATTCATCCAATAGTGTATAAACAGCTACTTTGTGTGAGATCCTGTTCCAGGTGCTGAGAATCTAGTGATGATCAAACTGGGCCAAGTCTCTGTTCTTGTGATATTTTCATAGGAGGACACAAGCAAGAAATAAATAGCACATACATTTACTAAATTTTAGACGTATTCTCTGTGAGTGCTACGACGAAAATCAAAGGCCTTTCTGATGAGGTGTCACTTGAGCATGCTGAGGTAATGCATCCTTCCAAAATGTGGAGGCTGAGTGTTACGAGGTAGAAACACCAGCAACCTGAGTGGCAATGAGGTGGGAATGTGTTTGAATGCTCACGAAGCATCCTTCAGTGTAGCTGGGGAAAAATGAGAAATTTTAGAGAGGTAAAAGCTGAAGTAGATTTTGTAAGGTCATGTAGATGATTATATAGAATTCAGTTTCTTCTCTGGGTAAGATGGGAACCGTAGGGGCAGGGGGCAGGGATCTGAGCAGAGGAGTAACAAAGTTTAACTTCGATTTAAAGCAAATCATTTGGGCTACTCTCTGGAAAACAGACTCCAAGGGAGCGAGGGCTGAAAAGGAGAAGTCAGAAGGACATATATGAAATAGTAGAGGCAACAGGCAATGGTGACTTAGTACAGGATGGCATTTCTCAAGCATGGTTCCTGGGGCAGCTACAGCAACATCACATGGGCTCTATCCTAGACCTTCTGAATCAGAGACTGTAGAGGTAGGTAGGGCCCAGGAATCTGTGTTGCAACAAGCCTCCCAGAAAGTTCTGATGCTGATCAAAGTTTAAGAATCATGCTTTGGGTCATCAGTAGCTTGGAAGGGAATAAGAAGTAGTCATATTAGGGATATATGTTGAAATTAGAGCTCATGGGATTGACCAGTGGTTATGTGTGAGGTATGTATGAGAAAAGGGATAACACTGAGGTCTTTGAACTAAGAAACTGGTGGAATCCAGTTGCTGTGTGCTGAGAGAAGATCCTGGGAGGAGCTGCTGAAATGGGAGTCAGGTTAGTTCTAGGTGTAGTTATTGTGATGTGTCTATTAGTCACTCAAGTAGAGCCGTTGGGCAGGTGATTAGATATTCAAGTCTGGAGTCACTCTTTAATAAATCAGTTTTAGTTGTTGTACGTAGACTTATATATTGTTATTCAGGATTTCTTTATTCGGGAAATGAAATTAGAAGAGGACCTGTAGAGATTAAAGAACTATTTAGGACAGCATTTAAAAAATTAGCTCAAGAAGAAAAGTGAATTGTTAATTTTTTCCCAAGACTAATTCCTTCAACTTGTCATATGCTGTGGATCACCTAATAGAATCTCTTAAATGACTAAGTGTATTTTAATGAGCCCAGAAATTAAAAATCATTCCATTATTACCTTGAAAGACAAAGGTGTCATGAGCATTTCATATCCTCAGGTAGTATTCCATATCTGATTTAATAGCTTGCTGAGGGGCTGGGTTGCTTTAGAAGTCCATTGAGTGGCATTTTAATGGCAGTGGTACCAAGGATCCTAATAGTCTGTGAAATCTGTTTCACATTAGACCTTTTTGGAATTGGCTCAGCCTAATTTGCACCTATTAATTTAATTTTGAACAGCCTAGGCTGAAAGTTATATTGGCTGCTGATACATAACTTCATCTTTTATAAAAATCCAGATACCTGAGTTATATATCATGTTATCTATTTCCCCATTGTTTGAAATATAATACATCTTTCTATTTAAAGAATCAAAATGTTCTTTATTTTTCAAATAACAATATGCCTGAATTTATAATGGGATAAGTAGTTTTATTCGACTTGGTATAGAATTAAGAATGTAAGTAATGACATTATTCTCTACCTAATTATTAACAATTGTAGTTGTATAGCTCTGTCTTGAATTATAGTTTTGGTATGTTTCGATGATCTAGAGCTTCCATATTGGCAAACTAAGAAGGAAGAGTTGGAAACTAGAATAACTTTAGAGATAATTACTCTTAGTATCTTCAAAAGCGAGCAAAGATCTGTTCAGTTCAATTAACTTTTTACTCAAAAGTTAAGAAGGAGTTGAGTGGTTGGCATGGTAGGTAACTATCAAGTTAAACATACTTGGAGGGCTTCAGTGGCTCTTTTAAGCCTTTTGCTGGTGAAATGTGTAGCTAGAAAAATATGCACACCCTTTCAGCTGGATGTGGAACCTACCCCCATCCTCTTGGAATATTGATCTTATTCAGTTGTTGGAAAATATTATGGGCTGTTCAAACCCAATAGAAATGTCAACATATTTTAAAGATGAAAATTTGTGAATAGCTCTAAAAACAATTGGTGATGTATAGTTAATAAAATAAAATGTGATAGAAATAATAATGGCAAATTTTGAGTACTAATGACTTGGCTTTGGGTTGATAAGGACAGTAAAAGTTCTTTCCTGGTTTAAAATTTGCAAAAATTATTTTTTTTTGAAGAAAGATTCAGTGATACTAATATGTCTAATGATTGCTAAGCACAACCACAGACACTAGCAGTCATTAGGCACATTAGCATCACTGGATTGATTCTAGTTACGTTCACTGGAGCTATATTGAGTCTATAGAATCACTGTCTTACATTTTGAAGTTGCTTGCGTTTTGAATTTATCTAGCATGACCATGTCAAATAACCCTTTATCAGAATAAATTAATATGCATGAGGGTATATGTGTGTATAAATCTGTATCCACTTATAAATATATATCTTAAAATAAAAAAGATCCTATAGAAATACAAGTTAGTATTCCTTTAAACACACTTTTTTTGTTGTTAAACCACAGGTCAGTCAAGCTTAGTTAAATTTGAGTATTCAAGAGTTTTGTTATATTAAAGTAGTAAGTGAGAACATTGGGTTTCTAGAAGGCAAAAGTGAAGAATGTATGAAAAAGAAAAAATATTTCCAAAGATATCTTTCACAAACTTAGTGATAGTTGCTTAACACCCTGGTGACTTCTGTGCAACTTGATGTTTGCCAGCCTCTAGAGCTCCACATCAACGTATCCTGCTCAGTGCTTTGTTCATCTTTTTTTCCCAAGAGGAGCTCTGAAAGCTTCCAGCGAGTTGGAAGAGCAGAAAGCAGCAAGACTTTAGCATGTGTTCATGAAATAAAGAAAATAAAGAGCTAGTCTCATTTTTGTCCTTTCTTGTTACAGTTGCTTAAGAAAAAGATAACAGATAAAAAAGAGGAGAGATCCAGGCTCAAAATCTCAGGACTGGAAACTTTGCTTCACTTAGAGGTCACTCTCTGGCTGTTGGCTATAGTCAAATGGAGAAGCCAATGCTGTTGTTTCTGTGTCTAATTCCAATTTCATTTTGTGTAGCTGTCATTCTCATATTTCCTTCCAGCAGTAAATAAGGACATGGAACAGACACATTTCCTGGATAAGGCTATGAGTGCCAAATAAAAGAAGACATTACAGGAGGCCACAATAAAAATAAACAGAAGAAAGTGAAAAACTCTCACTTTTTTTAGGGGTAATGTTTCAAAAACAACCTCCAAATGATTGATAAGCATGTGCTTTCTTCTTATGATTAAGAAATTTATTTAGTGGTTAAGATATTTGGTTATTATTCTTGGATTGCTAGATTAAGGAATGTTCCTGGAATATTAAACTTTGTGGAACACGTCACTCCCCTCCTGAAAATAAATGTTTATCTTAATTACATTATAGTACTTAAAGTTTTTGGATGCAACTAATGATTATATCTAATTTGTGCCAAGTTCTCTGCTAAGTTATTGTATATTTTCTATTCTAGAATATGCTCTTTTTTTTTTTTTTACCCCAACCGAAAAATTACTTGTAGGTCTCATGACCTTTTTTCAGGTGATAGCTAGGGAAAAGACAAGTTTATTTGCAGCTGAAAGAAAATAACTTTCAGGACCGAGGGACTTGAGAGGCAGCTGAAGGAAAAGAAAGACATAGACTTTTAAATATCTTTATTCCCTGATAAAATTGTTCCCCAGAACTAACATTTTAAGCTTTATTATAAGTCAATACTCTGTGTTCTAAAGCCTTCAGTACAGAGATGAAAGAGAGGAAGTAAATGAGTACATGTTCTGAGAGCTGAAAGCTCTCTAGGGCAGGTGTTTTATAGTTGTGGTACGAGGACTCTGTAGCAAAAGGGTTTATAAAATTAATTCCTTTATCTGTAACATACCAATGATACCTTGCTACCTATCTCAAAGGTAGTGAGAATTAAGTCATTATATAGATGTGTAATGACTTTATTAGTGTTGTTATGAAAACACCAGCATTGCCATCTTTGTCTAATACTTAGAAGAGAGACAACGTAGTTTAGAGGGCAAACCAATGGAATAAACAAATAAGTTTAGCAGCCAGACAGGCCTGGGTTTTCTACTGCTTATAACTGTGAATCACTGGGCAAAGTAGCCAACATTTCTGAACCTCACTTTTCCTATCCATAAAATGAGAATGACCATCCTTAGTTAACAGTTATACCATGAAAATTACTGTGAAGTATTTAGCAATGAACCTGCGGATGATCCATAGGAGTTGTTAACTAATGCCTATTCCAGCCGTCTAAGCTTCAGTACCTTTTCTCCATTCCTGGGACATGGGATTGAACTGTCCCACAGAGGACACTCCTGCTGGAAGAGAAAGTCAGTCCTTCCTTTCCTCATGGTTGCCAGAATCAGGGAAGTAAACGTGAAACTGATTGTAAAAAGGGGCAATGAACTCAAATATGCCTTGAAGGAGGAACTAAGAGAATCTTCCAATCAAAACATCTGTAAGCAAGAATCTAAAATAGTTTATGAAGTGAAGAATTTGGGTTGTAAGTGGAATTTTTAAATGAGAAAAATAGTGTATTGACTCTAGATGGGATATTATCTAAATTTTTTTTTTCTTTTAAAATGGCTACATTTGCAGTGCCAGGGATGAGAGATAGGGGCCAGAGATCATCTAAATGCGTGGCCTCAGGAAACACTTGGTTACAACCTCTCCACTTTAAAAACAAACATGGATCGTTGAATGAATCCTTTTGTTCATTCTTTCTACCTCTAAAATTATCTGAAGCCACAAGGACATTGGAGGTTCACTGATTTCTTATTCATCGAAGCACCAGTGGTGCGAGTTGGAACGGCAGGGGTAAGAGGCTTGTGTGACAGTGCCCTCCACCTCTTGACCCAAAGATTTAAGGATTCACAACTACTATGTGGAGGAACGCATAAAGCATGACACAGGAATTTGTAAGAAGAATTTAGTTAGAACTTTTCTAAATAGTCTAAACTGACTACTCTGGCAAAGAGGACATCCTGTGAGGGTATACATACAGCTGTCCTCTTAAAAACAGAGCTCTCTTCAGTTCCCAATTTGTTATTGCTCAAGCTGAGAAGAGAAAAGCCCAGTTTCTTCCAACCAAAAGCAAATGTCGATTACCAAACAGCAACAACAAAAGGTCTGGACACTTCCCATTACTTTTGTTTTAATCTCTCTGTTTTCTAATCATTTTTGTTAAAAGTATCTCTTTTGGAAAATTCCAACTTTATTGGGTAGAGTTTATTTTATTTCAAAGAGCTTGCACTGAGTGCCTTACAGAATTCAGTAGTACCAGGGATAGCATAAAATCTATAGAAGAGAAAATAGGATAAAGAAATGTTATACATAAAATATCAAGTCATAAAATCAATGAGAAAGGTATAAAAGTAGAAAGTTAATAATATTATGTAATTTTCTTGCATCAGCTATAGTTCCATATAATAGAGTTGTTTTGTATATCCAGTTTCTTTTAAGGCTGTTTGTGTTTCTTCCATAATTCTCCAAACATACTGTAAAGGGATATTGTTTCTCATTTAATTGTGTTCATTCAGCCAAGATGCTGACTATGAGCTGCGGGAGAAGCAGAAGGATTGTATATATTTCATCTGCTGCTCTTCAAGCAGAAATGTGGTGGAACATGCATAGGAAAATTAAAATTGAAGGCAGTAAGTGACTAAGCACCATGACAGTTAACATAAGCATGGAATTATATAGACATTCAGGAAAAACAGTAACATGTGAATTGTCTTAAAAATGTTGTTCAAGAGTTTGTAAACTAAGCTACAATCTTTGACAACCTTACATTTTTAGTTGTCAAAGAGAAAGATACCAAGAAGGCAGGAGCTTGTAGTTAGGGAATAACTACATTTCAAGAGATGTTGTGAGATAGCCCTGACTAGAGTAATGCGAGAGGATCACATTAAATGATTAAATTATTATTATTATTGTTATTTTGAGATGGAGTCTCCCTCTGTCACCCAGGTTGGAGTACAGTGGCATGATCTCGGCTCACTGCAACCTCTACTCCCCGGGTTCAAGTGATTCTCCTGCCTCAGCCTCTCAGGTAGCTGGGATTACAGGTGCGCACCACCATGTCTGGCTAATTTTTGTATTTCTGGCAGAGACGTGGTTTCACCATGTTGGCCAGGCCAGTCTTGAACTCCTGACCTCAGGTGATCCACCAGCCTCAGCCTCCTACAGTACTGGGATTACAGGCATGAGCCACCGTGCCCAGCCTTAAATTAATATTGAATTAAAAATAGATGGATTAAAAGAAGGGTAAAACATTTTAAAAAGGAATAAGCATGTGGTAAGTAGAATTTGAGAACAGTGATGTGAAAATGAGGATTTGGGTATTTGTTTGTGACAATGGGAAGCCACCAAGAAAGATTAGTGTGAAAAATATGAACTGAGGAAGCACCTTTCTGGAGATAGAGACCTATTAGGTGGCTGTAAGTGTGTGATCTTGTCTTGAATAAGTGACACTGAGAATGAGATAGTGGGATGAATGGATGAAAGAAGGAAGAGTTTCTTGCACATAGCATTCTTTCAAATGCAAGAATATTCCCACACAGTGATGCCACTGGAGGCCTCCAACCCCCTTCCCAAATTGAAGGCTTCAACCAGCTAACACTGAGCCCTGATAACTGCCTAATTCATTGTTATTACCTGAATTATTCTTAAAATGTCAATAGACAAAACTTCTGATTAGTGTGGCCATAGAGAGTTGATAGTATTCCTGGCCAAAGAAAAAGAATTAGATTCTATGAGCATATATACAGAAAACTCTGTTTCTGCCATTGGTTATATTTAAGGAACTCAAACTAGAAACCAATGATAGATAAGATAGAGAAGAGAGAGCAGAAACTCGAAAATTTAGAAAGGGATCCTCTATCATACATGGGTTGTTAACTCAAGGTCAGCCATGAGTCTTTGAAGTGCTTAAGAAAATGAATTTAGCTTCTTAATAAAATATCTTAAACTATTAGGGAATTCTATTGCAGAGCTTTTTAAAAACAGCCATTTAAGAAAATTACATAAAAAGAAAGAAATAGAATAGAGAAGACATGCTGTGATGAACATTAAAAATTTGTTTCCAAATAATTAACATATTAAATGTATCTGTCATGATTTATTTGTCCCAACAAACTGATATCCTATACTTTCTACTTTGGAAAATTATTTCAAATTTGCATTTTGTACAAGTTGAGTGATATAAATTCTTTAGCTCTGCAGAAGAATAGAGGTATTTTATAGGTTAATAGGTGTCGAAAGGATTGATTTGTAGGCCTGGCAGTGAAGTACCAAAAAAAAAAAAAGAAAAAAGAAAAATTATATGCTAGAGCAACCCATGAACTTGCTAAATGTTGATAACTAAAGGCCTTCTTCTGGGACTTAAATATCCTCTAGGTTTCTCCAGTGACTTAAAGTGATGCCACAGCAGGTAGCAGAACTATAAGACATCATTTCTACCATTTGATATAAGATGTTTATTGTTTCCATCAAACACAACACATAAAATACCTTGTAAATGGCTGCAAAGCACATTATGAAGTGCCTCCTGGTGTGTTTATGCTAGTCCATTTTGAACATTTCCCTTTGCTACAGGCATCAAGAAATGACCTTTTTGGCAGTGTCTACTCCCTTTTGGATTTTCACTCCCTTCCAGAGTCCCATTATCTCATTAAATCATTTATGTGCAGGAGGAGAGATGCTGTAGTGAATAGCAAAATCCCATGATTTGTTTTTGATATGCTCTACCTTTTCAACAAATATATTTGGAGTAAAGTCTATATAAATAACTTAATTAAAGCCAGACATTGAATGTCAGGAATGAGCGTTTTTGACAGTATGGTGCGGACTGAGTTTTAAAACTCAGGATAATTTTAGAAACCCTGAATTATACAGTAGCTACCTTATGCTACATGGTACTTTATGTGAAGTTTTTGCCTTAACACAATGTAGGACAGTTCTTTCCTGAGTGACATTGCAATGATCACACTGTAAGGAATCACATGGTATAACTTTGCTGCTTGCAACCTTAATTTTCTCATTTGAAAAATGGAAGGATGTATTCAGTTTTTATTTTATTTATTTATTATTTATTTATTTTAATATTTTGAGATGGAATCTCACTCTGTCACCCAGGCTGGAGTGAAGTGGCGTGATCTCAGCTTTCTGCAACCTCCACTTTCAGGGTTCAAGCCATTCTCCCTCCTCAACCTCCGGAGAAGCTGGGACTACAGGCATTCACCATTTTTAAAGTTTCTTTTAATCCGTGAAGTAAAGAAATTAATGATGTGTCAGAACAGAATCTAGTTAGAAGCCCCTGAATTAACTTTTTCCATGCCTGATTAGCTATCTTCATGACAGAACTTCTAAATAGAGATAGTTCCTTATTTGATCATAAATCTGACACATTTCTTATTTTATCCATTATGTTAAGAGCAAACATTTTAGTTACCACTTCTTGGTTTAATCCAGGATCCTGTACTTGGTACTTTAATGAGTCTCGGGCAATTGACAATCATTTTGTACCTCAGTTTGCTTTTCTACAAAATGGTTTATTGGAAGGTTTAAATAAGCTAATCAATGTTAAATAGTCAAATGCTTACTGACAGTGAGTATTCAGAGTTAGGTCTTATTGTTTGTTCTTTATGTTGATGTTTTCAGCTGTAAAAATGTTCTTTGAATTGGGGGGGGGGCAATTTAGATTAAAAGTCACTTGAGATCCTGAAGCAGTAGAGGGCTCCGGTATGCTCAAGTCAGAAGACCTGCTGCTATTTTTGAGAAGGGGGAGGTCATATTTATCAGAATCTCACTGAGATATTTGGGGTTGGCCAGAAGGTGGACCCTCTCCCACTGTCTGCCAATATTAGACTTCAGAGAAATTACTGACTGGGCACCTTGGCTCATGCCTGTAATCCCAGCACTTTGGGAAGCCAAGGCAGAAGGATTGCTTGAGGCCAAGAGTTAAGGCCAGCCTGGACAACATAGTGACACCCCATTTCTACATGTAATACAAAATTTAGCCAGGTGTGGTGGTGTGCACCTGTAGTCCCAGCTGCTTGGGAGACTGAGGTAGGAGGATTCCTTGAGCCCAGAAAGTTAAGGCTGCAGTGAGCCATGATTGGGTAACAGAACAAGACCCTGTCTCAATTAAAACACCAACACCAACAACAGCGACAACAACAATAAAAAGGAAATTACCAAATCATTAAACTCTGATTTAGGAAAGATGCAGAGACCTTTGCCATTCACTCTCTTCCACTTGGAGACTTCAGGGAATTAAAATATGTACTTTAAATTTTCCAGTGAGGCAACTAAGGCCCAGTTTGATTAATTGACTTTTCAAAGTCATACTGACTGACTGTGATGGAGGAGGCAAGTATTACTGGCTTCATGACGTGTACTTGTGTGTGTGTGTCTGTGTGTGTGTGCTGGAGGAAAAGAGGAAATTCTTATACTATTCCATAAAAGTAGTTAGTGGCCGGCCAGCCATGGTGGCTCATACCTGCAATCCAAGCACTTTGGGAGGCCGAAGCGGGTGGATCACGAGGTCAGGAGTTCGAGACCAGCCTGTCCAATATGGTGAAACCCCGTCTCTAATAAAATACAAAAATTAGCTGGGCATGGTGACGCATGCCTGTAATCCCACCTACTCGGGGGGCTGAGGGAGAAGAATTGCTTGAACCCAGGAGGCAGAGGTTGCAGTAACACTAGATCACACCACTGCACTCCAGCCTGGGCGATAGAGCAAGACTCTGTCTCAAAAAAAAAAAAAAAAAAAAAAAAAAAAAAAAAAAAAAGGTAGTTAGTGGCCTTTGCTCTTTTACATTTAAGACATTGGAAGGAAGCAGAAAGTTCTGTTAAACTTCAATTGAATACTTAAGCTCCCCTATTGAATACTTACTATGTAGTGGAAGCTTTTATAGATGTTGTCACCAAGGTTTTCTCACTTAAAGTAGTATGTTTCGAGACTAACAACCAGAGAACAAATGCAGGAGTTAGAAAACTCTATTTATGGGATTAAATTGCATATGTATTTTTCTTGCTATAAACTAATTAGACAGTTTAGGTAGCCATCTTTCCATCTTGCTATTGGACTCTTTAATTACTCTCTTTTACTGATTTAACAACTATTTATTGAGCATCTAGTGGGCACCATTCTAGGTACTAGAAATACAGCAGAGAATAATGTAAATATGTCCTTTGTTCTCAAAGAGTTTATATTTCAGTGAAAGAGACAGACAATAAACAGATAACTGATTTAATGTCAGGTAGTGGGAATGTTTCTGAAGCTAAGCGAAGCAAGCTGGAAAAAAACCCACAATTTTATAAAAATAAAGAATGAGTATAAGAGATTATCTTGTTTAATTTTGTACATCCAACCGACATAATTGGCCATAATAAATGAGTTCATGCATTCCAGGATTTTGTCAGATTATGGCACAATATCATTTCACATGGGAATTGACTGTTGGCCTTTAGAAGAATGAGGCCGGAACAAGGAATAACAGCAAGTTTTCCAGGCCATTCTTGTTAGTTTGCACCCAGAAAGCTAAGAATAACTTGATCAAAACCAGAAAAGTAAGTAACAGCAAAACTGGGCTTGAGATACGTTACCTACTGCCAGGTTTATACTCTTTTCCCTGTACTAGTTGCACTCCCATTGGGCAATACTTTTGCCTAAAATTCACTTATCACATGAAAACATATTATATAGCTTTCATAGGCAATAGAACTATGATGACAGGCTACAGAGTTTGTATTTTGGCTTTGCTACCCCTTAGTTCTGTAACTTGGGGAAAAGTAATTAAATTTGCTGAGCCTCCATTTCCTAATTTGCAAAATGGGAATAATAAAATGTGTTCAATAATTTTAGAAATTAAATAAGTTAATGCATGTAAATCACTTAGCATATAGCCTAGTATAAAGTAAATGTTAAAAAAATTACATCTTTATTTAATCAAGGACACTTCACTAATACATTACAGTATTTAGCCCATAGAAGACATTCATTAATACTTGATGAAAAATATATAAAAATGCTACTTGAACTGAGGGCTGATAGACTTTTTTTTTTTTTAACCTGGGGAGTCTTGTGGCCCATCCCTGTTGCATTAATTTCTTATCCCTCTCCTACAATATGTTCTTAGGTTGCTATAATAGAATCTCTTGGTCTCTGGTGTTGATTTACAGCAATGCCCAACCTAGTAAATGTAAGAAAGAGACTTGGTGAAAGTAAAAGGACTTTTCACTTTCAACATACTTCAGGAAATTAACTAATCTTCCCTAAACCTCTGAAAAGAAGGTAAATAGCTTTAATTATCTGACAGATGGGGAAATGGAAGCAATGAGTCTCCAGTTCCACTCTTTTGCTCAGATTACTAAGTGGCTTGACTACATCTGTAAACTCATTAACTTGATACTTCCTACTTTCTTTTTCAAGCATCCCTCTTTGGAATGACTCAGTGAGCAATTCATCACTTAATTAATGCCCTTTCTTTAAGGAATGATTGGGTTTGGCAAGTCATGTTGCTTTTCCTTCCGTTGCCTTGAATGTTTATTCTGTACAATAAAAACCCATTGACATTGAGATTACATATTCCGGAGGACCTGGAGCTTTGGAATATTAGGACCACATTCTTTCCCAATGATTTCTTAAAAAATAAGTCAATGTTTTCTATTATATCAGGGATAGACATTTTCATATTCTATAACTATTGTTTTTTGGGTAAAATATTGTATGTTATCTTCATGGAATACAGAGATGACATAAAATATAAAGCATCATAGAGAGTGGGATCAGTATTTTGTTCTAAAAAAATTATGACTTCTGTGCCCATGTAGCCATATTTTTTTCTAGTCTGCTGGTTAAATTTCTTCACCAACTCTTATTTTGAATCTCTAAGATGTTCAGTTTCTCAAGAAAAAGTAGCAGCCTTGTTGAAAATGTGAATTACTAGTCAAAGAAGCCTATGAGAAAAATAGTGCACACACCTTACACACATACATATATAAAATATATGTCATATATATTTTAGGTATACATTGTGTGTATAGATACACATATTCACACAGTTTACTGCTTTTATTGTTTGAAACTAAAAATATTGAATATACAATGTTTACAGTTATGTGAATCAATTGTTTTATGTATATATTTCAAGTATCTTCTCTATGAAGTTCTATCATGCCAGTGAAAATATTCTGCTCTCCCCTATCCTAAAGCTAACTCAAGCCAGTTTGCTCCTTAAAGCCTTACCCTGTACAAACTCCACTAATGTGACACCAGCTGGGTGTATGGCAGTACACCTAGTGATGCTAACCACCTGGAGTGAGTGCAGACCCCACAAGGTAAGGACTCAGTCTTCTACAAGACTGTCTTTAATTCAATAGCCATACTTTGAGGGTCCCCAGGACACCTGTACTTCTGATAGATTGGCTATAAGTTTTGAGGTTCTTATAATCCCACCAGGTTTGACAATCCTCTGCAATGATTCCAGAACTCAAGAAAGTGCTATCCTTATAATTTTAGTATAAAGGATTTGCTTAGGGTGAAGTCTAAGAGGGATCACAGAGCTTCCATGCCCTCTCCCCCCACTGTGATGATGCATCACCCTCCAGTGCATCAATGTGTTCACCAAGCAGGAACTTCATTGAGCTTCGGTGTCCAGAGTTTTTATGGGGGTTTTAATACATAGGCACGACTGGTGAAATCATTGGCCACATGAGTCAACTCAACTTACAGCCCTTGTCCCCTCTGAGGAGGTCAGAATGGCTCAAAATTCCAATGCTCTATTCACGGTTGTTCTTTCTGTTGACCAATCCCATATGAAAGCTGTTTAAGGGCCTATCAGAAGTTACTTCATTAAGATAACAAAGACACTCCTATCAATCAGGAAATTCCAGTGGTTTTTGAAGCTCTATGGTAAGAACCAAGGACAAAGACCAGATATATTCTTTATTATGCTATAGATACTCTTCATTAAAATCATTACATAGTTGTGAAATGGAAACAAAAACAAGTGAACATTAATAGTAGAAACGTGAAACATCAGTCTCTCACCTTTTCTTCCAACTGAATTGTAGCTGATTAATAATAAACACAAAATGCCTAAATATGAAACAGTTGAGGATACAATCCGAGTCTGGGGCACAATTTAGTTTCCCACACTTTTCTGTTGACATTGAAGTCACCCATGCATGCTGGTCAACACTGAGTTGATCACTTACTCAGGAGCAGGTAAAGCAGATGGAGAGTGGTAGACTGACCTCACCCAGATGGGGAGCCCTGTCCCTGTCACTACTTAAATTGATAATCTAGGTGAATATTGTGCCTACACATAGGCATGTGTAAGAGGATATGAGACAACCAGAAAATGGCTAGTGCTGTGTTTTTCAATGCAATAACTATCCACTCAGGAACAAAAAATATGAGCCAATGGATACTAGTTTCTTGTAACAATTAACTGAATTGATTATTAAAAAGTAGGTGTATTGATTATAAACCTTGGCCTGAAAGAAGTATTATATGGAGATCCATAATAGTTCCTGAAACATTTTATCCTGTGGGGTGGAATCTAAATGTGTCTACTCTATGAAAACTTGAAGATGGCATTGAACTTTTCCACTAACAAAAGAATAATATAAAATATAAGAGAATTAGAATTTCCAAAATGAGTGTTGGAATAAAGAATCTTTAATTTTTGACTAAATGTGACTAATAAATAGAATTCTCTCTACTGTCTGCATTTTTCCATCACTCGTACAAGTTTGGTCTATATACTCTCGACACTGCTAAAAACTTCGCTGTGAGGTCACCAGAACTTCCAGATTGGCAAATTCAATAGTTTTGTCTCACATATCAAAATTCTTGACTCCTTTGCCTCATTTGACATTCGAAGCCATGCTTTTCTAATTGGAACTTTTCCTCTTTTAATTATTAACCAACAGTGTTTACATTTGCCATACCTTTGACTTGCAGAAAGCTATAGGAATCCACTGAATCTCGTTGAGGAGATGAGTGTCTAAGAAAGTCCAATATACTATGTATTCTCAGCTATTATATCCTGATGACACACACTAAAATGACAAAGGGACAAAAGTAAAATAAATCCTGAAACATATGGATTTTGTGTTTTCAAAGCAGCTGTTAATTTCTAAAAATTGAAACTGATTACCCAGAATGGTTTTTAAATTCCTTACAGTGGTCCCTTATTTCCCTAGTAACAGCTGTTTCTGTCTTCTGATCATTCAACTTTGTGTGTTATGAATGTTGAAATGATCGGCCAGGAAATATAATGTATAGCATTTTGAATAACTTGATAAATGAATTAACCATTTGAAATCCAATACACAGTTATTTGTTGGGTCCTTGCATGTTAAAGTATTTACAGTAAAACCTAGATCTAGGAATCCAGAAATATGGGTTAGGGTAACTTGATAACATAATTAATTCACCTACAATTATATGACACAATTCCATGGATAAACTAGTGACTCATAGGGTCACTTTGGAGTTATCAAACAAATGAAGATAATGCTATTAAGAAATGTCCAACAACAGCAAACTATAGAATCAGATATGAGATTTTTTTCCTCATCTGTGGATTAACTTCATATATCACTTGTCCCACATATTTATGCATTCTACCCAACAGTAATGAAGACATTATTTAAAAAAATAAAACTTCAAGGTGAAAATATTTGTCCTTAATATTTTATTTTACTCTTCAGTAGGACTATAATTATAGCTCTAGCAGAGAAAGCTGTTAAGAAATATTTTTCGGTGCCATTTATAAAAAACATCGATGATGGATAATAACCATATGAGGGACTCCATTTGTTTCTACTGCAAGGTGGTGTCACAATCTGTTCTGGTTCATTAGAATGTCAGGTTATGCGTCTGATGCATTTTCCATTTAAGGATGAGATGAGACTTGGTGTGCATCTGTATTAGATAAATAATTCTTTCTTTCTCCCATTGAGAAATAATATATATGCACAAGCATACTTTAGTGGCTATCAAATATGCTCTCTGATGCCTGTGGGTTTTTCTTTATTTCAGTACTTATGAAGTTTTAGCATTATCTTTTTAATTATCCTTAACCACTGTTACTAAGTTCCTTAAAGCCAAGACCTATATCTTATTTGTGCTTGAGCTTGTTTCAGGCATAATGTTCTTTAACTGTTATGATTGAATCAATGATTGAATGAATGCACAAGAAATGAAGGAAAACATTAGGCCCAAAGAAGTTCGCAGGTTTAATTGCATATATATATATACGTATTATTATATTGCATATAATAATACATGTATTATACATGTATATATGAATACATGTATTATACATGTATATATGAATACATGTATTATACATGTATATATGTACACATGTATTATACATGTATATATGTACACATGTATTATACATGTATATATGTACACATGTATACATATATACATATATAATATATACATTATATACATACATAATACATATTATGCATGTATATACGTATACATTATACATATGTACATGTACATACAAATACATATACACATATATGTATATGTACACGCATTATACATGTACACATATATGTATATGTACACGCATTATACATGTACACATATATGTATATGTACACGCATTATACATGTGCACATATATGTATATGTACACGCATTATACATGTGCACATATATGTATATGTACACGCATTATACATGTGCACATATATGTATATGTACACGCATTATACATGTGCACATATATGTATATGTACACGCATTATACATGTGCACATACATGTATATGTACACGCATTATACATGTGCACATACATGTATATGTACACGCATTATACATGTGCACATACATGTATATGTACACGCATTATACATGTGCACATACATGTATATGTACACGCATTATACATGTGCACATATATGTATATGTACACGCATTATACATATATACATAGATTATACATATATAATATTAATATATTATATATATTATGATATACATTATGTATATATACATATATTATACATATATAATTGCATATGTACATATATAATTGCACATGTACATATATGTAATATACATATATATGCATATGTATATTACATATAATATATATGTAATTTACTTTCCCCACAGAAGATCGTAGGCACTGACTCACCTCTTAAATCTTCGAAGTAGATTTGAAAGTGCAATAGAAAAATGGCACAGAAACAAAGAACCTAACTTTTATAACATGTTGACTTCATGAACTTTTATGTTTCTTGTGCACTTCTCGTTTGTTTTAAATGACTGTTGAAATGTAGGCTTTATGAAACAACATGGTGTTTCATGGGCTGTGTACTTGGTAATGTAGGATTGTCTCTCTGGGATTTCAGTTTAGGCACTTCCTGAAACTGTGTTAATTGGCACCCCTGCAGTTTTAAAGAGCTTGATGCAGCTCCCCAAGAGGCTAACTTATTTTTTCCTCCTCAGAAAGAAAATGGTACAAAGAGAAGATGCTGCTATTAGAAAAACAAAAATTGGATAGTTTTTCATAGGCAAAAATACCAGCCTAAATCATAGGCTAAAATCCCTGCACAGTTTAATGTTAATGAGTGTACTGTGGAATACCACAAAAACATGGGGCTTGAATTTTTATGAGCTTTAAAATTTCAGTTCTGTCATTTATTTGGAAATGCGACTTTTCTTAACTGAAGAAAAATTTACATACAGTGAAATGCTCAGATTTTAAGAGAGGAATTTTAAGAGTTTTGGTAAATGTATACACCCATATAATCATTACTCCTATCAGGATATAGAATTATTTCCATCTACACAAAAAACCTTTCCTGTGTTTCCCTTCTGATCACCCCTTTCTCCTAAAAAGGCAAATCGTGTTCTGACACTGTGATAGATTTGGTTTGCCTAGTCTTGCAATCTCTTGTATCTGGATTTTTTTGCTTAACATGTTTTTGAGATTCATCTATATTGTTGTGTGCATTAGCAGTTTGTTTCCTCCGTTGCTGAGTCACATTCCACCTTATTAATATACTAAAGATTTTTTATCCATTCTCCAGTTGATGGAACATTTGTGTGGTTGACAGTTTTTGTTTATTGTGAATAAAGCCATTGTGAATATCCCTGTACAAGTCTTTTTGTAGAGATATGTTTTCATTTTTCTGGGAAAATTCTTAGAAGTGAAATTGCTGGGTCATAGGGTAGCTTTTATGTTTAACTTTATTAAAAACTCCCAAACTGTTATTCAAAATAGTTGTACCATTTTTTTATTCCCGCAGACAATCCGTGAGAGTTCCAATTGCACCACAGACTCTCTAACTTTTGATATTGCCAGTATTTTTTAAAGTTTAGCCTTTTCAATGGGTGGATATTTATATCTCATTTGGGTGTGTATTTGTATCACATTTTGGTTATAACTTGCATTTCTGTGTTTGAAGACTTGATTGTCGTATATCAATATATTGCTACCAGCTTTCTTATGCTTGTTGTTTGTGTGGTGTATCTTTTCCCACTTTTTTACTGTGTTTTTATATTTAAAGTGCATATCCTGTAAACAGGATATAATTTTGCATTTATTTTGTACTCAGTTCATTTGAACATCTAGTAGATTTACATGTAATATAATCACGGTTAGGTCTGCCATTTTCTTATTAGTATATTTATTCTATTTGACTTTTAAAAATTCTACTTTCCTCCTTTTATCCCTTCTTTTGGATCATTTAAATATTTATTCAACTGTTTTCATGGCCTTTGACTAAATTGTTTTCATAGTTTTTGCTTTATATATCTACAGAGAGAGCTTTATATATACATGTAAATATCTAATTAATTAAAATATATAAATATATAAAACTTTATATATAAATATATATTTATATCTGCTTTATATATAAAGGTATATGTATATATACACATTTTAGTGTTGCTTCCAAAGATGACAATTGGCATCCTTAATTTATCACAGTTCATTCATAAATGGCATTGTACTACTTCACTTAAAATGTAAGAGAATTGCAAAATTATAAATTCATTTAATTTATTCCTGTCCTTTGTGATATTGTTGTCACTATTTTACATTTATGTATATTATACATCCCATAATATAATGTAAAATTTTTTTCTTTCAAAATTTAGTTATATTTTACAGCAACTAAGAAAAAAGAAGTTTATTTACCCACTTATTTACCATTTCCATTTCTGTTCAGTCCTCATGCTGCCTTCAGCCTAAAAAAGTGGTTTTAGCATTTCTTGCATGCAGTTCTGCTGCCAACCTTCTCAGCTTTTATTATTTGTCTGATGATATTTTATTTTCAGTGTTGTTGTTGTTTGTGTGTTTATTTTGCCTTCGTATGTATTTTTTCCCCTAGATGTGGGATTTTGGTTAATAATTCATTAACAACATTGTTCTATTGTATGCTGGCTGCCATCGCTTCTGAAGAGAAGTCAGTGTATCTGCAAATCATTGTTCATTGGTATACACAGTGCTGTTTTTCTCTGGCTGCTTCCAAGGTTTTCTCTTTGTCTTTGGTTTTCGGGAGTTTGGCTATGATGTGCCCTCATACCTATGGTATGATGTGCCTAAGTGTGGTTTTCTTCGTATTTATCCTGCTTAGAGTTTGTTGAGCTCCCTGGATGTACAAGTCGAGGTATTGTCCTCGAATTGGAGAACATTTATCTAGTTTTTCTCCACATTTTTTCTACACCATTCTGTTTCTTCTCCTTCCGAAACTTCAATTACACACATACTCGACTGTTTTAGATTGTCCCACGGGTCACTAAGGCTCTGCTCAGTCATCCTTCTCTCTTCTGGTCTTCTTTGACATTGAATAAAGTCTATTTATCTGCTTTTCAGTTCAATGGCCCTTTCTTTGGCTATCTACAATGTTCTGTTAAGCCATTCCAGTACATTTGTTTATATTGGTTTTGTTTTGTTTTCAGTTCTAGAATTTTTGTTCCATTCTTTTTTTCTTTTATATAGTTTTATCTGCTGATATTCTCCATCTCTTTGCTTATTTGACCATCTTTTCCTTTAAGGCTTCAATATATTTATAATACCTGCTCTACACATTTTTCTTGCTAATGCAACAACTGGGTAATTTAGAAGCCCGTTTCCACTGATTTTCTTTCCCTCTTGATAATGTAACTGTTTTTATCTTATATGTCTCATATTTTATTATGTTAAAAACTAAGAGTAATATGCTGTAAGGGTTCCAGATTCTATTATCTTTCTTTTAAGAATATTGCTTTTTGTCCTAGTATGCTAGTAAAAATCCTGGCTGATTAGCTTAGAATTGTGGAAACTTTGTTTCATGCATTTTTTCTGTCTTTTAGTCTGAGAGTGAGACCTTAGTATTTGTTTCTGAAGTCTGGTCCAAAAGTGGCTACCAAGCCTCTCTAATTTGGTAGGAGTCAGATTCTAAATTCTGCCTCTTTGATAGTGGGCAGAAGCTGAAATCTCTGCTCAGCTTTTTCAAACTTCGAGCTGTTGCTTTCTGCTGGAATCACTGGAGTTCCCCCCACACAAATTTAGGTTAGGAATCAGCCAGGATTTGAGATTGCCAAAATAAAATTGTTTTGGGCCAATGTTTCCATTGCACTTACATGTTGCATCATTCTGTTCTGATTGCTGTAGGCTTTTAATTACAACATTGGGTCTTATGTTTGTCTAACAGCTTCTTATATTTTCCTATCTCTACTTCCATAATTAATTATATACTAACATTTGATTGCATGACCTCTTTACAGTGTTACTGTGTACTAATGCTTAGTCTTATTTTGTTTTCTCTCTTTTTCTCTTTCTCTCTCTCCCTTTCTTTCTTTCTTTCTTTCTTTCTTTCTTTCTTTCTTTCTTTCTTTCTTTCTTTCTTTCTTTCTTTCTCTCTCTCTCTGTCTCTCTCTCCCTCTCTCTCTCTCTCTTTCTTTCTTTCTTTCCCATTTCTGAGAAGTGACCATCATTGTATTTAGGTCTGTAAATCCAGAACCCACCAGTTAAGAATGTTTGTAGACAATGTTGTTAATCATTCATTCATTGCACCATTGTGAATTTGTCCCCACCAAATTTATATGTTGAAGCCCTAAACCCCAATGTGAAGACATTTGGAGATGGTACCTTTGGGAGATAATTAGGTCTAAATGAGGTCATGAGGGTAGTCGTCTTATGATGGGATTAGTGCCCTTATAAGAAGGTATGTGAGAAAATTTCTCTCTCTCTCTTTCTCTTTCTCTTTTCATGTGAGGACACACTAAGTATTTATTGGGAAAAGAGGACACACCAAAAAGTGCCTTTTTTTTTCTTTTCTTTTCTGTTCTGCTCTCTTTTATGTGAGGAAAGACCAAAAAGGTTGACCTCTGCACACCAAGCAGAGGCCTTAACAGAACATGACCATGTTGGCACCAGGATCTCAGTCTTTCAGTTTCTAGACTGTGAAAATATAAATTTTTGATTTTTAAGCCACCAATTTTAAGGTATTTTGTCTTAGACTGAAGTGACTAAGACACTCCACTTCCATAATCTGGTTGCTTATGAATATTTTCTCTTTATAAATTATTACTCTTATCAGTTAGGATCCATTATCAGCGCTACAGAAATAACTCTCAAATCTTGGTGACTTCACATCATAAGATGGTACAATTTATCTCTAGCAAAAGTAATTGCCAGTTTTTTTTGTTAAACATTTTTGATGTTTGTTTTGTGTTATGCCTGGAACTCATCAAACATCTCATATTGTTAGCTGTTACCATCATTATCATTTTTATCAGTCATCAAGCCCGGTGAAAACATTAATTAATTCTTCTGACAATCCTAGGAGATAAGAGCTGGTATGTTATCCCTGTTTTACAGAGAAAACTTCTCAGGCTCACAAAATGAAGCAACTTTTACAATGATACATAGATAAAAATTGGCATATCTAAGATTCAAAGTCATGTCTCTCTGGTCTGGCATCCAGAATGTTAATCAATATAATACAATATAATACAAAATATATAGATTAATATACACATGGCATTAATTATGTTTCAAACACTGTTGTAAAATTTAACATATTCTCATTTAGTAATACATGGTTGAATAGTTCCCTGAGCATGAAGGCATTATCTTATTCTCCTTTACTAGTAGGTACAAAAGATTCCCAGTAAATATTTACATGTTTCATTTTAGGCCTATATCTGAAATATTCAGATTTCAAATCCTAATATATTCTTGACTTCATTCCTAATGTTCTTTGTCATAATGTGGTAATGAATTTTTTTTTTAAACTTAATGTGTAGAAAGTGAAGACTTTTCCTGTTTTAAGATGGTCAAAAAATGTTGACCCAGAACAATCCAGCAAATGTGTTCCAGAGGTTGGTTATCCAAAATGAATGAAAAATAACTCATATTCTTTGTCTACAACCATCTATCCAGGGATCCAGCTGCAAAGTTGCAAGACATCAGAAGCTTTGCCTATTGTTAAGTACAATGGTAGCAAGTTCTTTAAGTCTCTCCTATAGAAGTTTTTGTTTAAGCAGTGTTAGATCTTCATGAATTTTGGCATTTTTTCCTGCATACCTTAGTAGACTAAGTTGATCAGACATCTACGGTGCTGGGGAACAATAGCTTCACTCTTAAATCTTTCTAAGACTAATATTGTATAAACTATTCCCTTTCTTACTTATTTAAGAATTGTTGTGGGATGTTGGAAATTTTAATGATTCTTATTTATTGTTTTTGTTAGTTACCATATTCACTTTCCCTTAATTTTCTTTCTTTCTTTTGAGTTCTTTCAGGTATTTTGTGGGATGGGTGGAATTATTAATATATAGTTATGTCCAAAAATGAAAATTCAGTGGAAAAGATAAATTTAAATTATTTTCTATATATGGTATTTGAGATTTTTAAGATGAAAGAGTTGGGTTATTATTGAATGTACACAATAATATGCAAATTATTTTCTATGTAGAAAAATAATTTAAATTTTGAATAATTTAAACTTTCTTTCAAATGTCCCCATTTGGAATTTATATTGGTATTTATTGATACTTTTTCTTCACAATTCAAATTAAATAGTATCATATAATCTCACCTGGAGAAGTATTAACTTCTCAAAAACTGTTGGGGGTACATAGACTTTATTTAACCATTCAACTTAATTCAGTCCATTTTCTTCTTTGTTTATTTATTCACTTAACTAATGTTTACAAAGTGGCAAGCTTTTAAATTGCTAATAGTGCCAAATAATATCTAAAAGAAAAATATTAGATATTTTCTTTAAAACAGAAATTTCTGAGAAAATTAAATTAGAAGCAAAATTTGAAAAGGTCAGGAACAACTTCAATAAAGCAATTCATTTTTCTTTTTTTTTTATTATACTTTAAGTTCTAGGGTACATGTGCACAACATGCATATAGTATGCAGCCTTTTTTTTTCTTATTTTCTGGGATCATTCTGCTTCCTTATAGACCCAATTCATGTTCCAGTCCCCCCTATATTGTAATCACATGCTGGGTTTTTAAACATCTTGGATTGCTATCTTGGGCAGCCAAAAAGGAAAAAAAAATCAAATGTGAATGATAATTTTTAAGAAAACAGCTTCAAATGAATGGGATGCCTATGCACTTCCAAGAATGGGGCAGCAATCAACAAATGAATAATGGCCACAGCTGAGCTCTAACAAACACGGGATGATCCAGCTGAAGCAAAGGCTACAATTGGACTAATTTGGCACTAGGTCCATTTTAGTCCTGGCATTAGGACCACATTTTATTTCTGCTAGTGACCTAGTTCCACCTGCATTTGTCACTACTGCTTTCAGTTGCTGGACAAACTATTTGTGAGATAAACTTGGAACAGTGATCTGGACTAAGGCAAATGCATATTGCGTTTTCTATTTACAATGGCTATGAGGAGACAGATTGTCTGACAGGTAAGGAAGCCCTGCCCAGTTTTGCCTGCCCAAGATAACATCTAGCAAATGAGAAGAATAAATCATGCCATTCACTACACAAATGTATTGAGTGCATAGTGCTGTGCCAGTTGGTATGCTAGCAATATAATGATGACCAAATCAAAACATTGTAAGATACTGACTTAGAAAAAAGATACCTTTTTAAACTCACACAAAACCTAGGGGGCTATGACACCTGAGGGACAGGATAGCCTGACTTGAGACTGACAGGCTAGGAAAGACTCAAAACATGTAACATTTATTTTCTTTCATCCAGCAAACTGTTACTGAGCACTCATCAGGATAGAGATACTCGGCCAAGCCTTGGGAAAACAGTGGAGAGCAAAACAGACACGCACGGTTTCTGTTCACCTCCGGAGTATACAGTCTAGTTTCTTTTTCCAGTTAGATAGGTGTCTGATGCCTAGTAGGAGCCTAATAAATGTTTGCTGAGTGGATATTTATGTAATACGTTCTACAGTAAAGTCTAGACTGGTTTTCTCAAGTGGTCCTGTCCCATAAATCTATTATATGGATGAACATTCTTTAAGTGGGAATCTTCTTAAGAATCACAAAGTTGACAATTACCATGTACTTTTCTATGAGTAATATAACAAAGATGTGTACCAGATAGGACATTAGCCCCAGTAGAATCTAACCCTGGAAAAACACAAAGTAAAATAGTGCTGATCACAACTAAATATTACAAAACAGATGCTGGGATAAAAGTTCCAGTAGAGCAAGTGGTTTTGAGGATCTATATTTCAAGAAGAGATACCTGTAAAATTAGTTGCCGGTAAAGTTTAGTTCATAATGTACTTGATTAAAAATAGATTGGCAGGAGGTGTTTTTCAAGAAGTTAACTGTTATTTAAAGAGCTTTAGAGAAGAAAGGGTAGTCATTTTTACCATGCTACATAAAGGTCAGGTAAGATGGAAACTAAAGAAAGGAAAATTAGATTTGTTAATTAGAAGTTACTTGGCCTTTTAGTATCCTGGTTTAAGAGGTAGGACATTGCCAAAGAGCCAATTTCAGAGAACTGGAAAAAAAGACGAGAAAAGAGACAGGCAGATGTTTGAGCATTCATAAAATGTTTGAGAGTAAAAGCAAGATGGGGAGAGAGAGCAGCAGTTTGAGTGTAAGCAGAAAAGGGAAATATGTGAGCCTTTACAGAGTAGTACTAACTGTAATTCACTGTACCAAGCAATGGGGTTGTTTGCCTACATTATGCCATTTTTAGTGAAAATGGTGTCTGTGCTATGATTGGAGATCATTTACCTTCATAAGTAAGTGCTGCACGATAGAGTATTCAAGTATTCAACAAACCATAGAGCCTTCTACATTATATATTTCAGAGTCAAAATGAACATCGGCATCCATGTGAGGGAACTGTGTTAGGTTCTGTCTGATTGCAGGAAGAAGTTATATGGTTGCGTGGCCTTAGGCAAGACAGATGATGAAAGAGTCTGGGCACATGTATGGACAGGCTTTGTGAAGAATTGGAATGGTACCGATTTGTTATTGAACACAGGTCCACTACCATGGCTCTGAAGAACCAGTGATCTTGTATTTCCTTAAAAGCAGGTGCTTGCTTCAACTGTGACTTTACAGTACCTTGGACTCAACCATTTTTTTTTTTTTTTGCTGCTTTTCTCTTTGATTCTTGCCCTCTTGAGTTTTCTGCTGCTCTGTCATCGTACACTCTTTTCTCTGTGTCTCACGTTCAAGACCACACAAGAGAAAGAATGGTTCAGTCAGTCCCCATTCATTATGGACCATCTCATTTGACATCTTACACCACACCAGATTAGAGGCCACTGGTTGCTGACAGCTACTTCGGGCAAGTAAGTAGCCTCCTGGGTCAACCCATGAAAGGCAAAATAATAAATCACATAACATACAAAAAGACCACTTATGTGAAAGAAACAACCAGGGGTGGTTTTTGCAGAAGAAGGTTGCAGTCATAGAGGCGCTTGGTTTCAATGCAGATAAAGTTTCCAATTTTCTCCTGTGTGATAAGATTCAACATACCAGCAGGATTTATAAGCAGATATGTCTCAGAGTTAGCATGCAATTGGAGGTTTCAAAATTTATTTTTTCCCAGAGTAATGTTAAGTTTTTATTTATTTTTTCTTAATTTAGAAAATTCTTTCGGGATGGAGTAAGTAATGAAAATCTGAGTAAATAGAATCCTCAGGGAAGTGTCCATGGCCGAGTGCTGAGCATAAAAGAGGCTGATATGAAATGAGAAGAAAGATACACTCCTTCTTTTCCCTCATTCCTTTTGTTTTAGTTGAGGTACAGTTTAGTTCATTTTTTGGTTGATCATTATGTCTAATTGGAACCAGAACTCAGATGAAAGGTTGAATTCAAGGAAGAGGGTACTGTGAATTTGATCATCAAGAAAAACTACAAAGATAAATAAGTATAAAAAGAGTCAGAAGCCAAAAGATTAGTCTTTGTTTTAATTCTTACAGGTTATTTTAATGTTTCTATAAGACTATAGCTTTTACCAAACTCTGCGTCAACTCTGACAAATGTTTTGTGCTCCTCCCTCCACCCTACCAATCCATTGTCCACGGTATGGGTTTAGTTAATTCTCACCATTTTTACCCTTTGCTATTTTGTGCTAAGACATGTGATACCTGCAGGAAAAGTAATCATTGCCAGTAGACTTACTGTCCAGGAATGGGTAAATGATAGCACCAAATGGTACAGCTTAATTAGGAGATTCTCTAGCATTTTCCTCCATTGTTCCGGTCCAGCATGGAAGAAGCTGGACTCCTTTTCATTTCGTCCGCTATAGTGAGTTCTATGTACTAAAAATAAAAGATGATATCAAATGAATCAATTCACTTGCCAGTAAAAGAACATTTCCATCTGTATATTTCTTTTTTTAAAATTATGTGCAGGTAATACCAATTTAGAGAACAGCAATACCATTGCAAGTAATTATTACAATTTCTCCATTATATCCATTGTTGTGGATAGTATGTTCATGATTCTGCCATAAATCCAATCTTCTCATCTAGAGTTGATTTTTGTTTTTATATGTTTGAATCTTGTATTTTTAAATTAAATATGTTTAGCTTCCCTTAAATTAGATGAACACAAATCAAAGCCAAACCATTTTAACCTACAAATGTACTTCAGTACATTTCTAACTATAAATGACAATTTAAAAAATATACATAACATGAAATTTTGCCTCAAAATACAATTTCATTATTTATTTTAAAAACTGAAGATGTAAAACTTCAATCTACCTACTATGGAAAATCATTTAATAGCCAAGTGATTTACTATACCACCTAAACCTTCAAGAGGTTTTAATTTCTGTGAAAACTTCTTAAAGCCTTTAATGCCAGATGTCCAACCCAATCACATTATATAAACATTGATTATGTACCTTTCCTTATAGGAAACTATAATGTAAAATATAATACTGATTCAGGCCAGGCACGGTGGCTCATGCCAGTAATCCCAGCACTTTGGGAGGCCAAGGTGGGTGTATCACTTCAGGTCAGGAGTTTAAGACCAGCCTGGCCAACATGGTGAAACCCCATTTCTACTAAAAATAAAAAAACTAGCTAGGTGTGATGGCTAGTAATCCCAGCTACTCGGGAGGCTGAGACAGGAGAATCGCTTGAACCTGGGAGGTGGAGATTGCAGTGAGCCAAGATTGTGCCACTATACTCCAACCTGGGCAAGAGAGCGATACTCTGTCACACACACACACACACACACGCACACAATTATATATATATAATTTTTTGCTAGAGGTGCCTTCCCAGTCTAAGTCCTTTGGCATTCATTTCCATTCATAAAACTTTAATGGATTACCTACTAATTTCCAGATGCTAGGTTGAAAGGCTCATGGATAAAGCATAGAGAAATATTTGATGAGTGGTCTGGGAGGGGAGAAGAATGTGTAAATTAGCAACATCAAGGTTTGACAAGATCTGCAGTGGAGGTGTGTATACCAAGCAGATGAACACAGATGAGGAACATTCAACACAGCATGTATGCAGGGAGTCCTGGAAAGATTGTTTCAGAAGATGATGTCTGAGATACAAGTTGAAGTACAGGTTGTGAGCCAGGGGAAGACAGAATGGGTGGAGGGGAAGGAGAGATGGCATAGAACAAGGGAAAGAGCTGTGTTTCAAGTCATTAAAACAACTTGGACAGAGACACAGAATGGAGAAATTGACTGATGTGGGGTCAATAACAGGTGTCAGAGTTTAAACCCTGAAGCAGGAAGTGATGAGAGATAGGCTGCAGGGGTTGATCATAGCCCCTCACGGAAGGTGCTGGTATGTCCATACTCAGGTGCAGAGCCTGCCACGAGGATGGATTCCTAAATTAGGATGTTAAGCAGGATGACACATGGCCTCACATGCATTTGAATTGGTTACTTTAGGATATACATGGTGAAAAAATGAATTGAAAGTAGGCATGGCTAGAGGCCAGCATTGTTCTTAATGGTATATTGCAGAGGTCCAGATAAGGATTTGTGAGGGCCTGGTACTAGGAGTATGTTACATGTAAGAGGACCAAGTCAAGAAGCATTTAGGAAGTAAAATCAGTAAGTCTTAGTATTTGATTCAAATTATAAAGAGGCAGGAGAATGGAAGAAAGCATCAGGAACCCATTTCTAGCATGAGTCGTTAAGAGATGGTCTTGCCTCCAACTGACTGTTTCTGAGGAGCAGAGGTTCAGCTGAAAGAATAACTTGAGCTGTGACTCAATCTATGATTAAAACATAGGATAATTGGATAGACTCATTATTTGATTATTGCCGTTTGTTTTCAACTGCATTTTCTTCACATTTTATTTTTAACTATTAATTGAATTCTATAGTATGCATGCAGTAAAGTACATGTATCACAGCTTAGCTACCTGGTTGTCTTCATTTTGGGAAAAAATCATTTCTATGTAAACTTAAGATTTGTACATAGCCTCATTTCTTTTTCTCCAAAGTGAACATACCTATGTAACCAACATCTGAATCAAGAAGAAGAACATATTACCAGCACCCCCCCACCCTCAGAGAGTCCCGTTTCAGGGCCTTTTAAAATTAAGCCTGAGATTGACTATCTATGAAAACTGTATTCCTTAGCTGCCCATTATTTTGGCAAAAGGCAATAATTGATGAAGTTGGAATTTAAGTTGGCAGAAGTGTAAAAGGCAGGAGATTTTTCAGAGCTGTTAACACTGCATGTGGCAAAGATCACCTCTCAAAGAAAGCAGGGGTTATGCAGTGAATTCATGAATTCCTAGCAGAAGGGACCTGGTTAGCTATTTTTATGAGAGAGGGTATGTTTTTCCTTAATAATTAGTCTATTGAGTTTTCATATTTTATGATTTTTTTTTTTTTGAGACAGAGTCTCACTCTGTCACCCAGGCTGGAGTGCAGTGGCACGATCTCAGCTCACTACAACCTCTACCTCCCAGGTTCAAGCGATTCTCCTGCCTCAGCCTCCTGAGTAGCTGGGACTACAGGCATGTGCTACCATGCTTCTTTAATTTTTTGTATTTTTAGTAGAGATGGGGTTTCACCATGTTAGCCAGGATGGTCTCGATCTCCTGACCTTGTGATCTGCCTGCTTCGGCCTCCCAAAGTGCTGGGATTACAGGCATGAGCCACTGCACCTGGCCTTATGATTCTTAAAATGCATTTGCTTCACATTTTTATATCTCTGACTTTGAGAATTATCTTGCAATGGATGCTGATCAGCCTGGTGTGCCATCAGCCTGGTGTGTGGCAGCCCCCACTCGGTTGTTTTTGTCCTCACTTGGCTTGTGCTCCATCATGGCCATGACTGTCATCACTTCAATTAAGCCATGTGCATGACTAGTGGTAAATGTATTGATGCCATGTGCCAAGCTGTGCTACCAGCTTCAGGAGAAATTTTCCTATCCCTCAGAATAGAAGAAAGGAATTTCAAGGTCATGAGTGACTGGTATGACTGATTCAGCAGGTGTATTGGCCACACATCAAACAATAGGACTACCACTTCCTGTTAACTTTGAACAGAAGCTCCTTCCCTTTCAGCAGCCTGTGACTCCATAGAGAAAGAAACAAAACTGAGTTGGTTCAGGTTAGACAGCACTAGCATCAAACTTTTCAAAATGAGCTTAGATGAAAACTCTGTAGGAAAAGTAATGAAACATAGACTGATGATTCCAAGGGAAAAAAAGTGATTGAGAAGAGCTGGGTCCTGATGAACTTTTAGTAATACCATTACTGCTTTTTTTTAACACTATAAAACACACTTAAAAATCATTGTGTACTTGAAATGTTTCTTTCAAAATACGTGAAAAAAATTAAAAAATATGTACGAAACAATTCTAAGTGGTAAGAATGCATTGTCATAGTTTAATTATAGTGACTTTATTTTATTTTTATTAATACTTTGTTTTAGAGCAGGTATAGATTCACAGAAAAATTGAGCAGAAAGTACAGAGAATTCTCATATTTCCCCTGCTTCAACAAATACACAGCCTCGTTCCTTATCTACATCCTGCACCTCAGTGGTACATTTGTTCCAATGTATTATTTTATCTAGAAATAATATTTCAACATATTGCCCAGGCTGGTCTCCAACTCCAAGGCTCAATTAATTCTCTTGCCTGAGCATCCCAAAGTGCTGGGATTACAGGCATGACTCTTGATGAACTTACAATGACACATCACCATCACCCAGAGTTCATAAGTTTATTTTAGGGTTCACTCTTGGTGTTGCCCATTCTATGGCTTTGGACAAATTTATATTTGCAGTGTTTTTTATTTTTGTATTTTGTCATTGTTGTTCTTCATGGCATATTAAATAATGGTGCATCTTATTAGTAGATGGTATAAGATGTGATGAAATATGGTATCTGTCTCCACTCCCAACTCATGAGCCATCACCAGAATTCTGGTGCAAACCCTCAACGGTATGGTTTTCTATGGCCGAAGTGAAAATAGCAATTGTCATTTGAGTATTTAGTTTGCGTCTGGTATACTGACAAGTGATTTACTTGTATTATTTTTAGTGGTAACATCTCTATAAATTATCTCATTTTGTAGATTAAGTAAGTTTTCAAAGATGACACGGGACTTCAATGACAGAGTTAGATTTTGAACAGATATTTATCTGATTTCAATTGCCCTAAATACAGCTACTATGCATATTGCCTCTCAGATAATAGATACTGAAATTTTTAAAATCAGCTGTGTCATGGCAAGTAAAGATGTGTGACTTAATGGAGATAAAGCTTAACATTTTGGGGAAAACGTGTAAGTTCAATGACTTTTATAATCCTTGGTTTACTCTAGTGCAGATATGAACAATAGCACATACTTACTAGAAGTGGAACTTGCTGTCAGGCTACTTAACATTGTAATGGTTTAATGAGCAATGAGGTTATTACACAAATGCAACCCATTCTGAAGATGCTCAGTCCCTTCACATACCTTACTTCAAAACCTACTTTGTTAAAAATAATAATCATTATAAAATACAGTCAACTTTCTACTAAATCTATTCTCCAATTATTTAACTCTGGTTTATACATTCACATCTGGTGACCCCCTGATAAACTGAGGGGCTTTGTTCTAAAACAACAGAATACATTTTTTAATACATAAAATTTACTAAGGATTAAACATGCACATCTGGAAAATGCAGTCTCCTCTTTCCTCTAATACAGCCACAAAAAGGATCAATAAAGCTAATTAATCTGCTGCTTTGAAATAAACGCACAGGTCCAATTGAGAAAACTTTTTTCCTCTGCGTACCTGGTTCTGTTGAAATCACCACAGAACTTGTGTTTCTTGGCACTATCCAAACGCTGCACTTTTGGAAAGCCTGGAGTACATAGCTAATTAGAATAAATTGGGAGTATAACATAGCAGGTCTGGGGTAAAAGTCAGAAACAGGTTTGGACCAAGTTTTTCCAGTTTCTAATGACCAGTTTCGTGGTGTTTTCCTTTCATCGCTGATCTCAGGAACAATTGGAGATCATCACTGCTGCCCACCCCATGTTTTGCCCTCTCCTGGTGGCAGCATGGCATGCTATCACCCCTTGCTCCTCTGCAAATGGCCCTCATGAGAAGGAGCTCGGATGAGGTAGTGAAAGGCACTATTTGACAAAAACTTGCTGTGTGCCAATCACTGAATGAAGATGATTTTCATGTGTCATTTTTGCTATTCTGTGATTCAGTCTTTTCACTTCAATCCATAGATATGTATTCTAAGTCACAGAGAAACTATGCCACTTATCTAAGGTCAGATGGCTAAATACTTGGGTAAGAGATGACTTAAATCTAATGATTTTAGATTCCAGAGCACATGATCTGAACCATAATGCTATATTTTAATAAGTACAAACTTTAGGACAATGTTGGTTCTCCATCTGCTTAAAGTCACTCTGCTTCTGTGTGCAATTTTCTTAGCTTCTCTTTGCTAGTGATAACAGACTTGCTGAAGTTGTCCCAGGAAGATGCAAAATAACATATGTCAAGCACCTGAAAAAATCCTAGGTGCTCTGAGCGTGCTAATTTCTTTCTCAAATCCCCCTTTTCCTGTGTTGCTGTGAGTGCCAGTATCTCCTTGCTGCTCCTGCCAATGAGATAGATATATAGATAGATGCTATAGGAATATTGACAAGAGCCTTTTTCTCAAGTTAAGGTCTATAAAAGGCTGGTGGATGATAACTCCATCTCTGCTTTCTAAATCAAGGGAAGGGCTAATCTATTATAAATGTTACTCTTCCCTGGAGACTTCTATGGGAAGTCATTCAGGACAGGTAGCTGTAATGGTGTCACTCAGATCATCTAATTAAATGACGCCTGCCCTCACTAATCATGGAGAGGGCCTAGAAGGGAAGGCGACACATTATTCCAGATTAATTCCTGATTATTCTGTACAAATAGAAGGTTTAGTAAGAGAGAGCCTGAATCAATAAGCATATATGTGTCAGAGGGTTGAAATGAATCTTTCATCCTCCTGGAACAGTCTAGGTTTCACAAATCAACAACCTGGCAGTACTGCATTTGGGTACAAAACAAGGATCAGAAAATTACCTTTTATAGACATTGCCTTTCAGATGTCTCATTACTGCCACTCTCAAACCTTAGATTCTTCCAGAGGGCTCTTATGCAAAGACCCTGGCAATAAAACTGCAAACTTTACAGGGAAGATGCTCTAAATTGGGAGGTTTGTTTTCCTGGATTCATTATCAGCATATTTCAGGGGTGCATACCTGTTGTGTTGGACGGAAATACTCAGACTGTACCAACAGAGTCTGGTGATGGTGGCAAAAATAATTTCTTCCTTTGAGAGTTGGTAGTTATTAGGCTTAGTGACCACAGAAACAATTGTCTAATGCCATTTCTCTCCAGGCATTACTGGTTTTACCATAAGTTGAAAATCGTGAATTATAACAACTGAGGTGCAGCTATATGGATCCAAGTTCATTATTTCCAAGCACCATTGTAGACACTTCTATTTGCATATTGAATATATAAAACCATCTGTCATTATGCCCACAGATGAGGAAACTGAGGCCCAGAGAAATCTGGCTGATCAGTGGGAAAGTCACACATTTTCATCCAAGTGTTTTGCCTCTGGGGCTTCAGTCCCTCACCACAGTCACATACTGTCTGTCTCTACTTATGCCCTTATTTAAAAAGTGTACTGTTATTATATTTGTAAAAGAAAAAACCCATATGATTACTTTACTGTTATAAGAAGGCAACAGGTTCTGTACCAAGCAAAATAAATTACTGGAGTGGTACCATGAAAAAATAATTCTCCCATAGTTATCGTACTATGAAGATTTTGCTCAAAATCTAAACCTTCCCTTTTTAGATGTTGCTCTATTTTATTTCTTCCTTTAAAAAATTTTGAGGTTTATTTTGTTGCAAAATAACTTCATCCACACAGCTTAATACTCATATTTTTTAGTGTGTTTTGAGAAAGGGATCAGGCATTAAATGAGTTCTCTCTCAGTGTTCAAGTTTCAATTGCTATAGATTGAGGAAATGAATCCTTTGCTCTACTTGGCAATATTTGACCACTTAATGTATAAAATTAGAGCTTAAAATCAAGTTAGGGAATAAAATTTTGACTCAGGCAATTTGATTTTGTGCTTTAAAGGTGAAAGTGTATGAAAGTATTAGGAGTAGATTGGGAAGTGTTGGGGTTAAGCACTGACTTCATCACACGCCAAGTAAAGGGGTTAGCTCCAGGAATACACAGAGAAATAAACTCCAGTCCTCAAAGAGTGGAGGAGATGGGAAACCCCGCAGTGGCAGCCTTGTAAAGAAAAGAGCCAGGCCGTTTAATCTGGTGCTGTGTTGTGTCCTGGCACTAAGATTCCCACCACCTCATGAGTCAGATGTTGAAGAAAAAAAGTCCAATTCAAGATACCCAATCTTTTTCCTTTCCCTTTCTTTTCTGAAGAATCTGAAAAGAGCAAATAATACAGGTCTTGCCTAAGTAGGCCCTTGGCCTCCACAACATTCTAAACCAAGACTTTCACCTTTGTTCTTTCCCTTGGAACCCATAGACTAACCCACGTGTATCTCTGAAACTGTGGATCACTTAAGCGATCATCTTTTCCTTGTAGAACGTGCTCCAGTTGGAAGGGGACATTGGATTCCTGCATCAAGTGGTCTAAGCTATCCCCTGACTCTGGGGCCCTCCTGGGTATCAGAAGACTTGCACTTGAGTCCAATGCCTACCATCAGTTATCCTCATGCTCTCCCAGTCAGTTATTCAGTTATCTCAGAGTGCAAAGACGGAAGAACACGACAGTTCAGATAAAAAGCCTCATTTAAAATCTGGAATGCTACCCTTATGGGCCATGTGAAGTTGAGCAAATCCTTAGTCAATCGAGGCCTCCGTGTCATCATTGTAAGATGTGGCAGTAGTAACTGTTTACACATTTGTGGTAAAGATTAAATGATGTTTCTCAAAATTCCAGGCTCATAGAAGTTCCTCAGCAATGAATGCTTCCCTTGTTTTCTTCATAAAATGAGAATCCCAGTTTCTTGCCATCTGAAGAACTATAGGACCATTTTGGTTTATCTTTTATCAAGTTCTGGGGGTGGGGGCCTTGTAGAAAATTATTTATGGAGTACAAAAAACTCCTTAACTATTACTGTGAGTTACAAAAATAGAAGGACAATTTCTGTCAAAGGGAAAGATAGTTTTCCTATGCATAATTATTTATAAAAACCCAAAAGAAGGCTGGGTATGGTGGCTTATGCCAGAAATCCCAGTACTTTGGGAGGGCAAGGTGGGAGGATCACTTGAGCCCAGGAGCTAGAGACCAGCCTGGGTATCATAGTGAGACCCTGTCTCTACAAAAAATAAAAAATAAAAATTAGCTGGGCATGGTTGTATGCATCTGTAGTCCCAGTTACTCCGGAGGCTGAGGTAGGAAGATCCTTTTGCCTGGGAGGTCGAGTCTATAGTGAGCTGTGGTCATACCACCATCCTCCAGCTTGGGCAACAGCATGAGACCCAGTCTCAAAATATGTAAGTATAAATGGAAAAAATGAATAAAAAATAAGAAACTTCACCATTATCTAAAATCCTTTTTAGAGAAAGAATAAAATTTAATCTAGTATGTCCTTTGAACTTTCCTCTAAAAAAAAGTTACAGAAAACAATAGTTTGCTGTTGATATAGCATAAAGTAGCATTATATGTGGTTAATTTGAAAATTGGAGGCTCGATCTTTCCAATTTCTGCTAAAAAAAAAGAAGAGCCAAAGAAAGTAATTAAAAACTGATCTGATTCCTCCTTTCTAGTAGTGAGATAAAAATCACCCCTTTTCACATGGTTTTGATGTTATCTTGGAAGACAATGAGCCAGTGCCTCTGGAAACTTCCTACAGAATGTTTTTGTCTTTTTAGATCTGAAAATACTGAGAATCAAAACACTGAATGAGGTTTTATTTTGTTTCGTTTTTTCCAATCACAAGAACATCGATATCCTCACCTTCCAAAATCTTTCCACATTTACACTGTGTCCTACTTAGGTGGTTACACTTACATTTTGGAAGTGTGACATTTATAAAGCATATCTTGACTTGCCTTAAAATAATAATTAATCTCTATTTTCTCTCTTTTAATTAACTAGGAGCATTCTAATTTCTTGGGTTTAAAGCGTAGCAACAAATTTCCTACAGAATTCTCATTTTAAAAATCAGTTAAATTTTCAGTTCTTTTCTGTCCTTTATACATTTTACCCCTTTTTAGAAACTATGAGTGTGCGTGTTTGTGACCAATCAGATTATTCTGGCATTCCAATAGTCTGTATGCTTTTGCTTCCACATTTTATTAAACGTTCCTCAGTATTGTTTTCCCATATGATACATTCACATTTTTATGAGATGGGTTTTTGTCTGTAATTTCTTTTTACCTCCCTGGGCCCTTTCAAAACTGATTCCTTGAAAAAAAATTGCATGATGATTTTACTGAACATGCTCTACTGGAAATTGTATACGTGCTGGGTATCAATGATCTATTCTTGCTAGGTCATTGCAGTTCATGATGCCTTCTTGAGATTTCACACACATGACTAGATTCGTAGTCCATATACTTTGTAAACTCTACAAAGTGCTTGTGATAACATCAGCAGAACAAACATAAAACAATTACACTCTCAAATACATTACTCGACACTTTTCATCACTATTTGAAGTTTGAGCTATAAAGTGAGTACTTTCAATGAATCATTTGAAATGTGCTCTAACATTCATAATCTAGGACTGGATATTTCCTTGTAGTAACTCACGTTAGGCCAAATCCTGTATATTAAAGGATTAACCTAATTGTTTCTGTGAGCTCTTCCTCTGTTCCAGTTAGAATTGGAAATTAGGCATCTATACACAAACACTGTTGATTATTTTATAGATGAATTTGCATTAGGTTTATTCAACGTAGAACAAAATCAGGTCAATATCTTAGAAGATGACTTCAGCTCATATTTTAAAATTATGGGCGCTTCTGATTTACATAGCTCATTTCCTCCCATTGTAATATGTGTTTGCGTGGTATTTGTCTTGCTTTGATTTAATATGGCTTTTCCTTGTAAGGTTTTCTAGAGATGGCAATCTTTCATTAATGTAGCAGATGATGACTTTTTTCTTTCCTCACAGTCCTACAAATAAATCCTAGGAGATTGAGAGATAAAATAAACAAGCACAAAAAGTCTCAGAATATTAAGAAAACTGAAGACATTTGAGACATTTGTCTTCAGGAGGAAAATTAGAAAAAGGAGGTAATCCTGAGTATTACAAAAAGCTGGTTTACACAGTGACTGAAATATTCATGTACCAGAAAGCCTAAAACAAAAGTAAAAACCTATTAGTCAAGAACGGGAAAAGAGAGATGTATAGGAGACTAAAGTTTGTCACATCTAAAATCTGTCTCCCAAATCCACACTAGATGTAATTGTGAAACTCTACCTTAATTTACATAATATTTTTAGGGAGTGAGAAGCTGGAAAAATTTGGGGTACCCACTCTCTATCATAAGTACTGCCAATATCAATTTTAATGTTTTCTAAAGGATTGATTGAACAATAAACTTGTTATAGAAATGATAATCCCCTTAGGTAGCTACAAAAACATTTTGTATCAGGCATTTATACTTTCTTGTGAACACAGTGAGATCCATGTAATAATCAGCTCCATGAGCAAATTATACAAGATTATACCCAAATTTTACTGCATATAGTTATATATATTGCCAAAAATATATTCTACATTAAATATGCAATCATTTAAAATAACAAATGTGGATCAAAGGCCATTTGCCATTTGTGAAACCAACAACAATCACAAATGCTTAAATTACTTGGATAGAAAATGTTTGACCCGTAACAGTTTTAAAAATCTCATAACTTTCTGCCTCTCTGGAGACAGTTTTACACATAGACCATAACAAGTTTACTTTATAATTTTCTGGAGAATAGTTTTTATTTGTTAGAAGGGTTGGAATTATGAAATTCAAGTTAAAGGGAATCCTAAGTTGTCACCAAGCTCTGTCACAGCTTACACATGTCCCCACTAGCATCCTACACTTACCTGTATCGCATCACTTACAACACTTTATTATTGTGGGGTTTTTTTCTTCTAACTTCTTTCTCCAAATCCAGTCAATAATCTCCTTATCCATCATGGTGCCTCTGGCCCTAGCAGGATTCTTGACATATATAGATTTCAATAATTGTTTGTTGAACTATAGATGAAAGAGTATTATCATGAGAACTTTCTGTGACTGCCAGGAACACTCATTTAAAGTTGGTCCAACAACTCAATGTATCCTCCTACGGCAGATTCCATTAAAAAGAAGTGACTAATTGACCTTTAGTCCCATATTCACTGATAGAAAGAAGAACCATTTGACTTTTGCTGTGGTTTTAGATTCTCTGAGATGTTTTTTGAGCCATCCTCCCATCCATCTATTCATCCATCCATCCATCCATCCATCCATCCATCCATCCATCCATCCATCCCCTCTATTCATTGTAAGGCGTTGTGTTTATGGTACTTTACATGCCACATGAATTTGTTAATGAATGTATAAATACATTATTGAAGTTATTATGAGTTATCTATGCTTCATTGAAACCTATGCCCCATTCTAATGTATTCAAGAACCAAATTCCACCGTAGATTCTTACAACCAAAGCTTCAACATTATCCCCCTTTCCTCCTAATTTAGATTCTTTTCTATCTCCCTCTTGGTCTAATTGAAAGATTAACTCATTCTCAAAGAAGAACTGAACATATATTACACATCTATAGATGTAAAGCCACTGGGGGTTACTATACTGCAAATATCAATGAGGAAGCAGAGATGGGTTTTATGGATAAAGCTGAAAACAATGCCAATACATAGTGACTGCTGTGGTTTGAATGTGGTCCCCAAATCCATGTGTTGGAAACTTAATCCCCAACGCAACATATTGCAAGGTGGGGCCTCAAAAGAGGTGATTAGGCCATGAGAGCAGAGCTCTCGTGAATGGGTGAAAGTCATTATGGAAGGAGTGGGCTAGTTATCATGAGACCATATTACAAAAGAGAGTTCACCCCTCATGCTCTCTCTGTCTCACATGCTCACTTTCACCTTCCATCCTTTTGCCAAGGGTTGCCGTGACCAAATGCTGGCACTGTGCTCTGTTACTTTCCAGCCTCCAAAACTAAGGACCAAATAAAATCTCTTTTCTTTATAAATTACCCAGTCTGTGGTGTTCTGTTATAGCAGCAGAAAATAGACTAAGACAGTGACCAAACCTAAGCTTGATAAGCAGTTGTTCACCTGTAGTTGTGGCTGTGCCTGGCTGGAAAGGTGGCTGGTAGCAGCCTATTTGCAGACATCTTGGCAGGCATCCTGATGTATTTACTGCATTTTGCCCCAAACCTATATTTATTTGTCATGATGAAAGAGGTAAAAAGCCCTAAGAATGAATGTATTACATATATTTTGAAGATTAAATAATGATTGAAAATGTAATGAGAACTGTATGTAATAAATTTATAGGTTGTCAAAAAAAGATTTTTTTAAGAAACCCTAATTCTGAAAGATAAAATGACTACTAAAACAAATATTAAAAATTAATTAAAATATTTTTATCTGTGTTTTAATATGATTAGCTCTTCAAATGGTATGAACTAATTGTATAAAACTGTAGCTTTTACCAGGTTGACTTTCTTTTGCAAAAAATGGTGGTAAAATGCTCTGAAAAATTTGGCTGACTTACCTACACAGTAATTACCTAACTTTATTCTACTTTGATAATACTTGTTAGCAAAAGATATTTCAGTGCTAACATTTTAAATTGTTGAAAATAGGAAAAGAACATTTTCTGCATCTAGCACATATTATTTAACAAACATCTGTTGGGGTAGATACCTCCCATCAGACACAAATAACTTTTCAAAAAGAATAGTTCCCTTTTATGTCTAAGAAAAAGCAAATGGTGAAAGCAACTAATAAGCTCTTAACAGGCACTTTATTGTGGGGAGGGGAATCCATTTAACCTTGAATATCAGGGTGGGAACAACCTGCAGCTATAAAACAAGCATTCCTGAGAATTTTTGAAAAGGTCTCCTTTTCCCTGTTGAGACACATATGAAAATTATGCACCCTTACTTACAGTGAAATTGGTAAATTAGAATCACTATAATCAGAAACATTTCATCTTTGAACATGTCAGTGGTAAATGCACGATTCATGCAAATAATGTATCCATCTTCTGCTCCTTTCATTTCTTCCTTTCTCCATTACAATTCACTTCTATTTATTTTCACAGTAATGTGTGTTGAGAATGTTTAAATGCATTCTGCAGTTCTTTAAGCTGCCTTGATGAGGGTGACCAATGATGGGGAGGTCAGAGTACCAGAATGGTGGCTTGCAATTGGCCACCCATCCTGACTGGCTTCTGTGCACTCTTTTTAAGAAAGTGGGGCCAGGCATGGTGGCTCACGCCTATAATCCCAGCACTTTGGGAGGCCGAGGTGAGTGGATCACCTGAGGTCAGGAGTTCAAAACCAACCTGGCCAATGTGGTGAAACCCCGTCTCTACTAAAAATACAAAAATTAGATGGGTGTGGTGGCTCGCGCTTGTAATCCCAGCTATTTGGGAGGTTGAGGCAGGAGAATCGCTTGAACCCAGGAGGCGGAGGTTGCAGTGAACTGAGATTGCCCCACTGTACTCCAGCCTGGGCAAGAGTGAAGCTCTGTCTCAGAAAAAAGAAAAAAAAAAAGTGGGATGCATTGTTCAGGAATGCACTACATCAGAGATTACCTTCCTCACTCACTCCCTGCTTACTCCAATGGGGGCTTCTCAAACATTTCTGTCATCAGCCTTGGAGGTCAACGCTTCCTGGATTTGCCTATGCTTCTAAAAGAACAATATAAATATGCTTGTGTGAAATTCTCACTTTGCCTCATTGATAAAATCTTTCTTGACCTGCAGATCAATTTGGTCTGCTGCTTCTCCGCTCCTGAGTTTGGGGTCTCCATTGTGTTCAGTTGTATTTTGAATATACAACAATATAATTCTGCCCCTTTCAAAATAAATTTTGTCCTTTGCCTAATTATATTCCCTTGCCAGCCTGCCTTTATCTTGATCTAGTGCCTTTTTCTAGTCTAGAAATTTTATGTCTCTTTCTTCCCTTTCTTCACATTCCTTACCTTGCTTAGACTTTGGTGTGATCCAGAATCATCTTTGATGGAACTGTAACTGGTATGTTTATTTTTATGTTTGTTTTTTTCCTAAGGATACAGTCAAAGCAAAAGACATTAAATCAGAAATTCTATATTCTGACCAATAATGGTACTCCCTGATTCTGAAAATACTTTAGTTGAAGAAACATTCCAGTTTCAGGAAAGTTCAAATGTGGAGCATAGCATGCTTAGATTTAAACATATTGATAGAGCGGGTCCTTTTATCTCACAGAGTAGAGCTACTAAAAATACAAAAATTAGACAGGCATGGTGGCTCACGCTTGTAATCCCAGATTCTCAGGAAGTTGAGGCAGGAGAATCGCTTCAACCCGGGAGGCGGAGGTTGCAGTGAACTGAGATCGCACCATTGCGCTCCAACCTGGAGTGATATCCAGAGTGATATAGAAAATATCACTTAGGTGGTGGGGATGATTGAAAACCAGATTTGGAACCTGGCAAACCCAGAATATAAAGTTTCCTAATAATTGATAAAAGATTCATTATTTTGCCAGGATAGACACAAAATTTAGCTTTTTAAGAAATTTCTTAGATTAGAACAATGATACTTTTTTCTTATTAACAGAGAGGTGATTCAGTCATTTATTAATAGACCTACTTCTATCCAGGGCTTTTTCCCCATCACAATGAGAACTTTTTGTAAAGGGAAAGAAAATGGACCCAAGAAAGGGATATCATGAAATATAATGTCTTGTATTCATATTTCATATCTTATATTTCATGATTTAAAACATTAATGAAATATAGCCATGTTCCAGTCCCACATACTCATCTAATGTTGCCTTTTGCATCTGAAATATTACTATGCTAGTCTAAGATTAATAGTTTCTTTTCTTTTTGAGGCAGAGTCTCACTCTGTCGCCCAGGCTGGAGTGCAGTGGCGCGGGTCTCAGCTCACTGCAACCTCCGCCACCTGGGTTCAAGTGATTCTCCTGCCTCAGTCTCCTGAGTAGCTGGGACTACAGGCACCCACCACCATGCCCACCTAAGTTTTGTATTTTTAGTAGATATGGGGTTTCGCCTTGTTGGCCAGGCTGGTCTCAAACTCCTGACCTCAAGTGTTCCGCCTCTCTTGGCCTCCTAAGTGCTGGGATTACAGGCGTGAGCCACCATGCCCGGCCTAATAGTTTTTTATTAGCTGCACAGGGAGGCTAATCCCAGTCACTCAATAGACTGAGGCAGGAGGATCACCTAAGCCTAAGAGATGGAGGCCAGTTTGGGAAACATAGCAAGAAGAGTCTCAAAAACAAAACTTAGAACATTTTCCTTATTTCTGGTTTCATCCCACTCCCCTCATATGTCTTTCATAGAGTATGCATAAGATCAAGATTGCTTGTTTGGGGAAAAAATAATCTGAGATTTAAAAAAATCCCTTTGCATAACAAATTTTTAGAGCTTGCCATCCAGATGACTAAAGATAAGGTTATGATGTCTTCTTAATTCATTCTGAGTTAATCCGTTCTCACAACAAGCTGCACATTTATTTATTTTCTACCTTTTGAACACTTACATTTATTTATCTCTGGGTACCCTGTTGGGCTACATTCCATATTGTGACGTGACAGCTTTTCATCAGCTTTAGAAGGGATATTTTGCAAAATGACTGTTTCACATCACTCTATACCCATATTAGAGACTTGTTGGCAGTAAAAATATTTACAGTGAGAGGGCTGTCTTTTTTGTTCACATTTTCTGATGTAGTTGCTGTCATCTTTGCAACTGCTTTTCTTCTCAGGGCAGTGAACCAGCTAACTACACCATCTCCTGAGTGTCTATTTTGAGGGTGAGAGGCTTGCTTTGCTTCTGTTGATAGAAATGGGATTTATCCGTGAAAATTGACAACTGAATTGTCACCTTCCCCTCAGGTGGTTTCCTAATTATAATTTGTTCTCTGCCGTGTCAGGAAACAGAAGAATAGAAAATCAGAATCTTTTTTACTTGCTGCAAAGCAAACAGGATCAGGACAGCCTGGGAGCCAGGGAAAATCACACTGGAAATAGCTCAAAGTTCCTGGTGGGTTGTAAAGATGGGCTATTTGGGAAGGTTATTCAGGTGGTTCAAACTGCCTAGGGCCTTAAGTGAACTTGAATAATAATAGGCCAGTGATTTCTATCCCAAAATAGGCTGCTGCTCTGGTACTTTGTTAAAATTTGAAATTACTTTTCTGAAAATGCCATCTATTACCATAACTCTGCACAGAAACACTGACTTGTAAGTAGATCAACAGAGGTCAAATGTGTGGCACTCAGGCATAGAGCAGTACATTGAAAATCCCCCCTAATGTGTTAATTGCCGTGCTCCAGAAAGCATGCTTCAATAAACCCTAGTCACATATGACATATGAAACCCCGAAGGTTTGTCAACTTCCATGGGAGTATGAACCGGTGGTTGAATGACTGATAATGCTTGGAAATGCCTAGGCATTTTGCTTCTCATTTTGTTGTTTGATGTATGAGCTTTTACTATTTCCTGGGCTATGTGGGGTGAGGGAAAGGACTGAGTTAGCTACTACCACTCATATTATGGGGAATTTTAAGTGTTCTTTTTAACAAAAAGTTAAATATCTCAAGATAAATGTGTTGTTGTCGTGAGAAACCATTTAGGTTGCCCCCTCCTCTCTGCTTCTCCTTCCTTTTCTTTAGTCTCTTTTCCTTCTACCTCTTTCACTTTGTTAATCTCTTCATGGCCCATCATATATCTCTATCTCCCTGGCTCACTGCTGTGATGTTTCTCCATTCTTTCTCATAGCCAATGATCTAAATTTGTTAAGAAATCATTTGGACACTATGTCCCTGAGATATTGAGAACAAGGTGCACACAAATCTATTTTAAAAAGTTGAGTAAATTTCAATTATTTAAATGTTCTACTTTATGGAAATTATGCAAAGGTGGCCAGTGGCCAGAATCATGAGCTCTTGACTAGTAGCTGAAAACATCCCCAAACTGGAATGATGCCTTTCTTAAAAACAGCTCATTCTACTAAAAAGTAATGTCAGTTGTAAAAAATTATCTGACACTCTTCTTCCAGAAAGGTGGAAGGATATATGTGGAGAGACAGTCTTCCATTCACAGTTCTAGACAGCAACCACATTTACTCCATATTGACAGCGTCACACCTTTCTCTCCCCTAAACACCTAGAGAAGAGAGATTACTTCTCTTTGATTTCTAACATCTTCCGCAAGATGATTCCAATGAAGTGTTCAGGAAACAGACTGGGCAGAGAAAAGATCGGATGAGTTAATGGGGATAGATTCCCCACCACTACAAAGAAAATAATTGATAGCATCTAACCCTAATAACCTGAATGACAGTATCTTATATAAATTTGAGTTAATAATTCAGCATCCACTTTTCTGTTTAGCAATATCTGCTAAATTCAAAGCAGCTGCTTTCTACTCCCTGTTAGTATTCTTTAGCAAAGCTTCTAGTTAGGATAATCCTTAGGATATATAAACATTTTGGTTTTATTTTTTCTCTTAATACTAACTGGGAAGGTGCATTTTAAAAGTTATACATAACATATATAATATTTTTGTAGTTAGTAATGTGTGGAGTATAATTGTAAATTTTATGTATATGCTACACACCCATAAATGAGACATGTACAAATGCATTGGTTTCAAATCTAAAAGAAACTGGTTTGGGATATTTTGCCTTTTTTTGTTTGTTTTACTTCCAATACTGTTAGCCTAACCCCAATGATCGATTTTCAAATTTGGAAAATTTTAAGAGACTTATCTGTGAGATGTGAAGTCAAAGCTTTTTAATATGCTTAATGACTTGCTTTTGGTAATAGATTAAGATCAGAATGAAAAGTAGACCTTTTCTGTGGCATAATAGTGCCAGCCTGGGGAAATAGAATTATTTCGAGTAGGAAACACACACTATAATTTTAGAGAGATAAAGGTAAAAGATGGCCAGTAAAAGACTAGAAGAGTTCAAAATTAAATATATATGTATTATAGATTACTCATAATATATATAATACTTATAATAATATTTATGTGGGTCCCTTTACTTTAAAAAACTGGTGGATATAAAGTATTGATCTTCCAGAGTCCATTTAAAATTTGATTCCTACACTTGTTTTTCAGAGTGTAGCCATTCATTGTAAAAAATAAAATGCATCTCATCATTTTGCTTGATATTTTAGCTGGGAAGTTATATTTTTATTCTTCCTATTCATTTTCTATGCATGAATATAAACATGACTCAAGTTTGACTGCTGAAAACCAGACACCTAATACCCTTAATTCATTGCCTCACGATGAAAGGTCTGATCATGATGACATCTAGAATCTCATGGGTTCTTATTTGAGATTATGTTTTACAGCTCTAGGTACTTTTCTGCCCTTAGTAACAGAAAAATTTTAAAAATCAGACTTCCTTGTTTTTTTTTTTTTTTTTGAGATGGAGTCTTGCTGTGTCACCTAGGCTGGAGTGCAGTGGCGCGATCTGTGTTCACTGCAACCTCCGCCTCCCAGGTTCAGCGATTCTCTTGCCTCAGCCTCTCAAGTAGCTGGGATTACAGGTACCCACCACCACGCCCAGCTAATTTTTTCATATTTTAGTACAGATGGGGTTTTGCCATGTTGGCCAGGATGGTCTTGAACTCCTGATTTTAGGTGATCCACCCACCTTCGCTTCCCAAAGTGCTAGGATTGCAGGCGTAAGCCACCACACCTGACCCAGACTTCTTAATTGCCCAAACTGGAGCAGGTTAAGGGAGCTATCTTTCCAATCCATGGAGAAACATTATGGCAGAAAAGAGCACAGGAACCTCAATAAACTATCATAAAGTTGCTTTTAAGCTGAAGTTGGGAGAAAATGTTGCTTTCTGAAAGATTCTTAAACTTGCTCATGTTAAAATTCAAGAGAGTCTTTGGTAGGAGAAAGTTGAACGTGTTTAGTGCACATTCACGGATGTTCATAGCAGAGTTGGTATGTTATAAAGACAGTACTGTTAGGAGTGCACCAATTTAGTAGCTGGGATGCTTTCATGGAAACAGAAGCACTATTTGGGGTCATTGTAGGTGACCCTAATGGAATTGTATTTTTGACATCATTTGCTACCTGTGATCAACAAACAATTGATATCCTACTAGAGAATTATTGCCTACTTACTTTGTCTTCTTTGCCTTCTACACAAATACTTCAAAAATTGATTTAGCCACACATAAATGATCAGCCGTTATCCGTTTACAAGTTCTCTAGCCTAAAGCTGCACATGATCAACACTTATCCGTCCATGATTGTGGCAGATAATGTCCATTCCTTCTATATTCCTTAGTCTTTCTTAGTCGAAGAACTAAGCTTGATTCGAGGTGACAATATACTGGCTAAAAAATTACATTTTTAAAAAATCAGTTCTTGCAACTACGTGTGATTCATGAGAATATTTTGGACAATGGTATATAGGTGCAAGTGTTGTATGCCAAGCTGGGAAGGTAACATGGAAAGACTTCACCCAACAAAAACAACTGCCCATTTGTCTTTTTCCATATCCCCTTTCTTACTGCTTGAGAGATGAGTTCATGAGTGCTGGAGCTTCAGCAGACATCTGAAACTATGAACAACACTGAGAATGGAATTGACATTCTAGGACAGCGCTGCAGAAGTAGCCTGGGTCCTTGGTGACTGAAACTTCCATACCAGCTCTGAATTCTTTACCTGTCAACTTACTATGTGAGAAAGACAAAAACATATTTTCAAGCAATTGTTATTTTTATTTTCTATTTTTGCAAGCAAACCGGTAAATAATTGGTATTGCTTAATCATCAAAATGAGTCTTTAAAATTTTGAAATCACATATACAGAGGGACTAAACACTTTAGCAGAGCAGTATAGATTTTTGGAAACATCACTACACGACCTAGTCAAGAGATGTGATTCGAATTGTTTCTCATTAACTCTATGGCCATGTGGCTTTTGGTAAATAACTTTTCCTCTCTGAGCATTGTTTTCTTCCATAAAAGTAGAGATCTGACTCGGTTAGCACTAACATTCCATCTTTGACCTGTTGAGATACCTTGTCCTGACTAAAACGTCCCTTATAACCTTGAGTCTAAAGGCTATGATCAGGAAGAGAACACAATTCCCAAGTCCAGTCGAGATTTACCTTTAATAAGAATTCATGGCTTATGGGATGGGCCTGGTGGCTCACACCTGTAATGCCAGCACTTTGGGAGACCGAGGTGGGCGAATCACGAAGTTAGGAGTTTGAGACCAGTCTGGCCAACATAGTGAAACCCTGTCTCTACTAAAAATACAGAAAATTAGCCAGGTGTGGTGGCAGGCACCTGTAATCCCAGGTACTTGAGAGGCTGAGGCAGGAGAGTCATGTAAACCCGGGAGGTGGAGGTTGCAGGGAGCCGAGATCGCACCATTGCACTACAACCCCAGTGACAGTGCGAGATTCTTGTCTCAAAAAAAAAAAGAAAAGAAAAAAAAAAAGGATTAATGGCCCATGGAGAGGATTAGTAGCTCTATCTCAAAATCTTCCCTGAAGCAAACTTGTTAAAATACAGCTAGTGGTGTTGGCACTGATGACCTTCTCTCTCTCTCCCTCAATCTCCCCAGGAAGCAGTCAACCTAAAATGCAATTACATGCAAAAAAGTTTCAGTCATGGTAATTGGAAGATGATATGGTGGCAGGTGATGTGATAGCAAAAGTCAGTTTCTGGATGTAGGAAGGAATATTGAAAATGTTAGATTCTAGAACAAATCAATATTTCCAACAGTGTGCAATGAAGGGAACCTACCAGGCTACTCCAGCCTGAAAATACCTTGGAAATTTTACAGGAGGTATTTCTTCACTCACTCACACACACACACACACACACGCACACACGTGCGCAAGGAATTATATCAGGATTTATTAGTCCTGAATAAACTTCACTAGCATTGTGAATTTAACGCTAAGACTTTCCCTTCCAAAAGCTTTATTATTTATTTTCCCTTTTCTATTCTCATATATTCATCCAGGAGCTAGGAAGGACTGACAAAAAAAATAGGCAAATGCTCAGCTTTGCTTCTTCCACCAAGATCTGTGATCTGTAGGCAGAAGTGATTCTTATTACCAAAGTGAGTAAAGTTCTTACTCCCTCTAACAGCAGGGAGTGACCTGCTTCAAATGTCAAATGGAACCATGAAAACCTTTTGTCACAGGGCCCTCGTTAAACAATCAATGACACTTCGTCTACTTGAATCCTTGGGGAGTGATGCCGGTATCCTCATGGAAGGGCCCCTTAGATATTCTGTTAGAGGTATTTGGGTCTCAGTAGCTGTTGAGGTGTCTGTGCATCTCTTATCTATCCTTCTAAGAGTGCAGTAACATATGTTATAAATATCCTGTATATTTTATTTTATTTTTTATTTTTGAGTTAGAGTCTCACTCTGTTGCCAGGTTGGAGTTCAGTGGCACGATCTCGGCTCACTGAAACCTCTGCCTCTCATGTTGAAGTGATTCTCCTGCCTCGGCCTCCTGAGTAGCGGGGACTACAGGTGCACGCCACCATGCCCAGTTAATTTTTGTATTTTTAGTAGAGATGGGGTTTCACCATGTTGGCCAGGATGGACTCGATCTCTTGACCTCGTGATCCACCCGTCTCGGCCTCCCAACATGCTGGGATGCTGGGATTACAGGCGTGAGCCACCGCACCCAGGCTATTCTGTGTATTTTATTAGTCCAGAAAAGTAATTATTGTAATAGGAGAAGAAACAAAGTAAATTTAGACGGGGATCAATTTTGTTTATTTTATCACCTTGCCACATCATTTTCTCCAGCTGTAAATCAGGTGGGACAATGGACTCTACCCTCAAGCTAGGAAAGTGTCTCTCATTTCTTCAAAGGACACCTACTTCATTACTTTTTGAATTTGCTTTTACCATTTCTCTTCATTGGGAAAGGCTTTCATTTGCTCTTTTGCTAAAGGAAATCTGCCTCCTCTCTCCCAATTAGCTTAAACAACACCTCTTGCTCATACGTTTCCTAAACTTCCAGTTTTAAAGAGTTGTTCTTTCTTCAGTGACCTTTTAGTGTTTTATGTAGACTGGTGCCCCCCCAACAATATGGTTACTGAGAAACAATAACCATATAAAATTAAAATACACATTCTGGGGGGAAGGGATTATGGGTCAAATATGCTTTGTACAAGCTACATATTATATTCCTTACTTGGTATGTAACAAAACATAAATACGCTCATGGAGTTATGTATTCATTATTTAAATAATTCCTGGGTACCCACAAGCATACGTAGAGCTGGCCTACCTCATTAATTACTATATCTGCAGTGCCTCAAATATACAAATTTTAAAAAGAAAAAAAGTCATATGCTACTGATGGGGTATTGTATTATCTGAATTAAATGGTAAGGAATTATTTACCATGCAGAAATCGTATAAATCTTTTTTTGGTAGTAGGAAACGCTAAATGCTCATTTTCTTAGACTATGAGGCATATCAAAGGTTGAAAAAAGAAAGAAAGCATAGCTTACCTCCTTTTATAAGAATAAAAGAACTAAATAAAAATTTTTTGTCAAGTAAGCCTCTTTCAGGAAATCAAAGGATCAACACAGATTTAATTTCACCTTCTGAAACATCTACATCTGTGGTCTTTTACAATGAGAATGTGCCCAAGGCTTGCTTGACGCTGAAAGTGGCTTCGGAATCATTAAGTGAAGATTTCACCATGTTCCATAGCATTTCTGTTAAGTGCACTTTATTGTTCACTAACTTGTTGAAAACTGGAATTGCCATACAGCATACCATGTAGTTTACTTGACTATTCAATAAACCATAACACTCCATTTTCAACCCTTCTGAATAATCGATTTTTTTTTTACTAGAACATACTTATACAAGTGGTGATGGTTCTCAAAAAATCATGTGGATTTAATTTCATTCTGTCCTGGAAAAGTATCTTTTCACTTTAAGAAGTTCCTGGCTGTGTCCATGTAACGGACTCAGCACTGCAGCTGTGTTGTCATTGTGCATTCTACTGAGACACGAGATGATTGAAGGTGGCTAGGAAACACAAGGAGCTCTGATAATGGGGAAAGTTTGGCAAGTAGAAAGCAAAATGTGAAAAGCAGAGAGAGAATATGAAATGTTAAAAATAGCTTTTTCTTTTATTTTCATTTTGTGACTACAGAGTGATGGTTGAGATTCCCCTTTTGCACAGACAGACCTCCGGCCCAGTAGTCCCCAACTGTGACAATGTTCCTCCACCCCCAATACCACGCACACATGAGGTGATAATTTGCATTGCTGGGAGAACTATTTGGTTTTGACAACTGGGGAATATGCTACTGGCATCTAGGCCAGGGTACTGCCACAGAGCCTACATTGCCCTGGATGGCTCCTGTGGCCCCCACAACAAAGCATTACCTAGCCCAAATGTCAACATCACCAAGTTTGAGAAATCCTGCTCTACAGAGATTTGACATTTATATTGCTAGCAAAATACCTCAAAAGTCAACCTTTAGTGTTTGGTAAGCCAAACTTCTATGTATGAGATGCTGGCTCTTGAGGCCTGGAAGAAGTCTAGGATCATATTTAATCAATATAAAAAGGATTAATAAAAATCTTACTCTGTTTAGTTTTTGTCTCCTAATATATGGTTGTCTATAGGGATTAATCCTAGGTTACTGACCGGCAAGAGTTCATAGACAATTAAGATTAGGAAGGAGGCGGAGAGGTCATAAAAATTATATTTCTCCTTTGCTTTTCTCTGTTACTCTAGGTAAGTGTATGCTGATGGTTTCTGGGATACCACGTTGGGATGGAAAGGCCTTCATTGTATTATGTCATTGAATGCTGTGGGAATATGGAAAAAAGTATTTCTCTAATCTACAGATGATCTCAGAAAGCCTCGTTACATACTACACACACACACATGCAACCCCTCCCATACTTATAACTAAGATGTCTATTTAAGCAAATAGCACCAGACAAAATAGCAATGTATATTAGCATGGAATGTGCAACTTTCATTTTGTAGGTATTTCATCTTAACCCTGTGATGTGTCTTGGGATCGTAAGATTAGCGTCATTTTTCTGGGTAGAGAAACAGTCCTGAGGAGTTTGTCTAGCTTGATGAGAACTGCATGTTACTGCTATTTTTGCAGCTATTAACCATAAGACAAAATTTGCAGCTTCTTCCTTATTTTCCATGTTCCATAAAAAAATGGGATGAGACAAGTTCTAAGTGATAGTCTATCTCTATTCCTGAGCCTAATATTTTCAAAATATGAGGTGTGTAAGATAACTAGGTTTCCCCACTGTCGCCTGGCAAAATCATCATCATCGTCATCATCATCATCATCATCATCATCATCAGTAACCATAGACTTATATGGTTTCCTCTCAGATATTTTATTTTAAAAAAAGTTCCTTTCATCTAGAAATTCTGACCACACCTTGATATTGCAATTCCTTGTTCATATTGGTCTGGATCAGGCCATATTACTTCTCTTGAAGCTAAAAGGATCCTGTGTTCTGATTGGTCAACTTGGACCAGCATCTGGATTCTGAAGTACAGCCATGTCTCCCTAAACCGCAGGAATTCAGGGATGAGAAAAGGTGGTTCCTCAGGCAAATCTGGGAACTGTAACCAAGAGAAAGGTACACATATGCTAGATGGGCACAAACAGTGAGTATGACAATAATATTTCCACCTATAACAGGTTGTTGCAAAAATACATGAGATTATATGTACATATAAAATACCACATATAACAATACCCACTACATATAAAGATTTAGTAAAGCAATAAGCATTATTTTAAACATATGCTATAACAAATATAACTTGCGATCCACACACAAAACTACTTGGATTTCAAGAAAATGGTTACAAACCACTCACAGAATGCTGAAGGTGTTTGGTGTTATGTAATTAGAGAGATGAAAAGTGAAGGAAAAAAGAGTTGCAATAATTGATGATAACTTCCATCATGAGTAATTTAAAGTTGTGTATAACTCCAGATTTTAAGCTAATTCAAGATTATTAGTTATCTCTCAGTAGTTTGGAATAAATTAATAAAAATTAAATTACCCCCAAATTAGAATTCCTGCCCAACCATCCTATGTGAGCAGAGATGATATCTAGAAAGGAGATAAGTATAAATCAAAGGGAGTGATGTTTCAAAGAATAAGCCCGAAATGGTTCTTCAATGATTTTCCCTTTTGGGTGATCCATATCAATAAAGCTTAATAAGAACTAAGAGTGAAATTACTACTAACTGTGAACTTAATAATGCCCCACTGGGAGTTCATTAATATCTCAACAGGTACACTGAAGCATTATCTTAATTGCACATGATACTTTCAAAAATTCGCCTTTTACAAGTTTTGTGGAAACTACCCTCTAGAACTAGCATTAGTGAATTTTGTTTTGCCTTTCTGTATTGCAGTTTTGTACTGCCCACATATGCAAATCCCCCAGGAACAAATGAACCACATTCGCCTTCCAAAAAGTAAGATACTCCTCAGGTGACTGTCCTTGCTACAGGCAATGTGTTTATAATACAAAGCAGAATACAATAAAGAGAGGAAGAATATAATATAAAAAAATATACTGAGAAAGAATGTAATATAGAGAAAAAAATATAATATACAGAGGAATAATACAAAAAGGGAGGAAGTTAACATGCATGGAAACAATTTCAGAACTTTCATTGTGTTCTGAATAAATAAAATAATTTCCTTTATGTAAATATTTAGAAATTTATTTTTATGAGAACTAAGCTTGCAGTGGAGCAGTGGTGGAAATTTGGATTTTTAAACATTTCTATTAATGTTTTCTAGAAGACATCTGTACTTGAGTCTTCAGTGACAATTATTGACAGTAAGATGATGCCTAAGGGAGTATGTTTCCAAGCCTAGGAGATCCTTCTGCCTAGTAGCAGTTTACTATGTAATAATTATGGGATAAAATTAAACTTGACTCAATCTTGTCAACATTTAGAAAGTGAAAGTGCGTCATACATGCATAATATTTCTTTTTTTATTAGAAATGACATATAATTATTTTCTCTGGATTTAATATATTATTTTTATTCATTTTTTTTTTCTATTTTAACTTGGCAGTAGTAATGTTAACATCAAGTAAAATGAGGACCCAAGACCATAAACACTGTATTTGCTATGTGGGCCTGGCAGCCTGGTTCCTGAGGGGAGAGGAGTTAAGGAAAAGGCAGGGCAGAAACTGCCTCTTTAAAATGACAAATCCTAGTTATGTCTGGCAAAGTTTGAATCCTGAGGCATCATAGTTTATGTTGCCTAGGTTGTCAGGAACTAAGGCCTAAGAAAAAAAAACAAAAACAGAGTGAGCAGCTTCCTAAATGACTTCCTTGGTCTCTTTACCTTTGATCTTCCATCCAAATGATAGCTTTCTTTCTCCTACATTCCCCAAAAAAGTATGCCGAGGAAAAGAAAAGGTGAGAAAAAGTATTTGCCCTGGAGCCTAAAGCAGCCCATCAGAGACCTACCCAGGACAAGAAAAACTCCCAAATACTGTGAGTGTCTCTGGCCACACCAACTTTGTGGATGAGGAGCAGGTCAAAGAAATCTGTTCTCTTAGCTTATTCCATTTTATCCATTTCCTGGCATGCCCATTTCTTCAATGAATACTGATCCGTTCCTATGCTGTTCCCAATAGAGTGGTATCCAATGGGGAAACAATGATGAGCAAGGTCTTTTTCTTCCATAAGGGTAAATACTCTCAAGGAATGGGGAGAAGAATAAACAGATAATGATACAGATAATTGTTTAATTAGAACTGTGGCACTTGTTACCAAAGAAAACTACCATGTTCCAGAAGAACCCATCAATTGACCTTCCTCTAAATTCACTGTGCTTTCTGGGGCAAACATTGTAGAGGTTAGGGCAGAGCCTTGAGCACCTTTTAGTGATTAATGTGTGCTGTTTATTGGATATAACTTAACTTTTGATCATTCTTTCAGTCAACCAAAATAATTCAACCACCACAATACATTTTATTGATGAGATATGAATATTTATGTCTCAAAGGTATATATAGGTTGTATATGATATGTTATTTATGTGTCCATTTTAACTATTCTTGAAATTGTTTTTTCCCCTAGCATTGTTTCTCCTAGAGTTACAGGAATTCTTAGAACCATAAATTTGCATAAATATTTTAAAGGTAAAATTAGAAACCGAGAATTGGGCACTTTTTTTCTATCTTGAAAGTAAGATCTGAATTTGGGAAAAATTACATCTGATGACTTGAAAGAGTATGATTTTTATTGCTGTTTTTATTCCCTGTTTGCTTGTTTATTTTTAACAATGGCCAGGAAAGTTGACTTCAACATAAAATTTATATGATAATTTTGAGGCATGAGAATTGCTCTCAAACCTTGATTACTTGAAATGAGTTTTCTGTCTTGTCATCAGTGTCACCTGACTAGTGCCTTGAGAGAAATAATTGGAGAGATTGAGAAGATTTGAGTTGAGAAAAAAACTTGGGGGAGAGAGATGCTTTCACAGCTAGTTGGAGACCCACATAGAGAAGTGGAATTAGTTTGGCATCTAACTGTGAAAGGCAGAAAAAGCAGAGAGGATTATGGACATGCAGGTGGTGGTGGCCCAATATTTGGAGTGGTGCAATTCAGGACCAGAAAAACCCACATAATGTCTTCTCTTCATTGGAACGTCATTAAGAAGGAGTGTGAATGCCATATAGACTCCTGGAGAAATAAATACATGCCATTTTAGCTAATAAGTCAAATTACTGTCAGTTCATTCAAACTGAGAAATAACATAGTAACTTGAAGACAACACATCAGAGAAGACTGAGCTTCTTTAAGAAATGTAAATGTAAATATTTTATACATTAATAGTGAATTTCGTAAGACATCCAAGTGCATGAGATAATATCTATGTAGTGGTAGAAGTAAAAATATTCCTGTGTTTCTATAGATATAATTTTATATAAAAATGCATAAAAGTGATAATGACATGCCAGTAAATATTTTTTGTTCTTAAAACACTGGCTATTCACTTGGCTATCTACTCAAAAACAAAAAACAAAATCAAAGTCCTAGCCCATAACAGATAATATATATTAAGTAGATCCTAGATGCATTAAAATGTTTAAAGATCAGTTATGCAAATATATAATCATAAACTGTAGGTGACAATATGCCCAATCAACAAGACGTTAGACCCTTTTTATCACTGAGAGCTAAGAAGCTATAGATGTGGTAGATCTTCTATAGATAAAGTAGATCAGAAGAAAATGTTTTTGTATATCAAAGATACCATGAATAATACTAATAGTTACATATTCCTCTTTCACATTAAAATAAATACATAATCACTTTATAGGCATACTGGTAGACATGAAAAGAAGGTTCTTTGTACTTTATTTAAGCAAAGAAGAGTGAGAAGTTAAAATATTAAATAAATAATGGATTTGGTAGTATGAATATATTGTCGTGTTCATTAATGTGTTACAGCATGTGGGAAAAAAACAGACACATTTGCAAATGACTAAAGATTGAAAAATACTGGCATAAAGTTTAGTTTTTTTTCACAATTTCTTTAAATCAGCAAAAGGAAAATTAATTTAGATATACATTACATTATTAGTAAACTGTAAATATATGTTACCATATATCTATATGGTAAGCCTTCATTTATAAAAGCAATGGAGACATTTATTAAATTCAGTGAAAGAAATCACAGGAAGTGCAGAATAGATTCCTAAGATGTGTTCTGTTGTTTGTACACATTTAGACTTAGCTGCTCATTAAGACCCAAAAAGATATTAAAGGCATACAATGACAAGTGTAGGCACATTATAGATAATTAACTACTACTGTTAAGTTTGACCAAAATTTCACCTTTACTATATTTTTTTAGTTTTTCTATATTACTATATATAGTATATATCCTACTTTATAATATATAGTACATTATATAATATTATATAATGTACTATATTATACTCTATAATATAATATACTATATATTATACTATATAGATACTATATGAACCTCTTAAAGGATTAAAGGCTATAGGTATTTGATTTTCTTAATTGGTAAAGAGAGAAAGAAAGAACACCACAGAGATTTGGACGTTTTGTCATATTTTCTTTTTACGGTACTGAACACCTCAAAGATGCTGGAAATAGTTGGTTCTACAATGATATTAGAATGATCACAACATCTAGCATAACACAGCAACACACAGCATTCAGAATTTGTAAATTAATCTGAAGCATCAATATAAAAATGAAAAACTTAGTTTTAATTACTGCTTAAAGTTATTTAGTTAGAGAAGCAAAAAGGTCTGTAGCATTCTAAAAAGTACTGATTTAAAAAATGCCTAGGGGAAATTTTGATTTTGTAGAGGAGACACCTTGGATGTTTGGAAATGTATTGCACATATGAGAGCGTGAATTCATGCATAGATCTTTTCTCTGAAAGAATGGAATACCTTATAATAAATTATCTTCAAGGAAATAAATACATTTTCTTCTCCAAACAGGATTCTAGATCAATGTATAGTTTAGAGTGATATGTCGATACAGCTGATTATAAAGATACTTTCATAGGTGATGAGTCAGCAGAGGTTTAGAAAAGAAAAACTCCTTGATATTGGCCTTGGCAATGATTTTTTTGAACATCACACTGAAAGCTCAGGCTACAAAAGCAAAAATAAATAAATGAGGCTTCATCAAACTAAAAAGTTTCTGTATAGCAAAGAAAACAATCAATGATGTAAAGAGACACCTAAATACAAGAAAATATTTGGAAACCAGTATCTGATAAGGAGATAATATCCAAAATATACAAAGAATTCACACAAATCAAAATCAGGAAAACAACTCAATTAAAAAATGGGGAAAAGATCTGAATATACATTTCTTCAAAGGAGACCTACAAATGGCCAACAGGTACATGGAAAGGTGCACAACAGCAAGGAAATGCAAATCAAGACCACAATGTGATATTGCCCCACATCTGTTATGGTGGCTATAATCAAAAAGACAAAATATAAGAAGCATTGGTGAGGATGTGTAGAGAAGGTCCCCCTTGAATAGGTGATAAAAGGTTTTGGATGTCTCATCTTTCTCATGAGAGAGAGTGAGAAGTTATAAGACTAAAGGTAGGTAGTATGTCAGAAAAAACATGAAGTGGTTGAGTATTCCAAGTAAGGGGAGAGAAAGGCTTAACCAGGATCACACAATGCAGGAGGAAAAACATGTTATAAAGGAAGGGAAAAAAATGAATTGTAAGCCATTCTAACCAGAATGATGTTTTCTTAAAGGGGAATTGTAGCACAGGGCTTACGAGTAAAGGATTTAGAGATGTGCTTAAAGTGAATTCCAGATTTGCCACTTACTTATACGTAACCTTCAAAGTGGTTCTTGATCTCTCTGTGTCATAGGTTCTTTATTTGTAAAAACAGAAATTGTGTTAATGTGCTGTTGTGAGGATTAAAATAAAATAATGTATTACAGCTCTTAGCATGATGTTTCACACATGGGAAGACACTAAATTATAATTTATAATATTATCATTATTTTGTTATTGTTCATAGAATAGCTTTACCTGGATATCCTGAGGAAGTACGGTTCTGTGTCTCAAGTAAAAATAAGAGCATCCTATATCAATAGCAAATATAAAGAAAATGCTTTCAAGAAATGTGGTGGTAGATGGTGACACAGAGACTGTGTAAGGGTCCCCACGGTATTTTTGAAGCAAGTCATAAACTTATATAGAGAGGGAGACTTTGGGCCATATGATCTAGGAGTTCCCTTTCAATTCTAAAAGTGTCCTTCTAAATCTAAAGAAATGTCCTACAAGTTCTAGCTAAGACTTTATATTGACAAAATAAAAATTTAAAGATAAGCTTCTTAATTTAACTATATATTTGTTTCAAGATAAGAAATTAGAATGATACTAGTTGGTTTTTAATTGCTCACTGTTCAGAAATAACAAAAGGGAAAGGAATTTTTCCTATTATCACTCTTGTTTTTCTGGAAACTCTAGCTGAAGTAATTAGAAAACTAACTGAATCATTATAACTTGCTTACATGGAAATCCCAAGAAAATAAACTAAAAGCTATTACAACTAAAAAGAATTATAACAAGGGTAGAAGACAAAAAGAAAATCTACAGAAATTAATAGATTCCTATATGGCAGCAATAAAGAGATAACAAAATGAATATTTTGTCTCATACATAATGCAATGAAAATAATTATTTAGAAACAAAGTTAAGGAATGTGCAAGGTTTACATGGAGACAATTATAAGATTTTAGGAAGAGCAAGAATGAACAACCAAATAGATAAAAGTAGATAATTTCCCATGCGGGAAGATAAAATGTTGTAAATATTTAAATTCTACCCAAATTTATTTATAGCTATACTATGATTCTCATTAAAATCTTAATGGAATTTTATTGTTAACCTAAAAATAATTATCCTAAGGCTAATAAGGAAAATTAAAAACGTGATTATCCATGATCATGTTTAAAAGGACAGCTATGAAGAGGGAGTATGCTACAACTAAGATAGCCTCAAAATACTCTAAGCTCATAACAGCTAAAATAGTAAAACACTGGCCCAAGACTTGAAAAAAAAAATCAAATAGTAGAAGATACACCCTGAAGACCTAAGGATGTTTAAGAATTTAATATAGAACAAAAGATGTTCTTTTCTGTCATTAAAGAATTATTAATTAATAAATGGTGCTAAATCAAGTAGTTAACCATTTGGAAGGAAAAAAGTATAGATTACTGTTCTTTTGTATTTAAAAGTCCAAAGTAATTTCCATGTAGGGAAAGATTTAAATGTAAACCTCAAATATTTTTGTTACTTTGAGGTAGAGCGACTTAAACATTATTGTGAGGAAATACTCATGAGTATGTATAAAGGCTTGCATTAGCTCTGAGGATTTTGTTTTGACTTATAATGACAGTGAAAACTTGAAAAGGTTTAAATATTTAACAATGAATGTTAGGCTTAGGTTAGGTCAAATATTCATACAGCAGAATATTATGCAACCAGAAAGAAAGAGAGAAAAGAAGGGAGGATGGAAGGAAGGGAAGGGGAGACTAAGACCCATATTTTAATAATAAATAATATTTATAAGCTCATAGCAATAATTAATAACTATATATGTGTAGTAGTCTGCTTTCACACTGCTATAAAGAACTGCTTGAGACTGGGTAACTTATAAAGGAAAGAGCTATAATTGACTCACAGTTCAGCATGGCTGGGGAGGCCTCAGGAAACTTACAATCATGGTGGAAGGCGAAGGGGAAGCAGGGCACCTTCTTCACAAGGCGGCAGGAAGAAGTGACAAGCAAAGGAGGAAGAGCGCCTTATAAAATCATCAGGTCTTGTGAGAACTCAATCACTATCACAAGAAGAGGGTGAGGGAAACTGCTCTCATGATCCAATTGCCTCCACTTGGTCTCTGGAGATGTGGAAATTACGGGGATTATGTAGATTATAGTTCTTGATGCAATTTGGGTGGGGATACAAAGCCTAACCATATCAGTATCTGTGCATAACCAAATATACACACAAAGGCAATAAGAAGGTACAACAAAATGTTGACAGGGATCAAGGTATTAAAATTAACCTGTTTTCTTGTGTTTGTTTCTCTACATTTTTATAAATAGCATATGTTGTTAATTTTCATTAAAACGCATACACTTATTTTAAATAGGTTATAGATGTTTTTAAATCCTATTTGAAACTCATTAACAAAACCATTCCTGTGCAATAGCCAAATTTTTATGAGGAGAAAAGAATAATAAGATGACAATATGGTCCTGTGATACAGATTAAAAATATTTTAGTTTTCTAAGTTCAAGAAAAAAGGCCTAAGAAGAGATGGAATCTCTCTTTTTATATAGCTGCAGTGTTATCACACTAAATTGCCTTTATCAAAAGATCAAGTCTCCATTTCCAAAGAAGACTGGCAAGAGAGAAAAGGTCCAATAGCAGCAAGAGAAAGTATATCTAGATATTTGAGTGAAAATGGAAGTTAATTGCTAAAGATGCCTAATTATCATTTGATCAGTTGTAGGTACCAGTAGTAGCACGCAAAATAATAACTATGTAGGCTTTAACATTAACTTGAAAGCAAGTAACTAAACATGAAGCATAATAGCCAGGACAATAAGCAACATCATTTTTCACAGGTTACATAAATTCTTCCAGTCCTTCACCTCTATTGCTACAAGGGATATCCTTATAAAGCCGTATTTTTATCTCAGAATAAAATCCTTTTTGTCTTTCATTCCTTATTCTTGCATCATTATATTCATAGTGTCAAAATAAGTACCATTGGATAGAGGGTATACACATGATCCTAAAGAGAAATATGGGTCTTAAGCCAGGAGATATTCCTTATTTACACCGGAAGGGATAGACCACAGATAGTAACCATTTTCAAAGGGTGCACAGTAATGAGGAAAGAAATCTGTTTCCTCAGGATTTTCATTACTAAAATATGGGGCATGGTGTAGAAAATGCATTGCATTGGGGCACTTCACAATTCTGATGTTTTACAGTAGCTACATAAATGCAAATTCAAGGAGAGGGCTGGATGTATCTTTATTAGCACCCTTTCAAAGGTACAGAGGGATTTTGGCAGGAAAGGCATCTGCGCAACAGCATGAAGCTTTTACATTTCCACAAGTTGAAATTGATGGAAATGCATTGACATGTTTGGCTTCTTTCCTTTTCATTTCTTGTGAGGGAAAGCCTCTCTCTCTTTCTCCCTCTTTTCCTCCCTCTTCTATTTTTCTGTCCAAAGCCTTTATTCAGTTGATATTTTTGTTACCTAAAACTTATAATCTCCAAACTACAATCGACACGTAGGTAACTCATTCTATAAAGATATTTGTATGGGCTTTACTGAGGCGCTTATATAAGGTGTTTGAACAGCAGTCTGAGAGTGACCAGTAAAATAACTTTTAGTGGCTATGTAGTCAGTGATGTGAACAGAAGTCAGCCTGGATTCCATTAATCTACTGGCCTTCCTTTTTAATGCTTATTTAAAAAATATTTTAGTAATAATTCAGCAAAGCATCGTACTTGTGAGTGTTTATAGCTTTGTGACCTGAGGCAAGGTAATATTCTTCCAAGCCTCAATTTTCTCCCTTGTAAAACAAGTTAATAATACTATAATATAGTCTAATGTAATATTGTACAGTCCGGTTCAGAGTATTTGCTGACAATTAGATAAGGCAATGCATATAAAACTTTTAGAACATGACTGGTACAAAATAAAGAGTTGGATAAACAGTACATATTACTTTGAAAGCAGTAATGAAAGGAATATGTAAAAACATTTTATTGCCATAGGACAGTGTGGAGAATGTTCGTGATGACGTGCAGCAGAGGACTTGAAAGTCAAATGTGGGGAATCGATAACTTTAGTAAGGAAAAACATACCATTCTTTATTTTCGATGATTATTACTCCCATGTATTAAGCACTCCTCTGTTCCAGGCATCGTGCAAAGCAATGCACATTCATTTTCCCTGTTTCTCAGAACTTGATCTTAGTGATGTAACCAACTCATTCAAGTGAAATAGCTTCATCAAATTAAACACTAGCAAACAGAAATGCCAGACTCTGATCCTACATCTTGTCAATACCAAATCCTATTTTACTTGCATTAAACCTCACTATAATTGACAAGTTGCTCAGGTAGAAGGACCCATCAGGAGACATGCAGGCTTTCTCACACTGGCTTTGAATTAAGTCAGGGGCAGAAAGCCTGCCCTCCAATGGTCATAGAGCAGAAGTGCATCGTGGACAGGCTGCATGGAAAATGGTGGGTCGTCTGATTTCAGGGCCACAGGACTTAACTCTAATGCTGACCTAGAAATGTTGGTGGAGAAATGATTTTTACGGAGGCGATAACTAGCCTTAAACTATGGCAAATGGGTATACTTTAGGCAAACTACAAAGGAAGGAAATAAATGGGTTAATAGTGAGTAGAGTTTTCAGGGCTCGAGGAATCAACTTGAGCGTGGCTTTACCATATTTGAGCTACACTGGACTTTTGGGCTTGGTCTGAGAAAAGATCAACTGGCCTTTGGACACCCGAGAAACCTTTTGTGATAAAGCAGGGATAAGACCTGGGAGAGTTTGTAAGCAGAATTTTGTCAGAGTTGATCATTCTTACGTGAAAATTAATTGTATCACTCATTTTCTATTGCTTGATAGAATCAAGACAAAGAAGGGAACAAATGTTACGGTGCTTTGAAGAGGTAACTAGCATAGGAGTTCTGAAGTTAGGGACTAAGCCAGATTTCTCATCTGTGATTACTTCAGGGCTGGCCTTAGGCTACCTGAAATCCCAGGCAGACATTTTTTTGCAGCTCTTTCCATGTATATAATTTAATTTAGCAAAGTAGATGTGTTAGGACTACTCACATAGCCCAATTTCCAATGATGCTAAGAAATAAATACTACAGCAGATGAGGGAGATAATGTGATTTTTTTTCAAGGGGCCTGTGGAGTCCTAAGATGATCCTTATAGGCAAAAGTTCTAGAGCTCTTCAGGACATTTGGTGAATGCCATGTGGGGTAGAGGTCAGAGGGTTCCCTGAAGGGAAAAGATAGAAATCAGAGGCCCTTGTGGCCTCCACTCAGACAGTACTGCCAGCTCTCTCCCAGAATCCAAAAGAGAATTTGGAAAATTTTGAGGAAAGCCTGTCAATGTGCAAAGACCACTAGAGTAAATGCCAAGGGGGTGGGGAATTTCTCTTCCCTGGGGCAAAGGGTATTACAGAGCTACTTTAAAATGTTCTTGTGAAGAATAAATTAGATAATGCTTGTGACTTACTTAGCTATTTCCTTGGAGACTATCCACAATCAATCGATGTTAGATGGCTAATGATATCCACCCAGTATTCACAAGCTGTGCTAACTAAACCAATCTTTATATACACTCCAGCCAGGTTGTTGTATTTTTATTTCTATTGGTTTATAAGTAGTAAAGCATGATTCACCATGTTTGGTAGAATGGTCATAAATCTTTTTCTTCTAAACAACCATGACCCTGACCTTGGAATTCCCATGCTAACCTCCTTCCCTTATTCCTAAGACAAGGAAATAAAAAGGCAAGACGCTGAAGTCAATACTTTTGTGCTGCGAAGAAGTAGATGGTTGCATTTAGGTGGTCTAAAATTACATGGTGGTGTTTGGCAAAACATGTATCTCCTTTGCAGCTCAAACCCTGTATTTTAAGTAAACTGTCATAAGTATAAATGAGTCTCTTACATCCTGACGGTGCACTCTCACGTGGTGCTTTCTTGTCTTTGCAGATCCCCCAGATTAGTTATGCATCAACGGCACCCGAGCTAAGTGATGACCGGCGCTATGACTTCTTCTCTCGCGTGGTGCCACCCGATTCCTTCCAAGCCCAGGCCATGGTAGACATTGTAAAGGCCCTAGGCTGGAATTATGTGTCTACCCTCGCATCGGAAGGAAGTTATGGAGAGAAAGGTGTGGAGTCCTTCACGCAGATTTCCAAAGAGGCAGGTAGGATGAGATTGCTCTGATCAAGCTGGCTCTCTTCAAACGTCTGTGGCTTGTAGAGTTCTCTTCAAACTTCATTAAATAAACACTACAGACTCTTACATTCCCAGAGTCCTGTGAAGTACACCTGTGATGTCTTCATCTGTATGACTTTGTTGTTTTTGGAGAGATTTTTGAAGTTGTGAAACTGAGATCCCTTGAGTACTAATAGAATAAATGAAGAAAAAAAAATATGTACTAAAGTTAATATCTTACTTCTGCCTAATGGGTAATAGGATAGATTCTAGCCTGTGTATGAAAACGTGGGAAAATGTGGCTGGATGTACCTCCCCATGAAGACTCTTCCTCTCTGCCTCTCTCCAAAATGGAGAGAATAATTTAGAATTACGTGAATGCAATCACTGTGCCAACTTTGATTTGAAGAATACCTGGAATTCCTCTGAATGACTTGGCCAAAACAAAATTAAATAAATTATCCAGGCAGTAGAATGTATTTAGACAAACAGTCTTTCAAACTTGAGATTATTTTGAGAGAGTTCTCTTCAGCAGCCCTTGGAGAGGATTCTCTTACGTTTGTTTATTTAGCTCAGATTGGAAGTAATGGGTTCAAATGTTTGGCCAGCTGTCTTCCAGTGGGCAGATTTTGAAAAATGAGACAAAATTCTTACACTTAGAAATTCTGACAATAAGTATTCAGGTTTCCCCATATGGATGTATTGGATATGGTAAATACATACCAATATGCATGCTTAGATATTCCCACACTCTTCTTATGTTGAAATGGGTGCTCAGTGTTGTTTGTAAGCATTTCATGCAATTTAAAGTGTTATTTACCAGAACAGTTTACTGACCATAAAAGCAAACAAACAAGCAAAGCAATAGAAAGAGAGCTCCATGTTATGAGGAAAGATGTCATAAATTGTGAAGATACAGCTTTGAGTATTTGACGGTCAGACTACAGATATACTCAGAAATAAAGCGCTTCCGGATACGGATGATGCTAGAAGAGAGAAACTAGGACTTGTTTATAAATCTCATGTTTTTAATTCACTGCATCATTAGCTGTAATTTCAAAACTTCACAGGAGATCTGTGAAGATCTGTGAGATTCTTATTCTCTTCCTTCTGACTTAACAAAGCTGACTAAATAGCTTCTAATCATTGTCAAGTCTCGCTCTAACCACTATTTCTGGGTTAAAATGCAACACTCGGAAAAACTTCCTTTGTTTTGTTGGCTTGGTCTTAAACTTCTAGTGTCTTCTCCCACAGCGCCTATCACAGGTTAGTATAATTTCCTATTTGTTTGTTTTTCTATCTAATCTTCATGACTATAGGAGACCATGTCTGTCTCATTTTCTACTATGGCCCCAGGTGCTACATTCCTAAAGGAAAAATTTAGGCTACAATTCAGTTAGAAACTTTCTGATTAGGAAAGAAATCTTAACTCTGGCCTTGTGGCAGGCTGTGATTTATAGGACTCATTAACTATTGACTTCATAAATCCCCAAAGAGGTATCTAATCATTTTTGATGACTATGTTTTTCTTTCTTTCTTTGTTTTTCTGAATCCTGCCTTGATCAAACTAAGGCTGGAGGCTGACTTAGAAACATATCAAAAATTTCAGGATAGAATTGAATAGATAAAATAAGATGAAAAGAACATATGGGTAAAATAGTAAGATAAAGCTTAGAGACAAAGGGCAGATGCCAGTTTGCACTATATCATTGTTAAAAGTGAGCCTCAAATTTAACACTGAACTTTAAACTGGATGAAGCAAAGGAAGAACACTGCCCATTCTGTTACAGGATTTACAGTGTTCATGAGGTCAAAATCATGTTGATTATTCTGTAAAGTGCAGCTTTCCTTGCCTTGGGATCAAGATAAATGTTTGCTCTGGGTCTTTATAAAAAACTATATTCTATAGACAGGTCAATGGTGACTTTCACATGGTTGTTTATTCCTGGTGTCATTTGATGGAAACTTAAAACATTAATATCTGAGTTTGCTATTATATATAATGACTCTTCAAAAAGGAGATGCTCTTATAATATGATCTGAACTCCCCAGCTCATATTTTTAGCCAATCCTACATTGAAAAGCCCCAGCTAAAAAATAAGGATTCCGTCAGTGGCAGCCATTTTGGATGAAATCTTTCCATCCTAGAGCCTTTCCCCTTGAGGACGGGAGTAGCTAAAAAGCCAGCTGGTGCTGCAGAAATGCAAGGAAACAGTGAATGTTTAGGTGATGTCTTGAAAATTAATACCTCTTCAAGGTATTAATAATAAGTAGTATGGTATTTGGCATGTATTTATAATAAGTATTTAATAAGTATTCTTCTTTTATACATATTATAGTATTTGGCATGTATTTATAATAAGTATTTAATAAGTATCCTTCTTTTATACATATTATGGTATCTGGTACGTATTTATAACAAAATGCATTGGAACTATATCACATGTGCAAGTGATTTAGTTGCATGAACTTATGTGATTAGCAAACACCCCTTCTTTTCAATTAGAAGAAAGGAAGAAAGAAAGATTATTAGCTTAAATGGTGTGGAGTAAGTCTACTCAGTTTTGGTATGGCCTAGAGAAAACATGAAATTCATTCAGTGAGTTTTATTTCTGTGGGCCTCTCATAAGGCGCGCATCTTGCTGCTGCAAAGGTGATTCTGGTATTTAAAGACACACATCCCATGACCTCTAAAAAGAATCCATCTCCTTCCTCTGATGTTCAATTGAAGAAATAATCATATATTCTCATTCCAAAACAATAAGAAAATAAAAGAAAAATTTATCTATTGGAATTTCTGGGCATATACATGGTTAGGGAATTCTCCAAGGTAATTTTATGTGTTCACTTTTTTCTTTACCTGCAGGCTCGAAAAAGTCACCCTCACAAAAGATACAAACCCAATGTGTATGGGTAGGTGAGGCGATATGGCACAAAAATAAATAAGCACACTGGTTATGCTGTCAGAAAGACCTGGATTTGAATGATGGACTCCATCACTCTCTTATTTTAACAATTTTGACACATGCTTTAACTTTTCAAGCCTAAACTTCCTCATAGAAAGAATGAAATTAATGATTTCTGCTTCACCAGATTGGTAGAATGTATAAGATGGTGCATGGGGAAGCATTTAATACCCAACAATATCTGATTACATTGAATCACAATGGCTCCCTATAAATAAGTAGAGTTACTGTTTGAGTCTGAAAACTTTGAAAATAACTTGAGTAATAGATGTTATCTGCCTTGAGTTGTAACTAGAGGGTTATTTTTTAAGCTGTTTCTATTCTTATTAACATGCTGTCATGATGTAAGATGGATATGAAGAAAAGGAAGTGAGCTATTTGCATTGTCCTATGTATGTAGAATATGTGTATGTGTATACATATATGTGTGTGTGTGTGTGTGAGAGAGAGAGAGAGCAAGAAAGAGAGAGGGGGGTGCATAGACTCAATGGCATTGTTTCAGTGTACTGCTGGCAGGTTGGAAGGATTTACTTCCATTGTTTCTGAACAGTTTGACTTTGAAGGTTGTGATTCTTTTCCTCTATAAATGGCCTCACCCTTTTAAAATGCTTTAGCTTCAAAATTTACTTTAGACTTAAATCCTGAGGCAGAGGCTACTTATAAACCAGAGCCTAAAGCATCTCCACCATGCTCACCGTCACAGTGCACCGATAAGCGCCTCTTCATTATTTACTGATAGAACGAACCAAGACAATGATGTCAGAGAAAATAAGCCATCCTTTAACAGAGGCCATGTAATTGTTTAAAACATGGAAGTCTAAGCACATTTTCACTAAACTGTCAAAGACAACCTCAATACTTATTCTTTCAAGTAGAGTCCGGCAGATTTAAATATGTGTGGATACTTTTCCTTGTTGAACTTTCAAAGAGAACTGTAACATGATTTTCTCAGACGATGAGGTTTTGTAAAACAGTTATATTTGCATAAATTGCCCTGTTTATTTGAATGAATGCACATGCAATAGCAACAAAGGCAATTTATTTCTTAATATTGCAGGGAAGGAAAGAAAATCCACTCTCTATGTGCTTTAAAATTCAGGTCAGCAAAAATGACCTAAATTAGACATTTAAAACTCCTTTATCAAAGTGAGGGTCAAGGTAAATGTTTATGATAGCATGTGGCACTAATAAATTCCAGATCCTTTTAACCAAATCTGATTCAAGCACTATAAGACTAAGGACTACATATATGACTCTTACAGTCCATCAGACTATTTCCAGGAAAATCTCATGAATACTGCTTGACAATATAGCACAAATAGTAACAACTGTTACTGCTATGCTACCATCATACATGTCGACTTCTCAAAACCTAAAAGATCTATCCATTTGATATTTTACAGTGATCACTTAACATAGTTGTATTTCAATTGTTCTTATAAAGTAATTATTATTATTCAGATAAACTCTAGAATTTATTTTTAATTAATACTTTATCATAGCCTAGCATATTTTTTTCCTAAAATACTTAGAGGAAGATTTGATTAACTGTTATTAACTGTTATTCAGCCTTCAGTTTTTTAGACCTCAAGCTCTACTAAAAATACAAAAATTAACCTGGCATGGTGGCATGCACCTGTAATCCCAGCTACTGGCGAGGCTGAGGCGGGAGAACTGCTTGAACCCAGGAGGCGGAGGTTGCAGTGAGCCGAGATTGCACCACTGCACTTTAGCCTGGGAGACAGAGCAAGACTCTGTCTCAAAACAAACAACAAACAAACAAACAAACATACAAACAAAAACCAGAGCTAGATGGATTTTCCTACTATGGGATTTCAGAGCACTGTGTGCCTCTCTCCTTCACAGATACAATGTTCTATCTTGTGGTGTGCATTGCCCATTGTTAGTCTTTGCCAATTTACTTTAAGCTCCATAAGGGCAAGGACATTTTCCTGTGTTTCTATTATCTAAGATAATTCCTAGTACATAGAAAGCAGTCAATCATTATTTCTTAACAGAAGGAAGAATTGTGTTTTTCCCCTTTGCCCTTTAGGAAAAAAGGAAGCATGTAGAGAAACACCTTACGATATGTAATTTTGCTAGAAGGCCATAAAATACTACATCCTAGATCTGCTTGCTGTGGTTTAGTACAGTTGCTTTCACTCTGAATTTACACCATTATTTCCTCTCACCATTCCTATATAAAACTGATAGCAGTATGGTGCAACCAGGCTGTAATTCCTAATACCACCATCTATATTGAATTCTGTTTTTTTTTTCTTTCTGTCTATGTCATGGTGATTATGGAAAACTCTGACACATTTTAAAACTAGGTAGATTATTTTCCTAATGAGGTGTTTGGTGGTTCCAGCTTAAATATAGATACTAAACATTTGAGAACTCAATTTTAAGACACAAAATCACAAAATTCTTATAATGTCATTTATCTTTAGGTACATTTAAAACTAAACTGTAAGTTCCTCAAGAAAGACTTGCATTTCATTTGTTTTGGGATCCTCAGTGATTAGCACAACATTTCAGCTTTTAACTCATGCTTCATTTGTTAGCACCTCTTGAGTATGTCCCCTTCCCCCATCATTACAGTGACCTCTGAGACCCACTTAATTCACCTTGATTTATAGTTATCATTATCCATTCTTCCAGAATAATCCCTCCAATATAGTATCCATTCAGCTTTTTAGATAATCTTTCTAAAACATAAATAAAGTCATTTCAGTATCTGTTTCTGGTTTCCTCTTCCACAGAGGATCAAGTAAAAGATGTTTAGCGTGAAACATAAGGTCCTTCATGACTTGACATCTGCTTTAATCTCCAGTCTCATTCCCATATTTATCCTTTTTCATATTTACCTTGAGCCCCCATACATATACTCTTTACCCCACTTATTCAACCTTCTGTGGATTTGCGGATATTCTTTGCCTTTGCAGAGGCTCTGCTTTCTGTCTGGACTACCAGCTAACTTCAATTTATTTTTTCAAAACATGACACCTTGGAGAAAGCTCTCTCTTACTCAGTCTTCCTCTTTTGGAATTCATGGTCCTCTTTTGGATTGTGATGTATACATTCATCTTTTTAACATCACAATATTCTTACATCTATTTCCATTGATAAATTAATAGAGGATCACTAATTGTGTAAGTTCTGATGAAAGAAAAAGCTTTTGCATCGCTGTAGAGCTAAAACAGTCAGATATTCATGTTCCTAGCCTGCCTTGAAGCTAGGGTACAGTCATTAATTCAGTCTTGGCTAATCAGACATACCTATCAGGAATGAAACAAGATCTAGGGACACAAAAAAGGCTGGGGCGATGGAAAACCCATTTTGTTGACAGTAACAGCAGTAGCAGTAAAAACCACTTGTCACAGATAGATGTGGTATCCAGCATCAGCTGGGTGCAGTAGAACAATCTCCAGCTTCCCTCTTTCAGAAGAAACTGCAGCATTGCCCAGTAAGCTTGGTACTGTGGATTTTTTTTTTTTTTTTTTTTTGGCTTTGATTCTGACCACCGAGCCTCCTTTGTTTCTGCTTATTTTCTGATTTTGTTTCCCTGGCCTTCAGAGGGATTCTGTTTATTATCCCTCATAACTTAAATTATTTTTCTGCTTAACCTAGACAGAATTGACTTCTGTTGTTTGCCTTCAACCTTCATGAATATAACCAGGGTTGTCTCTTTATGAGTTCCACAGCACCCTATTTAAACTCTATCATGGACTTTGTTGTATTTCATTGTAATCATCTGCCTAGTTATCCTCTCTCACTAGAGAGTAAAATTCTCGAGGCTAGACAGTATGCTACATTTGACTTTCAACACTCGATACCCAGAGCAGTGCCCAACACAGACTAGGTTTAATAAATGCATGTTGAATTTAAAAATAATGTGTTAATGATACAAGTGGTTATGTCTTTGAGGTTGTAGTGGGTACAGTAAAGCAGTTGAAAGTTTTTCTAATTTGAATTTTCTGAAGTGATCATTGATCTGCTATAATTAACTTTATAGGAGGGAAAAAAGGGACAAGAAATCTGGTGATATGACTTGTACTTATGCAATATGTATCTGAATGGTAGGTACTATTTCAGAGTACCTTCTTTATAGCAGGTACTATTTCAGGGTAATAATGATAAATAATAATTCTAGTAGAAACAACAATAGGACAAAAAAAAACCCCTCTGTTTTCAAAGAGTAGAATTACATATTTAGAGTAATGAACACAGCCTGGTTAGGGCATACTACAAGGAAAGATTCTGAAAGAAGGTAGATCTTAACTAAATCCCAAAGGTAAGTAGATGTTAACCAGACAAAGCTGACCTAAAGTGGTTTGTGGATGACATACTAGGAAGAGAGAAGCATGTTAAAAGTCCAAAATAAAATTGCTTGATAGCGTTTAAATACTTGAATGTTGCAAGAGAAATACTATTGCTTTGAAAACTTGTGTGAATCTTGAATTAATGTGATGGAAAATTGTCTTCCAAGCAATGTGGTAGCCATTCCAAAAAACTTTCTGGCTTTTAAACCAAGAACATCGGGTTCTGGCCCTAATGCCTCCAATAACTCACTGGGAACTACCATATTGTTTCTCTGGGTTGGAAAGTCATCACATATTAATGGAGAAAACTAGTCTTTCTTGGGTCAGACAAATCTCAGATGTTTATCTTCCTAATTACAAAGGATGGGTTTCTCCCAGGCTATGGATTGTCATTTTTGCCATGGGACTAGAAATAGATAGTGACAAGGTATTTTTGCTGGATGAGAAAATAGTGAAAAATCATGTCTCAGCGATTCCTCCTCATCTCTTCTGCCTGCCATCATTGCACTTGATAAATTTGAGAGGGTATGAAAAGATCTGAAGGTGAAGTGAACTCTTTCTTTACTTGCCTATGTAGAAATGACTGCCATAGGATGCATGTGCTAAGGAGAAAAAGGTGATGGGATTCTGGCAGAGAGGTTAAAGATGCAGTGTAAGGAAACATAGCTCATCTTTACATAGAGGGGTAGAGACTCAAATATGGAGAATTTTATTGAGCCATGGAATTTCTTGGTTAATTGGCTGAGGGGGAAGAGCACTATTGTTCTATGATAGTTTACATTGGGAAGTAGCCACACTTTTGTAATAATATCATTATAATCAATAAACTTTAGGGGCAAAATGTTTAGTCTTCCCTTTTTAAGGAAGATGCATTCAGCCTTCAAGGTGAAGCTTTCTCTTCCTAGTCTTCACAAAAATGTTCAGAGATTCCTACTTCTGTATCTCATCGGTTTTGATAGATGTCAGCAAGAGAGATAAATTTCAGTAGGAAAATTTTATATGTATATTGGAAAGATATTGATTAGTGTATAGAACTGGAGGAAAGTACCCAGAAAAAGTTTCAAGGATAGCCAGATCTAGAGTAGCTAAAAATTTCAGAGTAGTAAAACTTACTTAAATGCTTAGTGTCATTACTGAAGTCTGGCATATCCAATACGTCCTCCACTCATATCATGGTGCTCAAATTTCGGTATCTCATCAGAGAAAGTGAACTAGTGACTCATGGCACTTGCCTATGTTTGGCTTTTGGGAAAATAGGACACCTTGATTTCGAATCTCTCCAAGGCCATAAACAATAGGGAAGATATATTTCCCAATGTAATTTTAGTGTTGTAACCAAAAGTTGGGTAGTCACAGTGTAAAAAAATGCTACCTTTTTGGTTGCCCTTACCAAAGGCTCCCCACTGTTCCACCCCCACCCCTGGAATACACAAGTAAAAAGGAGTAGGCTTTAACTGTGCCCACACACAAGAAATGTAGTATTCATTAAAACAGAGGCATGAAAGTGGGCATCGGAATTAGTCAAATGGAGAGTTCTGAAAAACAAGTAGATACTCCAATCCAAGAAACATTAAATTAATAAATGGTTGCTTGCAAAATATCTATTTATTGGACTTCAACTGCTTCCTAAATTGTTTTGTATTTTGAACAACCTGATATGTGTAAATGCAGCCTCTTTGAGACCTGCACAAAGGGATCTGTTTTCCTTTAATTTGGCAAACGAATTCCTGCTGTTAAATCTCTCAAGAGATTATAGAAAATTCTACAAAGCTCCACATTAATTGCAGTAGCACTCTCAGTCAAGCTGAAGGGGAGCAGATGATAAACATATCCGGCAGTAATAGTAGCCGTCCCAAACACACTGCATTGACTGACTTTCAAATAATAGTTTGACCTTGCGTAGCTCCAAGTTTGTCTATTTCCAATTATTCATATTGCTTGTTACTCTTTTGCCTAGATGACTTAAAAGCAAGCACTTAAACCACATTGTCCATAATCACTGGACAGTATTATTCCATTGCATTAATATTTTACATTTGGCATTAGTTGTCAAACAAGCTCCTGTTTAAATAGGCAATCCTCAAGTATCATTACACTCTAAAAGCAATGATATTAGGGTGTACCTTTGAGGAACTAGTGTGTAGGTTGTGAGAAGACAGAAGAGCAGACAGAAGGTGCTCATAGGAGACTAAGTATTAGTCATGAAACAAAAAGATCATGAGAGTAGAGTCTCGATCACAGGATGCTAAGTATGGGGGGAAAGCCATGGGGCAAAGTACAGTCAGGAGAGGATGGTCCTAGTAATCAACTGCTTTATGTGTTTTCTTTATATTGCACTATTTTCTGGAATATTCCCTTAATGTTATTGAACAAAAAGTTTCCATTTCCTCATGCAATGTGGGTAAAGTTTAGATGGAGCTTATTTTCTCCGAACAAATTCGCTTAGCCTTAGATGACTGCACTTAGATAGAGTAATGGCTTTGGGTGGCAACCGGATCAGTAACGTAAGACACTTCTATTGAGCTGATTCTCACTTTGACCGGCTTTTGACTGATAATTATTATTTGCTCCTTGGCTTGTGTTCACTTCCTTCACAGGGAGAACGCATCCCCATATCTGTTATATGAAAACATAAAAACTTGTTTACAGTTGACTGTGTACAAAAAACAACTTCAGCCTTGAAGTCAGTCTCCTAAGTGTAAACTGCATGGATTAGTTCACAGTTAAATAATGAAGACCTGCCCTTTTGTATCATGACCTTGTCTTATGCTGCGGAAGGGAGGAACTGGTACTATGCATCACAACAACAAAATTTTTAGTTATTTTGAAAGTTCTTTTTAATCAACGTGAATTTTTTTCATTGTTGTTTTCACTTGTTTATTTAGTCTTCATTGGATATTCAAATCACTTTTTCAAAACATTTTTGAGAATTAACCTCTCCCCTAAAAGTGCAAGTGAGATAGACCAACGTGGGATACTTAAGCAGAAAAAAAAAAAATCAGAATTCTTTGAAAGATTATTAGGCAATGCAAAAAATACTGAGGAAGATGTAAGGAATCAAGAAGCTTGGACTGGATGGGAAAAGAGGCTACTCTAGTGACACAAGCAGCAGAAGATGACAGACTGTGTCTTCAGGGTACCACCAGAAGGATGAGTCAGCTCCAACTCCATGGAGGCCTTCAATTCTGGGCTCCAAACTCAGCATCAAGTAAGAAAGCACCCCATTGTCTGCAGTTGATCATGTGGTCATCCATTGGCTATAGGTATGTGGGGTAGTTGACTGACGATTCCATAAGATGGTTATTGTAGATATTTCAGGATAAACATAGAATCTTGATACCCAAAGAGTAAATAGCAAGGGAGAAATGATAAACACACAGGATGAAATGTGATAAAATAGATTTTCTTCTCTGTTCTTGTAGTGCACATTTGGAAAAAAAGAAAAAAATTAATAGTGATATAAATTTTTCTAGTTAAAGTAGTTCTGTTGAAATTTTGAAATTTGAAATGAAGGGATTTTTTTTTCCTTCTTCTTTTTTCTTTTTCCTCTAACTAGATCCTCAAAAGAAACCATCACAACTTAAAATACACGTAGAGGACTGTTCAAGCTACTAGCTTTCTAAAAAGATACAAAATGTAATTTTCCAAGATTTACATCTGTGATATGGTTAAGAGTTTTTTACAGGATAAGAATGGCTTTTGCTTCTTTGTGCTGGACAGTTTGTATAAACAAATGCTATTTCATTTTTTTTTTTTTTTAACAATCCCCAAATTCCTCCAAGCACCCTGTGGATTTTTGATAATGGCAGTAGGCAAACATTCCTTGAAATGTAGAAGCGGCAGAAGACAGGCCTTGTTCCTGCATTCTTCCCTGCACACACATGGATTTAATAAGGTGGCCGAACAATCTGTGCTGAAGCCCAGGAGAGCCAGGACTCCTTAAGAAGGAAAATGACAGGGGCTCATCGCACGCTGGGATAAGGATGAGAATCTCCTGGTAGTGCTTGCCATGCAGTCTAATAAAAGCTCTTTTCAAAAACTGTGTGGGAGAGCATTGCAGAAAGAAAAGCTTTTAGCAAAACTAGCTTTATAGAGTCTACTGTTTGTTGTTCAGTTGGGAAAATGCAAACTGTAGGAAGAGGACTTATTTAACACACATCTTCATTTTTTCTGAGATATGAATAGGTAAGAGAATGCAAAGGATAGAATTGAAATGCAAACGTAGGTAAGGGTTACTATTCTGTCATAAAACAAACTTCCACAAGTAGGCTAACACAGAGAAAGAAGATTGAAGACCTCTGCTTTAAATCTCTTCCCCACTCTCTCAGCTTCTGTTTGGCCATTTAGTTATTTTCCTTTGTCTTTTATTTTTCCTGGACAAGCCAGTCCCTGCCCAACAAACTTTGCATCTCTATAGGCTTTTACTCAAGCGGTGTCCTCTGCTTAGAACATCCCCTCTGAAGCTCAGTTGCCTGGTAAACCCTCCCCTTAGTGACGCTTCTCCAGTATGTCCCCGTCTCCCCACCCTACTCCATGTAGTGTTCCTGCCATTAATACATATATCCATGGCCACACATTTAATTTTGTCACTGTTGTAATATGAAAGATTATGCACTCCTTCAGAGTAGCTACAGATATTAAAAATAGGGAAGATGAACTAAACATTATCGGGCATCTCTCCCAGTCCAGGTGCTGATCAGAGCTTATAATACAGTCCCATGGAAATATTAAATACTAAATAAACATTTGTTGATGTAGTAAAATTCTGGCATCTCCAGTCCATAAATCTACTTGCCTTTTTAATTTAAATTTTATTATAAATCTCACCTCTCTAGAGAGTCTTTTAGCCTACGCTGTGTTATATTAGAGACAAACTGCTATAGTAACCTGGTAGAGAAACATGTATTTCCTAATTCCTTAAAGGTAGTTTAGCTACAAGTTTATGACAGATTATAAATGTATATAATGTTAATGCTAGGTTTCAGATTGCAATAGTAGTGATTTTCTTGTTGTCAGTTCTGTTGAGCTTGTTAAAGCAAGACCTAATGTAATTATGTTTTAAAATTGAAGCTTACACTAATTCTGCCCATATATTAAAGGGTTTCTTTTATGTATCCAATACATGAAGTAGATTTTTATAGATTAGTTATGTGTGTGTGAGAAAGATTAAGATTAAAATAGAGAGATGAGACATAATTTGAACCAAAACATTAAAGAAATGTTGATTTTAATGAATTGGGAGATGAAAAATGAGTATTTTCCCCCTAAATTTTAAAGATCTGTTAACGTGAAATACAATAAAACACGAAGATTCAGGTGAAATATGTATTCTAAAGGGCAAGAATATTACCTGGCTCAAGATCAATTTGCTTTATTTAGCTTTTGCAGCATGCAAGGACTAAGTTCATCAGATAGGGAACAAGGGTGAGACTAACTTCTTTATTCTTATTTTCCCCCAGAGTGAAAGAGATGAGCCTGGGAGGGAGATCAAGCTTCATTCTATGTTTTATGGAGAAAGACAGAGATTGCTAGCAGGAGGTGGATAGATGTTCAATACCTGTTATTCCTGCTTCCCACCTTCCCCCTCTTTCATTCTTCATTCCATTTTCATCATCTCTCCAAACATCAATCGAACACCTGAATATGACTATTTCCTAATGGTTGGTAAGCAAAATTGGAAGCCAGATATACCTAGGTTTAAATACTAGCTCTACTCACATTAGAAATGTGTGGGTCGCCCTGTCCTCTTGAATAGTGATGCCTATCTGTCTGTGTCAGGACGTAGTAAGGAAGCCCATGTCTAGTCTGGTACCTTTAAACCAGGACGTCTCCTACTTTTCAAAATGACTCAAAAGTTGAGCTAGCCTTATTTTAAAAACTAAAAGTTCAAAATCAGTGGTGACATGAGGACTTATTTATTTAAAGTGCTTAAGCTTTGGTTTTAGAGTTTCTAAGAGATCTAGTGGAATTTGCTATTATGAAAAGCATTACCCATGCTATTATGAAAAGCATGAAAAGATTAAGAAATCTGGCTAAAGGTCAGGTGCCCAGCTTCGAGGAAAAGTTGGGCTTTTAGGGATCAGGAAGCATTAAAGGCACACAAACTTTACATTTTGGGAGTCATTTTGTTGAGTAGGTGAAGTGAGGGATTTGGTCTTGATATTTGGCTGCCCCATCTCTATGTGGGAGCTCAAAGTTAAAAACCCACTGTAGGTAAATGAGAAGGACAGCTCTTGAACCTGGGCCAGTCTATATTCCTTCTGTGAAGTACTAACAGCCAGGCTATGTAGCCTGGGTGGGAGCCCAGATAATGTGAGCTGGTAAAGGTTATTGGAAAAGTGCCAAGAAATACCAAGCTTTTGGTTTGTAACCACTATAAAAAGTTTATGAACATGTCAGAGGAATGGATGAGTGATTTGTGAGGTCTTAACTAGATACCCCAGTTTCGTCCTTGTTTTGGCTCCTTTTCAGAATGCCAGGAGAGTGCATGCAGGGATTCCATCTGATCACCCTCAGTGCTCTCTCTCTGGTCCTGCTGGATAGATTTAGGTTTCCTTTCTTTTTTAAGGGCCTCAGTTTGCTATTTCCTTTGGTGGCTACCACCACTGACTCCCTTGATATCTTCTACTCCCTTGCCTTCACCTTGCTTAAGACTGAGAAAGGAGTTAGATTTTGTCACTAGCTCTTCTTTTTCCTCACTGTGTACCCCACCAAACAAGATTAGTTCAAGTTAAAAAGAACCTATTGGAGGTAAACTGGGAGAGCAAGTACTGGATCTGGGATGGTCCCTTTCCCATTTAATTAGGTCCCTGGTTATATGTTCCCATAGCACCCCATACTTCCTCTTTCAGAATAATCATTTCCCTTGTAATGCTCAGCATCCGTATCCTGTTTGATTGCAAACTTGCTAAAGGTAGGTATTGTTTGTCTTGGACTTCGCTGCCAGTCCTTAGAACAGTGCCTGGGACACAGTGTGTTCTCAAATATTTGTTGCTGGAATAAATGAATGAACTAAATCAGTCTTTTAGGGATTTATTGTTAACCACCATGGGAAAATTAAATAAATGCAGGGGAGGAAAACATTCTAAAATTAGAAGACTACTTTCTACTCTCAGGTTCTGTCTTCCCCTGAGCTAAGAACCAGACAGCCTTAGGCTGGTAACTCCTATAAGGTGGTCCTCCTCTCATGCTGACCCCATCTTTACTGTACAGTTCACTTTTCACGATCTGAAGGCACCACCAAGATAGATCCAGGAGTGACAACTCCAGTGTAGGTGTCCACGGTTCCCTTAATCTCTACCCTGCTCCAAGTATAAACAAATTGGGGCCATTTCCTTAGATATTGGGGTTTTCTCAAGAAATCCTTTCCCTTTGTGGCATGGGTCAAATCGCTAGTAGTTAAAAAGGTGTTAACTCTTACGTGAAATAACACTTTTTCTTTGTAATGACCTGAAAAAAAAAAAAAAAAGAGAAATGTGTGGGTCACTTACTCTAATCTAGTTTCCATTTTTGTGTTTATACTACAGGAATAAAACCAGTTCCTTCCTTAGAAGGCTTTTTTGAGAAACAAGTAAGATACCTAATGCATGCAAATGCTCAGCATGGTACCCATCATAGATTAAATCTATAAACATTAGCTACTGTGATGATTATTATAATGGTTACTATTACACTAATTATGTGAATATATTAGTAACAATATTACTAGTCCTTCCTTGCTCATTACTTCTATTATTTATTCAACAAATATCTGTTCAGTGCCTACTGGTGTCAAGCACTATTCTAGATCCTAGGGGTGAACAAAATAGACCTTGCCTGTGAATTTAGGTGAGATGAACGGGAGTAAACAAATAACCATATAGCGTTAGGCAAATATCTGTGCCCAATAAAAACGATGTCCTTTTATTTGTGTTGCTTACATTATATTGGCAGATCCAGATGGCTTAGAAACAGGGCGAATGGAGCTGAGATGGCAACAAGCATTTGATGATATTGCCAACGTAATGCCAATAGAGCTTGCTAATTACTTGGCTGCAGAGGTTGAAGGAGATGTATATATTTAGGTTGTGAACAACTAATTGGATGGTGATGGTTGTTACGAGCAGATTTAAAGAATGGGGTAGGGATCGAGAGCCCTATTTTAGACTTGTGAGGCTTGAAATGCCTACAGTATATCCAAGTGAAGCAGTTGAACAGGTAGTTAGATGTATAAATCTAGAGTTAAGAGGGGAAGTCCACAATAGAGACCTAAATTTGAGATCTGTGACAAAAATGCTGTGAGATGGGAAGCGATTACTTCAGTGGAGAAGATGCCTGGGAACTGAACCAACAAGAGTTTTTCAAACTCTAAAATTGGTGATCTAGTAAGATGAACTAAGGCATGCCTGAAGACGTAGAAAGAAAACAAGGAGTTAAAGTGTCCCAGAGACCAAGTAAAAAAGTGTTTAAAGAAGCAATGAAGATGAAATGAAGGTCCAGTGAGGCCTGAGAACTAATTATTGAGCTTTGCAACATGGAGATGATCAATGGCTTTGAAAGATAATTTTAGGTGAAATGTTAAGGCCAAAAACCTCAATAGAGTAGGCTTAAGAAAGAATGGGAGGTGAGAAATTGGTAATAGTGAATAGACAATTTAATAGGAGAATATGCTAATAAAGATAAGAGAAATAGAACTGTCAGGTGTGAGGGGCTTAAAAAGGCAATTTGAGGATGTTTGTTTTCTGCATCTACTTGCAATCTCCCATTACTCCCATTTTTCATTTTTTTTTTTTTTTTTTTTTTTTTTTTTTTTTTTTTTTTTTTTTTTTGAGATGGAGTCTCATTCTGTTGCCCAGGCTGGAGTGCAGTGGTGTGATCTCAGTTCGCTGCAACCTCCACCTCCTGGGTTCAAGCGATTCTCCTACCTCAGCCTACTTAGTAGCTGAGATTACGGGAGTGCACCACAGTACCAGGCTAATTTTTGTATTTTTAGTAGAGACATGATTTCACCATGTTGGCCAGGCTGGTCTTGAACTCCTGACCTCTGGTGGTCCTCCCACCTTGGCCTCTCAAAGTGCTGGGATTACAGGTGTGAGCCACCATGCCCAGCCTACTCTTCTAGTTTTTTCTACTCCTTTCGTGCCTATTCTGCATCTTCCTCCTCCTCCAGTCTTCTGTTGCTCTGGACTATATCAGACTAAGAATACAAACATGAAAAGACTCAGGCCTGTCTCACACAGAGCTGTTGTCTAGAGCCAGACCATGTGAATGGTATAACAGCATATTGTGCTTTAGAAAACACAGAAATATCAGAAGAGGTAGCTAGACAGGGCCCCCCAAATGGCATCCAGGGTGTTTGTCTCAGTGAATTCTGAGGAGTGCTAGCTTCCTGATACCAATTCAATGGAAAAGGGAAAGAATCTTGCTCAGTGAATGTAACCAGAAGCGCTTTCTCTTGAAGAAAACATGTGCACCACCCAAGAAAGAGAAAAATTTTTATTAATTCATTCATCAAGTACTTTGTGAGTGCCTACTCTGTCCTCATTGCAGCTAGGGGTTTTGAGTAATCAATAGTGAGTAGTTTGTATCCTCATGGAGCTTATACTAACAGGCAAAGACAATAAATAAGTAAGTGAATAAAGCAGCTTAAGGGGAGACAGTAGAAGTGCTGTGTGTTGGATGTTATTTTAGACAGGGTGGTTGGGAACACCTCTTTGAGGAGGGGATATTTAAATAAAGAGATGAATTAAATGAGGAACTGAACTATGTGAAGAACTGGGAGAAATTATTCCAGATAGAAGGAAAAGCAATGTTCCAAGACCTTGATGTAAGCGTGTCTTGTTACTTTCAAAGAAAGTATCTCATTATGTGGAATGATTTAGTTGAAGTCATGCTTATGCCCCATTCTTTAAAAAGTTTCTTGGATCCCTTTTTAAAATGTGTTTTGAATATTTGAAAGAAAATGCTAATTCCTGAGGTACTAATTTAACCTCATTTCCAGTGTTCAAGTCATCTTGACATCATCCCTATCAGAGAACTTTTGTAAAGCCCCTGTGATAAACATGCAAGGGACCATCTCACAGATTCTTCCATCCATGGTTTCTATGTTTATCAAAAATTAAAACCATAGCCACATGCAGTGGCTCACACCTGTAATCCCAGCACTTTGGGAGGCTGAGGTGGGCAGAACACTTGAGGCCAGGAGTTCAAGACCAGCCTGGCCAACATGGTGAAACCCCATCCCTACTAAAAATACAAAAATTAGCCAGGTGTGATGGCATGAGCCTGTAGTCCCAGCTACTTGGGAGGCTGAGGCAGGAGAATCACTTGAACCCAGGAGGCAGAGGTTGCAGTGAGCCAAGATCACGCCACTGCACTCCAGCCTGGACGACAGAGCGAGGCTCCCTCTCAAAAAAATTAAAAAACATAAAAATCACAACCTAGAGTCAAACTTAGCCTATGTCTAGCTCTGGACACTTGCATTGGTGAAGGAACAAAGAATGCTAAGACTTCTCAAAGTTTCACTTCTTCAGAGTTGTCACTCATACCTTGAACCATCTGTCCCACATGACATCCCCACTATGTCTCTAACTTCACCATTAACTTGGAGTCACATTGACTTCTTCCTTTCAAGTCCAGTGAGTTGCTGGATTATCTTTCTTCTTTTCACTGGTGCTGCCATAAAAATCAGACAATATTTTCTGGTTGTAAGTAACAGAAACCAACTAATCTAAATATAAAGTAATGAACTGGAAATAAAAAGAGTGAAATAGCTGAAAAGAATCAGATAGCTGCTGAAAGATTTAGTAAGTTGGCCACTTCCTGCTGACCTTGCATTTGGGATGAATAAATTCAAGCATTTCTTCAGTTCTTGTAATGATAGACTCAAAGGCAGAGTCTAGGAGAGAAGATCTGGTTAGGTCCACCAGATCCCTTGCCCATCTCTGGGTTGAGACTAGTGTAATATATGAAGAAGCTGAGAACAGAAACTAAAAAGGAGTCTTCAGGGGTTCATATGTCTTCCACAGTGGAAAAATCAGCATCTGTGTTTACTGCCCAGAAGCACTGTACATTTCACCATGAAGAGAGAAGAATGCTATGAGATGTGGAATGAATCCAGAAAGCCACACGTAACTGATACCCATTTTAGACTTTTATTATTCCTCATTTGAGATATTGTGGGAGCATTTTCCAAGTTTGTCTGTTTTCACTCTTCCTAACTTCCTCACCATCCGCAACTCTGTTTCTGGTTAACCACCCCATGGCGCATCCCAGTAACTGCATTTCTTGTGTAGACACCTTCAATTATCCCAGAATTAAAGTATACAGTACAGGACAATCACAAGCTAGATTTGCTCATACAAGGCCAGCCTCTGGCCCCCTGGTGGGCTGTGTATGATACAGGGAGAAAAAAATTGAAGAAAAATTAAACTATCAGAGTAATATAGAATCAAGTGTTTTATCACCTGGTGTCTATTCACTTTACTGTCTGAAAATATATTTTATGTGTATTTTTAGTTGGGTCAGGTTTGGTTTAAATGTTTGGTTCAAATTTCTATATGGTTTTCTGCTTTCTGTCAGAAAAGAAGAAAAATTTCCACTAACAGAATGTAACATTGGTATTGCCATATATATTGAATAATTCCAATAGGGTACACTTAGCTAATTCGATATCTATACAGCTAATCAAAATACTAGGACTTAAATACTTACTATCATGACATTTGGGAAAAAATGTTAGCTAGGACAAGTCTCTTCAGGAGATTTTATTTGAAAACATTTACCTTTTAACCATATATTGCTGTTGCACTTTTTTAAAGCTCTATTTACATGTTTATAATTTCAGTTGTACTATCTGGGTTTCATCATTTGCATTCTAATAACAATACTTGTATTATTTATTTGGCATTGACAATCCATTATTTTTTCTCAATAAATTAGTTCAGCAATTGTAAATTAAATTTTGCTTTTCAAGTAGCTTTAAATTCTCAAGTACTTCGAAATATGTTATTTCTTTAATGTTAAAGAGAAAAACTTGACTTTCATCAATATGAATGTCATCTTTTCTTTATCTTACTATTACTTATAATATGTTCTCCTGAAAGTTCATTGATTTGGCTAAGGGTTATGGTGTCAGTTTCAGAATTAAAGAAACTGGGACAGAGAGATATGTATAATTTTATAACTAATAGTCTCTCCTCTTTGTACGGAGAGCAAAGTACTTGAGCCGGTATTTAAATTATGAACTTTCTTTAGGAAAATGAGCTATTTCCAGGTTTAAATAAAGTTTTTTTTGAATTTCTAATAGTGGCGTCTATGAATTCTTTTCTCTGATCTTATACCTGTAACATTGTGATATTTTTCAGAACAGAAACATTATATACCAAATTTAGCCAATAGGCTAAACAGGCATTTTGGATAATAGCTGTTAACCTTTTTCCATGATAGGATTGTTTCCCTCTGTCCCAATAAGCTGATGAATGAATCATCCACTTGTTAAAAGGAGATACTCTTTCTGAGATATCAAACTCACGTGAACCCTCCCTTACCCTTCCCCAGCCACTGTCTCCACCCCAACTGGGAGATTATTTTGGTGTCATATAGACTGAACTTCATTCCAAGACAGCCTGAAGTGTCAGTGACAGACCTGGGACTCTAGCCCAGAAATGTGGATGCTCAGTCTCTGTTGTAACCACTAGGCCATGTACACCAAATCCCTGCATTGTCTAAGCCAATTCCAGGGCAGCTGCTTATTAACGAACAGATGCCGCTTGATGGCACTGACATCCATCAGAGAAAATGATTCTGCTTGAATCAGTCCCTGGGCAGAGCAGAAGTCACCACTGTAGCCTCGTCCCAGGATTCCTGCTTACTTCTTTATTAATAATAAATTCCCATGTTGCCTTAGCATTTATCTGGCTTTAGGAAATGAATAAAATTTGACTATTTGTGTTTAAATACAATGTCTTGTAAATCATGACAACCTTTGTATTTTAGTATATTTCAGTTATTATGAAATAAGGTAAGCTTTGCCCAGCTGAATGAAATGGAAACTCATTATATCTCAAATGAGGTGATAAAAGATAGAATAGTATTTTAATAACGTAGACAACATGGCTTTTTGTATTTTAATATTCACTGTTCTATTGGTAATGGAGCCTTAACAAAGTGATTTTGTTTCCAATCAATCAAATATTTCCTCATCAGCACTCTAAGCAAAAATACTGTGGCAGCTTCTCTTGTTTTTATTATCGCCAAAATAAGAAGCACCATCTCTAATAAGTGTCATTTGCATTAGGCCATGCTGTCAGCATTCAATTTGGAAGCTTGCTAGTTTCTTACGGAGCCTGTGACACAGGGCCCTCATCAGTATGTTGTGATGATAGCCTCACTTTTCCTAGCTCTGCTTTAGATTGACAGTCAACCTGGGTTTCCACACATCCCTGCATGTGCCATTGCAGAGGGCCATTTTATAGTTAGGCTAGAGTCCTTTGGTTGCCAAATAAGAGATTAATTCTTCCTAGCTTAAGGGAAACATTGAATTTATTAAAAGGGTGTTGGCCTGTGTCAGTGTTCAAGGCAGACTAGAACAAGTAAGCCTCGGAAAATGCAAAATCAAAATACATCAGATCCTTTAGCAATGGGTCCTTCGGAATCTTCTTTCTAGGTTCCAGTCATTAAAATGGCTCAACTCCAATGACTCCAAAAGTCAGTTTGTCTCTTTAAAAAAAAGAATGCAGGCCGGGCACGGGGGCTCACGCCTGTAATCCCAGCTCTTTGGGAGGCCGAGGCGGGCGGATCACGAGGTCAGGAGATTGAGACCATCCTGGCTAACACAGTGAAACCCCGTCTCAACTAAATATACAAAAGATTAGCTAGGCGTGGTGGCAGGCACCTGTAGTCCCTGCTACTCGGGAGGCTGAAGCAGGAGAATGGCGTGAACCCGGGAGGTGGAGCTTGCAGTGAGCCAAGATCACGCCACTGCACTCTAGTCTAGCCTGGGCGACTGAGCGAGACTCTGTCTCAAAAAAAAAAAAAAAAAAAAAAAAAAAAAAAAAAAAATTCCAAATTTCTGAGAAAATCTGTCCCAATTAAAGTCTGAGACTCACTCTTTCATGAGCTCATAGTGGCAGTTCTCAGAGAATGGGATATCTGTGTGCTAAGCAGTCAACCCAAGAGCTTCCTCTCACATTCCACCCCTTTAGTTTCTCAGCATTTATAAGCATTGCCTTTTCGTAGAAAACACTTAGCACAGTGCCTGGTACTTTGCAAATGTGCAATTATGTTTCAACTATTGTTTCAGTGATTGTAAATATAATTCCCATTGTTGAGGTTCTTCATGCCTTCTATGGACTGAATTCTTTCCCCTCCAATTTCATATGGAAATTCTTGCCCCAGTGTGGTGGTATTTGAAGGTGAGGCATTTGGAAGTTGATTAGGTTTAGATGAGGTCATGAAGGTCGGGACTTCCTGATGACATGAATGGCCTGATAACAAGAAACAGGAGAGATCTCTCTCTCTTTCCACCATGCAAGGTACACCAAGAAGGTGTGACCTGCAAACCGGGAAAAGAGCAGGACACTGAATCTGCCAGCACTTTGATCTTAGACTCTCCAGCTTCCAGAACTATGAGAAATAAATGTTTGTTGTTTAAGCCCTTCAATGTATGACATTTTGTTATAGCAGCCCAAGCAAAGACGACCCCATTCAAATATATTCCTGTTAATATAATCTAAATATACCATACAACACTAACAATTTAGCTGCCATTTACAATGGAAGGGAATGCGTAGTTATACCCAGAGACTGCATTCAGCATTCAGAAGTGTCATTGAGTAACTACCAAGACTAGTCCTAAGGTAATGGCCAACTTCTCTATGAAAGGATTTCATCTTGTCTTGATATTCACCATATAGAGGATAAATCTCCAATTTAATCACCTCTACATTACTCATATCAAATAAAGGAAGAAAAGAATGAGAACAGACCAGAAAAGGTATCTGCATTCTTATATGTGCATAAATATGTACACATACTATTTTTGTCTAAATGTATGTATGCATTTAGAAACTTTATAAACTGTTCATAAACCGTAAAGTCAAACTTGTATTTAGCCTCCCTCACCTGACCCAATCTATGTGTCCTTTGCTGTTCCAGTGGCTTCAATATTTTTGCCTGGAATTGCTTTCATTCAAATCTTCCTAGACTGAAATCATCTTGTCCGGGGTCATCAAATGCATAGGGGTGCATTTTTTTTTGAATTTTTCATCTCTGAAGATGGAAACAAAAGAATATCAAAAGTTTGCCCCTAATTTCATTCTATACCACAGTGTATCCATTTTGTAGAAATACCATTTGTCCCTTTGTTAATAAAGGTTACTCTCTCCAGTCAACACTACGGCTCTTGCAATTTGCCCAGCTAATCCTGTAGTGCTAAGAGGAGCTGGTGTGGCCAGGTGACACTCTAATCTTCAATTCAGAGGTGCCATCATGGGACTCACATAAATTTTAAATGTCAAGACCACCTAAAAACACAGAAGGGATGTGGGATAGTGGGAAACACTGTGAAAATTATATCATTGAATTAAATGTGTAATTTTATCTGAAATGGGATAAAAGGGTAGCACATAGCGATGAAGGCAGCTAGAATCCCAGGTAAAACGATAAGTTAGCTTCATCTTACATATGCTCCTTGGGGAGAGAGCTTCTTTGTTTTCATCCCCTTATGACACGAACATGGTAGACAAGGTTTTGGGGCAATGGTTTGCTTATTTTGATAAACAGGAGACATTATTATTTTGATAAATAGGAGATAAATAGAGACGTACTTTTGCCAATAATTAAGCAATTGTACCAGCCTGAGCTGAGCATTGAAGATCTACCCAAGATATAATAGTTCCCATAAGAAGCTCAGGAGTCTTGTAGGGAGACAAACATTTTTAACACCTGTTAAAATATTAAAAATAGAGGTATATATAGGACAATGGTTCTGAAACTTTAATCTGCATCAGAATCACCTAAAGAACTTGCTGAAATACAGACCCCTGGGCCTCATCCGTAGAGTTTGTGATTCAGTTAGTTTGAGGCAGAGCCTAATAATTTGCTTTTCTAACTCATTCCTGGGTGTTGCTGAGACTCATGTTCTGGGGACCACACTTTGAGAGCCACTGGCATAGCAACCTGTGAAGTCACGACAGAAGCATGTTCTCTCCATCTGGAGGAGAACTGGGGGAGTAAATCGATTGTTAGGGCTCTTAATTACAAAAAGCAGCTCTTAGCCATTTAAGTAGAATGGGAGTACATTAAGTGGGTATTGGGTGGTTCATGGGCAAATCGTGGAGGCCAGTTTTCCAGAAACAATGCCCCAAGCCATGTACAAGTGGCCTGATGACTAAAGGGCCACCAAGACTTGAGTAAGGCGTACTTAGCACAGTTTCAGAGCTGCCAGGAACATAACTCTGCTGCAGTTCTGATTGTGCCAATATTGATGCCACTTCTTAGGATGACTATCTTCCCTGAATGCCAGATTGTTTTTCCCCACTCTTGGGTTTGATCTGGAGCCTTCTACTTCAAGTGGTTTAATTTTGAAGCAAATTGTCATATGGTGAAATTTGGTGGGTGGATTCCTATCTCCTATCACATAAATTAGATGTGAAGGAAGCTGGGGAGGTGATACTAAAAGGCTTAACATATCCTCACACATAGAGAGATTATTCAAAAGGGACTGTGCATGCAGGAGATGTGTCCATTGCAGGAGATTTTACACAAATTTGGATGCTTCCATTCAGAAGAAAAGGGTAAGGGTAGTCTGTCAGATTAGGAGAAGATATGGGAAAAAGATTGAGTTACAAAGGAAATACTTGATGAAACCTACATGATTCTGTATGACCTGGCTTCGCTACAAGATCTCCTTCCAGGCTCATCTTGCCATTCATTTCCTCCTGGTCCTTCAACTCCAGATGTACAGGCCACCTTTCAAAGCATGATACATGCAGACACATGTCTTGTGTACATGCTGCTCATCACATCTGGAGCTCTTATCCTCCTTTTTTTCTAGGTTAATTCTCAGCTCAGTTTTCACCTCCTCCTCCAGACCTTCCCTTACCTACCTCACTGCTATCACAAAGTGCTCTAGACTGCAAGGCTTAGAAACAGAAATTTATGGACTCACATTCCTGAAGTCTGGAAGTCTGAGATCAAGATGTCTGCAGAATTGATTCCTTCTGAGGACCAAGACAGGAGGATCTGCTCCAGGCCTCTCTCCTTAGCTTGTAGATGGACTTCTTCTCCCTGTGTTTCTTCACTTATCTTCCCTCTGCTTGTCTGTGTTTGTGTCCAAATGTCCCCCTTTTTATAAGGATATCATGCATTCCAGATTAGGGCCCAGCCTAATAATCTTATGTTAACTTAATTCTGTTAATTTTGGAGAGATTACCTCTCCAAAGAGGCTATCTCTAAATAAGATCACATTCTGAGATATTGGGGGTTAAGACTTCAATGTGTCTTTATTTGGGAGTCATAATTCAACTCACAGCTATAGATTTTATGGCACCACACACTTCCACTTTCAGAATATACTACAGCTATAACTTTACTCTTATTTGTGCAGTGATGTCTATCTGCATAAATAAATATGGGTGGATATCTACCTCCTCCATTAAATCACTCTCTAAGATGGCAAGGTCAGCATCTTAGAGGTGCCAGTGTATGTGTATTAAACAAACAAAAGGTAAACCGTCCTACACACCTGCCTAAGTTGTTTGGTCTTTGTCACGTGGGCCATGAGACATAGAGGCGTGACTTGATGAGAACTTCGATTTAGAAAATGAGAACACCACCTCCTCCCTAAACATCAGCACCAAGTAAATGCCAAGTGCATCACATGCTGTTGGGTGAGGGTTGTGTGCAGTCTAGAAAGCTTCACAGTTTAAAGCATTCTCTCTACAGCTTCCCCTAGGAAAATAATACATCAGCAGTGAAATGAAAACAGCATGCAGTTTCCCAGTGCATTTATTCTCTGGCTGCAGAAGTAGGTTTAGAACATAATCTCGCTAGAAATATGTGTGTCCGTCAGCGCTTATGTGGGAAAGGGACTTCCATGCTGGCATTTGAAATTGTCAGTGTGTTCCATTTCCATGTATATTGTTTTAGCACGGGATTTTCAAAATAATACAGTGTCAGTAAGATATGAGCTGTTAAACACCCAAAGGATTTGCCAAAAGACTATATGAGATGCCCTCTGGGGTTTTATATGATAATTTTTTTTTAAGTAACAAAAATGAGAGCTAAATCTGGGAGGCAGGGAATTAGCAAAGTGATGTGGTAGACACTTAAAATTGTTAAATAAACCACATTCCTCTAGGTTTTAAATGTTTGCAACAGTTCTTCCAAAGGTAAGGAAGTGAACAGGATGATTTCCTAGCCATGTATCTATGACACTGTGGCCTTAACTCTGACAATAGCAATCCCAATCATTGCCCATTTTCAAGAGCTGGACTCATCTATTTCTTTTTGCTAGAAGCTTCCCAAACAGTGCTCACATCTTTTAGAGCTCACCAACCCCAGGACATCCGTGAAAGACCATATGTAGTCTTCCCCCCCGCCCCCCCCACATATATCTATATATAAATATTACATATTTGTCCCAAAAATGGCATCATTGCACATGGTGTCAATGGCTATAAACTTAACTTCTGATGTTGAATTTCCGAAAAGAACAATTTTTGAGTATTTGTTGGCAAGATAAAAGATCTTTGGAGTTCTACTTGAAAACTGATACTTCCTTTGAAGGATTACATCCAGTGGTCCCATGAAACTGAACTTTTTAAAAATGATGAATGAGATAAGTAGTGAACTATGGATGTTTAATAGACATATATTGAGTCTCTAATGGATACAGATACTATGCTCTATGTCAGCCCCACTGTCAAGAATATTGTTTACCAGAGGAGGATACACATATACATATCTATGCTATTATAATAATAATAACAGATACACATAATTTATTATATGTATGTGTATGTGTATATATAGATATACACCTATATATTACTATATATGTGTATTTAACCTCAGAAGAGTCTTATAGGGTAAGTACTATTAATTTCTCCATCATCCAGAAAAGGACGCCGAGGTACAGGGACTTGTCCAAGGTCACCAAGCTGGGAAGTAACAGAGCCAGTATTTAAACACTGGCAGGTAAGTTGACTTCATAATTCTTGTTTTAGTCACAATGCCCCTCTAAGGCATGACTAAACTCCTTAAGAATGAAGTTAACTACATTCAAATTCATCACCAAGTTCTCTCGTCTTTACTACTTACAATCCTGAATTTCACCACTTCTCTCCATTTCTGCTGCCACTCCCCTGGTCCAGACCAATGTAATGTCTCACAGGGACATCAGAAAAAACTTACCAACTGCTCTCCCCACCCCTCTCCGGCTCCACCCCATCCCTCTTTTGGTGGCCCTAACAGTCTTATAAAATGCATTTCATATGTTACATGTTTCTAAAGTTGTCCAGTGGTTTGTCATTTATCACTGGATGAGGAACAATATCCTGAATATTTCTGCAAGCTTCTAAGTAACTTGGCCCTGCTTGGATCAACATTGCTTCTTAGAAGGCCCTTTTCCACATTGCCTATTTTGGGTACCACACATACTGTTCTTTGCTGTTCCTCAAATACATGCTGATGTTCTAGACTCATGGTTCAAACACATCCTATTCCTTCTGCCTAAAATACTCTCCTAGGCGTCCCCAGCCCCACCCCACATTCATTTACTCAGTTAACTCCTGGACCTCAGAGCTTGGCTCAGATTTCACTACTTCATAGAAGCCTAACCTCCTCCCCCAGAATGAGATAGTTTCCTCTTTAATAGCTTATTTTAACAGCTTATACTTTTCTGTGTGGTCTTTATCCCTAATTGCCATTAAGACATTTTTTATTTTGCTTTTGATTATCTCTATCCTCTAAATTGCAAGCTCATTAGAGTAGGAATTTTATTTCCTTTTGTTTCCCACATAAAATCGTGCATGGTCAAATTGCTGAATTTCTGTTGAATGCCCACAGTAAGAGAGATATTTCTTTTGAGGCAGAAAGTGAGGCCACATTGAGAAGGTGGTATTTAATCTCTATTTTGAAGGGTGGCTAGTTTCTAAATAAGACTAGGGGTGGGAGTATGGATGATGTCTTTCCAGGTAGCAGAAATCACTTAAAAAACTTAGTGATGGAAAAACACAATGTTTGTAGCTGGTGAAGAGTGTGGATTCATTTGAATACAGATTAGAAGATCGTGAGTATCAGAAGATAATTTTGAATAATTATGCTCAGATAAAACTGGAGAGCCTAGAGTGATACTTTTATTCTGTAAAGAAAAAGAAACCACTAAAAACATATTAAAGATAAGAGTGACATCATAGTGATTTAGAATTATTTGACAGAGACACATTTAAAATAGAATTTTTTTAGAATCATCATGCTAGGTTTCAATCCCAGCTCTCATCTTTAATTGCTGTTTGTCCTTGTACATTTTATTTAAGCACTGTATTATCTAGGGCAGTCCTTTTTATGACAAACACATCCTGAAGTTTCAGTGGCTGACTACAATAAAAGTTTATTTCTAGTTGTTGTCCAATATGGGATGCCTTGGTCAGTAGTCCTTGGTCTTTATTCCCTGTATCTTGTTCTACAATCACCCTAAAACTTCAGAGTCCACTGAGTTTGGCTGGCAAATAGGAGAGGAGATAGGGAAGTGCTATCTGCTTCACAAAAACTCCAATTTCATCTTCTATGGGTGAAAACTAGTCATGTGGCTTTGCCTAGAGGCAAAGGGTACTGATAAAATTCTTGGCTGGGTAGCTGCCTTCCAGGGCAACTTTACTCAATGGAAAGAGAAGTTTGAATTTTTGGTAGGTAGTCAGCCAATTTTGTGACATACTCTAAGCTTTAATTTATTTTTCAGTAAAATGAGAATGACAATAGCAGCTAATATATAGACTGATTATGATGAATAATGGTGTAATACATTAAATGTCCCAGCACAAAGTCAAGAACATAAGAGGTCCCTCCTTCGGATTAAGGAGCGAGATCAGGCCCAAACTCCATTGAGGGCAATAGAAAAGGAGATGAATGGAGAAAAACCAAGAAAAGTATGTGTTTTACTTGGTTCTAAATTGATGTTTTCAGTTTTGCTTTTGGAACATGTATTTAAACTCTTGAAGACTTGAATGGAAATGATAACTTTCCTACATTCTGCTAGAGACAGCTCTCTGCAATGCAGCCAGCAGCTGCTCGTAGCAGTCCTGTTCTGTGCAAATACCATAGTCTCCATCCATCAACTGAGCACCATCAAGTTTTCAAAGCTTGCCTTGATTTTATAATATTTAATAATTTTACATTCTGAGTTATTTATTCATGTTTTAAGATTGGCTGACTCCATTGTCATGTCTCCATGAAACAAAGACTTTGTTTAGAATGTGGAAGAGATTATTGTGTCACTTCTTCATTTGGTGCCTAAAGCAGAGTATAGAGCATGTATGAAAACTATTTAATGATGAGTAACAACTTGAATCAACTTGAAAATTTGCTTTTTGTTTTGTCTTTTTTGAGACAAAGTGTCACTCTATTGCCCAGGCTAGAGTGCAGTGGTGTGATCTCGGCTCACTGCAACCTCTGCCTCCAGAGTTCAAGCGATTCTTCTGCCTCAGCCTCCTGAGTAGCTGGGACTACAGGCAGGTGCCATCACTCCTAGCTAATTTTTGTGTTTTTAGTAGAGACATGGTTTCACCATGTTGGCCAGGCTGATCTTGAACTCCTGACCTCAAGTGATCTGCCCGCCTTGGCCTCCCAAAGTGCTGGGATTACAGGTGTGAGCCGCTGCACCCATCCAAAATTTTGCATTTTATTAATAAGCATCATCAAAAGTAAAACAAAAATTCTGCTAGAGGAGTCAGTACAAACCCACCAAAAGCTGAAGTGATATCTCCATTGTTGATTAATCTTTATCTATCTGTGTGTAGGTGGGTATGTAAATGTTAAAGAGCTCATACCACCTGCATCGTTACATACAATAGTTTCATGTGATTTCTAATTTTGACTACTTTATCCAGTTCAAAATAATACTGTGTGATATAGAACCTTAAAGAGAGCTACGTTTACATTTGTAGAATAGGCCAAGGAAACATGTTCATGCCTATAAGGCAGAGGTGGGAGGATCACTTGAGTCCTGGATTTCAGGACCAGCCTGGGCAACATAAGGAGACCTCATCTCTATAAAAAGTAAAAAAAAAAAAAAAAAAAAAAAAAAAAAAAAATAGCTGGGTGTGGTGGTGCATGCCTGTGGTCTCAGCTACTCTAGAGGCAAAGGTGGGAGGATTGATTGAGCCTGCCAGGAGGTCGGTGCTGCAGTGACCTGTGGTGATAGTGCCACTTCACTCCAGTCTGGGTGACAGAGCAAGACCCTGTCTTGAAAAAAACAAAGAGCAAATAAATCCCAAGATGTGGCACTTTATATTATGATTTTGCAAACTCATCCTTTCGTCTTTATTCATTCAGTGCAGAAAATATACGCAATTGACCTGCTACATTTATCTGCAAAAACTGAGTAATCTACTCCTCTTTTAAAGAGTTGGCATATATTAAGTAATTTTTAATATTGCCTAGAAAGGTAAGCTAAGTAGTTGAATTTTACCCTTCCAGGCACCCATACTGGAAACTTTGTAGTGGCTTTTTCATTCATGTCTCTTCCTTGTCTCTTAGAACTCTTGTTGGCCAAGGCTTTGAGTTAATTACACCTTGGTTACATTCCATTCTTCCATCCTCTTAGTTTCTATCTTGACTGAGGTCCACACCTCAACTATTATTATAGCCAGAAAACTCATCCATCTTCTATTTTATACCTGTGACTTCAGGAATCAGCTTTATTCATGTCATGCAAAGTCCTAGGAGTCACCATTACCTGTAAAAGAATATAAGTTAACCTTCATGTGAAGCGGAATTAAAGAACCACAAGATACAAGTAGTACAATCAGTGCCATTCAGTACAAACTAAGTTCCAGCCAGAGTAAGCTTGTCAGTCTTTTCACATAGACTCCAAATTTTTCTGAATCCTTATCTTTGCTCATTTTGTTCCCATTCTCTATCACTTCTACAGAATTCTGATCCTAACTCTGCCTTTTTTTTTAAACCAAAGTATTGAGGAAGTGATTTAAACTCTGGAGCCTCTGTCTTCTAATTATTAAAATAGGCTCCAAAATGCATAGCCTTTAAGGCTCTTAGAGGTTGAAATATCAAAGTGAAAATAACATCTTTTTGCTCCATGCAATCAAGGCACATCTTCTGTTTGTCTAGAATGACAGGCACCACTTTATACTTATTTTATGCACTGGTATTATTTCTACTACCTAACATGAGCTCTTTGAGGAATCAGTAATTATGTTGAAGTCATCTTGTATCTCTTCTGCTGCTGCGCTTAATGACGAAAGAGCAGTATTTGATTCATCCAGGTAACCAGTTGATATCTTGTAGTTATTAGCTATAATAAACTTAAGAAGAGAAGAAGGAATAAAGGAGGGAAGGAAGGAGGGAGGAAGGGAGGGAGGGAGGGAGGGAGGAAAGGAAGGAAGGCGGGCGACAGAGTGACATGGAGGAGACAGGAGAGTTAGATGGGGTGGGAGAAAAGAAGGAAATAGAAAGAAGGGAATGAAATGCAGGGAGGGAGGGAGGAAGGACCTAATTTTTATTTTGTTTTTAAATATCGAGAATCATGATATATAATGTGTTTTTAATGCTACAACTGATTAAACCTCTTTCTTAATGTATGTGCTTAGGACGAAGAGCAACACTTTCTTATCATTACCTATAACTTACTATTACTTAATTAAGACCTCAAGTCTGATTAAATCCTATCACAAATGAAAATGCTTTTATAATAAATTTTTAAAATTTCAATAGTAATGTTCACTGCTTTTCTGAAATAACTCCTCTAATATTTTGTTCAAAATACCCAGTCCTATGTTAGATGTTTAGAAAACTTGCTTTCTTGCTTATTTTTCTTCTTGCTTTTGCTCAGATTTGTTGATTAATTGACTTTTGTATCAGCAGATGACTCTTTAATGAATTTAATGTATTGGTTAAGCACATCTATTGGCCAAGGTGAAAGCAAGACTTCTTAAAGAATCATTTCTCTGTGTTTTATTAAAGCCAAAGTCATATCATGGCTTCAGAAAGTCTGGACAAAACATCTAAGAATATGTATGCATTAATTAAATTACTCTGAAAGTAACATCTCCAATATATTAGACATAACATATGAGATAAAAATTGACTTAGAAGCTTTTTTTTAGGTCTTTTTCATTGCCTTGTTTCTGCCACTCTCTTCCTGACTTATTTTTCATTATTTGTTTTACATTGTGTAATCAGATTTTGGTTTTTTTTTTCCACTTTGTATTATAAATGACCCAATGAGCTTGCCCTACTATTAAACACTTGGCATCCATGTAGATCCCTATCAATGCTGTGTGATTAGCAGAGCTCACTGCTTAGCTCCTTGCACACCTCAGCTCACCTCTAATTTCTGTCTTCTAAGCTGTTTGGTTTGTATAGGTTTATACGCTGAATGTGATGGCTAGATTCAAGAGTCGACCCATAAAGCAGAAATTGAACATCATCAAAATTAATCTTGAAAACTGTAGGAAAGGCAAAATTGCAGATGGGTGTCCCTCTCAACTGGCCTAACACAGTTGGGTTTTCTCCCCAATGTTGAAGTAGATATACTTATTCAGTAGTGATAAACCAGATAAGTATGTTGGGTTTGTATGTCAAGTATGTCATATGAAAAAAAAAATGTTAGGCTGCGCACCATGGCTCATGCCTGTAATCCCAGCACTTTGGGAGGCCGAGGTGGGTGGATCACTTGAGGTCAGGAGTTTGAGACCAGTCTGGCCAACATGGTGAAACCCCATCTCTACTAAAAATACAAAAATACAAAAAAATACAAAAAAAAAATACAAGCTGGGTGTGGTGGCATGCACCTGTAATCCTAGTTACTCGGGAGGCTGAGGCAGAAGAATTGCTTGAGCCTGGGAGGTGGAAGTTGCAGTGAGCGGAGATTGTGCCACTGCACTCTAGCCTGAGTGACAGAGCCAGACTCTATTTAAAAAAATAAAAAAATGTTATCTTGGTACTCTAGAAACAAACATAGTACACTGCAAACTTCACTTTGTGCAGAGATCTTTGATATCTAAAATCTCTGGAGGTATTGTCAGGTCCTTGTCTCCTTGACTCCCTAACTCCCAACTGCACCGACACAAAACACCATGGGGCATGAGCAAGTGGAAGCATCTAAAATATTTAATTGTCCCCCTCCCAATCATTTCTGTTTGTTTCCAAAAATAAACCTCTAATATATGCAAGTGACTCTACTACTGCACATCTGTAAAGGAGAACAACAGCCGGGATTTCTCTCTGGATAGTCACAGCTTGCTTTGGTGTTGATTTTTTTCAATGTTTTCTCATTTAGATTATAGACATCAACCACTGGTTTGCTTTTCTACTCTATATTTTAGATTCAAAATAGTCACTGCAGCAGAAGGAGCCGCATATGCGTACCTTAAAAAAGGTGGTTGATTTTATCCACCTACTGGCTTATACTGGAGAGACTTGTTTGAACTAACAGGAGTCGGTTGACCTCTCCTGCCCTACAGACACCTTGTAACTTGCCTCCTACTTGATTCATTCAGCTTGTTGATGTGGGAGTTGTAATATATATAGCATTGAGTAAGAAGTGCAATGCTTGTCTTAAACTTTGTACATGCCACTAAGTCATATTTAAGGGAGAGCAATCTGGCCAGGAATTAAGTGCATTTGATATAGGAATAATTGAAAAATAGTATAGGGGAAACACTCAATTTACCTTGGCTTTTAAAATTTTACACAAAAGTGAAAGTTTGAGAAATCTCCCAGACTTCTTTCCCTTCCCAGAGATTTACTTCCATTAGCGTATCAGTGACCTTAAGAAGTCCAGAGTTAGAAACGCTTTAAACTGGTTAACAGGGAATTTCAAAATTTAATTGACCTTAGAATCTACCACCTTCCAATTTTCTTTCAACCTTCTTTTATTAGCATCTGACTTTCACAGAACATTGTTTGAAAAGTGATGATATAGAAACAGTGCAAATAACATCAATCAATTTAAAACAAATTATCACAGAAATTAGTTGGTACAACTTGCTAAGTGATAAGCCACACTAGAATCTGGTGGCCACCACTTGCTTTTCGAACTGTTGACAAATCATCCTCTTGTTAATTTGTGCTAAAATTTTGGCCAGGATTGATATTAATAGCTACTGTGTTGCTGTCTGCAAAGAATATGGTAGAATCACTGTGCATTGCATTCTTAGGTGCAGGAGGCTCATACTTCTTACATCTCTCACTTTTCATAAGAGCCTAACACACCCAAACAGCAATCTGTGGACCCGCAGTATTAGACTGGCTGCTTAAGAGTACAGACTAGGGTGGTGCTCAGAATGACCTACATTTTAATATCCCCCGGCAACTGCAGCAGTCACCTTCAATGGGTATAATTTGTTCATATCACAGTGTCTAATTTGAAGAGCTGGGTTCAAATCTAGTGTGTTTTGACCTCAAAATTCATACTGTTTTTCAAATAGACCCCAAGTTAAGGAAGAATTTACCAGATACCTCTTTTTAGCGAAGAAGTACTTTAGCAGGTAATTGACAAACTTACATCTTTCCTCTCTCTTAAGTCCCTAAATCTTGTCTCTATGCCGATTATAAAGACCTCTGTAAATTAAATGCAGCAAAGAAATGTTCCATCTGACCAGTAATTTGCTGCTAACACCTACCATTGTATTCCTTTTGTTCCTACTTTTTATTTCTAGTGAGCTCTTCTATCATAGTTTGCAACCCTTGAGTTTTCAAATTTTAAGCCAGTCCTTTTTATCCTTAATTCACACACCGATTTACCTCCCTTTCTAGAAAGTCATTTTACTTTGGAATTGGGTAAAACATCCCATGCTCATTTTTGCAATAATGAGTTTCATTCCACTAAATCTTGGCGACTTTTGAGATTATTTCCCTCTCTGCTACAGGTTCAGTGTCCACTCATTAACCATATTTTTATCATAGATATAGAGACGGAGAAGATTTCAAATGCTTTTTCCGGTTCTTCCCAATCTTCTGTTATATGTTACAATTAAGCTCTTAAACCATTACCCTTCTCTTCTTTCCATACCCAATGGCCTTCATAATGAGGGGACATATGGCATCCCATCACTTATAATGCCATATCTTCCATACTATTTTTTAGGTTTCTATTAAAGGCCTTTCAATTAGATTTGTCTCCCTTCAATGCAGATTCATTCTTACCAGTCTGTAAGGGTTCTCTTTTCCTCTCTGTAGTCTACTATTTTGGAATCTTCCCTAGGGTTTAAAAATCCAGGCACCATCTCTTGACACTAACTTGTTGGTCAGTTGTTAGTATTCCATATTCTCATTTTTTTTTAAGGCATTAAAAATAGCAAAGAAGGCAAATCTCTGTATTTTACAAGCTGTGACATTTATTAAAGAAGAAGTATCCTTTCCTCCAGCTTTCAAAATAATATTTTAGAAACACTATTGAATAATGATTTAAAATATTTATTTATTTATTTATTTTTGAGGCAGAGTCTTGCTCTGTCACCCAGGCTGGAGTGCGGTGGTGTGATCTTGGCTCACTGCAGCCCTGACCTCCCGGGCTCAAGTCATCCTCTTGTCTCAGCCTCCCCAGTAGCTGGAACTACAGGCATGCACCAGCACACCCAGTTATTTTTATTTTTTATTTTTTGTGGAGATGAGGTGACTATGTTGGCCAGGCTGGTCTCAAACTTTTGAGCTCAAGCGATCCTCCCTCCTTGGCCTCCTGAATTGCTGGGATTACAGGTGTGAGCCACCTCTCTCAGCTAAAATAAGGTGAAGTCACATAGAACTTAAAAAAGAAGTAGAATTTTAGTTTAATGCCTAAAAGTATAATTAAATCTAATTAACAATGGCCTTGGTACAATATCAGTCTGTTACTTTCTTTTTCAAGTTCAAGGCTAAAGAATAGTACAAACCAAAAACAGTGTGGTCTTGTTCCTCTTATAACTGTTTTCTTTTTTGACTCCTTTTCTCTACTTATTTCATTGTCCTTTTTCTTACCTACCTTCAACATTCAAGTTCAGAGAATTATGCAGCTTATTAAAAAAAGCTTCCCTCAGAATTTACTGATAATGCAAAAAAAACTATTAAAATAAAAGAGTATCCTAATGTCTTTTAACCTTGAGATAGCCTTAAGCATTTCACTCATTAATATGCCAGTATTCAAGCATTTTGTAATATCAGCTGCTCTGTAATTAGCTATTTTGAATAGTTTGCAAATTTTTCTCCCTCTGATATCTTATGGATATTTTTAAAACATTATTGCTTCAAAAAAAATCTTTGGGAGACGATTGTATTTTGTTCTCCTTAGTTTCTTTTTTTAACTTTCCTTTCTCTCAATAATAAAGGAGGAAAGTCAAAAAAATAAAAGATGAAGTTACAACACAGTAAATCTAGCAGTTTATGTTTCTACGCTTAGCTCTTGTTAAACATCAGGTTCAGAAACCAACTCCATCAAAGTGGCTTTGTGTGTTTTATTTCTTCTCCCAAGTCTTCAAGTAGGAAAGATTCAATTAATCGTAACCAGAATTTCTTCTGAAGAAAAACCTTTCCTAATCTCACCAATAGTAAGAAGCCATGTCTAGGGTAAACAAATTCTCCTTGAAGTTGATTGGAAATCTTTCTTTGATGATTTCTTCCATTACTGAAGTCCACAAGGGAAATAGACTATCTCATGAATTCATATACAATTTTATCTTGAAGATTTTCTTGTGACCTTGTGTGCTAGGTTTTAGGCGTAACGTGAAAGTGTTTTTTTTTTTTTTTTTTTCAATGAAAAAGACAGTGGACTGGAACTTTTAGTAGTTTTTGAGCAGACTATACTCATAATGCAACTCATCACAGCATGGTGAGTACAGATAGAATAGCATAGTGGGGGTGGCTTTTAAACACGCTGGGCATCAAAATGAATTATGAACATTTCATAAAGTATATCGTTGCCCTCGTCTTGTTTCAAGACATTGTGGTTCTCTATTTCCAGGTTGTGCCTAAGTAGGCATATTTTTCAAAGTTTCACGTATATATCAAATGACAAAGGATAAATTTGCATATCATGGGCATTAACTTTAAAGACTAGGAAGTTAAGAAAGAACCCACAATTGTGTCCTATTACATTATCTAGCTGTGTACAGGGGAGCAAAATAACTCATGCCTTTAGCATTTGGTCACTTATATTTAATAAGGATAGAAAAAATAATGAAGCTGGGCGTGGTGGCTCACGCCTGTAATCCCGGCACTTTGGGAGGCTGAGGCGGGTGGATTGCCTGAGATCAGAAGTTCAAGACCAGCCGGGCTAATGTGGTGAAACCCCGTCCCTACTAAAAATACAAAAACTAGCAGGGCGTGGTGGTGCATGCCTGTAGTCCCAGCTACTCGGGAGGCTGAGGCAGGAGACTTGCTTGAACCCGGGAGGTGGAGGTTGCAGTGAGCCAAGATCACGCCACTGCACTCCAGCCTGGGTGACAGCAAGACTCCATCTCAAAAATAATAATAATAACAAATAAATAAAATGAAAAAAATAATGATGCATGAAGAGCTCTTTTCATGAGTCTGGCATAAAGAAAGTGCTTAGTAAATATTCACTTATATTTGTACTGTTGGTTTCATTGTGGTTGCTGTTGGAGCTATTAACAAAGCAGACGATCATAAATACTATTCCAGATACATGCACACACACACAGTATTGTAAAACTCAAAGAAATAAAATAAATCAGTATGAAAACATTGAAGAAATCTTCAGAGAAGAAGAGAGATTTAATTTGGAACATGAGGGTGCATTAGGAGTTGAACAGATAGAAAAATGATACTTTGAAGACAAAGTATAGATGGTCATCCTGAGTGCCATGTTCATAAATATAGCCCTGATGGAAGATGCCACTTAAAAAAGGTGAAATGAAATGTATGTTTTGGAATTCTTTAGTCTTATGACAAGGAGGAGGATGATTAAAGAGAAAAAGAGAGTGTGAATAGGCAGGAGAAAGAGAGAGAGAATGAGAAGACTAGAGAGAGCTATTTTATTAGGTACATAATATACTATGTAGCATACTTTTATAGCAGAAAATGCAGCTTATATGAAAAATAAGCTATTCCCTTCTCCGAAAAAGTAAAAATTTGTGAGTTTAGTTTCCATTTATTCTTTCCTAGACATTGCCCCTACTGTGATCTGTTTTTTAAATATAGCTCCTTGCCTTAGATGTATTAATCAAATTTATTATCAATTTTTAAAGTAGTACTAGTTTTATATTTCTAAATAAAAATAAATATGTTAAAATTGTTCCATATATATGAGACAAATATATACAAAAATATTTTGATAAAATATATTAATTGTTCCACTGCTTAATGATAAATACTATTAACATTGTGGTATATAGCTCTATTCAGATATAATTCTTTTCTGTTCTCTATCCCTCAACTTGTATCCTTTCCTCTATTTTGTAAACTGCTTTCTCTCTCCATGAATGTGTCATGGTACTTTCCATGCATATAATTAGAAATATATTATCATTTTTAAGGACCAGATGATATTCTGTCACATGAACTCTTAATATATTTAAGCAGTCTGCTCATAATGAATATTTATATATTCAAATGTGTTTTATTTTTATGAACAATGTTGTGGCGGATACTCCTTACATTACTCATTTGACATCCCTTTGCTGACTTGATTTCACTATTGTTGATATATTTCCATTTCACTCTCGTGTTTATAATGATTGTTGTTCTATGCTCACCTAATTGCCAGTAATAGTAATAATGATCAGAAGAAAAAGAAAATATTAATATTATTAGTGGCAAATTTTATTATTTTCTGTGTATTAGCCACCATGCTGAGTATTTTTACACATTATGTAACTATCTTAAAAGTGATATAAGTTAGGTGGCATTATCAGCATTTTATAGGTAAGAAAACAGAGGTTTGGAAAGTCAAAATGGCTTGCTCCAAGTAATATATTTAGTAAGTGCAAAAGCCAGTATTTAAACCCTGATTTCTGCAAATGCGACCACCATGGCCTTAATTACTAGGCCATGTTATATGAGGGCAAAAAAAGCAGCTTATACTTGTGACCCCCGACATTCACCTCTTCCAAAATAGACCTCAACACCTTCACAGGGAGTTTGGAAGACCTGGTTGTGTGCTCCAGTGCCACTGCCAACGAGAGTTGAGAAGTGATGGGGTTTTTTTGGCTTTGGTTGTATTATTTATTATCTATTATTATGTCCAGAAGTTCTTGTGCTCCTATTGGCTGATTACAAACCTCAAAGAAGAGCTCAAGACAATCTATACCCAAGTCTAAATAACCATTTTGGCCAGGTTTTCTCAATTTTCAGATGGACCCCACTATGTAGCTCTATCTATATGGACCTATTAATTAGATTTATGAGGCCATTTTGCTGCCAACCAATGATGGTGAGCCTATTAGAAAGTAGTGATGTTCAATATTAGATGTTGTCTAGGCACCCTTCTCTTCCATTCTTGAAGTAGTTCTTAAGAAGTGGTACCCAGAGCATCACCATCACCTGAGATCCTGTAAGTGATGCAGATGCTTGGGCCTCCCATCCTGTGCACTAACTCAGAAACTCTGGGAAGGGGATCCAGCAGTCTGTTTCAACAAACTGTTGAGGAGATTCTGGTACAGGTCAACATGGGAGAACTAATACCTGATGCTTTGCATAGCTAATTGGGAACTCTTGCCCTTCAAAGTCTCCAAATCATGCCCAGGTTTAAATATCTGTGGTTACATCCATATACTTTACCCAGAAATTGAGCAAATTTTGTTTGTAAGCTCATTTTATTCCTGCTTTCTCTAAGCCATCTTCAGGTGGAAATTATATGGCCTCCAGCTTAACTAAAATTGCATGTCAAGATCTACAATTTTCATACCAAAATGTCAGCTTCACCATGGGCATGTCTGGCTGCTTAGCATAGATATGTCTTCCGTCATCAGCAGACAAAGCCTACTCTCCCAGCACTCTACAGTGAGCTGACTGTGTAAACACTAGCTACTTAGCACCTGCTTCTTATGTCCATTGCCATTAAAGAGAAGCAGTGCAATGAACTAAGTAATCACCCATATTTCAAGTTGCGTGTATTTTTTCTTTTGGTTGTAACCCTGTATCAACATAAATTAATAAAATTTGAGTGCTTAGCACATGGGCATAGTTCTTCTTTCTTCTCCCCTTAAGATGTTAAAATACAGACCTATACTTTAAAGTTATTTGTTCATACAGTGGATTAAAAAATGTTACAAATAAACATTTTATGTTTCCTGTACAAGAACTTGCAATAAATTCTGTTTAAAGTTTACTGCTGGGAATAAAAAATTTGTTTGTACTGATTACCCTGGCTTTAATCCTGATTGTTCATTAAAACGAATAAGGCCAGGGCATAATTATTTGTAAAAATAAATATCTCACCAGATAATTCAACTGTGCTGGTTAACTGATTCCCTGTTTTTATCAGACAATAATGTCTGTCTGTCTGTCTATCTAATCTATCTATCTTGCATGATTTTGTGTTATCATGTAGCTCTAAAACACATTTAATGTGTCATTGTCATAACCGTCTTTAGCTTGTCTTTCTGGTGTAATTATAGTCTCCCTTGTAATATATTACTTTTCCATTTTTATTTTTATCTTAATGATCCCAGTGTTAATTAGTCTTCTATTGTTAGTAATTTCAAAGTTCTCTTGGGGCTAGTACAATTACAAATAAGGTTTTATTTTTGTCTATTAACTCCAAGTGTCTAAGACAATACGTTTCATATACATATGTCAAAGTTAATAATTGGAGTCTGGTGTGGTGGCATATGCCTGTAGTCTCAGCTGTTTGGGAGGCTGAGGCAGGAGGATCACTGGAGCCTAGGCAGAGGACTCCAGAGGTTGCAGTGAGCTCTTTGATCACTCCAGTGTGAATAGCCACTACACTCCAGTCTGGGCAACATAGTGAGACCCCATCTCTTAAAAAAATTAACAATTGATTTGATCTGAGTTTTCAGATCTTCATCAATTAAATGCTTTTCTGAAATATGCCCATGCTACTGCAGGAAGTGAGAACACACACACACACACACACACACAAAATCTTGTCCTTTTCTCTAGCTCGCAACAAGATGTGCCTTTGAAACAAAATAAAAAATGTCATGAGACACAATATTCCCTATTGCTTCCCATTCCATGCTCAGATTTCTATAAGTAGCACATGTAACCTTATATTATCATCGCTTGTTTGTCTCTCTCACCCTCCATAAGTTTAGCAAGGCTAGGATATATTTATTGTAGTTGTGATGTAGGACAGGTGAGCCCCAAAGTAGGGCTTAGCCTTTGAGGGTTCTTTGAGGCTTTGCCCAGGAAAGAATTCAAGGGCAAGTCAGTGGTAGAATAGAAGAAAACATCTTTATTGAAGCAACAGTGTTACAGGTCTGATGGCGTTGCAGCTCCGTGATTGCTCCTGCAGAGCAGGGCTACCCCATAGACAGAAAGTAGCAGCTCAGGGCAATTGCAGTCATATTTAAACCCACTTTTAATTACATGCAGATTAAGGAGCAGTTTATGCAGAAATTTCTAGGGAAGGATTAGTAATTTTGGGGTCATTGGGTCATTGACATGGAAAAGGGCAGTAACTCCGAAGTGTTGTCATGGCAATGGTAAACTGACATGGCACACTGGTGGGTGTGTCTTATGGTAATCTTCTTCCTTCCCAGCCCTGTTTTAGCTAGTCTTCAATGTGGTTCGGTGTCCAAGCCCTACCTTCAGAGTGAGTCCCACCTCCTACCTCAGTTGTCTCAATGCCTAGTACTGTAGCTGGGAGTTGATGTCCAAGGATATCATTAAAAGCCAAATAATGTGATTTAAAAATTCCTTTCGGGAGCTCAAAAGAAAGGCAAACCTAGAAGGATTCGAGTTCCCTGGTGAGTTTAATAGAGGAGGAATGATGTGGGGTGGGTATTGGCTATTATACTTAGCATTATACTTGGGCAGGAGGACAGAGAAGGGCTATGACGTGAGAAAGGGACCTGTCGGAAGTGAGGAATGAAGAGATGCTTTTATTTCAGAGAATCACTGGCAGCAAGAGGGAAGATCAGCATTATCAGCCTGCAGAAGAGCCAAAACTCCAGGCAGAGAACTTTATAGCTTATAAAATAGAAATTATAGACCCAAAGAACTTTATAGGTAGGTATGTTATATAATATAATCTGTAATTAAAACTTTAGTCTGACAATAAGATTCTAGGTGTTGGCAAACTATAATCTGCATGGCATATCCAGCTCATATCTTGTTTTTCTATGGTGCTCCAGTGAAAATATTTTTAAAGCATTTTAAAGAAAGTAATTTGAAAAGTAAAGTAAAATACCCATCAGAGGCCTCAAAACCTAAAATATTTACTATCTAGAAATTTACAAAAAATGTTGCCTGATCCCTGCAGGTGAAAGATGTAAGGAATAATGAGAAAAGATATTGGAATAAAGGATCTACTTGAGTGTATAAGGGTTGGGGAGACAGTGGTGACACATAGATCTCTCAGTTTCAACAGTGTAGCAGAGGAGTTTATTTCTCATTCCTGTACTATTCAAGGCATCTGTTTTCTATTGGTGGACAGCTTTCTCCCATGTGGCAATTTTGAGATTCAGCCTCCTTTCCTCCTGTGGCCCTGATATTCTGTAGTGACTCATGATCATTGCATCCAAGCAGTGAAGGGAGAGACAGAGTAAAAGACACACCTGCTTCTTAACACCTACGGTTTTAAAGAAATGCACAAATATTGTATTAAGTTTCTATTGTCAATAGCTGGATGGATGTGTGTGGACTCATCTAGGAACAAAGAGCCTAGGAGCTGTACTTTCTGAGTGAGTGGTCTCCGACCTGTTGCAGCCTTACTGTATGGCCACCAGCTCTACGCAAGCCATTGCTGCCAGAGTGAGAGGTAGTTGTGGCAATTAACTCAGCCGGGAGCTGATTGCTTCCCATAGCAGTGACAGGAGAAGCCATATATTTATATATTGAGATACAAATGTATGTATATATGTGGACATGTATGCATGTATCTCAATATATCCTGTATATGCATACATATATGCATATGTATATACACACATATACACATATATCACGCACACACACACGCACGTGAGAAAGCAATAAATCAAGAGAATTAGTGGACTGAGAACCTGGGTACAATTCCTGGGTCTCCTATCTTCCAGTTGTGGCACTGAACAAAGTATTATCCTTTCCAATGAATGTGCTTTTATTTTTCTCATCTATCAAATGAAGACGATCTGGCTTTGGGTTTATAATGAAGATTAATGCTGTAAATATTTTAGGTCATTGCCTGGCATATAGCAAATGCTCAATAAAAACTGTCAACTACAGCTGCTGTTATCACTATTACTGTTGTTATGCTCTTAAAATATTCTGAGAGATATTTATGGGGCTTAGCAACAGCTGATTATAGATAGAAAGAAGAGAGACCCAAAGTAAGGTGACCTCAACCTTTTGTCTTACATGATGGGATAATAGACCCAGGGAAGATAGGAGGAGCTGGTTTGCAGGATAAATTTAAAATATGTACCTATAAGCAAGGAGAAACAGTAATAAAAATAATTCTTGACACCTATATTTTTTTCAGAGACTTGGCAATTTAATGGTAACAAATCATCTTGCAAACATAAAGCATCATAGAGATGTCACATTGCAACATGAGGAATAGTTATTCTTCCAGCCCTATATTAGAATGACTAAACGTTGCCTCTTTTGCTGAGACTATTGCATTATTTACACACACAGACCTACACACATATATATAAAAGCAATGTAGACACACACACACAAACAGACCCACACAGAGAAGCATACATACATACATACATATTCCACACACAACTTTCATGATAAGCAAATTGTTCTTTTCTGCAAGGTAGTTGAACAATTATAAAGTTCTCCTATCTGTGTTGATTCTGTCTTGTGTCCTAAGCCAGGAGCCATGGTGAAGGTGGTGATTATGCGCTAGTCAAGTAACACATCCATTGACACTATCTGCAAATATCCTCTCTCTGTGCTTTCTTACTGGTCTTATTTAGTATGCGCAGTTTCAGAAGCATGGTGATCAGAGTAAGGCAGGCATTTGGCATTCATTTTATATTAGTAAGCCTAGTTATTCCTTAACCACCTTAAACTTATCTGTTAGTTATTCTCAGCGTACAGTGTTTCTTCTGGTAATGTGCCCAAACGGATGTTGTCTTAGTCAAAAATAAGACTCAGAAGCAGATTTCAAAACAGATGTGTGTTGGTTTTAGACTCATGGGCTTCCTGGGCCTATTTTTAAAGCTAAGGGAGATTCTAAAGTCCTCTGTTTGCCTGAATTTGGAGGCAAGATTAGACAAATCTTGATCTTTTCTTCTTTCTTTAGCTTTATTCTGTCAAGTTGTTCAACTCCTACTAACGAGGTGCTTTGCTTTTGCCAATTCTTTTGATTTCTGACTTGGAACAAGGTTCTAGGGGCCATCATTTTGCAAGCACATTACTGTTTTGGGACTGTCCTTCCTACAAGCAGTTTAATATATATATATTTTTTCTTAAAATCATGGTGTCCTTAAGCAGAGAGCACCCAGTGTGTTTGAAGCCTCAATTAACTCACACCATTGAGTTGAGTTGTTAGACAGGGAGAACAGCAGGTGCCCCTCTTGGCACTCTCTAGCCAGAGACAAGGCAGGCATCAGATAAAAGCTGTCCCAGGTATGAGAAATCCATTTTCCAGCATCTAAAACCATTTCCCACAGTACTACTAACCACCAACCCTTTGGCCTCCACCTTACATAAATATATATATATGATTCTTGGTTTATTTCTTCACCAAACATTTATTGACTACTTACTATATGCTAATTTTTCAATATAACAGGGGACAATAATATCAATATAAGCTTTTAAAAATTTTATTTAGATTGCCCATTGCTTTTGAGTCCACAGGATTCTATAATATTAGCCATGGCAATGAGAGGATAATCGAAATTGAAGATGTTAATATTCAAGCTGCAGTCAGTGCTTCCTCCATGAGTCTCTGCCTTTTACCTCATCCTTCACTCCTTTGTAATAACTGTGAATACGTCCTTCTCTTCTACTTCATGTTGAAACCCATTATGCATCTTATTTAATTTTGTGACAATTCCTTTATACCGAGACAACCAAAACTCCCCTTTATATCCAATGGCTGCTCAATAACTATTTGTTAATGAATTAAGACATCACCGTTAGTAGAAATCCCACCCCTGGGTGTTTATGCTAAACAAATGAAGGCTTATGTTAATACAAAATTCTATGCACATATTTATTGCAGTGTTTTTTATAATAGTAAAAACTGGAAATAACCCATGTTTTTCAATGGATAAATGAACAAACAAACTTGGAATACTGCTGGCAATAAACAGGAACACAATATTGGTAAAAGCTACAACTTGGATAAATCACAAATGCGTTATGCTAAATGAAACAAGCCAGTCTCAAAAGGTTACATACTAGATGAATCCATTTCTATGACATTCTTGAAACGACAAGGCATGATGGAAAATAGATCAGATGTGGCCAGAAGTTACTGATCAAGGGTAAAGTGGACTTTAATGGACAAGGGAGTTTTTCTGGATGAGGAGTTGTGCTGATTGTGGTAGTGATTCTACAAATCTTTATGTGTGCTAAAATTCATACAACTATACATGCACAAATAAACGTTACTATATATTTAAAAATAAATTTTATAAAACCTATCTCTGGTGAACTCCTATACCCCTATTAATATTTCTTACCAGGTACATCCGAATTTTACATCAGTATTCTTAAACTTTACTGATCACCAGATATACCCAGGCCTCTTGTGAACAGTACAGATTCTCAGAACTCTCTACTGAGAATGTTCATTTCATAGACTGGCTGAAGTTTAAGAATGTAAATTGTAATGCGAGCTAAGGCTGGATGATGTGGGGGATAGAGAAAGTTTGAGAAACTGCTCTGGGTCCGTGGTTTCAGACTTCAGTGTGAGCCAGAATCAGTTGAGAAGACCTGGTAAGGCTTGGGATGGGATCCAGAAATTGGCATTATTACCAAGGACCCGAAGAACATCTAATTTAGGTGGTACAAGGAATAGATTTTGAGAAATGCCACTCTGGCTCATCAAATAAAGAGCAGAGTCAGTTTGTTCTTTGTGTCCACCCAGTAATTCTGCATGTCCTGGATTGGCCTCCTCTCCAATTCTCCAAGATATGTATTTTATCCCTGAACCAACTTCCTCAAATTTTCTACTGCACTCCCCCAGAAGTTGGTTGACCTCGACTCTGTCACTTAGGAAAATGCATTTTTAGATGTTCTTTCCTTCAACTTGCTGTTCTTATACTTTAAAAAATATGGCATTGCCTTGAGTTTTGTTCTTTTCTTCCAGCTTCTGAGGAAGAAGTTGTGCCTAAGTGGCCATTGACGCTCTTCTCTCTCCTTCCTTCAGTTCCGATTTGTCCCTCTATCTTGGCTCCTTCCAAGCAGCCTGTAATGTGTTCAAGCTACCTCCATCTTATGCTATCAACTCTCCTTTAACTTAGAATATTCTTTTATTTCTCACCTTTTCTGCTTTTCTTCACAGCCAGATTCCTCAAGCAGGTAATCTTTGATGACATTTTGTACTGAGTGCCTATTTTTCACTTTTCAATCCAATGTAATGAGGCCTGTGCCTCTAACCCTGCAATGAGATGTCACTGGTGAATCCTGCCAATAACCTCTTGGGTACTAATCCCCTGGATCTATCCGAATTTTCTGATCATTTCTTCTAAACTTCCATTTCCAACCTTACATTCCTCCCCTTCAATGCCTGCATTCTCCACGGGTTTATCTTTGGCCTTCATTTCTTTTTACTTTTTTTGTTCGTTTGTTTTGGTGGGGTAATCTCTTTCATGTCCATGACTTGAACTACTACCTTTAGACTCATAATTCCTATACCAGTACCTCTGGTTAGGGTCATAGGCCTCAAATAAGATCATAGATGCTCAGTAGATGTTTCTTTAAGGGATAAATGGGTTGGTGCACGGATAGGTAGATAGCTGAATGAATGAGTGGCAGTGAACTAGAAAAACACCACAGCAAAAGGAAATAGATTGTTGATCTCTGATTGTGTGGATTAATTTATAGGTAGAGACATCCATATAGTTGCTTATTGGATTTCATTAATTTTTTCACCTTCTACCAAGCACTTAGGAGTAATCAGAATACTCAGTTGTGTTTAGCTTAGAAATTCCAGGATGCAACATAAAACCTTGTTGGCCATTAGACCTCTGTGGGAGGCCTAAGAATTTCATGGACCTCTCACTCCCTCTGTTTCTTGTGAGAATCTGATTTCCATTGTGCAAGTTCAAAACAATAAAGCTCAGAATTAATGGGATAATAAATAGTAATCATTAATGCATGAACATCACATCCTTTAAAACATCTATGATGTCTAAGATGTTTCATGATATACTCATTCATGGTCATTTCTGTATTTCTCTTTCCTCTCTCTCTCTCTCTCCCCCTCCCTTTTTCTGTCTTTCACTCACATACACATAGGACAGATATTAGGGTGATTTATTAAGTTAAAAACAGTATTTTCAGAAGGACTTTAAAATATAAGCTCAAGCTACAACATATAGAAATTTTTTTCACACAAATAAACAACCAGAGAACAGACTGACAACTGGAAGAAACCTTGTAGCACCAGACGTCAGTGAGATGACATCCATTAGTGTGGATACCACCTCCAGACCTAGAGCTGACAACAGATATCTTGATTACTTCAAGATTAAAAATTATAATCCACTGGCTCTAAAAGTACTGACTACAGTGCCTAATACATAATACACAATAAATTTCAGTTCTTTTCTCATTACTTTTCAAAGAGACATGCTCTCTTTACACATCCTCTAGTAAGCCAAATATTTTATCTCCATTAATTAGAAAAAAAATATTGTATAAAATGCATTTTCTCTGATGTAAATCACCTTTCCTCCTCCAGTTTGTGGTTTCCGGTTTACTCACATAAACACTCACCAAACTTTCCCAGAGATCTGTACACAGAGTCAATCCTTTCTTTTGCTGATCCAAGACAAGGTCTCTATTATCTCCAAGTCCCTAATTTCTCCTCATTGAAATAGAGATCTGTGGCATGATCTCATGGGAATGTTGTGATAGCCAAATGAGGTGAAGCATACAGTGTGTTAACACAGTGTTTGACATACAGGGGTCATTACTAAAACATTAAATGATACTATGATTGTTGTTGTTATTGTTTCAAATATCCTATTCCTCCTACAGTTTAAGTCCTCGGAGTTTTGGAATATTTTAAATCCTTGTCTCCCCCTTATTAGTCATGTCTCAGATCTAATGTTAATAATTAGAGAGGCCTTTCTCACGGTCTCATCTAAAGTGGACCCTTCACGCCTTCCTCTCACAGCAACCAGCATAACGTGGGAAGTAAGAAGCAGAGACAGTGCAGTTAGGATGCCTTAAGGCAATCCTGGCTCTACCTGCTTTCAGCCAAGTTACTTAACCTCTTGATGACTCAATGTCTTAATCTATTAAACAGAGGTAATGTTAGTACCTGTCTTACAGCGTTGTTGTAAGGGTAAAATGAGTTAATATGGGTAAAATACTTAGCAGAGTTTCTGGCACAAAATATATAGTAAGCATTTGTTCTTTTCTTGATTACAGTCACAGCACTTACTGCTTTACGAAATTGTCTTGCTCAGGGATTCTATGATAGTCTATCTTACCTCAACAGACTAATGGAAGAGGACCTGAGGGAAGAGGGAAGGATTCATCCTTCTTGGTTCCTTATTCGCTGCTATATCCCAGAGGCCAGAACAAGGCTTGATGTTTATTAAGTTATTGTTAAATAAGTGCCTGATGTATGCAATCAGTCATCCGGTCCCTAATACCTGGCCTAGTACATTATGCATAATAGGTTACCAAAATATACATGATGATGATAAAACCCCAATATTGTTCATGCTATTTTTAAACAAAAGTCTTGCAGGCATTGCATAGTGAGAAAATTGAGCACTTATAATTGCTCTCTGAATTGTGTAAATTTCTTGAGAAGGATTCTGACTTCCCTCCATGCTTCAGTAAGCCAGCAAGACTGCCTCTGTCTCACTTGATTTAGTTTGGTGGCTTCTTGTGGATGGGAGCCATGAAAACAAATTGCAATAGAACCCCTTATCAGGCACCCCAATTCAAAGAAAGGTTGACACAGATTTATTTCAGAAAAGGGAAAGGAAAAGAAATGAATGATTTTCTTAACTTCAGAATCTGGACTGAATTTTTCTTGTCATTCAACTCTACTCTTCATGCAAGTTCTAAAGTAAGAGAAATTTGGGATTTTGGACTATATGTAGTTGGTATGCTGGGAGCCATGGAATTAAATTGGCTTCAAAAGTGTTTTATTTTAGTGATTTCTCCAGTATAATCTTTAAAGCAGGAGTCTGTAGAACTTTTGAGATTGAAAATGAATAAATAATGGGAGGAAAAGAAAAGATATAGAATGTATAGCAGAGAATATTAAAGAGATAGACTTTGGGGAGGCTGTGAATCCGGTAGTCCATTTTAGAAGTCCATACTGAGATACAAAGGTTTAAAAAATATAAGAACTAAATACATAATAATTAATATTTGCTAAAGGCAGTTACCTACAGTGGCTTCCCATTTTAACCTTGGGAAAAATAAAATGTATAAACTTTCTAAGGTCTGTTGTGTTAGTCAGGGTTCTCCAGAGAACAGAACCGATAGGATGTGTGGATATAAAGATAAATATACAGGTATACTTGTATATCTATGACTATCTCTTATCTAGCTAGTTAGTTAACTATCTACCTACCTATGTACCTACCTAATTACCCACCTACAGAGAAAAAGATATTTATTTTAATGAATTGGCTCATGCACTGTGGAGACTAACAAGTTCAAACCTGCTGAGTGGGTCAGCCAATTATAGATCCAGGAAAAGGCTATGTTGCAGTTCAAATCTGGAAGGCTGTCTTCTAGCCGAATTCCCTTTTGCTCCAGAGAAGAGTTTTTTGTGCTATTCAGGTCTTTAACTGATTAGGTAAGCCACACCCACATTGTGGAGGACAATTTGCTCTACTCAAAGTCCACCCATTTAAATGTTAATCTCATCTAAAGGCACCCTCATAAAAACATCTAGAGTAATATTTGGCCACTCATCTGGACACCATGGCTCAGCCAACTTGACACATACAGTGAACTATGCCACTGCATAGTTCACTGTAGAGTCTGGCCCCTGCCTAACTCTCAGCTTCATCTTGGACCACTTACCTGCTTCAAAGACAGGGACCGTCTTTCCAGTCCTAGCAAACACAAATTTCTGTTTCCTGCTTTTGGACCTTTAAAGATGTTGTTCCCTCTGCCCGAAATGGCCTTTCACCTACTGCTGGCCTGGAAAGTTTCTTCTCATCCTTCAATCTCAGCTTAGATGGCGTTTCTTTAGTGAAGATGTTCCTGACTTCCAGTCTTATCAGGCCCCCTTAGCATTTTTGCATCAAATACCCTTATTTCTCTCATTATACTTGTCAAAATTATATGGCTTGGCATATTTATAATTTCAAATTTGTCTTCTGTCTTTATTAGTTTAATATCCTCATTATCTTTTAATTTGGATTCTCCATGAATTCAGGGACCTGAGTCACTGTGTTCACTTTATGTCAGTACACATGAAAGTTACCCAGTGAATACTGAATACATAAACAAATAAACAAATGAAGCTCATGATCATTGAAAACATTCTTTTTAATCAGGGGCAATTTGAAACACTTTAATAGATGGTTTTCTACCAAAGGTAGACTTTTCTTGAATTAAAGGAGGTCTTAGAGCTTGACCAGGCACTTCTTACAAATGTACATTCTTAGCCACAATGTCCCATAAGATTCAGCAGATTAGGAAGTAGGACAAGATGATTTTGCTTTGTATTAATAACAAATGCTCTGGTGACATTGATGCTTTTGGTTAACCAACAAATAGCTGGAAACCACTTATATTAGCCCAAACTTGTGCTTAAGACCGAATTCCCAACTCCAATGATATTGGCACTGGGTGCTCATCGTCTGCTGATGTTGTTTATGCCACTTTGACACTCACCAGTTACATCCAATAAAGATGCAAATAACATTCTTTTCAATATTTAAAGACATCTTTTATCCTCACTATTCTTTCATGTTCAAAATAATTCCAATTCTCTCAATGTTACTTCTTTCAGACCTTTATCCTTCTCTGCTGCCTTTAGGTCTTTAATAGATGGTTTCCCCAAAGCTGTGATCACTGGATTCAAGCAATACTCTTTATCCTGACATGTTCCTAATGCTAAAAGATTGTTAATTGTTCAAGATAATGTAGTCCATTCATATAGACCTCTGTTCAATTGTTTTTCTACTCCCTCTAGCTTACTTTTTTCTAGTCAGTTTGTGTTTTAGAGAGCTCAATTAGATTTCTCCTAAGTGAGTTAACATCCCAAGGAAAAAATACTTTTTACGACAAGTTTTTTTTTTTTTCTAGTTTAACCAGGAACAACTTCAAGTTTCTGGTGTTAGAGAATATCTTATAGGCCAGTTAGTGGTGTATATAGTTACTGTCATGCTTAACAATTCATAATTAAAAGTCCAGTCAACTCATGTCAGCAAGAAAAACAAAAAAACAAAACATAGTACCTTGGGAGAAGACCAATTTCTTCATTCCAGGGCCCCAGTAAAGTTGAATGAAAATATGGTGGAAGTTAAAGATTAAGTGGGACCCAGTTGGGTACTCTGGTGGGAGAGTAATTTAAGATTTGAAGATAGATTGGTATCAGATTGTGGAGGCTGTGCATTTAGGTTTTGTTTTGGAAGTAGTGGAGAGCCAAGAGCTGATGATGAGTTTTAATCGTTTTAATCAAAACTGCTGTAGAATCAGCTTTTAAAGAAGATTAATGAAGTTAAGGAATAAAGGATAAAATGTTAAAAAAAAAAAAAAGAGAGAGATGGAAAACAGGCACACTAGCTAAAGGGAGATATAATTGGTCTGGCTATATATGCAACAGCACAGATGAATCTTCCAGACATCATGGTGTGCAAAAGAAGCCGTACACAAAGGAGTAATATTCTGATTTCATTTATGTGAAATTGAAAAGTTGGAAAATCTAATTTATAGTGATAGAATTCAGTGTGATTACTTTTGGAGAGAATTAATGACTGGGAGGCTTCTAGGGTACTGATAACCTTCTATATCCTGATTCAGGATGTAAAAACTCATCTAGCTCTACAATTGAGACATGCACAGATGCTCCTTGACTTATAATGGGGTTATGTCCTGATAAACCCATTGTAAGTCTGAAAATATCTTAAGTCAAAATACATTTACTAAACCTTACCTACTGGACACCATACATTAGCCTAGCCTATCTTAAACATGCTCAGAACACTTACATTAGCCTATGTTGGGCAAAATTATGGAACACAAAGCCTATTGTATAATAAGGTGTTGAATAGCTTATAATTTATTAAATAATGTACACAAAGTGAAAAACCGAATTGTTATATGGGTACTTGGAGTACAGTTTTTACAGACTGCATAAGGCTTTCACACCATCATAAAGTCAAAAATTATAAGTTGAGCCATCATAAGTTGGGGACTGCCTGTACATTTAGAGTGTTACGTTTAACTCAAAAAGTTTACTCCTCAAAAGGGTGGTGAGGTTGAACAGAGGCAATGAAATCAGAAAGACAGAAAAAATGATTTCCATGATGTATCTTTAAAAGTTTTTTAATGGGATTCATAAACAAGGTATGGCCATTTCTGTTATTAAAGTGGACTGTATCTGCAAGGTTCATTGTTGTAAGTAGTCTTCAAAAGCTACTGCTATCAATTTCTCCCTTCCTGTCAGTGGGAAGTGTCCATTGATCCGCTCCTTAAATTTAGGCTGACCTTAGACTTGCTTTGATTCATAGAAGGTTGTGGAAATAACACTAATATTTCCAGGTCTAGCCATTAAGAGGCCTGGTAGCCTCTGCTTTCTCTCTTGGGAATCTGTTCACCATGCCATAAAGAACCTTGAGATGGATGCCAAATGCTGAGACATGACATGGATGAAGAGAGATCTGGATGACCAGATATATGAGTGAGGCCTTCATGGGCCTTCCAGCTCAGTTGCTAGTGGAAGGCAACAGAGTGAGTGCTGAGGGCTGATGCCACATGAAGCAGAAGAACCACTTAGCCAATCTTTCCCTGAATCCCTGACCCACAAAAAAATTCCGTAAGGTTGTTTATTTAAACTACTAAGCTCTGGAGTATCATGCTATGCAGCAATCAATCACTGCAGCAGTTGTCTTCTAGAACAGTGGCTTTTTATGGAGGATGAACAGATTTTACTCACTCCCACCAGCCCAGGGTCTTTGTTAATGTCTGGAGACATTTTAAATTGTCACTACTGTAGAGGCTTCCACTGGCATCTAGTTGGGAGAGGCCAGGGATATTAGTAAACGTCCTACAATGTCCCCCTCAAATAATTTCTGGCCTAAAATATTAATAGTCCCAAGGTTGAGGAACCCTGACATAGAGCCATGATTTATAACTTAGGTGGTACCCAATAATTTTTCTCTAAAGCCATATTTCCTAAACTTTACTGATCATATTAGTCACCTGGGATTCATGTCATATATATGGAATCTTAACATCATGCCAGACCTTCTGTCTTGGTCCATTTTGTGTTGCTATAATGAAATACTTGAGGCTGAGTAATTTATAAAAAGGAAAGAGGTTTATTTAGCCTCCATTCTACAGGCTGGGAAGTTCAAGTGCATAGTGCTGCACCTGGTTGGTTCCTGGTGAGGGCACATGCTGGGTCATAACATGGTAAAATGGCGAAGTGAATGGGCATATGCCAGGGGATCACATGGTGAGGGAGGTGGCAGAGAAACTGAGGAAGCCACATTCTTTTTAACGACATGCTCTTGGAAAATCAAGAAATCACTCACCCTGGCAGGAGGGCATTAATATATTCTTGAGGGATTTTCCCCCATAATACAAACACCTCCCACTAGGCCCTACCTCCTAACACTGCCACATTGGGGATCAAATTTCAGCATGACTTTTGATGGGAACAAACCACATTCAAATCATAGCACCTTTAAAGAAATCAGAATATCCAGGGAAGGGGGTTGGGAAGTTATGTTTTTACTTTCATGAAAGTTTCAAAAACTCTGCCCTACCCAGGATTTCTCAGATTTTAATGTGCCTAGAAATAATGTGGGCATCTTGATAAAGTGTAGAATGTGATTCACTTAGATTGGGGTGAAGCCCAAGTTTCTGATTTCTAACAAGCTCCCAGATGACGCCAAAGCATTGCTCCTTGGATCATTCTTGGCTCTTGAGCAGTAGTTGTCAAGCTTTAGCATGCATCAGTATCACGTGAAAGGAACAGACTGCTGCACTCACCCCCAGAATTGGATTCTGTGGGTCTGAGGTGGAGCATGAGAATTCCTATTTCCAATAAGTTCCCCAGTGATAATGACGCTACTAGTTCAGAGGCCACACTTTGTGGATCACTGCCTTAGATTATTATTTTGTACACCTAAATGCACATAGAAATGCATCTCAAGTGACTGCAACAATTGCAGTTTCTCAAACCTGTCACTCCTCCTCACCGTATTTCTTCCTTTAGTAACCTAGTAGATTTTATTTTAATAAATTGCCTCACCTGGGGTGGTTCTTATATCAGTGGCCCAGGACTGCATTTTAGGAAACACTGTCTTGGGGGAAACATTTCAGAATTTTTTTTTTTTTTTTTTTTTTTGAGACACAGTCTCACTCTGTCGCCCAGGCTGGAGTGCAGTGGCACGATCTCGGCTCACTGCAAACTCTGCCTCCTGGGTTCATGCCATTCTCCTGCCTCAGCCTCCCGAGTGGCTGGGACTACAGACACCCACCACCACGCCCGGCTAATTTTTTGTATTTTTAGTAGAGACAGCGTTTCACCATGTTAGCCAGGATGGTCTCGATCTTCTGACCTCGTGATCTGCCCGCCTCGGCCTCCCAAACATTTTAGAATATTGAGTTTCAGGGAGGAAACTGTGTCGTTTAGAAAAAACACATTTAATTTTTTCATGAGTTTGATTTGCTTCTAATGGTCATCTTGAATTATTTTCAAATATCATATAACATGAAAATAGTGGAAGATAGTTTTATGCTTATCAAAGGTGTTTATATACTAGATGTGTATATACTAGAATCAGAAGTACTACTTTTAAAAGTGCTGTTTTCTTCCTGGGTCAGTCACTCAGTTCTTTTTGAGTTTGTGTTATTACATCCTCTATAGAGGCCACAAGTTGAAGTCTGTTGCCAATTTAGACAAAACGCTGATAGTAATGGCCATTGCTATACTGTCTTGAAGGTTTGCTATGTACCAGGTATTATGTAAATATTTTCCCAATTCAATCTCCTGTAATACACTAAGTAATCCCTTCAGAAGCAGCTACTATTATCCTCAACACATAGATGAGGAAATTAAGGCATACTAAGTTTAAGACACTTAACCAAGACCACATAGCTAGTTAATATCACAGCCAGAATTTTCACCCTGTCTGATTTGATAAACAGTTGATCCTTGGAAATAGGATGTGGGCATCTGTATTTAATTAGGCTCTATGAAACTAATTCTTAGTTAAAACAATAGTTCAAATGGAGTGCCCTCTTTATATAATGAATAAAGGGAATGTTTCGGAACAAGATTTAATGTATTGCCTTGACAGGATGTGGCCATGACTGACCGTTTTTGCTATCTGTTTAGTATTAATTACATTACCAGCATTTTTTTTTCAACCTTACAGGAACTTTAATGCATCATTTTTATCCTTCTATTAGGATCTGGTGCTCTTGATGCTGCTATCTATTCTCCAGTAGCATTTTTGGCTAGCCAAAAAAGTCTATAGTCATCTTGTCTCAAATTAAAGGCTATTTTCAGGGTTATCTGGTTTTCTTTTCCATGATATATGTAGAAGATAAGTGTTTTCCCTATTACCTATTATCTTCTCTCATTAAATACTACATTTAGGTAAAGTTTCAAGCAGCCTGTTTATTGCCATTCCTCAATTTCATATTCCCGATTCAAAGCACAAAATCTTTTGTTTTTTGTATGTTTGTTTGTTTGTTTGTTTTGAGACAGAGTCTCACTCTGTTGCCCAGGCTGGAGTGCAGTGGTGCAATCTCGGCTTACTGCAACCTCTGCCTCCTGGGTTCAAGTGATTCTCCTGCCTCAGCCTCCCAAGTGGCTGGGATTACAGGCTCCTGCCACCATACCCAGCTAATTTTTGTAATTTTAGTAGAGGTGGGGTTTCACCATGTTAGCTGGGCTGGTCTTGAACTCCTGACCTCAAGTGATCTGCCCACCTCAACCTCCCAAAATGCTGGGATTACAGACATGAGCCACAGCAGCTGGCCAGCACAAAATCTTTAAAAACAAATAGCGTTCATGCAAAAATGTGCTGACCTAAAGAATTTCATTCTTTATTTTGAACTTTATTGAAGATATAATCATTAACTCAAACATGTCCTAGATCTTCGGAGCCAAAATCTCCAGGGAAGGGGTTTAGAAAACTGTCTTTTTATCTTTATGAAACTTTGAGCCTCTACATTTACCTCTACTTTCACAATCTGGACTTTGAGCTACAATTGTCTAAAAGCCCACCAGCATTTTTCAAAATGATTCTTACTGAAGTCTTCTTTCAAAATGTATTCTTTCATTGACACATAACATTTTCTATTATTAATGGTGTACATATGAGTGTGTGTTAGATGCATAGAATGTGTTCCAACCAAGTCAGGGTAGAGGAGGTATCCATCACCTTTCGTCATTTCTATGTGTTGGTATCATTTCAAGTCCCCTCTTCTAGTTACTTTGAAATACACAAAATATCATTGCTAAGTATCATCACCCACTCTGTTATCAAACCTTGGAACTTATTTCTTCTATCTGACTCTATGTTTGTACCCATGAACCAACCTCTCTTCATGTCTCCTTCCATCTACACACCCTTCCTAGCCTTTGGTATCTATCATTCTATTCTCTACGTCCATGAGATCAAGTGTAGCTCTCACATATGCGTGAGAATATGTAGCATTTGTCTTTCTGTATCTGGCTCATTTCACTTAACATAATGACCTACAGTTTCATCCATGTTGCTACAAATGACATGTATGCATTATTTTTTATGGCTGAATAGTATTCCATATCGTGTACGTGTGTTTGTGTGTGTATATATAGATATAGATATATATCTCATATTTTCTTTATCTTTCACCCATTGATGGGCTCTTAGGTTGATTCCATATCTTGGCTATTGTGAATAATGCTGCTCTAAACATGTGAGTGTGGGCATCATTTTTATATACAGCTTTCTTTTTTCTTTGCATAAATATGCAGTAGTTGGATTGCTGGATCGTATGTTAGTTCTATTTATAGTTTTTTGAGAAATCTGCATACTGTTTTCCATAGTGGTTGCACTAACTTATATTCCCACGAAATGTGTGTATGTGTGTTTTGCCTAGACTTTAATAAGATTATGAAACTTCTGAATATATTGAACATCTTATGCTATATAAAACATTTTGTTCTCAGATACACAGAAAATAAATATTCCTTTGTGTTTATATTCTTATCGCTACAAATTTAGATATTTGATGTTAGATTGATTCCAGGCTAACCAGGAAAGATTCTCTAGAGAAGATGAAAATTTAACTATGTTAAGAGTACAGAAATAGTCAGTTATATGGGAACAGGTTTTTTAACATCTAGAGGAAGATGTGATAGCTGAGATATAATATTTATGATTGGAAACATTTCAAATATCATTTTCTATAAATATTAGAAAAGTAAATTCAGACTCAAGCAATATAGGCATAGTATTGCTTCAGTTAAAAGAAAAAGTTCAGGTGTGGACCGAGGTCAGATCTGTTTTGACAAGGACTCTGGCCCTGTCCACCTGGGTCACCCACTCGAACATGTGGCAGCCTAATTGTCAGACAGAAAGACAATGGTTGTGGGAAATCTAGGCCTCGTGTCAGTATTTAAAGTTCAGAGGAGGAGAGATGATCTCTTTCAGTGGTTCTCTCTTAGGAACTGAGATTATCTCTTCCAGACATTCTCTCTTAGGAGCAAGAGCATCTCTTTTTCATGCCCAGAGCAAAAATCTACTGAGTTTTGTCAGCTAATATTGGGTTACCCATCAATTATTTAACCAGTCTTTTTGGTCAAGAAAATGTCATGAAATCTATTGGCTTAGCCTTGCATTCCTGAGTCCATTGTGGACAAAGGGAAAATGATTCCGTTAGCTTAGTCAGCTCTGGAGGTTAGGCTGGTTCTCCCTGAAGCACACAGCTACCTTGTGGGGAAGGATGCATACATACATGGAAACATAGCAGAAATGAGTGCTAGGTGGGCAAATAACCACTGCAGAAATAGGAAGACCTGGGTAAAGTGTTAGAAGTGTTCTCTGCAGTACCATCACATTCTGACTTCCCCATTGGGACTGCCAGACAGACCATTGCTTTTTAACAGAAGTGGGAAAATACCGGATCCAGTACTGCATTAATTTGTAGAGCAATTTTTTGCCTCCTTGCATGTGTGATTACTCACATTAAAAATAGCTTTGTAAGAGAAAAACGATGTGAAATTTATGTTTTAGGTCAATATGTTGGGGATTTCTGAGCTGTTTTTCATTTGTAAATAAGTAACTCAATGAAAACTCAAAAGGCTTGGCTCCAGATATGTAAATAATTAATAACTAGCTTGCTTTATGGGTGACTTATTTGAATATTATCTCTAAAAATAACTACAGAAGGACGGTAGCAGTGTGGAAGAATGACTGTGCTGTACATTGGGATTGAAGCATGAGCATATGAAGACTAGGGTTTTAGGCTTCAGACAATGTCAGTTTTCCTTTGTCCTTTCATAATTTAAGACAGTTGTTTCCAAACATCACATGCAGTCTGTAGAAGTTAACAGCAATGTTCATATGAACTGGGTAAATTGGTCTTGGCTTTCAGAAACTTATTGAAAATAATAACTGCAAAAGGCTGAAGATCTGGTCGTGGGTGGTGCATTGGATTTAATGTCACGTTGTCTAGTGCAATTTGTAACTGTGAATTAATAATTTGGGAAAGATCTTTAGGTGGGACCATGAAATTGTTTATTTCAACTCAGTCAACCGAGTAACATAGACTTCTGATGGTGCCAGGGAACAGAGTCTGCCTTCAAGGGCTGGCCTTAATTCAGAAGCACATAATTCATTCAGAACCATACACCAAGTGTGATTATTAGGCTGTGCCATTTTTGTTTAATACTCTTATATAATGTTTCCTTTTGATATTGCTTTCCAATAATAAGAATCACTGATTTCAATGTTTCTCTGAGATGGCAAGTCTCTATTTGAGGATGAATTTAACATTTGAAAATACAACAAAGCTGTTCAGTACAGTGTCTGGGTAATTATGTGGTATGGTGATTCACCACGGGGAAGCAGGGAAGGTAACACCCAGACGTGAATGCAGAAAATAACACTCATTTTACGTGTGGCTGATAAACTGGCCATAAAGGGGATTTCAAAAGAGAAATGTGTATTGATAATATGCTAATCGTAACCACATGGAGGGAAGACCCCTTTGAACCATCTAAGTGTTAAGTTTATTTAAACAACCTGGCTCAAATTAGAAATTAATAGAATTGAGCTATGTGTCTTTAAGTCATTCTTAAAATTTCCCTCAAGTACCTCAGTGTGTTAGACATAATTCTCTTTATTCATGACATTGTATCAATACTCTGGTCGTAACTCAAATATACACTAAAGTCTGATATTCAGGTGAGGAGCCTCTGTCATGCCATTACTGTTGTGTTGTGGTAAGCGGGGATGAAAATGCATTTGGTTCTATGTTCCTTAGTCTTTTTGCTTTCATTTTCTCTTTCTCTTTTTCACTGCCTGCTTCTGGCTACTTCCCTGCTTATTAGATCGCTCATTAGAAGGCAGATAGGGAAATCAGAAGGTAATGAAATTTAAATCTGCTAATTCTGCAACTTGTTAGCAGTTCCTATTAAATGTTCAGTGGGAGAAGGAGCTATTACGACTAACTAAAATGAAGCTGAGGGATAATCTATGGAATTTATTTAACTGTTGCTAATTCATTAATAATTGATAATTAGGCAAACCAATTTATTGCACAACTAAATGATGTCAGATGTTCCTTTTTTGGAGATACTGATGGTTAAAAAAATTTCTGGAAAGGAAATCAAGTATTGTAAGTTTAATAAACCTCAGATTTAATAAAGAAAGGTCCATGACCTCACAAAGCCAACCTCCTTTATTCCCTGGGACATTTGACAGTGCTAACAATGGCTACATTGTATCATCTTGGACCAGGAAAAAAATAACCCTGTTGTTTCTGAGGTACAAGACAGGAGAGCCTATATTTATATCTGCTAAATATTTGCAAGGAAAGCAAAAGGAGAGATGGCACCTGAGAAAAGTTAGAGGTGTTGGTAGCATTCAGGGCCCAGCTTATTATCATGTGACTATAATTGGTCTTAAGAACAAGGTGATGTAAAGGAAATGTGAAGCCACTTCAGCCTTCCCTTATTATTCGACGGGTTCTAATGGATGCTTTCTTCTGAAGAGCTGGCTTTACAATAGACTCAGAACCCCCAGGTGTTGGGGGATGCTTATGTGGATGGAGTGTCAGAGAAGTTTTTGTTGAAAATATGGACAAGATATATATATGTAAAATGAAGTCGGAGTTATGGCTAAAGATGATTTGCATACAGACAGTTTGGATGGAAATAAGTAACAATAAAGAAAGCTAGCATGAGAAATTAAATGTAATCTGAAAGAGAAATAGAAGAAAACAGAAGGAAAACAATGTTCGCTGGGAAGCATGCAAAAGATGAAGGAATGCATTCACTACTGCCCAAGTGAGCTTCTGTAATGCTAACTTTCTCACAGCCTTCCGCCATTAGAGACATGGGGACAGTGGCTCTTCACCTTGACTGAGAGTTGGCAATGCCCGAGGAGTTTGGAAATATACTCGTGCCTGCATCTCATTCCTGGAGATTCTGAGTTGATGGAGACAGGGCAGGGCTTCTGCATCAGGAGCTTGCAAAGTGGCCCGGATGCCTCTCAAAAATGACTGAGCTTGCCAAGTGTTTCTGTGAAATATGCAAATTTCATTTAATGCCATCTTCCCTCACTGTGTCTTAGTTTCCTTTTCATCTACAGGCTGACTCTTCCTATTCTTCCCATCACCTTATCCCCTTCACATACACTGTCTTAACCTCAACAGAAACCCGAATAGCATGATATAATACCCTAACACCCAGTCTTCATCTAACATGTAGCTCCTCTCTCAGATACAAGGGGAGAGAGAAGCAAAGGGCTAGAAGCAAATTCCTAATACTAGTGTCTTCATAAACCGAGATTTCAATATCAAGTGAAGGATTCTCTCTCCTGGGCTTCAGCTTAGGACACTAATTGTGTAGGATGTGAGACTCTGGAATAAGAAACAGTAGAACAATAGTAGATATATCAGATTTTTAAAACACTACTAGCACAACTTTCAGAATTATTTTACTTTCTTTCCAAATCATACTGGTTTTGCTACATCTGTTCAAAAGCAAAATGAAAATGGCACATTTTATCTTTCATATGCCTCTGTAATTATAACCGTGAAAGTGGAATATATTTATTCAAACTTGTTTCTTTTTAAATGAAATGTCGGAGGCACAAAGGAGAAATACTATTAAATAGATCATTTAGAGATTCCAGGCCTTCTATATTTAGTACAGCTGCCTTAAGATTGAATGTGGCAAGATAAATTGAGAAGGTGCTTAGAAAAAGACATTAGTACTTTTTACAGCAGCATATTCAGCCATTATTATTCTTCAGAATCAGAGAGGATAAACATTTCAGCCACCCATTCGATACCTCTCCAAAAGTCTCATTCATTTGTTCATTCATTCATTCACTCATTTATTTTTTCAGATAATTTTTTCAGTGGCAATAATACTAAAAGAGAGTGAAGAATAGATATGGACCTGGCCTTCACTGACCTCAATGTCTTCCTTAGCAATGACTGGCCATAAGGAGACAGAAAGGTGAGTTCAGTGCAGTGGGCTTGGGGCTAGATGGTCTGGAGCTACAGTTCTCAGTTTGGTAATGTTGCTGTTCTCCTTGCTGGTGCGTGACCTTAGTCAAGTTATTTCGCTTCTCTCAGCCTTGGTTTTCTCATCTGCGGGATACAGATTTATTTTAAAAAATCTATATTGAGCCCCTTCTGTGTATCAGGTTCTGTGCTGGGTGGTTGAGATACAAAAGCAAGCAAGATGGAAGGGAGGTTTGCTCAGAGGGCCTATATATACCCAGCACCAAGTATAATAAACACTAGCTGATATCGTAGTATTATCACGGGACTCTGTTGGGTCCTGTGGGGGTTCAGACCATCATGGGTGCTTACTGATACATCTGATTGTAGTTCCATAAAACACATTCTTTCATTTAACCAAATCGTGGTATTACTCCATACTGCTCTGCAATTTGCCTTTTCTAGCAAGTGTCTGAGTGTAAGAGCAAAGGTGGTGAACACCTAATATGATCCTGGATAGAATTTTCCCAAGAGGGTATAATAGATAAGCAATCACGTGATTTCAGAGTTCAGCAAGAGCATAGTTGAATGTACCTTCCACAAGTTCAGTAATACTGTCTGTGCAGATGCTCCTTGACTTACGATGGGATTATGTCCTGATAAAACCATCATAAGTTGAAAATATCATGAATGAAAATGCATACACCTAACTTACTGAATCTCACAGCCTTGCCTAGTCTACTTAACACATGTTAGTACACTTACATTAGCCTACAGTTGAGCAAAGTTATCTGTTTTACTCAAAGCCTATTGTAAAATAAAGTATTGAAGATCTCATATAATTTATTGAATGCTGTACTGAAAGTACAAATCAGAGTGGTTTTAGGGTGACTCAAACTATAGTTTCTCCTGAATATGTAACACTTTCACATCATCATAAATTTGTCACATCCTAGGTCAAACCACTGTAACTTGAATACTGTTTGAACTGTTTATTGCTGTATTTCCAAGAAAGACCAATGCCTGGAAAACCCCTAGGAACTTGAGATATATTTGAGTGAAGAAATGAATGAAGTGGAGGATCCAAGTTGGATAGATAAATGAATAAGGACATAAGAGAAGGAGACCCACAGAGAGAGAAAATTGAGAAGTTAAACATCCAGAGACAATGTGCTCTGAGTGATGGAGGTCATTGCCAGAAGATCAGGCATTTGATTGAAAGCTTTAAAAGAAGATGCAGTTCAGAAAATGTTAAGAGCCAGGTAGAGACTGCACTATGGCAGGCATAGAGAATGTGGAATGTACGAGAAACACGTGTGGAACTAAAAAGCTGTCTGTTGACGAGGTAGCTCAAAGGCATATGGAAGTCATTGCAGGAGGAAGGGCTTAAAACTGAAGAGAAGGCATACAAACCAGATGCAAAGTGTTCAACGAAGGTAGAGCAGACCAGATTAGCCAAGAGCCATAAGAAAGGATGAGAGATGAGGTGGGTAGAAGTAGAGAAGGCCTTAAAGGGTAATTTTTAATTTATTTTGTTTTTTTACATGAGGATAAAGGATCAACGGTCTCGGCAGGAGAGAGGCCTGTCTCACCTCTCAAGTACAAGGGGAGAGGGAAGTAAAGACAAGAAGTGAAAAGACCCAAGCCGTAAAACATTTAAGCAAGATTGTCTGGCAGCATGTACTAACTCATTACCATTCTTGCAGAGAGGATCTTTTAGGCATGTTAATAAAATGTTTCTGTTCAGTCTATCTAGGAGACTCATCTTCATCAGCTGTTCACAGTTCAATCCCATAAAATATCTCTTTGTGCTCAACTATTGCCACATTCTTCATGGTAATGGGCAGTGGCTTGGATGCTGAGTTAAGAAATCTTAGCTAAGAAACTTCCCACACAACATTTGTTGCACAAAGCTGGCAAAAGTATTATCAGCTTAAACAAATGGAGGATTTACTCAGTTCCCATCTATTAGCTACATGGCTTCACAGCCATTAGAAACATACCCTAAGAAGCTTTCCTACCGCTATCTTATAAAGCCTTAGTCTTCCATTCAGCATGCTGATGAGGCTTGTAATATCTTTGAAAGATTTGTTATCCTTAAAGAAAACACTTAATATTAGTTCAAAAAAATCTGATAAACTGTAGGGAGAAGAGGGATGTGAAAGTGTAAGGCCAGGTGTTACAGAAGGTATGTGTTTTTAAGAATCAAGTGAAGAAAAGAAATGCCAAAAGCACCACAGATGGAATTTTAATGGAAATTTTTTTTTGTAATTTAAGATCCTGCACCCTTCAAAAATAAAAGAAATGTTCAAGAAATATATAAAACAAAATATCTGACTGTGTCAGCATCTAAGCTGATATTCAGGATAATGTTCGCCAAGAAAGCCTCTGTGACTACCCTACCCTTTCCTCACACGCTCTGGGCATGTGATAGGAAAGACAAAAAGATACAGCGATAAAGACAATTATGAACATGCTGTGTATTGTTTTTTTTTTTTTTTGAGGAATTATAATGTTCTGTTTTGTGCCTTGTAAATTTTAAACTGATGTTACTCTGGTGGAAGGCTGGCATGATGAATAATTCATAAAATGGGGACTACCCAATATTAGAAATGAAAATCACTTATTAAATGAAGAAGTCTCTATCCCTGGTGGTGCTAAGTCATAGGAAGTAATATTATCCACCAGTTTCATTCCCAGGTGAAAAGGCAACTCCATAAATAAATAACCAACCAACTAGGTTTTTATTATTTTGTTTATTACTGACGTGTTCAGACCTCTTGACAGTATGATATTTGGCATATCTTTAAAAAGTAGACTTTTCTTCTTCACCTTTGACTAAAGTACCCCACCTTTGATTAAAATATATGTATGATTTGAACAAGTCTTGTAAATGCCAAATGCAAAAAGATGAATTCTGCATAAACTCTAATAGAATTTTGCAAACTACAGTGTGCATCCAAAATACCTGAGCTGCTTGTTAAATTTGTAGAAACTCCTCTTGGACTTCAAATCAGATTTCTTACAGGTAAGACACCAAAATGTGTACCTTTAATAGCACCCTCTGGGATTCTGATGCAGGTGGAAAGAGAGCCAGACAATGATAAACATCGGATTTGTTGATGGATCATCTAGGGTTCCTGAGTGGGAGTGTTGTAGCCTGAAACCCTACCTGGTAAAGCCTTGCTCTGGTTTTTACCAGGTAAAATAAAGTCAACCCATTACCTTTTGAGAATCAGCAGATAAGATCTATTTTGGGGGTTGAATTTTATATAAACCTATTAAAAAGGGCCAAATAGTTCCCAGCTTTCAAAATTAGCTTTCTGTTCTCCCAACCAAAAAAAAAAAAAAAATCACACTGAAGGGAAAAAATTCTTTGTTGCGGATGTCAACAGGAATAGCTACAAAAGGCAAGTACCAGAAGAAATTCATTTTGCACTTTAGGGTTCACATCGGACTTAATGACACAAATAATTAATGAGGAATGTAAGGGAGCCAGCTCTTTTTCCTGACCCCTCTGCTGCAGCTGACAGTACCAATCTCAGCCACCTTCATTAAAACTTTTTCACTTTTGACTTCCCCGACTTGGTGTTCTTCAGTCACCCTAGCTCCGTGGCCGTTTTTGTCTGGCACCTTTTTTTTTTTCTCCAATTAACTGATGCAGTTCCCTCAGGCGTAGCTCTTTCTTCAAATAGCATCAACTAGCATAGGCCTGAACATCCCTTACCAAACCACCTCCTCAGCCTTTACTTCACTGACACCAAAATTCTACACAATTTCCAGTTGAAGTACCACATTCATATGTCAAAAATAGTATTAATCCCCCTTCTAAATGAGGCATAGTTTTTCAAGCTTTTTGGCTTCTGTCATTCCTTTGGGTCTTTTTTTTTTTTCCTTTTTCTTTTTGGACTGAGCTTTAGATCCAGGCCTAGTATTTCATTTCTGCCTAATGGTAAGGAAATGGAAATATCTACCTGGTTTTCCTAATTCTTCTCTCACTCTCATTTATTTCTTTTTCTCCATTCATTCATTCATTCATTCATTCAATATCCATTCATTCATCCATCAATTCATCTATCCAATAAATAGATATTAAGTCCAGTGATAATTAAAACAAAACAAAATAGCAAGAGTCCAGTCTGTGGGAAACTTTGAAGAGACATTAGTGAAATAATCACAAAAAATATATAGTTGCGAACTCATATGAGGACTGAGAAAGAAATGCCCAGGATATTGCAGAATTAATAACTGGAAAACCTGGTCTCTCGGGAATACAGGAAGAGAAGAAGGAAGGTAATTTTGTACAATGTAGCTTCCAGCTGAAAGAAAACTTTATCTGGCTAAAGCTGAGTGGAGCAAGAAAATAACATTATAAAGTTTTATTTATGTTTTTATTCATTCATCCATTCATCCACTACCCAATCACCAAATATTTGAGTGGTTACTTTGTGCCTGGTGCTGTACTAAAAGTGAGATTTTATTGTTCAACAATTCAACAAATATTTATCACATCCTCATCACCTGTCAGGCATTGAGAAGACACTGCATGCTGAGTTTCCACTGCTCATGTATGCCTGTGTGCCCTAGTAAAGCCCAGTGAATAGTGGCTGGAGTGGAGGGAGGTGTTAATAGCATTATTGTAGCTGCAACTGTTACTGCATGTTGTTTTGGTCTTGTAAAACTTGGTTCGAAATGCACAACTATTTGGAGGCCCTTTCAGATTTTTACCATCCTGATTCTGTTCTATTTTTATGCGTTTACCTCCCCCATGCTCTCACTGAGCTCTGAGTTAAATACTATTTCTTTCAATCCCTGCTCAAGGCAACAGAGACTGTACTTTAGATACCAACTTAACCAGTCAAAAACAAAATTCTTAGACAATTCTTTTCCAGAGGTCTAAGAAAGAAGGTATTGTTTTATCATCTTGATATGAAAATTGGATTTGAACAGTATTATCCAAATCCTTCTCTTCAAGATTGATGATAATCATGCCTTTCTTTCTTTCAAATATCTAAGGAGTATACCACTCATTTATCTCATAATAAGATTATTGAGTAGCAAATCATACAACTTAAGAGGTAGTAAGGCCCTTGGAGATCACCCGCTTCAATCTCTTAATGTTACAGACTGAATGAAAATGAAGCTCAGGGATGTTAATTGACTTGATCATAGTTACGCAAATACATCATAGGCATTCATATACGATGTCTGAAGTTAGGTTCTCTGGAAAACAGCCTATGAGACACAGATGTATATACAGGAGGTTTACTGGGGAGAACTCTGGAAAACATTTGTGAGGGAATGGCGGGAACAGGAGGATAGAGGAAGACGATGAACTTCTACGCAGTCACAACACAGGCCTCAGTTGAGCCCATAGTGGATTCTGGGTTGGGTTCATCTCCAGAGCTGCCCTGCCTTGAGGCACTTGGACAAGTCACTAGAAATGGACTGCCCCTGGAGACGGAGCATGGCTTTGGACAGGGGCAATTCTAGGAGAAAAACCAGCTGCCAGTACTCCCAGCAGCTGGGAGAGTTAGGGCCTTGGTGCTGAAGGGGATCTGGGCAGCTCACTGCAGCATCTACCCTAATAGATGAGGATAGTTTCATAAAAAGTATGTCCCAGTAAAGAACAGCAAAGGGCTTTATATTTGACTTCTTGCTAAGTATCTCATTACTGGATATTTTTTAAATTCTCTTATTCTAAACAAAAAGTACTACTTGAAAAAGATACGTTTGCCTGAAAAATTTTATTTAATGTTAGTTTTGGATGCTCACAGAGCTCATCTGAACTAATCAGCCAAAAAAAAAAAAAAAGACAACACAGTGATGATTCTTGGGGATAAGAACTCATAAATGAAGCATCTTATATTGCCGTTTTGGAAGGTCACCTACGATGCAATATAATGAATGTAGAAGTCATGAATATGCATCTGCAGGAAAGTGAGAAAACAACATTTCTAGAAAGAGCCTGTTAATTGGATTAACAAAAACCTAGTTTCTCAAATTCTTAATTCAACAAATGTTTATTGAGCCTCTCATGTGTTCCAAACAATGTTCTAAGTGTTCGAGCTTCAGAAGCAAACAAGACAAAGCCCCTAAGGCTTGACCCCTTAGAGTTCATCCTATTGGTTTTCTTCACATCTTTAGCATCTTATTGTGGATTTCTGGATAACGGAGCTATGTTCTACTTTTCTTTATATCTCTAATGCTTTGCTTCATGCCTGGCATATAAATGTTTGTTGAATGAAAAATGTAATAAACTCTTTTACACATGTAGACAAGTACTTGAGCTACAGCCATCACACCTCTAAATATTTAATTGCTGAACAAATGTTTGTTTTATCTCCAGCCAGATTTCAGAGATGTCATAAATCTTCCTGAGGCAGACTATAAGGGAAGGAAAATGCTGGCAGGTTTGAAAAATACGTTCAGAGAAAAAGAATACAATTGGGTAGTGACTGGAATAAATAATCTTGGGTTTGTTTTTTTTGTTGTTGGCCTCATTATCTGAGCATGGTTATTCAGACACCTAGAGATTTTTCCTAAGAAGGTTACAGAGTTTGTAACATTGGATTCTTTATATATTCCAGGATTTTTCCAAGATTAGTATTTAGAAAGACCTAAAAACCTCATTCACAAATAATGACATGTCTTTATTTAAACCTCTTTCAAAGTGAGAAATATATCTTATTTCTGTTTGATGAAATCATATACTTGTTATGTATTTGAAAAAGCGACCTCTACAACACTGGGTGAATGAGATGACAAGGTGGTGACATATTTAGTTGTGCATAAGCATCACATAGGGAGTTTGCTATAACATGTATTTCCCTAAACGTTATCCCCTGAAACTCTGATTTAGAAAATATGGGGCAAGACCTAGTAATGTATCATTTCCGATCATTACAAATTGGTTAATATGTTGGAACGAATAGATATTTAGGAGTTAAAAGATAAATTTCTGTTCTGATGCTGCCCTTACTTCATGACTTGAGTAAATCCCATAGCTTATCTGTGACTCTGTTTCCCCACTTGTTTGAAGTGATATTAAAAATAAATTTCTTGGAGGCTGGGCACGGTGGATCACGCCTGTAATCCCAGCACTTTTGGAGGCGGAGGAGGGTGCATCACGAGGTCAGAAGATCTAGACCACCCTGGCTAACACAGTGAAACCCCGTCTCTACTAAAAATACAAAAAAATTAGCCAGGCGTGGTGGTGGGCGCCTGTAGTCCCAGCTACTCGGGAGGCTGAGGCAGAAGAATGGCGTGAACCCGGGGGGCGGAGCTTGCAGTGAGCTGAGATCGCGCCACTGCACTCCAGCCTGGGCGACAGAGCGAGACTCTGTCTCAAAAAAATAAATAAATAAATAAATAAATAAATTTCTTTTCTACTCTGAAAAGTTGTAATATGTATATAAAAAGTGAATATGCATAAAAATGTCTTATGGGTCTTAAAGGCTAGACAAATGTAGTTGTGAATGAAATTTTTAAGAACTAAACATTACATTTGCTCTCTTAGTCACTATCTTCAACACAACGTCTTAGAAAATTGGACAAAACTCAACTTTCCCGCCAACTGAATACTTGGCATCTCCTGAGGGATTCCCATCCAGTCGTCTCTCTTTGGAAAACCTTCCTGGCAAAGATACCCCAAGTCAGAGGACAGGAATAAGAACTGTAAAATATTCACTATTTAAAAAACAATATATAGTCTCATGTTTATGTAAAAGTTTCAATTTTTCTAATCTTTTAAAAATAATAAAGTGAATTTATTTTCCAGCTCTGATTCTATTTTTATTTCCAAAAGCTTTTGAAAATGCCTCAGAAAGTTATCTCTGTCTGCTATTTCTGTCACTTCAGTAGGAATATGCCTAATTGAACAGGTGACTTTATGCCTGTATTTTTGGAATTTAGAAGCTGCAGAAAGCAAAATATGTAAATGTCTCGTGTCTTTGCTACATCACCATCATCATTAGCATCATGTTGGTATAATTATATAAACAATGAGAGGACTCTACTGATAATTGACTAAAGGCAAGTATATGTACCTATATGTATTTGTGTTTCTGTATCTGTGATAGGCTTTAAGGGGAGATTTTAAAACATATTTTATAATTCTCATTTCCTCAAAATAAAGTAGTACATCCCCAAACTGATAACTGAATATTTTAATGGTGATTTGACATCAGCTGAAGATATGAGATTTTATATAACCCATAACAATTTGAGATTGCTTTAGAGATTTATGCAAAACTGGAAAATAACACATCTTTTGTGGTCACATCTTTCAATATGTAGGTTACTAGTACTGCCACCCTCACTCTCCCTAAAAATTCCCCAAATAAACTGTTCTCTATTATTGCATACATTTCTTATATTAGCAAATGTTTCTGTTACTCAAACTGACAGTATTTCATATACTTCTGAAGCCTGTTTAAGGTTTGTTTTTGTTTGTTTGTTTTGCTCTCCCTGTTGATGTTGCTTTCATTAGAAACATAGTGAACCAAATGATTGTTTAATGGATGGTGTTGGATATACATTAAATTCTGCTATGTCAACATGTTTGAGTGTATTTGTGTAAATGCAGACATCCATCTTTAATGTGATGGTATTCAGGCATTCCTGTAACCAGCTAAAGGGAAGTTTTTGTAGTAATTTAAGTCATCACATCATTTAGTTTTTTTCATCCCAACGAAATCGTTTTCCTCCTTTAGGTGAGCTGGCATACCTTGAAGGTAGTTTGCCTGCTTACCTTTTGCTGAAATTGAAAGAAGGGGAAAATAAGCAAAAAAGACAAAATGCCTTTTTTAATAAAAAAGGAGCTAATTTGAAAGAGGAGTGAGGGATTAGGATGCCCAGATTCAGAGAGGAAGTGATAAGACCTTACGGAATTACAAATGGGCCACCAGTGAGTCTGCTGATGTGATTCAGGCAAATTATAGTTTTGCCCCAAGTGGCACATTCACTAAAGTGTGTACTGACTGACCTAATTCCCACTCAACTGGCAAAGTACGGAGTTGTTATAGTTTCCCTATGGCATGCTGATGTCTTCTTCAACTTTATTACCTACAACTGATTTTCCATTCTGGTTCAGAGTCTCACTACGGACTTTTAAAACAGAAATGGTTATCCAAACCTGAAGTCTAAAGGAAAAAAAATTACCAAGGCTCTTATACCTTCTATTTCACTTAGAATGCATTTCAATAATAATTTTTAAAATAGTGAAAATAATAATTACCTAAAATTCTTTTTTCATGTTTTATTGTGTTTTCCTCATCTGTCCACACACCCATGTGCTAATTGCAAAAGTAGTAAAAATGCATTATAAAATCTTTCCAATTTCTGTCAGAAGGTATTTATAAGCTAGAATATAAATATTTTATAATATAAAATATTATATTTACTAATTATAATATAAAATTATTTTAAAACATTTTAAAATTCTTACACTGAAAGATAACCATTGTTCATATTGACATAGGGATATGGATATAGATATAGATGTATAGATGTGTGTATATGTGTGTGTATATATTATGTTTAAAAATAAAATCTACATTTTATAATTTTGTGATTTTCTTTTATTATTTGTAACACCGTGGTTATCCTCCCATATCCTTATTAGTCAAGATGTTGATTTCTCTTAATATTATGACTTTAGTATATGATAGTGTTACATATGTTGTATGGCTCTATCAAAATATATTTAGCCAACCTTTGCTGTTAAATAACAAGGTTATCTTTTATTATGACTCTGTAGTGACTGGGATATGACTAACAGTGTAGCAATCAATCTTATGGTTAAACCAAAAATCCCAGATGATTTCTTTAGCTTCAATTGTTAGAAGTTCCATTGTTGATTAAAAACTATGCATGTGTAAATATTTCGTACATATTTGAAAGTTACTATAAAAAGCTTCTACTAACTTACTGACTAAATGGTGTACATCACATCTGTTTACCATTCTCAATATTTTTCAGAACTGAAAACCTGTTTGGCAATAAAGGGCGTTGCCTTAATTTATAGTACCTTTATTTCTAGTAAAATTAAAAATGTTTTATACATTTATTTTCAATTTGTGTTTTCCTTTTGTGAATTGCATGTGCCCATGTTTTATTTTTATTTCTAATTTTTTAAATAAAAATAACTTTGCCTGTCTGATATGTAAATAATACATGTTTATTGTGGGGTGGGAATAGATGACATATAAAAGCTTAAAAGGAAAGGTAAAATTTACCTGTAATTTCCCATAATAAGGTAATTGCATAAATATTTCAATTTCTACCCATTCTTTAGTGTAAAGCGATAAATCATTTTAATGCATTTTTCTGATTAATTGGGAAGGTTGATGTTTTCCGATGTTTATTAGCTACTTGACTGTGCCCTTCCTTTAATTTTCTATTCATAATCTCTACATTTCTATTTCATTGTCTTTTCATATCAATTTATTAGCTTTATTTTAATATTATAGATATTGATTTGTCATGTGCATTACAAATATATATATTTTCTTTGTAACATACATTTTACTTATTATTTTTAACATTTTTCTTTCAATAGCTTTTGGGGTACAAGTAGTTTGTGATTACATGGCTAAATTTAAATATGCATTTTTCAAAACTACCCATCATTTATTGATAATATATTGGTTATTTTTGCCACTGAATGAAATTAATGGTGCTTATTTTATTGATTGTATGGTGTTTTGCCACTAGTGGTATGAATTATGTTTTATTTTGATCATTAAACATATGTATAAGGTCACACAGGTTTTTTCCCATTTAGTCGTTAACTCCTCTGAAGTTCATTGTTGCATACAGTGTGAGGAGATGCTTTGTTTTTTTCCCGACTGCTAAATTTCCTACCTTAGTTAAAAGGTCTTTCTAAATCTAGATTTTTCATATAATGTTCTATATTTTTTCTTTGATTTCTGTTGTCTTTGGTTCACACGTCTAACCATTCATTTACTGAACGCTACACCTGGGAGATCTGTTCCCATCAGAACAGACAGAGCTCATATAACGGCTGCATCTGGAATAAATGTGTTTAGTTAGTCACCTATTAATGGTTATGTTATTTTTGTATCTTGACTTTTCATACACATTACTACAGTGAATAGCCTTGTATATGTATAAATAAGTCTGTGAAGTGAAAATGTTGAGTGTACTCTTTGTTTAAAAGACATTGCCTTCACTGTTGGAGTGGGAGTTTACAGGTAAGTAATGGGAGGCACCTTCATGATCTATGTGGTTATGGATTGGAATTAGGGACATTAATATGAGCTCAAGTTCAGTTTAATATATATGCAGGTAGTTACATATAGAAATATTTATAGGTACTTTTGTGTGCATGGGTTAGTGTTCGCATATTTTCTTGCTGTTAGTGTCAGCCTAGCAGGCCTAAAGCAGGTATACATCAGTAGCAGCAAGCACACCTGGCATGCAGGTCTTGGTATCTAATACCATTATCCAATGAGTGGAACTCCTTGAAGAGCTCCTTGAAGAAATGGCTGATCTTATGATTGAGGCAGGAAATATTCAAGATGATTCTGGAGTATCTTGTGGTGCTAGAAAGTTAAAAAGTGCTTAATAAAAACCCATGATGGTAAAAGTATGTCAAAGGGATGCAGGACCAACTAAAGGTTCTTAATGTCCAAAGCAGAACTGATCTAAACAAAAAAATAAATAAAGTAGTATTGGACTATAATTCAAAGTATAACATGGATATCCATAAGTCCCTGGCTGATATAAATAAATGACTTAATAAATAAAGGAAAGCTAGGCAAATCTCTTATACAGAAGAATTTCAAATACTTTATATAGATACTCTTCTCTCACAAAGTTACAGCATCATTTCTCAATTCCTTAATTGTGGGCTACACATGGTGACTTCTTTTCAAAGAAGACTGCCTGGAAAAGGTGGATGAAGTAACTTTACAGTGGAGAAACCTGACAAACACTATCTCAGTGAGGTGAATGAGGTTAATATCCATATGATAAGTTATGTTGATGCTACATTCCCTTGACACGTTGTAATGAGCATAGCACTTTATTCTGTGTCTATTCTCCTCAAAATGCCAGACCAGACAAATCAGGAGAAATACATCAGACAAATCCTAATTGAGGGACGTTCTCCAAAATACCTGGCCAGTACTCCTCAAAGCTACCAAAGGCATAGAAAACAAGGAAAGTTGGAAAAACTGTCATAGCCAAGAGGAGCCTAAGGAGACAAGATCACTAACTGTAACATTTTCACCTGGATGGAAATTGGATTAGGAAAAGGGCATTAGGTAAAAAAAAGAAATACCAATAAAGTATGAATTTAGTTAATGATACGTCAACATTGGTTGATTAATTGTGACAAGTGCTGCATATTAATTAATGTTAGATGTTAATAGTAGGGGAGACTGGGTGGTGTGATGTGCCTGTAATTGTCTTCACAATTTTTCTGTAATCTGAAACCTTCTAAAATATAGTTTATTTTTAAAAAGAGAATTTTGCAGCTTGGTACGGTGGCTCACACTTGTAATCCCAGCATTTTCCATCTCAGCCTCATTGCATGAGCTCAGGAGTTTGGCACCAGCCTGAGCAACATGGTGAAACCCTGTCTCTACCAAAACTACAAAAACTTTGCAGGGAATGGTGGCACACACCTGTGTTCCCAGCTACTCAGGAGGTTGAGGTGGGAGAAGGATGGCTGGAGCCCAGGACACGGAGGTTGCAATGAGCCGAGATCACACCACTGCACTACAGCCTGGGCGACAGAGTAAGACTGTCTAAAAAGCAAAACAAAACAAAAGAAAAGAAAACAAACAAACAAAAAAACACAAAAACCAAAGAAACTTTTCTACATCACCCTCCATTGAGGTTATGTGCATCTTTACTCTCATCTGCAGTGTAAAAAATGTTTTCTTTACCAAATGTTTGTTAAACATTTGGTTTTTTGCTACTCTGATAGGTTAAAAGAAGATTTTTAGTGTAATTTTTATTCTTATTTTCTTGCTATGACTAGAGTTGAGCAGCTGTTCAGATATTTTTAAGAAGTATTTGTGTGATTTTCTTTCAACTCTCAAACCTGATTGTTTGCTATTTTTCCATTGGGTTGTTTTTCTTCCATTTATAGGAGCCATGCAGCACATAGTTTTCTACTTTATTTATATTCTGACTTTGTTGTTTCTTGATATGTAAAAATATTTGCTTTTTATTTAGTTGACTTAGTCAATCTCTTCTAAGGGTTCTGCATTTTATATTGTAGGGGTGTTCCACCATGATTTTATTTTTTAATCTAATATTGTATAGTTTCTTTTTTATACTTCTTTTCATTTATTGTCTCTACTGATATATTAATTTTAAATCTAGCTATTTCCTTCTGTTTTATGTTTCCTTCCATTTTTCTTTTCTTTGTATCTTTTGCTATGTAGTTTGTTTTAGTTTCTCTTTTGTCTTGAGGTACTTGGAGATGACACATTGTATTTTTTAATTTCTTGTATTTTTTTTTTTTTTTTTTTTGTGATGGAGTCTTACTCTGTCGCCAAGCCTGAAGTGCAGTGGTGCAATCTTGGCTCACTGCAACCTCTGCCTCCCAGGTTCAAGCAATTCTCCTGGCTCAGCCTCCCAAGTAGCTGGGATTATAGGCACCCGCTACCACACCTGGCTAATCTTTTTGTATTTTTAGTAGAGACGGGGTTTCACCATGTTGACCGGGCTGGTTTCGAACTCCTGACCTCAAGTGATCTGCCCATCTCAGCCTCCCAAAGTGCTAGGATTACAGGCGCGAGCCCCCGCACCCAGCCAATAATTATCTTTAAGTCTTAAAAAAAACCAGCCCTCTTCCTTGAAAGTATATTTGTGAATCATCATCAACAAAATGACAATATGTCTGAATGCCTTTTTTGTCAGGTATGGTGGGCTGAATTCTCAAGATGTCACCCCAAGATTCCATCCACTGATCATTGAATCAAACACTACCTAGATTAAGGTAGTGCTGTGAAGATATTTTGCAGGTCAGAGAGATTTGAAGGGTGAAAAGGACCTGACTCCCAACCCCCACCGCGAACTGACTTTGAGATTGGATAGAGGGTTCCATGTACCAAGGAATGCTGGTTGCTCCAGAGGTTAAGGATATCCCCCAGCTGACATTAGCAAGGAAATGGAGCCTCAGTCCCACAACCACAGAGAACTGAAGTCAGCCAATGGCCTGAATGAGTTTAGAAGTAAATTCATTTTCAGAGCCTTCAGAAAGGAACTCCGCCCTGCTGACACCTTGATTTCAGCCTTGTGCAATCCCTCAGCAGAGAAACTAGCTGAGCCTGACAGCCTTCTGACCTACAGAACTGTGAAATAGTAAATGTTTGGTTTTTTAAGCTTCTAAATTTGTGATGGTTTGTGGCAGCAAGAAATTAATTTAAAAGGCAATGAAATTAGCTCAATCTCAGTTTCCCTTATACACAATCCTAGATTTGTTGGTTTATTCTTGAGATTTGCATTACATTTCAAGTGTTTGTTTGGAATAATTGTGTCTTTAAATTATTTCTTTTTTAGTGCCAGTCTTTTCAGCAATTCCAGTTTGTTTTCCTATCACTGGACTGTGTAAGAATATTTATCTCTTGCCATCAACATAAATGACAGCATATCTGGATAGTGAGTTTTGAAATTATACATTTTCTTTCTCATATTTTGATTCATGTTACTAAACTAATGTTGGAGGGAAAATATATTTTTCCCTTCAACAATCATAGTTTCATATTTAGATACTTGTTCTTGAAATGTATATGTTGACTAACTTATATATAGGTGCTTTTTTTTCCCTGTTAACCTTGCCAATTATTTAGTAAGATCTTTGCATCAGCATTCAGAAAATTTCCTTATATTAGACTTTAAATATTTGGTTTCCTTTCATTCTGTTCTTTGGGGATTGCAAATTATCTGGTTTTGTTTTGTCTTATTATACATCCTATAATTTCATAAATTTGATTGTATTTTTTTTGTCTTTTTCCCCCTGAATGCTGAAACAGGTTTTAAGCCTTCATCTCTTACTACTACAATATTATTTTTTCTTCAGTTTCTGAGGCTACTTTTAGTTCTGCAATGTCATCAGTAGATTTTGTCTTCTAGTTCATTTCTCATTTTATACCTGTATTTAATTTTATGGAAATCACCAGGCATAATTTCTCTAATATTTTTTTTTCTTTGCCTAAAGAGTTCTTTATCAAAAAAAGCTCCTCTTTCCTCTCCTGAATTATATGTTCTCATCTTTCCTTTTTTATAGAAATGTTTTATATTTTATTTTGGGTATTTCCTATATACTCATCTGTACATGTGAGAGTCTACCCTTGGCCTGATCTTGTCTACAAACATGACAATAAAAACCTCCTATGCTTATATCATTCTCACAGGGACACTCTTAAAATTATCTTAAAATCTCAAATCTTAATCTGGAGAGCCGAATAATAGAAATAGGTATGGGCAGTCTAGAGATTTTCTAGATGGAAAACTGTGGGGCAGAATCTGTAGTTGCAGGCTGCTATGCAGAGGAACTTGATCTCTTTATGGTTTCTTAGCGTTGGTGAAGCTGTTCTATCACTCACTTTTCTTGTCCACTTAGTCTCTGTTTCTGAATATACAGCATAGCTATGTATGGAATCTTTCTTGTTGCTCTTATCTGTTGACTAAGGGATTATCCAAAATACCTATTGGAAGTCTCTCTGGTGTCTTTCTTGCCATTAATCATCCTAGAGAAGCTATATCCAACTTGGTATTAGTCCATTCTTACACTCTTATAAAGAAATACATGACATCTGGCTATTTAAAAAGAAAAAAGGTTTATTTGACTCACAGTTCTGCAGGCTGTACAGGAAGCATGGCAGCATCTGCTCACTTCTGGGGAAGCCTGAGGAAACGTACAATCATGGCGGAAGGGAAGGGGGAGCGCATATATTACATGACCAGAGTCAGAAAAGGAGAGAGGAGGCGAGGTGCTATACACTTTTAAACAACTAGAACTCATGAGAATTTGCTCATTATCAAAAGGATAGTATCAAAGGGGGATGGTGCTAACCCATTTATGAGAAACCGCCCCCAGGATTCAATCACCTCCCACAGGCCCCACTTCCAACATTGGGGATTACAGTTGAACATGAGATTTGGGTGGGGACACAGGTCCAAACGATATTACTGTTGTTCTAGAATAGAACACAATTCCACAGTCATGGCCCTTGTAGATGCCACTGCTAACTGCCGACCCATGTTTTAGGTCCTATTTAAGAAATGTAAGAGAAATGAGGAGCTTAGTGGATGGTGTTCACTGAGAAAATTGTATTCTTTCAAATTAATCCTCCAAACCACTACTCATAGCAAAATATCTTAAACTTTGGGGATAATCATGGCATGTGCTTTCATTTCAAGAAATTATGGAGAACCGTTCTGTCTCTTTATAGTCTTTTGATCATGTTGGTAAAGACTGACAGAATTGTGGATGTGTCATGTGTAGTGGGAGGGGTGCAAGGTCATACCAAAAGTTGAATGCGTGCACCTAAGTCACTACCCACCACCCACTACCATATGAAGCATTTCATGAATCCCATGACCAAGAGTTTTGCTTATGCTGCATGTACCCTTGTGTTGTGCCTTGTGTATTCTCATATTTTTGATAGTAAGAATTGTTAATATTTTTTCTTTAGTTTTTACAGCTCTAGTTTTATAGCTATTTAATATAATATTTAGTCTGTGCAGCATAATATACTAAACTACCTCCTTGCTGACTCCATTTTGATTGTTTACTCTCTTTGATGTTACAAAGGATATTGAAATATATGTCTTACTTTTAATATCTCCTGACTTTTAAAAATTCATATCTATTCCTAGAAGGAGTAGGATTAATGCATTATAAATTATGGATGTATCCTTCACTCATACCTTTCAAATTGCTTTTTTAAAGACTGATACCAATTTACAATATTTTAGCAATATGTGACTATATCATTTTCACCTCAAACTCAGCAGCATTGGGTTATAATATATAACTTATTATATATACAATTTCTTATTTTATCTGTAATTTCTTAAAATATAGATATTATTTATATATGTATAGTAAATGTAAATATAAATATAGTTATATCTGTAATTTCTTGATATATTAAAGAAATTATAATTATAATAAATGTAAATATAAATAATTTCTTTGGCATTTTAAGAAACCATATAGCTATAATAAGAAATTATATATGATATATAAATATATTTATATATACAATATTAAAGAAATTAATATATACTTTCTAAATTAACCTATAATTTTTAAAATATTTTAAATGAATTAAATTAATTGTAAATGGGCATCTCCAAGTTGCCAAGGTGATTATTTTTATCAGGTGTTATGAGTTTGCTTGTACATTAAGTAGAAGTACAATAGTTTTAATAAATTAATACGTATATTTTGTCTCTCAATTACAAGTTAGTAATGTCCCCTAAACTATTTCAGGGAAGATTCTGAATCTTTGAAATTCAAATGCTAGTGTGCAAATGGTACCTGGAATATCACCTCATTTAATAATCCACTTATAATGACTTTTGATCTGGATTTTTATGAGAATAACAAAACCAGTTGTGAACAGTTAAATATTTTTATATCATATCCTCAGATCATCATGATTTTCTGTGAAATAAAGAACATTAGTCCCTTTCTTTGGTAAGGGAGTATTCACAATTCTGTCTTTATATAAAATAATTTTCACTTATTTTAGTTAATTAATATTTACTATATGCCTACTCTCTGATAGGTGCTGAGTCTCATCAAGTATGTAGCAGAATATGAATTTTAGAGCAGGTCTATTCATCTTCTATTGCTGTGTAACAAATCACTGCACATTTAGCAACTTAAAACAACACATATTGATTATCTGACAGTTATAGGTCAGAATTCAAGGCAAAACTGCAAGTTTGCTGTCATGGTGTCAGCCTGGCTGGGATCTCATCTGAGATTTGACTGAGGAAGAATTCACTTTCAGGCTCCTTCAGGTTGCTGGCAAAATTTATTTCCTTGTGGCTGTGTGACTAAGGGCTCTGGCTTTTTACCGCATGTTGACTGGAGGTTTTGTAGGTCCTAGAGGCCCCGACAGTTCCCTATCGTGTTGTCTTCCCACTGATTTTTGCTTCTTAAAGCCAGCAGAAGCGTCTCGAACTCCAGTCAAAGACAGAGTTCTGTATAAAATAACACAATCATAGGAGTGACATCACATTAACTTTGCCACATTCTATTGGTTAGAAGCAAGTCACATGATCTACCTGCACAACAGGAAGAGATTATACTATGGTGGGACTTACAGGGCCACCTTAGGTGTGTCCACCATAGAAGATAAGGAGAAAAGTCTGAATTTCCTTTTTGAAATTGAATAAATCAAACTTCCTTCCCTATTCTTTCTCATGTTTAGTTGCTTTCCCCATTTATCTACTTTGTTATTTTGAATGTACTCATGCTGTGTTACACTCCATAGTCGGCTCCTGGGGAATTTGCATAAAAATAAAACTCTATTTTAAGGGTCTTTATTATTTCGTTACAAACATTGTTTCAGAATTGAACCACACAAAGCCTAAGAATGGCATTGCTCTGATTTGCTCCCATAAATAAATGTCACTTACCATTAAGCATTTTCAAAGGGCATTTCCAAGGACATTCTGATTTTGCTAAGATTTACTGGAGGTTAAAAATTAACTAGAGATTAGAAGAAAAGAGAATTCAACTGGAATACCTGGTTGTAATTTTTATTTAAATTATTTTAATATTAATTAAGGTACCTCTCTTGCATTATTCAGCCTGTTAAACTGTAGAAGTCTTACTTGAATGTAATATAGTAACCATTTTTCTATAGTAGATAGAATTTCTTTTTGGATTACCATTGACCATTTGTGTTTTCATCATTTATATGAATCAATGGCAAATTGCAAGAAGTTCATAGTTTAGGCATTTATAAAATAAAGGACAATCTATTCTAGAATAATTTGGCATCTGTATACAATATGTTTATTAGAGGTCTAGCAGAAAGTGGAATAACTGTTGCCTTGGGAATGTCTACCCTACCCCACTGTGTTTAACATTTTTATTCCAGTTTATTCACCATATTGTACCGCAGAAGGTAGCCACAATGAGCTCAGAGAGACCTCCTATTGTATCGCATGCCTACTTTTTTCAGTACATCTTTGCACAAATACTTGACCATTTCCTTTTTATTCATCTGCAAAATGGAAATAAAAACACTGCCTACCTCATGTGGCTGTTATTACTGTTAAAATGAAATGGTAAACATAAAGTGCTTATCATCATAAAAACCACATAAGAAGAAGTCAACAAATGGAAGGTTTCTTTTCAAAAAAATTTACAGCTATTCTTTTAAAGCATAAAGGGGCAGCATTATCTCCACATGTTGGTTATCTCTAGAACCAAACTGTGAGAGGATTTTCACTGGGTATTATATTGAATAAGACTTCTCTGGCTGCAAGTGATAGGAATATAACATAAAAAAGAGAGAGGAAGGCAACATAATGGCTTAGATTATTGTAATTCCAGGAGTAGTCCCTAGGTTAGGGATAGTTGGATCCCTGGGCCCAAGCACTTGTCAGAATTAGGTCTCTTCCATTGTCATATGTCTACTTTAATGGTTTTCATTCAGGTACTCTTCTCTCAGAATATAACCAGAAAGTTATTTCTTTTCAATTAGTTCTAATAAGATGTCTGTGATTAGCTCTAATATTATCAATGTATGTCTTATACCCATTGCTGAGTCCATAAATCTGGTGAGTGAAGTTTCCTGCTAGGATTGCCCCACCTTCAGACCTGTGGGTAAGGTGACCCCAAATTTGAGGCACATGAACTGAGAACAGATAAGGGAAAGTGCTGATGTCATAGGGACTGGGCAAAGCTAGGCATTGCATCAATAAATGAAAGAGCACATTTTCAGTACAGATATGTTTAAGGTAAACGGCCGTTTATTTTTTAGTTATAGTTCATTGGTAGGAAGAAATAGATATCGATTCTCTCATAGCATTAATGAAAATCAAATTTATTGGAAGAATAAAGGATTGGAAACAAAATCCGATAAAACAGGTGGAGAAACAGGATTCAGGAATTTCAGAACACAACATCTTCAGAAATCCAAGAAGACGCTCTTGGGTCCTGGCTTAAGGAACCTTTGAGAATCTGTTCCAGATCTTGTATTGTTTGAATGAAAAACCACAATCTAGAGAAAGAGTGAATGATTATCCTTTCTTGAGTCATGTTTATATCCCGTGTATACGGATAAAGAGAATTCTGGGGTTATCTCTGTGACAGTCCTACTAACAATAAAAGTCTCTTTCACAAGAGACTCTACTATGAGATTTGGTAGAGATTTATGAGATTTGGAATCAAGTGTTGTGGGTTTTAATCATAGTTCTACTACCAGAGGTGGGATATTGGGCACATTACTTAACATTTCCCTTTATTTGCTTTTCCATTGTAGATAAAATTGGTTCCTATATTTTAGATATCTCATATGGGAAAGTATAATAGCTTTGATAATGATGTGATGAAGATGTGGTCAACCACCAGTGGATTGGGTGAAGCATTAATAGTTTTATTAAATAACTTGAGAAATGTTGACATAGAAATGAACGTGTGTTTTTACACAAAATGAAAATATCAAGCTTTTTCTTTCAAAACCTCATATTATCACAAAGTGGAAAGAATCATACAGTGAAATCAGTTGACTTCAGTGCTTATTTCTAATGTCCATTGTGATCAACTATATGTCAAATTAGAAGGGGTTACTTAATCTTCTTAATGTTAGCTATTTAATTGAGGGGTGGGGTGGAGGTAGTTATCGGAGTAACTTTACAATTAACATTTCCAGTGTTAACATTCATGACAATAAAACAGAAGAAACAAAAACAAAATACTTACTCTGTAGAAATATTCTTATCATTAGATAACTTTTTGAGCATTTACCATTTAACAAGCACCAAATTATTTCCACATGTTAATTAATTTAATTCTCATAATGACCCTATGAGGCTCTTTTATTATTTCCTTATTATAGCTGAGGAAGATGAGGCAGATAGAGTTAAGTAACAGGTCCAACGCCTTACCTAGAAGTAGCAGAAGGGGACCTCAAACCCAAGAACCCAAGCGCTTTATGAGTATTACGTTAAATTACCTCTCATCTGTATATGAAGATACTAGTGATTTTTCCATTATTTGTTTAGAAGGCTCAACAGGAGTTTGCAAACACTGAGCCAGTTTAACTATTCTGCAAGAATAACGGAAGGGTAAATGGATTTCCCTGGGAAATACTCTCTGGAGAAGAAAACAGTGGTAGGAGAGACAGAAAACAAATGAGCTGTTTTCCTTCCCCAACCCCGCTCTCCATAGACACACACATATATATATATATATATATATATATATATATATTTTTTTTTTTTTTTGGTTGACAGGTGTTGAGTGCTTTCATATGTTTTCTGACTTTATGGGTCAGCAATCTTCCATCTTCTTTTTTTTTTTTTTTTTTGAGACGGAGTCTTGCTCTGTTGCCCAGGATGGAGTGCAGCGGGGCGATCTCAGCTCACTGCAAGCTCCGCCTCCCGGGTTCACGCCATTCTCCTGCCTCAGCCTCCCGAGTAGCTGGGACTACAGGCGCCCACCACCACGCCTGGCTAATTTTTTGCGTTTTTAGTAGAGACGGGGTTTCACCGTGTTAGCCAGGATGGTCTCGATCTCCTGACCTTGTGATCCACCCACCTCGGCCTCCCAAAATGCTGGGATTGCCGGCATGAGCCACCGCGCCTGGCCTCTTCCATCTTCCAGTTGAACTCTTATATCAGAAAGAAATTACCTCCTCAAACAGATTCAATTAATAGTGAAATAAACACATTTATGTTTACAACAATTTTAGAATCAAAACAGACAAAATTGTATACCTAACACTTGGAAGGAGTTAAAAACTCTAATATAGTAGGCATCATGGATATGCTTATTGTTTTGTAGGAATGTGAATATCAAGAGCAAGCAAGGTCACATACTGCTAGGTTTTCATCTCATCTGTCAAGGTGTCATCTGTCAATAGCAGATTGCTATTGAGTAGTAAGTGCCTTGAATTCTCATCATCTGATTAGGAATACGCCCATAACTGTTTCTTAGTGTTCAGCTCTGAGTGAAGGTTCATTTTTTTAAGGAAAGAGACATTTAGTATAACTTTAATTCTTCTCTTGCAAATGTCTAAGATTCCTTCAACGTCAAAGAGAAAAGTGTAAAAATTAAGTAGAAACTAGGGCATAGATTAGAAGGTGGGTATGGGTCAGCGGCTTAATGCAGCTTTCAAAGAGACTTTGTTTGTATAAGAATGAGTTTTCTTGTGAGGAGCGTTTGTGAATTGGCCATGATCTGGAAAGACTTTAAAATCTGATGTGTTAGGACATTTTTGCAAACAGCATTAAGTGTGCCTCAGGGAAGAAATAATGGAGCGAACCAGGGTTGTGAAGGTACGAGTAATTCTGGGAAGCAGCTATTGCATAAAACCCTTTTAGTATATTCATGAATCTTGGCAGGTTGAGTGGGAAGATAATGTTATAGGTCATTACCATCTCAATTGGACCACCAGAAACAGCATTCATACTCACCCATCCAGCCACTTCTTCACAGGAGCACTGAAAAACCACCTGCCCAATAGGGTTACATTTGGAGCTATAATTGCATGTGTGTGTTTGTGTTATGGGGAAGGAATTGGGTGGTAGGGAATTAGCTAGAGAAAGAGAAGAGGGCTCTGTCTGGCAAACTGCAGAAAAAAAGTTTAGGTGTCACCCGTCTTGGAAGGCTCTGGGAGTGAGCTATGGACACTGAATTAGGCATTTGACATGTGAGATTGTGATTCCTGGACTTCAATCAGTTTTCCCGTTGTACATAGAACCCAACCAAAGAACATGTACCCTACAAAGATGATTTGAATAAACTCAGTACCCAATCAAAAAGTGTCTTTGATAGTGAGGTGTTGGCATTTAAATATGTTTCTTTGAAATTTAATCAAATTGGCCATCTCCAACAGATGAACATATGGCATTCTAAAATATTTTTATCTGAAATCATTATTTTTAAAATTTGGAGCATATATATATACATATATAATGTCCAGAAACACAATCTATATTGGTCAAGTCTCAAAGCTAACCAACAAATGCATCTCTGCTAGAATGTTCTTGAACTATGTTTTGACAGCTGTGTGAAGGAAAACCACTTGAACAGTAAACAATTATCAAAACAGCTGGCATTTACTGGCTTATGATGTCTGAGGCATTGATCTAAGGACTTTCCATGCAGTGATTTAGTTAATTCTCACAACATCTCTATGAGATAGATAAGATTGCCCATAAATGTACAGATGAGGAAACCAAGGCATTTAGTGTTTAGGTGATTGTCCAGTCTCTAAATTGGGAAGAGGCAGAGCTGGGTTTAAAACTTAAGCAGTCCAGCTGTAAAGGTGTCCCCTTACTGCCCTCCAGCTGATCAGTATTTCATTTCAACATTTATCCAGACCCAATTTATATTGGGCACTATGCTAGGTGCTGGAGATACAAAAGAATCCCATTTCAGCCCATGGGAAGCTGCTGAGGGAGAGAGATGTGAACAGATAACTATAGCAGTGTGCTGAACCGAAGTACACAGATCATTGAGAAGAACATTGAAATAAGTGATGAATTCCTGGTGGAGAAGCAGGAAATAGAAGATTTCCTGGATGCAGTTATATCTGAGATGACTTTTGATGCATTAGTAGCAGTTTTGACAAATGATGGGAAGAAATATTCCAAGTGAGAGAAATAGCACACATGTATGCTAGGGGCCTGACACAGCTCTGTCCTATGTATATGGGTGAACTCTCTTCCAACATTTTTTTGCTCACTCAGATCTTGTAAAAAAAAAAAAAGTTGAATTCACTCTGTTGGTTCTATGTTGAATCAAAATATAGATTAACTTTTGACAAAACATAGGTCAATGCTTCAAAGTGGGAATGAGACTGTTGTCATGGGAGTTGAGATACCATAAAGAGCTGGAAAGACCCTAAGCATTTATGTTCCATTTTGCCCATCAAAGGCTCCCTTGTGGATCAGATCGAGTTAGAAAAATCTAGATGGAAGTGGGAGGAAATGGGCTGAAGTATCAGATGATAGGATGAGAAATGTGAAAGAGGGAAAACTGTTTCTTAAGATCAGTTTGTATGATAAGGATGCAAGTCAATCAACATAATTTTGAACTTCTGAGAGACAGAAGAGGACTCTTGCAGTTTGTAATGAGAGGCTTTTTCACATTTTGGGACATTATCATGTGTCAAGCACTGTGTCTGGTGCTTTACAAGCTTTGATTTAACTTATTGATTCAATAGCCTGATTGCAATAGTTACTTTTATTAGCAATATCTTGCAGATGAAGTTTACACAGCTAGTAAGTAGCAGAGCTAAGATTCTAACTCAGATCTGATGCACTCAATTTAGGGTTGCTTAAGATGAGCTTGCAGGTCTACTAACATAGTCTTCTTAGGATTTCTTCCAGGTGACTTCTTTCTTCGAATCTTTAGATGTTAATGAAATGTAGACTTATGGGTACTTATGGGTACCCTGAAGGGAACACTTAGTTAATAAAGAGCTCGTCTGAACACAGACTTTTTAATATTTGCATGACCATATGAAGAGTGGTATTAAAATAGTTCTTTGTGTTGAATACATTTAAAGCTATTACCAAGTTTTGATTTGGACCATTATATCAAAGGATATTTTTCTTAACTTCAAAAACTGATTATATGTTCTTGAAATAGAGAATAGAATATATATGTCCTAGTTTAGAATTCTGGGCAACTTTGTAATTGAAGTTACAGAATTACATTTTGAACAGAGGAAGCCCAATTTATGTAATCTGCTTATTGCAGCTTTCCAAGATAAGATTTGTCAGAAGGCTAAAAAGACTTCTTGATCACTGGTAAGTTTCTCTAAATGGGCATTTTGATTAATTATGATCATTTCGCTGATTAAATATCAGTGACTAATCCTCTAATAGAGTGGGAAATAACCACCACTATAGTTGGTTGAAAATAAAGGGATAAGAATGCAGAGATTGGTTTGAATCATGTAAAGTTATGATTATGGTATCAGATTGTACCAGCTATTGTAACTTTGAGGTTTCTTAAAGCCTTGAAGCTTATTTAATCTGAGGAGATATAATAAAAGTCTGTAACAGCTATTTTGAAAGACTATATGGGTTTTTTTGTAATTGTACCAACTATGAGTAACATAGAAATAGTCATTTATTCAATACCTGCTCTGTGCAAGACCCCTTGTTTGAGTGAAGAAAAGTGTCAGATGACTAGAACTGCTCTATTTAGTTTGCACGGAGTGTGACTTTTGAACAGGTAAAAATTTTTCTTTTACAAAATGACTCCGAACTGCAAATAAATAAACCCAATTTTTGGATCCCCATGGAATGTCTAGGCTGGAAAAGAGGACTGATCCTTCCCCTCCCCAACTTTTGCTTTAAGACCTCTAATCTAAAGCACTATTTCAGAGTGGCAACCTAGGCTTTTCTTGAATACATCCCATAATGAGTAACTTATTATATCCTAAAGCGGTTCAAGGCATTTTTAAATAGTTTGGAACATTAAAAACTTCCTTCCTATAACTGCTACTCATTGGTCCTAATTGTATTGCCCTAGGCTTTAATGTTTTTAATATAGCTTTAGATGAATAAAATATAAATCTTTATAATAACCAAAAAAGGAATGCTCAAGGAATTGTAATAGGATTTAAGAGAACAAAATTATGTTTCATATTTACCTAGAAACAATGTTTTAATAAAATGCTTAAAAAATAAGGTGACTTTTGGAATTAAAAACCAAATTTGACCTTTTAATGTAGTTTCTGAGGTTCATTGGAAAACATGTACCTGTCTCTTTGGTGTTAATTATTAGACTCAACTAGGTAAAGGAAGATAGTGATTAATTCACATATGTGGATTCTCATTGCATTGTTTGGATTTCCATTTATTTCTACTAACTAGCACTGTGACTCTGTCAAGTTACTTCCCTCTCCTGGGCCTCTGATTCCCTAACCAGTAATAAAGTATCTGCCTCATAGAATTGTGTGATTGTAATAAGATAATGTTTATGAAGTTCTTAGTCCTGGATCTGGTCCATAAAATACCTTCAATAAAATCTCCATTCAACAAATATTTATTGATAGCACATGTATCATCTGTCTTACATAAGAAGTGGTTCTAGAGATCATACTGCATGATTAAACGTTTTGAGAAAATAAAAGAGTTGCATTTTTTCAGATATTTTTCTGGCAACACCCAAAGGAAATTGTTTCTTTATGTTTCGAGAGAGTGATCATTAGTTTAAAAAAAGACTTAATTGCAAAACACTGTTATGGAGAGATAATTTGTTAATGTCATGGTCAAGATATGGAAAAGATTCCTGATATTTTCCAGAATATACTCTCCATTAGAGATTATGTTTTGCTTTACTTATTTAATATTCTTGAAAGGTGCCAGATCAAAAAGTCCTTCATTAAACTCATTAAAGTTTTTCCTTTGACCCATTTTACAACAGGCTTCTGCAAAATAATGTTCATCCATCGTTTTCTTGCCTGTACTGAAACTTAACTCTTTATAATATTTATGTTTGTCATCCCTCTGTAGATCCCTTTTGATACCTAATTATTATCTAAGCATCTCCCTCATTAGAATAAAAAAAGTAAACTAGCAATCTTGAAGTTAGAAACCAAGTTTTAGAGCTTTCCACATTAAACCTATGTTACCTTACTAGTTACTACCATCAACTAGACGGTAAAGTGCAGGATCTGCGAGTGCCTTCCTTCCTTTGTATTTCCATGTGGATGTCCTGAGTGTTTGTACAGAGCCTTTCATGCATTGTGCCTCTGCAATTTTCTGCTCCTATAAATAGCATTTTTCAGCTCTTGGTATGTATGCCAAGTCATTCCTTGTATTTGGTACAGCATTTTCCATACCATGGGTGAGTACAGAATCTTTCACTTCTTAAGCATCTCGGAAAAGATCTGTTTCTCCTAGTAACTTGGCCACCACCAATAAGGAATTTTCTGTGGTACATGATAAGCACCCCTAGGTTCCCCATTATGCCCACGTATTGATTGGGCCTTGTCTCCAAACTTTAAGGAGCTATGATAGAGCAGAGTTACTCCAACACCTCCTGACGATTTGATCTAAGCCACCAAGGAAATTCTTTACGGAGAGTGGCAGCACATTCCTCATCCATCATACATTTATATCTTGCCTCTCTATTTAACACATTGCAGAAAAAATGCAAATGCATTCAACTCACAACGGAAATACATCTTATTTTTGAGCTGCCTACATGGATAATATTCATCATTTCTAAACAAGATGTGAGGAATATAACATACATATAATTTTTTCTTTATCCAGAATTAAGTCTATTTTTCACTTGTGAGAGAAATAAAACAAGCTTTGAAAAAAATGTTTGGCTAAATGATAGTACATACAGTAGATCAATACAGCAAAGGTACTGTCTTAGTTTGTGCCTGCTGCTATAAGAAAATACCTTAGACTGGGTAATTTACAAACAACAGGCATTTATTTCTCACAGTTCTGGAGGCTGGGAGGTCCAGGATCAAGGTCCTTGCAGACACTGCATCTGGTGGGAGTTGCTATCTGCTTCCAAGATGGTGCCTTCTTGCTGCATCCTCATGTGGTAGAAGGGGTGAGGGGACTAACTGGCTCCCTCCTCAAGTCCTTTTATAAGGTCACTAATACCATTTATAAAGCAGAGACCTCATGACGTGATCATCTCCCAAAAACCCCATCTATTAATACTATTGCATTGAGGGTTAAGTTTCAACATGAATATTAGAGAGAAACATACATTCAAACCATAGTAGGCAGTAACATTTGCCTGGTGCCTAAGGTGTGCCAAACAATATTCTAAATCTTTTCAGTGCTTTGTCTTACTTTATGTTTACCACAAACCCGAAAAAGATGTTACTATTTTCTCCTATTTTTTAGAAAAGGGAAGTAGTAGATTGGTTATGGTCCTAATTTTACATGGCTTCCTATATCCATGCCTTATGCAATGTGACTTGACAGCTCCTTCCATCAAAAGCTGAAGTTTTTCCCTAGTGTGTGAATGTGGGCTGGCCTTGGGACTTACCAGGCCAATAGAATGTGGCGGAAGTAGACAATAGGCCAGTTTCCAATCTAGCTCTCAAGTGATCTTGCCCTCTTTTATTTTCTGTCTTTGAATCCTGCCCATAGCAACAAGCTTAGGCTAGCAGGTAGATAATAAGTGATCCAGGGCCAGGTTAGTACCCTCACCACAACCAAGAGCCATCCAATCACAAGATATGTGAATGATATCTTTTCCAGAGCACTCAGCTCTCAGTTTCTGTGCCCACTGACCACAGACATATGCTTTAGCCCTAAAAGATCAACCAAACCTGGTTCAGATCAGCAAAACCACCCATGGATTCCTGAGCAACAATAAATGTATACTGAGTTTGGGAACATTTGTTATGCAGCAATAGCTCTCAGATATAGAAGAAATTCTTCGTTTTATTTACTCGTTCTTTCTCAGCCATCGTGCATACTGATGTGGTTATTGAAAAAAGGAAATAAATTATTAATACTAAATACTTCTGTATATACAGCCCGGTCATCAGTGCTTGTGTATATGTAAACCCATTTTGTCCTCAGTGAATTTCAGGGGGAATTTCTTATCTTCATTCACAGGTAAAAAAACTGAAACTCAGAAGAGGTGCCTGCCAGCAAGTCACTCTGTCATTGTGGCAGTGCCAGAATTTGAGCACAAGTCAAAAGTCTATATTCTTTACCTTTTTCCATTTCTGTTACCTCTATCCTTTCTGATGTTGAATTTCAGCAGTTGCCTTGAGAAGCCCCTTAACTTTAAGCAGTCCTTCTATTAGGTGTTCTTGGAAATCCTGTAGAATAGCTAGTGAATAATCATTATTTTTTATATCCCTTGCACTTGGGCCCATCCCAGATGGTAGAAATAACACCAAACCCCATGTCTTCCCTTTAAAATCTGGGTATCCAGAATTGGTTCCTTCTGGTGGGTTCTTGGGCTCGCTGACTTCAAGCATGAAGCCGTGGACGCTCGTGGTGAGTGTTACAGTTCTTAAAGATGGTGTGTCTGAAGTTTGTTCCTTCTGATATTCAGATGTGTCCGGAGTTTCTTCCTTCTGGTGGGTTCGTGGTCTCGCTGGCTTCAGGAGTGAAGCCGCAGACCTTTGCAGTGAGTGTTACAGCTCATAAAGGTAGTGTGGACCCAAAGAGTGAGCAGCAGCAAGATTTATTGTGAAGAGTGAAAGAACAAAGCTTCCACAGCGTGGAAGTGGACCCGAGTGGGTTGCCACTGCTGGCTCCAGTGGCCAGCTTTTATTCCCTTATTTGGCCCTACACACATCCTGCTGATTGGTCCATTTTGCAGCGTAACGATTGGTCCATTTTTGCAGAGTGCTGATTGGTGCGTTTACAAACCTTTAGCTAGACACAGAGTGCTGATTGGTGCGTTTTTACAGAGTACTGATTGGTGCGTTTACAGACCTTTAGCTAGACACAGAGTGCTGATTGGTGTGTTTACAATCCTTTAGCTAGACAGAAAAGTTCTCCAAGTCTCCACCTGACCCAGAAGCCCAGCTGGCTTCACCTCTCAAAAGCTCATAGCATTAAGGAATATATTGCATGCACCATAGTATTGAATCAAAATTATATCAGCAACAGTACTCTTCAAGTTATGTGACTACCATTCTAAATAGCACTTCTCATTACAGCTCAGATCTTATCCAATCTCTTCGGTTGTCCTCTCCAGCATCAACTCCAACTCTTCCTCCCCTGTCCAACAAGCCCAGGCCACACTAATTCATTATTTTCCTCAGTTATTTCTATTCTAGGTTCATCACATTTGCTTCTGCTCTGCATGCCATTTTCTTCTGCCAGATCCTTACAGGGCTAATGCTTCCAGTTACTCAGGACAAGTCCGAATCTACCTTTTCAGAGAAGGCTTCTCTGTTCGAAATTGAGCCTAGAAAGCTATTTTTTCACCACTCCCCACTGTTTTATTTTCTTCATATTAGTTCTCATGTTGTCTAATAAACTTTGTTTTTTTTTGTCTTCTGCCACTAACATGTACACTCCTTTAGGATGAGGACCTTTTCTCCTTTCAAGGCTGTGTCCTCAGGCTTAGCATACAGAAGAAACTCAATAAATATTTGTTAAAGGAATTGCCTAAAGCCATTTAACATATTCAAAAGTCAGGTGGGACTGTGGCCAGCTTGCTCACACTCCCCTTCTCCCTGACCCTTCACAACACACATCTAGCCCTTTCTATTCTTTTCTTTTTTTTCTTTTCTTTTCTTTTCCTTTCCTTTCCTTCTTTTCTTTTCTTTCCTCTCTTCTCCTCTCCTCTCCTCTCCTTTTCCCTCCTCTCCTCTCCCCTCCCCTCCCCTCTTCCTTTCACTTGTTTTCTCTTCTCTTCCCTTCTTTTCTCCTTTCCTTTCCTTTCTTTTTTCTTCTCTTTTCCTTTTCCTTTACTTTTTGTTTTTCTCTTTTCCTTTTCCTTTTTCTTTTATTATTCTTTTCCCTTTCTTTTCTTTTTTCCTTTTTCTTTTTTTTGACATGGTCTCATTCTGTAATGCAGGCTGGAGAACACTGGTGCAATCATGACTCACTGAAGCCTGCAGCCTTGACCTCCCTGGGCTCAAGTGATCTTCCCACCTCAGCCTCCTGGATAACTGGGACTACAGGCATGTGTCACCATTTGCAGCTAAATTTTGCATTTTTTGGTAGAGACAGTGTTTTGCCATATTGTCCAGGCTGGTCTCCAACTTCTGGGCTCAAGAGATTCACTCATCTTGGCTTCCCAAAGTGCTAGGTTTATATACGTGAGCCACTGAGCCCAGTCTAACATCCACATTTCTAATGCAGAGTCCAAATGTGATGTAGTAAAAGCACCGTGGGCTTTGAGGAAAGACGGAGCTGGCCTTATCAGTCACTATCCAGGAAGCTCTGGGATCATAGTTTGCTCATCTATGAAATATGGCTAATCCTACCTACTTTATGGACTGACCATGAACATAAAATGGGTATATAGCACCGTACCCAGCTGTGAGGCTTAGTTTTGTATGACTGGCCATTGTAGTGCCCAGACTGAACATTATTTCACGGTGTGTCTGTGAATGTTTCCGGATGAGATTAGCATTTGGATTGGTGGGCTCAGTAAAGCAGATGGCTCTTCCTAACGTGGGTGGGCATCATCCAGTCTATTAAAGGCCTAGAGGGGGACATTTTTGATCTGGGAAAATTTTCTGAAGACTCTCAAACATTCTGTTTGATTAACCGGTTTTCTGAAAGCAGACGTCTGCAAACAAGAAGCTTTAAGAGTTAAGGCCTTGTGCTCCTTCTTTCAGCATCAGAGTTTTTTCTATCAAGGCTTTGATTCTTCACAAGTTAGTTCTGCCCTTCTCCTGAAATCAGAGAATCACACACTGTACCAAGTGGTCTGGCTGTAACTTTTGATCATATTTTTAATTACTTTTGGCTGCTAGCATTCCTCTGCATTTTAAAAAGCATCCTAAGAGTAAAAGGACTCTATCGTTTTATCAATTAATTCTCCATGCCCTACTAGAGATAATGTCCAATAAAGGCAGATATCCATTTTCCCCTGTGGAATCCCATCAAATGTGTATGAGTAAGGAGTACCAGTAATCTTTTAGCATGTGAGGTTTTTTTTTTTTTTTTTTTTTTTTCCAGTGGCTTAATTTCATTCTGGTTTGGCAATCTGATGGAGAAAGCAGCGGCTTCTATAGGAGGTGTGGGGCTGAAACACACAGTGCAGTGGTGAAGTCTCTTGAAAAATAAGAATATAAAAATATAAAATTAAGTACAGGGCTTGCATGGACTTGTGATAGTGAGGGGCCAAAGGACATGAACTCATGGCCTGGAATTGTTTTTTTTTTAATCAGAAATCTCCTAATTTTAAAATACACCAAATAAACATGTCTATTGGGCATAATTTTAACCAAATGACTTACGGTTTGTGACCTCTAAAATAGTTTTTATTTTTGCAATATGTTTAGAGTAATTTAAAATATGAATGAAGGAATTATACAACTACTAAGATATGGTTGAATATTGGCATATATCAAAGATCTAACTTGTTAGAAGAGGCATATGTCTCAGGCTTCAAACCTGAAATATTCATCTCCCATTTTTAATACAGATATAGGATTTAAAAGTCTGTTTCTTTTTTCCATTGCTTTTCGGGAAGATTTCAGTCTCTCTACTGACTGTCAATCCCTTCCCTCCCCCTCTTCCACATGAAGGTAGCATGGTTTTTAGCATAGTGCCTGGCACATAAGTAAGCCCAAATGTAGACACATGCAGCATAACAATGTTTCAGTCATCTGCTGACCGCGTATACAGTGATGGTCCCATAAGATTATAATATTGTATTTTTACTGTACATTTTCTATGTTTAGATACACAAATACCTACCACTGTGTTTTAATTGCCTACAGTATTCGGGACAGTAATATGCTGTACAGGTTTGTAGCCTAGGAGCAATAGGCTATACCATGTAGCCTATGTATGTAATAGACGATGCCATCTAGGATTGTGTAACTCTACTCTATGATGTTTGACAAAATCCCCTCATGGTACAGCACTCAGAACATACCCCCATTGATAAGGCATGCATTAGCTGTATATGGTTGCTGAATTAATTAAAATATGACTTAGCCAAAGTTTATTTTAAAGTTAACCTCTCCTTGCTTGACCTCAAATGTGAGGCAGCCTTATTCAATGGATAGAACATAACTTCCTTTGATCAAAAGCATTTGATGTAAATTTCTATATGGAATGTGGATAAGGGTGTCTATATGGACTACAAACATCTGCATAGTAGTAGTGGTAGTGGTCACTGTCTGCGTTGTCATCATCATCCTCGTTAATGCTATGTACATGCCATATACTGCTTTGAATGTTTCATACATATTAATATAATAGTCATCATTAGCATTATTTTTTATCCTTAGAACTTACTTTTTTAAAGTTTAAATTAGGAATTAAAAATATATAAAATAATTAAGACCATCTCATCAATCTGAGGTCACGCCAGGAAAAGTCTAATTTAAACAAAGATGATTTACTTTTGTATTACATAAAATCAATCAAGATATATCAGATATGACTCTATGCTAGATACTCTCCTAAATGCCAGGCTACCTGCTTGGGTGAGCTGATGAGTACAGAAGTGAACAAAAGAGACTGACCGTTGATTTCCAAAGCTGTTCCAATATTCTATCAGCATGAAAAATGGGAGAATTAGGAAGCTGGTGCATACTTCAGGTTTGCCAGCAAAGTCCCGTGATTTCTCCAACCAGCTTTCCAGGGCACATCTCCAGGTTTTTATTTGTGCACAGATGTGTGTGTTTGTTGATCAAACATTTCAGAGATCTGCCAGCTTTCAAGGGTCCCAGTTCTGTTATCATGCCCCAGGAGCAAGTTTCTCAGCATAGCTGGCACAGAGGGACCACAGCTACAGCTGTTTTTTAAAAATCTCCTGCTGAAATTCTTGGTTTTTACCTTAGTACTTCTTTTATAGCTTCAATGAAATGGGATGGAAACAACATCTTTATCTCTGAGGAAACTGAACAGTCACTGTTAACCACCAACTGAGGTGTTAACTTATAACCCCTTTTTGTGCCAGATCTTTTTATCTGATTCCCTGCAGGATATATCTAGGCATCAGGACAAGATTAAACAAAGATGTCAACTTAAATAATGATCCTGTGACTGGCTAGAGTTAAATGATCCAGAGAAATAGTACATGCTGTTTACTTCCCAGGGAGCCGATGGATTCATAATACGGGATTTTTACAGGGTATGTACCTTAAATTAGATGATTGTGGTTGAGTGTAATGTAGCAAAATAACCCATTTGGTTCATCAGAAAATGATCATATTTGGAATGGTCTTTCTCACCTTTAAATTGGCAGAGCTGGACTAGAGGTTGTGTAAGATCTCTTGCAGTGTAGTGCATCTTGCTTTGAAAAATTTGGCCCTGCCCACATTCAAACTATGCTTTGTCTTATGCAATAGACTGAATGGCATTGTCTTTTTAACTTTGGGCAATTATTTTGCACATATGAATGCAATTGTTGAAATTGATGGGTGTCAGTCAAGTGATGAAGACTTTAATATTGTAAGGGCCTTTAGGCTCAATCTCTATATCAATTGTGGCATGTGTGGAGTTTTGAATGTAAGATTTTCTTAAAGTTTTGTGTTATCACAAACCACCCAGATTTCAGACGAAGAGACGTAGTCCATTTTAAGATTATTTTTATGCAAAACAATCTATAGTGCCTCTGATCTATTCCAGAGCTGTGTGTTAAGTGTCTCTCCATTTGTTAATTATGCCTTTCCATTTGTTTCTTTCAGCATTGACAGCCCGTTTCCCCTCCTGGCTGAACAGTATGGTTTTGAACTTTGTTATTGTAATTCTGCAGCCAAAATTGACAATGTGGAGCCATAAAATAGTGTAGATTAAAAATCCCTTAAAGGTAACCTATTATAGCTTTCTCCTTTTTCAAATGATAAAAATGAAGTTCAGAAATATTCAGTGGTGTGCTGAAGGCAATGCTTTCCAAATGTTTTCATGTCATGGCAAAGATAGAAGGTGATGATCATTCTAAGACACACTGGGCTAACATTTTGAGGTTGTTAGTGGCTGCAGCTGAACAGCCGAAGGGCTCCAAAAATTAAGATTTAAGCACATATTTGAACTCATTTATGGTATATTCCATAATATACCATTTGCAAAGCTCTGACCTAAATTCAACTGGTAGCAGAGCTACCAGTAGCCCAATCTCTATTGGCTTAAGGTAAAACAGTATTTATTACCTTATACAATATAGGTAAGGTTGAGGCTTGATTCAGTGGATCAAACTTCACCTTGAACTTAATTTCCTAGCTAAAATTGGTTCTTGTCTCTCATGTATGTTGGCTTCATTCTCAGGAAGATGACAATCTCCTGGTGGCAAAATGGTTTCAGCACTTCCAGACTGTTCAGGCTTCTGGGTTAAAATCCTACAATAATGAGAGAGTTTTTATAAAACTTTCCTAGAGTTTCTATAAAAACTCTTCTGACATCTCATTGGTTCTGAATGGGACATGAACCCATTCTAAACCAATCACTATTCTCAGGAGAATGTAGTTCATTCATTGCCTTAGATTAAGGTCACGTGCTCTACCTTTGTGTCAGTGTAAGCCCAGATACACTCATATATCACTTAATGACAGGAATACATTCATTCTAAGAGACACATCATTAGACAATTTCATCATTGTGTGAGCATCATACTATGTGCTTACACACCCCTAGATGACATGCCTACTATAGGCTATATGGTATAGCCCATTCCATTGCTCCTAGGCTACAAACCTGTATTGCATGTTATTGTGCTGAATACTGTAGGCAATTGTAATACAATGATAAGTATTTTTGTGTTCAAACAAATCTAAACATGGGAAAGGTACAGTGAAAATATAATATAAAAAATAAAAAACAGTACACTTGTGTGGGGCACTTAACATAAATGGAGTTTCAGGATTGGAAGTTGCTCTGGGTGAGTCAGTGAGTGAGTGGTGAGTGAATGTGAAGGCCTAGGATGTTACTATACACCACTGTAGACTTTATAAATATTGTACACTTAGGCTACACTAAATTTATGAAAATTATGTTTTCTTCACTAATAAGTTTAACTTAGCTTACAGTAACTTTTTTATTTTATAAACTTTTAACTCTTTTAACTTTTTGACTTTTGTGTGATAACACTTATCTTAAAACACAGACATATTGTACAGCTATGTACAGCTCTGTCAACATTTCTCAAATTACTTGGTAAAACTGTTGATACTTCACCCAATCGACTGGTGGTGACCACATCTTCAGCACATTATTATTAGAACATGGAGCAACAAAAATCTTTCTAAATTACATGCTGATCACTAAAATGTAATGTGTGAGACAAGATTCTAAAATATTCAATAGAAAAAAACAGCTGAAAGACTTCAAAGTCTCAGCAGATATTTCAGCAACTGTCCATTTTTTTTGAAGACAGGGCTTAGAGCTCAAATCCCACCAAGTTAGAAGGATTTGGTAAGCACCTTATTTTAAACTCCAGAAGTAACATCATGCCTTAGAACTAATATGCCCAAAACTAAGGGTAAAATGAACTCTGAACCAAACTCCCACAAGATTAAGATGACCTGTTCATTATTTCACCACTGCTAGAACAAAACAATAGTCTTCAAAAAATATAAATGATTTGCTGGCTTTGACAATGTACCATTCATAATTTCCAGTAGATAATCAAAAAATATCCATCATAAGAAGTGAGAAACATTCGACTCAAAAACAAATGAAGGAACAGTCTATAGAAGCAAACCAAGATAGACTGCATATGTTGGAATGAGCTTTAAATGACTTAAGCATAATCATTATAACTATGTTTAAGAACTTACAGGGAAAGAAAGTATACAATGAATTAAGGGACACAAATTTCAGTAGGGATGTAAAAAACAACTTAAAAATGACTAAATGTAAATCTAGAACTAAAAAATGTAATATTTAATGTCATAAATTTATTAGATGGGATTAATGGCGTACTGGATATAACATCTTTTGATCAGTGAGTTAGAGGAAAGGTAAACAGAAATCTCAACTGAAACCCAAACTGATTGAAAAATTTAAAAAACAAATAACCTGTGAGATAATATCAAGTAGCATGACATACCCGGACTCCCTAAAGGGTAGGAAAGATAAAAGGGACAGAAAATATATTAAAATAAATACTGACAAAATGTTTTAAAATGACAGAAAACAAGAACCTCTAGATCAAAGAAGCCAAACGAATCTCAGGCAGGGTAATAAAAATCAAATCATATCTAGGACATCATGGTCAAACTAGGGGAAATCTATGAAAATGAGACTTATTGAAGGTAGGCAAGAAAAGAGAGACAGAAAAATGAAAAGAGATAACGACAATAAGCAATGCTGGACCTCATATGAGAAACAAAGCCATAAGATAAAGATACATCCTTAAAATGGCAAATTATGGAGAAAAAGGAGAAGGAAACAAAAAGTAAAAGTAAAATCATCGATCTAGAGTTGTATATCCACAGAGAATATCCTTCAAAAATGAAGTTGAAATGAAGACACTGTCAAATATGAAAGTTGGAAGAATTAATCTCAACAAGCCTACACTAAAAAATGACAAATGGAATTTGAAAAACATAAGGGAAATGATGCCTAATGATGATTTGGATCCATGAAAAGGAATGGAGTTTGGAAATATAAGTATATGGACAAATAGAAATCCTTGTCTATTTTTTTCTATTCTTATACTATTTAAATTATAATTGACTGCATAAATAATAGTGATGCATTTTGAGGCTTACATGAAGAAATTGTTCATTTGTAGGATTTTTTTATATGCCATTTGAAATAGCATCAAATTAATAAAACATTTAGTAGTAAATTGAGCAAAATATGAACATGATTATTACCCTAAAAATTTCAGAACATTAATTAGAGGAATTTAAAATAATGTAAATAACTGAAGAGATAGAATGCATTCATAGTTTGAAAAGCATAATATCACTAATTTTCCTTTGACTGCATCTTTAACACAATTTTTTTTCTTTGACATGAGAAGCTGAACTTCATCTAAAAACAGAGTATGGTATCTGATTACAATGGAACTTTGGTAGAAGTCACAATTACTAGGTTTTTACAATCCTTTTCTAACTCTTCTCCCCAGGAAATGTAAAGACAGATGAAACATCAGCTATGTGGCAAATGTGGCTCCAGATTAGCCTATTGCATCTACCTGGGAAGTACTATAAGTACCCGGTGGGGAGCCTTAAATTTAGGCTTTCCTTAGTGAATGAATTCTGCACATTGGCACATCTTTTGCAGGAGCCCTGGAAACTTTGTCTGTGAAGTTTTTACAAGAGAGATTGGCTCCTGTGTGCATAGGGCTTCTCAAGAGCGTAGACCTCATATTCACAATGGGGACCTTGTCCCTTTTCACCTCAGTTGTCATCACTTGGTAGATCAAAGATGAAAATTCCTGGATGGCTATCAGATGGATATAAGTACTACTTTGAGCAGAAACACCTGATTTTACCCTGTTGCCAAGTTCTTGCCTGATCTAAATCCTTCTAAATAGACTGGCACTGGGTAACGTCCATATGGGCCTTGTGTGTCTGAGCGAGACGTGAATAGACCTAAGAAGTCTCTCTAGTAGGCATTGCTATGCCAATTCTCTCCAAATTAATCTGTAGATTTAATGAAATCTCCAGTCAAACTTCCATCAGAATTTTCTTTGTAAAGATTATAAGGCTGATTCTGAAATGTATATGGAAATGGAAATGAGCTAGAACAGTCACTAGCCAAAACAATATTGAAAAGGACAAACATTGTTGTAGGATTTACAGTACTAGATTTCAAAACTTAACATAAATCTATAGTAATCAAAAGAGTATTACATCGGCATAACGATGAGAAAAAGATTAATTCACCACAGTAGAATTCAGAAACAGACCAAACATATCAACTGATTTTCTATGAAGGCACCAAGATAATCCAATAGGGTTAGAAAAATCTTTTCAATCTATATTACTTGAACAATGGTGTATCTACATATTTAAAAAAATAAATCTTAACCCTTGCCTCTCAACATACATGAATATTAATCAGTCATAATTAAATTTAAGAGTTAAACCTATGAAGTTTTAGGAAAAAATACATGAGAATATATTCATGACTTTGGGTGAGCAAAAATTTTTCAAGACACAAATAGCACACAGTACAAAACAAAAAATTGGTAGGCTAGACACCATAGCTCATTCCTGTAATCCCAGCACCTTGAGAGGCCGAGGCACAAAGATTGCTTGAGCTCAGGAGTTTGAGACCAGCTTGGGCAAAATGTGAGACCCCTATCTCTACAAAATATTTAAAACAATTAGTTGGGCAAAATATTTAAAACAATTAGGACTACAGGCGGCTCACACCTGTAGTCCTACCTACTTGAGAGGCTGAGACAGGAGGATAACTTGAGCCCAGGAGTTTAAGGCTGCAATGAGCTATGATTGTGCCACTCCAGCCTGGGTAATAGAATGAGACACTCTCTCTTTTTTTTTAAAAAAAAAAAAAAAAAAGAAGAAGAAAGAAAGAAAAATAATAGTAAAAAAAAAACTTTGCCAAAACTAAAAGTTCTGCTTTTCAGAAAGGCAAGCCACAAATTAGGAGGAAAACAATATATACCCCCATCTCCATAATGTTTTATATATTAAAATACCTACAAATCAAAAATAAAAACACAATTCAGTAAGGAAAGGTCAAAGACCTTGTGAACACTTCACAACAGAAAATATACGAAAAGTAAATAAGCATTTCAAAAAGTGATAAAGTGCCAAATAAAATGATAATGAGATGCCACATTATACTCACTAGAATGGCTACAACTACAACTACAAACAACAGCTACAGAAGCAACAATAACAAGAAACCAGTAATATTATTGTTGTTCACAGATCAGAACTCTTACACTTTACGGGTGAGAGTGTATATGGTGCAGCCATTTTAGAAATATGTTTGATAGTTTTTTATAAAGTTAATCACCTATCTGGTTGGTAACCCAGAAATTATACTCCTAGTATTTATTTTAAAATAATGAAAGCATGTCCACTTACAGACTTATACTCAATGCTTATAGCAGCTCTATTTATTATAGCGCAAACTAGAAGAGACTCAAATGTTTATTAAGAGGAGGAAGGCTAATAAGATTGTGCTGTGTTCATACAAGGGAATACTACTCAACAGTAGAAAGGAATGAACTACTAATACACACAACTGTATAGATGAATCTTAAACATATGTCAGATAAAGGAAGCCGAATGCAAAAGAGAACATAGTTTATAATTTCATCTCTATGACCTTCTTGAGCAGCTGAAGCTAATATGTATGAGGAGTATCGGAATAATACTTGCCTTTGGAGGGGTGGGTTAACTAAGAAAGGGACTTTTTTGGATGACAGAAATGCTTTTTGTCTTCATTATGTTGGTGGTTACACATTTGTCAAAGCTTATTGAACATTTTACTTAAAATGCGTGCATTTTATGACATGCAAATTTTTATTTTATTTGAAAAAAAAGATTGTTGAGATTGAAGTTAACTTGTAAGGGTTCATTTCTTTCCAGCATAATAATGTGGTTTTGAGTTCTGGATCCAGATTTTAAAATATTAGTGCCAAATAATGGCCCTGTTACTTTCTATGGGGATACAAACTCTCTATGCTTCAGATATGCCGCTTGCAAATCACCTATATAAGAGACTTATTTAGAAGACTAAATGAGACAATCAGTGTGTGGTACCTGGGCAATAGTAGGTCACCAGTACAGGTAGCTGCTCCTATGATTGTTCTTATTATCACTTTTATCATCACTCATACTGAGATCAGTTAGAGAACAGAATAGTTTGTTAAAGAGTAAAGATATTTAAAATCCAGGAGAAAATAAATATAGATCAGTAGACAGCCATAGATATGAACATGGATATAGATATTTACATTAACTCGAGGACTTTACCCTGAAATTCACATATAATCTTCTAGAAGTCTCTGTGTAGTGACCTTGTTGAATTATATGTTAAATATATATGTATATTTATATGTTAATTGTTTGGGATAAAACTTCCATGGTTTTCTTGAGAATCTCAAAGAGGTTTTGTGACCTCCCCCAAAAGATTAATTATACCTTTTCAGGAATTACCTTTCACAATTTACTTACATTCCAAGTAGCTTACTTTGCTATTGAAAATAAAGCCAAAAGGACCCTAGAGTATATACGTAAATGCTAGTGTACCATCTGCAAATTTCTTTGCATTTTTTAATTGTGCTTTCTTTGGCCTTTATAATTTCTTTATCATTTCTTGTTGAAGGTAAATAAGAAGGAAGAGTTGAAGATTTCTCTGTATTACTTTATCAGCCACACACCTAGAGACAACATGGAAATGTGGGTAGGAAATATTTTGAATGCTTATATTAAAAACTATAGTGGTATATGATTTTTTGAAAATTCATATAGTTTAACGACAGAAACTGTCTCTGATAAGGGAAACAAAATTGGATGTAGAAGTAAAAAGAGCATGACTAAACAAATGACTGCATCAGCAAAATGAAATGTATTGAAACAGACAAATCATCACATCAGAATGAAGTTACTTCCTGAATTTACCACATGAAAAAAAAACTGTGGAAATTAACAAGAAATTAGCCATCTGTATTTGTTACAATATAGATATAGCTGCATGTGAGAGAGACCAAAAATAGCTTAATAAACTGGCTTATCTGTCTTGTCTGAGTGGCTTTGCCTGCAAGTCATCAGGGGCCTGCACTAATACTATCTTCTCTGCAATCTCAAGTGTGTTGAGATTGGTACCAGGTGATACCAGGTCTGCATTCAAACCAGGAAGGACGAAATGGGAAGGGAAGAGAATACACTTTCCTTTCAAGGACATGGTCAGAGGACATGGGCATCCTTATGCTCCATCTCTTGGCTAGAAGTTAGTCGCACGGTCCCCGCCCCTCATGTGAGGCTAGGAAATGTAGGCTTTATTATTTTGGCCAGGTGCTTATCTAAATATTCTACTGAGAAAGAGAAGAGTGGATATTGGCAGAACAACATATTTGAAACCAGATATCCCTAAATAATCAGAGCTGCAAAAATCCAAAAATAAAAAATAAAAAACCAAAATGCCTCAGAAGATTTCTTGTCCTATATGCAATTTCCTTGAAAGGATTACATCATTCCTTATAATTAGTAATAATCATTATTGGGAGCCAGAGGTTATAATTGTTCTTCTCAATTTTGGTTGGAAGTATGTGAAAGTAGTTTAAAGAGTGAGTATATTTTATAAATTATTTAACTATAGAAATATATTTGGTGTTGATAAATAAGCACTCATTTACCAACTAAACATTTATTGCTATTATATATATATGTGTGTGCCTATACACATATATATTTTTATTTTTATTTATATTTGTTTATTTATTTATTTATTATTTGGAAAAAATCCAAAAAAATCCCCATCCTGTGCCAACCAGGCTGGAGTGCAGTGGCGTGATCTTGGCTCACTGTAACCGCCACCTCCTGGGTTCGAGCAATTTTCCTTCCTCAGCCTCCCAAGTAGCTGGGACTACAGGTGCCCACCACCACATCTAGCTAATTTTTGTATTTTTAGTAGAGACGGGGCTTTGCCATGTTGGCCAGGCTGGTCTCGAACTCCTGACCTCAAGTGATCCACCCACCTCAGCCTCCCAAAGTGCTGGGATTGCAGGTGTAAGCCACCGCATCAAGCCAATATTATATATATTTTTTAATGGCCAACTGGTGAGATTTTTAAAGCCTTTGCATGGTAGGTACTTGAAAAGTTGAGAGTAGATCTTGTTCACTTATGAGTGCATTGGATAAGGTACTTGATTATTAGCTAGAGAAACCAGTTAGAAAAGCTTAAGGAAAGGAAGGATGGAGAAAAGATCAATGTGACTAGAATGGAGGTACAGAGTGAAAGGTGGAAGATTCTAACAGTGGAGGGGTTGACTTGGTTAGATTGTGAAGTGTATTCTAAGGCTTGGTAAGGCATTGGACTATTATTCTGTAGGCAATTGGGAGACATAAGGTGAATGAATATTACGTGATTAAGTATTCACTAATGAGTACCAAAAGGGATGTAGCCATGGTTGATGCAGTTCAACAAGTGGTCCTTAAAAGTGTGAATAACCAGAAAGAATTTTAATGCTTTCAATGCAGGTAAAAGGGAAGTAGTTCAGTTACTTAAAAAAAAAAAAATGTACTAGGCTAGGAGTGAAGATGATTAAGTTATTCTCCGAAGTGACTAACCTTAAATTATTTTAGGTTTCATAGTTTCAGTATCACTGTGAAGGTACTGTTACTTTTTTTTCACAAAAAAAGTATTGGAATATAATGAAAATATGCATAAAAATACAAAATGCCATTCAGACTTCATATGCGTGAATCATTTGAATTAGTTCTATGATATCACTATAATAGCATAGGTAGTAGACAATTACATTAAAGTACTATGTTGGGCTATTATGATCCTTGTATTTTTACTGTGATACTTGTGAGACAGATCTGTCATAGACCACTGACTATATGGTTCAGATGGTGGCAGTGCAAAAACACCCAAAGCACATTAACTACCAGTCAGTTCAGTTCCAAGATATTCAGTCCACTCTGTGAACTCATTCTGTGTGCCCAACCCTGTGACAGATCCTGCAAATATAGTGACTCCCCCAAAATGTTCTCTGGCAACTGGGATTTAAGGTATTTAAATCTCTTGTGTGAATTAAAAATCATAAGTATAACCTGATGTTGAGAGCAAATTATCAAAGATAGTTATTACTATTCCATTTTTGTTGCTGGAAATGAGGCCAAAAATGGATAAGTAAACTCCAGTAGCCGGAAAACAAAGCCTTTTTTCCAATTATTAGGAGTAATATTTAAAGTGGGGATTGGGACATAGGGAATCCATTCTCTGTCTCCCTCACCCACCTTCCCCCACTAAACAAAAAATCCTCATGAAATAGAATATATCCAACTTACATTCACATTAAATTATAACTCTTTCCTGGGGTAGCTTTTGATAGCGAAAGAGGGAGGAGAAGATCCCAATAGAAAGGCAGGCAGAGAGAACAGAATTTGTTACCGAGAGGCAAGTGCTTTAATTCTAAGCTCATTGTGCTGTAAGGTGGTTGGAAAATGCTCTGATATGGGCAATTAAGAGGCTGCCTTGAGGAGGAAAAGTTTTATTTTCCTGTCTGCCTGTTCCGCTCATAGCCCTCAAGTCCTTCCAGATGCAGAGCCCCAAAACTTCTCAGAAGACCATCCAAAATAGAGTGGTCTGCACATGGTCTGGGGATGTTGATGGCCTGTTGATTCTTTAAAGTGGCAGTTCTCCCCCTTTTCTGATGCTCACGGTCCTTTGAGAATCTGATGGGTGCTACAGAGCAAAGCTTATAAGATGCTTGATTGGAGGATTTAGTTAGGGATTGTTTGATCAGACAGAATATTTAAAGAAAGTTTGAATTAGTTGTCAACATGGAAAACTTGGGAGATTTCCTAACAAAATCTAGATTTCTGGCTTGGCTTGGCTTAGCTTAGCTTTTCTCTTTTCTATTTTTTTCTTTTCTTTTCTTTTTTTCTTTTCTTTTCTTTACTGTGAGATGGAGTTTTGCTGTGTTGCCCAGCTGGAGTGCAGTGGTGTGATCTCGGCTCACTGCAACCTCTGCCTCCCGGGTTCAACTGATTTTCCTGCCTCAGCCTCCAGAGTAGCTGCGACTATAGGCGCCCGCCACCACACCCAGCTAATTTTTTTTGTATTTTTAGTAGAGACGGAGTTTCACCATGTAGGCCAATATGGTCTTGATTTCTTGACCTCGTGATCCACCTGCCTCAGCCTCCCAAAGTGCTGGGATTACAGACAGGAGCCACTGCCTCTGGCCAATACCAATTTCTGGCTTTTCTTAAAAAAAAAAAAAAAAAAAAAAAAAGGAGAGAGTTGACTTCACAGGAATAATGGTGGACATGGCAGCAAGGAGCTACAGTTGAGGGGTAGATGGCTGTATGGATACACCATGCACTCCTCAGTTCACATGCTCTCCAGCACTCTCTATTTTAAAATACCAACTTTGTTCATTTACATCAACCCTTCGTCAACTTACATTGTCCTCAGTAGTTTACCATCTCTTCCTTATACCCTCTCCACATAATAAAAATACTAACAATGACAATATTCCAATGTATGCATTTAACATTTTCCAGACATTATTCTAAGCATTTTACATATTTAAGTTCACTTAATTCTCGCCTGTAATCCCAGCAGTTTGGGAGGCTGATGTGGGCAGATCATCTGTGGTCAGGAGTTGGAGTCCAGCCTGGCCAATATGGTGAAACCCCGTCTCTACTAAAAATACAAAAAAATTAGCCAGGCATGGTGGTGGGTGCCTGTAATCCTAGCTGCTGGGGAGGCTGAGGCAGGAGAATCACTTGAACCCAGGAGGCAGAGGTTGTAGTGAGCCAAGATCGTGCCACTGCACTCCAGCCCAGGCAACAAGAGTGAAACTCCATCTAAAAAAAAAAAAAAAAAAAAAAATCACTAAATTCTCACAGCATCCTTATGAGGTAGGTACTATTTGTTTTCCCACCTTATAGCTCAGGAAACTGAGGCACAGAGAAATTTAAGAGCTTTCCCAAGCTCACAGTGCTAGGGTATGGTGTAGTAAGTCTTCTGATGCAAGCAGGTAGACTGCAGAGGTGGGGCTTTTAAACTGTTCTGAATGATCTTTTATGCATATATGCATGGATTTTGCGCATCATTTCAGAGTCAATTGATGAGATATCCCCTTTCCCGGGTCCTTGACAGAAGAGTTAGTGCTGCCGAGTGTAAGGAGCACAGCTTTGAGTATTGAGTATTGTGAGCCCCTGTGGGATGCATTCCACGTGGATGGCTTCACAGCTTTCTCCCTCCAACCCTGGAGGTCACCCAGGACTAGAAGTGCAAGGAGAGGTAGGGTATCTTCTTTATACATCAGGATTACCATGTCAGGCCTTCTTGGGCACTCTTGTTTCACAGCTAACTTCAGCAAGGTCATGTCAGAAGCAGGGCAAGTTTCATGGGTTTGCAGCCTGTCCATTAAACAGGACCCGTGCTTTACAAAGGCCCCGTGCTTGGTTTAGGCTCTGCTCTTGCCACCTTGAAAGTATGAATATTTTTTTCAAACAAACTGCCCCCATTTTCACTTTGCACTGGGTCCCACCAATTTTGTAACCAGTCCTAATCAGGAAGCAGCATGTCTTAGCATATTGCTCCAGAAAGGCAGAGAACTTTATCTCTCCTGTTTACTGAACACTCAGAATTGTGGCTCCCACATTGTAAGCATTCAGTAAACATTTGTTAAAGAATGTTCAGCGTACAAGCTGTAGGTCAGCAAAGTTTCCTGTACAGGGCCATGTAGCAAATATTTCCTCTTTGCTAGTGGGTCTCTGTCGTAATTACCCAAATCTGCCATTGCAGCTCAAAAACAGCAATAACTGTAGAGAAAGGAATGAGTGTCACTTTCTTCCAATAAAACTTTTGGAAGTTTTACTGGTAGTGGTAGTGGTCTGGATTTGGCCAGCAGGCTGTAGTTTGCTGACCTCTGCTGCAGAGTCATACTGCTCAGATTCAACCCTGGCTCCACCATTTTCTTTGACTTCAGGCAAGTTGCTTAACTTCTCTGAGCTTCAGTTTATTTTTCTGGAAAACTGGGATAATATAAGTGCTTTCCTAATAGGGCAATGGTGATGATTAAATGAGATAGTGCTTAAAAGACATCTAGAACAGCTGAACACATTATAACCCTTTCAACTGCTGTTGGTACTACTTCTATAATCACTAAGAACGGCTTGACTTTCAGAGGTCTACAGATAATTAACATATATAAGACAATTTCATCAGCTGTATTGCTAGACAGGTTTTGAGGGATGAGCAAAGATTTTGTTAAGTATCCCAAGTGACTTTTCCATTTTCCTCTGCAAATATTTCATGGTAAGAAAGTACTGGTTTTGTTCTTTATACAGGATCTATGTTCACTGAAATTAGTCAACAAGGAATCAAAAGATCCAGTAGATTCTCTTCAAGGAATCTATCATCTTTGACCTCAGTTTCCCATCTATGAAATAAAGAGGTTGCACTAGAATAATGGTCAAATCCTTTTACAAATTGGAAAGGCTAAATAGTGTACATGTTGTGCTCTTAGACTCTGGAACTGCATTAGGTTTTAAATCTCATCTTGACTAATCAACAGCTTTGTGACGCTCAGTGGATCTCACAAGGGTTGTTGTCTTTCTAGCTTTTAAAGTAAATGGCCTCCCCGCTTCCTTTTCAGTTTTTGGATCCTTCATGCATAAAGTAAGGAATGAGCACATTGCTTTGACAATCCAAACACGACTTTGAATTAAAGCTGATGTGTTACAAAAGACTGCTCAGAAATATTCCCATTTTAATTATATGCTTTGGCAACAGCATTTATTTGCTTCCAAATTTTCAGATAAGAACAAAATCCAAAATGACCTAAAAACAATCATTCTGCTCATTCAAGGTGTGTAAACCATGTTCCTATTTATAGAAGGCATGGAGGAGAGAAGTGAGTTGGGTGAAATTTCTAGCGGTAATAGCTTGCTTTCTGCTTTTGAAGACAATGTTGATGAGAACTGAATAATTTCCTTATAATTGACACGAATTCTATCTGGATTCCACAAAGCACACTAACCAGCAATAACATGTCATACTCAACTGGATTACTGTAATAGCCTCCTCAGGAGTTTCTGTCTATCTACTCTTGGATATCCAATACAGTCTTTCTCCAGGAAGTAGCACAGCTTACACAACTATTCATCAAACTATGCCACTCTCTGCTTAAATTGCTCCATTAACACTTAGATAAAATACATGCCTTTCACCAGCCCACAGTCCTGAGGCAAATGTCCCTGCCTGACTCTCGTAGGACCTCTCACCCCTCTGCCCCTTATTTATAATGCTGGCCTTTTTGTCCACATACCACACTTTCCCCCTTCCAGAGCCCTTGTCTGGTGTTTCCTCTCATTGCAATGAACTTTCCCCAGAGCTTTGCTTACTTGTCTCCTTATTCTTCAGGGCTCTTCTCAACTATCACATAACACTTACTACCCTAGGAAATTCTCTATTTTATTTATAAGTTTATAGTTTCCCCTACTTGAAGGAAATCACTATAGAGGATTGTATTTTTCATCCTGACATCTAGAACATTGTCTAATGTCCATTAGGTGTTCAATAAGTAAACATTTATTGACTAAATAAGTGAAAGAATAAAATTAATTTTTGGTTTGTAGTTTGTTTGAAGGAACATATTTAAAAAAGCAGCATAGCTTGGCAGCCCACAATTTTATCACTTTTGTATTAGAAAAAAGGCTGGATGCTGACTGGAGTATCTGTGTGGCTTTCTGTTATGCTCCAGTAAGACAATTCAGGGAGTTGTTATAGTGAAGGAACCACTTCGAGGTAGTAATATGGCTATTTTATCTGTGAAACTATAGACTTCCTAGCTACCTATGCACACACACACACATGCACACACACACATACACACACACACAAAAAATGAGACCAAGTCCCTAAAGGGAAATGCTCAAGGCACTATTTATTGAGCATCTGCTATATTCTAGGCCTTGGAAATGCAAAGATGAATAAGTATGGTGTATATCCTGGGGGAATTTTATCATCTAGTGGGGAAACAGAGATAGTTTAATAAAGAAGCTGCAATTTAATCAATTTTCCAATAGAGACTGTTAAAAATTGCTGAGAGAACCTAAGATAAAGTGATTAATTTTTTCAGAGGTATTTGAGAAGCCTTGGTTAGGTAGCCAGGTCTCGAAAGATTACTAGAATTTGCTAGGTAGAAAAGATGAGAATTTCATTTCAGACAGAGGAATCTGCTTAAGCCAAGGCTCAGAAGTGAAAGTGGGGGTTATATATGGGATTTTCCCATTTCCTGCCTCCAATTTTAAGGTTCAGTACACTCACTAAAATAGGTCAACCCTTAGTTAATCCTCAGATTCTCCCTTTTTAGGGAGCACTAATCCAAGGAGGCTTTTCAAGTAAAGGTAAGTTAGGTGAGGGACCTTATAAGAAGGGTGTTTTCTATGGAAGACCTCTCTGCTAACAGGTGTGTGTTCCTAGAAGGAAGTATCCTTTTTATGACATCATTGTCTACATGTTGTCCATTATATCCTCCAACATCCACCCAGAAAGTTATTCTTGGAGGATATCTTGATCATTCAAGATCAAAAGAGTTATTTTAATAAAAAGCAATTTAGAGTTTTAAGAAGCAGGCCAAATCTTTCTGAATAGCCATTACAATCTGCTTACCCCATACTAAATACCTTAAGAAGCTCAATTTCTCACCAGATGGCAGTATTCAGAGATGGAAGCTGTTTTTGCTCTGATTTGGCTTCTGTTCGCTTCTCTTTCTCTCCACAAGTATACTGTAAGGGCAAAACCATGAATATGAATACAAAGTCTTCAAATCTATCACAGGATGCAATTTATTCATATCCAACTAATTCTGGATAGAAACCTAGCGGTAGCAAGTAAATTTTATTTCTACCTCATAATTAACAAAAATAATTACTGCTTTTGCTACACCTTTCCTAACAGCATGGATCAGACCTTGAGCATCTTACTTTTCCACCTGTAGCATCTTCCAGTTTATACATGATCTCGTGAATCTTTCCTTAACTTTTATTCCTTGGTCCTTCTGAGATATTCCTACACTGAGTAATTAATGTTTGTAAAATTTTTATTCCTTGTTTTATAGGAACATGGGTGATTAGCCTCAAGAAATTGCAGGGAATATTTTCCAGTCACTTTCATGTTACTCATATGTATGAGTTTTGATTGATTGAGCCATCCATGCATGGGCCACAAGGCTAAGCACTTATTCTCATCCTTATACCCCAACTCTAAAAGTGAGGTAGTATTTGCATCATATTTTTTTTTGATTCAGGCTACTCAGGCCCAGAGAAGTACAGTAGCACCCAGTGACACAGCCTGATTTCAAAGTCTATGATTTAACCATCACACTATAGTGTTTCTTGCAGCTTTTTTCTTTAAATTTAAACCTTATTTTCTCTCTTGATCCTTCAGTGTTCTACCACTGCCCCATTTCTTGGCTAGTTCCCTTTTTCTTACTTCATTTGTATCATGTCTTCTAGAGTGATTGGAGACTAGACAGAAGCATTCTTAAACCTAGAGTGTAGGGGTCTATGGAATGGGTGATCAAGTTGAGAAAGTAGGCTTTATGCCAACATTTGAAAACCCTACGGCCTGGGGTGTAAAGAGGTAACATTACTGAAGAAAACATATAGGCTACAAGAGAGGAAGAGAGTGGTAGGAATAAGGGTACCAGAGAGCACACATCTTTGTTAAAGAGATACACATCCGTCTAAAAGTAGTAGCCACAGACAAATGGTTTCATTGGGGTTAAATTATCTGATCCTCCAAGGTAAGCCAGAAATCTTGATTCTTATGAGATATTTCCAATTTTTAAAAAGTAGATAATAATTTAAATCTTTTTAAACATTGTATAAAGAAGATTCCTGAAGGCTGGGTTTGGACCATGGGCCAGAAGTTTATGCCTTTGGTTTAAATAGTAGGCCTAGGAATATTTTCCACAATCCATCATCTCCTTCTGATTTGTTTCAAGGAAAGCTGTGTTGTGAACTCTGAGGACATCGATGCCACCCTAATAACTTGTGACAAATCAGAAGGAAAGAAGATAGCAAAAGTGAGGACCTTGAGCAGGTACACAAGTGCTGAAGGAAAGGACAGGTAAATGTGGCAATCCAAGATGAGCGTGGAAAACCTTAAGGATTTTGTAAACTACTTTACAAGACTAACTTAAGATGCATATGAAAATCAAGGTGTGCATTCTGCAGTATGTTCCAAATTAATGCACTGGCATTGGCCTACTGCTAGGTTGGAGCCAGATAGAGCACTTAAAGGCTGGTATAAATGATTTGTGATCACAGCCTTTCATAGACTCATTTGGAATCTCTTTTCTATCCATTTTTGATCGACCATTTGGCCAGCATGCCAAACACTGGTAAATTGGCATTCCAAAGCTCACATTGGCTGATTGATAAATTCACTACTTTGGGCTCAGTTTTGCCATCTGTAAAGTGATGGTGATCAAATGAGCAAGTGTATTTATTTATTTTAAAAATACTTTTATTTTAGATTTTGGGATACATGTGTAAGTTTGCTATATAGGTAAATTCATGTCATGGGAGTTTATTGTAAAGATTATTTCATCATCCAGGTACTAAGCCTAGTACACAATAGTTATTTTTTTTCTGATTCTTTTCCTCCTCCCAACTTCAACCCAGTGGAGGTAGGTCCCAGTGTCTGTTGTCCCCCTCTTTGTGTCCATGTGTTCTCATCATTTAGCCCCCACTTATAAGTGATAATATGTGGTATTTGATTTTCTATTTCTATGTTAGTTTGCTAAGAATGATGGCCTCTAGCTCCATCCATGTTCCTGCAAAGGACATGATCTCATTCTTTTTATGGCTGCATAGTATTAGATGGTGTATATGTACAACAGTTTCTTTATTCAGTATACCATCATTGGGCATATAAGTTGATTCCATGTCTTTGCTATTGTGAATAGAGCTGCAGTGAACATATGCAGCATGCTTGTGTCTTTATGATAGAATGATTTATATTTTTTTGGGTATATACCCAGTAATGGGATTTCTGGATTGAATAGCAGTTCTGTTTTTAGCTCTTGGAGGAATCGCCACACTGCGTTCCACAATGGTTGAACTAACCTACGTGCCCACCAACAGTGTATAAGCATTCCCTTTTCTCTGCAACCTTACCAGCATCTGTTTTTTTTTTTTGACGTTTTAATAATAGCCATCTGGGTGGGTGTGAGATGATATTTCATTGTGGTTTTTATTTGCATTTCTCCAGTGATCAGTGATATTGAGCCTTCTTTCATGTGCTTTTTGGCCACATGTATGTCTTCTTTTGAAAAGTGTCTGTTCATGCCCTCTGCCCACTTTTCAATGTTTTTTTTTTCTTGTAAATTTATGTAAGTTCCTCATAGATGCTGGATATTAGACCTTTGTCAGGTGCATAGTTTGCAAATATTGTCTCCCATTCTGTAGGTCTGTTTACTCTGTTGATAGTTTATTTTGCTGTGTAGAAGTTATTTCATTTAATTAGATTCAATTTGTCCATTTTTGCTTCTGTTGCAATTCTTTTTTGTGTCTTTGTCATGAAATCTTTGTCAGTTCCTATGTCCAGAACGGTATTGCCTAGGTTGCCTTCCAGGGATTCAATTTCTTCCAGTTTCAGTCTTGGGAGGATGTAGGTGTCCAGGAATTTATCCGTTTCTTCTAAGTTTTCTAGTTTGTGTGCATAAAGGTGTTCACAGTAGTATCTGATGGCTATTTGTATTTCTGGGGTCAGTAGTAACGTCCCCTTTGTTATTTCTAATTGTGTTTATTTAGATCTTTCCTGTTTTCTTCTTTATTAGTCTAGCTAGTGGTCTATTTTATAAATTTTTCAAAAAACAAACTCCTGGATTTGTTGTTCTTTTGAATTGTGTGTGTGTGTGTGTGTGTGTGTGTGTGTGTCTCAGTCTCATTCAGTTCAGCTCTGATTTTTGTTATTTCTTGTCTTCTGTTAGCTTTGCAATTGGTTTGTTCTTGCTTCTCTAGTTCTTTCAGTTGTAATGATAGGTTGCTAAATTGAGATCTTTCTAACTTTTTAACGTGGGTGTTTAATGCTGTAAATTTCCCTGTTAATACTACCTTAGCTGTGTCCCAGAGATTCTGGTATGTTGTATCTTTGTTCTCATTAGTTTCAAAGAACTTCTTGATTTATGTCTTAATTTTATTATTTGCCCAAAAGTCATTCAATGCCTTCCCTCTGAATATCTGCTAGGGGGGTGCCAGTCTTCCCTGTGTCCCGGTCCCTTGGTGGCAGATGTTTCTCTTGGCTGTGTCTAGTTGGCCAGCTTGCCTATCTTTCCACATCTGCTTTCATTTCCCAGCTTCCAGGGTGTCCTAGCATCCTCCTTGTGGATCTCCCAGTACCTGCAGGTCACAGGGCCACAAAGACTGCAACATAGTTACCTAGGGTCTCCTGGAGAGAGCAAACATATTTAAAACAGCTTGCATTAAACCTTCCTGTATCATTGTGTTGCAAGATCAGGTTATTTAATTTCCATGTAATTTTATGGTTTTGAGTGATTTTCTTAGTCTTGGTTTCTATTTTTATTGCACTATGGTCCAAGAGAGTGGTTTGTTTAAAGTCTGTTTTGCCTGAAATTAGGATTGCAACCCATGCTTTTTTCTGTTATCCATTTGCTTGGTAGATTTTTCTCCATCCCTTTACTCTCAACGTATGGGTGTCATTGCATGTGAGATGGGTCTCTTGAGGACAGCATACTATGGAGTTTTGCTTCCTTATTCAGCTTGCCACTGCGTGTCTTTTAATTGGGGCATTTAGCCTATTTATATTCAAGGTTATTATTGATATCTGTGGATTTGATCCTGTCATTATGTTAGCTGGTTAGTATACAGACTTGTTTGTGTAGTTGCTTTATAGTGTCACTGGTCTGTGTACTTACGTGTGTCTTGCAGTTGTTGGTAATGGTCTTTCCTTTCCATACTTAGTAGTTCTTTCAGGATCTCTTGCAAGGCAAGTATGATGATAACAAATTCCCTCAGCATTTGCTTGTAGGAAAAGGATCTTATTTCTCCTTCATTTATGAAAGTTAGTTTGGCCGGATACAAAGTTCTCTGTCAGAATTCCCTCCCTCCCTCCCTCCCTCCCTCCCTTCCTCCCTTCCTTCCCTCCTTCCCTCCTTCCTTTCTTTGTTTTCTTTCTTCTTTCTTTCGTTCTTTCCTGAATATAGGCCCCCAATCTCTTGCTGTTTGTAGGGTTTCTGCTGAGAGGTCCACTGTTAGTCTGATGGGCTTCCCTTTGTAGATTACCTGACCTTTCTCTCTTATTGCCTTTGACTTTTTTTTTTTTCATTTTGACCTTAGAGAATCTGATGGTTATGTGTCTTAGGGATCATCTTCTTGTGAAATAATGTTGGGAAAGTTCTCATGAATGATATCCTGAAATATATTTTCCAAGTTGATTCATTCTCCCCATTTCTTTCAGTGACATAATTACATAATCCCACATTTCTCAGAGGTTTTCTTTGTTCCTTTTCATTCTTCTTTTTTTAAAATTCATGTTTGACTGTCTTATTTCAGAAAGCCAGTCTTCAAGCTTTGAGATTACTTCTTCAGCTTGGTCTATTCTGTTGTTAATACTTGTGATTGCATTATGAAATTCTTACAGTGTGTTTTTCAGCTCTATCAGGTCAGTTACATTCTTTTCTATACTGGCTTTTTTGTCTGTCAGTTTCGGTATCATTTTATTGCAATTCTTAGCTCCCCTGGATTGAGTTTCAGTGTTCTCCTGAATCTCAATGATCTTTGTACATTTTCACATTGTGAATTCTATTTCTGTCATGTCAGCCATCTAAGCCTGGTTAAGAATTTTTGCTAAAGAACTGGTGTAGTTGTTTGGAAGAAAGATGGCATTCTGGCTTTTTGGTTTGTTTGTTGGTTGGTTTGTTTGTTTGAGATGGAGTCTCGCTTTGTCACACCAGGCTGGAGTGCAGTGGCACAGTCTTGGCTCACTGCAACCTCCACCTCCTGGGTTCAAGCAATTGTGCTGCCTCAGCCTCCTGAGTAGCTGGGACTACAGGCATGTGCCACTGCACCCAGCTAATTTTTGTATTTATAGTAGAGATGGGATTTCACCATGTTGGCCAGACTGGTCTTGAACTCCTGCCTACAGGTGATCCACCCACCATGCCTCTCAAAATGCTAGAATTACAGGCGTGAGCCACTGCACCTGGCCTGGGCTTTTTGAGTTGTCAGAGTTCTTGTTCTAGTTATTACTCATTTTTGTGGGCTGATTTTCCAACAAGGTTTGAAGTTGCTGTCTTTTAGATGCCCTATTTTATTTTATTCTATTTTATGTCCTTGGGGGCTTAGTTGTGGTATAAGGTGGATTCGGTCAACTGGCTTTGTTTCTGGAAGATTTTAGGAGACTGAGCCTCAGCTCAGAACTCCTGGACTGCCTGTTCTTACTCTGGGGGACTGGTATTGGGCCCTGGCTTTGTTTTTTGACTCCTCAAGGTTGGTATAACCTGCTGCGCTGGAGAGGGAGAGGTGCAACAGGACCACTGGTCACAACACTTAGATGGGTGGTGCCAGACAAAGCACTTCATAGGGCAGTAGCAGTGGGATATGTTATTGTTCACACATGCCAGCAGCAGTGGCAGCAGCAGCATGGCAGGGTGCACCCTCATTGGCTGTGACAGGGTGCTAGCAGGTGATGTGGTGCCAGCCTCTGTGTGGGCATTTGCAGCAGTGTTGGTGGCAACACGGGTCAGGGGCGGCTCCACCTCCACCTCACCAGCTACTGTGCATGGTCATGTTAGCATGAGGGTGGGGCGCTGGTGGGCACAGGCCTCTGTGTGACCTCTGCTGTGCGCCCTCTGTGTGCATTCATGTGGGTGGTAGTGGCTACTCAGAGCAGAGTTGGGTCTGCTGCTTTCCATGCCTAGTTTCGTGCTGGTAGCAGTGTGACGGCAGGGGTGGGGCACTGCCAGGGACAGGGCTGGTGCTCTCTATGCCCACCAATAGTCCCACAGCAATGGCGGTAGGGTAGGTTGGGGGTTCATTCATGCTGGCAGCAGTGGCATAGCAGGGTGCGTGCTACAGGCATGCTGGTGGGGAAGGTAAGGCAAGGTCTGCCTGCATACACACGTGCCAGCAAAGTGATGTGGGGGGTGGCCGTGGGCGAGTGCATGCAGGCAAAGTGGTATGAGAGAGGCTGCATTGTGGGGAGGGCGCAGGCAGGCTGGTGTGTCTGTAGGGGCTGCTCTACTGGAGCTGTCCACAGTTCAGCCATAATTCACCAGCACAGGAGCTATGATGCAGGCTCTCAGGAGTTGTCCCCTCTGGGTACCCCAGGCTGCACTGCAAGCAAGTGCAGCCAGGCTGGGATCCTGGAAAAGGCCAACATACCGAGGGGTGTTCAGGCCAGACTGGTCCCGTCTCATGGGCAAGACCGCCCTGCAGAATTCAGATCCGACACTTTCTCTAGGGTTAAAGTCTCTTATGGGAGCAAGTGGAGCCAAGGGGATGTGCTTTCCTGGCTGTGCTCCACTACAGACACTCCTGCGCCAAATCCTCTGGGCTCCATACCAGGCTGGAGTTCTGCCCCTACCACTTCTCCAAGCAGTTCTCCCTGCCAACTGAAGTGTCTGTGGTAGTCATGGGGTCTCCTCCTGCCAGGATTCCAGAGGCCTGTAGTAAGAGCAGGTTGCTCCTTGCCTGTTCAACTCACCCTTTCCCCAACAGTCATTCAGGGCCAGGAATAAGTCCCCATACATGGTAGCCCCATGCAGGAGTTGCCAGCTTCTTCCCCTTCAGCCCAGCATCTGTGTCTTCCCTCCATCTACTCTCAATGTCTTCCCTCTGAATATCTGCTAGGAGTGCACCGGTATTCCATATGTCCCACTCCCTTGGTGCCAGATGTTCCTCGTGGTTGTGTCTAGCTGACCATCTTGCCTACCTCTCCACATCTGCTTTCATTTCCTAGCTTCCAGGGTGTCCTGGCATCCTCTCTATGGTATCTTCCAGTACTGCGGTACTTCCAGTACAGGCCACAAAGACTACACCAGAGTTACCTCGGGTCTCCTAGAGAGAGCAAATATCTTTAAAGCAGATGCATTACACCTTCCTGCTATAGAGTTGAGAGTCAATGAAAGTTGCATTACTAGTTTGCTTTGAATAATTCTATTTTCATTGGACCTATATGCATCTTTCTCAATAAAGGTTGTATTTACCAGTTGGTAGAAGAACAGATATTCAAAGTTACATTTCAAATCACTTGTACACCCCTTAGCAGGCACATTTTCTGTGCAAAGAGGGCAGCTAGATTTTTGTAATTTCTTCCCCAAGGACTAGGGACACATTCAAACACATGCTATGTTAGCAGGGTTTCAGAAATGATATAGCCCAACAACCTCCCTACTTCCATCTAATGTTCTAGCTATCTCTGGACATATTTGGAATGGAAACCTTTCAGTTCAACTTTTGATCTGACTTGACTTTAAGGTAATTGTAGAAATCTGAAGAATGTCTTTATGTAATTTGCTTATTTGAAAATGCATATAATGCCTACTATATGCCAGGTTCATTTCTAAGAACTTTATTCATTATAATTCATAATAATTCTCTAAGTTGGATAATATTATTATCCACATCTTGCCCCTGAGTGGCAGTGACAAATGTTAAATAACTTTGTTTTCCTGTCATAGGGAAAGCAATTCTGTCTCATGACCTTGAGAGAGGACTGTAAGTGATGTCACAGTTCTGTCATCCAGAGGTGTTTGGTCCCAAGAGAAAGCAGCAATGCTTAATTTAAAATTTCATCCACAAAAATGCAAGCAAAGGAAATGGAGAGAGAATAGTTTGAGCTGAAGATTCTACCAAGTCTGGTGCTGTGCAGAATGAATGTGGGGAGGGTGGACAGAGATTAAAGAGTATGAGGGGAGCCTGTCCTCTTATTTGTTTCCCATCCTGTTAGGGCTGCACTTTGCTCTGCTATTGCAGTACAAAACATGACAGGCCACCTTTCTTTGTTCCTTTCTAAGTAGCCTCAACCCTCTTCTTTTTCAGTTTCCACAAATGGCCCTGCTGAGGAAATGCACATCTTTTGATGGCATAATCTTCTTAATCCTCCTAAGTGTCCTGGGAGGCCTGGTGGGGTTACACGGAAGGGTACCCAGCCATCTGATGCTTCTTTGAGAGCTCAGCAAGACTGTGGTCAGTGCTGGGCACAGGCAGTGTCTTAATCCCGATTTCAGGGGAGATGTATGAGCCTGTGAGTCCCCGGTGCATCTCTACAACAATGAAGTAGAAAAGTGGGTTAAAGGAACAGAAGAGAGCGAGAGAGAGAAAACCTCTGATATTTCTCACCATGATGAAATGAACAAATGAAGGTACAATAATACAGTAGGGGTAAAAAATACTAGTTCATTGTTCAAGGGAAAAAAAAATCCCAAGTACAGGTTCAAGCCAGTGCTATTAAAACCCACTTTTTATGGCTAGAAATTGGATTCAGTATAGTAAAGTGTTACTGTTCAAAAGAAAGCATTGAGTTTGAATATACCATGCTTGACAGTCACCTAAATTACTGCATGAAATTACAAGAGCTGGTCCTGAAACGTAAAATCACGTCATGGTATGTGGAGTTACTCAGCGTAGGTAGAGGTTGCTGGAAATTGCTTTTTACAAGGCCACTCAAGTGACATCAGAAAGAACTGTTTGTGTGTGACCAGAGTTGTACCCAGAAATTACATGCAACAAACAAATCTCTGTGAATGAGCAGTGCCTGAATACTGTTATCACTCACCCTTGAAAACCTTATATAGGGAAAACAAAATGCCTTTTTTTTTAACCAAACAAAATGTTTTCTCTTTTATTTTTCAACTCGGCAAAGCATTCAGCTCACAATTTTTGATATAAATTTACTATAACCCAGAAAAACATTTATTTTATGGCATTCCAAACAGAAACTGGGCATTGTATCAAATTTTGAGTTGCTGAATGTACTTGAACCTAAACTTACAAAATCACATTTGCTTTTTAAATTTGGATAATTCATATTTTTCAACAGGTTTCTGGTTTTCTACCAAGTATTCTCAAATAAGTTTTACTCTGTATTTAAATGTAACTTTAACTTATTTCACATCCACTGAACTTGCCCTTTGACTTCAGGGTTGGAAGGAGACCTCTTAGCGTCTTAAAGGGCCATTTATCTTAATTTGCAACAGTGGTTGGCAGTTTTCCTTACAAAGTAAAGATAATTGCTGATCTTCCTATCTGGTGCTTTTGTATGTTGTTTTGAAGAAACTTACCATAACTATTTCTGTGTATTTGGAATTTGTAGTTAACTATTTTTTTGAGTCAAAAACACAGAAGAAGGTGGAAATTGCTTCTCTGTAGAAAATCGAAGTTCACTGATTGATACTGATTACAGGAAATCAAAAGCTCCAAGTAGAAAGTGTTATATATTTTGGCAACTATTGATTAGGCCCAACTCACTGTCTTTGGTTTGCAAGAACAGAAAGCTGAAGATATGTGAACAAGGATCTCCAATAACAAAAAGGCTAATAAGAAAAAGCATTTTTCCTAGTGAAATCACATAGTTGTTACCCCAAGACCCTCTTGAAACTGTTGTTTTATTGGAATGAATTAATGAGAAAGTTGTAGCAATTGGTATTCTAATCAGGAGTTGGGAAGCAGGGATTAGAATTGTACCTTTGTGAGGGCTTAGTTTTGGAGACTCAGGGAAAGAATAGAGAACAGAGTAGAGGTTTTACTGAAACACCGGGGGTTGGGTCTAGGTCCTGCTGCTTGCAGCCCGGAGTGCCAATCACTGAGATGAGTATAACCAGGGAAGAAGGCTTTCATCAGGTGCTGATGCTAAGGTTAGGAGATAAAGTCTCGAATCCATCTTTCCCACTGAGTAAAATTGGGGATTTTATATAGCGGGGAAAGACGGAAAACGGGCAATAGGGAGGGATGAGAAAGGAATCATGAGGGATGAGGGGCTGGTGTCTCATTGTCTGGATGCAACAACATGGTGAGTTTTGGCTCTTTGCCTGAGGGTTGGTTTCCTGAGGAGGAACTCAGATGTGACAAATCTAAGTTTCTAGTTTTAAGACAGAGTCAAATTCTATGTTTTTTTTCAGGAGCCCAGAAATCTGATTTCCATGGGATAATTGGTTCAGTTTCAGAAGGCCCAGTTAGTGCCGTTAGAAAGAAACGCACCTTGCTGCTCTGCACTGGTCACAGTAGAGAGAACCTATCAGGCCTCCGCATCTCAATGCCCTCAGCACTCATTTAGAATAAAAGTCGTGTTCAAATATAATTTTTCAAGAAAGGGAAACCCGTGACTCCCATACAGATAGAAAATTAACATGCTAAAATGTTTATTTAACTAATTATTAATAAAGGAATCAGATGTTAAAACTGGTTCAGAGAGAATCCAAAGGGGAGACACAGCTGGGTGAGGTGGCTTATGCCTGTAATCCCAGCACTTCGGTGGGCCAAGGAGAGAGGATCTCTACAAAAAACTTAAAAAAAAAAAATAGACGAGTGTGTTGATGTGCATCTGTGGTCCCAGCTCCTCGTGAAGCTGAGGTGGAAGGATTAGTTGAGTCCAGGTGGTCAAGGCTGCAGTGAGCCATGATTGAGCCACTGCACTCCAGCCTGGGTGACTGAGCAAGACCCTGTCTTAAAAAAAAAGGACACATTTATAGATCAGGAATATTGAAATAAACTCACAATGGATGTGTCAATAGATAAAATTACAACAAAATTAGTTTTAAGATCTAACTGACCTTCATTTGCTACTCCAGAATCAGGGAACACCTCATTCTGTTTTATTCTGATGAGCTGAGCAGAGAAGCTGGGCTTTGTAGAGAGAAAAGGGCCTAGAAAAGCAGAAACAGTGAACAAAAAGAGGATTGGTTGTTTCAGATTTCCCGTCCTAATAGGGTTAAAACAGAAGGGACTTACCATGCTGGCTAAAACTGGCCAATTTGGGGATTTGGTAATCTCTGTTTCTCTCCTCATTTCTTGGAAGATCAGATAAATAACTTAGTTTTGGCTTAGTGACTTGGAACTTCAGCATGAAGTGCTGTTTTGGTTTGATTTGGTGGACCGAGTCCAGGAGCTCAGTCCAAACCAATGGCCTCCTATAAGTTTCATTTAACAGATATAGAATTGTTTTGGGGAGGGAGAGCGTAGTCAGTAGACCCTCCATCAGACAGAATGTGTTTGCATGTCTTTAGACAAGAATAATTTCCCTTTGCTGTCCGTGATCTACAATTACAGAGTTATAAAATAGCTCAAGGGCAATAAAAAAACAGAGACCCACAGAATCAGAACCACATGACCTGGAAGGCTGTGCTCAAAGCAAGGCATGCTTTTCCATCGAAGCACTGTTTTGCCTATCATTATCTGGTGGGAATCCATAATTTGTTCTGCCCCTGAAAACAAATATATAATTTCACAGATACCCTTTCCAATGTGAGCAGACGAAATTTAAACAAGAAAGCCAAAGTGGTCACTCTCTTGTTCTTTCCTGCCTGAACCATCATCAGAGAAATTCCACCTGAACTATGACCTCACTATCTCTTACTTTCCAAACTGAGTGGTGCTCAAGCAACCCTTGCTACACATTAGAATTGCCTGGAGAGGTTTAAAATATTCTGATGCCTGAACCCCCCCCCCAGAGAGCATGTTTAATTGCTCTGGGTTGGCTTCCTGCATCTTAATTTTTCAGAGCTCCCCTGGTGATTCTAATATGCAGCCAAGGGTGAGAACTATTACTCTGAAGGGCCATGTACTACCTCCCAGCTACGCCTCCTCTGATGATTTTTAGCAAAGGCTGCAAAACCAAAGGCCTTAGGGTGCCAGGCTGGTGATGTACATGCATGAAGATTCTGCTCCTTCTAGTCATTCAAATTAAAGTTTATTTTTCTGCTGGGTAAGGAAGACAGGACTATGAGCAAATCCAGTCTCTGGACTTTCATTTGGCAACTGTCATTTTGAAGGCTATCTGGTGTTATTTTCTTCTCTTATATTTGTCTCACTCTTTGACTCTGAGGGCTTCTGCAGCTCCCCCTTTCCCTACTGGCATTTTTACTCCTGCTGTTTTCTTAACTAGAAACACCTTTTCACCTCTGTCATTCTAACTCTCCCTGTCCCCTAATCTTTTGTGTTTTAATTCCTACACGTCCTTTAGATTAATATCTCTCAAACTTTAGCATGCATCAGAATCACATGGAAGGCTTGTTAATACACCTATTGCTAGGTCCCACGCCCAGAGTTTCTGACTCAGTAGATGTTGGAGAAAGGCCATAGCATTTACATTTCTAAGATGTTCTCTTGGGATGCTGATGCTGCTGATCTGGGAAAGCCACACTTTGAGAACCAATGCTTTAAATCTTAGCATGTCGTCATTTCTTTCTTGAAGCACGTCTGTGTTCTCTTTCCAGTTTTTTATCACACCAGGGACCTCTGATCTGTGCACTTATAATTATGTTAACACTTACATGTTTGATGGTTTTGATAACTGACTAGTGCTCCACTAGAGTCTAGCTAGACTGTAACTTCATTGAGGACAAAGATTTTCTGTCTTTTGTATACCATAGTATCTTTAGTATATGGTATTGATGATGGGCCATAAGTATTGAATAGTCGATAAACTTTTTCTTGTTAAGCATTCATCTGAAAATGTATAGTTTTTTTTAGCCTTTCTCCCTTTTCTTTGAATTATTATTATTTTTTCTCAATATTGAATGTATTATGTTGCTTTTTACTATCCAGGGATCTTCTCCATGATACCTTAGATTGGCTTTAAAAATGGCTTCCTGTCCCAGTTACATATTCTCATCCTCAAAGTGTAGTTTGAAGACCAGCAGCTTCAGCATAACTGTAAACAAACGCAGTTACGGATGCTCGCCACTTGCAGAGCCCATTAACAAGAGCGAGATTTAGTAGAAAGAAAATGACTTTATTAATCAAAAGTAGTGAAGAGGAAATGGTCAATTTCTATCCAAAGTAACCACTTCGATTTTGGAGGTGGAAGTCGGTGGTTTAAAAAGGGAAAACTTGAAGAGAAAGGCATACCAGAATCGGGCTGAATACAATGTGTCTTCTGGTAGCTATTTTGGTCCCAGTCCACCTGGATCTTGGGCTGGTGTTATCTCAACAATGACCTAGTTGTTAACTAGCTGCCTTGAAGTAATCTCTGGAATTTTGCAGCCAGGTCTCTAGACTTGGCTGTCTGTCTCAAGATTAGCCCTTGAAACTTCTAAGACGACACATAATTAGATACTAGTACACAGTTAAAGAAATGCGAAGGCAGTATGTATGGTGAGAAAAGGAGGGACATGAAGTCTATTTTTAAGCTAAGAATAAAGGCTTCTGCAGTTTGCCTCAAGGTTATATGTTGAAACCCAACAGAAAGAGGAAAAAAAAGTTTTAAAATGCAGTTTGAAGTTAAGCTGCTTGGTTACATAACCTGGAACTCGTTAGAAATGCAGAATCTCGGCCGGGCGCAGTGGCTAACGCCTGTAATCCCAACACTTTGGGAGGCCGAGGCGGGTGGATCACGAGGTCAGGAGATCGAGACCATCCTGGCTAACACGGTGAAACCCCGTCTCTACTAAAAATACAAAAAATTAGCCGGGCGTGGTGGCGGGCGCCTGTAGTCCCAGCTACTCGGGAGGCTGAGGCAGGAGAATGGCGTGAACCCGGGAGGCGGAGCTTGCAGTGAGCTGAAATCGCGTCATTGCACTCCAGCCTGGGCGACAGAGTGAGAGACCGCCTCAAATAAAAAAAAAAAAAAAAAAAAAAAGAAATGCAGAATCTCAGGCCCTACTCCAGACTCAGTGGATCAGAACCTGGATTTTAACAAGGTCCCTAGCTGATTCCTCTGCATTTTAAAGTTCAATAAAAACTCCTCTCTTTGTCAGCCTAAATGGGTCCTCAGGCTGATATCTTTGGATTAAAAACAATAATAGGAAGAAAAGAAAATACAAAACCAAAGCCACTTGAGAAAGCTGCTTCCTGTTTCCTCAAGCAAGTACTTCTCAACTGAGTGACTATTGAATCTATCAACACATTTGTGTTGCACTCTTGACAGCTGATAACTGCTTAGTGTGCCCTTTCTCTAAGATCCGTGTTTCTGTTTTAACGGGGTCTTTCTAAGCCCAGTCTGAAAGAATTAAGGAAACAGAAATCTGAAACATTGTGACAGATTCTTGGAGGAAAAGGCCTATCAGGAGGCTTCAAATCGTACACATATTTTATTGAAAAAAAATCCATTTCTGCGTGGTTAAGATACAATTATATTTTTACTTTTCAACTTCATCTTACTTCTCAGTTGCTATCTTTTTGGTCCTTCTATTACATGTTTTTCCTCTCTCCCTCCGTAACCCCACCCCTTCTTTATGTCATGTTCTTTGACATTTTTACAGCCTTATTTTGTAATATATACTATCTCTTTTGGGCTCTCACCTGCCATACAATGCAGGTAAAAGAATATGCATGCTCATTTTCCACAAGAGTAACTGAGGCTTATAACACTCAATTTAGTGATCTTTTTTCTATAAATAAAGAGTTTAACCTCCCTATGAGTCAGTGCTGAGTATGTGTCATGAGTTAATATATGGAATACATGGGAAACAGGAATACGTGTTTTAGGTGATTGTTTGCAGAAAATTACACATCATTGGTAAACCCATCTAGGCTTGGTGCTTTCTGTTTTGTAAGGCTATTAATTATTGTTTCAATTTCCTTAATGTGTACATATTCAAATTGTCCATTTCTTCTTGTGGGAGTTTTGGCAGATTGTGTCTTTCAAGGAGTTGGTAGATTCCCCTTATGTTATTAAATTTCTAGGCACAGAGTTGTTCATAGAATTTCTCTATTATTATTTGAATGTTCTTGGGATTCGTAGTGATGTGCTCTTTTTTATATCTGATACTAGCAATTTCTGTTCTTTGTCTTTTTTTTTCTTAGTCAGTTAGAGGTTAATTAATTTTGTTTATCTTTTCAAAGAACCAGCTCTTGGTTTTGTTGCTTTTTCTCTAGCAATGATATGTTTTCAATTTCATTGATTTCTGCTCTAATTTTTATTATTTTTCTCTTCTATGTACTTTGGAATTAATTGCCTCTTTTTTTCTAGTTTCCTAGGATAAAATTTTAGATAATTGCTTTTAGATTTTTATTTTTTTAATACATGCATTAAATGCTGTTAACGTTCCTCTATGGACTGTGTTAGCTTCATCCCACAAAATTTGATAAGTTGTGTTTTCATTTTCATTTATGTCAAAATATGTTTAAGTTTCTCCTGAGATTTCTCCTTTGACCCATGTGTTATTTGGAAGTGTGTTATATGATATCCATGTATGTTGGTATTTTCCAGCTATTTTTCTGTTATTGATTTCAAGTTTGATTCTATTGTGGTCTAAATACACAGACAGACATTGTATGATTTCTAATTTTAAAATAATGTGTTGAGATGTGTTTGTATGGCCCAAATATGATCTATTTTAGTTGAAGTCCTTTGTGAGCTTGAGAAGAATGTACATTTTGCTACTAACGAATAAAGTAGTCCACAGATGCCGATTCTATGTAGTTGACTGTTGGCATTGTTGAGTTCAACTATGTCCTCACTAATTTTCTGCCTGCTAAATATGTCCATTTCTAATAGACAGCTATTGAGATCTTCAACTATAATTGGGAATTTACCTATCTCTACTTGTAGTTTTATCATTTTTTGCCTCACATAGATTGATACTCTGTTATTAGGTACATACACATTATGTATTGTTATGTCTTTATGGAGAGCTGATTCCTGTATCATGAAATACCCTTTTTGTCCTTGATAACTTTCCTTGCTCTGAAGTCTTTTCTGTCTTGAGATTAATATAGCTACTTCTTTTCTTTTGATTAGTGTTAGTATGGTATATCTTTCTTCATGGACTTTTTAATCTATACGAGTCTTTAAAGTGGGTTTTGTGTGTTTGTGTGTGTGTGCTTGTGTACAACATATAGTTGAATCTTGTTTTTGATCCATTCTGACAACCTCTGGCTTTTAGTTGGTACACTTAGACCATTGATGTTTAAAGTGAATATTTATATAGTTGGAGTAATAGCTGCCATGCTTGCCACTGTTTTTTATTTGTTGCCCTTGTTTTTTATTCCTATTTTTATCTTCTTTTTTTGTCTTTTGTGGCTTTAATGGAACATTTTATATGATTCAATTTTCTTTATTAGTATATTGATTATATTATTTTTGCCTTTTACTTGGTTTTGGTCATTGCCCTAGAATTTTCAAAATACATTTTCAACTAGTCCAAGTTGATTTTCAAATAACACTATTACTATCAATATTTCTTCATAGGTAGTGCAAGTACCTCATAGTATCAAAATAATTCTAATTCCTTCTTCTAGTCCCTTGTATCATTGTTGTCATTCATTTTACTTATACACAAGCATAAATAAACATTTGAATACATTGTTGCTATTATTTTGAACTGTCATCTGTTAGATCAATAAAGAATAAGAAAAATAAAAGTTTTTATTTTACCTTCACTTTTAGTCCTTCTCCAGTGATCTTTTTTCCTCCATGTAGATATGAGTTTCTGACCTATATCACCTTTCTTCTCTCTAAAAAAACTTTTAACATTTTTTACAAGGCAGGCCTACTGGAAATAAATTCCCTTAGTTTATTTTTATCTGAGAAAGTCTTCATTTGCCCTTCACTTTTGAAGAGTAATTTTACAGGTTATGAAATTCTAGGTTGATGGTTGATGTTTTATTTTTGTTTTTATCTCAACAAATTAAGTATTTAACTCCATGTTCTTCTTGCTTATATGGTTTCTGAGGAGAGATTGTCTGTAATTCTTATCATTATTTCTCTACAGGTACACTGTTTTTCACCCATGGATTCTTTCATAATTTACTATTTATTTTTAATTTTCTGTAGTTTGAAAATCGTATGTTTAGTTGTAGTTTTGTTGTTGTTGTTGTTTTGTATTGTCATTTTTTCTGGTTGGTGTTTAAGCTTCCTGAATCTGTGGTTTTGTGTCTGATATTAAATTGAGGAAATTCTCAATAATTATATATTGTTTCAAATATTTCTTGTGTTCCTGTTTCTCTTTCTTCTCCTTCTGGTATTTGCATTATGTGTATATCATATCTACTGTAGTTTTCCTGTGATTCCTGGATATTCTATTTTGCTCTTCTCAGTCTATTTTTTCTGTTTGCTTTTCCATTTTGGAAGTCTCTATTGAGATATGCTTACGCTCAAATATTCTTTCCTCAGCCACTTCCAGTCTACTAGTGAGCCCATCAAAGGTATTCTTCATATCTAATATAGTGTTTTTGATCTTTAGCATAAAAATTCTTAAAATTCCCATCTCTCTATTTATATTACCCATCTGTTATATATGCTGTTTACCTTATCCATTAGCACCTTCAGTTAATTATAGCTGTTTTAAATACGTGCTTCAATAATTCCAACATCAATGAAATACCTGAGTCTGGTTCTGATAGTCACTCTGTGTCTTCAGACTGTGTTTTCTGCTTTTCAGTTTGTCTTATAATTCTTTCTCCTGATAGCTAGGCATGATGTACCTGCTAAGAGAAACAGCTGTAAATAGGCCTTTACTAATATGTTGGTAAGGTGTGAGGGGAGGGAAAGAATTTTATAATCCTATGATTATGTCTCAGTTTTTCAGGAAGCCTGTGCCTCTGCACTGTGAACTTCATGCATACCTCTCCATTATCTCCTGCCCTTCCTCATTAAGTAGAAGATGACTAGCCTGAGCTACAGTTGGGTATTTCCCAAGGCTAGAGCTGGCGGTAGTTGGGGATTTTCCTTCCCCAACTAGGTGAGGTAGGTTCTAATAAAACCCCGGCAAGTTAGGTTCTGTTTAGCTAGTTTCTTCTGAGAATAGATTTAAGAGTAACAGAATGCTCTAGTGGTATTTCCAAATGGTTCCTTTCCCCCACTCCCAGATGGAGACATGAGGGGATTTTTCTCACATATATTCACTGTAAGAACCAAACAGAGCTCCAGAAGGTAAAACCCACAAAGGTAGGGGCTGTGTGGGCATATAGCAAGGCCCCCCTGAGTGTCTGTCTCTCAGATTTATCCACACTGACCCTCCAGCAATTCAGTAATTACACTTCAGGTTTTCCTATCCCAGCATTGATTCCCTCAGAAGGTTTAGCTCATGAGTTTTTGCTCTGGTAAGCTGTGATTCTCTGTATTCACCTGTTGGTCCCTCCATGTTAGGGGCAGCAGTTTGTCCCATGACCTTACTTCTTTATGGATCTAAAAAGAGCTGTTGGTATTTCATTATTCTTTTTTGTTTCAGTTTATAACTTGTTATTAGGATAGAATGAATGCTGGAGAAGAAATCAGAAAACTTAACCATTATTTTTTAAATTATATATATATATATATGTGTGTGTGTGTGTGTGTGTGTGTGTGTGTGTGTGTGTGTGTATATATAATTGTCCTCTCAATGTAGAAACATTGCTTTGATCTAAGGTAAAATGAATGTTTTGATTTTAGTATTCCAAAGTCATGAATTCCATCCCCAATCTAGTTAATTGCAAAAGGCTAATTTGTTTTCTTTATCCCTTGATACCCTGATAAAATATGCAGCGGCCACTTAAAGAAGCATTGCATGGCGATCCTCCCTACCCCAGGAACTCTGTAAGGTACAAATTAGGAATTATTCTTCAGTTTACTTTCATTTCTAGCCTAGGATTTAGTACTATAGCATGCTTCATGATCTTAGATGAAAATGGCGGTGGTGTCGATGACTAATATAAAAACTAAGGGATATACTTTTAAAATCCTAATTGTGAGGTTCCTTTTGGGTTATTTTTCAGATGATCCCAAACCAAGAATGATGTCAGATGATTACTAACTCATGTTTTCACCTAAGTGAAATATAGCCTTAGCATTTAGGGATCAGCAACTCCTGTTTCTTTCTGTTTCTTTCTCTCTTTCTCCCTTCCTTCCTTCCTTCCTTCCTTCCTTCCTTCCTTCCTTTTTGGTGGTGGCATGTTGTTGTACAGTAAGACATATTAGTCTTATTATGACCACATGCCAATAAGACATATTAGTTGTTACTACTATCATTTTGCTTAACAAAAGTTGATTTGTTGTGAAAGTCCAAGTGTTTTCCACCTTAGAGTCAGATACAGCATTGAGGGTTGGTTGGTTGTTTTCAACTTGAACCAGTTAAAAGCAGTGTTGTAGCTGGTAGTTAATCCAGTCAAAGCAAGTGTTCTATTCATCACATGATGGAACTATTGCACATAGCCACCATTTAAATGGTTTCAGCATGGAAGAATTTGGAGATACGTGGGAACTCATCTCTGATCTACTTTGCCCTGGAGTCCAATTTTAACCTCAGATTGCTTTCTCACAAAGACTTTATCCTTTCACACTTAACTGGGTAAGTTATTTCTAGACTGTTGAATTTCATGGACCAAAAAACCTTTGAAGAAAATGAAAATATATAGACTAACGTAAGATTAATAATGCTTTTTTTTTAACCAAGTAAGACAATTTTTGGAAAAATCAATTTTATCCTCATTATTTCATAAAAGGGAACTGTCACTTAATGGTCAAATTTTATCAAGATGTCCATTTTGAACCAATCAGAAGTGGCATGGGGTACAGCTTCAGATGATATAAATCTGGTTGTTTGGAGCTACCACTTTTTTATCACTGCTCAGATAAATGAAAGAAAACATGTTATTAAATTAATAACTGTGCAGTATACCCACGTTTTTAAAAAGATGTCATTGTTTTATTAATTCATGTTGTTATCCTTAAGAGCAAAGACCATCCTATTTCCTTTCTTACACATTTTCTTCTTTTTAATTTGTTCATTCTCATGGAGCTACCTTAAGAAGAAACAGTTGTTCCTGTACATTTTGAATTTTTTTTGCATTGTCTGTATTTGTACAGGTTGTTTTTGGATTACGGTATGTTAAAATGGAAATGAAAGATAGAGAATAAAGTGAAGACAAAGGAAAAATAAACAGGAAAGTGTACTATGTCATGTTTAACATCTTTTATAGCTATTAGCTAAGAAAGATATTTGTTTTACCTATTTATATTTTGAATATATTTCTTCCTTAGGCCACTATGAGACTAAGTAATAATTGATAATTTTTGAAGATGTTAAGAATTCTGAAGTCATACATTATTGCTGAGAACAAATACTGAATTGATATGCTCTCTTTTCAATATTTGCTTTCCCATTGCGGTTGAATATTATATTAATTCTTATTTTAAGTCTACAGTAGCATTTCTTCTATTTTATAGGGAGTTTGATTTAGTTAGCATAATAAAAATACTCTTAGCTGTGATAAGATGCACAAAGACTTTACCTAAGATATACTCAAAACTATAAAGACATGTTTAATAGAAGATGCCTTGAAGCAATTTCTGAACTCAAAAATCTTAATTTATTAAGCATTAGTATTGGGTCCTAAGTTTTATTTTGTCCTTGAGTTTAATTTTATCATTGTTAAATTGAATCTAATATAAAAATAAAAAATTAAGAAAACCCAAACTCTAGAATCTGTTTCATTTGAGCAAATCACTGCTCAGATAAATGAAAGAAAACATGTTATTAAATTAATAACTGTGCAGTATGCCCACGTTTTTAAAAAGATGTCATTGTTTTATTAATTCATGTTCTTATCCTTAAGAGCAAAGACTATCTTGTTTCCTTTCTTGTACATTTTCTTCTTTTTAATTTATTCATTCATTATTTAATTGATAGGTGTTTCAATTGATTCATATATTCATTGATCTAAAAAATCTATATTGAGCATCTGTTTATACTTGGTATTTACCTTGTGTTAAGGCAATAATCATGCATAAGATGTGATTCTTAGAATCGGGTACTCAATGTCAAGAAGACAAGCATATGAGCAAGTTCAGAAATTATGATAAGAACCATGATCAAGTATAGGAGTGAATCTGCAACAACATTAAAAGACCTGAGTTCTAACACTGCTTGGAATACAGAGACTTCTCAGGTCTTCACTGAATGGATAGATACAAACTAAGTAATTTGAAAGCAGAGAAGAAACATCAAACACAATCATCATTTAGCTTTTTGGTAGGTTGGAGATTATAAATTTAAATGTTATTGAAATCTTATTGCTTTGTTCTCAAGGGAAAACAGTGACAGGTCCAATATAGATGATTTCTGTAATTCCTTTTCAACCTTGAGAATTTATGACTCTAATATCCACTTTGGTGTGAATATTGAATAAAATATAAGATAATGCTTTAGTTTTTCAACATAGATAAGAAAACGGTATATTACAGATTTACTCACAGTTGACATAAGGGCTGGGTTGATGTTCACCAAATACTGGAGTGATTTGTTAAGTAGAGGTATCAAAATCTTATTCTCTAAAAGCCTTAAAATCTAAGCAAACCTCCATTTATTTTACATAATAAAGGTGTGAACATGCGTGAATGCATTTCAACGTGGTGGGGGTAGAGTAATTTTGGCATGACAGTACTCCTCACATCTCCTCTCGCTTCATCCATAATTCCAAATATAGAAAGTCCAGATACCAATATCTGTTGAAAAGAATGTACAGAGAGGAAAAGATCTCTGTACAACTGATTGCATGAAGACTGGACATTTGACCAAACCATATGGAGCAGATGAGAACCTGAGCCAGTTAGCCATGGAGTCAGCTCTGAGAGTTGACACCACATCCACCAGTAGATGTGGGCAAACTGAAGTTATAAGGGAGCAGAATCCATGAGTAAGCAGAGGAAGTTCTCTGTGGATAGTAGAATTCAATAAATGTGTGCAGGTAAGCAGAGGCAAGACACCAAACAGCCCTACAATAAAAGAGTTGGTGAGGAGCTACCTGAGACCTTCATGCCTTCTCAGCTCTACTTCCATAAGACACAGCTGAACTCTGTTTCTATGCATTACATGCTCTTCAAGGACTCATATCTATTTGGTGTGTGTGCTTGTGGGCATGGTCTGTGTTTATGTCTGTGTGTGTGAGAAAGAGACACTTACAGTCATTGAAACCAAAAGAACTGCTATTCTGAAATGCCCGGCCAGTTATGGTTAAGATTTTTTCTGCTATGGTCATATTCAGCTATCTCCTGGTTTTGAAAACAGTAGCCTGTTCCCTTCCTTTCAAAACTTTGCCATGTGTGCTGGGTGTCAGGAAGGGAGACTGGTGACCACAGGAGAATCTTTCTTGCCAGTGTTATTTCCAGTGTCTGGATACATTACTATCAGAAACAGGCATATTTGCTTTGTTAAAATTAAAGTGAAATTACTGCTTAATTGAAAAGTCAGGGATATTTAGCATTTCATACCCTCATTAATCATAAAAAGGCCTTACCCCTTCTTTATTGTTTGGGGCAAACTTTAATTTATCTACATTAGCAAAACTCAGTAAAAGGTAGCATGTTGAGCTGGAATACCAGGACTAGATGGAAAGTCCTTGGTCTCTGAAAACAGTACACCTGAGTTAAAATATTACTTCTTGTCATACTTTTTGTGTGACATTTGGCATATCACGTTCCCTGGTAACAGTTTTCTCATTTGGTAAATGCAGTTTTCAACTTCTTAAAATTATGATGAGAAATGTGTCATAAAATTTTTAGAGCAAGTTCTGGAACCAGGATTGTGATTCAAATCCCAGCTCCTCTACTTATTAGCTGTGTGACCCTAGGCAACATATGCAGTGTATGTGATGACTTTGCACTTTAGCTAATGCATCTGTAAGACTGAAATCACAGTGCTACCTATTTCATAGGCTGTCACGGGAAGTAAATATCATTAAACATATAAAGCACTTGATACAAAGCCCAGTAGCGCTGGCATATAGTACAAGCTCAGAAAAGTGTTTGCAGTACGTGTTTACAATCATAAAGTGCTTTGTAAAATTCTATAGCACTATACACGCGTGATCCTGTTTAAACAAAGTTTCTTGAGGCACAAAATGATATGTTTCGAGTTAATCCTCAAAGTGCTTACAATTGATAACTTGCTAATGGCTTATTCTGTAATTTCTATCTCCTTCTTTAAAGACCAGATAAGTAGAAATGGTGGCACTGAACAGGTATATGAAAAAGCTTTTATCATCATCCCGAGACTTTCAGGTCAGGAGAAATGCATGTGTTTCTAGGGATTTTAACTTGGCACCTTCCATGGACACTAAATTTACTCTGAAAAGAAAAAAAATAAAAAGTGTCTGTTCTTTCGTGCTGGCAGAGGTAGTCAGGAATGGTTCTCTTTGGTGCTCTCAAGTTTTCTTAAGCTCTTTCTCCTTCTCCAAGCAGGTAAGAAATAAGATAATTGATGAGGCTTTCTGATTCCATGCACTCGGGTATTTCTAAAATAAGTATGAAACGTAGGAAATAAAGTGTATGTTAAAATATCATTTGAAAGAGAGAACAAGGCAGAAATTTCCAGATTCTTTTTTTAAATATTGTATTTTATTCTATGTAAATCTATTTTTTTTGCAGTGCTAAAACAGGTATTTTATATGACTTTGTGATTACATTGAGAATATTTCATAAAACCTCCATTTGTGTTTCATATGTCTTCTGTCTTATTAGTGAGGGAGATTGTGCCTAAAATGTTAGAGTTGGAAGATCTCAATAAATTGTGAATTTTCCTTCTATCCCCTTTTCCCTAGAAATTTATCTGTGTCACATTGACAGATGAGACAATACTTGCTAATCTATTTCAATGATCATTTATCTGCAGCTAATCATTTTCCTTTTGTAACTTCATGGGATTCCTTTTACTACAGTTTTCCTAAGAAAGCAGATTTTTTTTTAAATATTCCCTTTAAATAAACATCAACAGTGATATATACTGTGGGGTGTTTCCCAAATGTTCCCTTTAAATTTTGTCATGCTCAATATAAACATCAGCCCTGCAGCATCAGGATCTTCTAAGAGGTTGTTAGAAATGTAAATTTCAGGTCCCACCCCAGACCTACTGAATCAGAGTCTGTACTTTAAAAATGGCGGGGCGCAGTGGCTCACGCCTGTAATCCTAGTACTTTGGGAGGCCAAGGCGGAAGGATTGCCTGAGTTCAGGAGTTCGAGACAAGCCTGGGCAACAGGGTGAAACCCCGTCCCTACTAAAATACAGAAGAAATTAGCCGGGCGTGGCAGCGTGAGGCTGTAGTCCCAGCTACTTGGGAGGCTGAGGCAGGATAATTGCTTGAACCCAAGAGACGGAGGTTGCAGTGAGCAGAGATTGCGCCACTGCACTCCAGCCTGGGCGACAGGATGAGACTCCATCTCTACGAAACAAACAAAAAACAGGTACCTACATAATTCCTATGCACATTACAATCTCAGAAATGCTATGTTAAAACATTAGAATCCCATGTTCTCCAAACTGTCAAGATGTATCTTGAAACAGCAGATTCACTTACAATCAATGGCTTAAAATAATACAGATGCATTATCTTACTATACTGGAGGTTAGAAGTCTAAAATATGCCTCAGTGGTCTAAAATCAACATGTCGGTGGGGTTACATTCCTCCTCGAAACTCTTGAGAATTATTTTCTTGCCTTTTCCAGATTGTAGAGGCTGCTGCCATGCCTTGGCTCATGGCTCTCGCCTATCCACAAACCTGGCAGTGCAGCATCTTCAAATCTGTCTCTCTGATTCTGACCCTCTTGCTTCTCTCTCACTTGTAATGACACTTGTCATCACTAGATCATCCAGAATACTCTCACATGTCAAAGTAGGGTGATTAGCAACCTTAATTTCATTTGCAACCTTATTTCCCCTTTGTCATGTAAGGTAACACACTTATAGATTCTGAGGAGTAAGGAGTGGGCATCATTAGGGTGCCATTATTCTGCCTACCACAAATAGGATCTGTGACTTAACAAATGTAGGTAATGTTGATTAGACCTAATTAAGATTGTGTTTTTTTTGCAGTGCTTCTCAAAATGTTTAATATATTAAAGCTGTATTATGAAACATCTGCAGTGATATATACCGTGGGATGTTCCCCAAATGTGTTAGATTGCAGTACCCTTTTATTAAGATCTCCCAGAAGAGAGGAACTCATTTGAAAAATGTGGACCAGAGGAATTTACATTTATCCTTTCCATTCTATCCAAGGATTAACCAACAGTGGAGCCCTCGGCTTCGAGATTTAGGACTAAGTTTTTATCACTGGGCCTAATAGTAAGTAACTTTAATTTAGGCAGATGAGATTACTCTTCTATTTCAGTTCTGCTTGGTTTATTGGGAAACCTATTTTCACATCTTGAGTCTACTGCTTGCTAGTGACATGACCTCGATTTTAATCTCTCTAACATTAGTTTCGAAGTTCTGAGTTGTAGGGAATGGTGAAGACCATGGGTCTAGAGTCAGACAGTCTAGGTTAGAATGCTGGCACTGGACACTTCCCAGCTGTGTGACTCAGAGAGAAAGGTATTTAACCTCCTCGTGCTTGGGTTTTCTCATCCTTAAAATGAAGGCAAGAGTAGTTTCAACCTTGTAAACATTTTTGTGAGTTTAAGTTAGATAATGCGTATAAAGTAGCTGATGCAAAGCCTGGCATGCTAAATGCTCATTAAAGGTTTTGATTGAGGTTGCTGTTATTATTATTATTATTATTAAAAATAACTGCAAGTACCAAAGTTCCGTTCAGACACACAAATAGTATAAAAAGATAAGACCTCTCATGGGAATGTTGATTTAATGGATATGAAAGACTGCTTTTGAAATAGACACTAAACAATTGAAAGAATTATAAGTTAAGATTTTCCGTTCAATGTAAACCAAGGAGAAAGATTTGGAGGGGGTTTTGATTGGATAAAGAAGAGTTGAATTTAAAGACTTTGGAGGCATTATACAGCACAAAAATACTTTCATCAAGAATATCATTTCAGAGGAATCACTACACAATTATTTCCTACTTGAGCCAAATCATTGAAAAATTCTTTGAAGTTCTACACATGGACTTTACGGGCAGTTAAAAAATTCACAAAGAAGAATTATTGACATACATAAAACACTTAAGCAGGCATTTAAAAAGAAAATAAATGGGGTTTCTGGCCCGACATTTTATTTTAAAATTCTAATAAATCCAATTTCATTTGAAAGCTGATTCAAACAACATATATGTCAAACCAATTCAGAAGATTAGGTGTTTTAATTAAAAGTGCTGTCTATAACTTTGCAAAGTGACAGTTCAAATATAACTGGAACAGCAGTGTCAATATCTTTACTGAGAGAGGAAAACATCATCAAGAATCTTAATTTGTCTCAATTGCAGCCTAATAACTCAATTAAATTGTGATAGAAAAATAAGGTTTGAAGGAAATTGAGAGAAACACACTAATTTTTCAGATTTAATTAGCTAAGTAGAAATCACAATACTCATAATCACAGATACATGTGTAGTTACAAATGCTGATTACCAAAGTACCAGAGTGTTTGGCTTCAGGAGTTAGGGGTGTGTGGGGTGTGCATGCTCACTCGTGTGTGTGTGTGTGTGTGTGTGTGTGTATATACATGAGCTCTCTTGGATCTGCACACTAGTACAGACAATCAATACTAACAATCAAGATAAATAGATCAATTCAAAATGTCAACAGAATATCACATAATGAATAGGATGAAATATGTCATCTGCTATGAATGGAGAGATCTATTAATAGTTTGGGAAATTTAGATGGGATGAATTATAAATTTATCTTGCCTCTTTATCGCAATGTAGATTTAATCAACATTCAGTAGAGCACTGGGTAAGAAACCTAAGGCTAAATTTTCATTCTCTGATTCGGGTTTACTCCAAGCCATGACTATTGTTATATTTTGTTTATCATGAGGGAGTTAAATATTTTTATTTTATTATTAAAACTAGTTTTGAAATTAGGCTTAATTTATCTACTGCTTGGTCTTGGGCAAATCATTTTTCACTTTCCTATGTTCATTTATATAACAAAACTATTGTTTACTTAGGGGCATACTATGAACTAAAGTCATTTTATATCACCTCCCCCCTCTATATTACAAAAGTATTTTCAATAATAATCATGAAATGAAACATTTTGGAGTTCTCTGAGTTCACTTCCCTATAAAATATAATGCTTATTAAAGGATACCCAATAAAAATGATGCTAATTTGAAGCTTATGCATATATTACTAAAACTTAATAGTTACTGCAGCAGTTATTTAGAACTTATATTAGAAATGAGCAAACTTTGACCAGCAGGTTACATTTGTCCAGCTGCTTATCATTGTAAATTTTATTTTTTTGAAATGACCATTTGCTTCTGTGTTGTCAAGGGCAGTTGGCAGATTTGGGCTACAACAGAGTTCAGTAGCTGTGAAAGAGCCCATAGACTGCAAAGTCTCAAATATTCACTACCTACCACTTTACAGAAAAAGTTTGCTGACTCCTAACTTAGACCAACAAAAGATTTTTAGAAGAATAGTATTTTTTCCCTGATGTTGTTTAGAATTATTATTATATGATTAAGATAAAAGGCAGATGGCTTTTAGTTATTTCTTTTTAAAACCCCCTACAGACAGTGCACCGTTTATTGCCTGATCATTCTAACCACCTCCATCCCAGTGTGTCTCCAATCAAACCTGTGTTGTTATCGTGTGTTTTATTGAATGAAGATCATACATGACAATCAAATAGGGCCTAATACGTAGTAAACCTCCCAAATTAGTGTGCCTTCTCTTTTGAGAGCGCAAAATGATAAATTATAAGGGGTGGTTGTCCAAAAAGTACAGGTAACAGAGGAACTCCAGACTGGGGATAAAATGTTGCATGTTACAGTGTATGTAGACTCTCAACATCCATAGAAACTCTTCTATTCCTTGAGGGCCAGGCCAGAATGTGTGCGTTCTAGGATGCCTCTACCTACCAAATAGTTTTTTGCCCTCTTGGTGGCACTGTGATGCCAATTGTCTATTGGTAAGTAACCTCTAACCTTGATCTGAGAGGAAAAGAAGGTTCTTGGTTCTTTATGCCTTTCCACTGTTCTACTTATCATATTTATTTATGATTTTTTTCCTTCTAATTTATCTCTTAATTTCTGAAGCCCAACGTGATTTTAATGTGAGTGGATAGAGTTTTTGGAGCTTAAGTTCATGGGGCATCATTAGCAGATAATGTGGGTTGAGTCCACACACCACATATGAATATAGCAAATCACTTTAAATCTGGATGATTGTGTGCATTCCTTTGATTTCTTTAACTCACAGCATTGTCAAATAGGTAGCAACCCAGCTATGATCCTAGTCTCTAATTAAGATATTTGAATGAGAAGAAACCTGTACTTTCCCCTCATGGGAAGGAAATTTGCCAGAGCTAGCTTAATGCTCAAAACTCATAATCATAAAGGTGATTGCTTAGTGTAACCTAAATTAAAACCCATATTCATTGTTACAAGATTACATGTTTTTCTTAATATTTTGCATTAAACATTTAACATACAGTTTTGAGGAATTACATTTCAAAATGTAATTTGGTATTTGTCGGGCCAGTTGGTAAACCTGAGCTTCATGTAATTTCTGACTTGTTATACTCTGGAGAGAAATTATATGATATCCACAAATATTCACCTCTCACATTCTTTTCTTGTGGGTATTGCTCTGATGCTAATGTGAAATGCTGTTTATCAGGAGCAAATGATTTGCGGATTCAGCTACTTCAAAAGCTTTGGTTTTATTTTTATGCATAGAACATAGCCTTCTCATTAATTTTTATTTCATTTACTAAATTTCAATAACCCTTTGAATATGTAATGACAGAGGTGAAAATAATGTCTTATCCTCCCTTATTCTTTCTTTCTGAATTTTTTTGTGACCCCAAACATAAGGCCTTAAAAACTGGTCATGTTTTATTCAATCACTTGTGTCTCTTTCTAGAATTTAAGGATCTCTGCATGCATGTCTCTTCCTCTCTTCTTTCAAGACTGTTGCAAATGGTTGATCAAATTTATATTGAGGTCATTAAAGGTATGATTTTATTTATTCCTCTTTTGAGTACACTCTGTTTTGGAGAATGAAAAATCTTTCATGTCTATTATCAAAACACAATATCATTGAATATGCCACAAAAGACAAATATATTTGCAAATCCTGTGGCAAAAATAATGTTACATTGGCTTAAAATGAACAGTTAGCATCATCTTAGATAGGACTTTGGCTTTATCAGGCACAGTTTGGGGTAAATTACTTGGGCGATGGCTGGAGCTGAATCTGTTTCCTGATTCCTGGACAGAAAAATTGCTCCCCTTCCACCCCCAAAAACTGGCATGGTTGATCCCATAGATAGAGATAAAGAAAGCTATTTTCAGAATAATTCTGCCAGTAAGCTCACATCTATTTTGCAAATAAGTATACTAACGTCATCTGGAGATATTTACTGCAGAAAAATCTTTCAAACTCTCAGGTGTGATCTAAGAACCTAAGTATTGAATTCTTAAGCTTGGTAGCCCCTTTTGTGACTTGACTTCTGTTGGAATTCTCTAAAGAAAACAGAAAGAGGATGAGCAAGACTTCAAGAGAAGGCCAGTAAATTGGAAGCTGGAGAAATCTGCTTCAAATGTCTTGTTTTATCTCATACGCTTAGAAAACTCAATGAACTCTTTGCCCTCTATTGTTAACAACTCAGTCGATCTTCTGGGACTTGGGAAGCATTTACCCAAAGTCATCTGCTTTGATCCCAGAGGTGAAGAATGTGATGTTAACTAGCATCTTTGTTTACCTGTTGTACTTAAGAAGCATAGCTGATAAAAGTCTTAAATATTTCACTCCTGAGTAAGAAGGGGAATAATTTTCTCTGGACTTTCTGAAAAATGATGAGAGTGACACATTTTTTTAAGCCACTAAAAGCTGGATTTATTTGTTTCCACTTATTTGCGTTGGGACATACATACCGATAAATAGCAAGGTTTCCTTAACAATGATAAATCTCAAATTTAAAAAAAAATTGCTCTAATTGATAGGTGTACTCTTTCAAGTCTTAAGAGAGGTAATAGTTTGCTGCGGGACTAATGTATCTTAGCAGAGACACTAAAGGTAAGAGGAAAAAGAGCTGCAGATAAAGATGCTGAAAAATAGCACAATTCTTAAAGCTCAATTTATCATTTAGCATGCAGAGGTCCCTAATTCAATGAAGACTAATCAGGTTTTATAACTCTAATTTTGATATCTAATGTGGCAAGCTGTTATCCAAATTGATATTATAATCATATGACAGTAATGTTTTCTTTATATTTATTTACAAAGTTAAATTCTGTGTATTTAAACATTACATTTACCATACGTAACAAGACTAGAGATCTGAATATATGTTATGCCCATTCCTACTGACAGGATGAAGACTCAATCCTTCTCCTTTAAGGATATACAAAGGAAGATGTATTTGTTTCACTGGATGAGTTGGGGTAAAATATCTGGCACTAATTCACCACATGAAAAGATGCTATTACAAAGGAGTTAAATTTTTTTTTTACCATTTAGATGACTTTGATAGCCTAGAATACCACACTGGAGTTACAAGCTTTCCGTTTATTCTGTTTTATTGACTCATTGATAGGAATGTGATGCAGGAAAGAGCGAGGGGTAGGAAGTGAAGGAAATCATATCAGAATTTATAAGAACTGGTAGGAACCTAGCTCTAGATGAGGGTCATGTTTCTCAATTTTTGCCCTGGTCCTGCGTTTGGCTCTGTAGCATTGGACAAATCTGTGTTCCAAGCTCCAGTCTTCTCATCCGTAAAGTGGACCCATACCCCCACTTCTGTCTATCTCTGGCATTACGTGGCAGTGTTCAAATAAGAATGGAGGCATTAAAAATGCTTTGGAACCAATAAAAGCAGTTATTATTGGGGAGAGATGTGACTTTAGTGAAAGAAGCAATGAAGAATGACACAAGTACTTATTAAATTATTAATGGAAAGTAGTAGTATATAGATGATTTTTAAAACTACTGTGGTATAGTACTGTAAGAAATGTACACACCAGTTACTAGATAATTCACAAAGGTCTGATAATATCCCGAGAACCACTGTCTTAGAAGTGTAATGAAATAGCGTATATATATGCCTGCTCTAAAATCCCACTGATTTGAAGTTTTCTGGATGGATCCCACATGGACATGTTATCCTATCATCCTCTAATTTTCATGACTTAAAATGAATGATAAAAATGCCTGCTTTTTTCCCCATATACATGCAGGTAAGACTGAAGAAATGAGAACCGTCACTTGTAAATACCTGCCATGTTTTAACCTCATGAATTGACCTCCTTTTTATTGTCCAAGGATGCACAGTGGGACATTTTTACAGAGAATCTGCTTGGAGACCAGTGACAATTGATTCTGACTGCCAAGCCTGTTCAAATCACAGGGAAAACCAGTGACTGTAAAATTCAACCAATTTTTAGTTCTTGTTCAGGGAAAGGAACAGCTTGCTTTGCAAAGACTTCTTGAATTAGAGCACAAACTTGAGTAACCAGCTCATGACCTGCCAAGATACCAGCTGTTGAAAAGAACGTGATGTTTCTTATTGGGATTTTGTTTGTCATCTAAGCTTAGGTCATTTGCAGAGGTCATTGTAGTCTTGAAAGGGAATTAAAAAGAAAAGTAAACTGGTTCAACCATTGTGGAAAACAGTGTGGTGATTCCTCAGGAATCTAGAACTAGAAATACCATTTGACCCAGCCATCCCATTACTGGGTATATACCCAAAGGATTATAAATCATGCTGCTATAAAGACACATGCACATATATGTTTATTGCGGCACTATTCACAACAACAAAGACTTGGAACCAACCCAAATGTCCATCAATGATAGACTGGATTAAGAAAATGTGGCACATATACACCATGGAATACTATGCAGCCATCAAAAAGAATGAGTTCATGTCCTTTGTAGGGACATGGATGAAACTGGAAACCATCATTCTCAGCAAACTATCACAGGGACAAAAAAACAAACACCACATGTTCTCACTTATAGGTGGGAATTGAACAATGAGAACACATGGACACAGGAAGGGGAACATCACACACCATGGCCTGTTGTGGGGTGGGGGGAGGGGAGAGGGATAGCATTAGGAGAAATACCTAATGTAAATGATGAGTTAATGGGTGCAGCACACCAACATGGCACATGTATACATATGTACCAAACCTGCACGTTGTGCACATGTACCCTAGAACTTAAAGTATAATAAAAAATAAAATAAAAATAAAAATAAAAAAAGAAAAGTTATCTTATTAGTATTTTATGTTAATTTCTATATCCCCCTCACAGCAACTAAAAGAATGCCTGAAATATGAAAGTTGCTTAATAAATATTTTTTAAATGAATACATGAATCTAAAAATGGCAAAGAAAGTAACTCACAAAGTATCAACACAAAGTAAAGGAGTATGACATCAGAAATCAATCAAACTTAATGGCAGCCTCAGCTCTGATGCAGAGTTGCTCAATCATTTCCCCTTTCTGGAACAATTTCACCATCTGCAAAATGGAAGCGTTGTTCTAAGTATTCTTTTAGTTCCTAGATTTTAAGGTTAAGTCAGCTAGCATGCATATAGCTTTGTCCAAGATTGCTTTAAACCTCAACATGTCCCAAAGTATAATGCAAATGTTTCTCAGGCAAAATAGTGCCTGAGATAAAATGATAAAATTCCTGAATACATTTTATAGAGACTTGCTGTTCAACATTTCTTGGCTGAAAGATATGATGGATTCACACCTCATTAGCATGTGCAGATAGCACTTGCATTCTGCTCAGAATGAGAGGTGTGGTCCTCACTGGCAGGGGACAGAGAATTTTTTATCTAAGCATTCAGTTTCCTGTGGTTTGTCTTAGGAAGTCTTGTGTACTTCCACCCCAACCCCAGCAGCATAACCTCTGCTATTTATTACACTTTACTGCAACCATGCTTATCTCTCCATGTTCCCCAAAATGCTCTCTACATTCTGGCTGCTGAAAACTTCTGGGGGTGTTCATCTGTCCTTGCTTCCTACCTTCTTTCTTTCCTCTCTCTCCCTTGGCAATCTAGAAAGGGGTATGGATGTGTCAAAGATCACGCAGAGAGCTAGAGGCTAAGAAAGATCAAGAACCCTGTATCTTAACTCTCAGTACCTCTATCACCAAAATCTTTGTCCACCCCTCCCCACCCCCAGGTGCTGTTCCAGTTTCTTTGTGGCCATTTACACTGTTCCACTCTGTCTCCCTCTCTCACCTAACAATCTTGTCCACAAATCCATGCAGGTGCCAGCCACACCCTCTTCCCAGCATCCTCACTGCAGCAGTGATTCCTTGGGACTCTTTAGCTTTGTAATTTTCTTGACTTTTTTTTTTTTAATATTCAGGAATTTTCTCGTCCTTCTATACTGAGCTTGGAATGTTTTGAGGCAAAGATCATTTAGGACAATGTACAGTTGCAAATAAGAGAAAACTGACTGCCGCGAGCTGACACGAAAAGGTGTTTCATTTTCTCCCATATCAGAAAGTAGGTGGGTGCTAACAGTATTTATTCTGCTCAGTGATGCATGACATCAGGGACTCTGGTTCTCTCTCTTTTTCTGGTTTACCACTTTTAAGGAGTAGGTCATCCTTTTGCTGTGGCCTAGTGGTGCCAAGAGGACAGTAATAGTGCAGACATCACAGTACAGACAGGGTTAGAGGAAAAGTCATGCCAGCTCTCTCTCTCTCTCTCTCTCTCTCTCTCTCTCTCTCTCTCTCTCTCTCTCTCTCTCTCTCTCTCAATCCCTCCGTCTGTCTATTTTTACCAAGGGAGTAAAACTTTTCCCAGAACTGACTTCAGGGGATTTCTGCCTGTTTTGTGTGTCACGTGATTATTTGTACTTGAAAAGAGGCTGGGAGATTGGGAAACACACTTGACCCCTTTTGACTGTGATCAGTGGTGAGTGGTTGTATGGGACTGGATACCTCACCACCCTAAAACCAGAAATCTATCAGCAAAGATGGGAGAGGGAATGGAGGTGATATGGTTTGGCTGTGTTCCCACCCAAATCTCCTCTTGAATTGTAGCTCCCATAATTCCCACATGTTGTGGGAGGGGCCCAGTGGGAGATAACTGAATCATGGGGGCAGTTCCCCCATACTGTTCTCATGGTGGTGAATAAGTCTCAGGAGATCTGATGGTTTTTAAAGGGAAACCCATTTCGCTTGGTTCTCATTTTCACTCTTGTGTGCTGCCATGTAATATGTGCTTTCTGCCTTCTGCCATGATCGTGAGGCCTCCACAGCCATGTGGAACTGTGAGTTCATTAAAGCTCTTTTTCTTTATAAATTACCCAACCTTGGGTATGTTTTTGTCAGCAGCATGAAAACACACTAATACAGGAGGGTTGGACAGTCTTATTCACAATGACCTTGACCTTTTAAAGTTGACCCCTCTGTTGCCTCCATTAAGTATCCTTCCTTTCACAGACATTTAACATCTCATTTGAAATTGAATTTCTTTTATAAAACCTTTGATGATTCCTCTAACAAGACGTGTTGTATGTACCTTTATCTCCTTTTATAATATGTATCCTCTTCTCCTCTTAATCTGTGGAGTATGTGAGGACAGATAACTATCTTGTCATTTAGCTTAAAGTATTGAAAGATGAAAACCTCAGTACTACTCTGCCATTCAAGTTGTGATTTGGGGTGAGTTATTTAACTTCAGAATGCCTCTGTTTTTCTCCTGACTCATGAGGTGCTGTAATCATTGAATGTGTTAATAGATAAGCAGTACTTAGAATAGCATCAACATGTAGACAGAACTCATGAGACCCAGTCCTTCAACTATGATGAATATTATCTCTGTGAAACTCTTTGGATCTCAGTTTCTCCATGTGTAATGGAGAATTGGATGTGGGTATTCTAAGGCTTCTTCTACTGCTTACATATATTATTTCTTTTTTTTTTAAAAAAAAAAACAAACCATTGAGGCTGGACGCGGTGGCTCACGCCTGTAATCCCAGCACTTTTGGGAGGCTGAGGTGGGCAGATCACCTGAGGTCAGGAGTTCTAGACCAGCCTGGCCAACATAGTGAAACCCCCCATCTCTACTAAAAATACAAAAATTAGCCGGGCGTGGTGGTGTGTGCCTGTAATCCCAGTTGCTCGGGGGGCCAAGGCAGGAGAATTGCTTGAACCCAGGAGGCGGAGGTTGCAGTGAGATGAGATTGCACCATCGCACTGCAGCCTGGGGGACAAGAGCGAGACTTGGTCTCAAAAAAAAAAAAAAAAATTGAGCTTTTCTTATAATAGTCTCAATAAATATTTGCTAAATAAAATTGGCATATCTAAATAATAGAATCATCAATAGAGCTGCATTGTGTATCAGCTCTCTCGGGATTGAGTTTCAGGCTTTAAACTGTTTTCTGTTGTTTCTGCTTATTAGATTAAAAATAATTCATAATCATTTGGGAGATAAAAGTATTTTATTGGAAAGCATCTGTGGTGTGATTCCTGAGATTCTTCTTGTTGCTAAAGATTGCTAGCTACCATGCGCAGACAGAAAACTGACCAGTTTTCAGCTCTAAATCAAGAAGCAGATTGATTTCTGGGACTCTGAAATTCTTTTCGTTACTTCAGTGGCTTGTATGTATCTCTCTTGTATGTATCACTCTCTCAAGCCTTTGACAGCGGACATTCTCAGTGAAAGCTGAGGTGCTATGAATGGAGTTGTCCTATCTGTCATGGCTCTTCAGTTGCCACATTTACGATGAGACTTTCCAGTTCTCCCTACTTGTTCGCTCCCCACAGAAGTGTGAATTAATTTGGCAATTGCAATACCAACGGGCAGCATCAAACTCTGATTAGATTTTCCGTGTGTCAGAGGGAGAATGTAGTGTGCTGAATTATCACCATTACTGAGAAATAAACTAACTGATATTCAAATACCAGGTATGTGTGTGTCTGTGGGCCATGAAAAATTCCATTTTTTGCTGGTAGGTACATGGGACCATCATTATTGTCTCACAGTGACACACTTGGTATGGCTTGAATGTTTATGTTGAAGTCATCTACTTACAATATAAGTGAAATTTTAAACCTGCCACATTCTTTTATGGATCTGAGACAAATAAGGGATGGATTGTCTTTCCAGCAGGTACAATTCAAGCCTTCCAAGAACTGATGATCAAAACAGTATGTTTATTTCTCTTTCTCTGTTTTCCAGTTTTCTTTCATTTTTACATTTTAGCTTTATGAACAGGTTTATCCCCATTACCACGTTAATAGCCAATCTCTCTCTTCTGTTGAGGTGTTTAATTTTGCTCACCTGCGGGCAATTCCCCGTAAGAGGGGATGAGCGTCTCAATTCTGCAGTCATGAAACTCCACACATCCGTTCCCCTAGTGTACACCGGGTGAGCCCTCAATCCATGTTTGCAGACTGCCCCTCCACTAGACATGTTGCCAAATGGAGTTTGCTCCAATTTGCTTAATCACTCAGCTGTAATTGAATCCTGATGAGAAGCTGGGTTTCCATCCAAAATTATACCCCTTCTGTTGCTGAGAAGATGGTAAAGTAGCCATTTCTTCTCCCCAGGAGTCCCAGGACAGTTTGCAGATGGTTTCATCCCTCTATCCTCCATAATGCTTTCCAGACTTGGAGGAATCATGGCATTGAGACTGTCATCGCCATTGCCCAGGGATATGTCTGTTGCTGGCTCTCTGTACCATTGTGAGCTTTATAACAAAGCACAATAATTTACCCTTTCCTTCCTTTTCTCTATGCCACCTTCCTAAGAGCTCCCTAAAAAAAAAAAAGAAAAATGTTTGGCTAGAATATCATTGAACAAATTCTACTTCTACCTGAGTAGGCTACAACCAATATGGAGACACCCAGGTGAATATGCCTCAAAATCTGACCACCTGCAGCAGTTTCACCTAGAGCAGCGTGGGCCCTAAGCTAGCAGCATCAGCATCACCTGGGAACCTGTTCCAATTACAAATTCACAGGCTTTACACAAACTGACTAAGAATCTCTAGAAGTGAGGATCAGAAATGTGCTTCACAAGCTCTTCTGTAAGTGAATTCAGATCTTTTCTGTTTGAAAGTTTGTGTGTTTATTGCTGAGTTTAAGAGTTATTTATATATACTGGATACATTCTTTTATCAAACATATACTTTTAACCAAGTGTCTGGCTTGTGCTTTCGTTTTCTCAATGCTGTCTTTCACAGAACAAAAGGTTTGAATTTTCATAAAATCCAATTTATCACGTTTTTCTTTATAGATTGTACTTTGGATATTATATTCAAAAACTCATTGCCAAACCCAAGGTCATATTGATTTTCCCTTTGTTTTATTCTAAAAGTTTTCTAGCTTTATATTTTACACTTGGGTGTATTATCCATTTAGAGTTAATTTCTATATAAGGCAAGATTTATTATTTCTGCATAAGAAAATCCAATTATTTTGGCATCATTTGTTGAAAAGACTATTCTTTTTCCTTTGAGTTCCTTTGCATGTTAGCCAACAATCAGTTGACTGTATTTGTGTTGGTATACTTCTGAGCCTCTATTTTCTTCCCTTGATTCAACAGTCTATACTTTTTACCAGCATTACACTGCTTAATTCCTGTAGCTTGAAAGTAAGTCTTAAACTTAAGTGGTGTGAATATCTAATTTTCTTACTTTTCAGAATTGTTTTGACTATTTCCTTTACCTTTCCATATAAATGTTAAGTTAGATGTTGAGGTCTACAAAAATAAAATAAAATAAAATGTTTACTGAGAGTTTGCTCTAGATAGCATTGAATCTATAGATAGATTTGGGAAGAATTTACTTACACGTTTAAAAATGTATTTTAGCCATGTTTTATAGTTTTCAGCACACAGACCTTGTACATATTTTGTTGCCTAAGCAGGACTGGTTTTTCGGTGATACTATTAAATGGCGTTGTGTTTCAATGTAAAATTCAGTAGTTCCTTCCTATGATCGACTATTGTTTATTGAGTTCATATCCTGCAACCTTGTTTAAGGCACTTATTCTAGGAGATTTTTTGATAGCTTTTTTTTGGGGGGGGGATTTCTCTGTCATATGTAAATAGAACTGATTTTACTTTTTCCTTTGAAACATGTATATAGTTTGTTTCTTTTCCCCTCCTCATTTTGGCAAGGGTTTATAGTACAGTATTGAACAGGATAGGGCAACCTTGCCTTGTGGTCTCTTACTATTAAATGTGATGCTAGCTGTAGGCTTTTTATAGATGCCTATTATTAGGCTAAGGAAATTCTCTTCTAATTCTAGTTTACAGAGTTTAGTATTGTTATCATAAATATATATATATAGAGAGAGAGAATTTTGTTAAGTACTTTCTCTGCATGTATTAAGGTGCTCATGGTTTTTCTTTTTTAGTCTGACAATATGTAAATAATAATGATTGATTTTTCAAATAATAAATTAGCCTTTTGTTCTTTGAATAAAACCCACTCAATCCTAATGTATTATCTTTTTAAAAATTGTTGCTGGATTTGTTTTGTTAACATATTTTTAAGAATATTTGCAAATATGTTCCAAGTAATATTGTCTATATTTTATTTTTGTTTGGTAATATCTTTTCCTGGTTTAGGTATTAGGTAATACCTCATAAAATGAGTTATGTTCTCTCTTCTCCCATTTTCTGGAAGAGATTGTGTAGATCATGTTTTATGTATTCATTCACTGATAGAATTCATCAGTTAAACCATCTGAGCCTGAATCTTTATTTTCTGAAAGATTTTTAAACGACCAATTTGGCATTTTTAATTTACATAAGACTATTCAGATTACTATGCATTCAGTTTTGGTACTTTGTATCTTTCAAGAAATTCTTTCATATCATTTACATAGCTGAACTTATTAATGTAGAGTTATCACTAATATCCTCATATTATATTTTGATATCCATGAGATCATCAGGGTTACCCTTCTTTCATTCCTAAATAGGGTCATTTGTTAGTTCTCCCTTTTTGTCTCAGTCTACATTTCATATATATCAATTTTATTTATATTTTCAAAAACAGCTTTTTTAAAAAAAAAAAAAGCTGGGATCTTGCTATGTTGCCCCGACTGGTCTCCAACTCGTGGGCTTAAGTGACTCTCCCTCCTCAGTCTCTTGAGTAATGGATCTGTAGGTTTTCACAATCATGCTCTGCTAAACATGCAGCTTTTGATTTCATTGTTTTTCTCTATTATATTTGTTTTCAAACTCATTGATTTTTGCTTTACCTTTTATTATGTGCTTTCTGCTTTTTTTTGGTATTTACTCAGTAATTTTCTCTTAAAGTGAATGTTTACGTTGCTGATTTTAGATGTTTCTTCTTTTTGAATATAAACATATAATGCTATGTTTCCATCTAAACACTGCTTTATCTGTAACTTACAAATATTGATATATTGTACTTTCATTTATATTTAGCTCAAAATATTTTAAAATTTACCTTGACACTTCTCTTTGATGCATGGGTTATTTGGTAGTGTGTTGTTTAATTTCCAAGTGTTTGGAGATATTTTTATCTTTCTGTCATTGATTTCTACTTTGATTCTGTTATACTGAGAAAATACTTTATATTATTTCTATGCTTTAAAAATGTTATTTGTATGGCTCAAAATATGGTCTATCTTAATAAATATTGCATTTGTGCTTGAAAAGAATAAATGCATTTCTGTTGTGTGGGTTGTCAATTAGGTCAAGATGATTGATAGTTTTGTTGGGTGTTTATATTTTAAAGAAGGACCACAGGTGATTTCATGCATGCTGAAAGTTGAGAGCCACTTAGAGTGAGCTAACACTAATTGGGATTCCAGTGTAATGAAGGCTTAATTTTGTATTTGATTTTATATTTGTCTATGTTTGTGGAAGTCTAGAAGCTTCCACCCAGTTGTCCATGTTCTAGGTGTGAGCTTGTTGATTACAAATATCTCCTAAACACATTACACATTAGAGTAAGGTTTTTTACCTGTCTCTGCCCCTGGGTCTTGTGCCCCTTGGACGGCCATTAGGACTTTTCTACAAATATTTCCTCTACCCTTTTCATCGATGCTGGCTTTTAAGTGTGTTTCATAAAATGCTAGATCCAGGAGCAGCTGCTAAGCAAGAAGCAGGGAAGTAAGATGTATACGCATTGCTTAGTAAACTGATGCATGTTTCTCCATCTTGAAATTCATAATGCCAATTAATATTATACTGGCTCTGACAAGTTTGGAGTTAACATATCTCTATTCCTTCCTTTCCCTAACATAAAATGAGCAATACGAAATACTTTATAAGATTTTTGAGAAGACTAAATGAGGTAACATCTGTAAAACACTTAATGATGGCTTAGGCACATAGTATGTTGTCAATAAGTGTTTGTTGCTATGATTTAGTATAGTTGATGTTCTTGGTTTTAGTTTTATTCCACTTATTCCACTGGAATTGATCTTTAAAAATAGAGATGGGTATAAAGGGAAAAAATTCTGGGAATGCAAACGCCACAAAAGTAACAGAGATACACAGAGCTTTACCTGTTCAAGTTTCTTTATTGTGGTTTACTTTTTGTAGTGTTATTAAGGGGTATTGCATTCATTTTAAAAACCTTCTTCAACCCAGCCACTTTTTCTTCCTACCTAAACCTGCCTCCTCTGAAGTAATATCATTGGTATTGCTGGGAATAATTAGATATTTGTACGTGTACTATAAAGAGGATGTCGTGTAATACCATGGAAAGTGCATTAGGTATGAACAACATCTCAGGACTCAGCATGGTGTCTTATGCTGTCCTCGCTTAGCAACAGCATCAAGGAAGTATTGCATATCCGGGATTCAGAATCTCCTCCTCATCTACCTTCCTTGGCTCCTTTGACATCTCTGTGGAAACATTATTGACACTATGTTTTCTTCTCTTAAACAGGTGGACTCTGCATTGCCCAGTCCGTGAGAATCCCCCAGGAACGCAAAGACAGGACCATTGACTTTGATAGAATTATCAAACAGCTCCTGGACACCCCCAACTCCAGGGCCGTCGTGATTTTTGCCAACGATGAGGATATAAAGTAAGAATAACTGGTGACAATTGTTAATATGCATGTTGCAATTTTAGGAGAGAGAAAGATTAGGCTGCTGGCTGAGACAGGAAAAGATAGCATAAGATCAAAGCTGTAATCATACAGCGGCGAAGTCTGTGCTTGCCTCTACCCAACACATACAGTGGTAGCATGTTATGGTCACGTGTTTTCCCTCTGTTAGCAAAATAAATGTATTCAATTATTTGTAAAAACAGAAAAAAAACTCTAGATCTTTTAAAGGTGCTTTTATTTAAAAATTTTTCCAAATATATTAATAACAGATTTTTATCCAAAGAATGGTTCTCTTAATGTAAAAGAAAAATGTCTTAAAATTCTGGTTTTATTGCTAGTGCTTTAACTTCAATATGTTCAAATCAAAAACTTGTCTTAACTCTACATTCTCCAATCCACTTTCTTTTTTCTTTTCAGAACTTGATCTTTCTTGGACTCAAAAATCTGCTTGTAATCTTGACTTTGCTTTTTTCCTGGTTCCTTGTATTGTTGGCCAAGCCACATAGAAACAAGCTTTGACATGTTTCCACAATGTAAATGTCTGTTGCTTTCTTTTCTGATCACTACCAACCTGGTCCGGAGTCCTTATTTTTAGAATTTTTAGAATATTTATTTTTGTAATCTTTATTTTTAGAATAAACAGTAAATAAACCTGATTACAAAATTTAAAGTAAACATACAATCTCCATCTTGTCGCATAGCTAACAAGTTCTCTCCAGGTACAATAACTAATTAAAAGTTTCTTGTATATCCTTGTGGAGATATTCTGTATATATGCTAGAGGGATGTGCTGCTTGTTTTTACACAAATGGTAGCATGTTGTGTGCATTCCTGTTCAGCATTTTATTTATCATTTTATCATGGAGATCACTGAATATTAGTACCTATACTTCTACTCAGTATTCAATAGCCAGGCAGAATTTTATTTTACATAGGTACTGTAATTTATCTAACTGCTCCCTTATTAATTGACATGTAATTTGGATTACAGTCTATTGAAGTTATAAATAATGCTGTAATTAACTTCCTTTTGCACAAATCTGTGTGTATAAATATAAATAGACAAGTGTTAATCTACAATGTGTTATGCAATGTATAAATTTATAATGTGATAAAAACATAACATGCAAATATACTTTTTATATATATTATAAATATTTATAAAATAAATTCCTATTAAAAAATTTCTAAGACAAAAATATGTCCCTTCTTAAAAATATATAAATATTGTCTCCCAGAGAAGTCATGCCAATTTACACTTCCATTGATGTGAAAGAGCTGTTTATGTGTGTTTTAAATCTTTGTCTATCTTATAGTTCAAAATAATATATCATTGACTTTGAAGGTGAATCTTTTATTCAGGGTAAAGGTTTAATGGCCTGGGCCCTTAAGTTCCTGCTTGGATTTTTCAATGTCTTTACCACCAGCGTCTCAAACCTGTCTCTTTCCCTGCTTTGTGTATCCTAGACACTGCTCCTGAATCCATCCATCTCCTAGTATAAAGCTCTGACCACAGGTGTGGTGGCAGGGCTATTAAATGGAAAGAGTTTTGAATTTTTAAATGAGGATTACTTGCTTCTTAGATAATGAGCACTGTCTGACCTTGGGCAAGTTCCTCCCACTGCCTTCCAGGTTCTTTGGGCCTCAAGTCTCCTACCAATCAAATGAACATCCTTCGGAGTTCTTTTTCGGGAGATCTGGCTGTTTCACCTTTCTAGTCTTATTCTATTCCAAATTCCCTCATGATTTGCTACTGTAGGCACACTGCCGTGGTATGATCTCCCTCCCAATTCTGCATGCATTCTTTCCCCCTCCCTGGCCCATGTTTCCTTCCCTGCTTCATCACCTCAATGCTATCTCTAGTGCTGTCCTCTCAGGGAAGATTTCTCTGATCAATGTCACTTTGGAAAATTCTTCATACTCACTCAGTTTCATTGTTTATGTGAATGGTGCCATTTTTATTGTTGGATTGTTTAATTAATGTCTGTATTCTTCACTAGTTCGTAAAATTAGGGCAGAAATGATGCTTCTTTCGACTTGCTTTTGTACTGTCAATAACTATTATAGGGCTCAGGACATAGTAGCTCAATAAATGGCGTTGAACAAGTGAATGAAATTCCTAACCTAATGCTTCATATTTAATAATTTAACAATAAGCTTCTTTTTTTTCTGAACTTCCTGGTGATTCAATATATGGTCTCATTTTTACGGTTTAGGCCTCATCTACATTCATCCAGTTCTCCATCCAAAATGCATAACTCTTATCCTCCGATTTGTTCTGATTACTTCTCCATCATGGTCTTTGCTCACGATGTTTTTTTCTCTCGTTATCTATCTGTCTAACTTACGTCTCTTCTTCAAGGTCTGTTTCAAGCATTCCCTTCTCCAGTTCCGGAGAACTGATCCTGATTCTGATCATCCCTTAAATATATTATTTCTCTCCTTACAAAATTATCTTACAACATTATTTTCCTCACTTCGTATTTTAGGTTTCTATGAGATTTTGTTTTCATAATATTACTCTTTCTGTTCCAGTACTTTAAAAAATATCTGCTAATACCCTTCTTATTCATCTTATAAGTCCTTTTAACACCCATTTTACACTTTTGCTAAATATGTAATACCTTGGTAAAATATGGTCTCATGTTTGTTTTTAAATAGATTGCACAAGGCACATAAAAGATGTATGGCAATTAGTTCTGGTAACTAATTGGTTATAATACTGTTGACTTGCAAGTAATGTGAGTTTTTCATATTTGGATGTAAACTGTATTCAATAATGATATTCAATAATTATACCCATTCTTTTTGCATTGGACTTGTTTGTGTGTTAAACATTATTGTATATTGTCATTCATAATAGTGATGACAATAATTATTCTTGAGCACAGTACTAAAAGCCAACAGCATATAAAAATTTATTCTAAAACATGATCTTAAACAGTGTGTGAAGTGTACTGATAACCCATAATGTTACGTTATTTCTTTCTTCGGAAGATTTACATTGTAGATGGGAAAATTTGAGGTTTCTTGGAACGTTAACTTCAGATACTTTGTCAAAGGCTAGCAGTGAGAAGACATTAATATCTAGATTTTAAAGCTAAGATAAGTGCTAAATCAGTCATGGGTATAGATGATTTGGATTTTAGACAAGCGTGGATTCTTTTTCTAAAATAATTTATTCTGATTATAAAAGGAACACATGCTCATTGTAAATCCACTGGAAAATAAAAGTTTTTTTATTGTTTTTTTTCAATAAAAGGAACCCTTACATTTTACTTTGCCTCCAGTTTGCTAGAAAAATTAAAGGTTAAGGAGAATAATCACAAACAATAATTTTAAATAATCTTCTATAAAACCTGCAATTCCAGCACTCAGAGATAACTGCTAATACAATTCTGGTTTAATTTTTGCAATAAGTTTTTTTATACATACACAAATTTTCCTCAACAGAATAAAGATCACATAGAATTTTGTCATCTTTTACAATTCATATTATAGATTAATCATTTCATATCACAAGTACTTTTAAATGCTTTAATTATATTCTTATAACCTCCAAATTTTACATAAATATACTAAACTGAACATACTTTTGTGTTTGTATCAGTTTTTACTTTCTTTTCCTGTTTTACTTGGCTTATCCCTACCTTTCTCTTCAAACTTCGTCAGCACCTCCCCAAACATGTTAATAAAAATTGTATGTCGTTTTATATTTTTGGTGCCTTGATATGATTCTATGCTTTTAACTATGCATATATACACATATACAGGCAATTTTTGGTCAGCTTTTATTTTGTGAAAATTAAATAATCTTTTATCATGTATTTAATTTTAATTTTCTTTTTTAATGTGTAGTATCTAGTTTGATACCTTGTGGAAATCAAACTAAGTATATTTGTAATTGCTCTAGAATTCATCCTTTGGATGTATTGTCTTTTTTTTTAAACCAGTTTCCCATTGCTCTGTACTTAGGTTAACTCCAGTAATGAACAGACATTTTGATAGCATCTTTGATCATTTTTGGATACATTATCAAAGTGGTATCTCTAGGCCAGAAGTATTAACATTTGATTGTTCTATTTTTTTTTTTTTTTTTTTTTTTTGTTGAGACAGAGTCTCGCTCTGTTGCCCAGGCTGGAGTGCAGTGGCGCGATCTCAGCTCACTGAAAGCTCCACCTCCCGGGTTCATGCCATTCTCCTGCCTCAGCCTCCTGAGTAGCTGGGACTACAGGTGCCCGCCACCATGGCCAGCTAATTTTTTGTATTTTTAGTAGAGACGGGCTTTCACCATGTTAGCCAGGATGGTCTTGATCTCCTGACCTTGTGATCCACCTGCCTTGGCCTCCCCAAGTACTGGGATTACAGGCGTGAGCCACCGTGCCCAGCTGATTATTCTATTTTTATGAAAATAATAAATACATAAAAAAACTAAAATATGACTAAAGTACTTTTGATGCAAAACATTAGTCTCCTGTTCCATCTCACCATGCTTCCTGGTTCTGTTCTCTTTTGGCAGTTACTTTAACTCTTTAAACTGTTTCTTCTGGTTTTATCTGCATAATGTGTACGTGTTACAATTTTTAAATTATTAATTTTAAATATTATCTAATTCTTATGTTAAACAGAACTTATTCCTATCTCTATAGTCATAATCTATCAGGTTTTAATTTGACAAAAATCAGTATTTACATTATTGTGATTATATAAATATGATGCACTACAGCATCAAGTATTTTTTCTATGGTAGTTATTTTTTTGGAAAACATTTTGTTGTTTTTTGGAGTTAATATGACAGTCTTCATACTTTCATTGTTATCTTTAATATTTTTTCTGTTGTTGTTATAGGCCTTTCACTTTTCTCCATATGTTCATATATAAGATTATCTGAGTTGCCTTATTTTTCCCGAATATTTCTTCCTGAAATTTCCATTATTCTGTTTTAATCTGGATCAGTTATTATCATTTGAAGAGTTTCTTCCTCTCACTCTCTCTTTGTTTTACCACTTCCTTTTTTCTGGACCCTAACTGAATTTTATTCTTGAATTATTTCCTCATTTTGCTGGAGCATATCCTGTAGCTTCTTTTTTTTTTTAAGAGTAAATTAAGGGAAAACTTTTTCATGTGTTTTACATCTAAAAAATGTTCTCATTCTGCCTCTACCCTTAATTAGTAGTTAGGGTGGTAATGTGCGGCCTCATATTTATTTTTATTAATCAATGCATCATACGTGGTAAAGAAGTGATTTACAACAAATAGCTGTTGTGACTAATGAGTTGCAGAACTCTTAACTTATAGGGAACTTAGGGTTCTAATTGCGGAGGGAAAAATCTAATAGAGCTACTGAACAAATATGCAAGTTCTATTTGTATTGAGATTCTTTGTGTGTTAAATGTTAAAATTTTAAAGTCTTTTTGTCAGAATATTGAAGCCATTGCTCCATCATCCATCATCCATCCTTTTTTTTTTTTTTTGCCTCTTGAGAGGTTAATAATATCATTTCTTTTTTTTTTTTGCATGTCTTCTCATTTTCTCTTGAAGAGCTTTTAGAACATTCTCATTATTTACAGAGGTCTTATATTTCGTGATGTGCTTGATTTTCCTCCCATTATGCGGCTAAGTTTTTAAACTTGAAAATTTGTATTTTCAATTTTTTGATTCTTTATTTATTAAAAATAATATTTAAAGATTTACTCTATTTTCTCTGTACGTTCTTTTTTCTCTAAATGTTAGCTGGATATAGGTCTTCTTGGGTTGATTATTGGTAAGAGGAAGAAGAATCTTATTTCTTATTTTCCAACTTTTTGTTGTTTTGCTTTCTAGAGAATTTTCTGCACTTTATATCTATGCCAATTTAATTTTCATTTCATATTTTCAAAAAGAGCTGTTTCTTGTTATTTTTTCGTATCATGTTCTTGATTAAAGATATGATCATTCTCATTTAAATGTGTTTATTATTTTGTTTTTTTTCCCATATATTATCTCTGCTCCACCTCACACATTTCCTTTTCCTTGTTAATATTTCTATTTGGCAATGGAGATTTTCCTCAATAATGAGTGTCTTCTGGCAATTCACATATGAATAAGGCAGTAAAAAGCTCTGTGCCCACGGGCAGTGCATGACAACTGATGGGGTTCCCAGGGAATCAGATTGGCCATTCCATCAGAGGACTTCTTTATAACAATATCTAGAGTCTACTTTCTGATATGTATCAGATTTTTACAGAAAAATTATTTTCTACCTGGGGTGACAAACCCCTAGTTCCCAGCATTTTGTGAGCAGAAGTTTAAAATTCCTAGAGTGTCTTAACATTTCAATTTCTATTATACTGACTTTTAGTCATTCCCTCCCATCCCCATCTGCAGTTTTAACACCTCTTATCTACCTTTTACTATTTTGGTGTTTTTTTGTTACCATCTCTTATCCACCTTTTACTATTTTGGTGTTTACAATATCAGAACCTATTTCCTATGCTGCTGCTTTTTTTTTTTTCTTTTTTTTTTTTTTTAATTATACTTTAAGTTTTAGGATACATGTGCACATTGTGCAGGTTAGTTACATATGTATACATGTGCCATGCTGGTGCGCTGCACCCACTAACGTGTCATCTAGCATTAGGTATATCTCCCAATGCTATCCCTCCCCCCTCCCCCGACCCCACCACAGTCCCCAGAGTGTGATATTCCCCTTCCTGTGTCCATGTGATCTCATTGTTCAATTCCCACCTATGAGTGAGAATATGCAGTGTTTGGTTTTTTGTTCTTGCGATAGTTTACTGAGAATGATTTTTTTCTTTAGAAAACTGTCATTTCCTGCCTGGAAGAAAAAAAAGTAGAACTGGCCTTTGTCAGCTTATTCACAATCTTTGACCCAATCTTCCTGCATTTAGCCATGTAGCTCTGTGGTGCCTGATACTCCCAAGTCCCAAGAGACAAACAAACCACTTATCCTGTGGTCTTACCCACCAAAGGGGCTTCAGTTGTAGCTTTTTCTGATCTACCAATGCAGTTACATCTCATCAATCCCCTCTTCCAAAAGTACTATTGCAATAACTTTTTCATTAATAGCTAGTTCCCTTTTTTCTTTTATTTGCTCCCATTGTCCTGATTATGTATATATAATACTTTCAATCATACACAAGTTATAAATTTTTCATGTTTCACATGGAGTTCTGTTTATTTTAATAAATAATTAACATCTTTAATTCATAATCATATTGCTTTTCAGAGATAGTGTATACCATCAGCAGTAAATGAGAGTGCTCATTTCTCCAGCCCCAAGCCAAAACTCTTAAAACAAAACAAACATTTTGGCCAATATGTGAAATGAATTTGGTATCTTTGTCTAATTTGCACTTCCATCCTTTCTAACATATGTAAATATGTGTCTTTACCTTATTGGACATTTGTATTTATCTTTTTATCTTTTAACAATTACTATTACTTGCTCTTGTTTCTGAAGATGCTTTTTCATTATTGGTTTACAAAATATCTTTATATATTAGGGATATAAATTCTTTATCAAGTTTTTTGCAATTATTTACTTTTTGAGGAAGAATAGTACCTTTCCTTTTGCTGACTTGCAATCTACACGGATTCAGCTGACGTTCTTTATCATTAATATAACTTTCCATATTTCTTTCCACAGGCAGATCCTTGCAGCAGCCAAAAGAGCTGACCAAGTTGGCCATTTTCTTTGGGTGGGATCAGACAGCTGGGGATCCAAAATAAACCCACTGCACCAGCATGAAGATATCGCAGAAGGGGCCATCACCATTCAGCCCAAGCGAGCCACGGTGGAAGGTATGGGTTTCATCAGCAGTAGGTTTGCTGAGAGAAGTTCTGGTGCCATGCTGAATGGCCAAGCATGTGACTTTTTAGGGGTTTGGCATTTTTACCAAACTCATGTGGGGTTGTTTCAAACTTATAGCCATGAAATGCAAATGAGGCCACACACCTGGTCTGTTCTTTTAGTTGAAATTCCTCTTTTGAGGAGATCATATTATTTTCATAATATCACGATTAGCAAAAACATTCTTTCTTTTTCATTCATGCCATAGGAACTTTCTGAGAGGAGAGCATTATCATTAATAAGTAAAGTATACACATCCAAGTGTGTATAAGTGAGCTACGTTTTCCAAGAGAATCCTTTCACTTTGTAACGCATCCATTATTTCCTTATTAGAAGAAGTACAAGAACCCTTTCCCCCCTTATCTCTCAAGGTCCCTTCCAGCTCAGGGAGGCTGTAATACAGCACACCACCTCTCTCAGGCACCAGCATCCCCTCACCTTCCTAGGTCCCTTTTGTTTTCACTCTCTCCTTTTCTTGCCTTTCTAAACTTATGCCTCTTTCTTTGCCTTCCTTGCTACTGCAAAGATATTTTGAGAGGCAGAAGTAGGAAAGAGTGTCTGTTGCCACCCTGTAATCTGACAAAATTTGCCGATTATAAGTTATGTTATTCTTTAATTTGGAAAGAAAAGTTGTTTCTAAAAGAAGACGCTGTGTAAAAGGAGCTTCTCTGCTGATAGCCTGCTTTGTGTTCCTTTTCTGATGGGCCATGTCTCCAAAGATTCTCTAAAACATGCTTTGCGCATTAAAAAGAACTCTATCCTCTCACTCAAAAAGGGATCAAATATTTGCATTTTCTATTCTCTCTCCACTCAAATCTAATTAATTATTCTCCTCAGAAGGCTGCATGTTCTGTGTAGGCTTTTTAGACAAATCAGGTTGTGGTTCTGTCACTGTTTCCTTTCTGTTATCTGGAGGAGATAAAAATCTCATGAGTCACCCATGTTTTCACTGGGAGGCTTTGAATTAATTTCATTCCCCAGTACATATCCAGAAAAGATTGCCTATCTTACAACCCAGACCAATGCATTTGCAGATGGGTTGCAAGAATAAAGGACGATATTTTAACCTTCTCCATTCCTTGCACTGGAAAAACTGTGTATCTGTTGTGTGCCTTGCTCAGTGCTAGGAGTCAGGAAAACAAAAGATGAGGACTCAAAATTCTCACCCTCAAAGCATACAGAGCTGAGTGCAGGTGTCAGAACAGGCAGAGACTACATGGGAAACATTGTAAGTACAGTATGGAGGGCACAGAGAGTTACCATGGAGGCTTTCCTAGGGTGGTGGTGATATGGTTGGGGAAGATATCGTTGGATGCGAGAAGTGATAACTGGGATGAAAGTTCCCTCAGAGATACAGGGAAATGAAGGAACAGGACACATTAGGGAAAATACAAATAATTCATTCTGCAGCACTGTCCTGCACTCCTGCCTTCTTAAAATCCTTCCAGTTCTTTAAGAATGTTCCTATTTACAAGACACTGGGGAGACCCTTTCCTCTTCTAGAGTACTAATCATTGCTACACTGTTTGGTTGATTGACTTCTATTTATTTTGGGGGTCTCAGATGTTAATTTTTCATGGGAGCCATCTGTGGCCATCTCACCCCAACCAAGTGTGGGTTAGAAACCCCTTCCATTCCTTCTATGGCATCCCACACATCTCCTACTGTTGGAACTACCTCTTTACTTGTCTCTGTCTAGAAATATCCCTATTATGCACCATCGTACCCCCAGCACATGGTTCTTTGCTGAAAGTTGTAGGTGCTCAAACACATTCTTAAGTGATTATGTGTCTGGAGGGATGGAGGAATCGCAGATCATATAAGGACATGGCACAAAATCAGTTTGAAAGTGGGCCAGAAGTTGCATTGCAAAGGGTCTTGAAAACTGTACTAAGGAGTTTGTTACTTTATGCTGAAAATCTGAAGAGCATCCGCATGTGTGAGATGTGATTGTGGTGGCATTGGAAGGTTTAGAAGTTCACTCAGGTGACTGTAAGGAGGGGTGAAGGGCAAGAGTTGGGTGAGATTCAAGGAAAACGAAGAACTTTCAGGGCTTCAACTGAGGTCCTCTCTTCCTAGGCTGTGGATGCCATGTAGACACAATGCACATATTCCATGGCCATTAACCCCTGATGCCTGATATTTTAGGGAACTTACTGGGTTATCTCAAAGGTTTAACAAATTATTGAGGTAAAATATTATTTTCATGTAGATATAGAAATATACAAATTTACAAAATCAGACAAAGAACAGCATCATGAACTAGCAAAGTAAAAATTAAGATTCCAAAGAATGAAATTGGAGAGCACTGTTTTAAAAACAATGTTAGAATGTGATGGAATAGCAAGAGTTCATATGAAATTTTCTAATCTCACCCAGAGAAGAGTGAAGATTTTTTGTGGCCATGTACAAAAATGCTGTGGCTTCCATCTAGCCATATTGCCTAGGTACATTTCTTATAAAGAACAATCAAGTTTTGTTCACTTTCGTAGCAGACAGAACATTAAGATAGCATCTATGCATTTACAGTGTCACTTCTATGAAAGTTAAAAAAGAAGAAATGCATTCAGTTATGCCAAAGCTTCTGAACAAAACTATGAAATAATCTAAGATAAAACTATAAATGGAGCAGAGCCTATGTGGGCAAGTAAGTTTTCCTGTCCTTCCCTACAGTCATTTGCTTGTTTTCTTGTTTGTTTCCTTTTATCTTTTTCCTGTTTTGCAGATGTTTCATATTGAATTATGCTGGGGTAGAATATTTTTCAAATATTCATGATACTGCTCCATTCCTATATCTTTGTGTTGTATAATGCTATACCCTCAGATGGAAGGGAAAAGCCAATCAGTAATCTACCTTTTTTTCCCTTTAGATCCATATCATGACTACGTTCAGCAAACATCTGGATTTTCGGCCGGCATTTTTCTGAGTATGCATTCAAAATAAGCAGAAATTGTGTTAGGCCAAAATGCTGGCAGATTTATTGCCTCTTTGAAAGTGGCCTTTCTCTTCTATCTGTACTTATTCTCCATTTGTGGAAAAAGGGAACTTTAGTGTTTCTTAGCCAAGGGTGTCATTTCCCCCCTTTCGATTTAATGATGAAAGGAGCCAGTTTCCTGGAGGGGTGGCTGTGGTCCCGCTGCCTGCCCAGTGTTTATGGGAAATCTGGGGAATGTCTCTAGAACTTGGCAGCACTCCTCCAGCTCCTGAGCCAAAACACTTCTGTAATTTTTAGTGTGTCTGCATTGTCTGATGAGCCAAGGAATCCCTGGCATTTCCTCACTCATGTGTTGCCCCATTAACTAGACTCTTAATAATCCTCTGCAGCCTCCAAGGAATCTGCAGAGTACTAATGGCCTACGTTGCCTTCAACTCTTCATCCTCCAAAGTGCTCTGCTTCTCTGAAAGGAGGCTGTCCTAGGCATCCTCTAATTATGGCCAACAAGGGTCATGGACCAGCATAATTTCATCTCTTCCATACTCATTAACATTAGGAAGCTAGTATAATGAAGGGTAGATTTTCAAAACTAACTATAATGACTCTCACAATTGGTGATGATTTTCAAATGGGACTGTAGAACAGCTTGGTTCATGAGTTAAATCTGCAATGTATGTAGGAATAGACAAAACATACTCTGGACCCAGCATTAAAGAGCTAGCTTTTTAAAAATAATAGTAATTTTTACTTATGATTTGAATGAATTCTTTATTTTTCCTAAAACTGGAAAGAACAAAGCTGTGAAGATCTGAACTAAAATATTCCTGGCTCCAATTTAGATATGCCCTACTTTAGCTTCTCTTGATTACCTGCAATGGTCTACCTGTGTCACAGGGTTTCTCTAGGTGAATGGGGAAAAAAAATGAGAAAGAAAATATTGCCTTGAACCACAATGCTGCTTCTAAGCAATGCGTATGTCTTTTGGCCCTATCACCTTGTTTGATAAGAGAGCAATGAGATACTGCATGATAAACCTGTACTCCTGCTATTTGTGGCAGAGTGGGTTTCTGTCACTTGCAACCCAGACTACTTGAAAAAATATAGTTGAGCCCAAACTACTTGAAAATATGGTTGAAAGCTTCTTCAGGGCCTTTTGTTCCACTTTTTATGGTTTCTGAGTTATACCCTATCCAAGTGCCATTTAGCCTACATCATTCCACTCTCTTTTTTCTCTCTTCCCTTATCCCTCTCGCATGAGATCTCTGCATTCTCTGAGCCCCATTATAAGTCTCATCTACCCTTCCATACTTTCCTTTCCTCATCACATCAGCCTTGTTCCACATCTCATCCCCTCAGGTGTGCTGTGTCTATTCCACTTTGAAGCATCTGTCACATATAATTAGTTATTCTTTGTATATATCAAGGTTATTAAGTAGGATCAAAATGATACATATATCCTTTATGAACAAGTTCTAGAGGTCAAGAATAAAATAGTAAAGAGAAAAATCTTTTTAAAAAAGATAGATTCAAATATACCTGGGAAATGTAGATGAACTATGCGGTCATTCTCCAGAAATCTAATTGAGAATTGAGAAGAGCTTTGAGAGACAACTTCTTCTACAGGAAGAATGATAAAATGAGCCAGATCCAGTAAATAAGTTTTCATTGTCAAAAGGAAAAGACAAACTTCCCTCTTCCAAGGCCAGCATCCACTGGACTCATAGGTGAAATCCCACAGGGAACAGGCAGGCAGACCATACATAAGAAAGGATCTCAGTCTGATAGGCTAAGCTACATAGTGGCAACAGATAGACTCTCAATGGACTAATGGAATGCATGAATATTTCTCACCCATGTAAAGTCTTCTGTGGTTCTAGGAGACTTCCCAGGGCATTTATCCTCCCTGTATTGTTCTGCAATCTGGGCCGTCTCAATCTTATGGCACTTGTGTTTCAATACATTTTTTTTTTTTTTGGGATGGAGTCTCGCTTTGTCACCCAAGCTGGAATGCAGTGGCGCAGTCTTGGCTTACTGCAACCTCTGCCTCCCGGGTTTAAGTGATTCTCCTGCCTCAGCCTCCCTGAGTAGCTGGGACTGCAGGCATGTGCTACCACACCTGGCTAATATTTGTATTTTTAGTAGAGACAGGGTTTCACCATGTTGGCCAGGCTGTTCTTGAATTCCTGACCTCAAGTCATCCGCCAGCCTCAGCCTCCCAAAGTGTTAGGATTACAGGCATAAGCCACTGCACCCGGCCTCAACACATTCTTCTTTCACCACTGTACAGCTTTGGAAAGAGAGTGGTAGATTCACATACACTACTCACAAATGCTTTTACCTGTAAGAAATGTCCATGATTTCTCCTCCTCTATCATTAACCAATAACAAAGTCATAGCAAATTTTCCTTTCAAGGAGCTTGTTTATGAAAATAAAGGAGAGCTGAATATTGATGAATCTGAGTCCTGTCTCCCTCAAGCTCTGTTTAACTGAAACCTTTGGTAGCATTTAGGACACTAGGAGCAGTGCTTTGGAACTTTTTAACAGCGGGCAATAAATGATGAGCGATGCCCTGTCCCTTACTTTGCCACAGATGTCTGAACAGCTCTGACACCACATGCGGTGTCTTGGCAGCAATGCAAAGGAGGGGCTTCCAGGGTCAGTAGAAAACATGCTACTTGGCAGTGTCTTGGCAGTGCTACTGTGGCCAGAGGATCCCAGAAGAAGAGAGCAGTTCCTCAAAAGGAAGGGAGGCAATCAGTAGACTCATATGAGAGAAGTAGGTGGACAACCTTTGGGGACATACTGCAAGAGCCATGTGGGAAAGTGTCCCTGGGGCTTGGTAGGGTCGAGTGATATTATTCCATTTATTCCTGCAGACTGTAGCTTGGTGAAATTCCAGTTACCTCAAGGAGACTGTGGATTTGTCATTTGTGACTGATGTTCTTGACATTCTCTTGGCCTTTTTGATAAGCAGAAAACTTCTCCCAATATGTTGGTTTAAAATGCCAAATGCTGACTTACCCAACCTTCCCTGCAGTTAGAGGATGAACAAGTGACTTAATCCTGACCATTGGGATGGATGATGACATTATCTGAGGGAACTTCATAGAGATATTTCCCTCCCTTAGAAAAAAAAAATGTCATGTTAATAGGGCAACTATATAACATTTTATCCAAACCAGAACACCTTAGAAGTAAAAGGGCCATAAACTGTGATTGTCCCAGCCAAACCAGGGTATGCAGTGACCCTTCTCACATGAGAAACTCCTGCCTTCTCCTCCTTTTTTTTCTTTTTTTCTTTTTTTTTTTTTTTTTTATCTCACTCTGTCACCCAGGCTGGAATGCAGTGATGTGATCTCGGCTCACTGCACCCTCCATCTCCCGGGTTCAAACAATTCTTCTACCTCAGCCTCCCAAGTAGCTGGGATTACAGGCGCCTGCCACCACGCCCAACTAGTTTTTGTATTTTTAGTAGAGATGGGGTTTCACCATGTTGGTCAGGCTGGTCTCAAACTCCTGACCTCAGGCAATCCGCCCTCCTCAGCCCCCCAAAGTGCTGGGATTACAGGCGTGACCCACTGCGCCCAGCCTCTCCTCCTGTTTTTAATGTTATCATGTGAGGACAGGATACTTGGAGCTGCTATAGCCATCTTCACAGAAAGGAAATATTAATACCAGAGGAAGGCAGAAAAGACAGATAGAAAAAGCAAAAAGCCTAGGCCCATGATGACCTTACTTAAGCTGTCAAACCAGTCCTGGAATTATCTACATTAGTATTTGTTCTTATGTTAGAAAAATTACTGTTATCTTTAAGCCCCTTTTAAGCTATATATTTTGTTATATGCAACCTAAGGTATTCTTAATAAAATACCTTTCTTATTCACCTCTGTATACCCAGCACTTGAATATTACCTGTAAATTAATGGACTCTTACAAAATATCTGTTGAATAAATGGGCCTTACAAAATGATGATTTTTTTAAAAATAAGGAGTATAAGTCATTACTGTAGAGTGAAAGTTCAGATAGCTTCAAGACAGATTGTTACCTTTGCTATTAATATATATCCCTATATTTATCACCACAGGAAATAATATTTTGGTAAATTTCTATTATAAGGTGAAGCTATTTCACATGCGTTTTTTATAGAAATTATGAACTTTGTGAAAATATCCATGCAAGAATTGTCCCTAAGGGAAAATATAAACTAACGAATGCTCTTACAATCATGAAGTCAGTACAGCTTGTGGTTCATGAGTGGCAGCAAAGTTGTAAAATGGAGAGAGAGAGAGAGAGAGAGATTTAATATTTTAAACAAATACCCTTTGTGTTGAAATTAGAAATGTATAAATATTGATATCCTGAATTTTAATTCTAAAGAAAAAAGCAGAACGCCAGTGTCTTGATAAAACATTTCTCAGGTCTAGGAAATTAGACATCAATTATATTATTGGAGGGTTTCATTGAATAAGCACATCTGACACTGGGTAGATTTTTCCTTTAAAATCATTTAATACCTCAAAGCTTAAAATCTTGAATTTCATGTGACCCTTGCCCAATTGAGAACTGATTATGTGTATAATGTGTGCTCAGGATTATAAAATGATTCATCTAACTATGTCAGCAGCAACTTTCTCCCTAAGTTATCGTATCCACATTGTAATATTCCATCCCCCGTCTTTCTCCCTCCCCCCTAAAAATTGATTTCACTGTCATCACATCATCATTAGCATCTCTATATATTGCAAAGTTATAAGTAATGGGCTGTTGGATATGGAAGATAACATTCATCCAGTTTTCAAGTGTTAACTGTCTGCTGTTTGTCAGACACTGACTATGGCCAATTGCTGGTGACCACAAAACAGAGATCTTTGCTAACGTATGAATTTACACTCTAGCAGAAGTAGACAGATGATAATCAATAGGCACAATAAGTAAGTAAATTATATACAATAATAGGGGTGGTAAAAGCTGTAATTTCTACTCTTTATTGATACTTTTTATTTTGGTCATGTCTTTTTTTCCTATTTTCACTTAGTTCTTTGTCCATGGTTTCCTGTAGCTCTTTGAGATATTTAAGATAATTGATTTAAATTCTTTGTTTAGTAAGTCCAATGTCTGGGCTTCTTAATGGACAGTTTCTGTCCATTTTTCCTCCCTTTGAATAAGCCATATCTTCCTATTTATTTGTATTTTTTAAAATTTCTGTTGTCAAATCCTTGGCATTGGAATCTTATGATGTAGTAGCTCTAGAAATAGGATTTTCCACTTTCCCCTTAGTATAATGTTCTTGATTGTTGAAGGCTACAATCAAGTTTGTTTAGTGACTTTTCCATACTATTTCTGCAAAGATTGTATTCTTTGTCATGTGTGATTACTGAAATCTGTTTTTTTTTTTAACCTTATATTCAGCCAGTGTCTTGTCAGAGATTTCTCTAAATGTCAGGACTATTAGAAAGAAAACAAAACAACAACAAAAACAAAACAAAACAAAAAAACACTCCCAGTCTTTGCTGATTGGTCCTGTGCTGGGACATTCTGTCAACCCTTAGTTAGGCCCCTCATAACTGTGCCTTATCTTTCACTTCCTGCTTGCCCTGACCTAGGTCAGTCACCAGTGAAAGCTTAAGGTCTTCTCAGGTCTTTTCTGAGTGTACACCCTGCCCTGGACATGCCCGTGGGTTTCTAAATTCTCTATTTTACATAGGTACTTTTCAATGCCCTCATTTTTCAAAAGAACTCTTTCCAGCTTTTTCTCCTAGGCTTAATGCTGTATATTGCATGCCTCAACTTTAATCCTTTGCCCCAGGTGGCTGTGGGTTTTTCATTCACCTCACAGTGTTTTCTAGCAATGCCTCCCTATTCTCCACCCTGAGAAGTTCTGAGTTAGGTGAAAAAGAAACAAATAAACTTTGTCCATCCTTCAGGTAGCCCCCAGACAAATTAGAACAGACAAATACAATAATTTGTGAATAAATTCGTCTTTATTCCCTCTGGAACCCTATATGAGGATCCCACAATAGGCACATTGACCTCTGTTCTCAGGGCCACTGCTAAGCCTGGTAAGAGGTGGGACAAAGACAAGTAAAAATGTCACAAAGCTTTCCCATCCTATTTGTCTTTTTCTTGATTTAATGTTCACTTGGTTGCTGTAAACCTTTGAGTTTTCAGCATTCTGACAAAATTGGTTTTGACAGTTTCTACTTGCTTTTCAATATTTCTGTGGAGGGACAGGAGCTTGGAGCTGCCTACTCTGCCATTTTGCTAACATCACACCTGACAAGTGCTATAAAGTAAGAAAAAATAGAGCAGGAAAAGGGAAATCATCAGTGGTCAGGGGTGTTGCAATTTTAAATGGAGTGGTCAAGATACTCTCATCAAGATGTCTTTTGATAAGTGATTTGAATAAATAAAGGAATTATCCAAGTATCTATCAGGGAAAGAGTGTACTGGGCATAGAAAACACTGCCAGGGTCCTAATGAAGGAGCACACTGGGCATGGGTGAGAAACAGCACAGAAACTGGTGAGCCGGAGCACAGTGAGGAAGAGGGAGATGAAGTCAGGATATAAAAGGAGGATCAGATCTCATGGGACCATGCAGGTGATTGCATGGACTTTGCTATTGATTACGAGTAAAGTAAGAGACCATTGTAGGGTTTGAGCACAGGAATAACCTGATCTGTCTTATGTACTTAAAGGATCATATTGGCTATTAGGCTGAATGCAGAATATAGGGTAAGAAGGATAATATCTAGGAGACTGGTAATGAGGTTATTCCCCCCAAAACAAAGAAACAACAACCACCGCAACAAAAAACAAATGAGAGATGACAGTAGGGTGAACCAGGGTGTAATGCTGAAGATAATGAAATAAGTCTGGATTTAAAATATATTTTGAAGCTAAAGTCAATAGGGATTTAGAACAGGAAAAAATATATAAGAATGACTGCAAGGTTTTTTACTTGCATAACTAGAGAGATGGAATTATGATCAGCTGAGATGGAGAATACTATCATTAGAGCAGGTTTTAAGGGAACAAACAGCAATGCCAATTCTGGAGGTGTTAAGTTTGAGATACTTATTAGACATCCAAGTATCTATCCAAGTATCTCAGTATCTGAAGGTAGGCAATTGCAATTAAGTAAGCAACCGGATACATAAGCCTGGAGTTTATGGGAGACATCTGGAAACAAAATTCAATTTTGTGCAGCCATTGAAATATAGATGGTATTTTAAGTAACACAGAAAATAGGGGACCAAAGGACACTTGCTAGAATATTCTGTCACTTGCTAGAATATTCTGTCATCACGAGGATAAGAAAAGAGAAGCCAGACTGGCCAGTGAGGAAGAACAAAAATAATATGAGTATAATTTATTGGAAACCAGGTAACGTAACTGTTTTTAGAGTGGAGCGATTTCATCAGCTTCATCAATGTACTGCTGCGAAGTTAGGCAGAAGTACTGAGAATTGACCATTCAATTTGACAATGTCTCTACATCATTGGTGATTTTTTACATAGACTTATTGCGTCTGAGTGATTGGAAAAAGTCTGGTGAAGTGAATACAAAAACGAACGTGGTGATGTGTCTATAGTGAATACCATCCCCTAGAATTCCCACCAACCTCTTCCCAATTTTTATATGAGCATACCACAGACCTTAAGGAGAACTATAGTCATATAGAACTTTTGAGTATCTTCGAAGAATAGGCCATTGTAAGTGACAAAAAGTCATAATTATGTAGAATAAATAATAATACTGTCCTCTAGAATACCAAGTTGATTTTGCATATGAGGTCATGTTGAGACATACAGATTGAGCAATAACTTAAGAGAAACTTAAATGAGGCAGGTATTTTGCTATCTTAACAGCATGATTCAATTTACTTCTAGTCCTATAATCGCCACCAATTACTCTGTATTGCTAAGAATAGAGAAAACAGATTGGTTCTGGAGTTAACCTACATCAGTTACAGTGTTGGTTGTGACAAAAAATAGCTAGGGTGCTAAGTAGGCATGGATAGATGTTTTTGATAGTCTATTCTAGTGCTTTCATATAGAAAATGAGTGGACAGGATTAAGAGGTTATTGAGAATGTTTTTTAGCCCTAGAATTCTCTGATTTTCTACAAAAAAAAAACTGTGCAAGGTAGACAAAAAGAACTTGAAAGACTGCTGTCAAGAAGAAGAGGTGAGGGAATAAAGAGAAGGAATTACAGGCTTCTTGAAGTTATGGGTACAAAAGTTAAAATGATTAAACAACAAATTTAAGATCTTGAAATACCTCTCTATTTTATTCATGTAGAGGATAAACAACAATGAATGGCATTATTAGAGGAGAGTTTGAAGAAGAACAAGAAAGGGAGCCAAGTAAAGGTGAAGTCTAAAATCTGAAACTGAAAAAAATAAATCTACAAACCGAGTAAGAAAAAGGAGAAAAAAATCACAGGCGTCTTAACATTTTGAAACGTCCTATCTTTTGAATCAACTGCTGCCAAAACAAATTGTTCTGAAACTTGTCCAAAATCTAACTTTTTTCCTTTTTCAGGACATCAGCAATTTATTTGTTTTTTTATCACAAGGACAAGAAAACAGTTTTTATCTGTTTTTACCATTTAGGAAAGCAGGAACTTGGTGCATCACTGGGGAGAAGGAATTAAAGGCTGGGGCTAAGACTTCTCTTCCTTGCAAGCAGTAGATCATGCCAGGAGCTCACAAACTCACCTATGGGCTGTGAAGAACTGTACCTAGTGCAGTAAGAAAGTATTATTAGTTTGGATTGAGTGAGAACAATAAGAAAGAAGTGCTTGAAACTATTAAATACAGGGCTTAATATGAAAGCAAATCAGTAGAGGGAATTGAAAGGGCCATTAAGTTAGCCAAATGGATGGCTGGAAGAAAAGTCATTTATAAATTTGGAAGGTTGAAGGGGTTTTTTAAATGTCCTTTAACAAAAATCAGATGCTGGTTAATCTCTTTTCATTTGGAAAAGGGAAGAAAAAACCCTCTAAATAAGATGGGCATTTTTTAGGCTCAGTATATTCCTGATATTAGGTGTGTGCTGTAGGTTAATTGAAATTTTAAAGTTAAAATGACCTTCTTCTAACTTTAAGTAGAAACTGTTTTTTCCTTAGTCAATTGTAAAAGGAGGATGTTTTACATACTGTTTCCAAGACTAAATTTACTGTACTATTTGTAATTTGTCTGAGAAAATTACTTCCTTAACCTCTTAATACTCCATCCTCTTTAATATTGCAAAAAGAGCTGACTGCTTTTTTCTCTGAATTCACATTTCAGACAAAAATGCCAATTTGTCGTTTGGATTTTAGGAGGTTTTGGCAAGAGACATAGAGTGGTCCAACTTGTGAGTTTTTGAGGTTGTTTCATTGAACTTGCCTTCAACAAACTTTAATTGAGTTCAACCTAGAAATACCAGTAGGTCCTAGCAAAAAAGATATAAGATACTGTGCGTGTTTTAAAGGAACCCATGATTAATTTGGGGAATCAGACAAAAAACATCAGACCATTATAATGTCAGAGGATGGATCGTGATAATAGAGATAAGCTTAGGGGGTTGTGTGTACACCAGTAGATAGAGGGTGCATTAGCTGAAAAAAGTAGGCAACATCAGAGTGAGGCCTTAAAGAACACATAGTAGTTGAACTAAGAAATAAGGGTGGAAGGGTTCATTTAAGGGGGACAGAATTTACAAAGAGCCAAAAGTATCAAACAGTGTGTTAACATGTTTGTTAGGACAAGCTGGAGAAAATGAAAGACTTGTGATGGATATGTGATGGAGATTTTGGCAGGAACAACATCATGGTCTGTATTCATGCCTTCTTGAGACCTGTAGCCTTTGGAATATGGGTTCTAGCATTTGATATCAACCTAGTGCTGAAACCGGTCTTTCTGAGATTTCTAGTGGAGTAGAGAATTTATCTTAGAATGCCTAGAAACCAGAATGTCTACAGTATGGCAAAAGAGTCTAGGACTGATTTACTATTTGAATATATCTACTTAGGTTCAGCCTGCCTGATACCATTAGTAAACTTTACACAAAAGCCAACAGGTTCCTTAATTTATTAGGGCTAAAGAAAAAAACTGACAAAAGATACTGTTTGTTTTTCTCAACTGTTCTTTAGACATATTTCTTGATTTAAAGACACTTATTTTTGTATCTTGTTGCCTTTGATTATTATTGTTAAACTTTTTCTTGAAGTATAATTAGCATAGACTAAGATATGCAAGTCTTAAATGTACCACTCAATGGCATTTTATATATGTATTCACCAAGGTAACCACTACACAAATCAAGACATAAAATATTTCTATCACACCAGATAGATTCTCAGGGTTCCATTTCCTGTCACTAATTCTACCATCCTCATAGAGGTTACTGTTGACTTATCTTTCACTTTATATAAATATAATTATTTATTTATCATACAGTAAATACATTTTTTTCTATTCTTGCACTTCAAAGAATTATGTATGCATGGAAATGTACAGTACCTGTGTTTGTGTGTGTGTTTGTGTGTATCTATGTGCATAGTAGGGGAGTAAAGATTTTTTTCTCATCTATTGCTAGACTCATGGCTGAGACGCCTATAACAAAAGACAAATTAACAAGAGAAAAGCATACAAATCTATTTAATAAAAGTTTTATGTGACACACAAGCCTTTAGCGATGAAAACCAAAAGAAAAAGGGAAACCTGTATATTTTATGCTAAGTATGATAAAGAACTGGACAGTTGTGGAGAAGTATGATTGGACAAAGGGGGTATGATCTAATGGTAATAAACTGGGAAAACATAGCAAGGTCTGTTTGTTCAGACTCTTCTCTCTATCCCTGTCTTTGGAGATAAGGGCAGTTGTGTCCTCCAGATATAGAGAGGATCCTTCTTGAGTGAGAGTTGTATAACATGCTTCAGAGAAGAAGAACAGGAAAAGGCCAGAGAGTAACCTTCCTGCTTCTTCTGTTTCCTCAAATGACAAGGTACCATATTTTGGGGTAGCATATCCTGAACACCATCAGTGGGTGATCAGTGTGTGTGTGTGTGTGTGTGTGTGTGTGTGTGTGTGTGCAACTTCTTTCACCCAACATAATGTTTTGGAAATGGATCCTTACTGTTGCATATAATAGTAGTTCTTTTTATTGCTGTGTAATATTCCATTGTGCAAATATACCGTGATGTATTTATCCATTGATACATCATAAACATTTGTTTTATGAGGGCTCTGTAGATGTAATTTCTGATACTTTCTATTTTAAAGTGAAAGATTGTATTAAGACACAAATATTCCTGTCTTTTTGAAGAAGATGTCTTACTGGGTAAATTCACATTTTTGCACAATTTTTTCAGCTAATGTACCATTTTGACAAAGTATCCTAGTGCTTTTTTCCATCTTCTTTAGGCCTCACTGCTATTGAGTCCCCTAGATGAGCTTTCAATACAGACATACAGTAAAGTCACAAAGAAAAATAATATATATGGATAAAAGGCAGTGGAAAAGTTAGATAATGCAGAAAGATATAGCTATATAATGCAGCCAGTGTTAGAAATGAATTATTTTTGTTCTGACTTGTCACACAAATATACAGTTCATAAGGTTCTGATACTAATAATGATACTAGCAAGTTTTAAATTTAGATAAGAATCCTATTTGTACTTCTAACTATAAACTTAAGTGCCTTATGACCTATGTGTAGGCATGGCATTATATGTAAGCAGAGTTCAATTATTTGATGAAATCAATGAATATAGAAACTAACCTCTGACCAGTCCCAAAAAGTAGTGTAATTAATCATGTAAATTTCCTCCTAAGGAAATAGGTAGTTTTTTAGCTATTTCTGATCTCTCTGCTGTGTGTTTTTTTCCCTGTTCTTATACAACAAACCACAGTAGAACAAAATTTATCTTTTTCTATTTTATTTCATAGTTTAACACTCTTGGGTTTGTGGCAGTTTTATGTTTGTTTTTTTTTTCTCCTAGTCAAATACCAGTTTTCCTAAAGTCAATCACTCTGACACTGATATTTGGAGCACTAATTTATTCTAACCTCAGGGAATTTGCTTTTTAGGAATAAAATGAGCATTAAAATTTCTGTCTGATGTTTTAAAAAAAGTTTTACAGAATTTATTCTACATAAGCCAAGTGAAGCATAGCATATTGGCACTTACTTTTAAGTACCATGGAATTCTAAAAAGTGTTCTTGTCTCAAATTGATTATTTCAACTATCGACATCATTCATGCAGATGCTTATGACTTATGCTATGGTTAGGTTACACCTGGCCTCCATATGTCAACATCAGTGTGAATGGCCTCTGGCAAATTAGTGTGTGATTCCAAGAAAAACCCCAGAATATTATGAACATCGTCAATGGTAAAATAAAAACAGGATTCCCTTGAAATTAGTTGGGTAAAAAATAAAAATGGAATATATGAAGTTTTTAATTATTTTTCCTTCATGAATAGAGTTGTTGGATACCTACATGGAGATATTTCCATAAAATGTTAATGATGACAATAGCAATGATATTAGTAGTGAACTTCTAGTGGACGCTTATAATATGCCAGGTATACAAAATACCATCTTGAAAGTAAGAACTACTTTATTGATATTTCATAGATTAAAAAATGAATACTTGGGTTAAACATTTGCCCAAAGTTACATAAGAATATATCTGCTGAAATTTGGATTTCATTATAAGAGCTATCTGATCCCCACCACCTTTTTGTTTTTTTAAACTTTTATGTATGTATGTATCTTATTTCAGTAGTTTTTGGGGAACAGGTTTTTTTTTGTTGTTGTTACATGGATACGTTCTTTAGTGGTGATTTCTGAGATTCTGGTGTACCTGTCACCCCAACAGTGTACACTGTACCTAATGTGTATTCTTTTATCCCTTGCCCCTCACCCCTCTTCCCCCACCCCAGTCCCCAAAGTCCATTAAATCATTCCTATGTCTTTGTGTCCTCAAAGCTTAGCTCTCACTTATAAGTGAGAAAATATGATATTTGTTTTTCCATTCCTGAGTTGCTTCACTTAGAATAATGGTCTCCAACTCCATCCAGGTTGCTGACGATGCCATTATTTCATTCCTTTTTATGGCTGAGTAGTATGCCACCTACCACTACTTTCTTTACTACTTTATACTCTATATAGGGAGTGGGAGATGTACGAGTTGAAGCACAAAATTCGTTATCCTCTTTTGAAAATGAGCTAGGGGAAGTACTGAAAGTGGCGTATGGTCGTTAGAAATGTACCTTTTGTAATGGCATCAGTGTCTCTGATTGACTTCCTTAGAAGCAGAGTCGAACTCAGGGATTCTGGGGCATACATTATTGAGGCATTGCTTATGGAACAAAGGAAACAAGTAAGCAAGAGTATGTTTGCCACTGGAGTCTCGCTTCCCCCTGAACACACGGTGATCTCTGGAGCATGAATTGTACAAGAGAATTGGTCACTGAAAGGCAAGAGGGATGGATATGTGTATTCCAGAGTCAGTCATTCATTAGCCACAGGCTGTCTCTAGGAATGAGTTATAAATAACTTTGGAGTCAGCTCCTGTTCAGCCAAAGGAGAGGGAGATAGTTGTGAATCATTAGCAGCCTATCCCACATAGTGCATCTTTTTTAGGAGTAAGAGGGGAAAGGCACAATAACTACTTTTACTTTGAAAGGTTAGTCTTGACATGTCCCAGGCTAGCAGCCCCTCTCCACCCCATAACACCAACAAAAACTAAAAACAAACTGTAACTGGCATAGTAGGATCCTAAATCTTTGTAATGTGTATTTCTCACCATCTGGTGCACATCTGTCTTACTAAGGCATCTGGAGAACTTGCTGCTTATCGTTCAACATGTCTGATTAATATGATATCATCAATATAGTGGTTTCATCTGATTTTCTGCCAAATGGCCACAATGTTAAAATATACTGTAGCTTACATATACTGTTGTTCCTCTCATGTGAAAGCAAGCTGCTTCTTATACTCTTTTCTTTGAGATATTAGAAAAATACAAAAAACTAATTTGCCAAGTCAATGGCCACATAACGTGTCATGGTTTTGTTAATCTTCTCTATAAATATAATCACATTGTTACAGAAATATTTCTAAAACAATGTTAATGATTACAACAATGACAGTAGTGAACTTCTAGTGGGCACTTATAATATGCCAGGTATTATGAAATGTAATCTTGAAAGTAAGAACTACTTTAGAGCTATAATTTGATCTACTAGTTGGTTTACTTTGCCCACTATAATCTATCAAAATTAAGCTGTTTTTTATAAGGAGCAAGCTAGTAAGATCATGGATATGATGGATATTACCACCCTTGCTTTCTTTAAATCTTTACGGGTGGCACCAATTTCTCATGCCTTCCCTCAAAGGTGTAATATAGTTCATTCTAATTATATATTAGGACCCAAGGAAACCAGTACTGTGTGAATCCATGAACCACCTGTGAAACAAACCTGGACCAGGACTCCATTTATTTCCTGATCCAGAACTTCCATTCTCATGTGTGTTTTCAGGCAATGGTGGTCAGCATCATGATTTTCATCCCTGCGTATGAGCTTCAACTCAGGTGTATGAAAGATTCCTTGAAAAATCTAGTTACTCTCCTTAGTGTACAGTTTTCAAAGTTAATGTCATAGGTTCATTTAAGGAAGAAGTGGAGGAATCACTTCTCTATTTACTTATAATGTTGCAAGGTCCTACCTCACGGGGAACTTCAGTCAATGAATTCTGAATCTGGAAACTGGGCAAAGAATTCTGACTTTTCCCTGGACCTGCTGACCTCAGCCCAGTTCTATAACAGTATCTTCTGTTAGTCACAGCTTACAAAGAACAGCCTCTTATGGCCTTTTCAGTGAGTATGGATTCCCCATATGCCAGAGTAAAAGGTGTACCTACGGGTCCCCTCAAGTGACCTAGTTCGTCTCTGTGTTTTCCTTTCTCACATAATAGTCACATACTAGCAAGTCTTTTTGTTTGTTGGTTTGTTTTACTCTGAGCATTGTTATTTCTTCCTTCACTTTCTGCTAAGGAATTCTGGCATCTCGACTTCATTTAAAGCCGTTGCTTTTTTTTCAAGTTCCCGGGAACCATCTCAACCCTGCATAGAGGGGCCCTCAGAATCCTTGACAAAGTGTTGAGTCATAGACAAATCTCCAATATCAGCAAATTCTCTTGTATCCAGCTTTATAGTCTGGCCTCTTCTAACCTTGGCCCAGCACCTGTAGAATCTATTTTTAAACATACTCTCCTAGTTTCTTCCAGTATATATCAGCCAGGTCCTGCAGCTTTTCCAACGTGTAATTTATCTCCTCACTTAGCAGGCTAGCACTTTCTCAGTTGGGCCACACAGAGATTTAAACCCAGTGGATTTTTTCAGTCGCCAGGATGGGAGAAGAGACAGAGCCTCATTGCCTTGCAGACCACCTGCTTCCTTCTAAGCTTTTCCAGAATCTTCAAACAAGAGCCCCTCAACTGTCTTCTAACATGAAGAGTGGGCCAGAGGTTTCAGGGGATTCTGGGTATTGAAAGTTCTCAAATATATTTACCGAGCTGTCACCATGCTAAGTGAGGTGAGGGAGATGGTTACTTCCTTCGTTAGGTCTTGTTTTACCTAAAGGGAATTATTTTGTGAACAAAAATACAAAGAAATTTTGACCAAAGGACCAAAGATTCTCTAGAGCAAAGCTTCTCAAATGTTTGCATTTACTGAATCACTTGCTGGGTGAACTTACTAAAACACAGATTGCTGGGCCTCAATCCAGAGTTTCTGATTTGGTATGTCTGGAGTAGGATAAAAGTCTTGCATTCAAGTTCCCAGGTGATGCTGATGCAGCTGGCTCAGCTCAGGGACCACACTTTGAGAACCTCTGCTTTGGAGAAAGGGGCAGTCCTGAGCCATTTAGCAGCCAACACACTCAGCAACTGAGGGATAGATATCCCAGCCTGGGAAAGGAGACCAGCGGAGTACCAAACTGTCCAGCACAACCAGTGCCACATAAATCTAAATGGTGTTGACATAACCATTCTGGTCAAAGGTAATTCATTTCAGAACAGCATGTCTATATGCATCTCTATATATTGAGTCTTTTAAATATTTGTAGTGTTAACAAAATTAATATGAATACTTTTATTCTTCCAATTGATGTACCAATTAAAACATTGGGTATTTATGAGCTTCCTCCCAAATTTGTTAGTTTACAGTTTTTTTGTCTCTCTCTCGACAATGAAGAAATGCATGCCTACATCAGATCATGAGCGAGAAACAGCACCAAAGCCAGACCTGAATGTGTGTTTCATCGTAATGAGTAACTACTTAAGGAAGCATCCATAATAAAAATAAATCCAACTTGTCTAAGAAAATAAACTACCCCTTCTACACCTCCCCGCCCCCGGCCCCAAAGCATGAACACTACTTGATTCTTGGCAAAGTGAAAAGAGCTTTGAAATTAGATTTAAGTGACAACCACAGTAATTAAAGGTATCAACATCTGTTGAACAACAGTAGGCAAAAAAAAAAGAAAAAAAAACACATTATTTTGAGAGAAAAACAACACCCTAATTGTGGTTTTATACAAGGAGGCCTCTTTAAAGTTCAAATTATAATTATTGAATAGGTGTCTCACTTCTTCAGTGTTGGGCTAATTTTGTCTTGAGAACATCTTAGGTGGGACGGCAGGTGAGTTACTTTTATGTTCTTTTAAACTGCAGATGGTGATGCATTACATAGCAAGTGATTATAGCATTTTTTCTTTAAAGAGCTGAAAGTTAAAAGTGTTCTCAGGTGGTATTTGTTGTTAATGGCCATATCATTAGTTAATGGGGTTTAATTAAGCACCCTACGTATCAAGAGAAAGGAAAAGATATTGAGCAGAAGCAAAGGACATTTAGAAAAGGAGACTGGGGGCTGGGCACAGTGGCTCACACCTGTAATCCCAGCACTTTTGGGGGCCGAGGCGGGTGGATCATCTGAGGTCAGGAGTTTGAGACCAGCCTGACCAACATGGCGAAACCCCATTTCTAGTAAAAATATAAAATTAGCCAGGTGTGGTGGCACAAGCAACTCAGGAGGCTGAGGTAGGAGAATTGCTTGAACCCGGGAGGTGGAGGTTGCAGTGAGCCGAGATCACGCCATTGCACTCCAGCCTGGGCAACACAGTGGAACTCCGTCTCAAAAAAAAAAAAAAAAGTTTATCCCAATTATTTTGCCCACAATCTATCCTCACCACTATAATTCCTTAAAGATACCTGTATTTTCTCCTCACTACACTTATCAAAATTATATTTAAATACTTACATAAATATTTGTTTAATATCTGTGTTCCCAGAATATAAGCTTTATGAGACTACAGATGGCATCTCTCTTGTTCATCACTAGCATGGTGCCTGGCACATAACAGGTGCTCGAAGAAACTATTGAAGATGTTAATTGGTTAATTAAAGTGCTTTTCTGTATTTGCCCAGTATCTCTGGAGCTAACACTCATCCTGAGCATGCCTGTGAAGTTATTGTTTATTGCTCAAATTGCATTTTATCAAATAATTATAACTCAGGAAAAAATATTCTTATATTGAGTATTTTAAACATGGGCTCCAAGTGAATATTCATGAATTTCTTTATTGCCAGATCTCAGGGTGTACCTTTCCCCATTATCATTCTACCAATCTAAAATATTGCTGACTCCCCTCTGCCTCCTATCAGAAGGAAGGAAAAGGAGAGGAGAGGAAAGAAAGCATAAGAAAGAAAAGAACTATTGCTATCCTTTTCCTCAATTTAAATTCTATTATGTAATCCAATTGGGGTCAACAAAGAAATATTGATTCTAAACTCCAGTTAACATATTCATATTTATATATCTGTATTTATTCATATATTTAACATTTTGACCTTTATAGTGTTATCTAAGTGCAAAATTATCTTTCCACATTTGCCTCCAAAAATCCCATTGCCACTCCCTAGTATAAAGTATTCCTAAAATTGGAAGGCAGTTGGATGACTTGATTTTCACACCAACTTTTGCTCTTTAATCTCTAATGAAGCTTATTAAGATATAAACATTCCTGAGCCCTATAACACGAGGTGGACCAGGTGGGAAGAGATGTCATAATATTTGCATGTTTAACAAATCCTTCAGGTGATCCTGATGTATAATCAAAGCTGACCTTAAACTCACCTAATTTCAAAAGCAACCATTTATTGAACATCTGCGTTGAGCAGGATGCTATTCTAAATAATGTATCAGAACATTGTAAGTCCTACAGAAAACTTATGAAAATATAAGTGATATTTACTTCTTTGTGTAGATGAGGAAAACAACACTTTGAGAGGTGATGATTTTGGTCAGGGCTACTAGCTTCCAAGTTCCAAAGCCAGAAATTGAACACAGGGCCCTCTAATGCTGAAATCCCTGCTTTTTTCATCCCACTGCAAAACCAACTATGGCACTAAAATTCAGTGACTGCGGCTTATTTCAACTTTAGAATTAGCAAAGATTTTTCCCATGAAAAGACATATTTTAAAAGGCTGATTTACCAAGGTAACAGATTAGGAAAAATTTTCTAACTCATCGTCATGGCTTTTGTGTCCTATACCATTTGATTAAAAAGTTTTTGACACTGTGGATACCCTGATAATGTAGTCTGGTTTAGAATCTTTGAAGAAAGGTTTGATGTAAGAGAAACTATTGATTTGTGTGCCCCCAAACCATTTCCAACCGATTCTTCACTGCTAGGTACTTAACAATTAGTATTTTAGCTTCCCTGCTGCTTTGAGATGGCCAGGTGTCTGAGTTCTGGCCCATAGGATGCTAGCAATAGCACAGCCCTTTGAACCTTGACCCCTTCTCTATACCTTACTGGTAGATGTGATACCTGGAGCTGCCTTTGCCTGTGAGTCACTAAGTCAACCTGGCAAGGACAATAGAGAATGCAATTCAGAATGCACCTGTGTATCTGGTAACTGTTGAGCCTCAGTGCCAGCCCTAGACTTTCTGCTTTTGGAATACTTGTTAGGCAAGACAAATGCACCTCTTTAAGGTCTGTGAGTCACTAATTCTATTTCTTGTAGCTAAATGCATTCCTCTCTGACATGAATTTTCCTAGACATAGCAAATTGCACTATAAACCCCTCACAGGTGATTTTTTTTCTTTATTTCTGTGGTGCCCAGGGCCGAGTTTTGCAGATAGTAGAAACCCTAGTAAGTTTGCATGGTGATGAGTATATGTGGGATGGATTTTGATGGATTTCAGTATGTCTACCTTCCGCCTTATGAGACTTGTTAGTCTCTTTGCAGGTGCTCTTCCTTTTCAACATAACTTTACGTTTTCTGAGAGTTAGCTTTGATAAAGAACCATAAATAAAAGCAAATCTCAGCCCCCACCCCCACCACCCCTTAGTTTAAAACCTGGCCTGTGTTAAGGATGTTAGTTCTGTGACATTAGTGTTAATCATAACCTGCCTTCTGCCATGAAAGACATCATCAAAGTATTTGAACCAAGGCCACAAAATCACTAGAGGAACATTCCGATGACAAATTTTCTCCTAAACCTTGTTACTTCACTACTGCTTCCAGGAGGAGAGAAACAGGTTCCCAAGGTGCTCATTCTAGTAGGACAGCTAGACTGGAAACTGTTCCATCCATCATTTAACAAGCAGGGTCCTTTCAACCGTGCCTCGCCATAAATTGGTTCACCCTTCCACCCACTTGCATTGGACCTTGGATAAGCTACTTGGTCCACAATGAGCAAGACTGCATTGCCGGTAATTGAGAAGTTGCAGCCTGATTTATTCTTTGTGAATGGGTATGTGGAGCTGCCCAGTGATGGGCTGCACTTCTCCTTGCCCTGCTTTGAGGAGTTGAGACTCAGCCTTTTTAGAGCAAAGCCAGGTGAATGGATTAGACTGGAATTTCTGAAAGAGTGATATGTGTACTATAAAAAAGGTGATTTTTAGCTATATATAAATGAATATTTAAAAAATTTCAACAGTCTTATATTTCTATATGTAACTTAAAAGTATACCTGGTGTGTCTCATCTATGATTTCATGGCTGTTCAGTAGCATTGTGTGTGTATACGTGTGTGTGTTTATATTTCCTTTAAACTTATGTTCATATATCTGTGAGTGGGGGTATATATGCATGGATGTATGTATACTTAGATATGCATAACATATATGCATCTATTTCCTTTTAAAATGTACTTATTTGAGTAAACAGTGTTTTATTATAGAGAAATATATTAATTTTCCAGTTGTGTAGATGGCATATGGATTTAACAAACATTTTGAGGATGTTACATGAATGACTAGTGTTTGGGAGTCACTCAATAGTATGATTTGCTCAACTCTTAAGAATGCCAGTGAGAAGAAGAAAGGTAATTAAACAACACAGAAGGTAATGTTCATGTTACCCAATCACAGAGGTTGAGGCATGGGGTATCCACTTCAAAAGATAGAAGGAATTCTCTCTAAATGAACCCAAAAGGTCTCGTAAAAGCACACTTCAGTCAGTTTGTCAAATATATATTGAATTCCTGCTGTTTTTAAGGCATCATCTTGATATGTTAGCAGCACAGACATGTTCAAGATATACTTGACGTTTTCAGTGATTCTATAATGGTATAAGGAAAAGTCTGTCACAAAACCCTCCAGTGACTTTCTGTCCCTGGAAGAAAACCCATTTCTGTGTTGATTTACAGGGACTGCAAGCTGACCTCCATCCTCAAGTCTTAGCCCTCTTCTCTCTGTCCCCCTTGTAACAGCCATACAGGCTTACTTCCTTTCTTTCCCTTTTTAATGTGGTTCGGCTCTGTTCCCACCCAAATCTTATCTTGAATTGTAGATCCTGTAATTCCCACATGTTGTGTGAGGGACCTGGTGGGAGATCATTGAATCATGGAGTTGGATCCCCCATACTGTTCTTGTGGTAGTGAATAAGTCTCAGAAGATCTGATGGCTTTATAAGGGCTTTCCCCTTTCATTTGGCTGTCATTATCTCCTGCCTGCCGCCATGTAAGACATGCATTTCACCTTCCACCATGATTCTGAGGCCTCCCCAGCCACGTGGAACGTGAGTTCATTAAAACTCTTTTTCTTTATAAATTACCCAGTCTTGGGTGTGTCTTTACCAGTAGTGTAAAAACAGACTAATACCCCTTCCTCCAGGGCACCATGTTTGTTCCTACTTTCACACCTAGAGACAGGATGGTCTTTCTATCTGGAATCTTCTTTCTCTTTATTTTCATAGGGCTGATTTATTCCAATTACCTTATCTCACCTGAATTGTCACCCTTCAGAGAGGCATCTCATGAACACCACATCATCTCACCCTGAGCCCCTGTAAGAGCTTGCTATCTTACTTACCTTGTTGATTTTTCTTTACAACACTTATGAATATCTGAAAATCACCTTATGTGTTACCTGTGTTCCCCAGGAGAACAAAAACTCCACAAGATCGGGGATCCATGTCTCTCTTAGTTAATACTGTATTCCCTCTATACTAAAGTTTTTAAAATAAAGGCTGGCACACATTAGATACTAAATAAATATGTTTAAATGAATGAATAAAGAGGAGGCATGAAGGCTTATGGCCAAATCTCAAAAACATTATAGAGTAGAGTGAGCGTGTCTGAAAGGGTGATCAAAAGAGTGTCATGATGGAGAAGGAACTTGGTGGAATCCTAACAGACAGAGCTGGAAGATTGGAGAATTTCCTTGAAGAGCAGAATTAAATGATCAAAAGGTTAGATAAAATAATCAAACAATTTGAAGGATGTTTTTAAAATACAGCAGAAGCAGAGACTCCAAGTGGACATACCACGGCTCAAATTACTGTGTAAGACACAAATATTCCACTCTGAAAGCATAATTCAATTTTTCTTCTCTAGTCATCTAGCTAATCTCTGTGAGATAGCAGCATGGACCCTATAGCCAAAAGCACCTGAAACCCTGAAGCTTGAGTCATGGACATGCAGGCCTCATTATTCCACATATTTCCAGGAGCTTTTGGGAAAACCTATATCATAGCACAGTATCTCATGTGTTGGAGCTCTGTCTTGTGCTTAATACTTGTTGTATGGCATAAAAGCAGTCTCTTTTCTGCGGAGCCTCAATTTCCCCCTAGGTAAACAGCACAGAGGTAGCTCTCTAAGGGCTCTACCATTATTAAAGAATTAGAGAAGAATCAAGGGATTCAATGTCAATTATATTTTTTAAAGGTTCCCATGCAGTTTGACACTGAGAAGTAGCAAAACCTGAAGTAATTATATTGAGCGTGTCTGGAAAAGGATGTTGAAACTTAAAGGAGGTGAGAGAGGAGTGTGACTCAGACTGTGATAGGATCAGAAGTAATGGTAGGAAACGGTCAAGTTATAGGTATATTTTATAGGTGTATACAAGAGGAATTTTCCTTTCGTCTAGAGTAGACTTGACATCCTTGCAGCACTAAGTAAAATAACAGTGACACCACACCTGAGCAGGATATTAAACGAGGAAAGTGAACATCAGCCTAGCATCCCATGGGTTACTGCTTTTCTGAGTTTGCACAAATGTTTGGAACTTACATAACTAATTCCTCCTCATTATCTAATATGATTCTCCCAACAACTTTGTGTGGGGAGAGGAGGAGAATAGACAATTTATCTTAGGGAAAGAAATAGAACTAAGATCATATACCTGGTTAATAGTGAGGGTTGGACTTTGGCTGCAGCCTTCTGTTTCCATACAGCTATGATCAAAGAAAATTTGTGTTGAGAAAGGCAATGAAATATATTCACCATATCAAATCGTTTTTCCAAGTAGCATACATACATAAGCTTTGAAATCATGGAGTATGTCTTTGCCTAATTCCCCTCTGGTTTATATATGAATGAATATCAGAATCAATAACAACCAAGTCTTGAAAGATCTTTTCCTTGAGTTAAAGACATGTTTCTCTAAGGGGGAAAATGGTGGATAAGAGATAGGAGTAACATGCAGCTCCCACTTAGATGAACAGAAATAGCGTGTGGAGACTCACATTGTGAACTTATGCTCCAAGAACCACGACAGGAACATACCAGGAAAACTGAAAGAATTCACAGAACCTTTGAAAGAAACAGCTTACTGCTGCAAGCTCTGTGAGACAGTTGAAAAACTTGGCCTCAGCAAGCCCCACCCAACGAGAGTCTGAGCTCTGAACTGCCTAACCCTGCCCCTACTGGATGGATGGTTTTTTCTACCAGCCCTGGTAGCTAAAGGCAACAGACATAAACTTTTGGGAGCTCTATGGCTCCTCCCATCACTTGAGAAACACAGGTACTTATCCTAGCCAATGCAGGGCAAGCTTATATCCCCCTTCTACTACCATAGCTGGTGCTTTCTTGAAAGTGCCACCTCCTGGCTGGAGGTCAATCAAGTCAAGCCATTATAGCAACTCATAACAGAACAACCCTGCTCCAAAGAATGAAAAAACAACAGCTAATTCCACTGCCTGCAACACCCTGGCTAACCTGAGTCTGCCCACATGACAACTTCTCTGCTAGCATAACCAACATTTGAGAAAACCAGTGCACTAAGCAAAACTACACCCAAAGACTCCCACAGAGTCCACTTTACTCCCCTGCTACCTCCACCTGAGCAGGTGCTGGACCTGAAGAGGGATCAAATTACAAGTCTCTTTGCAGACATTCGCCAGCACCAGCCCAGAGCCCGGTAGCCCCACTGTAGGGCTAGCCCCCAGAAGGGCAATAAAAATCACTGCAGTCTGCCTCTTAAGAAGCCCCATTCCTAGGGGAAGGAGGAAAGCACCACATCGAGGGATCGCCCCATGGGGCAAAAGAATCTGAACAGCAGTCCTTGAGTTACAGATCTTTCCACTGAAACAACTGAACCAGAAAAGTAATTCTGGTAATATGACAAAATGAGGTTCTATAACATCCCCAAAAGATCACACTAGCTCTCCAGCAATGGATCCAAACCAAGAAGAAATGCCAGATAAAGAATTCAGAAGGTTGATTATTAAGCTACTCAAGGATATACCAGAGCAAGTTGAAAACCAACATAAAGAAATTAAAAAAAAATACAGGATGTGGATGAAAAAGTCTCCAGAGAAATAAATATTATAAAGAAAAAACAATCAAAACTTCTGGAAAATAAAGACACACTTAGAAAAATGCAAAATACACTGGACAGTTTCAGCAATAGAATCAAACAATTAGAAGAAAGAACTTCAGAGCTCGAAGACAAGGCTTTTGAATTAAGCCAATCAGACAAAGACAAAGAATAAAGAATTTAAAAAATGAACAAAGCCCCTAAGAAATTTGGGATTATGTTAAATGACCAAACATAAGAATAATTGTTGTTCCTTAAGAGAAATCTGCAAGTTTGGAAAATGTATTTAAGGGAATAATCAAGGAAAACTTCCTTGGTCTTGCTAGGGAGCTAGACATCCAAATACAAATAGCTCAAAGAACACCCAGGAAATTCATTGTAAAAAGATGATCACCTAGGCACATAGTTATCAGATTATCTAAATTCAAGATAAAGGAAAGCATCTTAAGGACTGTGATAAAAAGTATCACCTGTAAAGGAAAACCTATCAGATTAACAGCAGATTTCTCGGCAGAAACCCTCCAAGCAGGAAGGGATTGGGGTCCTATCTTTAGCCTCCTTAAACAAAATAATTATCAGCCTGTCAGCTCAGACAAACAAATGCTGAAAGATTTTGCCTGCTACCAAGCCAGCCCTACAAGATCTACTAAAAAGGGTTCTAAATCTTAAAATAAAACCTGAAAATATACCAAAATAGAATCCGCCCAAAGCATAAATCTCACAGGGACCCACAAAAAAAATAGAAAAACAAAAACAAAAACAAAAACACAACATACATAGGCAACAACTAGCATGATGAATAGAACAGTACCTCATATCTCAATACTAACATTGAATGTAAATGGCCTAAATGCTCCACTTAAAAGATACAGAATGGCAGAACAGATTAAAAGTCTATCAACCAAGTATCTGCTGTCTTCAAGAGACTCATCTAGCACATAAGGACTCACATAAACTTAAGGTAAGTGGGTTAAAAAAAGATATTCCATGCAAATGGAAACCAAAAGCGAGCAGAAGTAGCTATTCTTATATCAGACAAAACAAACTTTAAAGCAACAACAGTTAGATAAAGAGGAACATTATTTAATGATAAAAGGACTAGTCTAACAGGAAAATATGACATAAATATATATGCACCTAACACTGGAGCTCCCAAATTTATCAAACGATTACTACTAGACCTAAGAAATGAGATAGACAGCAACACATTAATTGTGGGGGACTTCAGTACACCATTGACAGCACTAGACAGGTCATCAAGATAGAAAGTCAACAAAGAAACAATGGGCTTAAGCTATACACTAGAATGAATGGACTTAACAGATATTTACAGAACATTCTACTCAACAACTATAGAATATACATTCTTTTCATCAGCACGTGAAACATTCTCCAAGATAGACCATATCATAGGCCACAAAACAAGTCTCAATAAGTTTAAGATAATCTAAATTTTATCAAGTACTCTCTCAGACCACAGTGAAATAAAATTGGAAACTAACTCCAAGAGGAACCTTTAAAACTATGCAAATTATGCAAATTAAGTAATCTGCTCCTGAATGATCTTTGGGTCAACAAAGAAATTTTGATGGAAATTTAAAAATTATTTGGATTGAATAATAGTGACACAACCTATCAAAACCTCTGGGATACAGCAAAAGTGGTGATAATAAGAAAGTTTATAGCATTAAATGCTTACATAAAAAGTTTGAAAGAGTACAAGTAGACAATTTAAGCTCATACCTCAAGGAACTAGAGAAACAAGAACAAACCAAAACCCAACCCAGCAGAAGTAAAGAAACAACAAAGATCAGAGTAGAACTAAATGAAATTGAAACAAAAAAATACAAAAGATAAATGAAACAAAAAGCTGTTTCTTTGAAAAGATAAGCAAAATCAATAGACCATTAGTGAAATTAACCACAAAAAGAAGAGAGAAGATCCAAATAAGCTCAATTAGAAATGAAATGGGAGGTATTACAACAAATACCACAGAAATACTAAAGATCATTCAAGGCTACTGTGAACACCTTTATGCACACAAACTAGAAAACCTAGAGGACATAGATACATTCCTGGAAATAAACAACCCTCATAGATTAAATCAGAAAGAAAAAGAAACTGAACAGACCAATAACAAGCAGTGATACCGAAATGGTAATTTAAAAATTGCCAAAAAAAGGTCTAGGACCAGATGGATTCACAGCTGAATTCTATCAGACATTCAAAGATGAATTGGTACCAATCCTATTGAAACTATTCCAAATGATAAAGAGGGAATTCTCCCTAAATCATTCTATGAAACCAGTATCACCATAAAACCAAAACCAGGAAAGAACGTAACAAAAAAAAACACAGACCAATATCCCTGATGAAGATAGATGCAAAAATTCTCAACAAAATACTTGTGAACTGAATCCAACAGCATATCCAAAAGATAATATGCCACGATCAAGTGGATTTCATACCTGGGATGCAGGGTTGGTTTAACATACGCAAGTCAATAAACTTGATATAGCACATAAACAGAATTAAAAACAAAATTCATATGGTCATCTCAATTGCAAAAAAAAAGCACTTGGCAAAATCCAGTATTCCTTTATAACTAAAACCCTCAGCAAAATTGGCATAGAAGGGACATACCTTAAGGTAATAAAAGCCATCTGTGACAAACCCACAGTCAACAGTATACAGAATGGGGAAAAGTTGAAACCATTTCCCCTGAGAACTGAAACAAGACAAGGATGCCCACTTTCACCACTTTTATTCAACATAATACTGGAAGTCCTCACCAGAGCAATTAGACAAGAGAAGGAAATAAAGAGCATCCAAGTCAGTAAAGAGGAAGTCAAACTGTCTCTGTTCACTGATGATATGATTGCATACCTAGAAAACCCTAAAGTCTCATCCAAAAATCTCCTAGATCTGACAAATGAATTCAGTAAAGTTTCAGGATACAAAATCAATGTACACAAATCAGTAGTACGGCTATACACCAAGAGCGACCAAGCTGAGAATGAAATGAAGAGCTCAACCTCTTTCACAACAGCTGTAAATCTATATATAATATTTGGGAATATGCCTAACCAAGGAGGCGAAAGATCTCTACAAGGAAAACTACAAAACACTGCTGAAAAAAAATCATAGACAACACAAACAAATGAAAACACATTCCATGGTCATGAATGGGTAGAATCAATATTGTGAAAATGACCATACTGCCAAAAGCAATCTATAAATTCAATGCAATTCCCATCAAAATACCATCATCATTCTTCACAGAACTAGAAAAAACAATAGCATGATACTGGTATAAAAATAGGCACATAGACCAATGGAACAGAATAGAGAATTCAGAAATAAATCCACTTACTTACAGCCAACTGCTCTTTGACAAAGCAAACAAACATAAAATGGAGAAAGGACACCCTATTCAACAAATGGTGCTGGGATAATTGGCAAGCCACACGTCGAAGAATAAAGCTGGATCCTTCTCTCTCACCTTATACAAAAATCAAGATGAATCGAAGACTTAAATCTAAGACCTCTAACCATACAAATTCTAGAAGATAACATAAGAAAACCTCTTCTAGATGTTAGCTTAGGCAAATAGTTCGTGACCAAGAACCCACAACCAAATGCAACAAAGACAAATATAAGTAGATGGGACTTAATTTAGCAAAAAAGCTTCTACACAGCAAAAGAAATAATCAGCAGAGTAAACAGACACCCCACAGAGTGGGAGAAAGTATTCGCAAACTACGCATCCAACAAAGGACTAATATCCAAAAATCTATAAGGAACTCAAATCAACAGGAAAAAAATAATCCCATTAAAAAGTGGGCTAAGGACATGAACAGACAATTCTCAAAAGATACACAAATGGCCAATAAACATATGAAAAAAATGCTAAACATCATTAGTTATCAGGGAAATGCAAATCAAAACCACAATGTGATACCACCTTACTCCTACAAAAATGACCATAATTAAAAAATAAATTAAAAAAAGATATTGACATGGATTTGGTGAAAAGGGAACACTTATACATTGCTGGTGGGAATGTAAACTAGTACAACCACTATAGAAAACTGTATGGAGATTTCTTAAAGAACTAAGAATAGAACTGCCATTTGATCCAGCAATCCCACTACTGGGTATCTACCCAGAAGAAGTCATTATATGAAAAAGACAGTTGCACATGCATGTTTATAGTAGCAAAATTCATAATTGTAAAAATATGAAACCAGCCTAAATGCCCATCAAACAATGAGCAAATAAAGAAAATGTGGGATATATATAAATATATATATCCCCCCTTAAAGCATACATTTATATATTATATATCATCTACATATATATTTATGTACACACACACACACACACACACACACACCCCATGGAATACTATTCAGCCATCAAGATGGATAAAATAATGGCATTTGCAACAACGTGGATGGAGTTGGAGACCATTATTCTACATGAAGTAACTCAGAAATGGAAAACCAAACATTCTATATTCTCACCTATAAGAGGGAGCTAAGTTATGAGGATGCAAAGGCATAAGAATAATATAATGGACTCTGGGGACTTGGGGGGAAGTGTGAGAGGGTAGTGAGTGGTAAAGACTACACATTGGGTGCAGTGTACACTGTAGGGGTGATGGGTATACTAAAATCTCAGAAATTACCACTAAAGAACTTATTCATGTAGCTGAACACCACCTGTTCCCCAGAAGCTATTGAAATAAAAATAAAATAAAAATTAAAAATATACTAACCTTAAAAAAAGACATGTTCCTCTTACATGAATCGTTAAGTACAACAAGCAACTGTAGCTGGTTCTCTGGAAGTTCAAACAGCATTTCATGACCACATGGGGGACATTCGCCCTTTGAAGTTCACACCATGGATGCTCTGTGAAAATGTCTGTATTGAGATCACTGGACCACTGGTATTGAAACTGGAAAATTCTCTTCATTTGCTGTCATGATTGTAGAAATAAAGGTAGCTTATTGTCTCCTAAACAAGCGTATAAATTTGGGGTACACTAGTGTTGAAACCAACAAATTATCTCCCTTTGGTTTCATGATAATAGAAATAAATTGAGGCCTATAAACTTGGCCTTTTATCATGTAAATTCTGGGCTAGCTGTAGTTTCATAAACAGAGACTACTTTCCAGGCTGGGGAAAAAAAAAAAAACAATACTCCTACCTGGCATCAGCACCTGACAATATCACCTTTTCATATCTGTGTCTTTCATAAAAATGTCAGACTTTTAAAACCAGAAATCATCAAGCCACAAAGTATTATATTTAGCAATAGTTTGATAATTCAAATTGGATTAAAGGATCATGTCCCAAATATGTTCTAGGTAGGGATATGATTACACACTTGGAATCTCTTTAAAGAAAAGCTCTAGAGAAATCCACTTTATCCTCTCTGAATTGCCTAAGTAGCAGTGGCCATTCAAAATTTGCTTGGATGGAATATATACCTGCAAGAGATTGGAAAGCAATCAAAAAAACAAAAACCAAGACAGTAGGTGCCAGCTCTTTTGTTTCATTGCTGGTTTGCCCCTCTTTTTCTTTCTCAAGCCAGCCTAAGACATGGGAAATACACCCTGTTGCCAAGTACAGCAATTGACCACAGGGTTCAAACTTTCCGTTGCAATGGGCATCCTATGTTAATTCAGCAGCTTATCTAGAGTTTCTGGTCTCTGATAGAATCTATAACACTCCCTGTGGAGTACGGACAGTGTTCCTTTGCACAGGGCATTGACACGATTTTGGGGTGGCCTCCTACGACCTCTGAGCTCCACCCTCCATTAAAGTTGGCTTAGAGCAATAGTTAAGCAGAAGTTGCTAGGAAGATCAGCATTCCTGGTGCACAGGTTCCCTGTTTTAAAGGAATTGATCCAAGGGAAATCCTGCTTCTTCATGGCAAGGAACAAAGTCAATCATATCTAAGTATGGGAGGGGTGAACTGAAGTGCTTTGCTGAATGCTCTCTGGGTGTTTGGAGGAATGAGCTTTGTGATTTTTTTTCCTAAATGGATGGTTGAATTGTTTCAACTACTGCAAAAAACACATTCTACCAAGTATGAAAGGATTCCAGTGACCGCTGACTGTGTTCATTTAGAGAGCAGAAGAAGAAAAATACAAGTAATCCACGGAACAATAAATTCTTGGCTTTAAATGTAATTATCTAGGAGTCTGAATCCTTGCATAGCTAAGAAATAACTTTCCTAAAAATCATTTTAAATATTCAGAGTATAGTAATATTATTATATTTCTTCTAACACTCAAAAGTTCAAGAGCTCTTATATGTTGAATATTTGATCTCACATCACAGTCACTAGGATAGTTTTAATATTTCTGTGAAATAATAAGGTTCTTTTAAACAAGAACTGTGTCATATTTATCTTCTTTGAATGTGTTATGGTGTCCGGGGTCAGTGTGTCCATGAATATAGTACATTTTCAATAAACATATTGTATTAGTTCGTTCTCACACTGCTATTAAGAACTGCTCGAGACTGGGCAATTTATAAAGAAAAGGGGTTTAATTGATTCACAGTTCCGCATGGCCAGTGAGGCCTTAGGAAACTTACAATCATGGCAGAAGGGGAAGCAGACACATCTTACATGGCAGCAGGTGAGAGAGTGTGTATGGGAAGCAAAGAGAGGAGAGCCCCTTATAAAACCATCAGATCTTGTGAGAACACACTCCCTATCATGAGAACAGTATGGGAGAAATGGCTCTTGTGATCCAGTCACCTCCCACCAGGTCTCTCCTTCAACACCTGGGGATTACAATTCAAGATGAGATTTGGGTGAAGACATGACGCCTAACCATATCACATCTATTACTGGGTTTCCGTGATATCCAGTCTTCGTTAGAAAGAGGGCATCCCCAGAAGAAAGTGCCCTTGCCCTCAACCATAATACCTCAGTTTTGGATTAATCACTTTTGCCACTTTATTCTAGAGAAAGGAACAAATAAATATCCATGAGAAGCAAAAGAATTAGTAATTGCAAATCTCTGACCAGGAGCCTTAAGTGAAATCAATGTTCTGTCACAAAAGCCAGCTTGAATTATCTTTGCAATGTGTTCTAACAGTGCAAGGGTAGGAATTACGTGTCTGCATCAAGTCTAGAACTGGTAGTGAGGGCTGGTATTTATTGCTTCCCCTGCTTGTACCTGGCACCTGCAGAGAGACAGGCTCTGCCTCTCACAGCTTCCTGTAGCTAAGAGGAAACAAGATCAAACACATCTTAAGGCTATAAGTGAAGAAAGGCCATACAGACAATGCTTCTCTTTGTTCTTTAGCATTGTTAATTTTGGCACAACTTTTGGCTCAGAGAAGAGAACAGAGCTTTAGAGAAGAATCATTTACCCGAAAGATATGAAATATTTCTGAGTGAAAGTCAAAGGTCACAGTCAACTGATGCTGTGGAAAAGAATACTTCTCAAATTTCAGAGTACTTTCTAGAGTTTACATGAGGATGAAAATTCAACAAATGTAACTTTAAGCAATGATAGGAGACTATTATTTAAAGGAGATTGTGTGTGTGTGCAGGGGTTGAGAAGATAATGTTACAAATAACGGTAAAATTCAACTCATGTTTTTTTTTTGTTTATTTAGCAAACATTTATTCAATGTTTGTTGAATAAATGTTTGTTAAATAAAGAAGAAGTCATGTACTACTAGATAGAGTATTACTATTTTATGAGCCTTTGCAATCCCACACACGGCCTGACTCAGTACCACTGAGAAAATTGTCCCTCTCTTACAAGAGCTTGCAGTCTAGTATATAGAGGTAAACTTTGTAAGCAGTGCACTCTGCATGTTGATTAGATAAGCAAAAACTGCCTTTACCAAAAGTCTTTTTGTCTTTTTAAACTGTTTTCCAATAGCACTTAGCAAGTTACAGAAGATACTTATAGTTTGTCCCAGTAATGAACTATTATTGGGTGTTTACTATGTGTTTTACATGTGTTTAATTCTAGACAAAACTATTTGGATAGGACCCCACATTAAAGAACCTAAAACTTAGAAGAAGTTTAATAACTTGCTCAAGTTTCATGCTAAGTTGAAAAATGAGCTGGAACCTGAACTCAGTCTGAGTTCAGAACCTGGGGTCTAAACCATTAATCTATTGCTGCTGTCATTCAGAAGACAAGGCTATACCCATAGAATACAAAGTTAACATTATAGATCATATTATAGGATAATTTTAGGAAAGGTAGATGACATCAGACAAGTTCTCCTAAAAAATAAATATTCACGAGTATAGGATGTAACAGACACAGCATTCCATTCATGTGCACCATTCTCTAGAATTCATAGCTCCCAAGTCAATTCCCTGCTAGGTCTGTGCCTCACTTTCTTGAGGGACACTGGAATTAATTGTTTTATGTCCCAATGACTCAGGGACCCAGAGATGATATTTTTTCTGACTCCATTGCATTTTCAAGACAAAACTATGACTTTTATTCAGTCTGGCTTCAACTGTTTTTCTTAGCTGTACCCTCATCTCAATCCAGACATCAAAACTTGTCAAGAAACATCAAAAGTTCTAGGGTTTGGATTCTCTGATGTCTCTACAGGGTGGAAGGCATGCAGTCTGCACACTACACATTCATCCTTCCAAGCCCATGCTAGACATGACCAATCAATTACTGTGCTGTTTCCTGCTGCATCTAGATTTGGCTTCAGAGTTCCTCTCAACACAATTTTTACCATCAGCATAGAAAATGAAACTTATTTTTTATCTCCAGAGTACACCGAGGGAAGAACCTATCCTGTTCAAGTCTGTCTACCCTGTACTAATCATTTCCAAACTTTAGCCTACTTTAAAATTACCTACAGAATGTTAAGTTAAAGCAGGTTCCTAGGTTCCATCCCAGACAGAGAATCTAACTCAACATATCTGGTCTGGGGTCATGGAATTTTTGTTTCTAAAGCGTTTCTAGGTGATGCTGATTCGACTGGACCAGGTACCACACTTTGAGAACCGCTGCTGTTTAATTAGTACCATTGTGGTTGAGATAATAGAATCAAGATCCAGGCAGCCTGCTGACATGCCAGCTCTACCACCTATGTGGTCTGTAGCTTTGGACAAGTTATTGAACTTTTGGGGGACTGCAATCTCTCATCTGTAAAATGCGGTATAGTTAACCTCTCTTAGGAGATCCTTGTGAGGACCCAGTGAGTTCACAGATGTTAAGTACTTTAAAAAGGACCTAGAACTTAGAAGCTTCACCCAAAAATGTTTACTAATATTACTTATTTAACTAATATTGCTTATTATTGACTCAGTTTAGAGCTATGTACATGGCAGCTACCCAAATGCTCAGTGTATTGGGATTCAACACCCAGACGTAGAATAACATGTCTGACATGTGGCCCCCTTTAGCAGCAGAAGATGATAAGATTAAAGAGGTAATAGCAGTTTACAGATCTTTTAAGAGGTGTTTTTTTTCTTCTTCTTCTTCTTTCTGAGACAGTGTCTCACTCTGTTGCCCAGACTGGAGTGCGGTAGCATGGTCATGGCTCACTGCAGCCTCGACCTCCTAGGCTTAAGCAATCCTCCTGCCTCAGCCTCCTGAGTAGCTGGGACTACAGGGATGTATTTTTATTTTTGTGGAGACGGGGTCTCACTATGTTGCCCAGGCTGGTATCAAACTCCTGAGCTCAAGCAATCCTCACACCTTGGCATCCTAAAGTGCTGGGATTACAGGCATAAGCCACTGCTCCTGGCCTGTAAGAATATTTATTTGCATACTATGGTACAAATTGCTTGATTTTTTTATTAAATTAATGCACAGAGGTCTACTGTTGCACAGTTATTGATGCTCAGAAAAGCCAACACTTGTCATAGTGAAGAAAGACTAAACTGCTGAATCTCCTTCAGCAATGTTTTTTAACTTTGCAACACAATGCTTCTTTTTTAGAAATACTGAGAAAGCTTTGAATTAATTGTGTTGTCACCAGACAGTGGCTTGGTTTTATGACTGGTGTTTCTCCTGATGATTGAGATCTGTCATCTGAATTACTTTGCCCTTTTTATTGTTCTTTCATGTGTCTACAGTCATGCAGTTGCCACGATATTCCTTCATATTTCTTCTGAGCCCTTCAGCTAGCAATTCCTTGCAGCAAGTAGGGAATGAGGCCCAGGAGTTTGGTGCCTGGATGTAGCGGCTAGAGCTAAAAGGTTGACTATTTGTCTGAACTTAAAATCAGAACTCTCAAATCAGCAAAAACTTCTTTTCTCTGACTTGTAAAATTATTCATATAAAAAGATATACATACCTTTAATTGTGTATTCATCAAATCATGTTTTTTTTTTTAACTTTTAAGTTCAGGGGTACAAGCGCAGGTTTATTACATAGGTAAACTTGTGACATGGGGTTTTGTTGTATAGATTATTCCATCACCAGGGTACTAAGCCTAGTATCTATTAGTTATTTTTTCTGATGTTCTCCCTCTTCCCACCCTCTACCCTCTGACAGGACCTAGTGTGTGTTGTTACCCTCTATGTGTCCATGTGTTCTCATTGTTTAGTTCCAACTTATAAGTGAGAACATGCAGCATTTGGTTTTCTATTCTTGTGTTAGTTTGCTAAAGATAATGGTCTCCAGTTCCATCCACGTCCCAGCAAAGGACATGATCTCGTTCTTTTTATGGCTGCATAGTATTCCATGGCGTATATGTACCACATTTTCTCTATCTAGTCTGTTATTTATGGGCATGTAAATTTTTTTTAAATAATAAAAATTCATAAAAAGTAATGTCTGCTTTTCAGAAATGCCTATGCAGATAATTTGCCCATTTAGTTGTAAAAAATTATATAAAAGCCTGTTATTCGTGCAACATGGAAGAACCTGGAGTGCATTACATTAAGTTAAATGAGCCATACACAGAAAGATAAATATCACATGTTCTCACTCATATGTGAAAACTAAAAATGTTGATTTCACTGAAGGGAGTAGAATAGTGGATACTTGAGGCTCAGAAGGTTAGGGGAGGGTAGAATAGGGAAGAGGTTGGTTAATGGAAGCAAAATTATAGCTAGAGAGGAGGAACAAGTTCTGGTGTTCTGTTGCACTTTAGGGTTACTGTAGTTAACAATTCATTGTATATTTTCAAAAAAACTGGACGAGAGGATTTTTGAATGTTCCCTATACAAATGTTAAATGTTTGAGGTGATAGATATGCTAATTATTCTGATTTGATCATTACACATTATACACATGTATTAAAGTAGCATGCTGTACCCCATAAATATGTGCAGTTATGTGTCAATTAAAACTAATTTTTAAATGTTTTTTAAAAAAAGGTAAGATGAAAAATCTAGAATGTGTGATTTTTATAGAAAGAAGCTGACCTGTTATAGAAATGACGTTTGAATTTTCCATTATAAATATCCTGGTCTGAACTTGATCTGAACTCACATTATATGGGGTTGTTTATAAAATAATGTTAATGATTTTAACTCTGTCTCATATCTTAACAATTATTCCTTTTTTTTTTTTTTCTTTGAGACAGAGTCTCACTCTGTCACCCAGGCTGGAGTGCAATGGTGGGATTTCGGCTCACTGCAACCTCCACTTCCTGGGTGTTTAAGTAATTCTGCTGACTTAGCCTCCCAAATGGTAGCTGGGATTACAGGCACCCGCCACCATGCCTGGCTTATTTATTTATTTATTTTTAGTAACGACGGGGTTTCATCACGTTGGCCAGGCTGGTCTCGAACTCCTGACGTCAAGTGATCTGTCAGCCTTGGCCTCCCAAAGTGCTGGGATTACAGGCAAGAGCCACTGTGCCCAGCCCTCTTAACAATTATTCTGACTTGCTGATGCCCGGCAGAAATTGTTTGCAGCCTATTTTAGGCACATATAATAAATACATATTTGAATAAATGTCAACTCTCTGATTATAATGTGCTTGGCCAGTCACTACAATGGGTGGATATTAACCCTGTTTACAGATGCTCCCCATTTTTCATTCCTGTAGTCTTTGGGTAAACTTGAGACCTGCAGGAAGCTGAGGGTAAAGTGTGTTCATACTCAAAGAGCCTCAAAAAAAAAATCAATTTGGAAGATGTTTTTAAGCTTTAAAAATGTGGATGTAGTAACGTAAGTTAGGTATGGTTGCAGCTTTCAAGCAGAGTATAAAGACGTTATGATTAACAATATCAATACAGAAAAATAATCATAAACTATGAATCAAACTATATTTCTTTCCCCCAAATATACTGATTTCAGATTGCAAATGGTGCAAATTAAGAGTTAGTCTCTAATTAAGCTATTTATATACCTAGGAGACCTGTGGTAAATACTCTTATTGTGTTTTATTTGAATTAGGTGACGGCAACCATAATTGAGAAGGAAAATGCTTATTATATGGTTTCATTATTCATGGGCACTTGTCTACCGTGTACCTAGGTAATTTCAATACTGTAAAAGTATTGATCTCAGATTTTAACAACATTAGCCAAGTGGTTACCAGCTCACCAATTTGATGTGTTCCAGCATGACCTATATCAATTTTAATAACCCACCTCAGTTTTCCGAATGCTGGAATTTGTGATTTCCAAAAGTCATCCGAAGGTCTTCATGTTTTCAGCCTGCTTACAAAGCTGATGGCATGAATTTCTTCTTCAGAGTTAACCTAGTTACTGAAATACTGAGGAAAACCCAGTGAATTTCATTGGGATCACTTCTGTGATTTCTCCAGTGAATCATTTCCCTTGTGAGAAGAATCATATTCCAGGGGGATGCAAAGAGAACAATTACTCCCAGGGATGCCTAGCTATAACTGCAATGGTGTGGGAGAAATGAGAGAACCATGTTTTCATGTGTGTTTCCTCTGGAAATGAGTAATTATAAGATTCATATTTTCTTTATTCTTCCTATTGTACTAAGTGAACAATTAAAGCACCCACTGGAAAACGTACTACCAGTGAACTCAGGTCACAGAATATACGTGTTTTTAAAAAATATTTTACCAATTCTTTGTGATCTCATCATTTGAAGTGCACCCATTAGATCTATTCTGATCCTTTATGATAAGATGAGAATTCTGAGTGAGCTCTGGCACCAAGAAATACCATAAGTCTTACCACAAGATTGTGTATCTGTAAGACAGCTTCTAATACCTACTTTGGGACTTCTGACTTCAGATCAAGTGAGATCGTGTGCTATACCTACACTTTCTAAAAGAAGCCAGACAGATAAAATGGTAAGGCAGATTGGTTATGGAGTGAAAACACTGTATTAGATATAAACAGAACATCCACCAGGAAAAAAATGCCCTTGAGGAACTTTTAGTGTGTTAAGCTTCTCCAACTTTTCAATCAATCCAGGTCACTTAGTGAAATCGATAAAATGTCATCGCAGTTCCAAAGAGGCCCTCAAGCATGTTTAGAGAGAAAGATGGCTCCGAAATTTAAATAGAGTGTTGTTACTACCGAGGTAACACAACATGCTTAAAACTATTTCAAGGCTGCTCCTTATAATGCCTTAGAGTTTGAGAAAACATGCCTAGACCTCTGTTATACATTTTATGTTCTTGAGCAAAAGGATATTTGGAACCTACTCTCCAGCCATAGATAAATCCAACAAGATCCACTTTCCGAATGCTTTAGTTCACCTGTGATATTTGCAGATATGCCAATAAGATTTTCATGAGAGTGAGCCAGTTTAACTAGAAAACTCTATTTTGAGTGCTGCAAATTAAATTTGGAGTAAAATGTTTCTGTCACAGGACCCGTGCAGATTGTCGGGGTTTGAGTTTTTTCAAACTCACTGACGACCACAGTATATTTTTGCCATAATTGTTTGGAGATCTGCAGTATCTCAGCATCTCAATACTCAATTTTGTTCTAAGGCTTTCCCAAATTTGCCTTTGACCAAATGTAAGGCATACATAAATTAAAAACAATGCAAAAACTTTATCGTCTTCATTATTCTTTCCATGTTCACCATTTATCTCTCCTATTCCAATCTTCCAAGGCATCCTAGGTTAGAAATATAATTTAGTTCCATGTTTCTTCTCCAGCACATATAATTGGTCTTCAAAGTGCTTTTTGACATTGTCCCTTGGACTTCAGTCGGTTCTCTGGATTCCCTCCACCTCAATTCTGATCTTTTATCTAATAGTTATTGTGAGTTTACAGCAAAGCATTGTGCTGAATGCACAATTCCATTTCATTATTATACTAACTCTGAAAGGCCATTATTTATATTTTATAGAAGGGGAAACTGAGGCACTTAGCAGATGACTCATCCCAAGGTCAGCCTAGTGGTAAAATCTGTGTGCTTCTGAGTTATGGTAATGGACTCCTTCCGTGTCCTTAGCCCTCAAACATAAGCAGTGACTTTTATCGGCCTAGGTCATCTGTTGCTTAGAAACTGCCTTTTTGGTTAAATTTTCTACTCAATCTGGCATTCCAGGCCATATATCTATGGACTTCAGTTTGTATCTTGACACTTTGATCTCCATTATTTGCTAATACCATTTTTTTCTCCCACTAGGTCTGTTGCCTTATTGGCATGCCCCAACAGCTCCAGCATCCTAATTTCCATAGTCACATCTCATTTACTCCTTTTCCCACTTTCTACTGATATCCTGCTTATATTTGTTGCTCCATATCACCAGGAAAATTTCTTTTATTTTTCTCTCAAGTACCAGTTAAATGCTCATGTTATCCCAGAATATTCCTTATTCATTTTCTCTCTCTTTTATTTGGGATAATGATAGCTGCTTTACCAAATAGACCCCAAGTGCATAAAGTTGCTAATATAGTAGAAGTGTACATCCATGATCAGCAGGTGGCATTTGTCCACACAATGATTCAAGGACCCAGACTCCTCTGATCACATGGCTCCCACATCCCTCAAAGAGTGGTTCAGTCTCACATCAGCAATATCGGCATCACCTGGGAACTTATCAGATCAGAGATGCAAATTATGAGGCTACATCTCAGATCTACTGAATCAGAAACTATAGCAATAGGGCCTGGCAATCTGTGTTTGTACAAGCCCTCCAAGTGATCCGGATGCACACTAAAGTTTAAGAGTTGCTATGCTGTGGCCTCCTAGTTCCCTATATCCAGCCTATGGAAATTCAAAGAGAACATGAATAACATACATGTAATTCTTTAAGCATTGATCAAGAGGGATGTACATCATTTTCATTCATAATTTATTGATGAATACTAATTAGATGGGCCATGCCTTCATGCAACGGAGGGGTTATAAAACGTGGTCCCTGTGGTCCTCCTTTCAATAATATATAGATACACAAATGAGAGCATTGTTTTCTTAAACTGTCTTCCCTCCCTAGTTTTCATAAACTTCTTTAGCATGCAGTCTGACAGGCTCTTACAGTCGATTTCTGTGCTTCTGTCAGCTTAGCTCGTCACAATGAACATTTTTACTCCTTTTCCCTCCTCGTTGTAGTTTGATTTTCCTCTTCATTTTACTTACTTACAGCTTGACATAAATTTCTTTCTCTATTCATTAAGAGACTGGCCACTGCAAACTTTCCATTTCAGGTTGCTGTAACATGTCAGCTTATTTTCTATTAGCATAAAGTGGCCCAGCTGATGGGCTTGTCATGCAGAACTCAGGATATAATGGCTAGCTGTTCCTCAAGCACAGTATGAATATTTCTGATTTGGAATTTGTCTTCTCCACATGTATTTTTCCCTGAAATTCGTAGGTACTCAGTCTCAAAGATACTCATAGATGGAAGAGAATATATTTTAACTTGTGGTGTCGAAGTAGATAAAGGGCAACATCCCTGGGTGTCCTAGTCGTGTAAAATTGAATAAGTTATGTTCATTACCATGACTGGGCGCAGCCCCTGGGGAACTTTAGATAGTACCGGGCTGGCCAAATCATTCTGGAACGAGGTGTATTATTTATTACATGATATAAAGCAATCTTCCCTTTTACCAATAACAAGATTCAAACAAGTTTATATTTGAGCAATTGCATATGTAATTGTCAAGGGTATAGATGAAATGATTAAATATCTATTCATGAAGTTTAAACTACTAATTATTCCATATATGTATTTACTATATATGGATTCATATATTAGGTTAGATTCCTCCTCTTTTTTTTCTTTTCATGAAGCAATTATATTCAAATGCTTGATAGGCATCTTTAAGCCCAATTCCTTTGTTTTTCTCTAGCACCGCTTTTGAATCATCTTGTAGTTTTCCAGAGCATATTTTCTTGACTTCCACCTGTGTTGTTGGAAATACAGGCCTCACTTGATCCGTGTAGCAGGTCATTGCTGGGATTATTGACCCTTGCGTAAGTACCTAATCACAAAACATAAGGACAATGTTGTTTTGTATTGTTTCAAGTTTTACTTCATCCTTTAAGTATTTAGGGTGCTTCTCCACATATATGACCATATACTGCATTGTTTTCTAAAATTACTGAGAAAAAGTTTTTGAGCTTGTTAATTGATATGGTTTGGATCTGTGTCCCCACCCAAATTTCATGATCAATTGTAATGCCTAATATTGGAGGTGGGGCCTGGTGGGAGGTGATTGGATCATGATGGTGGTTTCTCATGATTTAACACCATCCTTCTTGGTGCTATCATAGTGATAGTGAGTTCTTGATTTGGTTGTTTAATAATACGTGGTACCTCCCACTTCTCTTCCTCCTGGTCTGGCCATGTAAAACATGCCTGCTTCCCCTTTGCCTTCCTCCATGATTGCAAGTTTCCTGAGTCCTCCCCAGAAGCAGAAGCCACTATGCTTCCTGTATAGCCTGCAAAACTGTGAGCCAATTAAACCTCTTTTCTTTATAAATTTCCCATTCTCAGGCATTTCTTTATAGCAGTGTGAGAATAGACTAATGCACTAATACTTATAAAATTTAGGTCATACCACCAAGGATAATCCATAACTATATATTACTTTGGATCTTTTTTTCTCCTCCTTTTAGTGAAACTTGGTAATACTGCAAACTACCATTGAGGTTGTTTTGGGTTAGAGTCTTCTCCGATGGTGCTCTGATATTCCAAACAAAGTAAACCAGAGAACGTCCTGTCACATGGACAGTTTCATGAGGATTAAATCATAAGCAAGCTTTCTCTGTTATGAGGCATAAGAGTGCAAGACAATATGACCAAATGATACAACCAGAGGGGTGATCTCTGAGGTCTGTAGAAGATCAGAGTAAATCTCCTTTCATCATTGAAACTTGTTTATTCTTATATCAAAACTTCTGTGAGAAGGGCATTTGTCGAGGTTGCTAAAACCCTAAAACAGTGAGTTTCCCAAAGTGCTTTGCCAGTAAAGGATCCAGTCAGGTCTCACTCTGAAGCCAATGATATTTGTCTTCTCTCATAGAAAGAAGTTCTTAATGCAAACAGGTTCTTTGTTCCCATCAGACAAAAGTGATGTGCCCTATAATTGCCAAAGGATATCAGAGTAGATGGAAGACATGCATCTTGTGTCCCAGAGAACACAAACATAGCAGGGGCTACATGCTGCCCTCTCTCCACTTTCAGGCTGTTTTCTCCCAATATTCACTCAGTTGCCTTATTCCCACAGGCGAAAAAAAAAAAAAAAAAAAAAAAACAACTGACTTATAAACTGACCCAACCCTCCTTCATCATTGTAAAACTATCATCTTCATATGCTTGCAGCCCTATAAAAGCTGTAAGTCACATTGTCTGTGATGGTTAATTTTAGGTATCAACTTGACTGGATTGAAGGTTGCATGCAGCATTGCTTCTGGGTATGTCTGTGAGGGTATCTCCAGAGGAGATTGACTTATGAATGAGTGGACCAAGAAAGGAAGACATGACCTCAGTATGAGTGGATACCATCCTATGGGCTGTGGATATGGCTAGAACAAAGCAGGCAGAAGAAGTGGGGCATTCAGCTTGCTTGGCTTTCTGTTTTGCACTACTGCTCTCTCTTCAGGAGCAGAATACCTTTTTTTTTCCTCCTTCTTCCCTTAGACATCAGTCTCTTTCATGTTGCTTTTTGGCCTTTGGACTCTGAGAGTTCCACCAGCAGACTCCCAGGGGCTCTCAGGTCTTCAGCCTCAGACTGAGGGCTGAGTTCCTTGGTTTTGAGGCTTTCAAACTTGGACTGAGCTATATTAACAGCTTCTCTGGGAGACACATTACTGGCTTCTCATTCTGTAGCTTGTGAATGGCCTATCATGGGACTTTGCTTTTGCGATTATGTGAGCCAATTCCCCCTGATAAATATATTCATTCAGTCATTCGTTCATTCTCTCTCTCTCTCACACACACACACACACCACACACACACACACACACACACACACACACACACACACACACTCATATTCTATTTTGTCTGTCTGGAGAACCCTGACTAATATTTGGGGTTTCTGGAATTGATTTTATAATCTGATTAGACCTAACATATAAAAGGTTCTACTTTTTATAGTACTGAGAGCACTGATAGTTCATGTTATGAACTCTTTATAGAGATACACAGAACAAATGCATTTGATATTCCTAATCACTACTTATAAGAAGCAAGGAGTTCAGTGACTCTATACATGGCATTTTTAAACATTTGTGGAAAACCAAGGAATATAATGAAGTCAGTTGGTTGCTTCTAGCATCACTGGACAAAGTAATAAAATAAAAGGATAAGCTCTGGGATTTGAACTCCAGGCTCCAGATGCACATACATAGCCTAAATGTTTCTAAGTATGCCCTGAAGACGAGTCTCTGCTCCTGTAACTATATGTTGAAATTACTGAAAATCAAACACAAGTCCTCATCATGCAATTGGCTGATTATAAGGAAAGGTGAACTCTTAGCCCCAAAGCGTTTCTACTGTTAAAGAGAGGACATTGATTGGGAAAGAATGGACTCTTGCAAGAGAATACGGATGTGTGTGAGGACCTTGATGAAGTCATAAATATTGAGCTCTTAAATTCTGATGAGTCGTTTTTGCCTGGGGAAGTGACTTCCCCACCCCTAGTGGCAGCAGCACCTCCACCCATATGATATCAGTCTTTTCACCTCTGAGGGGATTAACTTTGTGTTGCCTGAAGCCAATATTCCTGGCTTTATCAGGGTCCTCCAACATGTCCCTGTCCTAACTTACAGGATCCCATTCTTTCTCAATCAATGTCCTCACGTTAACAGTAGACACCCTGGAGGGCTGAGAGTTCAACTTCATTGTAAGCCAGCCAATGGCTTGATAAGGACTTGTGTCTGATTTTCAGAAATTTCCATCCTATGGCTACAGGAGAGAAGGTCTTCTTTAGCACATACTTAGCAGCTTTTGGGCTGTGTATGTGCAGTAGTGGTTGCCTCTGAGGCGGTCACTAGGCAAGACACTGCTGATTGTCCCCTGGAGCCACCTCCACCAGCCTTTTTTGCTTCCAGACCTCTAACTAGACTCAAGACGCAGCAGGTCCCTAAAGGTAAGGTACCAAGAGTGACTCATGAGGAAGTATACTATACTCGAATAGAACTACTTGATTTTTCTAATTTATACAGGTAGAAATCCAGGAAACATGTAACCTGTGTGGGAATGGTAGGAATGAATATTAAGGGTGTGGGATAATAGTGGAAGGAACAAAAGTTGGATCAGGCTAAATGTATTGATATGGGCCCACTAAACAGAGATTCTGGATCAGTGTTGCAGCCGGGGAAGTTAAAAAACTTAGTTTATTTAGTGGGTTGGCAGAAACATGGATCAAAAGATGTCCCACCATGAATGAGCTGGAGATGCCTGATCTCCCTTGGTTTACTGTAGAGAAAGGGATTCACGGGCTTAAGAAGATTGGAATTACAGTGTTGATTTGTAACATAAAACCACCCATACTAGGAGGCTCCAGAAAACATACCTTTCACCAATCCACTGAGAAATAGATTTGAATAGAGAGCACAAACATTCTCGAAGAGCCCTGTGATTGCTCTTGTCTGCATTCCAGACCTTACGGTGGGAACCACAGTCACTCAATTGGAAAACATATATGCGATGAGAAGAATTGGATCCTGGGGTGACAGGCACCAAGTGGTGGCACTCCACCACCAAAAGCAAGGTGTACATAGTTACTATAATGGACAGCAGAGGCAAAGCAACAATCAGAATAGTGTGACTTGTGTAGACCTGTGGCATTGGCTAATTAATCATGGTGTTTCTATAAGTGAAAAAGATAGGAAGGCTATTACATTATTTCTTGATCTGTATACACAGAAAACTTCCAGGTCAAGTGAACAAAAGTCTAATTGAAATCATAAAAACAGAGAATTTTTAGTGTTGAGTCAGCTTATAGACCCAGAATCCCTGGAATAAAAGAGAAGCCAGTTTCCCTTGAGAAAAGTCCTTTGTATAATACTAAAAAGTTGTGCTGTCAATCCTCCTGCCATCGTTCCTCAAAGGGAAACCTTGCCTTTTACCAGGATAACTGTGTACTGGGGAAAAGGAAATAACCAGACATTTGGGGACTACCAGACACTGGATCTGAACTGACACTGATTCCAGGAGACCTGAAAAGTTAGTATGGCCCTCTAATTAGTGTAGAGCTTATGGGGTTCAGGTGATTAATGGAGTGTTACCTCATATCTGACTTACAATGGGCCCATGGGTCCCTAAATCCACCCTATGGTTATTTTCCCAGGTTCAGATGCATGAGTGGAATAGATGTTCTTAGCTGCTGGCAAAATCCCCACATTGGTCACCTAACAGTGAGGGATGTTATAATGGAAAAGGCCAAATGGAAGCCATTAGAGCTGCTTCTGCTTAGGAAAATCGTAAGACAGAAACAATATTGCATCCCTGGAGGGAGAGTAGAGATTAGTGTCACCATCAAGGACTTGACAGATGTAGGGGTGGTGATTCCCACATCCCCATTCTATTTTCCTATTTGGTCTGTGAAGAAGACAGATGGATCCTGAAGAATGGCAGTGAATTGTCAAAGCCTTACCACATGGCGACTCCAATTGCAGCTTCTGTACCAGATGTGGTTTTATTGCTTGAAAAAGTTAACACATCTTCTGGTACCTGGTATGTAACTATTGATTTAACAAATGCCGTTTGCTCCATATCTGCCTATAAGGCGCATCAGGAGAAGTTTGCTTTAAACTGGCAAGGCCAGCAATATGCTTTTACTGTCCTACACAGGGGTATATCAACTCTTCAGCTCTCTGTCATAGTCTAGTTTGCGGGGATCTTGATTGCTTTTCCCTTCCGCAAGATATCTCAACAGTCTATTACATTAATGACATGCTGACTGGACCTAGTGAGTAAGAAGTAGCAGCCACTGTGGACTTAATTGGTAAAACATTTGCTTATGAGAAGGTGGTAAATAAATCAGGCTAAAAATCAGGGGTTTTTTACTTCACTCAAATTTCTAGGAGTCCAGGTGTGTGGAGCCTGCCTAGATATTTCCTATAAAGTGAAGAATAAGTTGTTGTATCTGGCCCCTCCTACAAACAAGGAAGAGGCACAATGCCTAGTACGACTATTTGGATTTTGGAGGAGACACATTGCTTCTTTGAGGGTGTTACTTAAGCCTATTTATTAAGTGACCTGAAAAGCTGCTAGTTTGTAGTGGGGCCCAGAACAGAAAAATCTCTGCAATAGGTCCAGGCACCTGTGCAAACTGTTCTGCCCCTTGGTCCATATGATTCACCAGACCCCATGGTGCTTGTAGTGTCAGTGCCAGATAGAGGTGCTGCTTGGAGCATTTGGAAGGCTTCTGTAGGTGAATCGCAGCAGATGCTGTTATAATTTCGTAGCAAAGAACTGCCGTCATTTGCACATAACTACTCTCCTTTAGAGAGACAGCTTTTGGCACTCTACTAAGTCTTTTACTGAACGCATGACTGTGGGCCAACAAGTTACCATAAAACCTGAGCTGTCTGTTATGAGCTGAGTGTTATCTGACCCACCCAAGACAGACATGAAGTTGGATGTGTACAGCAGGACTCCATCATCAAATGGAAGTCGTGTATCTGTGATCAGGCCTGAGCAGGTTCTGAAGGCACAAGCAAGTTACATGAAGAAGTGGCCCAAATGCCCACAGTTCTTATTCCTGCTATGTTGTCTTCTCTCTCCCAGTCTGCACCTGTGGTTTCATGGGGAGGTTCCTAGATCAGCTGACAGAGAAAGGGAAGACTCGGTTTCTTGTTTACTTGGGATGGTTCTGCATGATAAGCAGGTGCCACCCAGAAGTCAACGCTGCAGCACTATAGCCCCTTTCTGTGACATCCCCTAAGGATGTTGGTGAAGGGAAGTCTTCCCCATAGGCAGAACTTCAGCCAGTGCACCTGGTTGTGCACTTTTCTTAGCAGGAGAAATGATCAGACACATGTGATTTTATACTGATTTATGGACTGTAGCTAATGCTTTAGCTGGATGGTCAGGGACTTAGAAGGAGCATGATGGGCAAATTGGTGACAAGGAAATTGGGAGAAGTATATGAATAGACTTCTCTGAGTGGGCAAAAGATGTGAAGGTATTTGCGTCCACATGAATGTTCATCAAAAGGTGACATCAGCAGAGGAGGATTTTTTTTTTTTTATTTTTTTTGAGACAGAGTCTCACTCTGTCGCCCAGGCTGGTGTATAGTGGTGTGATCTCGGCTCGCTGCAGCCTCTACCTCCCAAATTCAAGCGATTCTCCTGCCTCAGCCTCCCAACTATCTGGGATTACAGGCATGTGCCACCACGCCTGGTTAATTTTTGCATTTTTAGTACAGATGAGGTTTCACTATGTTGCCTAGCCTGGTCTCAAACTCCTGAGCTCAAAACCATCTTCCCACTTCAGCCTCCCAAAGTGCTAGGATTACAGGCATAAGCCACCACTCCCGGCCAGCAGAGGAAGATTTTAATAATCAAGTAGATAGGCTGACCCTTTTTTAGATACCACTCAGCTTCTTTCCCCAGCCATCCATGTTATCAGAGTCTTTGATGTTGTTCTTTGGCCTTTGGAATCTGGAATTTGTACCAGCAGCTTTTTGAGGGGTCTCAGGCCTTTGGCCTCACACTAGAGGCTCTATTGTCAGCTTTCCTGGTTTTAAGGCTTTTGAACTTCGATTTAGCTATGCTACTGACTTTCCCAAAACCACCCTACTGGCTTCTCTCATCCTCCAGCTTGTAGACAGCCTATCATGGAACTTTGCCTTTTTGATCACACACACACACACACACACACACACACACACACACACACACAGTTATATGTAATATACTTCAAATGTGACATATTTTATATATCATATAATATATATTTGATATAAATTGTATAATATATATGTTCATTTTCATATATATAATATTGTTTCTATCCCTCTAGAGAACCCTGACTTATACACTGTCCAAGGAAGCAAACATAAATAACAAAAAAATTATTAAATGGCAACTAGGACTATAAAGGTTCTGTTTTCTAGCATAAGCATTTGTATAATCTAAACTCCAAGACAAATCCAATTTTACTACTTCAAAAAAAACAAAAAAGTATTTTTTTTGCTCGTGACCTTAAAGGATATACAAGGAAAAGCAGCTTGTAAGGCTCCATGACACCACTCTCTCTCCCTTCTTGCCAGTTTTGTTTCTCCCCAATAATTCAGAACCTCTTAATTACAATCACTTTTCCAAGAATGTACTGCCTACCCAGCAACCCAGCACCATAGAACTCATTTCCCCTCTTACCCCCTTCAATAGTCATACCTGATGTCTCAAACTGGCAGTTCCTACAGACATATTTTTTCCTCTAGGTTGTTATAAAAATATTGAGACAATATTTAAAAGTAAAAGATACCCTGTAAAATCTAAATAGCTGGGCTATTTTAAAACAAAATCAGAATGTTTTATTACACTGCCACCTTTCTAGCTGGTGACAGACCCGAATAGCTTCCTGCAGAAGGAATTACCCTGTTTAGCCAGGGCATGCCCCTTGCAGCTCATCACATTCCCTGTCCTTTATGACCTCCCTGATGCTCAGGCTGACAGGTCACCATGTGTCATAGCTTTTGCATTCTCTATTTCCACTATAATTTTCTTCAAAAAAACATTTCTCTGTATTCATGTCTTTATCAAAAGTGGGAAATGGAAAGACTGACCAAGAAGATTGCCTGTAATAAATAAGCAATTATTTTTAGCTATGGAAAAAAAAACCCACTTCCAATCCAATAGCCCAATACTCAGACTCATGAGCTTAACTCATGTCAGTTACCTGCCTGGTCCCTGCAGGCATGTGACATTATGACCTTGAATATAGAGCAACATAATATTTTGCTACTTCCCTCTCATCCCCTCTTTTCCTCCGTTGCTCCATTCCTCCTCCAACCCATTCTAAGAATACACATGACAAACAACTTTCCTGAGGGGTTGGTAGTTGAAAATTAGGTTAGCAATGTAGGGATGCTATGTGGAGGCTGGAAGAAGGAAGCAAGTCTATAAAGATCCCAGAAGTAAGAATGAGAGACCTTTATTTTGTAGGAAATTATGATTGTAGAGTCCAAGTTATGGTAAGGCAAGAAAGGGCAGACTAAAGCCAAGGGCAGACTAAATTACAAAAATCCAGTTAATTAGGTCCAGCAAACAACAAGGCGTGGACTGAGTCCCAGGAGATCATCAACCATAGTCATTTGACAAATAACAAACATTCATAAAAGTTGACAAAATTAAACGGTCATGTGAACCAGAATTTCCTAATAATATTTCATGGAACCCTAATGTTAAAATGTCCTGCATTAAAAGTATCCCATGGCCAAATATATTTGGAAAATGTATTCTATCATTTTTTTCTGAAAAATTCACAATATATTTTAATCTCATAAAGGTTCTGAGAAGTCCCGAAATAAGTGAACCAATTTAACTTTAATCCAGTGCTTCCAAACTTTATGTTACTGGGATCTCTTTTTTGCAAATAAAACTGTTTAACTTCCTGTGGAATTAATATTCCACTGAATGCCTTTTGGGATAAGCTTCTCTTTTGAATACATATTATTTTTTATAGGTGACTGCCCCTTTTCATAATTTATTTTTTGTGACCCTGTCTCTCACTATAGTGTGTAAGTATTTTATAAACTTAGAGAATTTCCTGGACGGGCACAGTGGCTCACGCCTATAATCCCAGCACTTTGGGAAGCTGAGGCAGGCAGATGAATTGAGGTCAGGGGTTTGAGACCAGCCTGGGCAACATGGTGAAACCCTGTCTCTACTAAAAATACCCAAACTTACCTGGGCGAGGTGGCACAAGCCTATAATCCCAGCTACTCTGGAAGCTGAGACAGGAGGATCACTTGAACCAGGAAGTTGTGGTGAGCCGAGATCATGCCACTGCACTCCAGCCTGAGTGATAGAGTGAGATTCCATCTCAAAAAAAAAAAAAAAAGAAAAAAAGAAAGGAATTGCCTTAGGTCTAGGTCTATGTATTTTATTTTAAAATAACTTCTTTGCCTTTACCATTTGGTAGGGTGTTTGTGTTTGTGTGTGTGTGTGTGTGTGTGTGTGTGTGTGTGTTGTGGTTTTATACTCAGGTTTTCCCTTTCATTAGGCACCTCACAAAAAGTAACTGAATCCTATTCACCCCTCCTCCTCTTTTTTTTTTTTTTTTTTTTGAGACAGTCTTGCTCTGTTGCCCATGGCTGGAGTGCAGTGGCACAATTTCGGCTCACTGCAACCTCCGTCTTCTGGGTTCAAGCGATTCTCCTGCCTCAGTCTCCCGAGTATCTGGGATTACAGGAGTGTGCCAGAATGCCTGGGTAAATTTTGTATTTTTAGTAGAGATGGGGTTTCACCATGTTGGCCAGGCTGGTCTTGAACTCCTGACCTCAAGTGATCCACCTGCCTTGGACTCCCAAAGTGTTGGGATTACCCAAAGCGCTGAGCCACCATGCCAGGTCAATCCTATTCCCTTTAAATGTCTCTATCTAAGGAACAGACTTTTCTGTTCTCTTTCATTTTTGTGATCCAGTGTTTTAAAGTTTACTCTGTATTATTGTAAATGAGTATAGCACATGGCACATGATAGGTGTGCAGAAAACGTTTGTGGAATTGTATTGAGCAAAGTATAAACTTAATGTTAAGCAAAGTGCTTACACCGACAATTCTTGTTTTCTCATTATCGGTCATTTCATTTTAGGAATTGGGTCTCAAACAGATTGTTCTTGAGGTTTCTAATTACTGAGAAGCAAATTAGTCAGCAGGATAAGTAAAGACTATTAGTTACTAAGCTTTTTAGGAGACATAAGTTACCAGCAAAAGTTTGCTATTGATAGAGAAATGTTTTACCATGATTATTTCACTCTGATTTTAGGGAAAACTCATTTTTATCCTGAAATATCAAATTTGCAATTTGGCAAGCATAAGGGTATCTCTTTCTCCCCCCCTTTTTTTTCCCTCTGTGTGTGTGTGTGTGTGTGTGTGTGTGTGTGTGTGAAAGAAAATGTGTGTAGAGAGAGAATAATGACTAAATGGGTCTTTGAATAAACCTAAATTTGTTTATTCGCAAGCCATTTTTATTAGGAAATAGAGTATCAGCAAATATGCAGAAAATTGAAATCTATGATTTAAAAAGTCTTTTTTAATTTGGACTTTTAAAGAAGGAAGACAATTAAAATTAGTAAAAAGTCATAAAAACGTATTCTCTAAGGAAATGAAACATGGCAAATAATTACCTTTTGAACTATAATGCATCAGATAAAAAATAATTGGGGTTACCATAACAATTAAGATTATGTAAATTATCCCCAAGGTTCTATAAAACGGTATTTTTTGGTTGTAGATGGAAAATATTTTTCAAGTATTGTGCTCATCAATATCTTTATTATTCATTTATCAGCTTCAGGAATTACAGTCCAGCTGTGACCAATAATATTCTAGCCAAATAAGTGAAGTTTGTTTAACTATTTCTCCACATAAATTAGCAAGGTTTGGACTGTATTTCAGGCTGGTTTTATCAATCTGTAAGGTTTCCTGTTGGGACACATGTCATGGCTAGATGATGTAGCCTGATTATGGGCAAATAATCATCAAAATGTGATAAAGAATGTTCAAGCGTAGCATACTGAGTTGAACTAAATCATTAGTCCCCACAAGTTTGATCTTCTTTTCTTCCTTTCTTCCTTTATTCTCTTTTTTTCCTGTCCCATGAAATCTTACGTTTTGAAAGGTCAGGTTTTCCTGCATTCATGTTTAATGACAGTCCCATCTTGGACATGCTTTTTCAGGGGTTCTGAAATTCTCTGCCTAATCTGTGGCTCTTGAACTGATGCCTAATTCCAAAAATTATCTCCTAAAAAGAAAGTCCCTTTGAATTATTGTAGTGATTAATTAGGACTTCCAAGTGCCATTGTCTAACCAGTGTTAACAGTTATTTATGTTTGTGTTTCTTTTCTTATTCGTTGATTTATTGTCTGTCTTCTGGATCCAAGAAGAGATTTGACATTCCAAAAAGCCATGTTAGATTTACAAACAATAAGTGTTTCTTTTTTTTAACTAGATTATTTTTAACGTGGAAAGTACCTTCTCAGAATTTTATCTGTAGTCACCTCTACCCTATGCATTTACATTATCCCGAATTCTGAACACCAGCCTGCAAAAAAGAACAAAGCAAGTCTAGACACAAGGTCACTCAGGGACATCTTTGCTTTATGTCCTAACCATATTTTATTGCAAACTAGTGTCCTCTTGAGCCTACTGCCTATTTTCTGCACATAGTTTCATTCCTGTTCTTTTTACATGGCATAACTGTTTGCTTTTCCAGTTTCCTAAACAGTTCTTGCTAAGACTCACATTTCTGTTTTATTTGTTACTTGTGTTTTCCTGTGGTTCCGAAGACCCCCTGTAGATTACCTTATCCTGTTTGTGGAAGTTGGAGCCACTTCAGGAATACTATATCATTCAGGATTCTTTGGTTGAAAGCAAAAGAAACCAGTACATGCTAATTTAAGAAAATGAATTATATAGAAAATATATGGCTCACAGAAGTGAGAGAAAAACTCCACAAAGACAGAAAGTGAAGCAGCTCTTGAATGTAAGAACTAATGGGTATTTTCTTCTGGCTGCTGATGCATTCCTGGCCCCAAGTTGCTCCTCAAATCCTTTTATTTAAGGAAGGAGAAAAGAGTTAGATAGCTATTACTTATGTGCAGTCTTAGAAATGTACAATTAATTCAAGATTGGGAACCATAGAACTGGAGGCTCTCTAGGGATAATTTCTGCCGATTCTAAAGGATAAGAAGGCTTTGATCCATGTTGATTCATCAGGCACATCTTGGACTAATGTTTAATAACTGGGTTATTCAAGTCTTAAGTCTCAGCCTTGTCAGTACTATTGTGCCTCATAGTGACCTGGGAAATGAAAAGTGGAAACCAGAAATGAAGAGTTATGTCATGTCATTGTGATTGAAATGCTGCTTTATAATAGTCATTTTTTTAGTCATTTGTAACAGCGTAATTAATGTACATGGGAACATGGATGAGTGAAAGTTGAGCTACATCATCAGCACTCCAGTAAGAGAGGAGAAACTAATGATAGTGTGAACATTTTGAAACACAGCATAGCAGATTTCCACCATTAAAACTGTATTCATGTTTTAAAGAATACACACACACACACACACACTTTTGTCAAAATTCAAAACGAGAGAAAATGACTATTCTTGAAAATAATTATTATTTGGTCAATATCTCAGCAGAATTTAAAGGTAATATTGATATGAGATGTAAATTTTTAAAGATACATTAGAAAAATCTTTTTTTTTCCCCACAGCTAGTTATTTTAAGTTAAGTATGATTCCTACATGGACTGCCTTTCACGTGTTAGCTTATGCATCTGGTCTACTTGATAGGTATTGGTGAGATCCACAGTAACTGATCTATAACAACTGCTCTTTAGCTGTACGATTCATTAAAAACATACCTTATGCGTGCTTCTTTTGAAACTGTGTGTAATAAGCATAATAACCTTAGACTTATACTTTCAAGTTTATGTGTGGTGTAGCGTGAAGAGGTGTTAATTCAGATATCAGTCCTACTGCCTGATACTTGAGTAATATTATGCCACTTCATTCCAAGTTTTAGTTCCTGTTCTTAAAAGTAGGGATTGCAGCTGGGCATGATGGCTCACAGCTGTAATCCCAGCAATTTGCGAGGCCAGGGTGGAAGGATTGCTTGAAGCCAGAGTCTGGGCAACATAGCAAGACCTCATGTCTGCAAGAAAATAAAAATAAAAAGTTACCCAGGCATGGTGGTACATGCCTGTAGTCCCAGCTATTCAGAAGGCTGAGGCAGGATGATCTCTTGAGCCCAGACATTTGAGGATGCAGTGAGCTATATGATCACACCACTGCACTTCAACCTGGGCTATAGAGTAAGACTCTGTCTCTAAAATAAATAAAATATAATAAATGATAAATAATTTTGAAATAAAATATATAAATATAAAAATTAAGTATAAATAGTGATAAAATGTATCACTCAGAATTTTTGTCGTATTTAAATAACAGTCTATGTGAATCACAAAAGCCATGGTTGCTATGTTGCTTTAAGATGATTTGTTCTGCATTAACCACTGAAAAGATCATGAGATCACAAGAAGTCACCTGACAATAGTCAATCCAGAGATCAAGACAAAACAAAGTTAGAGAAAAATCTATGTTATTTACCATTTGAATCAGCATTACCAAAAGAGCAGGTCATGCAGTATAACGAACACTATTTAATAACCAAAATCATGGTAGACCTTAGGAAACCTGACCATTTATTTTATTTTACTCGTTTCAATTATTGCTTATGATTATATACAAGTTTATACCCTTAATGGAAGAATAATGTATTCCCCAATATTTCATTTTAACACTTATAAAGATGATGAACATCTATGTATATACATGGGACAATTTCTCCAGGGTAAGTCACATAAAAGGGAAATTACTGGGTCTCATCCAATATGAGCACCTTCACCAATATGAGCATCTTCAACTTAATTGACCCTGTCAAATGATTCACTCCACCGGCAGTTAACAAGAGCTCCTCGAATTCTACATCTTCAACCCTTGATATCATTAGATTTTTATATTTTTACCATTCTGATGGGTAAAATTATTACCATTTTAGTTTGCATTGCATGATCAGTTTCCATCTTTGTTTGTTATTCTAATTTTCTCTTCTGCAAATTTACTGTTTACATTCTTTGTCAATTTTTCTGTTGATGGATTAGCTATTTCTGATTAAAAAGAAAGTTTATTCTCCAACTGTTAAGAGTTGGGTGCTATGTATATTATGGGTATATCCTGTAAACTGTGCCACTTCTTTACCCTTAATAGATATAATTCTATTTAATCTACATGTTTTTAAGAAAGGTGTATTAAAATGTTCTACCTTGATTATGTTTGTTTTTTGTTTTATTCCTCTATATAATTTTATCAAGTTGTGAGAAAAAGAATTTCCTTGTTAGATGTATATATATATCACATTCAGAATTGGTATCTTTCTTCCTGAGTTTTCCCTTTCTTAATGTTTCAATGACTCCTTTACCCCATTAAGAATTTTTGTCTTAAATTTGATTTTGTTTTATATACAGGCTCTCACAGTTTTGGTTTGAGGCATTTATAAATATGTTTGTTTGTTTTTTAAGTTTATGATGAGTGTCTTATAAGCAGTGCCTATCTGGATGTCTAAAAAATGTATTTGAGAATCTCTGATCTTCTAGTGGTGAGTTTTATTATGTTCTCTTTGTTGCAAAAATTGACATATTTGTATTTATTTATATAATTTGCTTTTTTTCTATATTTTAATATTTTCATTTAGCTTTTTACTCATTTTTCCTCCTATCAGACTGACTTTTTGTTTTTATTCCTTTTCTTCTACCAGGAAATATACATTTTATTTCCTCTTTTATACTGATAATTCTGAAATTTTAATATCCATGTTTGACTTAAAAATTAAAAGTTGTTTGGTGTTATTCTTATCTTGGAGAATACCAGATTTTGTGGAATGCTGTAATCCTGCTCACTGAGTTCCAAATTTCACAGTTTTTTCTCCTTATTTTTAATGCAAGTGCTTATAAATCGCTTACTATTTGTCCTAATTGTGGTTAGTGTTTATAGCTATGTTAATTTAGATTAACCCACATGATAATAAATTTCCTTGCTCATCATTCCTTTTTGCATCCTACTCACTTACCTGGTTCGCTCTCTTTTCTCCTGAAGTAAAGCTTTTAGCATTAATTTCAATAAGGATACATAGGTGGCAACTTTTGTCTAAAATTGCCCTTATTCTTGATTGACAGTTAAGTTAGACATACAAATCAGTGTTAACAGATGACAGTATTTGCCTCTCAATACCTTTCAGGATACTTTCCCACAGTTTTCTGGTTTTTCTGTTGCCAATACTTGATTTGCTGCCAAACGAATTTTTTAAAGATTTATTTTAGAGTAACTTGCTCTTCTTTCTGATTGTTTAAGGCACTCCCTCTTCCCCTTTTGTTCTTTGTGATTTCTCTATAAGAAAGACACATAGCTGATATTGAAATTGACATATTGTATAAATTTAAGAGTAAGGCTCAGCTATGTTATCTTTGAATGTTAACTCACACTCTTCTCTCTCATCTGTTCTTCAGGAAGTCCTCACAGTCTCTCCATCTCCATGCCTAGTTACATAACTTTGATTTTCTCTTCTGTTTACCACTTTGTGCTAAATTCTATGAAGTGTTCTCAAATGGTCTTCCAGTTCACTGATTATCTCTTTACGTATATCCAATCTGATTTTTAATTCTTTTTAATAGATTCCTTCATTCAAATAAACTTTATTTCCTATATTTGTCATTTCAATAATCAACTTTATAAAAATCTGTCTTTCATGGTCCATACAGTAGTCTGATTTAATATGCATGTGTGTGTGCGTGTGTGTATATATATATATATATACACACACGCACACACACACACATATATATACACATATATATGGGTATATATAATTTATACTTTATCTCTTTAATCATTTTAGTTCAGTAATTTATAGCCTCTTTCACAATATTTTATAGCTTCTTTCACACTTGCGGTTTATAATTTGGCTTGCAAACTTCTCTTTGGAGGAGGTAGCTCTTTCTCTAAAGGATCTGGATGCCCTTCTCTGTGGAATTGTGGCTACAAAGCAGATTAATATTTAATTTTCCAAGAGACTGGAAGTTTCAACATTCTGGGGCCAGCTTTATGTTAAATTTTCAGTGTGACAATCCCATACTATACTAATAAAGTGCATTTAGACTATAAAACCATGTATGGTCCATTTTTCCATTCCTACTTTTGTGGACTGTGAGATCAAATTGTTTTGTTTCATTGGAATGGAGGGAGCTACCTTTCCTGAGTCCTAACTTTATGCAGAGATCTCCTTACTTCCTGTAGATCTAAAATCATACCTTCCATCCCCAAAAGGACTTTAACAGCCAACCCTCATGTGTAATAGCCTAGATCTGGATTCTACTATCTTCTGTAACTCTTTTCTGTCCTCTGCAGAATTACAAGCCTGTCTTTAATTTTCCTCTTTATTTTTAACACCTTGACACTTTCCATTTACTCTCTCAAGATTATGTATGTATTTAAAGAATGTTGAATTTTTTGTCATCGACACTTTCCAGGTTTTTAAAATTATAATCATTGGAAAGTTTGCATTTCCTCAGTCCACCATTTTGCTGCAAATAGAAGCAGAGGTCCTCTCAATGTCTTTATACTTTTTGAGTGAAGTATATTAATACCTTTAATTAAGATTTAAGAAATAAATTGGAAATTGGTATTTTCTTATTAATTTCTAGTACTTAATATGGTTAGAAATTATTTAAATGATTGTCTTTATTTTTCTGTAAGTGCATACCCTGAATTTAATACCCTGAATCTTTCTCTGGTATTGAAAGTTCCTACAGTGTCACTTATATACCATTTGCAATATCTCACTATATTAAAAGAAAGAAGAGATTGAGAAAACTATGTGAGAGCTGGCTGTATGAATTCTGAATCACAGCAACTAGGATTTCTGTATATTAATTATCACTCTACTCTCTTATCAGTTTTTCTTATAAAAGTAATATATTATGAAAAGGCATGGGCCATTGAAACTTCTATTTAATAAGAAATAAAGTTTTAATAGGAACTGGTAGAGATAAATTATAATTCTTGGTCATGGTTATACTTTTTAATGAATTATTTAATGAATCTTAAAATTATCTTGGAAGTACTTTTGTCTATACTCTGACTATTAATTACCCTAAGGATTCTTGTAGGAATATAATAAAGTTATGTTCTCAATGGGTTACTGGTCTTCTCTGAAGTTGTGCTAGTTAAGGTTTTCTTAGAGTTGGTTTGTCAATTTTTACATCATTTATTTCTTTACTTCAGAAATATTGATGTATGGGTTCCATATTCTTTCTAGATGGGAATCCTAAAATCATCTAAAATTTTGTTAGAGAAGGATCAAGAATAAAATGTAGTGCCTTTTTTCCCCTTCCCACTTTTTTCTCAGCTTGCTTATTCTGTATGTACGACACCATTGCTATATTTCCAGTGATTTTTTTTTGCCTTTAGTTTATCTTGACAATGGATTTTAATATCATTGAATTCTTTTTGTTGGAGGGTATTTTGTTTGTAAGAATGGTAATGGTCTAAAACCTAAATAAATCCAACAAGAAGCAATATTTCTTATATTCCAACTCCCTTAATAAACAAAATATAGTTAGAATTATTGACAAGATACTAGAAAGGACATGTTTGGATATTTGGTAAAATATGAATATTATTTGTTATTTCCCTTTTCCTCTTATTTTCTTTATACCAAGTTGAACTGCTGTAGGAGAATAAACATGGGAGGGTTGAGGGCCCTGCATAATAATAATATCTGACCCTCCAAAAAATAATTCTTCCAATATCTTATTAAGAAACTCATATGTTTTAACAGTGTAGTGTGGAATGGTAGTTCTAGGAGAGAAGGAGAAAAAAAAAGGAAAAACTAGTACTGACCATTGAAAAATGTTCTGAAAAGAGTCCAGAGAATAAAATTCCCTTGTGATCTTGCTGTCAACCATCTAGACGGGGTCCTGTGGACAGCTGATCCAAGCATTCATCTGAAACCTTACATTCCACATTCTTCCCTTTGCCATAAGTATTCCCCAAACCTGACTATTAAGGGAAAAGAAACATTAATCCTCAAAAAAAAAAAAAAAGAAAAAATCAACAACAACAACAACTACACAGACAATGAAAAATACAATGATACAAATCCTTAAGAAAAAATTCTAAGAAGTCTTATGAGAAGAATCCAAGAAATAATGTCTATTTAGAGGACATAGAACAAGTGTAAGAGATGCATATAAAGTATAAGACCATCACACCTTAGGAAAATATTTAAGCTGTGTGGACTTCTTATCTGCCCGGGAGATTGGTTTACAAAGACTACAAAGGCATTTCTGGAACTTGTTTCCTGGGTTACAGAGGTGAGATCATCAAGCTAGAACTAATAATTGTGCCACTAATTAAAAAATGAAGGCAATTTTAAAAACTGGAATGATATATTATTATCTTTCCTCACCACATCACAAAATGAGCCATTTTTTTCTTTAAACACTATTTAAATGTCAAGTTTATTTTTTATTATAAGTGTTTTTCAGTAGTAAAATTCTTAGAGATTATGCCTTAGGCGATAGGTAAAATGAGACTCACATAATTTCATTGATGGTAATGGATAATTTACTTTATATAATTCATTTTTTTCTATTGAAAATGTAATTCATGCCTTGGGATTGCTTTAGCATTCACTGTTGAAAATAGGAAGTGTGTGTTTTATTTGTTTTATGGTATTCCTTAGGGAGCTGCATGATTTAGTTGAGAGAGCATGAGTTTTAACAGCAGATAAGCCAGATTTAGATCAATTTACTTAAAATTATCTGAGCCTTAGTCTCCTAGTGAACACTACTGTTTGGTTGTGGTGAAGATCAGATGGACAGCACAGAGGGCTGAACTGTTCTTGGTATAGTAGTCCCTTAATCTCCTAGCCTATACCATCAGGGACTACATCTGTTCTTGATTCCCATCGTATCTCTAACATCAAATTTAGCGCTTAGCACATAATAGTGGCCTGTTACAAACATGTTGAATTTTTAAAAATGAGTGATGGTTAAAATCAGTGTTTTTCATGCACACTCTAAATCCACCTATTTGATCCCATTACTTTTCAAAAATTTTATTCAATTCCAGTCACCTTTAATTCTTCAGTTGTTGTTGCTGTCACACTGTTCTCCCTTTCTATGGCACATCACAACCTGAGAAATCTTTCTTTATCTTTTTTAAGAGGCAGGGTCTTTCTCTGTCACCCTGGAGTATGGTGGCACGATCATAGTTCACTACAGCTTTGAACTCCTGGGCTCAAGTGATCCTCCTGACACAGCCTCCGGAGTAGCCAGAACTACAGGTGCATGCTACTACACAAACAACTTTTTAAATTTTTCATACAGACACGATCTCATTATGTTTTCCAAGCTGTTCTTGAACTCATGGCCTCAAGCGATCCTAAAGAGATGACTCTGATGTTGTCACCACGTGTCTTCCATATCTAGGCAGGTCTCATGCTGAGTCAGGAGGAGGGAGAACAGAGGCCTAGGCCAGGGAGGTGAGGGCACACATTCATTTTTTTTTTTTTTCCCAGAAAGATGAGTCTCACTTCTCTTCATGTTCCTTTGGCTATAACTTTGCCAAATGGACACAATCAGTTGCAAGGGAAGCTGAGAACTGTAACTTTTAGCTGGTTAGACATGTCTGTAGCTAAAACTTTGGAGTTCTATTATGAAAGAAGGGGAATGGATGGTAGAGAGCAATAAGCAATTATTGTCATATGAGTTTTCATAATTTTTTCTTGTAAGACTGTTCTCCAAGAAGAGTCATTGTCAATTTATTTTGTTCTTTTTCCAACTAAAGTCTGAAGTTTTTGAAGGCAGTAAATATGTTTCATTCATCATTCTATTACTAATACTGATCATACTCCCTGACACAGAACAGGTATTCAGTTAATAATTGTTAAATGCATGAAATCCCAGAATCCATGTGGATCACTTGGAGAAATGTGGCAAAATAAGATTCTTTTGAATAGCATAACCGTATTCTGGTTTACAGTATTTTTCTATTATTTTTCTTCTATTCCGATCTAGTCGAGGATCCCACAGGTAACAGAAATAGCTAAGAAGATGCAAGCATCCCTCATGGGAAATCTCTCTGGGAAAAAATAACAGCAAGGCAAGTGTTGATTCCAGCCACTTTGCCTCACCCAGGCCATTGGGTAACTTCATAATATATGAAATGAATCCTGTCAAAAGCACTTGCTTTCCAGGGTTAAAAATAAAAATTTTCAATTAGCTTTCTCAGAATACTAAAAGGTTTTTTTGGGTATCTGAAGCCAAGACTTAAATAAATGATACTGAGAATTTTTTTTACTACAAACTAGTAAATTAAAAGTCTTTTCATAAGATCCCCAATGCCCATCAGTATTAAGTGTTGATGTGATTCCTCCTTAGACCCTTTTCTCTTATCCATGTACCCCACAGGCTTGGATGATATGGATCCAGATTGGAGAAAAGTCGATATGATTTCGTAGTGTCTTCACCCAAATCTCATCTTGAATTGTAGTTCCCATAATTCCCACATGTTGTGTGAGTGACTTGGCTGTCATTCTCTCTTGTCTGCTGTCATGTAAGATGTGCCTTTCACTTTCTGCCATGATTGTGAGTCCTCCACAGCCATGCGGAACTGTGAGTCCATTAAACCTCTTTTTCTTTATAAATTACTCATGAAGGTTCAGGTATATCTTTATCAGCAGCATGAAAATGGACTAATACAAAAGGAAATGGATAAAGATGTCTCCAGAAATATCCAGAAACTGAAGGACAAAAAGAATAATGTCTAAAAAATATGACTAGAAACGACTCCCCTCCTTCCCTGCCTTCAGACCTCACCCTCCCTCATAGAAGAAATCGTGTACATCAGTGTCAGGGTTGGTACTTTAATATGTTTGGTGCAAGATAAATTAAAAATCAGAATTCATGTTTCCTCTTCCATTCCTCAGGCAGCAGTGTGGTAATGTGCCTGAACTGTGGTAGAAGATGATTTAGAACTACTTAAAAGTTTCTGAAATTCAGGATTCAGTAAATTAATCTATGCTTACATTTCCTCAAGTCTTGAATTTGATTTTAGGAGCCTGATTTGTTGGTTATCTGTATATGTTGCTAACTTGAACAAGTGCAAAAGTTCCCAGTAAAACACTATTTTCAGTATTTTTTCTTTGTACAGAGACTATTGAATGTTCAGTGGAATCTACTGTAGGTCACTGCCCAGGCTATATATTCTAAGACAGTGTAACTCAAATTCTGTAGTAAAGGACCATTTTAAAAAAACATAGATTGCAGACCACAATAGAGTGACGTAGAAGAAAAGTGTTGTAGCCGTGGCAGATTGCTATGGAAGCTTCTGAAAACTGGCTCAAATTCTGAAGTTAGCTGGCCATGGACAACTGTAGCAGGCAGTTTGCAGACAGACTACACTTAGAAAGCACTAACCTAGGAGACGTAAAAAGTAAAATATTTCACCTCTCAAATACCTTATAGCTTGGTGAGAGACTTAGGCATAATTAATTTATAACCAAAATAGATAATAATTGTAATAGATGGTTTACAAAACTTAGGATAAAAGAAGCATGAGGATGAAAAAAGGCAACAAAATGGAGGTTGGTTAATCTAGATGTTATTAATAGTTATAGCTAATAATTCTTGATTGTTTATAATGTGCTAGGGCCAATACTGAGTGCTTTCTGCAAGTATAAAGTAATTTAATTCTGAGCAATGCACAATGATGTACGTTCTGTGAATAAGCACTTTGCTCAGTCTCTTTTCTGTTTCTGTCTCTCTGACACCCCCTTTCTCCTCCTCTATGGACATATGCATTAAGTAGTAGAGCTGGGATTTGCACTCAGGTTTGTGACTTGAACAGCCCATGAGTTTAATCCCTTTCTTTCCTCTAATGATTTGAAAGAAGAATCCAACTGTAAAAAGGGAATACTTTTCTAACAGGCACAGCAAACAGAATGAACAGAGGTGTGAGTCAGTGAGTGGGTGGGCGTGGTGGGTGTAGACCAGTGTTCCGGAACAGGGGACCCTAAAGATACAGTTGGAGATAATCTTAAAGCAGTAAAAGATGCTCAAAGGGAGAGAGATGGATTAAGTTTGCTGGAGGAGGAGCCATGTGCAGAGACAGCAGGGCCTGATAGGAGAGAGGTCCAGTCAGACATTCTGTACCTACAGATGAGGGCCTCAACTATTGCTACATTCTAAGTTATGGAAGTAGGGCGGGAGAGGTGGGTGGAAGTCTGGGCACTGTGGGAAGGAGCTCCTGCCAACTAGTTAAGAAATAACTAGGGAAGGAGGAACGGTTTGTGGCAGAAGATGGCATTCACATTGAGATTTGTTGAGTTTTAGATGTTAGCAAAACAATCACGTAAAGACGTTTGTGTGTATTTTCTGGAACCCTTAATTGTGGCAGGCAGTGCTAGGTGTTGGCAGTATCCATTTTGTGTCCTCAGTTGTGTACAATCTTATAACACTGAGCAAACACTGGAAAACTCAGGTGTGAAGTCTTAAGTGAAGAACACTTAAGACATGCTGGATTTTAGAACCAGAATTGTAGAGGGCAGTCTGTATGCATAAAATATTCTCCCAATTACTCTTGGGTCTACAGATGTACAGACAACTTTGTAGGCCTTAATTGTACGCCATTCACTTTGACCACAGTTTAGACACTGTGATATTTCAACCTCTGATCTTATTTATAGTCTGTTGCAGGAGGACTCAGAATAAAAGATCCCTAAAAGTAGCAGGTGTTTTAGAATTTTGTACTTTAGCACCAAACAGGTATCAGATCGATACTTGTCATCTTTGTCAAGGACAATGAACAATTCATCATTTTATTTTAAGCCATGTTATATCTTATCACAGGAATTTGAACAACATCAAATTTTATATGTGGTGTATGTGACAGGGGTGTGTCAAGGAAGAGAAAGGGGGTAAGGAAAGAAAAAAGCAGAAAGCTTTTTTTTTAATTGGTCTTTTACAAGAATCTTATCTTTGGTAGTGGAAAGCAGTATATTTTCTCTCTTTATTTTTTCTTGAAAAACGAGAAACCTCATGTAATATACCACTAAGCCAGCATAGTTCAAGTTGCCATTTAGAAAGCATAATTAGAACAGCATATTTGAAATCTTTTTGAAATGTGGAATTATGATCCACTTATTGAAAAATTTGAAGGCACTCAAACTGTTTTATTCTCTTTCAAGGACACTCAGTATGAAGTTACACAGTTCAAAGGAAAGCTACCACTATCTGCTTAATACCTTAATTATTTGTGGTACCTTATCTTGGTTACCACTGATATACACTGCTCCCTAAATCCTATTTACTAAGTTTTTCTTTTAGAATCACAAGTTTATTTTATAATCAGTACCCAACAGTTGGGTCACTGATTTTCTAGAACTGCCTAATTTAGTTAGCCCAAGTTTATTTGTGATATTCCACATGATTTTAATCTTGGCTAATTTTATTTTATTTTATTTCTCTACATGTGGACATATAAATAAATCAGATTATGTGGATGTTTAGGCTAAGCTTTAATCCCCCTTCTGGTGCCTGCTAGGTCTAGCTTCTTTATCAGTCTTCTCCAGTTAATCTCCAGTTTGTATTAAACTACATTAATAAACGCAGCACCAAGAAGCCAGTCCTCCATGAGGAAAAGTAAGCCCTTACTTATTTCTCCCATTCTTTCTCCTTGTTTTAAGGTGGAACTTTTGTATCCACAAATGGGTCTGGAATAGCCACTGAGGCATAAGGAGAAAGAAAATAAAATGACAGCTGATCTCCATTGTTCTGGGCTTGTGACAGAAAATTCTGCTCCAAGTTTCTACTTTGATAGTTTTGGAATGTGGCCAGCATCTCTGGGATTTAGTATTCTGAAGTAGTCTGTTCAACAGACCGTTCTGTGATGGTGAATAGTCAATATCTGTGCTGGGCAATATGGTAGCTACCAGCCATGTGTAGCTATCAAACCTTGGAAATGTCGCTTGTATGATAGAGGAACTGCATTTTTATTTAACCTTAATTTTAATTAGATTTAAATAACCGTCTGTGACTAGTGGCTACCATGTTGGGGAAGTGCAGCTCTGAATAGTGATTATGTCAAGGACATGTTCCATGGGAGAGGCAGCATAGTGTCGTGGAAATCCAACCTCTCCCATTATGATCGCTGGGATCTTAGCTTTGTTAGACAAGTCTCTGTGCCTCAGTTTCCACACAAAACAAAGTCCAAGTAACAAAACTTACTTGCATGAAATATTAGTAAGATATAACATGAGTGAAACAGGCTTTCTCAAGGTCCAGCACTTATAGATACTCTATGACTATTAGTTAAACATATATATATGTACATATATATTTTTTATTATATATGTTTTATGCTGTTCAAGCGATTTTCCCACCTCAGTCTCTACTCTAGCTAGATCTACAGGCCCATGTACCATCCCTGGCTAATATTAATATTTTTATTGAGGCCACACCTCGCTTTGTTGCCCAGGCTGGTCTAGAACTCCTGGCCTCTAGCAATCATCCCACCTCAGCCTCCCAGAGCACTGGGATTACAGATGTGAGCTATTTATTATCATTATTATTATTATTATTTTGAGATGGAGTTTCATTCTTGTTGCCCAGGCTGGAGTGCAATGGTGCGATCTCGGCTCACTGCAACCTCTGCCTCCAGGGTTCAAGCGATTCTTCTGCCTCAGTCTCCCAAGTAGCTAGGATTACAGGTGCCCGCCACCATACCTGGCCATTTTTTTTTTTTTTTTTTGTATTTTTAGTAGAGACAGGGTTTCACCATGTTGGCCAGGGTGGTCTCGAACTCCTAACCTCAGGTGATCCGCCTGCCTCGGCCTCCCAAAGTGCTGGGATTACAGGCTTGAGCCACCATGCCCAGCCGGTATGAGCTATTTTAATGAGCATGACATAGAGAATTTGGAGTAAACCTAAGCTTCCTTAAGTGAGATAGTGAACTAATGATTTCAGCTTTCTGAGTTTGTGACCTCATTTGTAAAATGGAGATTATAATTCCTGCCCTGCCTATTTTAGGATGTTGCCAAACTCTGAAACTGTGACCTCCTAAGTGTTTCTTTAGTTTATTTCCTTTTCTTCACCCACAGTGACTGCCTCATTTTTCAGGTGGATGATACATCAGCTTCCTAGCAGATCTCCTTGCCTTCACTCTTCTCAAATATGAACTGTGCATCATGACTTGAATTTGAAATGTGATTTCCATATTCTCTATCACTAAACAATCAAGTCCATACTGCTCAGAATGGTAACCAAGGCCAAACCATAAACTGGCTCTCATTTAAACATCCCCTTTTTTTTTTTTTTTTTTTTTGAGATGGAGTCTCACTCTGGTCACCCAGGCCAAAGTGCAGTAGTATGATCTCGGCTCACCGCAACCTCTGCCTCCCAGGTTCAAGCTATTCTCCTGCCTCAGCCTCCTGAGTGGCTGGGACTACAGGCGTGCGCTTCCATGCCCCGCTAATTTTTGTATTTTTTAGTAGAGATGGGGTTTTACCATATTGGCCAGGCTGGTCTCGAACTCCTGACCTTGTGATCCACCCACATCAGCCTCCCAAAGTGCTGGGATTACAGGCGTGAGCCACCGTGCCCGGCCCCCTTCTTTACATATGTTTCCTTCTCTGAATTTACTCTTGGGCTTCCCCAGACTTCATGTCATTCCCCTATCACATGCCCATGCCCTGCTCTTTCTCACCTCCATGGGCTTTGCTGTTCCTGTGCCTGCACTTTTCTCTTTTGCTCCACCTCCATCCAACCCCAATCTCTGGATTGATTAATTCTTCATATGCCCCTCCCTGCAAAACTACACCCTTGCCCCTAATTCTAGGTTCATCCTCCTCTATTTTAGCACTCACTCAAGCAAAATAACCTCAGAAAAATGTCCTTGCCTATGACTTCCTTTAGCCTAATTCCCAAACCAGAGTGAGTCTCCAGCCTCTCCCAGGTGCAGCTCTTTTACTGAACACATGCTGATGTTGGGCTTTTCTTCTTCCTTATATCTGCGTTCCCTACTAGACCAACATCTCCCTGAGAGGAAAGCATATATTTCACTTGCTTTATAACCCAAGTGACTATGAGTTACAGCTCAGAGAGCCTTATTGAGTAGATGATATTGTCCCAGGTATACCATGAAATCATGTAGGTGAAAGCATTTTCAAAATGGCAAAGTACTCCCGAGATATAAAGTGGCGATGTTTTAATTAAATTTTTCTGCTGACTTAGTGTCTGCATCATGCTGACCAACTTTATGACAAGCAGTGTTCTTACACCCATGGTTCTCGCTGACTGCATGTTTCTCACCATGTGGGCCAGACATCTTCATTTCAAACTGGATGTTGCCTCTCCTCTCTGTATTCTCACTTGCTAGTTTCTGCTCTGTGGCTGCAAGTACTCTGCTGACTGTCCACTCTTATAGATGCTATAATCCTCACACCGAGCTGTTCTCCTCGTGAATGCTATGCACCTACCCCACACCTATGCAAAATACCTTTGAGTTCCTTAAGGAAAACAGGTGAGGAACAAGCTAGGAGACCTGCTCCGTAGAGACTACCTGGTTATTTACCACAAAATATAAGTCTTCCTGAGAACACATATATGGAGCCTTCAACAATCTGTGGGTTGAGGTTAAGCAGCTTCAGGGGCACTCTAGACCAGAATTTTGCAATGTGCAGCTCTCAGGATGCATGTGACCCGCTGCCCTGAATGCATGTGTATGTCAATAAGTTTTATTGAACCATGCTCTTTTGCTTATGTATTGCTTATGGCTACTTTTGCCCTACAATATTGTACAAGAGACCGTGTGGCTTGTAATGCCTAAAATATTTACTATGTGGCTCTTTACAGAAAAGAAAATTGCTGACCTCTGTTCTGAGGCAGAACTACTGCCATTAGGAGCGGGAGAATTCTTTGCTGGGTAAGGGGACAAAGAGGGTTTTTCTGTACAATATGGGATATTTGGCAGCATCCCATGCCTCTGCCTACCAGTGCATCTACAGTAGTACCACCTCCCCATTTGTGACAACCAAAAATGTCACTAGACAATGCCAAACGTCCCCTGGGGGACGAAATCACTTTCAGTTGAGAACCACTGCTGGAGACAAAGTAGACCCAAATACACTTTAGAAGAAAGTAAGAAAAAAATCAATTATTGAAAAACATGAAGATGTCAGATGCACTAACTACTTATTTTTCTTTGGCAAACTCATTGCACAGATTTCACTGACCTAAATGTAATACTGTTCAATCTGCATGGTCAGGAGGGGAGAACATATTGAGATTTATTGGCTGGGTTCCTAATATTTTTTTTCCACCATAAATTCAAGTCAAATGTGTAGAGTGGAAGTGTGACCACAGGGGTGTTGAGCACAGCCTGTGTGACACTTGCCTGAACTAAGGGTAACTCTGAGACTTGTCAACATGCTACTCTGTAAGTGTGGGCACACTATTTTGTTTATCTGAAACTGAATCTTCTCTTTTGTAAAATGTTAGAATTAAGTGAGAGCATTGTTCTTCTAAACTGCTTAAGACAGCGTCTGGAATCAATAGTGGGTGCTTACGGGATATCAGTGATGAGAGTGGTGGTGATGGAGGTGGGAAGGAAGAAGAAAGGGGAGAGAAATAAGAAACTGATATTCACAAAGCACCCTGTGGAGTGTTAGAAAGAAACATTAAAATCATAATGTGTTAAGGTTGAAAAACCATTAAGGTGACCTCAGATGTTGATATCTTTGTGCTGTCTCCTGCAGGGATTGTTGGGCTTCTAGTCCCTGCAAGACATGAACTAAATCTATTAGTAAAAGACACCAATTCTTCAAGCAGCAACTTGGAAAGAACATAAAAATATTTACATAATGGGAAATTATATGAGTTCAAAATACTGAATACTAGTGTTCATAGAACATAAAAATCATGTATTTAGTCTTAAAGTTATTGGAGGTTACCACTTAGTTAACTAATCAGTGCTAAAAAGCCTTTGCAAAAAGATCCCTGATCTTTCCATGTATCTGTGGAAGCTGACACGGTGGTTCTCAGTCACATGGAACTTCTGTGCCTTTCATTTCCCAGAATGTAGTCACCAACATCTGTCCCCCGCTAGGAAGTCTCCCTGACCCCATCCCAATTCATGTAGTTTTATTGGAGCTGACTCTAATCTCATTTCTAGACAAAATTATATGACTTCAAAGCTAAGCCACTCCACACAGCCTCTTGGTGACTCGGTGTGGGATGGCTGCACAGCCCGGGAAGAGACAATACACTCCTAGATTTCTAGAGAAAAATATTCTTAGCTTCTAGTCCTCAAAGAAGAAGTTGTAGGGGCTGGAATGGCTACCTTGATTTTGGTACCACATGAGGTCTGAGTCTGAAATTTGAAAGAAAAAGGCAGAGATGAAAAATAAAGAAACACTGATGTTTTAAGATATTTTGTGTCTAGAATCTACCAAGCCTGAAAATAATTGGACATCTAGATATGTATACTAATATGAAGTAATATTTTTCTACTTGCATAAGCTAAACTGGGTCAGATTTTCTACCACTTGAAAGAAAGAAGTCCTAAGTATTACAACAGTCTTGGGAGTTAAGGGACTACTCTGTCATTCAGATGGAGCAACTACTAAGACGGCCTCTTCTTGAACTTCTCTTTATACAAAATGCCATGAGAAAATTCATGTTATGTTAGAATACTTTTTGTGACAAGAGAGGTTATATTTTAGAGACTTTTAAAAACCAGTTGTGTGTTTGGATAATATTGTATTAACTAACATTAGATATTAATATAATAAAATCTTAAAATATATACATTAATATCTAAACTTCTGATTTTTATTATGAAGACCCCCATGTCTACAATACCTGCTTTCAACACTTATCAGGATTTTGCCACATTTGATTCATCTATCTTTTAAAATTTTCTTTAAGCGTTTGAAAGAGAATCCCAGACATCCTACTTTTTCTCCCTCACATGTTTCAGTCAGCTTCTCCAAGAATCAACAATGTCATGCAATGCATGACTGCAATGCCATTATCACATCTAACAGAAACACTATCCAGCCCATTATCAAATTTCCTTGAGTGGCTAGAAAATACCTTTATAACGTCAGCTTTAAATAACACATATTAAGTGCCAGGCGTCTTCTGGGCATTTTATTAATTTTTATTTTTACTTTTTTTGAAGATGGAGTCTCGCTCTGTTGCTCGGGCTGGAGTGCAGTGGCGTGATGTTGGCTCACTGCAACCTCTGCCTCTCAGGTTCAAGCAATTCTCCTGCCTTAGTCTCCCAAGTAGCTGTAACTATAGGCACCTACGGCCATGCCAAGCTAATTTTTTTTGTATTTTAGTAGAGACTGGGTTTCACCATGTTGCCCAGGTTGCCCAGCTTGCCCATGCTGGTCTCAAACTCCTGAGCACAGGCACTTCAACCGCCTAGGCCTCCCAAAGTGCTAGGATTACAGGTGCGAGCCACCATGCCCAGACTCTTCTGTGAATTTTACAAGCGACATCATAACCACCTCTAAAGATCAGAGATGTTTAATGACTTGCCTAAGACTTACCAAACTAAATATCCTGAGCCTTAGTATGCTAACAATAACACCTCATTTCTTCCTAAACCTTTATTAGTAAAATCTGTATTCTTTAATTTCTTAAAAATTATGAAATCATGAGAATGTTTGGTTTTCCCTATATATTTTTTCTTATCTTTTTGGTGTAAAATTGACAAATGTTTTTATAAATCTATAAAGAATGCAAGTATGTTAATTTTCAGGGGAAAAAATATACCCTTAGTGGATATTTTAAATATAAAACCAACCACTTTTGGGAACATGTTTTACATATGTTCCTTCTGTTTGTAGGAATATGATGTTGTCCTACATCCTTGCTTGGCTCCTTCTTGCCATCTGTATTTTTAGTTGCCCAGGGTGCAGTATTCCCACAGAGGGTGAAGCTGATTATTCTTCCTTACCTGCTTCCTCAGGGTCATCTCAAACTCTGCCGCCTTCCCTTCATCATCACCCTGGGTCTCCAATTCTCCAAACCTTCTTACTACCTTTATTTTCCTCTGACAGATAACCCTGTAGCAAGGTAACTTGGATGTGTTTTTGTTGGTTCTACTCCATTTCGAAATGATATTTCAAAACTATTGAAAGCACTGGAACAATAGGCAGTTGTAGAATGGCTTGGCTTGGCTTGAAATATGGGAGGTCCATATTTAGTTGCTAGAAAAAAAAATGCTGGTGACATTTCAGGAGAAATAAAGAATTGTTCAGAGAAGTCTTGAGTGTGTCTTTCATGAATGAATAAAATGGTTTGAGTGACCTAGTTTGGCCATGCCCTCAAGTAGTTTTAACATTCCATTTTGGAATATCTGTGTTATTAAGGCAATGAGATTAATTTAGAACAATAAGAAAACACAGAAGTTATCCTCTGCGCATCATATTTAGTTCAGAGGACCAAAATTTGCTTTCTGTTCATAAGATATTTTGTGACACCAATCTATTGTGTCACCACAATATTTCAACTAGAGTTGAAATGTTGCATTTCCTGAGGGAGAGTGAATGAGTGCATCATTGGTTGATTCTGTACACATTTATTCTCTCTCAACCTTATTCTTTGGCTTGAGATTGAGCACATATTAGCAGTCTAAACAGCTTCTTTGGAAATCAATGAATTAACTGTTTGGCTATCAGAAACTGAAGCAAGGTGAGCAAGAAGGAGGTGATGAGGGCTCCAGGCCCTCCTAGCCTACCAGGTGGTAAAATACAGCCTTTTAAGACCTGCCCAATTTTGAACATTCTAACTATCCTGAAGGTAGCAAAGTTAAAACTCAAGGAATGTGTCCTCTGCACTCTGCCAGGTCATGAAGGTTCAGCACTGAGAAAAGAATTCCCTAAACCCCATTAGAACTGCTTAGCCAAATCAATTTCTGCTCCTCTGTTTACATATTCCTTCCAGTATATAACCCTGGAGAAACTGGTGTTTTTCATTGTAACATCCAAGTCTCTGAAAAATTTCTATTAAAATGGAGACTATAAAAGGAAGACCGTGTGTTTTGAAGTCATAAGTCAAGCAAAAATAAGGAATTATGATAAGAGAGGCATTATGGGGTGGAGGAAGTCAAATTTGGAAGCAGAAGAAATTTATCATTCTTCTCTTAGTTTCGTCAGTAGAGGGCTCAAAGCCAGTACTACCTTTCTCAAGTACATTTGAGTATCATCTACTTCCTTGACTTTATGCTATTATTTAGTTAGTTTTTTTTTGATGTTCAACTCTATTTTAAAATATTTTTATTCTTTTTATTTGTTGTATAACTTCATTTACATTATGTGGGGCTCTGAAGGCATGCAAATCTGGACAAAAATCCAGGCTTTTCTACTCAAAAGCTACACAATTTTGCACAGTTTATTCATTATTCATTCATTCTTTTCCCTACTCATTAATATATTCTGCCAGTATTTATTGAGTGATAATTAAGTCCTATATCATGTGCAGGTAATGGGGGTTACATTGGTGAATGAAACTCATCAAGGTCTCTATTCTTGGGGTTTATGGATCATTGGGGAGGCAAGCATTAAACATTTATACTAAGGTGTATATAAATATAAACTAAGTTTTCTAGAAAAAAGCAAAATATGATACATCAGTTGGTTCTATGAAAAGATGTATATCCAAAGAGCCGCCTGACCGTATTGAAGTATGGGATTAGTTGACCTCTATGAGCCTCCATTTCCTCATCTATACAGTGGGAATAATAATAGTGACTACACTATTGGTTTGTTGTGAACATTAAATGTGATAATGTAAATAACGTGCTTAGCAGAGTGCCTTGAAAATTGTAGGATCTCATTAATTTAAACATTTATTATTTTGGTTTTGATTATATCCTATCAATGTGATCTTAAAGTGATAATAATGGGAGAATCAATCATTTCTGAGTTGAAGGCACATTTAAGGTTACCTAGCTCAGGGTAAGTGGCCTTCATGTGTTAGGCAAACACTCTCACACACCACAGTGTTTTATGTGTGTGCATTTATTTCTAGGATGATGACCCATGGGTTACATAAAAATCATGTTTGTTTTATTTAAAGTCCATGACCCAAAATGAGTTAAGTCACTATCAAATGCTGTACCAGATAAAAAAAACCAACAGCCATTCATCAATAATATTTTATGAAATTCTTTATAATGATCCTTCTTTTCTCTCTGTCTCTAAAAAAAATTCTGCTTACCTTATGGCTTTTTTATTGGATCTTTTGGTGGATTTAGAGTCTTCTTACTATGAGTGAAAGCTGTTTATTTCTGTACCAAGTTGATGATAATTATCAGGTAATCTTATGAGCTTTGATTGCCTTTAGATTATCAGAGATTTTCCATGTATATAGGCCTATTAAATGGGAAGCATGAAGATTTTGTATCTTCATTTCTATTCCATGTCTCTTGTTACTTTTTCTTCTTTTGTTTTGATAGAGAAGCTCTTCATCATTGTGCAGAACAGGGCTGCGATGGTGTGTATCTTGGCTTTATTCCTGAAATTTACTGGGAATGCTCCTCAAACCATCAGAGTTTTATTACAGCAAGTAACAAAACCCATTTCTGACTCATTATGGGAATGTAAACTCTGCAAGGCATAAATGTTCATGTTTTGTTCCCTCATGTTTGAGTTCACTCTGAATAATAACTGGAACACTGAAGACACTTCATAAAAGCTTGTTGAATAAAAAGGGAAAACAATAGAATACATAGGAAGAGTAAGGATTGAAAGGAAAAAAATAAAGTAGTCTGATAGTGTGTTTATATATCTTGTTTAATTAGTTGAGATATGGGTAACCTAAAACAACATTTGAAGAAAGTTGGGCAAACTGCCCTCTTAGTTATATTAAGGAAGCAGACCTTGGAGATGGCAGAAATTAATGAGTCTGAATGCCAAACTACATTGCACAATCTCAGTAGGCTCTGGACTTTGGAACAGATCATTTACATCTCATTTCACACATACTTTGCTTAATACACTGGAGGCTGTACCCTTGCTATCCACAGACTGTGACTTCAAGGAGAGGAAATTGAGATTTTTTTCAACCGTACCAAGTGGGCCATGTGTTTGTATTGATTTTTCTCGTGCTCCTTAGCGAGTGATCCTGAATATCCTTACAACCCAGATCCACACTCTAGCCCCCACATCCAAATTTCAGAGTGAAGCTGTTGGGTGTCAAGACATTGATCCTGCAGGAAATATCGTATTCTCTTCTTTTTCATAGGTTCTCATGGAAAATGATTTAAGATGTTTAATTTAGATACAATAAATATCTGGATCCCTACAATTGCTGTTGCAGTTTCTTACACCTAAGAAGTGCTCAGACTATTGAGTGGGTACCTGTGTTTCATCTTTGTTTCTGGCTTTTAGGTTTATAGAACTGTGGTATCTGAAAGGAGATAATGAAAGTGGGGATGGACATAAAGATGGTTTATGGAGGGATAGAAATTAAGCTTTGTGATCCAAACAGATATTTAAAAATGAAACTTGTAGAGCAGTTTCATGTTATTAGGAAATAATACCTTGTATACATAGCCATGCCAAAAAATGACACAAAATCAGTTCTGTTTATATACATACTTCTCTATTGAATTATTACAGAGTAATATTTACCTATCAGATAAGATGCCCTAAAGACTAACAAACTTTAGTATATAACATTGAGATACACCATTAAGAGGCCCTTCAAAGGAAATGTCATAGATTCCACCCCCGCAACAGTCCACTTAAACTAATCTTCTGGCTTTCCCTGCTACACTGGAAGGCAAGGATATAAAAACAGAAACATCTGCATTCAAGTCATTCAAATATTAAGCCAAGGAAATATATAAAAATTGATCCATACCACCCTGGGGTATATGAAATCTATCTAAAGTTATTTTAATTAACGTTAATGTTTACTTTTTTACGTAGAACTATAATTTTCCTTGTCCCTCTTCAGCTTCGTGGAGTTTACCTTTTTAACCTAAGTATATTTAAAATTCTCACTAGGTAGAAACAAGCCATCTAAGTCATCTGGACCCTACTCTAAGGGTAAAATGAAATTTTAATGACATTTTAGGCCAAAAATAAATAATACATGTATTTATTTCTTTATTTAGGAGACAGAGTCCCACTCTCTTGGCCAGGCTGGAGTGCAGTGGCGCAATTTTGGCTCACCACAACCTCCACCTCCCGGGTTCAAGCGATTCTCGTGCCTCAGCCTCCTGAGTAGCTGGGACAGTAGGCACACGCCACTGTGCCTGGCTAATTTTTACATTTTTAGTAGAGACAGGGTTTCGCCATGTCAGCCAGGCTGGTCTCAAACTCCTGACCTCTGGTGACCTGCCCACCTTGACCCCCCAAAGTGCTGGGATTACAGGCATGAGGTACTGCACCTGGCCGAATAATACATTTGTATCAATTTTTGGAGTAATATAAATTAAATATTTGGATAATTGAAAAAACATCCACCAACATTTGGAATCTTTTAATTGTTGAAGTTTGTGCCAATGCTGTCCAATAGAAATATAATCCAATAATACATACAAATTAGTATTTTCTAGTAGCCATATTTTAAAAAGGTAAAAATAAATAGGTGAAATTAAGTTTATAATATATTTTATTTAACCCAATGTATCCCAAATATCATCTCAACATATAATCAAATAACATTATGAATGAGATACTTTACATTCTTTTTTTCATACTAAGTCTTCAAAATCTTGGATGTCTTCTACATTTAGAGCACCTTAAGTTGATCAAGACACGTTTCAGTTGTTCAACAGCCACACGGGGCTGGTGGCTATCAAGTCGAATACAGCAGGTGTACACACAGTCACAAATCAGTTTAGCTCTACCTGGCTACAGAGAGATTGGGGAGCTTTTACAAGGGCATCTATCAGCTTTGCCTGATCAAAAAAACTGGCCACACTTCCCCTCTCTCTTTCCTCCAAAAAGTGACAGAAACTTAAGAAATGTGCTATGGAGATCAAATATCTTACAAATACATTTTAAACAATAGATGTAATACTGGAAAAAAGATAACAATTTTACTTTCCTTTGTAAACTGCCTTTAAATGAAACATATTTCATGTGAAAAACTCCAAATAATATCCAGTGTTCACATTTTCCCTTAGGGCTAAAGAAAGAAATTAAAGCCTCCTTTTAAAATGTGCGAACAATAACTTGATAAGCCTTTCTCATCAAAATAAGGGAAAATGCATTTCCGGGAGATTAAGTCATTATATTTGACAATATAGAATGTGACTTATTTCTCTTAATATAATTTATATTTATTTAAAGGAGTATTTTAGACATATTGATAAAAAAGCACTTATTTGTGGAATCTTATTTCTATATGGATTTTTTTTTTTTTTTTTTTTTTTTTTTTTAAGACAGAGTCTCGCTCTGTCGCACAGGCTGGAGTGCAGTGGCGTGATCTTGGCTCACTGCAAGCTCTGCCTCCTCGGTTCACGCCATTCTCCTGCCTCAGCCTCTTGAGTAGCTGGGATTACAGGCGCTCACCACCACACCCAGCTAATTTTTTGTATTGCTAGTAGAGACAGGGTTTCACCATGTTATGCAGGATGGTCTCGATCTCCTGACCTCGTGATCCACGCACCTCGGCCTCCGAAAGTGCTGGGATTACAGGTGTGAGCCACTGCACCCGGCCCCTCTATGTGGATTTTTAAATACAGAAGTATCAAAGCAATAGATTTAACTTGTATAAATTAAATTATATGTACTTGGCAAAGTGGAATATAGAAAAATAAGTAGTAACTTTAACATATTTTGAGAATACTCTTCCATGTGTACACAAATGCATTGCAAGACATGAATAAAGACATTCTTAGCATTCTTGTTGGCAGAAGCCAAATATTAACAGTAACCTAATATTTCATCAGTGACAGAATGGTTAAAGATATTGTGGTATATTCGTATCTTGAAAACTACCAGCAATGACAATGAATGAATTCTAATGGAATGCATTCATAGGAATGATGCTTCATACTGAAACAAAGTGTTGACCAAGAGATGCAAAGCAAAACGTGCATACAGTCTGATTGCATTTACACTAAGTCAACAAATGTACTATACTGTTTAGCAATGTATACAATGGGCTTAAAGTATAAAGGAAAAAACAAAACAAAACAAAACATGGAGCTGATTACCATGCAAGCCAAAATAATGATTGAGGCAGGAATTTGATGGTAAAGGGGATAGCTCTTGTGTAGAAATCTATTTTTTTGATCTAGATGTTTGTTACATGGATGCTTTTAAAAACTTATTAATTATACCAGCAACTAAATTGTATGTAATTTTCAATTTTTAAAGTTCTTTTTTAATGTTTTTAAAAAATTTTAGATTCGGGAGTTCCTTTGCAGGTTTGTTGCATGGGTATATTACGTGATGCTTAGGTTTGGGCTTCTAATGTACCTGTCGCCAAAGTAGCATGCATAGTAGCCAATAGTTAGATGTTCAACCCTTGTCCCATTTCCATCCTCCCCGCTTTTGGAATCTCCAGTGTCTATTGTTCTCATCTTTCTGTTCATGTTTACCCAATGTTTAGCTCCCACTTATAAGTGAGAATATGTGGTATTTGGTTTTCTGTTTCTGTATTAATTCGCTTAGGATACTGGCCTCCAACTGCATTCATGTTACTGCAAAGGACATGATTTCATTCTTCTTTATGGCTACATAGTATTCCATGGTGTATATGTACCACATCATCCAATTCACCATTAATGGGAACCTATACAGATTGCATGACCCTGCTATTGTTAATAATGCTGTGATAAACATTCAAGTGCGGGTGTCTTTTGGGTTGAACGATTTATTTTCCTTTGGGCATACACCCAGTAATTGGGACTATTTGGTCAAATGGTAATTCTGTTTCTTGTCCTTTGAGATTTTCAAGCTACTTTCCACAGTGGCTGAGCTAATTTACATTCTCACCAATGGTGCGTAAGTGTTCCCTTTTCTCTGCAACCTCGCTAACATCTGTTATGTTTTGATTTTTCAATAAAAGTCATTCTGATGGGTGTGAGATTGTATTTCATTGTGGTTTTTATTTGCATTTATCTAATGATTACTGATTTTGAGCATTTTTTATAAGTTTATTGGCCATGTTTATGTCTTCCTTTGAGAAACAGACATTTCTCAAAAGAAGTCCTTTGACTTCTTTTTAAAGGTCACCATTTAATGGTTATTTGTTTTTTTCTTGTTGATTTATTTAAGTTCCTCATACATTCTGGATATTAGTCCTCTGTTCGATGCATAGTTTCCAAATATTTTCTCCCATTTTATAGGTTGCCTGTTTACTCTGTTGATAGTTTCTTTTGTGGGGCAGAAGCTCTTTAGTTTAATTAAGTCCCATTTGTCTATTTTTAAATTTTGTTCCATTTCCTTTTGGGGTTTTCATCATGAATTCTTGGCCTAGGCCAATGCCTAGAAGAGTTTTCCCTAGGTTACTCTCTTAGATTTTTATAGATTTAAGTCTTACTTTTAAGTCTTTAATTCATCTTGAGTTAATTTTTGTGATGGTGAGAGATAGGGATCAAGTTTCATTCTGCTACATTTGGTTATTCACTTTCCCTTGTACCATTAATTGACTAGGATATATTTTCTCTATTGTTTATTTGCTGACTTTGTCAAAGATCAATTAGTTGTAGGTGTGCAGCTTTATTTCGGGGGTCTGTATTCTGTTCCATTGGTCTAAGTGTTTATTTTTGTACCAGTACCATGCTGTTTTGGTTACTGTAGCCTTGTAGGATAACTTGAAGCCAGTTAATGTGATGCCTACAGCTTTATTCTTTTTGCTTAGGATTGCCGTGGCTATTCAGGCTCTTTTTTGGTTTTATATGAATTTTAGGATAGTTTTTTTCCTAATTCTGTGAAAAATGATGTTGATAAATTGGTAGGAACTATGGTAAATTTGTAGATTGCTTTGGGCAGTTAGGAGATTTTAACAATATTGATTCTTACAACCTATGAGCATGGAATGATTTTCCATTTGTTTGTGTCATCTATGATTTCCTTAAGCAGTGTTTTATAGTTTTCCTCATATAGATCTTTTATCTCCTTTCTTAGATATATTCCTAGGTATCTTATTGTTTTCGTGGCCATTATAAATGGAATTGTGTTCTTGATGTCTTTCTCAGCTTGAATGTTATTGGTGGATAGAAATTCTACTACTTTTTGTATGTTGATATTGTATTCTGAGAGATTACTGAAGTCATTTATCAGGTCTAAGAGCCTTTTGGCACAGTCTTAAGGGTTTTCTAGGCATAGAATCATATCATCAGTGAAGAGAAAGAGTTTGACTTCCTCCTTTTCCTACTTGGATGCCTTTTGTTTCTTTCTCTTGCCTGATCACTCTGGCTGGGACTTCCGGATGTGCTGCTGGGTTCAGTTTGCTAGTATTTTGTTAAGGATTTTTGGGTTTATGTTCATCAGTGACATTGGCCTGTAGTTTAACTTTTTGTTGTTTTCTTGCCAAATTTTGGTATCAGAATGACACTAGTTTTGTAAAATGAGTTAGGGAGAAGTCTCTCCTTCTCAATTTTTTGGATTATTTTCAGTAGGGATGGTACCAATTCTTCTATGGACATCTCATAGAATTTGGCTATGAATCTGTCTGGTCCAAGGCTTTTTTTGGTTCATAGATTTTTTAGTACTGCTTCAATTTTATTACTCGTTGATCTGTTCGGGATTTCTGTTTATTCCTGGTTCAATTTTAAGAGGTTGTGTGTTTCTAGATATTTATCTATTTCCTTTAGATTTTCTTTGTGTACATAGAGATGTTCATAGTAGTCTCTGAAGACCTTTTATATTTCTTTGTGTGCTTTTTGAGTATTCTTTTTTCTTTGTTAATCAGGCTATCAATCTTGTTTATACTTTTAAAGAAGCAATTTTTCATTTTATTGATCCTTTGTATGGTCACAATTCCATTTAGTTCTCTTCTGATGGTAGTTATTTCTTTTCTTTTGCTAGCTTTGGGATTAGTTTGTTCTATTTTTCCAGTTCCTTTAAATGTGAATTTAGGTTGTCAGTTTGAGATATTTCTATATTCTTAATGTAGGCTTTTAGTGCTGTAAACTTTCCTCTTAATGCCACTTTTGCCACATACCAGAGGTTTCAGTGTGTTGTGTTTCTATTTTCATTTGTCTTAAACAATTTTTATCTCTGCCTTAATTTCCTTGTTTACCCATAAGTCATTCAATAGCAAGCTATTTAGTTTCTATGAATTTGTGTGGTTTTGAGAGTTCCTCTTGGTATTGATTTTGGTATTTATTGCATTGTGGTCTGAAAAGATGCTTGATGGGATTTTGATTTTTTGAACTTATTGAGAATTGCTTTATGACTGAGAAAATGGTAAATATTAGAATATGTTTTATGTGCAGATGAGAAGTTATATTCTGGTTGTTGGGTGGAATATTCTGTAGGTATTTATTAGGTTCAATTGGTCAAGTGAGAAATTTAGAATTTGTTAGTTCTCTGCTTTGATTATTTGTCTAATGCTTTGATGGGTGTGTTGAAGTTTCCCACTCTTATTTTGTGGCTATGGAAGTCTTTTCTTAGGTATAAACATAATTGTTTTATAAGTCCAGGTGCTCCAATGTTGGATGTGTGTACATTTTGGATAGTTAAGTCTTCTTGTTGAATTACAGAGTTTATTATAATACCCTTCTTTGTCCTTTTTTTCTGTTATTGGTTTAAAGTCTATTTTATATGATAAAAGAATCACAACCCCTACTGTTTTTGTTTTATATTTGCATGATAAATCTTCATCCCTTTACTCTGAGTCTATGAGTGTCATTATATGTGAGATGGATGTCTTGAAGGGGCATGAATCTTGTTTTTTTTTTAATCCAATTTGCCACTCTATTTTTAAGGGGAGTGTTTTGATTGTTTGCATTCAAAGTTAATATTGATATGTGAGGCTTTGTTCTTGTCATGGTGTTGTTAGTACTTGTTTCATAGCATTGATCATGTGGTTACTTTTCAGTATTGATTGCTTGTGCAGTTGGCTTCCATGGGCTATGTGCCTGCATGTAGCTAGTACTGTTTTTACATTTTCATGTTTATAAGTTTCTTAAGCATCTCTTGTTGGATGGGTCTGGTGGTGATTAATTCCCCTAGTGATTGCTTGTCTGGGAAATATTTTATTTCTCCTTCATTTATGAAGCTTAATTTGGTGGGATATTAAATTCTCAGCTGGCATTTTTTTCTTTAAGAATGCTAAAAATGCGCCCCCAATCTCTTCTGGATTGTAAGGTTTCTGCTGAGAAGTCCACCGTTATTCTGATGGGTTTATGTTTATAGGTAACATGACCATTTTCTCCAGCTGCTTTAAGGTTTTTTTGTGTGTTGACCTTGGATAGTTTGATCATTATGTGCCTTGGGGTTGATTGTCTTGTATCTCACAGGGGTTCTCTGGATATTTTATATCTGCATGTTGACTTCTATAGCAAGATTGGAGAAGTTTTCTTAAATTATATCCTCACATATTGTTTCTAAGTTGTTTCTTTTCTCATTCAGGAATGCCAATAAATCATAGATTCGGTCACCTTATATAATTTTATATTTCTTGAAGGCTTTACTCATCTTTTAAAATTCTTTTTTATTTTTCTTTTTTTAGTATTTTGGTCTAATTGGGTTGATTTGAAAGACTGGTCTTTGAGCTCTAAAATTATTTCTTCTGTTTCACTTAGTCTGTTAAGGCGTCCAATTGTATTTTTAAATTCCTGTAGTGAATTTTTTAATTCCAGAAGTTCTGTTTAGCTCTTTCTTAATATAGCTATGTCATCTTTCAAATCTTGGATCTTTTTCTGTCCTCTTTGTGTTAGATTTCAACTTTTTCTTGGGTCTGGTTGAGTTTTTTTTTGCCTTCCAAATTCTAAGTTCTATATCTGTCATTCCAGACATTTTATTCTGATTAGGATCCATTACTTGAGAGCTACTGGGATCCTTTGGAGGTGACAAAACACTCTGGCTATTTTTTTAATTGCCAGCATTCTTGTGTTGGTTTCTTTTCATCTGAGTGAGCTGACACTTTTTGTTGTTGTTGTTGTTTTGAATTGGCTATCATTTGGATGTGGCTTCTTGATTTTTTTTTCTTTTTTTTTCCCTTGGAGGTATGATTGTGGTGTATATTGTATATGATCTATTGGTTTCAATTCTGGGTGCCTTCAGGGTGCCAAGACTCTGTACAGGTTCCTTGGTTGCAGATAGGTTTGGCAGTGGCTTTCTCAGATATTGCTTGTTATGATTTAATTTTGTTTAGTGATATAATTCAGGCTGCAGTCCAGTAGATGGCACTTAGGAGTAAGAGCTTGTTTATTGCAGCATTATTCACAATAGCAAAGACTTGGAACCAACCCAAATGTCCATCAATGATAGACTGGATTAAGAAAATGTGGCACATACACACCATGGAATACTATGCAGCCATAAAAAAGGATGAGTTCATGTACTTTGTAGGGACATGGATGAAGCTGGAAACCATCATTCTGAGCAAACTATCACAAGGACAGAAAACCAAACACTGCATGTTCTCACTCATAGGTGGGAACTGAACAATGAGAACACTTGGACACAGGGTGGAGAACATCACACACCGGGGCCTGTCGTGGGGCGGGGGAAGTGGGGAGGGATAACATTAGGAGATATACCTAATGTAAATGATGAGTTAACAGGTGCAGCACACCAACATGGCAAATGTATACATATGTAACAAACCTGCACATTGTGCACATGTACCCTAGAACTTAAAGTATAATAATAAAAAAATATAAAAAAGAAATGAGCTAAGAAGGGAATGAAAAGGTGTGCATGGAAAAAAAACAAGAGCTGGCAGGTAGAGGTCAGGGGAGAGGTAATGAAGAACGATGAAAAATGCCCTCCCCCAGAGCATGTTTGCCTTCAGTGGGGGTGGAGCCTCTCGAGAAGCTGGAAAAGCAAACTCAACCATCTTAGCCCAGGCTCCCCAGGCCCTGATGGGAAGAGGCACTACCAAGTCTGTGACAATGCACTGAGGGGGTTGGCAAGAGATAACCCCCTCTCTACATCTATTCTTGAGTTTTGGTGGTGCCACCTTCAGTAGCTGGTGCAGTTTCACGTTTTCTTTGACCCAAGAGGGCCTTTGGCAGACTGTGCTATCCCCTCCTTTGGTGTGGTTTGAACTGAGGAGTAGATCTCCAGGTAAGTGGACTGTGCTTCCCTTCTGCCTCTCAGACCTGGTGGGCACTGTCCCCCAACTGACCAAGGGAGCAGACTAGAACACTGAGCAATGACACTCACAGACCAGTTCCAGGTCCCAAAGCTGTCTCTGGCTGCATGTCTGGCCACACAGAAGAAACCTTGGCTTCAGCAACTCTCCTCCCACTCTAGTCCTGAGACAGGGAAGAGTCTAATTCCAGCACCTACTGCTGTGGGTGTTCTCCATGCTTGCTGCCCAGTTTTGGCTATGGAGGCCCTTCCCACGCTCCAGAGCAAGCCCTTCAATGTCTGATCTAAGACTAAAATGCCTGCTGTGGCCACTGCTGCCAGGTTTCTAAATAATGTCTCTAAACTCCCAAAATGGTGCCAGCTGTGGGCTTGTGACCAGAGGTGGGTGGAATCCCTCTCAGGTGAGAAACATGGGCAAGGCACTGTGGCAAGTGCATTCTGCCTGAGTCTTGGTCTCCCAGCAGCTGGTAGCAAGGTGTCAGGTATTGTCCTAGATATGTGTAGAAGAGCCTGGTTTCCCCACTCCTTTTTGGTTGAGTGGTGGCTGCATCTGTGTCAGTCTGACTCATGCCAAGGATAAGAGGAACTTAGCATTAAACTATCAAAATATGTCTTGGGCCTAGGACTCAGAAAGGCAGGGTGCTACCTGGGCAAACTTTGTGGGTGAAAAGCTGTGAGAAGTGCAGTCTAGTTGCATCTTAGTCTCACCACAGCCTGTTACAGGGCAGTGGGCATTATCCTAGACATATACGGGGTAGCCAGGTTTCCACATGGGTCCTTGGCTGGGCAGCGGCTGCAGACACATCAGCCTGAACTCAGGCCAAGGTCAGGATGCAGCCCAGAGTTAAACTCTCAGTATGCACCTTGGGCCGAGACCAGAGAGGGCAGGCTACCACTCAGGCAAGTAGAGTGAGCACAAAGCTGTGGGGTGGGGAGTGAGGTCCACACATATCTCATTCTCAAGAGCACCTCATAGAAATGTAGCAAGTACCCTCCCAGGAACGCATGGCCATGCCCCTTCTCCCCTGTCTCTCCTCGGGGCAGTGCAGCAACTGCAGCTGTGTCTATAGGTTCCCAGTGTCTCAGCTCTCAAAATGGCTCCCAGCTGAGGCTACTCCAGGCTCAAGTGCCTGCGGAATTCTGTGTGGGTTCCCTTTCTGGAGCATCATCTCTGTGTGAGCTTCAGGTGGCTTTGTATACCAGGCATGAGGCCCTAGTGAGTCGAGGGTTTCTCCCATTGCCAAGATTGTAAAAGCCCATGTCAGAGCTCTGGATGTTTCTCTCTCACTGTTTCCCTGTGTCCAGGGGTCTCTCCCAGGTCTCAAATCGGTTTCTGGCTGGACAAGCTACCTGGAACCTCTCCTTACTTATTTCTGGTGCTTCCTGTCTTTTCTCTGGTGAATCTGAGGATTCTCTCCTATACAATGTGTTCGAAATATGAGTATCTACTTATATTCTGGCTGTTTTCTGTGGAGGAGGAACATACTACTTGCTTGTAGTCAGCCATCTTGATTGTCTCTTCCCAATAAAAATGGTTTTATGTATGCACACAATTGCTCCAATAAATTTCATCTCATTTATTTCAGACTCTTATGTGTCTCTTATCACACTAGTAGCTTTTTTCCCAAATTTTGAGTTTGTAGGAAACTGGTAAGTGTATCAAGTAAGTCTTCATTCAATAAGCTGTTAATTAGAATCTTGAAGAGACCAGCACCACGTGGTCCATGTAGAGACTTCCCATCAGATTCTTGTTGAAGTGGTAGCATTACCAGTAGTAATTATAACAATTAAGTGGTACAGTTTTCGCACCTTAGGCACTCTGTATGTATTTTACCTATGTCATCTTTTATAATCTTTACCATACAATTATTATGTTAAATCCTTTTTAAGTCATTATCATTCTTCGCATCTTAGAGATAAACCTCAGCTTAGAAAATTTAAATAACACGCCCAAGTCCACACAGCTATAAGAGACTAGAATCTGAAAGTGAACCCAGATATGTCTGATTCCAAAAACTGCTCTCCTTCCTCTCTCTTGTCCTAACTTCTTGCTCTGTTTTGAACCATTATTCAGCAGACTTCAGTTGGTTCTGCTATAAATCCACCTACTCAGATATCTCCAAATGGTAGATTCACACAGCATTTCTTCTGCTCGTTCACAAAGATACTGTAAAAGATTGCAGAGAAGTAAACATACAGAGAGGACATGTAAAGTGTTCTCGATCTTTTGTGAGATCATCTGGCCTGGCCACTGAAAGAGAAACTTGATGTCACCTTGTTTGCCACTGAAAGAGAAACTTCATGTCACCTTGTTTTTCTAAAGACATATAGTTCTCGTTGAGTGTTTATTACATATTTTACTTGTGCTCATATACTAATTGTTATACAAATATATAGAAATTTTTTGAGGGTGATATAAAGATTTTTCCATATTTCATCTTCTTTTTTCCTCCCCTTTTAAAAATAGGGAAAATACTTTTCCACGTGGGATCTTGCAGGCAGCACTCAAATTCTTATGATTTTTCAGCAACTTCGTATTGTCTTATTCATAGTATAATTGGTCTAGACCTGAGTTTGAATTCATTAAAAATTATAAGGGCAGCAGATGTGGTGGCTCATGCCTGTAATCCCAGCACTTTGGGAGGCCAAGGCGGGCAGGTCACCTGAGGACTGGAGTTCAAGACCATTCTGACCAATATGGTGAAATCCTGTCTCTACTAAAAATACAAAAATTAGCCAGGCGTGGTGGCGGGCACCCATAATCCCAGCTACTCAGGAGGCTGAGGCAGGAGAGTTGCTTGAACCCAGGAGGTGGAGGTTGCAGTGAGCTGAAATTGCGCCATTGCACTCCAGCCTGAGCAACAACAGTGAAACTCTGTCTCAAAAAAAAAAAAAAAAAAGTTATAAGCGTATCTTATAACTTACAAATTATAGCTGGAGATTCAGTTCCCATGTTACGATTATTTTCTTCTTTTCCGCTTTAAATATGTTTATAGAGCCAAAATATGGATCCAAAATAGACTTTGAACAGCTCCATTTATTCTATCAGCCATTTGAGTTACATCTATGATGTATTCACCAAATTGTATCTATGTATTCACATGTATCTATGATGATGTATCTATGATGATTCACATGTATCTACATTCACATGTATCTATGATCATGTATTCAAGTTGGATAGGCATTTTTTCTCATAATAAATTTAAAATAACTGTTTTACATTACTAATTTGCTTTTCCAACTCTAGTATGGAGTTCCACTTCAGATAGCATGTCATCTCACCATTTCTACTAGAGAGGAGGAATAATTTCTATTGTTATATAATAATATGGTTTGGCTGTGTCCCCACCCAAATCTCACCTTGAATTGTAATAATCCCCACATGTCAAGGGTGGGGCCAGGTGGAGATAATTGAATCCTAGGGGCAATTTTCTTCATACTGTCCTCATGGTAGTGAATAAGTCTCAAAAGATCTGATGGTTTTATAAATGGGAATTCCCCTCACAAGCTCTCTTGCCTGCTGCCATGTAAGATATGACTTTGCTTCTTATTCGCTTTCCACCATGATTATGAGGCCTCCCCAGTCATATGGAATTGTGAGTCAGTTAAACCTCTTTCCTTTATAAATTACCTAGTCTCAGGTATGTCTTTATCAGCAGCGTGAGAATGAACTAATACATATACCATTGTAGGAAGACTGTAGTTAATGATAATATATTTTCAGTTTCAAATATCTAGGAGGAGAATATTCAATCTTCTCACGCAGATAAATGATACATGTTTGGGATGATGGATATGCCAATTACCCTGATCTGACAATTATATATTACATGTATCAAAACATCACTATGGACCCCATGAATCTGTATAATTATTATTTGCCAATTTTTTTAAATTGAAAAAATTAAAACCAATATTTTATATTCTCTCTTAATTCATGATTTTTATCTCTGAGAGGGTTCATTTTGTCAAAATTATATCAAAATCATCAATGAGACCCAAGTACACCTGGGAGAAAATTTTGGACAAAACAAAAAATTTCCCAGTAAGAACCTTTAAAAAATCCTCCTAATGACATGTTGAGTTTATCGTGACCTACATTTTCAAGCTGTAATAAATAAAGTGAAAGTGCAACTACACACACTAAAAAGGTGAATCTGAAGAGAGGTTTCTGAGGTAGCAAAAAAAAAGTATCCCTTTAACTCCCTTCCTATTTTATTTTTACTTCCTTTTTAAGAAATACTTTACAAATTAAAAAAGACATCTGTTAAATCCTCTCCAGTTAGCCTACCCTAAAATTCAATAAGTTTTCATCTTCTGCATCTTAAATTAACATATGTTGGAAACATTCTGATTTGCCCATGTTTTATATTTTTATTGCTATTATTTTAGTATGACTGCCTAAAGGAAGCTTTGGGATGTGCATGAATAGTGTTTCATGCAATTTTTCTCTTCTTTGTATCATTAAGACTGGAAATGTAGTTATTTAAGAATCGCATTTGGGATGGATGGGTAGCTGGGAGTATAAAATGAGCTCAGTCTGGTGATCTGTTTCATGAGGAATGCATAAACCCTCTTTGTGCATGTTATCTGATGCAAGTGGTGCCATCATTATTCTTCCTTAGGAATAACTGTGCTTGGTTTTAGCCACTTCATTTTAAAGTGCTACCTCTGGCTTATATGGTGTATTAAAATAGTTTCGTACCATAAAATAGAAGAACTTTATGGCATCTAATATTATTCTCCTTTCCTATAAATTATAAGATATGGGTTTTTAAGGAAGAAAACAAAAGTACCCCAGGAGCCTTTCTTGTGAATCTTCCTTGAACATTCAAGGAAGATGGACCCATTCTGTGCCCATGGGTTCCATTTTCCTACTACTCACATGTGCATTGTTTGATTTCAGATTGAAAACACCATTTTACTATGATTATAAAAAGTATTCATTCTGATTGTTAATAATGGAAAGAGTTTGAAAAGTGTGAATGAGTAACTAAATAAACAAAACAAGATAAAGAAGAAACAAACTTATCACCCAGGGAAGTTTATCATATTGAAATTTTGGTGACTCGTCATCCAGACATCTTAATACTCATACACAACTTAAGGAACAGTGTGTCATACAATTTACATGAATTTTTGCATCAATTTTTCACCATTAGAAGAAAGTTCTGTAATTCAATAAAGGAAACATCATCCCTTGACTCAAAGCCATTATGTAGAGTTGCTTTACTAGAGGGTGAAAAGGGTAGCGGGGAGGCAGAGATGAAGTAGGGATAATTAATGGGTATAAAAATACAAATAAAATGAATAAGACCTAATATTCAGTAGCATAATAGAGTGACTATAGTTAATAATTTGTTGTATATTTTGAAATAACTAAAGGAGTGGAATTTGAGTGTTTTTAATATGCACCAAAAATGATAAATGCTTAAGGTAATGCACACTCCAATTACCCTAATTTGATCATTGCACATTGCATGCCCATATCACATCACATGTACCCCATAAATATATTCAACTATTATGTACTCATAATAACTAAAAATTAAAAAGCATTAAATCAGTTGTTCTCACTTAAGGGAGATTTTCCTCTAAGTAGACACTTGGCAATGTATGAAGATACTTTTCATTGTCACAACTTGGGGGCTGGTGGTGGTACAGTTAGGGAATCTAGTAGGTGGAGGCCAGAAATGCTGCTAAACATCCTTAATGCATCCCCAGAACAGAGTTTTCTGGCCACAGTGTTAATAGTGCTGAGGTTGAGAAACACTGCTTTAAAGGGAGCCAAAACGTGGATGCACCCAAGTTAAAATTGACCCATGTGATATAAACGAAACACCAACCCCCCACCAAAAACTTATAATTTTAGTAAAAGACGAAAAGAAAGAAGATTCAGTGTAGGCATAACTTCTAAAAGTTTTCATGGTTGCCATGTGGGAATGACTTTTAAAATGACTGCATAGTCAGAATTATTGAGTTGAGGGACTATAAGTAAATTTTAAAATGTCTTTTCTGAAGGTGAGAAAGCACTTAGGAAATATGGCTCAGAATTGCTTCAAAACATCAGTATTCACTGACGGCCTACTATGTGCTAACCACATTTTTCGCATGTGGCAGTGAACAGTTTATCAGTTCCATGAAACGAAAGGTTTGAAATCAGATAATTTATGGAAGTTATAGAGAACATAGCAGTACAATTATACTTAACTCTTTGTTATCATCAAGAGGGGAACCAGGATGAATGCACAGAAATTAGAGAAACAAACCTTAGCTTACTACAGGAAGAGCTTCCTAAAGTTTAGATCTGATAATGCAATGGGCTATCCCTAAGATATGGCAAGTTTCTTGTACTAGATACACATATAGAGAAATTTGGTAGCCTACGTATGGAAAAATTTTAAAGGCAATTGGAGAAAAGGTGACTCTTAAATCTTGGGAGGACTGTGGGTGGGTTTTTTGTGTGTATATATATGTATATATATGCATATATACACACACACTTGTTTTTGTGTCGGTGTTGGGGGGATCAGTGCAAAAGAAAAGCATGAGGGTATTTGATTTGTTCAAAAATTAAGAGTTTCAAGAATGACATAAGAGCCTTAAACCTACATCCAGGGGATTTTCTGAACTTGGGGCCCTGTTTGAGTGCTCAGGTCCCATGGCCATGAAGCCAACCCTGGTTGTTACTAAGCTTTGAGATTCTATGATTCTGTACCTTCCTCCCTCTTTCTACTTCTCTGACAATTCCTTTCTATCTCCATTGATGGCTTCTTTGTTTGTCTTTGACACCTTCAAATGCGGGCATTTCCCAATAGCTCTTCCCTTCACACACCATTCTTTCTTTATATATTTTCTATTGATGATTTCATCCTTTTAATTCCCAGCATCATAGGCATTTTCTTGGCTTCTGAATCTACAGCTTTACCCTTCAGAGCATTTTCCTTCATGCTTCCACCTTCCACTTAAGCTTAGTGATTTGGAAATCACACATCTTCCTATTTAAAAAACAACAAGAACAATAATAATAATAATAATAATAATAATAATAATAAAATGTCCTCAACATTTTCTGGAATCCACCCTCTACCTTGTTCTCTAAGCTCTAGATCCAATCACCCCATCTCAGTTTTTTCTTTATCAAGGTCCTCATTTTTGGTCTGTTCTGTAAAACTTTCAACTAGACTGTAGATGTCACACTTATTACTTCTTAGTCAACTGCTGCTATAATTGAGGGCCTCACAGCAGAACCATGAGCCCAGGCTCTGGAGCCAAAGATCTGAATGAAATCTCATTTCCTCCGGTAATGAGCAAATGACCCCTGCTGTTTCTGCCTCATTTTTCCCATCTGTGAAATGGGGATAAGGTAGTACTGCTATGGTTTAGATATGGTTTGTTTGGCTCCACCAAGTCTCATGTTGAAATTTGATCCTCAGTGTCGGAGATGGGGCCTAATGGGAGGTGTTTAAGTCACAGGGGCGGATCCCTCATGAGTGGCTAGGTGGCATCCTTACTGTAATGAATGAATTCTTGCTCCATTAGTTCCCTCAGAATTCTCACAAGAGCTGAGTTGTTAAAAAGAACTAGGCATCTTTCCACTCCTCCTCCCCACCACTTGTAATCTCTGCATACCAGCTCCCCGTCCCTTCCTGCTGTGAGTAGAAGCAGACTGAAGCCATCACCAGAAGCAAATGCTGTGAGCCGTGCTTTTTGTACAGGCTGAAGAACCATGAGCCAAATAAGCCTTTTTTCTTTATCACTTGCGCAGCCTCAGGTATTCCTTTACAGCAACACAAAAACGCACGAAGACAAGTACCTACCTCAGAGGTATTAGAAGGTTTACATAAGTTATTACATGAAGGTTACTTAGAACCTAGAAATCGTTAAGGCTCAATATTTGCAACATCTCTTTACTACTTTTGTTTTTCACATTGAATTGTTAAGAATATAGGCTTTGAAGTAAACAGACTAGGACAAAATATTGTGTCCATCTTTCCCATCTGGTGAACCTGAGACAGGCATCTTCCCTGGCAGAACCTCAGTTCATTCATCTAAGCATGGACATGGTAGTTTTACATTTCCAAGTGTTGTAAGGATTATGAAAAGCTTCATACATGAATACTTCTATAGCAATGTCACTCAACAAATAGGAATCTTCCTCCCCATTCTGCTAGTATATTCTTCCTCAAATGCAGCTATTATCACAGTATGCATTCTAAGAACCAACCCTCAATGACTTCACAATGCCTGTGAGATAACATCCTGACTCTTTATACGGCAGACCCTCTACAATCTGGCTCCATTATACCTTTCTATAAAGATGTTCTGTACATCAAACACCCATTGTAGTCAAATCAGTCTATTCATCACCTGGAAACACAAGTGATACAACCACCTCACCCTTTGTGCTTGCTGTAATTCTCCACTCTCTCCAGTCCTTCCTATCTGTATGAGCTCTGCATTTTCTAGGCTGAACTCAAATCACAGCTCTTCCATGGCATAAATGTGTATCATTCTATCCTGGCATTTTTCTTCATCTCTGAAATCCTGTAACTTTCATAGGCTATCTTTGAGTTTTTAGATGGCTTCGTTATTTCTTCTTGTATTGTGGTTTACCATTTGGAATCAGGTAGACTGTATTCAGATTCTGCTTTTTAGCTATGAGCCTTTGGGCAAATTACTTATTCTGTATGAGTTTCAGTGTGCACATTCACCAAATGTGGATAATAATAATGGTTAACTCCTAGGATGTTTGTGAGAATTGAAATAATATATCATTCTTAGCCCAGTATAATCATTTAAATTTTTTTTTTAGTAAGCATTAGCTGGAATCATTGGTATTGTTTTTATTTTCTTATCTACCCTCAAACATTGAAAGTGTCTTGGAGCAGAAGTTGTATATTACATACTTTCAGAATCTCTCTACCATGGGGCCTTTTGCTTTAATTAATTTCTGCTATAATTAATTGCTCTATTATGCCATTTTCTGATTTCATCCAAGACACACTCTAAATGTATATGACGAAGAAGCAATCCCTGGTGACTAAAATGAGATTGCATTTTCTTTCGATACTGTCGCTGACCCAGGTAGCAAGCACAGGCCCTGCCAGTAACTGTCATAAAACTCTCATCTGGCACTCAGAGTGCTGCCTGCTCCTTAGAGGAGCAGAAAGTTGTCAGTAGGGCTGTAGTGCAAACAGTGTTGACCACGTTTTGTTGTTGGAAACATCATGTCCAAGGCAAGACCATATTTATAATGTTGCCATATGGCTTGAATACCAAGTTCATCCCATTGCTCTCTCTAAAATACAGAGCATGAAGTACTCCTACTAATAGCACTCCACATTGAGATAAAAGCAATGATTTCTGTGTCTGAACCAATCTGGCGGCAGATTGAAGTTATATTTCTGCAACACCAATTACCTAGAAAAAACTTTGAAAAAAAAATAAAGCATTAGTCATCATTTTAAACATTTCCAAATATACTGAATATCACTGCCTCCAAAAACTTTTTGAACTCACCTTATTCAGAGTCAGGAATGTTTGCTTCTTAATGTGAAACTTCCATCATTGCATCTCTCTAACTTCTGAATCTCTTCCCTTTCTGTGAAAATTATATGTGTATGTCCTACTTCTTGGCCATCTCCTTGAGAACAGGATCCATATCTGACTTATCCCCACGTCAATATTAGTTATGACCCTTACAGTTGCCAATGACAGACAAACACTGGGATTTGCCTAAGGTAAAAAAGGAGGGGTGTTGATTTATTATAAGAATAAATGGATGTCCTATAGAATCCAAGAGCAAGGAATATATCAAGGCCTTAGAAATAGATTGGAATCAGGTACTTGAACATTGTTAAAAATGTAAGACTCTTTTCTCCCTCCATGTCTTTTTTTTCTAGGACTCTAATTGACTCATCTCCCCAGGCAAACTGAATTTTTCTACTTCTCAGCCTATGTGGCTGCTATCAGCAACTCCTGAGTTTACATCTCTTCTATAAAGTGAGCAGTCCTGGTTGACAGGAATTGGTTATTCCCAGTTTCAGGTTACCAAGGAAGAGAATCTGGTTGGCACAGATAAGGTTACGTGCTCACTGCCAACCCAGTCAGTTGGTAACCATTACAAACCTATAAATGTGGAAGTGATTTCCTAGAAAACAAGATGTAGTTGTCTAAAAGTGTAAGAGGTCAGAGGTGAGGACAATTCACCTTTCCTATTACTGCACCTAATGCAATGTCTCCCTCTCAGGAATATCTTAGTAACTCAGGTGGTGAGAGAATGAATATAATCTGAGTTTGCTGCTTGAACTTGATCCTGCATGAAGACATTTGTTTACGAGCCATCTATTCTCATTTTTACACTTCTGCACATATGATGTCTTAATATGCCAGAAAGACATGGAGAAATAACATACATCAAAATAGCATGTTTTAGAACGTTGGACAGTTCTTCTCAAACCTGAAAATACCTGCATATAAAAGTGACCTTTGATGTGAAATTGAAAAATATTGTAAATATTAATTTAAGCTTCTCTAGGTGTCCAAAACATTTCTTCTTTTGATTTATATTTTCATAGGAATTCAAATACTAAGTGGTCATGCATTCGGGACACTGGTATTATTTTCTTTGAGTGTTGTTTTCCTTTTTTTTTTTTTTTAAGATTCTTTTTCCCCTCTCAGACTTGCATATGAAAAGTCTTTCCTTCAAAAGGTTGCTTTCTTTTCCCCTCAATCATTAGGTGGTGGCTGAATCTGTGATTAGGAAGAAAATGAAATATCATTTTGGTAAAATTCCTTTTGAATTGTTATAGATGTTTGATTATATAAGTTTAGATGTTGAGCTCACTGAAAACTTCTGGCTGCTGAGACATTTTTAGACCAGAGTACAAAATGAAGATGGTAACCAGGCAACATGGTTCTTCTATAGTTATTAAAAATAAAACGTGAAGCTTCTACAATGCACAATAATTTTCTGACAAGTTTGTCTGGCTTTCTTTCTGTCATTGCCTGGAGAAATGGGTAGGTGCCATTTGCTGAATTGATTAATAATTGATATGTGCTAAATACATTATTCTGTAAGATTATGATTCTTGGACAGTTATATACACATGAAAGTGATTATGATAATTTGCTATAATTCCTAAAAAAACTTGCTTAGACATTTCTAAAAAAATTATATATTATAAATGTATAATTGTATGTATTGTAATAGATACAATATCCACGATCTGTGGAAACATAAATTTCACCCTACATTCATTAGGATGACATCAAGCTGAAATAATCATATGTATAATCTCTATGTAGCAGAATATTACTCATTAAATCTTGGAAAGCTTTCATACAATAAATGATGACATTCAAAGAATGGCAACAAGATTCGGTCAACTATGGCAAATGTACGTCCGTTATTTGATGTTTCCAAAGACGTGAACATGTGATATTATCTGAGTAATTCTGATATATATATATATATATATATATATATGTACATACACACACATTTTTACATATATATACACACATATATATGTGTATATATACACAAAAGAATGTATAGATGAGAATATCTGTGTATATATGTGAATATATTTGTATATATAAGAATATACATGTGTATATATGTGAATATATGTATATATATAAGAATATGTGTGTGTGGATGGATGGATAGATAGATAGATAGATAGATAGATATGCTCAAATTAAGGGGACCTTGTCTCTCATGTTTCTGGTACTCCTTGGATAGCTCGTCCAGGGCTGTAAAATGGATATATGAGCGATGAAATTGCACAATCGTATAGAGTAGATATTCTTAACCCTGACAGCATATCTGAATCACCTGGGAAGCTAAAAACATGGATGCTCAGGCCCAACAGTAGAATCTTTGATTCAGCTGGTCTGGTTTGGAGTCCAAGCAAACGTAATTTAAAAAATTCTATACTTAATTCCAGTGTGTAGACCAGGGTGTAAACTGTTGTAAACATAAGTATTCTGCATATACTTCCTCTATGTCAGGGATAACTTCCTAGAAAGAGGGGCTCTATACAAATCAGTAGTTGTGGATTGTTACAGCACTCTCCTGGAGAGGAGCATTTGTAGGTAGGCATCAGGTCTTGGCAAGCACTCCTCTTGTAATCTAAAGGCTGTCTTCTAAGAAAGGCAGATCTCACTTGGGAATTCCCTGGTAGATTCTTGGTGATTGGTTTAGATTTCCCATGGTCTTCCCCAGCTAGTTAATTAGGCTGACAGCCTTTCTGAGAACTAACCATCAGGCTTCTTCCTGGAAGTTGAGAAAGAAATAGAAATTAAGATGACATATTGGAGTTCAGGGAACAGAGAAAAGAAATTCTGGTGGATGACTGATCCTTTGAGGCCTGGCTTTTATAAAAAGGAGTTTAAAAATATAATGCCTTGGAATCTACCAATCCTACGGTAAGTGTTCAGCCATGGTTGGCAGCAGGAGCACAATACCAAGATGTGTGCTCCCTGGAATTTAGCATAGGGAAATAACAACTGTGTGTTCCAGATACTGTCCCTTTAAGATCTTGTCCATCTCTTCCAACAGGAAGCATCTTGTTGGTCCAGTTGGAGATCATAGAAAGTTCTGAACTCTTTTGAGTCCTACATAAAAAAAAAAAATAATAATAATGCAAACAAGATTAAGCCAAAGACACTCTATATATAATCAATAAAAAATGTTTGCAATACACCCTATTGGTCTTGGTTTTCTTGATAGACAATCTCTAACACCTACCATATTTCTTTTATGAAGATACTGAACATATTATATCAAGCTAAAGCACCATGTGTTTTTCTTTGGTGTCTTCCAAGAGAGCATATTGAACCGGAACTTCTATGAGAACCAGAGAACAGTACATTTATGTTCAGTAGCTAAAATCCATGCAAAACACTTAAACCAAAGCTCTGGGCATAGTAGTCACCTACACAGTGGGAGATTTTGTTACTATTAATTAATTTAAATGTTTCTATCTGAGAATACCACTTTATATACAGTAAATTTTCAGGAATAATTTCTTGAAAATATGTCATATCAAGGATAGTATATAAGTTGTATGTTTTAAAAAGTCAGAAGAATATTAGCTTTTTAAAGCACCAAGCTAGAAAGAGGCTGGAGACCAGGTTTGTTAAGACTGAGTATTATGATTGATTATTATTTTATTTATTTTTATAATTGACACATAATACTTGTACATATTTTGGGGTACATAGTGATATTTTGATACACATTATATGTAGTGATCAATCAGTAATTAGCATATTCATCCACTCAAACATGTATCATCTCTTTGTGTTGGGAAGATTCAAAATTGATTATTGATGTCTGCTATGGTTGTAGGGAGCGGTGACATGAGTATATTTACTATACCTACTTCGGATAGTTATAAATAATAGATTTATAGATTACATTTGTAAAAATTAGGTGTGTTTAGAAATAGGAATTAACTTATCTTGGAGAACGGCTCTTGTACAAAATTTTACTATTTGCAAAAGACTGAATATTCTATTGAATGAGCATTTATTTTGGAGAGATAATATTTTATATACATATTTTTTGTTTTATGTGGCATGTGTCTGTGTTTTGCTTTATAGATGTATAAGGAATTAAAAAACGTGAATGAGCTAAAAATAAAATATCACTCATCATCTATTCATCACATCATCTAATATCAACAGTAGGTTATCACATCATCTAATATGTCAACAGTGTGTTATTACTATTGACACTGACATTCATTGTTACTATTGACATTGATATTAGATAATGTAGTGAATATTATATATGTAATATTATATATATAATGGTAATACTATCAAAGTATTTTTAACTTTTAAAATATAACATAAAAACACACATTTTTTTGGCTCCTAGAATACACTTCTGAATACTTTCTGTAGTCTGATGGCTGCATACTACTTCAACACATGTATTTAATCATGTGTTTTGGGGACATTTGCAGTGGTTTTACATTTTCATTGTTCTAGATAGTGCTCAAATGATTATCTTTAATAACTACTTTTAAAAGAATCTATCGGCCGGGCGTGGTGGCTCATGCCTGTAATCCCAGCACTTTGGGAGGCTGAGGTGGGTGGATCACGAGGTCAGGAGATGGAGACCATCCTGGCTAACAAGGTGCAACCCCGTCTCTACTAAAAATACAAAAAATTAGCCAGGCATAGTGGCGGGCGCCTGTAATCCCAGCTACTCCAGAGGCTGAGGCAGGAGAATGGCGTGAACCCGGGGGACGGAGCTTGCAGTGAGCCGAGATCACACCACTGCACTCCAGCCTGGGCAACAGAGCAAGACTCTGTCTCAAAAAAAAATCATAAAAATTATTAAACATACATAAAAATAGAATGATACAATCAAATCAAATGAATTGAAAACCCAGTTTCAAACATTATCAATATTTTGCTATCAGGCTTTAACTTTCTCTCCTGAATTTTTGTTGTGATGGGGCATTTTAAATCAAAGCTGAGACATTATGTCTTCTTAACTAAAATATTTTAGAATGCATCTCACATTGCTATTCACATATCTGGTAAAACTAATAATTTTTAAAATCACCTAGTGCTTTAAATGCCTTTTCAAAAATGCATATCCTTTTTCCATTAGGATAAATACCTTGAAACATGTTGCTAGATCAAAAAATTTGCACATTTTTTATAGCTTTGGATATAGGTTGGCAAGTGCCAATATGTATTGCAGTCAAGATTGCACAATTTAGTGTGACAATTACACTCACTGTTAGTAGAGGGAAAAAAGATATAAAAATATGGGATGTCATTAATACAGCATAGTGTGGAAGGAGGAAGGGTAGAAAGGCAAGAGATTAGAAAGGCAAGAAATTCTACCAACAACAATAAAAACCCAAGCCTGGAAGTAATGTTGTAATACCTGTGAGGGACCAGTGCTCTTGAGTAAAACCCTTACCACATTTCTGCACAGAACATTTAATCACTAAGGCAGGGGTTCAAGTTGGCATTGCCATGAGGTAGGGTAGAAGGAAGGATAGCAGGAGCCTCCACTGTGCGCTTATTTATCACCCGTTCCACGCCCTGTGGAAGCAGCCTGTGGCCTCCAGGTAGATGCCTCTTCAAGTCTCACCTCCTAAATCATCCTCTAGAGGGATGGTCATTTTATGTTTCATTCTACTGACCTTGTGCATCTTGAGCAGCCTCAAAACAATATGTATGTGGGCCATTAAGCTCACATGACTGCACATAGCATAGGAAAATGATAAGAGGCTTTCAAGGGTAGAGGGTTGTTACTTTACAGTGCCTCGAACTGATATTAAAACTGCTTACCTTAACAAAAGGAAAGGAACCTGCATTTACTGAACCATTTTAAAATGTTGGTTTATCCTTCATACTGAAAATTTTAAAAATCATCTGTAAGGTATCCTACTATCCTTAATTTATAGATGAGGAAAAGTAGGTGCCGCTTTAAGTCGCATTTGGAATATGTGAAGAAATGAATGAATGAATGAAATAATAAGCAAATTAAAAAGTATAGTTTGATAGCAAAACAAAAGTGGCAGAAATGTAAGTGATAGACTTAGCATAAGTCAAGTTAAATAACATAGCCAGTAGTTGGCAGAGGCAGGATTCAAATTCAGGTCTATCTGACTGCAAAGCGAGGCTTTTCATGCATAGTTCCTAGTGTTAAAGTACAAAGTTTCTTAAATTTTTTGTTATTGTTCTCTCTTTTCCTCACCTTATATGTGTGTCTGAGATAATTTTCTATTAAGTTAGCTTACATTTACACACTTACATGCTGGACACTGTTCTAAAAACTACATATATTAGCACATCCGATAGTTAGAACAATCCTATGAAGTCTATATTATCATCGTCCCCATTTTATCAATTGAGAAACTTCGACCGGTTAGCTCATTTGCTCAAGGTCATCTAGCTAGTAAGTGTCGAAGCTAGGAATTGAACCCTACAATTCTAGTTTCAGAGTCTGCTTTTAGCCGTTAAACTATCAATTTAATATGTATTGTTTATATCTATATTTATTCCCATATAAGTATATTCGGATTACATAAATGCCCTTCTGTTTCCCAAGCAGTTTAAAGGGATAAAAAATGACAGGCACTCTGGTGTTATATAATATGCAACAGCCCTTTGGAGACATTTTGTGCAATAACATTGCAGACATTATTTCCTCTACCTCATCCATAAACACTTCCCGTGAGATTTTTGTTCTTTGTGGAATAATTTTCGTTGCAATAATTCTTATTTGTTTTCTCAAAAATAATGGCTGGTTTCCACCTCTCTCATCAATAGACACACCAAATAATTTGTGGGTGCATCTGAGAGCCTAGACTCCTCTCATTAGATCAATAATGATCTAGCCAAGCCGATTTACATGTCTTTAACTTCAATTTACATCAGTTAATATTGATAGGAACTGGAATGGGGAAGGAGAACTGAGTCCCTGGCCTCCAGGACCTCAAAGATTCTCAAGAGAGGCAGACAAGAAACTGACACCTGTAACACTGCGCAAATGCTAGCGGGGCTACCTGCGGAACATGTCCTGAGAGCGCAGCACATGGCATAGAGTCGAGGGTGCAGGACAGCTAGTTCCTACAACCATGCAAAATTCCCCATTTTGCAGACAGAAAACCCAAATGCACTTGCTGTGGTTGAATCCATGCAGTGCTTCCTCATATTTCTTGTGGGATTATATGTTAAATTCCTAACTAAGATTCAACTTGATCATTTTCCAAATATCCAACTGGTTGCTGTTTATTAGACAATTATTAAAACGCATTGTTTTGCTAGTGATTTGAAATACTACCTTTATTCTCCACTACATTAAATTCTCATGTGCAATTGGGTCTAGTTCTGGACTTTCTGTTCTGTTCCAATGATAAATTGATCTGTTTATTTATGTGCCAAGACTACTGTTTTTCAATAATAGTGAATTTAAAATCTGAATTTAAAACCTGGAGCTTGCTCTCGTTTTTTTCACTTCCTTCCCCCAAACTACCAAACACTCAGGTATACTTGCTCTTCTTTTTCAGCATTCTCTTGGTTCTGATATTTTTCTGTATGAACTTTAAAAGCAACTTGTCTATCTCTAGGCAAGAAAAGTTTGTATTTTTATTGAGATCACACAAAATCTATAAATTAACTTGAACGGAATTGACATAAGTGAAAGCTTCAACTTTTCCTGAAAGACAAAAGCCCTGATAAATGGAAAGATATCACTTGTTCTTGGATAGATGTTCTCTCTCTTTTTTTGGGGGGTGGGGGGTAGCTATTTTAATTGTGCTCTTTTTCACTGTGTCTCTAAGTGGTTATTGTTTGTGTATATAAAGATGGATGATCTCTCTGTGTAAATTTTATATCCTGCTGCTTTCCCAACTTCTCTGTTTTGTGTTTGTTTTGTTTTGTTTTGTTTTGTTTTGTTTTGTTTTGTTTTTGAGATGGAGTCCCGCTCTGTCGCCCAGGCTGGAGTACAGTGGCGGGATCTTGGCTCACTGCAACCTCTGCCTCCTGGGTTCAAGCAGTTCTCCTGCCTCAGCCTCCCAAGTAGCTGGGACTACAGGCACATGCCACCACGCCCGGCGAATTTTTTGTATTTTTAGTAGAGGTAGGGTTTCACCATGTTGGCCAGGATGGTCTCGATCTCCTGACCTTGTGATCTGCCCACCTCAGCCTCCCAAACTGCTGGGATTACAGGCGTGAGCCACTGTGCCTGGCCAACTTCCCTGTTTTTAGTTGCTTTTTCAAGGATATATTCTTAGAGGCCTGAAATAGTATTTCTCATTTCAGTGAAGTTTTTAGATTCCTCAAATTGCCTCAACAGCACATGAGAGAGATGCATTTCTCAGTGGTGGGAAGCTTGTGTCCACCCTGACAACCACATACAGCTCAAAAATGAGAAATGTAGCCTAGGTTAAAGGCAGTCGGGTGGTGAGGAAATACTGTAAGCTGAAGAGCTCAGGCCTACCTAAAAGGAATATCTATTTTGTGAACACATGGAGTTGGGGTTCGGTGTTACTAGATCTTCTAACTTAATAAGCAAAACTAGAAATCTGGACTTTCAAGTAAAATCTTCTGGCTTTGAAGCTGATTTTAAAAGTATTTTGGGGCTGGGCATGGTGGCTCACGCCTGTAATCCCAACACTTTGGGAGGCCGAAGCAGGTGGATTGTTTGAACCCAAGGGTTTGAGACTAGCCTGTGAAACATGGTGAGATCCTATCTCTACAAAAAAAATACAAAAATTATCCAGGCATGGTGGTGCCCACCTGTGGTCCCAGCTACCCAGGAGGCTGAGGTGGGAGGATCACTTGAGCCTGGTGGGTTGAGGCTGCATTGTGCCATGTTTGAGCCACTGCACTCCAGCCTGGGGACAGAGAAAGACCCTGTCTCAAAAAAACAAAATATATATATATATATACACACACACACACACACACACACACAAATACACACATACACACAAAACCACCACCACCACACACACACACACACACACACGCACATTTTGTGGCAAAAGAGAAAGGACAAGACAAGTCTATATGTTAAATATGCCCTACAAGCCACCACTTTGTGACATCTGAGAACAATGTTATCATTTGGACCAAAGAGAAGCTAGTAAGGTATATACCACAACAGGATTTTTTATTTACTAAGGTGTATTCCTTTCCTAAGGATAACATAAAAAATGGCTACAAATTTGGTGCTTTAAAACAACAGAAATTTATTCTCTTACGGTTCTGGGGGCCAGAAATCCAAAGTCAAGGTTTCAGCTGGTGCCACTGCCCTCTGAAGGCTCTAGGCGGAGTAGCCTTTCCTGTTTCTTCCAGGTTCTGCTGGTTCCAAGCATTCCTAGGCTTGTGGCTGCAATACCCCATCTGTGTTCTTCTTCACATCTCCTTCTCGCCTTCTCCTGTGTGTCTCTCTTCTGTATGTATCTTATAAGGACTCTTGTCATTGGATTTACAGCCCTCACGAATAATCCAGGATCATCCTGTCAAGAGATCCCTAAATTAATTTTATTTGTGATGTAACTTATTGCAATACAATATTAATATATTTTCCAAATAATTCACAAGTTTAGGGGGTTAGGACATGGACATTTTTTAAGAGCCAAATTTAAACCACTGCCATAGGTTATATTATAGAAATATAAAAGGGCATGACACAACTATGTAGGGTTTAAAAATAGTTATAACATTACCACCCAATCAAGAATACTAGCAGAAGGATAGATGCCCCAACACTCTGTTTCTGTCCACCATATGTCTGTCTCCTCTCTTGTACCACCAGAAATAATCTAATTTTTTTTAGAATATCCTACTTTTACTGTAATAATTTCAATGTTTTTCTTTGTAGTTGAACCACATATGACTGCCTCATTAAACAATGTGGCTTATTTCTGCCCAATTTTGAACTTTATGTGACATAAATGATACCGAATGCATTCTTTATTTTCTGGTTTGCACATTTGTTATGAGATTCATACATGTTTTTGTGAACAGCATTTTTTTCTGTGTATTTCATAGGCATTTGGGTTGTTTCAGATTGTAGTTATTACAGGTATTACCACACTACACATTCTTGAATGTATATTGTGGTACATGTGTGTAAACTTTCTCTAGTGCATGTACCTAGCAGTAGAATGGCTGGTTTTTGAAGAATGCATATTAGCAATGTTAGTAGATAATGCTGGCCTATTTTTTAAAATTTTTGTACTTATTTGCACTCTCAGCAACAGGGAATTCCTGTTTCTCACCCTAATCAATGCCTCTCTCTTCTCTCTTCTCTCCCCTCCCCTCCCCTTCCCAACATCACCTCTTTTCCCTTTTCTCTTTTTGCTCTCTCCTCTCTCCTCTCTCTCTCTCTCCCTCTCTCCCTCTTGTCATTTCCTTTTGTTCTTTTTATTAATTGCTTCATTCACTGATTCTGTTAGTGTCATATGCCTATGATGTGCCAGGAGCTTTATTTTTCTGAATCATTGGGCCATTCTTACTAAGAAGGAAGCAGACCCTCTGTTTATAGGCTGGTTGAAATGAAGCCTTGGGTGCCCCCTGGCACCTCGGCCAACAGAGATGTTCTAATCTCCAATACATGACTAGTGTTGAGAAGGCAGCCATCAGGACTCCTGGTCACTTTCTGGTTGCCACAGGAAGCGCCATCAATATCTGTTAGCTCCCATTATCCTGGCAGAGCAGACAGCTGTGTCCTCTGACCCCCTCTTGACATTCTGATAGGTTTCCCTTCATACCACACACTTGCAAGAGCTTTTACTCTCTCTCACCTGGAAAGGTCACTTCCCAAATGAGACGCCTGGGATAATAATGTTTCTCTTGTTTTGCAGTCTCTTGTCTCAGCCACCAATTTCAAGGGGTGTTTGAGGGCAGCAACCCAGTTAAAAGAGGAAAGAACCAGATTGGTGTGGTCTTCACACCAGCTAAAGTCCATTTCATTTTCTCTATGTTGTTCTAAGTTTGCTTTCAAGATTACAGGAATATTGCTCAACATGTAACCAATGGGGCATTTGCTTCAGAAGCACCTGGAGATTAATTTTTGAAATTAAATTTATCTGTCTAATAAAAGGAACAATTTCATAATAAAAATACCATCTGCCCCTTATAAAAGAATGATCTTTTTCCTTTAACATGACTCTGATTCTGTTTCCAGCGAACCAAAACTCTGGCCTTGGTGCCTTGGTTTATATTTAAATACCTGACAATTTAACTAATAGTAATGCTATATGTGTTCAGATTACTTTTCTTCTTGGCTCTAGTAGAAAGTTTAGAAAAAAACCTCAATTCACTATGACACACACACACACACACACACATAATTATATTAATAGAGTTATTCTAATTTCTGCTTCTACCCCTGACTTTCCCTCTGTTCCACCTTGGTAACTGTATGTCTTGTATTGGACAGCCTATTCCTAAAACAAGATAGGTAGAATCTTTAGGTTGCAGGAACTACAATGACAGACCAAGAGTGACGGCTTGATGACTTCAGCCAGAGGGAAAACTTTAAACCATTCTGTATCAGAAGCTCCATAGCCATTAATAAAGAAGAGCTATAGTGTGTGCCTAACCCAGAGAGCTGCCAAGTATATTCCAAGGCATTGTAAATACATGGCTACAACAAGATCTCTCTTAAAAACTTAAGTCTCTCGTGGACAATTTTATTCCTTGTGAGCGAAATTGAATAGAGGCAAACTTCAAGACTTAATTTATTTTTTGCCCTAGCTATAAGAATAAACAGACTCTTAGATCCTGAAAGAATCTGACTCAGCTAAGAGGAGGCAAGTCAGCAAGAAGTAACTAAATGGAATAATATCCATTTGACCTCTGCTTCTGCTGCTTTGAATTGTCTGAGAGGAGCTCCATTTTTGAAACTGGCTTTGGCTCAGGACTATCAGACTGTGTAGTGGGTTTTACCGTTTTGATTGACTTATCCATTCCAATACCTGAACACATGATTGTTTTGCTCTTCTACCTGTCGAACCACCCAGTTGCCCTGTGGAATCAATAGCTGATACAGTAAGTTGGTGATGGAGCGTCTAGTAGAGAAAGAGAGGAAATGGCTTGGTAAGTGGGCCATGGAAGAGCTTCATAGCAGTAGTTGTTGACTGTTGGTGACTAAGACAATCTGCTAGGGAACTTGAAAATAATAATAATAATAAGACTCAGATACTGCCTACCTCAATGAGCTGGACTCTGTATTCTTTATCAACTCTCCAAATGATGCAATTCCCACCAAAATGTGAAACTCACTGCCCTATAGGATGGGTGTCAGAAACCAGGGTCTGGAATTAGGCAGATGTAGGTCCAAATTCTTCTCTAAGCCTTCATTTTTAACTTTAGAGTATGGATCTGAGACTACCTACTTCCTTTGGTTGATGTGACATTTTATGAGAAAATGTACATAAAATACTTCTTATTTTTGTAATTGTAATGATTATTCCATTTTTATGGCCTTACAGGTAAGGGAAAACTTTGAATAATTTAAGTATTTGGGAAGTAAGTCCATTTTTTCTCCTATGGTTCTTGATCATAGAACTCAACTTTATAAGTTTCCAAAGTTTTTCCATTGCCACAAACAAGATACTGTGGGGGAAGGAGATGGTGTAGTCTTCATTGTTGCAGGTGGATTGAAAGAAAATCGTATAGGTTAAGTATGTACCTGCTCATGGTTCCATGACTGAGTGAGATTCATAGATTTGGGATTTGAGCCTAGGCCTTGGGACACTGAATCCCGTATCTTTTTCCACTCTGACTCTCTTGCAAGATCTTATGACCCCATACGAACATTTAAAGTCACACTGTCCTAAAGAGGAAGCTAGAGAGTTCCTGGCGTCCTCGTCCCTGCTCATCTGGACACTCTTTATACATTGGATTGAGGTTTATATTGGACTCAGTTCACCTACAACCTCTTCAAAAACTTTTCCTTCTAATTTGACTAGAAAGTCAATTACATAATGGGATATTGCTAAGTGAAAGGAGGTTCTTAAAATAATATTCATGGATCAGGAGCTGACATGGTTAGGGATGCAGAATGTGGCATAATGGTTGACCTTAGGCATGTTACTATTTCTTATAACTCTGTTTTCTCACCTACAAATGGAAATTATGCTAGTAACTACCTACCTGTCAGATTGAACTAGGAATTTAGTCATGGATTAATGCAATTAGAATATTTTTCCTCCTTCTGTTAATTTTTTTTTTTTTCGGTCGACACACAAGAGGATCCAATTCACTGAAACAAAGAAAAAAAAAGTCACTTTTATTTTTATTTCTGAATGTGCCAGCAGTGCCCCGCAAGCAATGACCTTTTCATTTAACTCTGTTTAGGGTTTGATGCCTACTTTACGTCCCGTACACTTGAAAACAACAGAAGAAATGTATGGTTTGCCGAATACTGGGAGGAAAACTTCAACTGCAAGTTGACGATTAGTGGGTCAAAAAAAGAAGACACAGATCGCAAATGCACAGGTAATTTAATTCTCGTTGTCCTTCTCCTATTACTCTACGTGGCTAGCACTGACATGTCTGCATAGCTGACAGAAGGAAGCTTGGCTGGAGACAAATTGAAAAAGTAAATTAAATTTTACTAGATTGTTCAGAAAATGGAACAGGAGCATACGTCTTGCAGGACAAAAGACATACAGACAAGAATGTATTCTTTTCTGCCTATCTAGCAGTAATTGACATTTTCAGTGATTCTTTGAATTCAGAAGGGGTCATGTTGCTTTGAATCCTCTTGTTCAGTTCCAGCCAGGAGTATGAAGTCATTTTCACATAGACAAAATTCTCTGACAAATCCCATGCCATTGTCGGATTTAACTGTTACCATGGACAGTATACTTGATTAAGGAAACAGAGTGATTGGGTTTAGAATAATGAAAATCCAAATGATTTTCATTAATGTCTAAGTTAATGAGTTACCTATTATTTAAAATATTCACGGCTCCTTATATGTAACCTTGTAAATGAAAAATATCTGTGAATAAGTGAGAAGAAAAATCACACATTCATTCATTTATTCACTCACAAATATTTACTGAGTGACTCCTTTCTGCTATGCACTGTGCTAGGCACTGGGGATCTGGTGGTGAGCAAACTAAGTGAGAATCCTCCCTCTATGTTGCCCAGAGTCTGGTGGAAGGAATTTGACTTTATTCCAGTGATCTCACGAACGAATTCATAATTACAAACTGTAATCCATGTTCTGAGTGTTATGAGGGCATATAACTAAGGAAGTTTACTAATGTTGAAGGTAGAAGCTGTCTCAAAAGACCCTTTTGGGAGAATGATGCTTGAGTCAAGATAAAATGAAGAAATGGACATTGGCTGGTTAGGGAAGGAAAATAGGTTGGAGAATTCTGATTAAACACGGTAAATGGCTTGCAGTAGGAGGAGTTTTTGTGTTTCTGAGGTTGTGAAAAACAGAAAAAACATGACTGAAGTACACAGAACAGAGAGAATGTGTGAGCCAAGGCTGCAGGTGTAGAGAGATGGTCCAGAACTAAGTCATTTTAGGATGTACGTGGGACTTGGCTTTTATCCTAAGAGCAGTGGTAACCATGGAAGGGTGTTACACAAGCGGATGACATGATCTACCATCTTATCAACTAGACCTCTTTAAACATCAGCCTTTACAATTTGTAGTGATGACCTTCAGGTATACTAATGTAATAAGGCTAAATGTTTTATATATGATCAAGAAAGACACATTCATGTGGGACACAGTTCTGCCTCTAGTCTCTCTTTGTAATGTAGCTGTTTGAATACCGGTCACCCACATGTTGTAGATTAATCCACTCAACCATCATCTGTTAATCAGGTAATACATGGTATCAGGAACACCATGAAGTCTTTGGGGGTGCTTAAATGTAGTCTCAAGAAGTTTTCTGTGAAAAAGGAGAAATGTACAACATATGACCAGAAACATGAATAACAATAATGATATAAAATAAGTATGATGCATATATTAAAGGTATCATTCAGTCAACTGGACTATCGGATTCACCACATTCTCCAGATCATGCTATATAACAATAGTTCTGAGATATGGTCCCTAGAATAGTGGGGGAAAAGGGAAAATATTAATTTAATATTGACTAGACCTAGGCGACACAAAGCTTTCAAGTGGAAACTGAAAAAAATTAGCTTGACATCTGGATAATTTGTCTCTATGACAGGGTACATTCAAGTGCACCGGAAGTATGTAGATGATTGAAGACAGTTTTCCTGGGTTCTTTCTGACATTTTGTGTTCTGTAGAGTGTCTGGAAGGTGGAATCGGTTGATGGACGTTAGGATTGTCCCACTCTGAGGCCACACCTCTGACTTCTATGAGCTTAAACACAGGCTGTTTTATGTGGAGCCATGCTTCAGGCTGATCATTGAGAATTTGGGCTTATACAAACTAGTAAGGTCATTATGCAAGCCTCTACCTTACAAAAATGGAAATAGAAGTGTTTGTGTCTTCCTAACTAATATGTTTCTTCCATGTGAATATTTATAATCACATTCACTAAATTATAAGTGTACCCAAAATATTCGTATATTCTCACCTTCCTTTTTCCTTCCTCATCACTTTCTTTGTGATGAGCTGTACCATATGGAATGGAGGTAGATACTGTTACCATTACCGTATCTCTTACTCTTCCACCTATTGATATGGTGGTCATATTTTGTTTGTTTTCCTTGTCCTTCCTTTTTCCAAATCCAACCATATGTACATCTTTCTTTGATAGTATTCCAAAAAATACTATTTAAAAAATCTTTACATGTAAGTATACTTCAATTTGGAAGTGAAGAATCAGTGGGAAAGGTAACCTGGTTGCATGCTTTGGTGACTAGATTTTAAAACACTAGAACAGGCATGTTAGAAAGGGCACCCAGATGAGCAGGCTAGCTGAGTAGTCTGACACTGAAGATCTGCGCTGTGAATACAATGAATGTTTTTATCTGAGGACTGTAGAACATAGCCCCCTTCACAGAGCTCTCTCTGTGACTTGGCTCTGCTAAAGAAAAAGGAAGTCTTATTAATATAACATTCACTCTTAAGATGTGAGCACAAATTAAAATGTAGGCCATTTTTTTTTCTTTTGGGCTGGGTAGCCTCCTTAGCCATACTAAACAATATTTGTTATATATTAGCTGCAAGTAGACCAACACTGAATCAGCCATTTGACAAGTTTTAAAGATGAGGGATGAGACCCATACTATTTGGAGAGAGCAAATTACTGAGGTCAGAGTATAGCAATGAGTTCTAAAATCACAAGAAAATGCAAAGTCATGAGAGGAATAATAATTATTGAAAAATATTCATTAAGAAACATGAGATAAGCTGTTCATACTTCATAATTTTACTTGGGGCTAGATGTGCATGAATTCTTATAGAAAATGACCTGAACAACTATGTAATCTTTATTTCTGTAAATTATCCATGTCCACCTAAAGTCTTAAAGAAAGGGATCTTACCGCATTCTTTAGTATTTCAAGAACATTTCCACTTTCCTTGATACCAAATCCCAAGATGTGACAATCTGAGAGCTAGACATTCTTCCTCTTACCTTCCTTCAGAGTAGCCTAATAACCGTTGATATAGATCAGGCATTCGCAGTGAGCCATCCTGCTCATGGGATATATTGGGTGTAATCACTCAGCGTGAAATGCAGTTCAGCAAGTATGTGGTTGTCCAAGCTATCACAGAAAACACAACTTCCATTTGACAGGATTAATGCCATTCATGCTGCTTCATAGAAGAGCTATGTTTTCTCATGGAGACAATGCTAGATATACACATAGTCATCTCTTCTAGAGAGTTTACCACATACCATTTTCATTTGCAGGCAGAAAGATCAGATGTGATTTTTTTCTGCGTTGTATTTATGTTCCCCTACCCACAGCCCACCAGCTGAGTGTGTTCACCCTTGAGACTTGCCAGGATGCTGCTGGCACAAAGACCAGTTTAGAGTATGACCTCTTTGGGAATAATATGTTTCAATGGAGATACTAAGGGTCAATGAAAGAAGGAACATTACACAAATGAAGTGACATCTCTGCAAAAAGAGATTGAGGCCATCTTGGGGTCAGGAACATTATACCACAGTGGTTAAGAAACCATTGGTTTTGGAATCAAAAAGATCTAAGCTTCTGTTCTAAGGACATCCATAACCACACATGCCTGTGAGAGCTTGGATAACATGTTTTTAACCTCTCAAAGCCATTTCTTATTTTTGAAGTGAGAATAGTAAAACCTTACATTCAAAATTGTTGAGTGGATTAAATCAGTTAATTTAAATAAAGGGTCTGAAATTTTACTAGCACATAGTCGTAGCTAACAATGGAAATTTTCTGCTCTTCTGGGCTGAATTCAGTGGCCTGTGAGGAATTCATGAAGATCTTTTTGTCTGTGTCAGTCCTTAGAGATCAGGATGTATATCAACTCCAATCAGAAAACAAGTACGTAAGTATAGACAAGAATTTTTACTGGGGTGCACACTATATAGGGTGATATATTGAGTATCAAAGAGTTTGCAGACAGGCGTCATGCAATGTTATGCTATGAGTGAAACATGAAGCGCAAGGCTTAAGAAATTTCGGTGCTTTAACACAGAGTGTGTGTCCAAGGCCCAATGACATTTGGACACAGAGTGTGTATCCAAGGCCCAGTGACATTTGGACACACACTGTGCATTATAGAGAGCATCATATCCCAAAGTTTTCTCATTTTCTCCTGAGGAGCTGTGTCCTTACATAGCTAATGGCATCCCCAAGAGTGTAACACTCAACATCTCATATCCCAACATTTGCTCATCTTCTTCCGAGAAGCTGTATCCTTACATGTCTAATAGCATCAAATATCTTAGCTCCCAAATGCATTTTTTAAACTCAGAAGGAGGTTCTGAGAACCTGAATATGTTTGCCTATGACTGGGCAACATCTTATGGCTTATCAGTCATAACTCGTGACTTACCCAGAACATTTGTCTAACTAATATCACTGTTCTATGAAATACCACTTGGTGAATACTGATTCATTAGAGTTACCTCCTTGCTGAAAAGCAGGAACTCAGCATTTACAAATCCATCATCTGATGATGGGACAATTTAACATTCAGAGATTTGTTTTTCTTTCGCGATGACAGAAGATGAATAAATTGGTGACATATATTTTTTGTAACAAGCCTTCATATTTCATTGCTAGTGCTTTCAAGTCACACAATAAGCAAATTCAGTTTTGATTTGTGTCCCTAATCAGCCCCTGTTTACTGTGGAAAGATATCAAGGGCTAAAGAGCGTACTCTGATAAATGTCTACATTTTGGAAGGTCAGAATTCTTAAGCTGTGTTTTTCTTTACACCTCACTTCTCAGAGCTAATAGTTTAAGTCCTCTTTTCAGTGGAGCTAACAAAAAGCCTGTTGATAAACGCTGTTAATGAATAAACCATGTATTTCTTAAGTCTTTTATTTTTACCAGGACCCAGGCTCATTAGAGCCTATATAATTCGTTAACAAGACTGTCAAGACAAAGGAATTACGCTTAAAGTCAAGTGCTCAGAATATATGTGCAGAAATAATTGATGATTATACTGATTAGTTTTTTTATACTCACTGTCATTTTATTATTCTATTCTGAATTGACCTTTAATTGTCACAAAGATGTTTTATTGCAGCACCTAATTTACTTAACATGATTGAGGAATCCACAACAAAATGTTATAGATAAATAGTGTCTAACTCTTTGGTACTCTAAGACTTTTTTTGAAACCGTTTTGATGAGAAGCAATGTCAAATGCATTTTTACACCTTTGTGCTTTCTTAAACAGAGGCTTGCCACAGATTAATGATGATTTCATCTCTGTGAGCATGCATAGGATTATGTGTTAATGTGGTTCTTTGTTAAATTTTTGGTTCTCTGACTCATCTCTAAATATCGGAGTCTTGGTTGACATCTCTCTTGCTTCCATCACCCTTAAATCTTCCCCTACCTACCTCTATAAATGGCTTGTTTCTAATTGTGGGAACTGGAAATGTATCAAATTATTAAGAATCTTTGCTGGTTAATTAATTCATTTATTTAAAAATGAATGTTAAATACTAAATCCTTACAGAAAGGCTAAGGTATATAACTTTGAGGATTTAGTAAGGCATTCTCTAGCAACTGTTTGGGTAAGTTTGCTAATAACATTTAGATACATGGAATACCAATTAATATAGGATTCTTCAAGTTAAAATGGTCTGAATGTCACATCTAAAATCCTCATTGTTTTTGGGACACCTCTTTAAATCCTTTTTGGAATGTAAGGTATTGAATAAAAATGCCATGCCCATAAAAGGTAATTATATTTCTAGACTTCAGTTTTTCATGTGTAATTGTTAAAAATAGACTTTAGTGTAACATTAAATCATAGTAAGTGTCATGCTAACTCTATGGGTTTGCTTTTAAGTCACTTAAATATGAAAGTTTATCTTCTTGTATTATTTAAAAATCAATAAATTTTGTAAAGGCATTTAAGAACAAAAATTTAACCTCTTTTCAAGGGAAGCATAGCGCCACCTATGTTAATTGCCAATTATTCCACTGGATAAATCTGACAGAAGATAAGCAAGATGATTAGGCAATGCTTGATTCTGAGGGCAATAATTAGCATAGCCTTCTGTATGGTTGTGTATTGTAATAGGTACAAATCTCAGATCATAAAATTGCTAGTGCAAAAAAATGAACTTTTGGTTGTTTTCTATAACTTCACTTTGTTTTTCAAATCTCCATCCTATTGTTTTGTAGAAATTCAATCTTTTTAAAACCCCTTATCCCACATGGTCCACAGGCCTGGACCTTAGTTACAAAGAGATTTTTTTTTAAAGCCCAGGACTTGAAAATTATTTGTGAGGCTTTGCTCTGATCCTTCGGCGTGCATGATTTTTCACTAGCCATGAATCCATCTTCAGGAATGCACCTTGTCCATTCCTGCCCTTAGTAGTGAAGATGTGAAGGCTACTGCAGCATGGACTCTTGGTCCTGACCTCAGGGCTTCTCCAGGTACAACTGTGGTTTTGATGACTCCAGGTCCTTCCTGTGACCATGGTTGCTGGAGGTTCTAGAGCCTAGGAGCTCTTCAGTTTTTTGTTTTCGTTTTTGTTTTAAAGGAGTAAAATACATTTTTAATACTGTATTTTTAAAAAATAGGGCCAAATCCCAGGCAACATAGCAAGACCCTGTCTCTACAAACAGTAAAAAAAAAAAAAAAAAAAAAAAAATAGCCAGAAGTGGTGACACACATCTGTGGTCCCAGCTGCTTACATTGGGAGGCTGAGGTGGGAGGATCACTTGAGCCCAGGTAGTTGAGGCTGCAGTGAGCTGTGATCATGCCACTGCACTCTAGCCTAGGTGACAGAGTGAGACCTTGCCTCAAACACTCAAAAAACAGGGCCATAGCAGTAAACTTTTGCTCAGTGTTCTATCCCTTTAGATCAGGGCAGTGAACTTTTCCTCTCAAGGGCAGGTAGTAAATATTTTAGGCATTATGGGTCAGGCTGTTTCTGACACAACTACTCTGTTCCCATAACACAAGGCAACCACAATATATGTAAACAAATGGACAATAAACAAATGATCCCTTGCTTTAGACCAGCGTTGACCAATGGAACCTTTTACAATGACGGACATATTTTATTTTCTGACTACTGAGCATTTGAAACATGACTAATGCAACTAAGGAGCTGACTTTTAAAATTATTTAAAACGTAAACAGCCACATGTGCCTAGTGGCAACTGTACTGACCGGCTCTGCAGAGCCTAGGAGCTCTTCAGGAGCTTATACCAGCATTTAACTTTTACATATCCCGTTAGTTTCTCCCTTCTCATCTGTCACTCCTGAATGTCTTGATTACAGGCTGGGCGAGGAGACTAATTTAGATCCATTCATATCCTTCCATTATTTTTTGTATATGGCATATGTTTCATGTCCTTAATACTTCAGTATTTTTGAAGCACAGAGCCAAGTACTGACCATATAACACTGGCTTTTAGAACACAAAGGTCAGTCCTTTATTTATTATTATTATTTTCTTTTTTACTTCCATTGTTCTTCTGTGTTTTATTATAACCATCCTTCCCAAAAGCAATGAAGAAGAGTTCTGAAACTACCATGGTTAGAAAATAAATGGTGGAGAGGAAATAAAAGGCACATTTGTTGATATATTAATATGTTAGAATATTACCATATGACACTAACCGAAGTACAAGCAAAGTAGATGGATGGCAACCCAGATCTTTGATTTTACTCACAAACCTCATTTTCCCAAATCTTGACCAGATGCCCAAGTGGAGGCTGAATATCTTCAGCCTTATGAAATAGAGGTGTATAGATGGACCCTGCAGTAAATAAATTTTTCCTTCAGCCACCAACTCTTCAAAGCATAAAAAGGGGTCTCTACTGAATGCCATTTTAATTCAGAGCACACTCCCTCAGTTTTTTTCCTACCATACAGCACTTTAAGTCACCCATAGCAACTGTGTTTAATTCTGTGCAGAAGCAAGCCAAACAGTGAAACACCAACTTGAAATCCCGGGAGTATTCAGGCAAAGCTCTTTCCATAAATGCTAGAAGCCATAATTATTTGAGCTGTGTGTCATTTCTTTCTCATTAACTCCAACAGGCAACGTCTTTAAAATTGGGAGTTATGGCCTTTCCATATTCAGAAAGTCTGTCAGGCTTGCCTGTTAATGAGAAGGAATTCCTGAACTAGGGAAATTAATTCATATGCATCTTCTCAGCAACAATTCTCGTAAACAAAGTGCCCTTATAAGCAATAGAAGTATTATAAATCGGATGCTTAGAGTCATTTTAGTAGGTAGAAGAAAGGGTTGTGGAATGACTTATCAAGTATCATCAAGCAAGTTACAGTAGAATATAGCCTTCCTTAGAAGAGTTTCTAGTAATAGAGGCTTTCTGCCCCCCACCCCCACCCACCAAAGAGAAATATGGATACAAAAAGCATTTTAGGTTTTTATGGGATGTATAGCATCATATTTATTTTTCTACAGAATAAAATGTGATCACAAAATAAATATCAACTATATATATATCTCCAGATAAAAACTTTCTAGAGCTATTCTAACTTTGTCCCCCTGATTCTGTGAAGAGGAGATCCAGGTATGTGGGCGAACACATATGGAGGCTGCTAATTTTTTCATTCTCATCTTTAAATAGTATTTATTGTTTACCATCCTGGGCACTGAAAGCTGGGTGCTGGCTTTAAGTACAGCCTCACTGCTGTAGAAACACAATATTCAAGCTGCCTGCTTCAGTCTCACTAATTTGTTCATAAAAGAAGTTAAGACTTGAGTCAGATTCCCTGGGTTTGAATCCCAGCTGTTTCTGTTACTGTGTCACCATGGGCAAGTTACTCAGACATTCCCAACGGCCTTTCCCATCCCCTCATCTGTAAAGGAGGGATAACAACAGTCCCTACTATATGGGCTCATTCACAAGAATTAAATAGAGCAATACCTGGTAGGGATAGAGGGCGCTCAACCGGTTTAGGTGCCATTGTTGTGGTTGTCTTTGTTGATAGTGGTGATTGATCCTACTTTTGGCCTTCGTTTAAAACCAAAAAAAAAAGGAAAAAGAAAAAAGAAAAGTCAGGGCTCCTCCATGACTTAAGTAGCCCATCTTTCCTTTATTTTCATATAAAGCATTATTCTTCCTTTACCTTAAATACCTGTTGCCTTATATCATGCTAGGCACATAACAAAAACTTGTATGTGTTTACGTTATTCTAGTTGATCCCCATATCAGCCTTGTGAGATAGTCAGGGTAAGTAATGCCCTGTTTTTACAGGTTAATACAAAAGACCAGAACCTTGGAGACACTTTGTGACTTCTCTGAGAGTATAGCTACCAACGAGAAAAATTTAATAATCTCAACAACTAAGTACATACACTCATTTAATCATGTACTCTGTCACTCATTTAATTACTCAACAAGTGAATGACAAGTGAGCTGCACTGGGCCAGTTTCTGTGCTGAGCCAGAGAACACAGGCAAGGTCTTTGCTTTCAGGGAGCTTTTATTCCAGTACAGGAGGCAGAAAGAAAACCAAAAGCAGATATGGAAAATAATTACAAGTTGTGATTAGTGCTGTGAAAGAAACAAGTAAGACGCTGAGCTAGAAAATAACAGTAGACAATTTTTCCAGGAATGTGTAGTCAGCAGAGATGATCACAACAGCCCTGACTGTCCATGAGAGGTTATTATTTCCATTATACACGTGATGAAATTGTGGTTCAGATGGATCAACCCAATGGTACATAGAGCTTATTTCTCCCTATGCTGTTTCTCCTCTCATGCCTAGTTGCCTCCCAAGACCCTTGGAAAACTGAACACAAATAGATACTTTCTCATTTTTCGGTAACTTCGTAGTTTTGCTTCTATAGCAATTTCCTCAGTCTGTGACACCCAGGCACATAAGGGCTCGTAGTAGAACATGTTTGATAATGATCCTGGATTGATCCCTTTTGGTCCGCACTGATAAACAGCTGTAGTGGAGAAGTGAGCTGACCTTGTTTCTTTTCTCCTTTCTTGAAATTAAAATAGGGCAGTATTTTCCAGTTTATGTTCAAACTTTGTTATAATGATAAAAAGCTAGCAGTCTGTACAAAGAGAAAAGACAGAGCTCAAACTCCTTGTTCAGAGGCAGCATAGTTACACAAGAGGGAATTGTAGCCCTGACTATAAAATTCTCTCTGAATATATCTCATTTGCTTGGGACCTTCTGTCCATTTAGGGTAGGCCAAACACAAGTCGGCAGCCTTGTTAAAGCAGATGGTGGAGACTGAAATAGTGTGAAACCAAGGTGGTACAAAATAATACCTTTAAGAAACTCAAAGGACTTTTGGAGTAGCAGTTGTAAATTGAGCTACCAAAGTGGTCCAACACACTGGCAGAAGTGGGCAATTTACTATGGAAGGAAAATGTTGGATTACAAGATGCTATTGCTTTTTTATTAGAGAAAAAATGCAATGGTTACACACAGGTTCTGGTCAAGTTTATAATAAATAGTTACATTTTAAAATTAAATTTAAAAAAATACAAAAAAGAATACAAAGAAAAAGATGCCAAGAACCAAGCTGAAATGGTTCTCCTTTTGTGCTGAAGTGTACAGAAATCACTATGACAAGTAGTTATTGGACTTCTAATGTCTGCCTGTGTGGCTGTTAACATGACTATAAATCACGCTTCCAGCACCGAGTATATATCAATAGATTCTTTCTTTCCTTGGATGAGTTTTGAGATTGCCAAATAAGTGTTACTGAGCTTTAAGAGGCACTAAAAGTATAGATTGGTGCTATTTTTAACATGTAAAACTAATTCCTCAACATTTAAGACATTTCAGTGGCCATATCATACGTTCTTTCTTTCTTTCTTTCTTTTTCTTTTTCTTTTTTTTTTGAGATGGAGTTTTGCTCTTGTTTCCCAGGCTGGAATGCAATGGTGCGATCTCGGCTCACCACAACCTCTGTCTCCCGGGTTCAAGTGATTCTCTTGCCTCAGCCTCCCGAGTAGCTGGGATTACAGGCATGCGCCACCACGCCCTGCTAATTTTGTATTTTTAGTAGAGACAGGGTTTCTCTATGTTGGTCAGGTTTCTACAAGACTAAAACCTCAGCATGGTCTGTAGGGCACCTGGTAGCAAGGCCCTATCTCATACTCCTGGGACTCTGATGTTCTAGTTCTCTAGAGGTGTCTGCATTTTTCTTGCCACAGGGCCTTTGTATATGCTGTTTCTCTGCCTGGATTTTTTTTTTCCCCCAATACAACTTTTGACAATCACTCACTCTTCACATCTCAGTGTCACCTCTTTAAGGGAGTCTCCACTGAAGCTCCCATCACGATCTAGGGCAGGTTCTTTACTGTCTGCTCTGCCACCTTCCTGTCCTTCTGAGAGACACTTGCCTGTTTGTGACACTGTGCTCCTCAGTGTGCATATGAGGTGAATGTCTCTCTCGTACTTGGCTTCAAGCTCCATAAAACCAGCTGCTCACATATCTGTGGATCCCCATCTTCACATCCCCAGCCCTAGGCCAGTATCAGGCTTACAGTAGGAGTTTAACAAGTAGTTGTTGAGGAACTACTTGTTTTGGAACTACAAGTGGTTGTTGAGAAACTACTAATTTTACTTTCCAGGCTTAAAACCAAAAATCTGCTTTGCATAAAACATTTCAATGCAATTGATCAGATTGGAGGAGAAGAAGGAGATGATTTGTGCTTGTGTTTCCCTAAAGGTGCTCAGCTTGCTGCACTTAGAACACTGAAGCAGCATCTTTTGCTGGAAGACTATCCTGGGCAAATGGATTGAATCAGAGACTTTGTAGGATCTTTTGGGCTGCATGTGATAAATGTTTCAGAAGCCCATTATGTTGTTTTCCACAAGACACAAAAGGAAATTAGCAACATCTGCATATATTTGAATTGACAAGTGTTCCCACTTTAAGGAAAAATGTGAAAATCCCAAAATTCAATAAACTGTAATATATTAGCCATTTGTTCTTTAAAATGAATTGACAGGAATAGAGAACTAAGAAATGTATTGGTCTCTCAGCTTTGACCACATCTTCTCTGCATTGATCATTGTTACGTTCAGTGCTCTTATGTTATGCTCTTATGCTCTTATGTTATGAAGAATTATTGCATTTTATGTGTTATGAAGAAGAAATTGCATAAAGGGTTAAAACCCTAATAGTAAAAATAATAAAATAACCCATGCTTACTGGGTACTTTCTTAAATGATGATGTCTCTTCCTGCAAATACCTATTCCTGTAGGTGAATACAAATCGAAATAAATAAAAATTTTTATATTTTTGGAAGTTTTACACTGAAGATTTTAATTTTGTCCATCTTTTTAAAAAGTACAGTAAGCAATATTTGTTGAACACTTTGCTATGCATTGGTCACTCACTTGAGCACTTTGCACAGATGATAGTGATCTTCAAAAGTCCCACTTTTATCCACCAGTTTTAGTTGAGAAAGGTAAAACCCCAATTGATCTTTTTTACTCCCCTCTGAGATCATTTTTGCTATTTTATAAGTGAGTAAATGGAAGCGCAGGAAGACATAGCAATCTGCACAAGGTCACACAGCACAAAATGGCAGCTCAGGGTCAGCGAGGTTAATGACATGACAGGCTCATGGTCAGTCGCTGATTAGAAAATGGCAGAGCCAGAATCCAAAACAAGGTCTGGCAGACTTCAAAACCTTATGTTTCTTTTTGTTTCTTTTGTTCCAAACTGTCCACCTGGGTTGAGACCCCTCATAGGGAAAATGATGTGCAAAACATTTAGGACCCAGCACCAGCCACTACAGAAGCAAAGAAAAGATACGGAGTGACCTATATGTCTGTAGGCTTCTGTGTTTTGGGACAGAAAACACGGGTTTCTGAAAGGAGCTTATACCATTGTTTCTAAAAGGAGCTCATTACTCTAGGCTTTGTGCTTTTTTGAGTTGGTCCACCAAGGAGTGTGTCTCTGCCATTCAATGACTAGTTATTTTGTTATCCAAGTGTAGGGAAAGAATGTGGGCAAAGAAAAGACTGTCCTTGAAAAAGAGCTTTCACTTCTCTGGTGGAGAAAATTTGCAGAGGTCGTAAATCTGGGAGAGTGCCTAACTGTGGCTCAACTTTTTTTCTCCTGGGACAGCCTGTTTGATTGTTCACCTGCTTTTAATGTTCTTGTGATTTCAACACAATAGTGTGTGTTCTTTCATTAAAATGGTGAATGAGATCTCATTCACTCTGTACTATTAATGAGTGCTTACTCTTGAAAAGTGTACATTCATGAGTGCTTACTCATGAAAAGAAAGAACTGCTCATGATATCACTTGGGTTGTGGTCCTGGTCTTGTCACTCATGGGAAGATGTTTGCCTACCATTTATAGTCCTGTGTGGTCCTTAACAGCCACACAGTCAGACATAAGGTGTCCAATAACTACTTGTCCTAATGATTTCTATACACTTCAGCACAAAAGGGGAGAACTTACAATGCTAGCACAGGCAGAACCCCCAATTCTGGTAATTCTGTGACCCCAGAATAATAATAAGAAATTCAGGTACCTTTAAACTGTATTTTTTATCTTATGAAACATACACACTATATCTGTTGTTAATTTTCTTCATTAAAATATTATATGATAAGCCAGTGACTTCGTATCCTATCGTTTGCAGAAATTTCACTAAAATTATTTATGAAGTTTGCAGGTATGTTTAAAACACATCAGGACATAACTCAGTAGCTCTTGCTTCTTCTTTTTGAGGGGAATTGCTTTCTTGGGATGCATTTCTAGAAGTTGTTAAATGGAGTAGTAAAGAACAAAGACTTGGAAACTAAGTTGCCTTAAATCAATTTCAATTCCTGCCTCATTAGCTATGAAGCCTGACACAAGTGACTTTGCATCTCTGTGCCTGTTTTCTAATTTCTAAAATGTTGACGATAATAATAATGATGATAGAGTTTTGTTTTTTTTTGTTTTGTTTTATGTTTTAAGGAGAAGCACTAAATGAGTTACTACATGTAAAGTGCTTAGTCCAATGCCTGACATAGGAAGCCTGTGGTAAATGACAATAAAATGCACATTACCTATTTTTATCATTACTGATTCAGAGTACAAACATTTTTGGACAATTGAAATATATTGCTAAGCCGTTTTCTGAAAGCACTCTACTAATTTATTCAGCCATTGGCAAAACTACTAAAATGTTATCTCTATTTTGATTTGTATTTCTTGGAAAACTTGCAAGGTTGAATATTTTTCCATATGTTTGGGTATAGATTTATCTTTTTTATGAGATGCACTTGAGAGTCTTCAAATTGTTTTTAATACCCCTGTGTCATTTGATCCTCCCTACAACTCAGTAGAGTTGGCAGAGCTGGTAATATTTACAATCGACTACAAAGAAAGATAAAAGTAAAGTTCTCGGAGGTTTGTTAAGTGGCTTGCCGAAAAGTCACTTGGCTAGCATCTGGCAGCACTGGAATTTGAACCAAAGTATTTTACTCTACTCTTGTAAATAATAAACAATTATACATAGAAGTGGCATCTCCCTGGCATTAAAGAGTTAACACAATTTAAAAATAAAACATAAGCAATGCCTAATTTTTCCTTGTAAAAAGTTTAAACCCTTAGGGAAATACGATTTAAACATCTTATAAGCTGTTTCCTTTAGCTCATTTAGAAACCACAAAAGAAAAATTATGCTCTAACTGGCTCCTTAAAATATGTATTAAATGGCACAGAATTAGCTGCAGTTTACAACTTGGAAGTAGTGAGATGGGCATGGTGGTGCATGCCTGTAGTTCCAGCTACTCAGAGGCTGAGACAGGATTACTTTGAGCCCAGAAATTCAAGGCCAGCATGGATACTATAGAGAGACCTTATCTCAAATAAATAAGTAAATATAAAATTAAAAATGAAAAACTACTTGGAAGTAGTTGTGATCTTATAAAGTATAATTTAATGGTTGCAGCCTATAGAATCTTTTTTGAATAAATAAGTAGATTTTGGCCATATTCCTGTGGCCTTCTGAACTTCTGTGTTCTTCCAGTGGAAAATTGAGGTCACCTGGGATGTTCAGCTTCTAAGATGTTTGGCAAGGAGAGCTGTTAGATTTCATACAATGGGCCAGTAGGCATACAAGAAAAATGTTCATTGTTGTAATTCACCAGAGAAATCCAAATTAAACCACAATGAAATTCTACTACACAGACATAAAATGAAAAATATAGATAACATCTAACATCAGAGAAGATATGGAGGAGCCAGCACTTTATGCGTCGCTGTTAGAATGTAAATGCTATAAGTACTTTAGAACACTTCTTTAGAAGTTAGGCACATACCGATCTGTGCTATACAGCTCTACTCCTAAGCATTTATCCAAGAGAAATGAAAACATATGTCTACAAAACTCTTGTGCAGAAATGTTCACATCGGCTTATTCATAATAGCCCAGTTGGGGGGACAGTCCTCCATTGGCCTCTCTTGTTTCTGCTTATTTTGCAAATAGAAGCACTGATTATCTTTTCGAGATGTTTCTGTAGCAAATAGTCTCAGAAGATACAGATAGGGTATCCCTATGGAGTATAGGGAAGTTTGCTTACTAACAAATATAATAAAGATAATATCCTCTCTGGAGCAAAGGTCAAATAGGCTTGCTTAAAGTCCTTTATAAAAGATTTGAGTTTCTGAAGCCCAGAGTTTGACTGATGTAACACAGACCCATTATGCCTTCTGCATCCACCTAGACCACTCTGCATTACCCCCACTGGACTTGAGGGAGTTGTGGGGAGGGGCCCAGTGCGAACATAATGACTGTGCTTGTTGCCGTGCTTGGCTCTGAACCAGGGGTTCCACATCTTCAGCCGGCACTCATGAAACTATGTCGGGCTAACTTGACACACGTACCCCAAACTGGAAATCACCCAGATGTGCATCAAAAAGAAAGTGAATTATCAAACTCTAGTCTGTACAATCAGTAGAATAATATCTATCATTTAAAAAAAGAATGGATTGTTGATATATGCAACAAAATGAATAAATCTCAAAAATTTTTGTCTGAGTGAAAGAATCCAGACCCCCAACCTACATATTGTATGATCCTATTTATTTGAAAGTCTTGAATAGACAAAACTAATTTATAGTGCTAGATAACAAAGCAATAGTTCCTTCTTAGTGGGGGGAGATTTCTGGGGGATGAAATATTCTTCATATTGATATGTATTTGTCAAAACTGATTAAACAGTTCACTTCTGAACGGCATACGCTGTATGCAGAATGTACTTCTATTAAAAATATTCACACATTGGACTGAGAGCCAAACAGCTGGAGTTCGGTAACTTGACTAGCCACTTGTTATCTGTATAACTTTGGGTAAGTTATTTAAATCAAGTCTCAGTTTTCTTGCCCATAAAGGGTCAATAATAGTAATAGCAAACACCTCATTGGATGGTTATTTCATTAAGTGAGATAATGAATGTAACGTGGTGAGGACAGTTTTGGGAGTGTAGAAAACATTGCATGAATGTGAACTGTTGTTCACCGCAGTACACTCTATGAATATTGGACAACCTGAATTTGGTAGTTATGGGAGTACCAACAGATGTATGTGGAGCAATATGTAGACTCCGTTGTAGAGAAATAAATATGCATTCAAATGCTAACTATTAAGGTTTAAATACCTAGCAGGATGTTTTTTTATTTTTCTTTAGTCCTGAGAAGAAGCCTGATGGGCCATAAAGTTAGGTTAGGGGACTGACTTGACTTTGAGCAGTGTGGCTTCCCAGATACTCCAAAGGGCCCCGAACAAGCTACAAGGTAGAGTTGCTAAATCTGAGACTCAAGCATGAAGCTGGAACTGCTTTGGGAGAAATAAAGTAGCAGCAGGTGGGTTTTGCCTTCTGGATTCCAGCAGGAATTATTTTCAAGAAAAGAATGTCTTCTTTAGGCCTGAGTCAAAAATTTTAAATTAAAATTAATCAACCCTTATTACCTGATAATTAAAGCTGATAAAACGCAAAGAAAACACTAGGAGTGAACGCCAGTGTAAACAAACATAATATATGTAAGTAAACCAAGGCATCTAGTTGTTTTTGTTTGTTTGTTTTGGAAACCGATTCTTGCTCTGTTGCCCAGGCTGGAGTGCAGTGGCACAATCTTGGCTCACTGCAACCTCTGCCTCCTGGGTTCAAGTGATTCTCCTGCCTCAGCCTCCCGAGTAGCTGGGACTACAGGCATGTGCCACCACGCCCTGCTAACTTTTTGTATTTTTAGTAGAGATGAGGTTTTACCATGTTAGCCAGGCTGGTCTCAAACTCCTAACCTCAGGCAATCTTCCCGCCTGTGCCTCCCAAAGTGCTAGGATTACAGATGTGAGCCACCATGCCCAGCCGGGCATCTAGTTTAAAAAAAAAAAAAATAGAAATAATAGATTTAGAATAAAACCATGCATGAAATAGATGAATAAATGTGGAATCCTACCAATGTGTTCTATCAAACGAAGGCTATCAAAAATGATAAAACACTGAATGGATGGGTTAAAAAAGATTAGACACAGTCAAAGAGAGAATGCTTGAACTGGAACATATATCTGAAAGAAAATGCAGCACAGGACAATAAAGGACAGCAAATATGGAAGTGTATGGAGGATAAGGGAGTTAATGCAACACTAATCAGCCCTGGATCCCAGAAGTGAATAATGAGAATGGAAAAGAAGGAATTTATAAACAGATAATGACTGAAGAATTTTCACAACTGAAGAAAGACAATAATCCATAGATCAAGGAAAGCCAGACTATGCCAACCAGAATTAAAAAATAAAGAAGGAAAGTAGAGAGGAAGGAAGAAACCTTCTATGGACACAATAATGGTGAAAATGCATGACTCTGAAGACAAAGAGAATATTTTATTATGGCCAGGTGGCAGTCTCATCTTCCAGTTCACTGGAATCATTTTTATGTAGCCTGGTTCAAACATTCTTATCTTGAGAATCAAGAAGTCTACATAAGCAGAGATCAAAGGTGCACCCATGGAAAACATTGTGTTTGCACATGAGTTATTTGGCATAATAGTGATGCACGTGTTTACACTTCCATTCCTTCCCAGAGCTCCGTGTTCTTTCTGATGGAGAAACAGCACTATATATTGGTTCCTGTTAAAAGCACATACCACCTCTTGTGGGATGTTGTCCCCACTTTGCAATGTGTTGTCTACTAGCTGGCACAATAACTGAGTCTTCAGTAAGCTATCCTGTCATTTTTGTTAGGCCAGGTAGAAGGGTATGTGGTGAGACAGACCAGTGAATCCTGTCATATCGCCTTACTTTGTTTCAGTATAAAGGTTATATGGTGAAAAATAATGTGAATGATGTCATGAAAGTGATTGAAGCATAAGTAATTCTATAGGTCATGATCCAAGTATCTTTTCCAATCTCTTCTGCTGAGCAGTTTTCTTCCAGGACTATTCTTGATAAAAGATATCCATGCCAAATTCATTGACACAACTAAAATATATTCCCTAAGGAATGTTGAATATCTGTAGAAGGCTTACAAAAAATGGGATTGAAAATAGAATTTTGTCTGTATTGTGATAAAAATGCTCTCATCCTGTCTCATCTGTGAATTCTTTAGTACACACCCAAATGAGAGAAGCAGCAGTTTTATTTCAATTGCATCCAATCTCTATACCAATATGGAGAAAATGGACATCTTAATATTGGAGACTTTAAATTCATCAACATCATATACCTCTCTGTTTATTTAAATCTTTGATTTCTCTCTTGTTTTCTTATTTCATTATATAGATTGTGTATATATTTTTGTTAAATTCAACCCTAAGTTTTTCATGTTGTCATGTCATTGTAAAAATAGTATCATCGTAATTCTTTTTCGATTGTTAACGCTACCATTACTGAAATAGAATTAACTCTGTATGTAGACCTTGAATATTATAAATTTTCAATGTTTATTACTTATAGTAGCTCATTTGTAGATTTCTTAGAATTTTTATATAGATGATCACATCATCTGACACAGTGCTTTCTTATTTCAGTGCATTTTGTCTTGCTTTATTGCACTGATGAGGACTTCCTAATACAATATTGAGTAGAAGTAATAATGGGAGTACCTTACTTTGTTCCCAATCATAACGTAAATCAGTCTGGCATCGGTGAATATGATCACAGCTGTAGAGATTTTGCAAATGTTTATAGACTTTCTGTATAATGTTGAAGGAGTTTCTTTCCATTTTCTTTGCTGAGTTTTGTTATGGGTGAATGTGTCAAATGGATGAATGTGTCAAAGGATATGTTTGTATCTGTTGAGATGATAATACTATTTTTATTTTTTAGTTGATATCACAAAGTATATTGATTCATTTTCAAATATTAAGTTTGCAGTCCTAGGATAAACCATACCTGATCATGATGTATCTATTTTTTATATAATGCTACATTTCATTGGATAATATTTTGCTAAGGAATATTATACCTATTTTTAATCATGAGTATTGGTTTATAGTTTTCTTCTCTGGTAGTGTCTTTTTCTGGCATTGGTATCAGATTAATGCTGGACACAAAAAAATGAGTTAGAAAATGTCCCCACCTCTTCTACTCTCTGAAAGAGTTCATGCATATTTTAGTAATGTTATATATTCTTAAAATATTTAGTAGAATTCACAAAGATAATCATCTGAGCCTGGACTTTACTTTCTGGGGAGATTTTCGAATGTATATTCAATTTATTTAACATATACAAGGACATTCAGAGTATATATTAGTTCTTAAGTGAGCTTTGTAGTTTATATCTCTTAAATTTTTTTTCATTTTACCTAAATTAATTTATTGGCAAGCAAAAACTTGTTCATAATGTTTCTTATTATTTATTTAGTGTCTGTTGCATCTGTAGTGATGAGGTTTCCTTCATTCTCTATATTTTCTTTTTTTTTTTGGGCGGGGGACAGTGTCTCACTTTGTTGCCTTGGCTGGAGTACAGTGCCTTGATCTCGGCTCACTGTGGCCTTGACTTCCAGGGCTCAAGCAATTCTCCCACCTTAGCCTCCCTGGTAGCTAGGACTACAGGTGTGTGCCACCACCCCTGGGTAGTTTTTTTATATTTTTAGTAGAGACGGGTTTTCACAGGCTGATCTCAAACACCTGAGCTCAAGAGATCCACCCACCGTGGCCTCCCAAAGTGCTGGGATTACAGGTATGAGCCATTGTGCCCAGCTATGCCTTCTATTTTCTTTCTTTACTTCTTGATTAGTTTGTCCTAGAGATTTATCAATTTTTTGTTTTGTTTTTAGAGATGGAGTTTCACTCTTGTCACCCAGGCTGGAGTACAATGGCACGATCTCAGCTCGCTGCAACCTCAGCCTCCCGGCTCCAAGAAATTCTCCTGCCTCAGCCTACCGAGTAGCTAGGATTACAGGCCCTTGCCACCACATCCGGCTAGTTTTTTTTTTTTTTTTTTTTTTTTTTGAGACAGAGTCTCGCTCTCTCCCCCAGGCTGGAGTGCAGTGGCACGATCTTGGCTCACTGCAAGATCTGCCTGCCGGGTTCATGCCATTCTCTTTCCTCAGCCTCTGGAGTAGCTGGGACTACAGGCGCCCGCCACCACACCCATCTTTTTTTTTTTTTTTTTTTTTTTTGTATTTTTAGTAAAGATGGGGTTTTGCCATGTTAGCCAGGATGGTCTCCATCTCCTGACCTTGTGATCCACCCACCTCGGCTTCTTAAAGTGCTGGGATTACAGGCGTGAGCCACCAGGCCCAGCCATGCCCGACTAATTTTTGTATTTTTAGTAGAGACGAAGTTTCACCATGTTGGCCAGGCTGGTCTCAAACTCCTGAGCTCAGGTGATCCACCTGCCTTGGCCTCCCAAAGTGCCGGGATTACAGGCGTGAGCCACTGCATCTGGCCTTATCAATTTTATTAACCTTATAAAAATAACCTTTGTTTTCTTTCTTGTCTGTGTTGTTTTCTATTTCATCTATTTCTACTGTTGTCTTTATATCCCTCTTTCTGGTAACTTTTTGTTTATAGTTTTTTTCTTCTTCTTTTCCAGGTTGTTAAGAACAGGCTTAGATTAGGGTTCAGCAGACTTTTTCTGAACTAGATAATAAACAGTTTAGGATTAGGGTCACATACAGTCTTTGTCTTACCTTCTTTTCTTTTTCTTCTATTTTTTAACCATATTGTTTAAAATTTAAAAGCCATTCTTAGTTTGTAGGACATAGAAAAACATGTCGTGGGCCATACTTTGTCTACCTCTGGCTTAGCTCATTGATTTGCAGCCTTCATTTTTTCATTATATAACAACTAATGCTACAAATTTTCCTGTTTTCATTATCAAAAGATACGGGATGTGGCTAAAGCAACTCTGAATTCTGTCATGCTCCTCTGAATATTGTGCTGTTTTCTAGAAGACAGTTACCTACAATCAAACTGCAAACTTGCCTCTCCTGCAGTCTACAGCTACTTATATATCTCTCCAACTCTTGCCATTTCACACTTCTGCTTTTTTCAGCCTGGACTTCTCTGGCCCTCCCCTGTGCCTATGAACTTTGCAGTCAGTCAAGTATTTGGGCACACATGGGGCTCACCTTCTGTGTTGTTTCCTTGCTTGCAGAAATACCCCTTATTTCCAGTTTCTCTGTTGACTTTGGAATCTATATTCTGGCCTCAGGTCTTTTATCATCATCATCATCATCATTTCACTCTTTATATATGTTATTTGCTTTAGTTTTTGGAGATCACTTCATGGTTTCTTTGGATACAATAGACATCAAGTCCAATGTATACTCCTTACAACTGTTATTTCCTTTCACACCAACCCTGTAGCATGACTTTTATTATTCATTTTTGTTTTCTAGATAACTAGCCACACAGCTGATAAGTGGCAGAACCAAAATTTGAGACTAACTGCAAAGCCTATCTCTTCTACTTTAAGCTTTTATTTCCTATTTTTAAAAGAGTGAGATAGTGCAGTCTATTTCATAGTGCTGTTGTATGAGTTAAGTGAGTTCAATTTTAAAGTTCCAAATTTGGTGCCTTCTCTTAGTAGATTTTTAAAAATGTTTTTGCACCCTCCTTTCTCTATCCACTTCTCTCTCCTATCCACTCTGTCACTAAGTCCTACTTAGCTTTCTACAAAATAATCTAACTCATAAATCAGTTATTTATTGTGCTAGACTCTGTGGGGAACAGATAATCCTCACTGCTACCGCTGCAGTCCAAGACATCCTCACCACATGCCTCAGTTTTTTAGATAGTACTAACTAGAGTTATTGCCTCCAGTCCTAGACCCTAAATTAATTAAATATATAAATTTATGGTCTTCTTCATTTCTTAACTCATAATGTTTATTGTCTCTATTATTTCTTTTTTTCTAAAATTGCATCTTGCCTGGCTTTATGTTCTTTTTTATAGCTGATTCACGTCTGCCTGGTTTCCTTCTTTTGCTTCTTCTTTCCTTTTCTTTCTCTTCGTGTGTTCCCCATCCTACATCCAGCCCGCCTCTCTCAACAGCCATAATATAACTATATAATTCTTTGTATCTTTGCATAGCCTAAGGCTAGGCTAGGGGCAAGTAGGGAAATTGTACAGAGAGACCAAACTTTGAGAATTAGTAGAAGTCTCTAATAATATAACATTTAAGCTAGAATTTGAGAGTAGTAGTTAGCCAGAATGAGACTTTTTCAAATAGAAGAAAGAGGAAATTAGAATATGCTTGAAATTTGTTTAAAAAAAAAAGGTCACAGAACATTAAATATAATGAGAAGGAATACGGCTCTAAGATGTGACTGAAGGGAGTCAGATTACACTGAGCCTCGTAGACTATGCTGAGGTTCTGATTTCCAAGTAAATGAAGTGGGGAACAGGTGAGGGGTTTCAATCAGGGGAGTGGCATGGCCTAGTTTGCAATTTAGTGGTAAGTTGACTACTGTATGAAAATCGTGTTAAAGAGGTGCCAGGATAGACATTGTGAGACCAGTGAGGAGGCCATACAGCAGTCCAGGTGAGATAGGATAATAACTTGGAGAAGGGCAGTGGTTGTGGAGATGGAGAGAAGGAGACAACTGTGCTAAGCATTTGGGAATCAGAATCTCTGTAATTTGGTCATGGGTGAGATATGGGGAAATGAGAGCAATCATGACACCCCCATTTCTGGCGTACACAGCTGAATGTATCAGTGAGAATCCAAGCAGAAATGATGGCTCATTCAAAAGGAATTACTTAAACAGAATCTCACAAAGGGATGATGTCCAAAAGTGCCAGAAGAGTTTCTTAAGGCAGTGAAGGACAGTGCAGTACCTCTGGGCAAATAACATAGAGAAACACCACTCCAAACCAGAAGGGGCAAGCAGACAGAGTGGTTACCAGAAACCTGGGAGAACAAATGTAAGGAGAGGCTACCTAACACGGAGGTAGCCAGACCAATAAACAGCAACACCAAACCACCCTCCTGCCCTTCAGTCTTCTGCCTGTGGCTCCCATTGACCAAATTAACCAGATGTCAAAAGGTAAGAGAGCTCTGTATTTGTTCATCAGAGTAAGTTTCTCAAGGTGTAGAGAATGGTGCCAGATTCATCTGGGGGACACACACAATATATACAGCACAGGAGCTGCCACATATTTATGTGAGCAAGATATCGGGGGTGGAAGGGGCAAGAGTTTAATTGTAGACATGTTGAATCCAATATACCCATAAGACATCCAACTAGAAGGGTTATGAAGGCAACTCAATGTATAGATGTAGAATTCGGAAGTCTATATCGCAGATACAAAGCATAAGTTCATCAGTGGTTGATAGTTAATGTCATTAAAATGAATAAAATTGCCCAGGAAGGAGTGAGTGTGAGAAGGAAAATATGGATCCCAAACCCTGAGACTCATAAGGAGGGACGTGAACACTGTTGGAATAAAATTGTCCATAGGTCTCTCATGTTTCTGTACATCTTGTGAGCAGAGACAATGACCACTTTTTTTCCAGACTACCTTTCCAAGGGCATTTGTATAGAAAAAATCTTTGGAAGCTGGAGATAGTGTTTCTCTTTAGAGCAAAGGTCAGCAATATTTACTGTCTGGAATCAAAGACCAGGCTTTCTAAGGTCGGAGTCCTCTCCTGTAACGTAGCCCATGGTGTCACTTGGCACTTTTTCTGTCAGCCTATGTGAATTGCAGCTCAAGGAACCAGAGCCAGAAAAGGTTGATACTCTGGCTACTACTGTTTCTGTGAAAGATAACACCTTTTGTCCCTGCCCATGCTGCTTCTGTCTTCCGCCAACACCCAAAACTGTGGCAGGCTAACTTGTGGGCTGCAGATATGGTAAAATCCCAGACCCTTCACAGTTTGTGACAAACAAGTCAAGACATACAGGGGTTAGGAATAACCCCTGTATTATTCTTTGTTGTTTTGCACAGGGAGAAACAAATTAGAGAATGCAAGTGGCATTGGGAAGTAAGAAGGACACTGATACATGGGGCTATGCAAGGGGGAAAATACTTCTGCTTAATAGAGCCCTGGGGGAAGCAGTGTTCTCAGCAAACCTCCAGGTTTTAGTTAAGGAAGTATTTGAAAACTGGGATAAGGTTGCATTGAGGAGTAGTCAATGTGGATTTGGAGTTCCAGAGAGCACAAAGTATTTGGAAAGACAGAGGGAGCTGGCTATTACTTCTGCTTAATAGAGCCTTAGGGGAAGAAGTGTTCTCAGCAAACCTCCAGGTTTTAGTTAAGGAAGTATGTGAAAACTGGGATAAAGTTGCATTGAGGAGTACTCGGTGTGGATTTGGAGTTCCAGAGAGCACAAAGTATTTGGAAAGCTGGAGGGAGCTGGTTGTTAAACAATAGAGAATTGGCACACAGGGATGAGAGCTTAGCAGATACAGGATCAGAGAGGCTTGTCCAGTGGGCAGTAAAGCTTCAAAGGGAGGCATGAATGATTTATTTCTGAGAATGTTCTAGAGGAGGGAAGTCACTTGAGCCTAGGAAAATGCAGGTGAACTTTGGAAGTGAATTCAAGTGTAAAGCTATCAACTCTAGCAATAGTGAAACACATCTGGCCCTTATTTTGGTAATTTATTTCTGACTGTGGGCTTGGAGACACTGGAAGTAACGCAACATTTCTTACAGCATCTAGTCACACAGAGAAAATAATGTTTCTCTTTGGGGATGACTATTTTTCCTTCCTATTTACAGTTGCAATCACTAGAGCTAGTCCAATATACCCATAAGACATACAACTAGAGATAAAATGGAGTGAAATCATGGCTTTTTAATTTTAATTTGAGTTTAGTTTCAAGAGTACATATGCAGCTTGGTTCTGTAGACAAATTGAGTGTCGTCGGGGCTTGGTGTACATATTATGTTGTCACACAGGTGATAAACGTAGTATCCGACAGGTAGTTTTTCAGTTCTCATCTTCTAGCCTCAAATAGGCCCCAGCCTCTATTGTCCCCTTCTTTGTGTCTATGTGTGCTCAATGTGTAGCTCCCCCTTATAAGTGAGAAAGTTTAATGTTTGGTTTTCTGTTCCTGTTTTAGTGTGCTTAGAATAGTGGCCTTCAGTTCCATCCTTGTTGCTGCAAAAGATATTATCTCATTCTTTTTTTATGGATGTACAGTATTCCATGGTGTATATGTACTACATTTTCTTTATCCAGTCTACCATTGATGGAAATACAAGTCAATGCCATGTCTTTGCTATTGTGAATAGCGCTGCCATGAACATGTGTGTGCATGTGCCTTTATGTTAGAACAATTTATGTTCCTTTGGGTATATACTCGGTAATGGGATTGTTTGGTCAAATGGTAATTCTGTTTTAAGCTCTTTGAGAAATGACCAAACTGCTTTCCACAGTGGCTGAACTAGTTTACATTCCCACCAGCAGTGTATAAGCATTCCTTTTTTTTCTGCAACCTCACCAGCATCTGACCATTTAATAATAGCCATTCTGACTGGTGTGAGATGGTATCTAATTATGGTTTTGATTTACATTTCTCTAATGATTAGTGATGTTGAGCATTTTTTTCATGTGTTTTGGTCATGAATATGTCTTCTTTTGAAAAGAAGTGTCTGTTCGTGTCCTTTGCCCACTTTTTAATAAGATTATTTGGTTTTTGCTTGTTAATTTATTTAAGTTCATTATAGATTCTGGATATTAGACCTTTGTTGGATGCATACATTGAAAATATTTTCTCCAATTTTTTGGGTTGTCTGTTTACTCCATTGATGGTTTCTTTTGCTGTGTAGAAGCTCTTTAGTATAAATAGGTCACATTTGTCAATTTTTGTTGCAGTTGCTTTTGTTATCTTCATAAAATCTTTGCCAGGGCCTATATCTAGAATGATATTTCCAAATTTTCTTAAAGAGTTTGTATAGTTTTAAGTTTTACATTTAAGTTTTTAATATATCTTGGGTTAATTTTTGTATATGGTGTAAGGAGGTGGTACAGTTTCAGTCTTCTGCATATGGCTAACCAGTTATCCCAGCACCATTTATTGAGTGAATCCTTTTCCCATTGGTCATTTTTGTCACCTTTGTCAAAGATCAGATGGCTGTAAGTGTGCAGCTTTATTTTTGGGCTCTCTAAGCTATTCCATTGGTCTATGTGTCTGTTTTTGTGTCAGTACCATGCTGTTTTGTTTACTGTAGCCTTATAGTATAGCTTGAAGTTGGGTAATATAATGCCTTCAGTTTTGTTCTTTTTGCTTAGGATTGCTTTGGCTATTTGGGTTCTTTTTGGTTCCATATGACTTTTAGAATAGCTTTTTTTTTTCTAATTCTGTGAAGAATGTAGTTGGTAGTTGGGTAGAAATAGCATTTAATTTGCAAATTGCTTTGGGCAGTATGGCCATTTTAACAATATTGATTCTTCCTATTCATGGACATAGAATACTTTTCTGTTTGTTTGTGTCATCTCTTATTTCTTTCAGCAGTGTTTTGTAGTTGTTTTAGATATCTTTCACCTCCCTGGTTAGCTATATTCCTGAGTTTTTGTGGCTATTGTGAATGACATTGCATTCTTGATTTGGTACTCAGTTTGGATGCTATTGGTATATAGAAATGCTACTAATTTTCATATATTGATTTTGTATCCAGAAACTTTGCTGAAATTGTTCTGGGAGCTTTTGGGCTGAGACTATGGGTCTTATAGGAATGAATTCACAGCATCTTCAAACAGAGATAGTTTGACTTTGTTTCCTATTTAGATGCCTTTTGTTTCTTTCTCTTGCCTGACTGCTCTAACTAGAACTTGCGATTATGACTTTTGTAAAAATAAACTTTGATAAAACTGATGGTTCTGAAATGTCCTTTCAAATTCTGAAGTGAGATTAATTCCCTTATGTCTTCTCTGTGTGCTTAAGGAGGTGAAGGGGCATGGTAGCAGTGAGATGCAATCATTCCATCCCCACAACATGCCTAGGTTTCATCCAGGAAGGGACTAAAGTCCCTTGGGAGTTAGATGAACCTTCCCATATAGCATAGCTTCTGCAATATGTGTGCCCCTTAATTAGATACATGGGAAGCACATTAATCCAAGAGCATCTGTAAGACTTGACATGAGAGTGGAAACCCTGGTTTTCAGCAGAAGTATTTGAGTAGAACTGTGAAAGCTGACAACATGTTGTATAATTATTTATATCTGTATCCCTCATCTTTAGTAGAGTGTCTCTGTCTGGTACATGGTAGATATCCTTAGATGCAACTAACTTCATCTCCTCTCTTGCCTCCCCCCCATACCCTCCCTGTTTCCCCCTTATATCATCTTGATCTTCTTTTTTATTTTCCTCATTTTCTTTTCCATCCTCCTCCTCCTCCTCTTTTTATTCTACTTCCTTCTCTTTTTCTGGTCTTCTCCCTCTTCTGTTTTTATTTTCATGAGCATCATGTGATCCTTCAGACCAACACAAAAGCAGAAAGAGTAGTGTAATGAATCACCATGTATCCATCACTGAACCCCAACAGCTGTCATAATCTGGCCAATTTATTTTTACAGATACCCTATACATATTTTTTTCCTCACCATTGGCCAATTCAAAGTAAACCTCTACATATGGTTTTATTTTAAACACTTCAGCATGCAACTTTAAGATATAATTGCTCTCAAAAAATGTACAATACACACAAAAGACAATAGTTCATTATCATCATGGAATAGCTAGTCTCTCCCTTCTCTCATAAATGTCTTTATAAAATTTTTTTTTTCACATCAGGATCTAAATACATTGCACATCCCACCTTTATTTGATATGTTTCTCAATTTTTTTGTAATCTAAATATGTTTCCCTCCGTTCTTTTACTTCTTGCCATTTGTCAAAACAGCTTATTATTGGGAACTGAATTTTACTTTTGATTGACATTTTCTTTATTTTCTGCATTTCCTGTAAATTAATACATAGATCCAGAGCTTGATCAGGTTTATGTCTCTCTCTCTCTTTCTGTGTTGATTTGGTTATGTATTTGACAGAATTTCTACCACTTGGTGGTATACATTTAGTATTGCAACACTTTAGAAAACACATAGAATCTGTTTCTTAATTTTGTGTGTTATTAACATAAGAAATGAGAGTAGTTATATTTAGAAGAGGGACTATTCTAGGGGCAAGACTACAAGGTGACATTTTCCTTTCTACTCTGAAAATTTATGTTTTTGTGAAGATTTTTGTTAATTGTTTTTTTACATGCCTACATACGTATGCAATGCCATTTTCCAAACTAACAAACAAAAAACTTGCTAATGTCAAGAACAAAACAGGAGGAGGAAAAAAGATTAAGCTATGGTTCCAGTGTTGTCAACCTGATCTATTCACTGCAAAGTTCACATCATCCTTTTATCTCATGCTTTTAGCAACGATTGATGGTAATTGCACAGATTCGTTTTTCATCTGGCTTCTTAATGCATTTGTGAATAAACAGATTCATGAATGTCCTGAAAGTTCAACCTGAATACAACTCCTGGGATGGCATAAACAGAGTTTCAGAGTGGTACAACCTCCTTATTGAAGGAGGTTTGGTTGAGGAATGAGCTAAGAGGACAGGCATCTATAGAGACATTTCTTTAAGTCTGTTCTAGAAAGAATACTTTTTCAATGATTCTATGGCTTATAGAAGAGGAGCAATCAAAATTGTTGAAGTAGAAATTTGGCTTAAGAAAGCTTAGGAGAAGGAAATCTATGTAAGACATTGAAACTGAATCTCTGTGCTTCTTTAGGAAACCATATCTTTTTGTTTGTTTGTCTGGTAACAAGGTATATTAAGTTTTCTTATGTCAGTTTTAGTGACAAACGGTGTTTTTACCTTTACTGAACAGATTGGCATTACCCACAACAAATTGCTCTTGGCCATAAAGTCCTTGGTGGAGTCTCTCAGGACACCTTTCACATGTTTGGAGTGTGTAAACATTGAGACTGAAACATTCCTCCTTTCAACCTCAGTCCCTGTGTGCATTGTACCTAAACATATCCCCACCATCCACCCCCTGCTCCCAACACACATTTATTCACTGCATGTATCTTTCCTTGCACTTACCTGAAAATTGAAAATGGAATTGCAGAAGAAAACACAGTTTTAAGTGAAGATGAATAGCCCCCCAGGAAGCATCCTAGTTGAAAAATGCTTAGAAATAATGGGTTTTGGCTAGACAGTTTTTCTCCTTTGCTGTAATTCTTTTTGAGTCTTTAACAGAGCACTCAGTACTTCTGCAGAACATTAGGATGTTAATGGTTCAATTGCAATCAAATTTTGGTCATTTAAGCTGGACGATCAATGGGTAAGTCATCTGGCCTTTCTGCGTTGTTTTCTTCCTTCCTCTGCTGGCCTTGTGTCAGTTGTTCTGGGCGTTAACTTTTCCACCCAAAGGGAAGTCAAGCAAGAATACAATGGTGGTTGTCAAAACCATCCATTTCCTCCTTGCAGGAAATTCTGCTGAAACATTCAGTAGGTATAAGAGGATGTAAATAAAAATCATGGCCCGCATGAACTTTTAGATTACTTATGGCTCTAAACTAATATTGAAAATGAAAAGAATTAAAGGAGGACAAGACTGTCCCTTTTCCCTGTGTGGATAGGGAAGAAACCATTTGGCTCATTTTTTATAATGGGCAATGAAGTAACAGAGAGGCAAGAAACGGAAGACAAATGGAGAAAATAATATTAATAGTACTTATCCCAGAAGTGTGCTGTGAGGGTTAAAAAGTCAAATCATGAAAAGTGCTTCCACAGGACCTGGTGCACAGAAAGTTCGCAATTAACACGTGCTGCGGGTGGTGCTGTGACCCCCTGTGAACCCCAGCATTCTTTTCAGGAGTCGCTCATCACATTCAATTCTCACTTATCTTCACCTGCAAATAGAGGCACAGCAATACTGCAGACATTTTGGCTCATTCCAGACCTGACTTTGCTTCTACTGATAATTCTCACAAGGCCATAGGATTTTACTCTGGGATTCTCTAAATGTGGACACTATGAAAGATGCACCAAAGTCAACTTCAATATAACACAGAATCTTAGTTTCACATTAATATTCATTTTATACAGAGAAATGCATACCCTTGAGGGGGAACAATACCCAGTTGACAGAGTTATTTATCTGTTTATCTTTAAATATTACAAAGCTGCAGCAGCTTTGTAATAAGGCTTGCTGGGTTACTGTAGCACTTTCAGAACCCAGCAACATTCTGTAACACTCCAGGATATTCACCCTGCTGTCCCTGTGTCCCCTTCACCCAGAATATAGCAGTTTGTCACAAATCAAATATGCCCTGACTCTCTTTTTCAAAGCTCTTGTAATACATTCATTTACTATTTATTGAAGCATTTATCACTTACAATAGATCCAAACATCAATATTTAAGTTAATTGTATGCTGTTACTACTCAGGACTTCAGCCTCAAGAAATATTTAAGTTTGAGGCTTTACATTCAATAAAATTGTGTAATGCAAAGTCTAAAAGCACTGCCAGCACAAGTGTACACAGCTTCAGATCAGACTTTCCAAAGCAAATCACTTCAATTAATGTTTGAAATAAAAATTTCAATTATTCACTCCCTTAAAACCACATGAGAAGCCTTATGCTGGTTGTTCAGATCTGCTGAATCTTTCTGGCATCTGTGTGTCTCAGTCTACATTAGTAAACATCTTTGATTTGTTTTCTCATAACTCCATCTCTTTCTTTTGGTTTTCCTTTTGAAACACGATTTTGTTGTTGTTGTTTTTGGTCTTGTTTTTTTTTTTTTGTTTTTTTTTTTTTTGAGACGGAGTCTCATTCTGTAGCCCAGGCTGAAGTGTAGTGGCGCGATCTCAGCTCACTGCAGCCTCTACCTCCTGGGTTCAAGGCAATTCTCCTGTCTCAGCCTCTCGAGTAGCTGGGATTTCAGGCACACGCCACAGCCCGGCTAATTTTTGTGTATTTGGTACAGACGAGGTTTCACCATGTTGGCCAGGCTGGTCTTGAACTCCTGACCTCAGGTGATCTGCCCACTTCGGCCTCCCAAAGTGCTGGGATTACTGGCGTGAGCTACCTTGCCCGGCCAGGATTTTTTTTTATATTAACAATTTCAAATCCATTATATCTTTCATTTTCCATATCTTTTTTATCCTAATAATTTGCTGATACATTTTAACTAAGGCATATATTCTGAGGGAGCAGTATGCTGAATGGGCAAATTAAACAGGTCTTTCAAAGAAAAGATCTTCCCCATAGCATGACCATTAGAAATTCTGAGAGTGAAAGAATTTATGGGTTATTCTTGTGTAATGCAACTGACAATTTATTCAACAGAAGGTTAAAAGAGTGTGCCTTTTAAAGATAAATACTGGACTCTGGGTAAAAGTAATAATGAGAAGAAAATCGGGAGACGTGAAAAGTTAAGCTTTGCATACTAGAGAGGTAAAAGATAATGCTTCAGAGTTCTCATTTTATCTAAACCGCAGACTCTTTCCTAGAAAACGTGATGAAAAGGATGAACCTCCTCCAAATAAAGAATATAATAATGTCTTATTAAATCACAGAGATCAAAAGAACGTCCTGTTAATGAAGAATTAATTGAAAAAAAAGCTGATTTTTCTTTGGTCCACTTCAAGCTATGTTGTTGAAAATATCTCTTAACATTGTATTTCAGTGTGTGTGTGGGTGTGTTTAATGCTAGTCCCTTAGAATTTTGTAAATGGGTATATGAATAAGAAGTGTAGTAGTTAAATAAACCTGGAAAATACTGACGATCAAGCTTTAGTAAATGGGTGAACCATTTCATGTATTACTCGGAAGACCATGTGGAGGGTGATTTCAAGCTTGGCTAACTCACAGCTCAGTTGCATTTTCACTTCCCTATCAAGAATTTATCCTTTGTCACTGGTATGCTATGGTCTCCTCAGGACTACAAAATGACTGGAGTAGTTGCGGGGTGCGTGGGCCGGGTGTGGTGTGGGGGATTTTTGACACAATTGACTAATCTCTTTGTAAGAATAAATAAACTTTCTCAGAAGTTCCCCAGCAAACTCTTTTTTTTTTAATATTTATTTTATTTATTTTATTATTATACTTTAAGTTTTAGGGTACATGTGCATAATGTGCAGGTTAGTTACATATGTATACATGTGCCATGCTGGTGTGCTGCACCCATTAACTCATCATTTAGCATTACATATATCTCCTAATGCTATCCCTCCCCCCTCCCCCCACCCCACAACAGTCCCCGGAATGTGATGTTCCCCTTCCTGTGTCCATGTGTTCTCATTGTTCAGTTCCCACCTATGAGTGAGAACATGCGGTGTTTGGTTTTTTGTCCTTGCGATAGTTTACTGAGAATGATGATTTCCAGTTTCATCCATGTCCCTACAAAGGACATGAACTCATCATTTTTTATGGCCGCATAGTATTCCATGGTGTATATGTGCCACATTTTCTTAATCCGGTCTATCATTGTTGGACACTTGGGTTGGTTCCAAGTCATTGCTATTGTGAATAATGCCGCAATAAACATACATGTGCATGTGTCTTTATAGCAGCATGATTTATAGTCCTTTGGGTATATACCCAGTAATGGGATGGCTGGGTCAAATGGTATTTCTAGTTCTAGATCCCTGAGGAATCGCCACACTGACTTCCACAATGGCAAACTCTTTCCTTATATCTCATTGGCTAGAATTGTATCCTATCCCTTGTTCCTAAACCAGTTCTTGCAGAGGAGATTGGATTGGCTTAGACAAATCAGGATTAACTCAGTGAAAAGTCCAGAAATCCTTACTCACATTGGTGGCCTCCAATATCTGAACAGAATCAGATTTCAGTTGGGAGAGGAGGAGTAGGGATGGTATATGAGTAGTCAAAGACTCAGAGGTTGGCAAATAATTGTGACTGCCACACTAGGGAAAATAAAGCCTAAGTCCTTTTTATAAAACATAAACTTGTCACTTCTGATTTTGTTGATATAAGGCTACATTTTCAAGTCCTATTAGCTCCAAAGACAAATTTAATACGTAAGTCTTCTCAGAGCCTTTAATATGTTAACATACCTGGAGACTCTCTGAGAGAGGGATAAAGCCTGCAATGTTTCACAGATAATAAAATATTTTATTATGTAAAATAATGCAATTATTTTTCAAGGCATTCTCTCCAGGATGATTGTCTTTATTAGTGTAGTTTAGAAATGGGTCCCCTCAATTATTAGTCTGAACCTATTTCATAGTATATATTTTATAATGGTCGAAATGCCTCCGAGATTGCCTTTTCTAAGTTCTATAAAAAATAAGAGAAATTTATAAAGTAGCAGGTTATAAAATTCATATTAAAAATGAATAGCCTTAAAAAATAAATATAGTAAAATGGTAATGTTAGAATTTAGTTAGTGGGTTCACTCTAAAGTTCTTTTAACATTGCTCAATGTTTGAAATTTTTCATAATAGAAAGTTGGAAAACAGTAAAACAGCCACAACGTAGCAAAAAATAGCTTTTATATATAGATGAAATACCAGTAAAATGATTCATGAAAAATAACACCATACTTATAATAGCAAAAATGAATAAAACATCTTGGCTAACTTTGCAAGAAACATTCAAAACCTATGTGAGAAAAACTTTAAACACTATTGAGAGAAGCAAAAGTAGACTTGAGCAAACGAAGATACAGATAGGAAGATTCAACTTCAGCAAGGCTTCTGTTCTAGGTGAGTTTATTTTTAAATACAACAGAAACCCAATAAATGGACCACCAAGTTGCTAGATTTTCTTTCTGAAGATAATGGTTAATAAATTTTATTGGAAGAAATAAATTATTCAGAAAAATCTTTAAAAATCAACAAATCTGGCACAGAGGGGCTTGCTCTGTCAGTTATTAAAATATGTTATAAAGCCTTTATAATTGAAACTCTAGTTTGGTGCATGGATAGAGAAAGTAAACCATGAAACAGATTTTAAAATATCCAGAAATTTGACCCAGTCGCATATGGAAATTTGACATATAGTAAAGGCAGAACCTCAAATCAGCAAGAGAAGGTAAACTGTCATGTATTACAATAACTGCATAGCTATATGGTAAGAGATAAAATTTTGATTCATTTCTCACATTGCATAACAAAATACGTTCCAAGTGAGTCAAATATTTAACTTAAAAAATTATAGAGTACTAAGAGAAAACATGGATGAAAACTTCTGTACTCTGGAAGTGGGCTCATTTTTTTCTAACCATGATTCAAAATCCAGAAGTATTAACAGAAAATTAAATCAATGCATTTTATTAGAAAGAAATGAATAAATTTTTATTTGGAAAAAGATACCTAAAGGAGGTAAAAGAATAATGACAAACTGGGAAAAATATTTGCAACTTAATCTCAAAGAGTTAATATATCTAATTAAATTTAAAAAGAGAAGAGAATGGCCAATAACTTTTTATCAGAATGGCTTATTTATGAACAGTTTACAAAAAAAGAAACAAGTTTCATCTTTCCACATGAAAGAAGCTCATTTTCCTTTATAACAAGAAAAATGCAAATAAAAATACACTGTGGTAGCCTTTCTCACGTACCTGATTGACACAAATTAAAGTTCGACAGCATACTCTGTTGCTGAGGTTGCAGGGAAACAAACATTCAAATCCATTGCTGGTGGGACAGCAAAATGACACAACCCTTTTAGAGTGGAATTTGCCAATATATATAAAAAATACACATGAATTTACCCTTTGACAAAACTCCTCCACTTCTCAAAATTCTTCCCCAAAATACTCAGGCAGAACATGAAAAACACATACAGGCATATGCAGAAGGCTGTTCTATACTTTTTAGACTGTTAGACATGATTGTTATTCTAAGAATGTTATCTGTATATTATGGGATAAAGCAAATGAATAATCATAACAGTATCATTAAGAACCAAGATTGTCCTCATGAGAGAAAGGAAGTAGAGATTTAAGAGTGTCAAGGTTAAGCAAAAACTCTGTAGTCCTGAATTTGAATGGGAAATAGCTGCATAAATTCATGATAAATTTTATCTTTAAAAAAAAATCCTATACTATATACACTGAAAAACCCTAGATCCCGTGACAGGCAGTGAGCATAAAGTTGATTTGGTATTTAAATGAGATACATATAAAACACAACTCTCTGGCATATGAGATATTAATGGTGCTCTGAAATGGAAAAATACAAATTCAAGTAAATTTGGGAAATTCTGAATTTCCCTCTTGGAGGTTACATTTTATGTTATATGTTAAATGTTCTGGAAAAGTCAGTGAAGCAACCTAAAACATTTTAGCACAGTGGCTGTCCGGAACCCTTTGTGTGTTTTGCAGGAAAAGGGGTTGAGGTTGTAGAACTCTTATTGTGAGGTTGTAGAACTCTTATTGTTTCTTCACTACACAAATGTGCCGTAGGAAACAATTTGGAAAATATTGCTGTGAAAGTGAAATGCAATTTGTGGATAATTCTTCTTCATAGAGGGACAAGAGGTCTAGAGAGAGCTACTGGTGTCGTGTACTTAATGAATGCATAATTTAATGCAACAAGTGTTATTTAGTATCTACTGGATGCTAAAGGCTATGTTCAATGGTGGGGATCCAAAGGTAAAAACAAGAAAAATGTCTTGGACACCTGGTAGAGCATTAAAATATGATTCTATATTGACAGTGCTATAAGCAAGATTTGAAATGTTTTACGGGAATGTTGAATTGCGACTGAGCGCCTCGGTGTGACAAACAGTTGGGAATTAAGTATGATGGTGAAAGCAAAGAGGAAGGATCTCCCTGGCAAAGTAAACAGCATGAGCAAAGATAGTTTAACAGCAACAATAGTCACACCTATCTGGAAGAATAAAGGAAAATAAATGTGAGAGGGTAGGCAGGGTCCAGGTAATGAAAAGAATGTGGGCTTTGGGGTCTGACAAGCCTGGGCCATCATCATTGCTCTACCTGTAAATGACCTTTGGAAGGTGATTTAACCTCTATAAGGCTCAGCTTTCCCACTGGTATCATAAGGATAAAAAAAATTACCTCACAAAGTGATGATGACATAAAAATCCCACATCCACAGCTTTCAACACAGTGTGGGCACTTAGTCAATATCAGTTGTTATCATTATTAGGCAGATGGGAGCAAAATGGTAAATATCTACTGTGACCAGTGAAAGGGATCTGGATTTAATCTGTAGTCAGCAGACAGCCATTGAGGGACTCTTAGTGTAGGAATGATGTGACTAGCTCTGTAGTTTGCAAAGGTGAACGTGGAGGAATGAATGGATGAAAGGAGACATTGAGCATTGCACGTGATGGAAAATGGTGGGAGGCATAAAGAGGCCATTGGTGGAGTGTTTGACACTGTTCAGTACTTCACAGGTAGGACTGCTAGAATTCATTAGACTTACATATGTGAGAGCTGGGATTGTGAAAGGGAAGAGAAAGAAAACGGACATCAGTGTTTCTAGCCTGAGCATCTGAATCTCCAGTAATACTAACAATCGAGACAGGCAACAGAGACGGTACAATAGGTGTGTAGAAAGTAATGAATTCAGGTGTGGAATTTAGTTTGTTTTCTGTCATTATCCATTTGACCTTTCTAGAGTAAGCGAGCTTTTCAGGTTCGAATGTGGCAACCCAGCTTCTGATCTCAAAGATCCTTTTATTCTAAGGGACCACTATATTTTGAATAGTATGTAAGGTGTCACAAAGTAAAATACTACAAGCTATTAGAGAAACCTAACATGGTAGCTGGATATGGATACCAACTGGCTATCACGTGGTAGGCAAATGTGGCTTGAATTACTGTATTTATCGAAGCAGTGTTTTCTTTAAGCATAATTGAAAGTTTACTTTTAAATTTGGACATTCTACTCAATGCCAATTTGTGTGTGTGTGTGTGTGTGTGTGTGTGTTTCTTGTTTTAATGTGCAGGACAGGAGAGAATTGGAAAAGATTCCAACTATGAGCAGGAGGGTAAAGTCCAGTTCGTGATTGACGCAGTCTATGCTATGGCTCACGCCCTTCACCACATGAACAAGGATCTCTGTGCTGACTACCGGGGTGTCTGCCCAGAGATGGAGCAAGCTGGAGGCAAGAAGTTGCTGAAGTATATACGCAATGTTAATTTCAATGGTGAGTCTCCAAAAATCCATCCTTTTTGGAATCCTAAGTGTTGGCATTCTGTTTCATAAGTTTTAAATGTCTATTATTATTTACTTTAAAATATGTGTCAAAACTTGCTTGATTATAAAACTTTAAATGATTGAATCAATGCATGAATGAGCAAATGAATGTAAGAATGAGTTAAGATATATTTGGGGGTTATGGTTTGGTCTCATTTTCTTGAAATAGAGATTTTTTTTTTTTTTTTGCACTATGCCAAATTCTTCTTTGGTGAATTTAGGTGGGTATAGGATGGAAGAGGAAGGGAAAGGAGCAGTTGCTGTAGGTACCTCTGAATATGGAAAAACTGAAGTCATTTTTCCTCTGCTCTCATACCACAACAGGAATTCACACAGAAGACTTCTGTGACCAAATGTCAGTGGAGAGGTTTCCCCCACACACCAAGCTAGCAATAAATTCTGCAGTGGACACAAGCTGACTGTCCTCTACTTCAATTCCTACATGATCTATCTGGCATGCTGTGAAACCCCACAAGTTGGAGGCTTAGTTCCCAAGACTCTTCCCCTTGCCACTTGCAATGACAGTGGCAAACCCTAGGTTGTTTTGTCTGGGCTTCTGATGGTCCGGCTATAAACTGGAATTTTCACAATCTCCTCCTCAGGTTTGATTAATTTGCTAGAGCAACTCACAAAACTCAGTAAAACACTTACTTAAATTTATTACAAAAGGTATTTTAAAGGACACAAATAAACCTCCAGATGAAGAGATCCTAGGGCAAAGTCTGAAAGGGTCCTGAGAGTAGGAGTTTCTGTCCTCAGGGATTTGGGGTGTGCTGGCCTCCCCTGCACAAAGATGAGTTCTTGCTCACTTTCCTGTCAGCCTCCATGTGTTCAACTCTGAACCTTGTCCTCTTGGGCCTTTTATGAAGATTTCATTGGAATAGGCATGATCGACAACCACGAAGAAATGTGACTGTACACAAAGGGTATAATCTAATACTAATAGGCTAAGCGGGAATACCTGGTGAGGCCTGTCTGTCCAGATCCTTCTTGGTCTATCTGTGCAACATTTCTTCCTCCAGGATATGGGGCAGGACCCTTCTAAAATGACGGGCTGATAGCGTATTAACAAAAAGGTGGAGGAAGGTTAGAATGCTGCCTTGGGCTGGTAAAAGGAGGGCAGGGTAAGGTCAGAAAGAGAAATTGTTTTCTGAGGCCTAAAGTGCCCCAACATTATAACAAGGGCTATGGTAATTATGAGCCAAGAACCATACATGAAAAGCTACACACACACTCTCTCTCTCTCTCTCTCTCTCTCTCTCTCTCTCTCTCATAAACTAACATCACAATACTCAAGTTAATTGGGATAATATTTGTAATTTGCCACATCAACCATATTTCAAGTTTTAAACATATTTCTCAAAGTACAAAACTCTTTTATAAATTGATAGGTTTCCTAAAAGAGGTGGGTAGAGATAAGTGAAAAAATGGGCCAATAGGATAAAAGACATAGGAGAAAGCACACTCTGATAATGTCTGTTTGAATAGTCTCAACTCTTACAACATCTTAATGTTTCACATGCCAACAGCTAAATAAGTAAACTTGAATGTATGAGCAATGCAACATTCAACACAGACAGTAACAAATAATCATAATTATATTATAAACAAATTGTGTAACTGAAGTGAAGGAGGGTGAGGAAGAAATAATGAATGCAAGTAATTTTGGAAAATAGTATCTGACTATATAAGGCTGAAGACAAAATAACTGTACACATATATTAGACAATATCTAGTAAATCTGTATTTTTCTCACAATTCTGAAGCTAATCTATGTATATAATGGGACTGAGAAAATAATTATATATATTGCGGATAATGAGAGCCAGGTTTCTCATTATCCAAGATAAAAATCCCTAACAAGGAATGAGAGAAATATAGAATGAACCCTGTTGTGTTGGATTACAATATGTATGGTTTTTAATATACATGCAATGGGTAAATATAGAAGTAAATTTTACATGTATATTATATATACCAATTCTGCCTGGCTCTGTTCCCTGAGAGGGCCTGAGAGCAATGGTACACTGGTAAAAATGAGCACATGTAGCACACATATCTTATTTATAAATACCATTGTTAAATTAAAAAGGTTAAAAGAACCCTTAGAAAATGGTTGGGACCAGGGCTAGGGCAGGGAAAGTCCAATATAAGCTGGAGACATGCTGTACCAGAATATAAGAAAGTTCTCAAAAACTGAAGTGGTCATGTTGAAAGGGCACAGAAACCAAATTGGAAGAGATCCCATTGGCCAACTCTGGGACCCCAGTGGATTATAACTCATAAAATAAATAACCATGAGTCCATACTGATATCAGTAAACACTTGAACTAATTAAACAAATACAAGAGAATAGGCAGCATGATGGAATAAAGTTAAGATGGAAATACAAAGTCGCCCTTTTGTAAAGACCTAAGTAGTAATTTTTTTAGGCAAGAATCATGGGATGCTAAAAGTATTGGGTTACAGTATGATGAGAAACAAGATATTTGCATAGCCCTCAAAGTACCTTTCACCAAGATACATATGAATAACCAAAAACAAAATAGTAGCTCTGTGGTGGAGAAAACTGGGAGATAGCACGTAAAAGAGGTAATCAAGGTGGACATCATCACTTATGAGACTCATGAACATTGTGTGCCTTTTGATATGATACACTGGCATGCTTACAGCATCGCTTCTGAGGTTTTACTGCCAAAAAGCCTACCTTAAATCTAATTTTAAGGAAACATCAAACAAATCCAAATTAAAAGATGTTCTATAAAATCACTGGCAAGTACTTTTCAAAAGTGTCCAGGTCATGAGAATAATAGATAAAGGAACTGTTTCTGACTCAAAGAGACCAAGGAAGTACTACTGTCAAATGTAATGGGGAAATACTGATTAATCTTATGCTAGAAAAAACACTAATGGGAAGGTGGAGGAATTTTAATAACATTTACAGATTAATTTTAGTAGCATTCCATCAGTGTTAACTTACTGGTTTAGATATAGTATGATTTTAAAAAACTCTTTACTTTTTTCTCTTAATAACAACTCATTTAAAACGCACAACATTGTATCAATCTTCAGGAGTTGCCTAGTATCTGAATGAAGAGGCACCACATTCAATATGGGGATCATTAGTTTCCTAATTTTGATGGAGAGAAAGAAGGTCAACTACAAGTTATGTTCTTTCTGTATTTTTTTCTTGATGTTGCAGAATTTCCTAATACTTGTATAACCAATTTTCCCAGAGTCAAACAATATAAATTTTATTTTTTTCAAGCATCATATTTCATTTGCTGAGGTCAGTTTCTGGATTTTTTATTCTGGTTCATGGATATGTATGAACATTCTTACACTAGCGACAAAAATAAAATTTGTTAGGTGAGTTTTCTTGATGGTTCTTCCCTGATTCTTCTTTTAGAGAATGATTATAGACCATTTTGTCTAGATGGTCTTGTCTGTTGACAAGCCAAAATGACTGAGCTATCCATAGGGCTTATGTTTATTAAGTGGTTATTGTGTGCCAGAAACTGCTAAACATTTTATGCATTGGCTTATTTTATCTTTAAAACCTCATAATGGTTTAGGATGCTATTTTTTTTTCCTTTTTTTTTTTAACAGATAAGGAAACTGATTCATGGGGAATTTAAGAATTACGATATTCAAATCCATACAGCTAGGTAGCGATGATGTTATACTTGAGACACAGGACAACTAAGTCCACAATCTGCTTCCTGGAATGTTATTCTTCAAGTTGCTGAGAGGAAGGGCTTCCTGCATCATTCCTGCTGCCTCCTCTTAGATCTGAGGTTGCATGGGAATTTCAGGAAGGGCTAATTTTCTCTCTCTCTTTTTTTTTTTGTCATCATTGTAATCACACTCTATGGTCAACAAAATCTTCTTTCTCTGAGGATATATTTTTCTTCCATATGACAGCTCAGAGACTTCTGGCTCCCAAGACACTGCAGTATTCATGGATGACAGTGCTCAAAAGTTTTGTAAAGCAAAGAAGCTGTGCTAAATTTAATCAGTGGGTCCTATGTCACTTTACGGGAGCAAAGCTTAGAGGGGAAAAAAACTTGACATGTTTTACTCATTCAATTTTCTGACTTTCGGTTAAAAAATCAAATCCTAGAGAAAAGAAAATATTTGTCCAAGACTCCATAGCTAGCAAAGGACAGAGACAGATCTAGAACTCAAGTCTTTTTCCAATCCATTGTGAAAAATTTAAACTTTATATCGCATGTTTTAGGAGGATATTGATTTTTCTTTGTTTCAAGAAGCTTGAGATTATGTTTCACTGTTACATTAGTACAAAATTTGCTGTATAGGTAGGAGTTCTGTTCCAGATAGCAGAGTATAATTTAATAATTCTGGTCTTCACATTTGCCAAAGTAGCAATTTAAGAAATGATAATATCGTACCCTAAAGGCATTGATACAGTTTCATCAAGTATTTAGCCTCCTCTTATGCATTGAGGAAAGAAATGGGTAATTTAGTTTTTATCATGCCTAGATATTTTTCCTGCATCCCAAATCAAAGCAAAGTCCCAAGCCTAAATTCATTTTAGTTATCTTTATGTTGGCCCATCAAATATAAATTTAAGTAATTTGGTGTCTTGATTGTAAAATCTCAAATAATAGCTATAGAAAGAAGGATTTCATCTGAAGCATGTCTGTACTTCAATTTACTAGTTTCTAGAAAACAAATTGGAGTAGGTTATATTTTGTAGAGATGGCAGATCTCACATGCTTTTTTTGCAATATGATGTTAGCTTTCCTTCATCAAGAGGTGAGATTTATTTTTCCTCCCTTTGAGTGAGCCTGTGACTAATTTGGAAGTAGCACTGTGACTTCTAAGGCAAAATGTTTTTGTCTAGTTTTGTTAGAACATTTGGACTATAAGCATGGCTACCATGCTGGGAAGAAGCTTAGATGCCCCACTGATGGGCCACATGTAGCCACATATTCTGGCTACAACCCCAGTTGAGTATCCCACCGGTTAGCCAATATCAACTGTCAGACATGAGAGCCTCGAATTGCCCCAGCTGACATGAGTGGACCAGAGAGCTGCTGTCCCCACAGAGCTCTGACCAAATTACAAAATATATGTTGCCACTGTTTTGAGTACTAATATTCAGAGTGGTTTCTTGGGCAGAAAGAGATATCAGGAACCCGAACAAATGCAACGTTCCTGGAATCTGTGCATGGCGTGGTAAAATGAGAACAGAAAATGTGTCTAGTAAATACGTTGATGCAGAAGACTGGTTTATTATCTGGGCTATCTGAATCTCTATTCCTTCTCTGTCCAAGAAGAAAGAAACTCAGATACTCTCATCCAGTAGGGGAGATTTCGGGCTTCAGTACAATCTGTTATCTGTCCTTTACTGTCTGTTACCCATCTTGTCAGGTGACCCTATTTCTTTTGCCCTAGTGTACCTGCATCTTGGCTCTAATGCCTTGTGGGCATCTCTGTGGGGAATCATTTCCCCTTTGGTGAATTCTTTATCTCCTCTGGACTTTTTTAAAATATAGAGTTCATTGAACACAATGCTTCTTATTCTGTTTTAAGAAGTTCATGGATGCTGTTAAAAAGGAGATGTGGGGATTAAAAACTGGAAATAATAAGACAGCTGCATTAGAGAATCCATCAAAAAGGCCAAACCCACACAATGTGCTATTACAAGTCATCACTTAGATAAAGTATGCAGCTCTTCTGCCTTAATTTTTTTAAAACCGGAACTTTAATGAGAATGGAAAGGGCGTGACAAGACCGTTTCTTCTAACTAAGATTGCAAGAAGGGAAAAAGATTAGGTGATGGGGCCCATTCTGATGAATATGTAGCTGGTGCACTTGAGTTCCTCTGGAGCCCCAGGCCTCCCATATTCTTCCTTTCTCCTCTCAAAGACTATGAAAATCTCAAATCATGTTGTTTAATGAATAGAAGCTATAGAATTACAGTAAAGCACATGAATGCTAGTATCCAATGTGAAAGAAAAAGGTGAGTATCTCAATAATAATGTCTTCATGCAAACTGACAGGATTCTCATTTCTTTGCTAATAACATGTGAAATCCAGATTTTATTTCTTCTTCTTATATGCTCGCAAGACTTGTTGAAATCAGAAAGCCAATATTAAAAATCTTTTGTTGTTATTGATGTTTTTGTTGTCATTATTTTCTTCCTATACTGGAAAGACTTGTGTTGATTCTTACACACAGCAGGCTTAAGAGATCCCTATTATGATAAAGTGGGTGCCTTTGTGGTCTATGGGGGTAGTGTCTAGGTAAAAGACAGAAAAAAACAAATTGAAATGGTGCTTTGGCCACACACAGATTCAGCTGTTGACTCAAATTGGTGGGACCAAAGCAGTGTTGCTCACAGGAGATCGGTGTCCACTCCCAGAGCTCCAGCTTGCTGTTTGGAAAATTAAAAAAATGTTTATAGTGATGGAGAAATTTAAATTAGATACCAGTTAAGTATGAACACTTAACCAGCAGGTGGGGAGCAGAGAGGGAGGAAGGAGCCAGTGTGCCAAAGCCTTTATTGGGGTTCAGGGCATGTATTAATCCATTTTCACACTGCTGCACTGCTGATAAAGACTTGCCTAATACTGGGTAATTTATAAAGAAAAGGGGGTTTAATGGACTCACAGTTCCATGAGGCTGGGGAAGCCTCACAATTAGGGTGGAAGACAAAAGGCACGTCTTTACATGGTGGCGGGCAAAAGAGAATGAGAGCCAAGTGAAAGGGGAAACCCCTTTTAAAGACATCAGATCTGGTGAGACTCATTCACTACCACAAGAACAGTATGGGGGAAACTGCCCGCATGATTCAATTATGTCCCACTGGGTCCCTCCCACAACACATAGGAATTATGGGAGCTACAATTCAAGATGAGATTTGAGTGGGGAAACAGCCAAACCGTATCAGGGCATTACCTGGATATGTTTCCTGTGACAGAGTTGGATTTGTTAACTTGAAGAGTGTGTGAGTATAAGCAAGGGAACTCAGTAAGCCCGTTCTTGGTAGTTCCAGGAGCAGAGTAAGCCACTCAAGTGGTTCAGGTTATACAGCCTTGTTTGTCTAGAACCCAAAAACAGGAAATGGATGAAGACTGCCTTCAAATACATAGATCAAGAGTGACAAGACAGAGACAGGATGAGATGGATACCGAGGCAATTTGAATATTCATATTCAAATGAGAGTTATGACAGCATCTTAACCAGACAGGGAAAAGTATGCTTAAAATAGTAAAAAAAAAAAAAAAAAAAAAAAAAAAAAAGATGCCAAACCTTGAGGAAGCAGCCATGATGTTGAGAACGTCCCCACACAAACAACTAACTCAACACAAGAATGACGCTAAAATATGTGTTCAATAGATGGTAATGATTTTTTATAGTTTTTATCATTGTTTTATTTGCTTATACCTCAAAACCAGACTTAACAATGCTTTCAGCTCCCCAGACAAATGTATTTTTCATTGCACCAAAGTTGCCCTCTTCTAACTGATATCTAATTTTAATTTCTCTGTCACTATAAACAATTTTTTTTTTTATTTTCCAAACAGCAAGCTGGGGCTCACATTGGGAGAGGGTACTGATATTCTCAGAGCAGCATTGCTTTGGTGCCATCAATTTGGGTCAATGGCTGAATCTGTGTGTGGCCAAAGCACCATTTGAGTTTGTAAATGGCATGAAATAGAGCATTGTTTTCCGCTGGGAATATTGGTCCAGTATTAGCCTATAGACAGATAGCAGTCATATATCATATTATCATGTGGCCAGTGGTATTTTTTCCTAGATCCAGAGGATCATGAAATAAACAGAACTCAGTTACTGAATGTTTTGTGATTCGTTTGTAACTATTGCTGAAACTAACAAAAACTCATGTCTTGCATTATTTGTACATAGTTTTCCAGTTGTTCTATGTGGTTAATATTAAGGATTCTTTACTCATCCAACCATACACAGTTATATATTAAGTATGGACAGATAGATACAGATATAGATATAGGTATATACGCTTAATAAATATATTCGTTCTTTAAAATTCACTCCAAAGTCTAATTCTGCCAGAATAATTGGTTGTGTCTTAAGATAGACATTTTAGGAAGATCCAAATGAGAGATTGAGAAAGAAACCAATATTTACTGAATACCTGACAAATACACTGCTAAACCTTTTACCTGCTTATGATATAAATTAGAAATAACCAGCAAAAACATTTTAAATACAATGAGTAGAAAAGTACATTTAAATACATTTTTCTTATTTACTTCTTGTTTTCTAAATTGCATTTCTCTTTTAACATTAATTTGTTGTTTTTGAAATTGTTCTTTACTGACGAAAATTTAGTGTTAGATGGAAACTAAAATAATAGTTAAAAGCATCATCATCAGGAGCATAATAAAACTTAAGGCTGTCTCTTAAAATTAATGCATATAGGTTTTATTCCTCAGAAAGGGGAAAATACTAGAATAAAATTTTAAGAAATATTGAGAAACAGTGAAACTATTCAAAAGGGGAAGTAGTCTTCCACCTTCTATAATTAAAATTCATAGGCCATAGTGATAACTTGCCTATGAATTGCAGGGGCCGTTTTGGGGGGACCTATTAAAGGGGATATCTAGTAACTACCTTTCTCCTCGTTAAGTCTCTAGCCTGTCACCCATAGTACAAGAGATATAAGGAATCTTGTTTAACTTTAGAATCTTTCATTTTTTCTGTCTTCCTTAGGTAGTGCTGGCACTCCAGTGATGTTTAACAAGAACGGGGATGCACCTGGGCGTTATGACATCTTTCAGTACCAGACCACAAACACCAGCAACCCGGGTTACCGTCTGATCGGGCAGTGGACAGACGAACTTCAGCTCAATGTGAGTTCTGCTTGCTTCTCTTCTTCCCTTGTTGAGATGAATGAACAGACTTTTAATTTGCTCAGTTATACAAATGTTTCTTGTTTAATGTTTGTGTGCATATACAAGTGAGCATGCAATTTGTTGTGGGCATCAGCAGGAACTGATATCCAATAATAATGATGGTGATGACGATGATGGGAAATGTGCATTGAGTTTTGTGCATTATATTCATGACCTGTGCGAATTATCTCATTTAATCTGAGACTGGGGTTACTTAGCAAACAGGTTACTACTTAGCAATTTCACAAGATCCTTCTCTTGGTTAAACTTTTTATTTCTTCTGCCTCCCCCCATTCCTTCCTTTTTCTTCTTTATTTGATGGTACTGATATTTTTATTATTATTTTGAGACATTTGAGTGTATTTATGTGAGATTTGTAATGGGATTATCTGAGTAATTGCAGTGCTTCCATTTCTGTAACCTCTCCCACTTTCTATAAAATGTGACCTAAGTAAGCAGCCACTTTCCTTCACAAGATTATGTCAAATCCATCAGCCAATGTCCCAGCTCCAAAACAATCCAAAAATTCTCTCTTAGCCTTTTTGTTCTATTTAGGCCTTGAAATAATTGGGTAAGACTCATCCACATTGGGGAGGGCAATTTACTTTACTCACCCACTGATTCAAATGTTCATCTAATCCAGAAACCTCACAGACACACCTAGAATATTCGACCAACTATCAGGGCACTGCATGGCAAAGTAGAATATGAGATTAACCATCACAGTCTCTCTCCTAGAAAAATCCTTTAATGTCCTTTGTAAAGCAACAAATTATGCCATTAGCCTTTATTAATCTATACCTTAGGAGGCACTTTTGGAATTATTGAGAACAAGGCTTCTTGGGTGTGGGAAGCAAATCCATTTCTTGGGAAGTGGAAGGTTATGTCATGGTTTCTATGAAGAAAGGGTTATTCACATAGGGAGCCGTGAAGCCACTACAGGCCAGTTACCTCATTTGCACAGAGCCTTAGCCTAGATCTGCTTGCACCTGTCCAGTTCTCCCCATTGTGAGGTGCACCATACACATGAACTGGCACTAAAATTGGGTCCAAAAGATTATGCTCTGGCATTTGGGAATGGTTGGAATCAACAGGTACCGTCCATGGCTTATATAAATGCAAACGGCCAAGATCAAAAAAGAAGCTAAGATTATTCTGAATCCAAGGCACACTAAACTTGCAAGTGAAAGGAGAAAATAAAAACAACACAAACAAAAACCTAAAAGGTAAACTCAAGGTGGGGGAGTAGTAATCAAAAGCAGAATCAAAGCAGTATAACCTGGATGACACACTCAAAGTGTGTTTTTACTGGGTGCTGCCATGTGATATGAAGATGGGTCAGCCTCAAATAAAGGTAAGAGAATCAAGGTCTATGGTACATAGGTGAAGTGCTCAGGGCTTATTGTAAGATCCAGTGGATTAAATAGGTTCATTAATCTTTTCCAGCATAAACCCTGCACTCTTGTTAAATTTCTGGCACATATAATTTGTCCAATATCCGTAAGAGTTCCCAAGTAGCATTCACCAACTTCAGATGGGGTCTTACATGGGGGTTCTTAAGCACACTATTTTAAGAACAAACATTAACACTGATTTTATTTTTATTTGTTTGGTTTGTATTTTATCCTTTGTAAGAACTGCATTTGATTAGCTATTCAACAAGTTTTTGTTGTTTGTTTGGTTTTGGTTTTAAATACCTATCAAGTTAGAAGCACTGCAAGAGTCAATGTGTAGGTACACAGTGGAGGTGAAACAAATGTGGTCCCTGTTCTTTCACAATTCAGCATCTAGGATGGAGTTACATGGTACTCAGCAAACAGATATGTACATGGAAATTCTGAGGTGTGATAATGGAAAAGGTGGTAGAGAGGATAATGGAGGTAGAAAAGGAAGGACCTACTACAAGAGAAGCCAGCAAAGTGAAAACTAGAGTGACCAGCAGGTCAGATGGCTGATGTGATGATGATTTAATCAGCAAGGAAAATGAGAGGAAGGGTAAGAGGAGATGTTGGAGCAATAGGTAAGAGCCATACTCATGCAACCCCTTGTATGTCATGATACATTTTAAACATTTTATTCTGAGTGCATTTAAAAGCCACTAAGAAGTACTAAGCAAGGAAGTGAGGGAGTGGCTGCATCAGATTTAGGAATAAAATTACTTTGGCTGCTGGGAAGATAATGGAGGGGGCAAAAGTAGCAGCAGAAAGACCAATTATGATTCTTTTGCAGGTGTCTAGCTAGAATAGGGGAGCTAAGTGAGGTGGTTCTCAAACTTCAGTGTGCCTCAGAGCCATCTGGAGGGCTTGTAACAGCACATATTACCGGGCCCTGCTCTCAGATAACCTGATTCAGAAGAACTAGAGGTGCGGGAAGCCTCAATATTTGCTTTTTATCAGAAGTCATTGGGCAATGTTGATGACACTTTGAGAACCACTGGCTCAGGGACATGTGTGATAGTGAAGATGAAGCCAAATGAATGGGATACATATGTAACGTGAGGCACTGTGTGGATGATGGCAACACATGAGATGAGGGAGGCAGCTGGGAGTAGAAGGGAGAAAATCAAGAATCCCAATTGGGATTATTATATATGTGAGACTTCTTAAATATACTACAGCCAAAATGAAATGGGTATAGGTCTGAAGCTCAGACAACAGTTGTGAATCATAATTATAAAACAATGTAAACAACCTATAAATGGTCTTTAAATTCATTACAAAGAGAGATAAGAGAAGAGCAGAGAACCCAAGGCCTTGAAAACCTCCTAGAAAATGACACAATTCCAGCCAGGTGCAGTGGCTCATGCCTGTAATCCCAGCACTTTGGGAGGCTGAGGTGGGCAGATCACGAGGTCAGGAGATCAAGACCATCCTGGCTAACACTGTGAAACCCCGTCTCTAAAAATACAAAAAAATTAGCCGGGCATGGTGGCGGGCGCCTGTAGTCCCAGCTACTCGGGAGGCTGAGGCAGGAGAATGGCATGAACCCAGGAGGTGGAGCTTACAGTGAGCCAAGATTGTGCCACTGCACTCCAGCCTGGGTGACAGAGCAAGACTCTGTCTCAAAAAAAAAAAAAAAAAAATTAACTGAGCATGGTGGCGCACACCTGTAATCCCAACTACTTGGGAGGCTGAGGCAGGATAATCGCTTGAACCCAGGAGGCGGAGGTTGCAGTGAGCCGAGATCATGCCACTGCACTCCAGCCCTGGCGAGAGTGCGAGACTCTGTCTCAGAAAAGAAAATGACACAATTCCATTCCGTCTACTCCAAATAGCACTCAGTTTAAAATATTCTGTTTAATTTGTCCAGAGAATTGGGCTAACCATATACTTTCGATTTTTGTTTGAGTTTATGCTAGCTAAATCAGGGGTTTGTTCTTGGCTTGGAACTAAGTGGGAGCATTCTTTATTCTACTTTGTCATGCTAAGAGTGATGTGTTAGGAAAAACAGGCACGCTCAGGTGGATGCAGTAGTTTATACTTGGTATTGCATGGGACCTAAAAGAGCGAATGACAACCATGAAGGGAGTCATTTTTAGGGGGAAAAGAGGCTGGGTTTAATTCAATTAGTGTGGCTACTGAGATAACGGGACTTGGTAGGATGTCACCCTGTTGACACCTTTTATTGTGAGATTTAATTTGAATTGTGTTCAGGGGGATTAAAAAAGAAAATAAAAGTTAAGTAGAGTACCCAGAGGCACCCTACCCCTCTCACCTGGGTTCCCAGAGCCACAGCCCAGTTGCCCTATCCAATGATTGGTTTCTCTCCAACATCATCCTGCCCTTGAAGTTCCTTTTGCTGTAATTATTCTATTAAATGTTCTGTGAGAGTGGAATTTGGGCAAACGGTTTTGTAGGTTTGCTTTCCTCTAGTCAATGGAACAAAATAAAGTATTTCAAGTAAAAAGTGTATGTCTCCTCACAAAGATTCATGGGTACTTTTTCAATTCTCAGTTACATCATCTCAAGCAAATGAAATTTTCGAGGGCGGCTTTCTCTGTGGTCAGTAATTGCAAATGAATTTCTGAGCCAAGAAATCAGAGTTTTAGGTTTTTAGAATCCCAGCTCTGTAGATCAGACTGCTCTGCTGTTCCCTGTGCAATTTCTGGAATTTAAGTGCTTAGCAGTGTGCTGTCTGCGGTAAAATGTCTCATGTACCCTCACTACACTCTGTCTCCTCTGTGGCCCAAGAGATGACTGCATGGTTAGCTACCAGGATATTTCTGCTGAACAAGAATTCTGTGGAAGGGAATCATAACCAACAAAACCATTCACTCTTCTGATTGTAACCTCTACAGAAACAACCCTAATTTAATTTCTTAGGTTTCTATTCTACCAAGAAACTTTATGAAATACTCTTCCTGGGGGAGAGAAGAAGGGACAATGCAACAAACATGATTGTCTATGTGCAGTGTGTCAGGAGAGGTGATAGCTCATGGAGATATTAGAATAAACAAGAGGCAGATCCATGCACCCCAAGTTCACAGTCTAGGTAGGGTAAGGGCTCTGTAGTAGATATATGGCATTTTAGGGCTACAGACAGGCACTGGTTTAGAGACACCCACCACAAAGTTATATTCGAACTGGATCTTTTGAAGGTTAAGTAGTAGTTCCCAAGAGGAAGTGGAAAAGAATTGCTTTAGAATAAATAATGCAGTAATATTTAAAAATTAGGGTAGGAGTATATTTCTGAAAAAGGCAAGAAATGGAATGTGGATGCTTAAAAAATTCTAAATCGATGTTGTAAGTAAAATATATTATGTGTGATAGAAACCATGATGGTTACTTTGTCATCTTTTATCTGAAATTAGGAAGTTCAGAAATGTTAAAAATGTTAATTTTCCAGATAACCAAAATTCTCTAATATGCCAAAATGTCAATTAAAGCATTTTTAGAAAGGAACTATTCTTAATAGCAGCTTCCTACAGTGAACTGCATATTCTCTTAAATAGAAGACTGAATGAATATTATTTCCTCTTTTCTGGATAACTGAAGTTCTACAAACCTCAATTTTCTGCCATTGGTTACGATAGACCAACTTTCTGATCTTCTGAGGTATATGGGGTTTCTTGACTTTTTCTGGTGATTTGTTTTCTCTGTTAAAACTTACACTTCACACCTATAGACTAAAAACTCCTTGAAGGTAGAATCCATGTTTTAGTCATTGCTTGGATGCCTGTAAACAGGGTACCTAGCACACAGCAGGCATTTGTTATTTTTTTGTTAATATATAAAATCATGTATAATGAACCTGTACTTTTTAAAATGATGGACGTTATCTGCAGCCATTAGTCCCTCTTCCTCCTTCTGAGAAGGGCACACAAGTTTCTCTTTCTTGTTTTTTGAGACGGAGTCGCTCTGTCGCCCGGGCTGGAGTGCAGTGGCGCGATCTTGGCTCACTGCAACCTCCGCCTCCCAGGTTCAAACGACTCTCATGCCTCAGCCTCCTGAGTATCTGGGACTACAGGCACGTGCCACCACACCCAGCTAATTTTTTGTATTTTTAGTAGAGATGGGGTTTCACTGTGTTAGCCAGGATGGTCTTGATCTGCTGACCTTGTAATCAGTCCGCCTGAGCCTCCCAAAGTGCTGGGATTACAGGCGTGAGCCACCACGCCGGGCGCCAAGTTTTCCTTTTTAGCCATGTGGTTTGCCCTGGGTGTTTCCCAAGTCCAGGAAAGTCAAGTAATTCAGTTTAAGCCAATCACTGTAGCCATAGTGATAGGGATGGGTACCCGTACTACGTCTCCCTAATCAAGACATCACTGGATGTCTGCTGGCCAATCTGAGACATCAACATGCTCTTCTTGGAGGCGGTTGCTTCCTAGGGAGTCATTCTGAGGCCACCATGTAGGAGCTTCAGGGAAGAGAACTCAAAACTTGAAAAGAAAAACTAGATCTAGGTCATATTGTTTGTGCCCTAGGAAATCCTTACCACAAGCCATTTATAATGCTCTCTGGATTGTTTAGTTATCAATAAATTAAGACAATTTATGTAACATACTCTTTCTTTACAATCTTATTCACCATAGTAATCAAAAATGGAAAAAAAGAAAAAAGAATTGGTTTTTGTTTTAGTGTGCCCAGGATGGAAAAGAAAAAAAAATCAGCCATCCATTATTAAGCAGAAATTTTTTAGATTTTATTAAACTGAGGTGATTCAAATTAATTTCAAAAGTTGTAATGTTTGTTCCATATTGAATCTTTCACACTTATTAGAATTTTGGCTGTCACAGACACCTAAGACATAAGAAAAGCAGTTGATTGCCAAAATCTGTTTAATACAATTAAATGTTTCCAAATCAATATGGACTTATACCTGCCTATAAAACTGCTAATCACTCTATTGTTTCATAATTACAACAGTAAAAATGTTTTAGAAATCTTATTATACTCATAATTTACAATGTATTACATGAGGTATGTAATAGCAGCAATCAAGGCAATGTTGACAAAGAGAAAAATATGTAAGGTGTCAAAATCTAGTACTTCTTCAGCTTCAACTTGAAGGCTTCTTTTGTGGAACCACCTTTCTGCCCATCATAATTATCAGCTCTTTTCTTGTAATTTATAGTTTTATTGTTAGTAATTAGAACAGTAGGCTTTAAAGCTGAACTGATTAAATGGATCTGAGTCTCAGTTCTACCATTACTAGCTGTAAAGCAGGCTTATGGTAGTACCTATTTCACTGAGTTATGGTTAGCATTACATATTAATAAATAATATATATAACATGCTAAAAACAGTGTCTGGCATGTAGTAAATGTTCAGCAAATGTTAGCCGCAACAGCAACAAAAATAACAATAATTTCACATCCTTAGTTTGTCCCATGATGATATGGTTTGCCTGTGCCCCCACCCAAATCTCATCTTAAATTATAATCCCCATGTGTTGAGGGGGCATCTGTAATACCCACATGTCAAGGCAGGGAGGTGATTGGGTCATTGGGGTGGTTTCCCACATGCTGATCTCATGGTAGTGAGTGAGTTTTCATGAGATCTGATGCTTTTGTAAGTGTCTGGCATTTCCACTGCTTTCACTCCTTTCTCCTGCCACCATACAAAGAAGGTCCTTGCTACCCCTTCACGACTGTGAATTTTCTGAGGCCTCCCTAGCCATGTGGAACTGTGAGTCAATTAAACCTCTTTCTTTTATAAATTATCCATTCTCAGGTATTTCTTTAGAGCAGTGTGAAAACAGACTAATACACATGATCCATAATTGCTCAAAACGTCAATTACTAGCATTTAGCTGGGTTATTTTTCTGCACCCCCAAGCACCAAGCGTAGTGCTGAGCATATAGAAATGGCTTGTTAAATATTAAAAGGATAACTAGGTAAACAGACCAACAGTTAAACTATACACATTACTTAAGGACAGGGACTAGGTCATTGTTGACTTAGCGTCCCAGTGCCTATTGGATGAATGGATCAGAGGATGCAACCAGACTTCTACCCAAGTTAGCAATTCTACATGATTCAGGGATTCATTTGAGAACTTGGTTTACCAAATAGGTTCCTCAAGGGTTCCCTAAGTGCTCTGTAAGCTTGTTCCAAGTGCAAAGTTAGATGATTTTGGTGTTTGTTATGTTAAGGCCAGTCAGAAGAAAAGGAGGGAAAGAAATAGAAGAGTTAGTTTTTGTTTTATTTCAGTTGATTTTTTTATTTTAGACACCTACCAGTGGCTATTTGAGAGCATGAGGTGAAATTGCTGCTCTTGAGGAATGAAGTTGAAGTTATCATTGGCCATTTATTTGCTAAAGTTAAAGTTAACTAATCATCAAACCATTGAAGCTAGTTGCATCTGCCACCTACTTCTCTACACTTTAATGCTACATTACAGGAAGCATCAAAACAGGAAAGGACTTAGGATTGGGTCTCTAATCACACCCTGCCTGTTTCTGATCATATCTGTGAACCAGGATGAGGAAGGTCTCTCTGAAAAGATGGCATTTAACCTGACACCACAGTAACAAGAGTTATTTTTATTTGTCAGCATCTCTGAATCTGTGATATTTTACAAAATATATTTATAAATCAAAAATAGTACTGTTATTTTGATTTGTAAATCAAAATTAAGTACTGCTTCCCATTTGTCAGTTAACTTGAGATGCGAGACCCCAAACTGATTACAGACAGCAGGTGTGGTTCAAAAATTAATTACTTGCCAATATTTTAAATGTCAGGAAATGACATAAGAATGTTTTTGACTTATCTTTAAAAGATCAGATCTGGCAATGATGTGTCCTTACTCCCCATGCAGCAAAAGCTGGCTAAATCAAAGGAGCAGCTTTCCACTTGATACAAGGTGTGCGCTCTCTATGTTACAACACATCCCCCTCCTCCTACCACTCTCTTACATAATCCCCCTAACTCCCACTAGCATTTTATTTCATTCACCTAATCTAGACTTAGAGTAGATTCTAACTTATTTCCACTAATTCAGAAATTAGTTTCAATGTATGCTTAACTTTTTATTGATAGTCTCTGGAAATTGGTTTCTAAAAATCAGCAATAATATGTCAATACCGTTAATATCCCAAAACATTCCATAATATGTAATAATACTTTCTTAAAAGGGTTGATAAATGCAGTCTGAAAGAGAGGACTGCCTTAGTAAAGAAAATGCTTTTGTGTGGAAACATGTACTTGTGTGTATTCAGAAACATATTGGAAATTAAAGAAACAGAGATTTTCCTTTTGTCAGCATCTCTCCTAGGAATCAATGGTGTATAACTGTGTTCTTTCTATGAATGTCTGCAAGATTAATAATATTTATAATTATCAATATGGTTCCACAAACATGTACATTAGAGAGCCTAAACCTCCATAAATTCTTGTTTGCATTCTGGGCATTCAAGCAAATCACTTCATGTTTAATAATAGACTCCAGATTCTCTGTGGAAATTGTTGAATGCCATTACTATCTGCATTTTGGGCTCAGGCAAAATATATATGAAAAAAGAAATACAACAAGATAAATGAGTTTAAAGAGCTGGACTCTTGTAAGAGGGACTCAACTCATTATCATCAAACCAAAATTATGAAAAGAAAGAAAGTCAACTAATGTACGATCTGCCTAACTTTTTTGCTTTGGGAAGCCAAAAAATTCTAGAATGACCTGGTTATGTTCAAATGAAAATACAGGAAGTAGATTTAAAGTGCTTCCATCCAATTGGGAGAAACTCTCATGAAGTGGGGCATCGTCAGAATGCCCCTGTTTGAGTCCTGCCTTTTCTGCTTGTTGCTTGAGGAAATCATTTAACATTCCTGAACCGCAATTCCCTTCTTTATTTAAAAAAAGTAAAATAAAATAAAGTCAAATCAAGCAAAATACCCACCTCATAAGAACACTTTGAAAATGAATAGTGAAAACTTCCCTGATACAAGAATGCATATGATATTTGTGGTCATGTTTCTTGTATTAGTTTTTTATTGCTGCTGTAAAAAAAAAAATTACCGCTAATTTAGTGGCTTAAAATGGTACAAGTTTATTATCTCACAGTTCTTTAGGTTAGAAGTCCAACATAGGTCTCACAGGACTAATATCAAGGCGGCACCAGGGCTATGCTTCTTTCTTTGTTTCCCTTTTCTTAGGGAGAATCTATTTCTGCTCATTCACGTTGCTGGAAAAATTTAGTCCTGTTTGGTTTTGGGACTGAGGTCCCTGTTTCTCTGCTGACAGTGGTGGGTGGATCCCAGCTTCTGGCACCTTGACCTGTGACCCCTTTCCTCTGTCCTCAAAGCTGGCAATGGCAGGTCAAGTTCCTCTGAGCATCCAGTCTCTTCTGCCTTTTTTTCTGTCAATGCATTTGTTTCATTGATTCTCCTGTCTTCCTCTTCCACTTTGAAAGGCCCATATGATTGTATTGGGTCCACCTAGATAATTCAAGATAATCTCTCTACTTTGAGGTAGGTAACCGTATTCCAACTGCAAAGTCCCTTTTGCCATATAATGTAACATATTTATAGGTTCCAAAAATTAGAACATAGACATCTTTCTGGGGAGTTGAGAAGAATGGATTATTTTGCCTACCATAGTTCTTTACTGTATTTAATAACTTTGTTTTTCTGGGAAGTCTGTAACATCCATATTAAATTCCCATTATTCTTAAATGGGGACTGCTATCGTTTGAATGTTTGCCCCCTCCAAACCTCATGGTGCAATTTAATTCCCAGTGTGGTGGTGTTGGGAGGGGGACCTAAAGGGAGGTGTTTGAGTCATGGGTGCAAACCCCTCATGAATGGATTCATGCCCTACCTCGGAGGTGAGTGAGTTTTTGCTCTATTAGTTCCCAAAAGAGCTGGGTGTTAAAAAGCCCAAAAACTCCCTCCCCTCTCCTTCTCTCTTGCTTCCTCTCTCACTGTGTGATCTCTGCACACACTGGCTTCTCATCACCTTCTGCCATGAGTGCAGGCAGCCTGAGGCTCTTGCCACATGCCCAGTCTTGATTTTTCCATATATCACAATCATGAGCCAAATCTTTCTAATTTATAAATTACTCAGCCTCAGATATTCCTCTATAGAAACATAAAATGGACTAAGAGAGTTCACATAATTGTGTAAATAGGAATGTTATGAATGTGTAAATAGGAATGTTAAGTTTTATACTTAAACACTTTTGGTCTGTAATTGAGCTAGTCTGTTTGATAAATGTCTCTCTCACATTTCTGGGAAGCTTGGAAAGAACTCTAGATTCAACGATAAACATATAGAATCCCCCACTGAGTAGCAGGGCAAGATGGAAGATTAATAGGAAGAGTAAGTGATGCTAACATCATAGGAGAGTTAGATGAGCTTGAGGAGAGAGGACTGTTGACTCCAGCTGTTTTTCAGGGTCCTTGCAGATGGCATAGCCCCATCCACTGAAAGTGAGTAGAGCTCCCAAGAGGGTAGTGAGAGATGAGGCAACAAACTCACCACTTCCAGAAATCTGGTCAAAATCAGGAGGACAATGTAACACTACTCACTCATCTCTCTTCCTGATCCCACCTTATGTGAATTCATTTACTTCTTCCATTTAAAGTGGAATAATAACTTAGTCGTGCTAACTAATGTTTTTCAATCCCCCTACCCCCACTTATGATCTTTTATTCCTCCTTTAGTCCCCAGATTCCTCAATATTTTGTTTTTGTTGCATTAGATCTCTTTCAATGACAAAGCATACGTGCAGACCGTTTCCTCAAAAAGTATCTCAAAAAGGTAAACATAAGGTGACCACATGAGTTAGCAGTTCCACTTCTAGGTATATACCCAGCTCTCACATTCTCTGGCTGCGAAAGGCAATGAAGCAGTAGCACACAGTAGCTAATAGCTTGGGATTTGGACTTTCGATTGCTGACTTCCTGAGAAAGCTACCAAATTTTCCTATTGATAAAACAAAGTCACATTGATTGCTTACTGCAGTAAGAGAGAACACTAGGCCCAGGGTAGTGGCTCACACCTGTAATCCTAGCACTTTGGGAAGCCAAGGCAGGAGGATCACTTGGGGCCAGGAGTTTGAGACCAGCCTGGACAACAAAGCAAAACCCCATCTATACAAAAATTTTAAAAAAATAAAAATATGGATGGGTGTGATGGCACATGCTTGTAGTCCTAGCTACTCAGGAGGCTGGGCAGGAAGATCCTTTGAGCCCAGGAGTTCGAGAAAGCAATGAGCTATGACTGCACTGCTGCACTCCAACCTACGCAACAGAGCAAGACTCTGTCTCTTAAAAACGAGAGGGAGAGAGAGAGAGAGAGAGAGAGAGAGAGAGAGAGAGAGAGAAACACCTTGACAGAGTTTTTGTAACATCTCAGAAAAGGGAGGTCAAGGGCAGATATTTTTTAAGATTTGGGGGTTTAAATTAAGGCACTTCTTTCAATGAGGGAAGTTTGATCAGAATTGTGCAAAGCCTGTGATGTTATAGTTTTGTATGGGTGAATACAGCAAAGAGGATTTTGAAACAAGTTGTTTTGAGTAAACCATTGTTTGATTAGAGAGCTTGGCCCAGTTGAGTGATCAGTATTTCAGAAAAGGGACTATTTATCCCTATGGTAACTTATTTTCATGACTGATTATTCAAATAGATGGATTTTCAGGACCAACAACAAACCATTAAATTATTTGTAACTTTATCTTCTTGGGTAAGAATTTCTTACAATAGTAAAATCCTGTTAGTGCAGACAGTTTTAGTTTCCTTCATGCTATTTAGCTGGGTGATTGCAGGGGATTTGTTCTGAGGATATGGACCAAGTTAGAATCTTTTAATCTATGATACCAGCTCTGTGAAGGGTCAGCTTCTACAGAGTTCTCTGACACCTAGTGAGGGGCTGTTTGGTGTCATCACTTATGGCCATGATAAAAAGTCAAATTTATCTGTCTTTTGTACTATAACTTTCAGAACCAAAATAGCACAACCACTGAGCTCCATGTCATCCTAATATACTGTTGTTGCTTAAGCAAGACAATTCCATAATTGGTGCTATCAACATTCTTCTGTTGAAATTACAGTGTTCATGTCCTAAGTAGGGGCTTTAGTCTGAAAGAATTCATTTTTCTCATTACCGTAGCTGGAATCCCCTACCCTATACCCTGTCCTCTCAAGTAGACCCTACTATTCTTAGGCATGCTTTGATCAGTCCACCTTTCTTTCTACCATTTTATGTGGCATCATGTGTACAAATAGCTTTTCTCAAAAAAAAAAAAAAAATTGACAATTGAGAGTAGTAACCCCCCACCAAAAACAACTGAAATGAGAAAAGTCCCCCTTGATCCCTCAGTTGTGCACATACATAAATGAGTCTCCCATTCCTGGAAACAAGTTCCAGCTAATCTTTGCACAGCTGTACAGCTAACTTCCCTTTGCTAAGCACAAAAGTGGTATCAGAGTTTTTTTTAAGCTAAATCTTAAACTCTTGCATTTGACTGATTGTGGAGCCTAAAATGTAGTATCTGTCCTGCTAAAAGATGGGTTCACATATAATTTTGAATGTCATGATGTCACGTTTACAGTATTCTAGGGACATGAGTAGGGACCAATTGGGAATGTTTCGGGAAGATTTTACAGAGTAAGTGAAATAAGAGCTGCTCCTTAAAAGATGTATAGGCAATTATATGCCTGCAGGAAAGCAGGCAGAGATAGAACTAATAACCAGTCGTATACTTAGGAATGATTTTGTAAATTGTTAAATACAAAGTGGTGACTGGTCTTGTATATTGAAGTTAGCCCCACATTTAAACACAGCTTTCTGGCCAATAGGTGTGGATTCCTTACAAACTCCTCAACAAATACACAACTATTCAGTTGTAGGGGCCTGTTTTCAATTGCCCTACGTAAAAGTCTTCCTGAGGATGACAATGAGAAAGAAGTAACAAGCTTTGAACAAGGAAGACAGAAAGGATGTAGTGGGTAAATACAAAGAAGTCTACGTTTCTCATCTATAACAAATGTGTTCTTGATTTATTGTGTGGTGATACTGTAAGGGAGCCTTCACAATGACTGAATAGGAAACCAGCACCTTTATCTTAGCAGGGAACTTGATGCCTGCCATTTGAAATCACACTCTGAAAGCGAGCTTTAACACATTGATGGGTATGCATTGGAAAGGTAACTGGCTTTTGGAAATTGCCCTGAAATCATTTATGCTTCAATAAGAAGCTATCATTGATGTTGGTAGTCAGTTACCCGATTCGTGTGCATATTTCCTGATAATTATTTTTTTTTTCCATTAACAGTATAGATCACCTTGGCTTTAAGTGCCGTTTACAGGATTCAATTAAGGATGGCAGATTACAATGTCAGGAGTCTGGGGAGAAGGAGTGGAATTCATAGCTCTTCACTTTCTCGTCACTGTTATTGTTACACAAATGAGTGTCATCACCACTTGAGGTGATTGTCTATAACGAGAGGAGGCTTGAGCAGAAGACTAACTGATTTGCTTTATAGTCATTACCTGACAACATTATGGCAAAACCATTGAAGATTTTCTGGAAGCCTTGCAGATTTCACTGTCAAGCATCTTATTAGGCATATCCGGTATTGTGGGCATTTCTATCATGGAGTATTCAAGATTTAGGTACCCTGTTGAAATGCCTTCTTTCACTGGTCTCTGCTCTATATTTAAATTTGTTTTAAAACCATCTGGAGCTACTATGGGGCTGGTAGGATTATTTTAAAACAGAAAATACTATTGATCCTTCTGTGAAAATTTCCCGAGTCAAATCTGCTTTCTTTGCCTACATTTTATTTTCTGAAAAAAATGGAGAGGAATTAGTAGATCAGTATTCACACGTGTAGACTGACACTTATTTCAGAAGAGGTCATATGGGGGTGTTACAAAGCATGGGCTGTGGAGGCAGGCTGCCTGGGTTTAAATCCCATGTTTCACCACCTATTGGTTCTACCAGTTAACTTGCTTCCCTTCTCCAGGCTTCATCCCCCCATCTGCAAAATGGGAGTAATATTGGGACCTAACCCACAGGATTATTGTGAGAGTTAACAACACGAAAAGTGACTAGGGGCTGGGCGCCGTGGCTCACGCCTGTAATCCCAGTACTTTGGGAGGCTGAAGCGGGAGGATAACAAGGTCAGGAGATCAAGACCATCCTGGCTAACATGATGAAAACCCGTCTCTACTAAAAATACAAAAAATTAGCTGGGCATGGTGGCAAGCGCCTGTAGTCTTAGCTACTTGGGAGGCCAAGGCAGGAGAATCGCTTGAACCCAGGAAGCAGAGGTTGCAGTGAGCCAAGATCACACTACTTCACTCCAGCCTGGTGACAGTTCGAGACTCCACCTCAAAAAATAAGAAAAAATTTAAAAAAAGAAAAGTGACTAGGACAGTGGCTGATACAATAAATATTTGCTAGGACTACTATTATTGTTGTTGCTACTTTTTCTGAAACACAAATAAGACCATGTCACTCTTCTATGTCAAAACTTCACACCAGTTTTCCCTCCTTCCAGAATCAGATGGCCATTCCCAGCTCCTGCTTCTCCTCATACCTCTCTGCCCTTATTCTGCTGCTCATACCCACACTTCTGTCTCAAAGACCTCTCTGACTGTCTTGAATCTGTCACATTCTGTCTGACAGTTCTGTGTCTTGTACACACCATCTGAAATGCAATATTCCACCACCAAACTGAATACTGGCCACTGGACACATTTCACCTTACTTGTGAAGACTCACAAAAGCACTGCCTCTTCCTTAACCCCCTTAGTGGAAATTTCCATCTTGCTAGGTCAACATTATTTTTTAACCACTTCCCTGAAGCTCTTCAGAGCACTGTCTCTTCCAGGGCCTAGCAAAGTGTTAGACATCAAACTGATGCTTGAAAATGAAAATGTAAAGTGGTAAAAACTTGAATCTCTTATTTGGTACTAACTTTTCTTTTCCAGAGAGCTTTGCAACTACAGTTGAGAGAGAAGAGACATTATTAGAGATTTCAAAAGCATTTCTGGTGGAATTTTTTTTTAAATGCACTCAAAAGAGCAAGATACTCAGCTGCCTAGGGTGCATTCATTCATCAGGACCTCACAGCTCAATCTTACCAAAGTCTTACTAGATCTTACTAAAGCTCCATCTTGTCTAAAGTCTTCTTTAGACAGATACTAAGGAAGCACTAACCACACCTCTCTCACCCTTCCCAACTCTGGTGTATACTTAAGAAATCTTAGCTCTTCAACCCTGACGCAAACTGGCTTCCAGAATGAATAGGCAGAGATCAATTACTACCCAAGATAATTATTTTCAAAAAGACATTCATGAGTATGTGACCAGAGGTAACAGATTTAGTTGTGTTAGGTGACTTCTTCAAGAGTGAAGGCTCCACCAAGTACCAGACTTTGGGGCTGCATCTCACTTTGTTTCTTTCTGAGATGTGCGTCTTTATTCTTTTGTTGTTTCTCTTTGATGTGATCAACGCGAAGAAACATCACCATATGTTTCTTTTTAAAATATGTCTTTTGAAATATCATTTGAATGTTTTTGTACCCTTTCTTCTAGCCATTTCTCATGGGATTGTTAATTTCCCTCTCTCCTTGTGAAGCCTGTATCTCCAGTTAAAAAGTAAAATCACACACGCATGTATTCAGCATACCTTGGTCCATGTCAATTTCTGTTCTAAAGCATGGTATCAAAGACCCTTTGAAATTGCATGTTATAAGGACCGGTTATAAGTGACACTGTCTTTGTCCTTAATCATGATCCAATCTTCCTGCTCTTCCTGAAGAGCAAGTTCAATAAGATAACTTTATCAATGTGAGTGGATTTTTTTGAATTTCTACCAGAGGTGTTTTTAAAAGCTCCAATAATGACCCTTCTATCTCCCAGCTTGAAACATGAACTTGGCTGTCCTTGTTTCTCTGTGGTGATTATGACTTCCTTATAGGGATTTTTCTTTCTTCTGCTCACTGAACCTCATGCTAACAGCACATTTCAGGAACCGTGAATTTACAGGCTTAGTCTTTCTCATGCCAACTGGAGGGAAATCTGGGGACCCACTGACCTGTTGAAAAACCGTATGTTCTTGCTGTCTTAGGTGGAAATCTTTCCCACTGAGCGCTGGGCTCTGTTTTATCACTTCTTGTGATATGGGCAAGGTACTCACTGGGTAATTGCTCATGCCATTAAAAATTTATGTTGGCCCACGTATCAAGTAGACATTTATTTTTCAGCTGAGAGACGACTGGAACATTTTGCAAAGGAAGGAGAGAGAAAAAAGCATGGAATTTAATCAGCAAATATCTTTGCTAGTCCTCTTTCTTTTTGCCAAGAGCATTACATTTCAAATATTTAATAATCAGTGAGAGTTAGGGAGCAATCAATGAGTATGGTCAACAGCTCTTGATGAAATAGGGTCCTGAAGCCTCCTGTCTTATTAACCCATAAGTTACTGGATCATGGGCAGGCCATGGGCATCCCAGGGAAAGGTTGGGTATGTAGAACAGTAGGGAACACTGGAGAGGGATGAGTAGTCCTAGCTATCAACTAGTGTGAAGGCATTTTAGTACTCAAAGGTCATTCTTGTGTACATGACTAGTTATTATTCCTGTCTTGGCCCATCTCCCCCCAGGCATGCAGTCACCTGCACATCTTTGACGGGTTAGCTTTTGTTTTACTGACTCCATAAAACCTTCCCTAATTCTTAATTGGTCCCTATGCAGTGTCCCCAGAGCACTCTAAACATGACTTTATAGTACTCAAGAGTATAAGCTGAGAACCAGAAGACAATTATAGTACAGAGATGGAAAGAGTGTGGCCTCAGAAGTCCGGCTTGGAAGTCTCTGGACCTCAGTGTACCCATATGTAAAGTGGGGACATTTATACTGTCCTAGTCTGCTTTTCCCCAAAAGAAGATTCCAAGGCAAGAATTTGGCAGATGATCCTGGCAAACATGTAAGGGAGTAGGCGAGTCAGGCAAGAAAGGGAAAGAGGCCAGGACAGAGCATGGGGATGAGGAGGCTATCACTCTGGGCATCTAGAGCTACATCTCACTGGTGACTCACAGGGAATGTCTAGAAAAGCCTCAAAATGGTGGTGAGGAAGCTTCGGTACTCATCTACAACTCTCATGCCTCACTGTTTGAGGGATACTCCTTGGAGGTTATCTCCCCAGCACTTATACCTAACAATAGCAAGAGACCACTCTCAAGCAGAGAGGCAAAGAGTGCGCCACGTTAGCACGTATGCTGAGTATGTTGACCTGTATAGAAAATGCCTGCCAGATGACAGCACCTGCTACAGATACTTCCCTCCCAGAGTTTCTGTGTTAAAGTATCCAAAGGAGCCTGCTTGATGTCTAACCTATAGGGCCTTCTAAATATATATTGATGAACAATAAGTGAAAAGAGTTAACTTTTTAATCACTCACTGTATGCCAGTCACTATGCTGTCTCACAGCTTACTTATTAGGTCGCTCTCACAGCTCACTTATGAGGTCGGTGCTATTTTTATTCCCATTTTACAGATGAGAAACCAGAGGTCCCCAACTATGCTATTGGTCAAGGTTTATAGGCAATAAATAAGTGGAGTGGTGAATAAACCCAGTTTGTCTGGCTCTGTAGTTCACAGTCATAACTGCTATGCATGCTGACTCTCCATCTGTAACAGAAAAAAAAGGCTGGAAAGATTTTTAAATTCACATAAAAGTTAACTAACTCTAACTCTTGTTTTTACCTTGCTACTGTGGCAACTTATATGACCCCAGGAACAACCTGACATTTTCTTAATTTAAATCAACTCATTCATTTTTAGTGCACAATGGATACCGCACTTGTCAGACAAAGATGCAGTCATTAGTCAAGAACAGTTAGTGAAGGTCTCCTGTGTGCACTGCTTTGTTCTCAGAGCTGTTGAGAGACACAGAAGAAGTGGGGGAGACAGTCCTATCCATCACAGAGTCTAACCAGACAAGAAAGATGCTCACAATTATCTACCTAGGTGGCAAAGATAAGAACTAAGCATGCACAACTCCGCTAGGCCCCTCAAGATAGAAGAGTTGGGGACTTCCTTCTCTCCTGCAATGTATTTTCCAGGTTCTAGCTGGTAGAAATGCAGATTTAGAGCAATGTCTTAGGAAAAAGAAGTCTTAAGGGGAGTGATATATAGAAAAAGGAAGGGACCAAGCTCCCCACTTGCAGAAGGGAAAGTTAGTTATATGTAAACTAGCCTCAAAGCAATTGGAATAAAATTGAGACTTTGGGTTTAGAACTGTGTTAAAGTTGACTGAAGCACTCTGAGATTTACCATCAAAGTCTGGCATCGGCCCCATAATATCCACCCCACCAGTGTGTTTAAACATTAAATAAAAAGTAAATGAGCAAAATGGTATACAATATTTATACATATTATATCTCTTTCTTTGCATGCACTTGTGAGTAGTGATTCATTGTAAGTATTGCAGAGTTAAATTGTTGAGTATTACTATTGCAGATTTGAATTGTGGGTATTGCTAGTGTTTAATGTAGGGCTTCAAGCTATGGGTTTCAAACTTTGCTGTACATTCAGATCATTGGGATACGTGTTGAAGTGGAAGTTACCAGAGCCTACCACCACCGCTAACATTCTGATTCTATTGAAGCAACCTCGTTCAGATGAGTTGTGGACCACACTTTGAGAATTAAGCTACATACAGCTAATAATCTTGAAATAAGTGCTTACCCATGGAAAAACAAAATATATTTAAAAGGAGATATTTAAAAATGGGAGTATATTAGAGTCCAACATAAGTACCTAGAGGAGAGTAATATGAAAGTATGCAAGTGGGTGGGCAAACACGGACAGGGCCATTGGGCTACAAGATTTTATTGTAAATACAAAGTCTTTATTGGTTTTTTTTTTTTCTTTTTTGAGACAGGATCTTGCTCTATTACCCAGGCTGGAATGCAGTGGTATGGTCACAGCTTATTGCAGCATCAATCTCCCAGGCTGAAGTGATCCTCCTGCCTCAACCTCTCAAGTAGCTGGGACTACAGGCATGCGCCACCATGCTTGATTTTTTTAAATTTTTTTGTAGAGACAGGATCTCCCTATGTTACCTAGGCTAGTCTTGAACTCCTGTGCTCAAGTGGGCTCTTGAACTCCTGGGCTCCCGCCTCGGCCTCCCAAAGTGCTGGGATTATATGCATGAAACACTGCACCTGGCCAATAAAGTCTTTATATATCAGCCTCCATAATTCTCAAGGCAAGTTCAATGCATCCTTTAATCTGATGCAAATGGTAGGCAGCAAGTAAGATAAGCTTGAGTTGAATTCCAGATTTGTTAAATAATGACTATTAGGCCTGAAGCAAATTATGTGGCCTCTCTGGGCCTCAGTTTCCTCTGCTGAGAAAGGAGAAATAAGACCTAGCTGGCAGGATTATTTTAAGGATAATGATAACTCTTATTGCTATGTGTGGCCAAGCCCTCAGTACATTTTATGATAATTTGGGGGAAGAATCCTCTCTCAGGAAAGTAAAAGAACTCTTGCCTATTAATGTGGATATTAAATGTACACAATGCCTATGTAAAGTTCTTAGCGAACATAGAGATATTCTCAATGTAGCTGGGCATCTGTCCTCAACGATGCAAACTGTCCTGCTGTGCACTGCAGAAAGCATAGAAGGTGTGAATGTACCTCAGAGGTCAAAGCATTTTGCTAATTAGAAATGAGTATTTCAGCCGGGTGCAGTGACTCACGCCTGTAATCCCCAGCACTTTGGGAGGCTGAGGCGAGTGGATCACAAAGTCAGGAGATCGAGACCATCCTGGCTAACATGGTGAAACCCTGTCTCTACTAAAAATACAAAAAATTAGCCAGGTGTGGTTGTGGACACCTGTAGTCCCAGCTACCTGGGAGGCTGAGGCAGGAGAATGGCGTGAACCCAGGAGGCGGAGGTTGCAGTGAGCCGAGATGGCACCACTGCACTCCAGCCTGGGTGACAGAGTGAGACTCCATCTCAAACAAAAACGAAAACAAAAACAAAAAACAGAAATGAATATTTCACACCATGGCAGGCAAGTCAAATCCTATAAACCCTGTAAGTTTGATTACATGCGTCTCAATCCCATAGACATTAACCCTACTCTAGACAAAGAATCTGCCACTTGATTGCTTCCAAATAAACTGACATAACCTGAAGAAAGGTACCTACCTCAGTGTAGCTGCAGATAGGAGGAAAAACTGATATGTAGGTAACCATGTCCCATTAAGGTACCAGTAATTTAACTCTGGTGGACCTAGGGAGGTACATGGCAAGTCAATGTGAGGTATATTTTTTGAAGGGAGACAATGCCAGGAGGCATGTCCTTAGAGAGCGAGTTATAAAGTGCCCCCGGATTTGTGGAAAAGCAAGTGGTATGAGAGGCTATAAGATATAAAGGAGGCAATGGTATGTATAGGTCAGCTCTGAGCCCTATTGTGAAAGACCCTCTATAGCAAATGTGGGTGACTCTGTTCTTTCCTGGAAGAAAGTTGATCTAGAGATAAAGGTTTTTTAAGAAAAATTTTAAGTAGGAAAAGTGGGAGAATGAGCTGCCTTTACTAGGGTGAGGTTAAGCAAGGAGCTTTCAGAAGTGTTCTAGGGAAAGACTAAGGATGTGCTTCTTCTGATTCTGAGGATTCATGTGCTGTGTTGCGTCATTTGGTGAATTTTAAAATAAGTGACATTAAATAAATTCCACATTCCTTGGGGAGAGAAAAGAAAGAGCTAACATTTATTTTCCTACTATTTAAAATTACTTATATGGTCTTGTTCAATACTCCTAACAATTTTAAGCTGTGTGTTTTTCTGGAATTCCCGTTTTGCAAATAAGGAAAGAAGTAACAAGAGGTGAAGAATGAGTATCTTTTCAGCATATCCAATGAGTCATCCATTCACCCAATGGATATTCATTGAACAACTACTCTATGCCAAGTTGTATTGTAAATACTGAGGATGCAACCTTGGACATGAGGTTTCTGATCATATGGAGGATAATATTTGAGTGTACAAAACAGTGATAAACTAATAAATAAATAAAGAGATAGCCATAGGTGCTGTGAGGAAAACAAAATAAGGTGATGTGATACCAAAGGATACTTTGGATTGGAAGGCCAGGCTCCTTTATGAACATGACGGTTGATTTGACATGTGGGTAACAAGAAGCCAGCCATACTGATCTGGGGACAGAATGAACTTGTTGGAAGGAACAGAAAGCAACAGAGGAGCAGAACCCTCGAGGCCTGGCATGTCCTAGGGAGTGGAAGTGAAAGAAGCCAATGTGATTGACAGTAGAAGGTGAATAGGAGGTAGGAGGACAGGTCACAAACTCAGAGATAGACAAAGGCCAGTCTGTCTTGGGCCTGGAGAAGAGTTTGGGTTTTATTAAAAGGACAATAGAAAGCCGTGTAGTGATTATAATTAGGGAAGCAATATGATCTCAGTTAAATCTGTGGTTTTGAGGATGGAGGTTGAGCTATGGGGGTGAAAGCAACTGCAAGAAAGCCAGTTAGGCCAGTTGGTTTTATTATTCCAGATGAGAGATAGATATAGATAGATATGATTATGTATCTGTATCTATGTATATATGTTATATATATTGTTATATATTGTATATGGAATACTATATTATTTAGGAATATTATAAAACACGCAAAATGGACATTAAAAATTGTCAACTAAAGAGAAAACACACTCTACATGATTTATCACATTAAAAGAAAAAAGTGTGCTTAATGTGTTACTATTGAAAGTGCTATTAATATTTTAGTGAGATTAATATAATTGAATATGCTTCTGTTAAAAAAAATTTGGCTTCACACTTTTTGATGCAAAGATTCAAAGATCTGATTCTATAATTAGTTTATTTCCAGAATAGTTTTGAATAGTTGTCACAACTGAGAAAGCATCTCCTAAAGAAACAATCTGTAAATATAAAATAAAGACTTATGGTAAGGTGCATTTAACAAGAGTGGAGCAATCTGTGTCTCCAATTTCTGATACATACGTGGGTTTGTTTTTTGGTAGACTTTGTCAGGTCTTGTTGGACAGAATATACTCTTCAATGAGGCTGGAGAAGAAATGAGAGAAGTGGAGGCTCTGCCACTTCTAATTGTTCACTTGTGCCAGTAGTAATATTTTCTTATTTCCAAGGTTCCACTGTGGCTATCTTCTAAAAATCCATTCCTTCATACTGTGGGGATTAATTTATACTGGATAATATCAATACTGTGAGTAGAATATGTGTCAATACCCATAAAGTGTGAGAGTATGTTTCTTCCAATGCTCAGAGCTGTAAGAACCATGGAGTAGAAATTACATCACTCTAAACCCCTGATTGTAAAGATAATCAAAGAAAGGGAGGCTAGATAGGGGATATGGCTTGGTACATCCTCCATGCATTCCTTTATTCAGTTTTGTGCCAGGCACAGTTCTTAGAACTGGAATACAATAGTAAATAAAACAGAAAATAAAATGTGCCTGGTATTAGTATGTGTGTATAATTTCCTCATTAAACTCCTTTTCTGATTTAGCCTCTAAAATGGTGTTGAGTGCTCCTTACCTCCTGGGATGCATGCCCATGTGCATTCCCTTCTTTTTGTGTGTCTGCCAAAGCTAGTGACTCATTCTTAACAAATGAAATAGACAAAGGTGGTAGGATGTTCCTTTCTGAAATTAGGTTACAAAAAGACTGTGGTGTCTGTCTTTGGTGCTTTCTCTTATACTGTTTCTTGCTTGCTTTGAAAGAAGTTAGCTGCCAGATTGTGACTTGCCCTATGGAGAGATCTGCATGGCAAGGAACTGAGGCACTTATTCCAATAGGCGTGGGAAACTATATCCTGCCAACAACCACATGGTGAGCTTGCAAGTCAATCTTTCCCCATTTGTTCCATGAAATGAAACTTAGACCTCACTGACACCTTGACTATAACCATAAAAGAGACTGTGAACCAGAGAACCCAACTAAAATGTGTCCAGATTTTTAATCTCCAGAAAATGAGAGAAGATAAGTGCTTGTTGAGTCACTATGTGTTGGGGTAATTTGTTACACAGCAGTCAATAACTAATATGCCTTCATTTAAGTTAACTGTCTTTAATGCATACACTCAGGAGAATTAGAGCTTATCAGTGAAATGTTCCTTAAGGAGTTTCTCAACTCACCTACTGAAAGTACCTGGCCATATCTATTAGATTCATCAAGTTGGAGAAGTATGCAGTGTAAATAGGTTGAGGGACCTCATCAGTTCTAATACCACAAGTCCCTAAGTTTCTGGGAGATAGATCTGTTGATAATAGCTTTATTCTGTCATTCACGTTATACATACCTTTTCCTTTTGAAATAAGTTGGAAAAATTAATTTCAAGAAATTTAAACACAAAAGATTTAAATTCACACTCAAAGTCAAGATAAACATCAAATCCTCCCAAAATATCAGAAGGTACTTAAGGAAGTTCAGGAATTTGTGATTCTTCCAATTGTTGTGGCAGTAGCCCTTGTTTTCCCAGAGGGCCTTTCTGCTGTCTTAATTTTTGCTTTTACAGAAACCATAGAAAACATTTATATTGCTTATCTTTTGGAGCAAACCAAGAGAATCGCTGATGCCACTGCATGGAAGTTAATGGCATGGATTAATAATTCATGTTCACAAACTCTGTTCACATGTAAGAGTCAAGCTGAAAAGTTGAAGTACTTAAATACTGAATTTTTCCCCAGCAATTAAAAAGTAGCTGACAGAAGCTGTAACTTAAGGTGCCTTTAACATATTAAGACATAAATGAATGTGTAAGGGCACATATATAAACAAATACAGTAAATGTGTATTTATTTACATACCACATCTTATAGAAGTTGAGATAAACTTTAAAGTTCTTCAAAGAGTCAAAGGATGAGATAAAATATGGATTTTAAATACTGCTTCTTGAACTGACTCTGATCTTAGAATATATTTCATTTTGCTCTAAAAGTAGAAAAGAACAAGTAAAATGTCATGAGTTTTCATAATTTTTTGGTTCCTTCTATTTCCCCTTGTTTTATTTGTATTTAAGTGTTTTTGCTTCCCAAGAAATGATGGTAATGATAATGGCGATGATGGTGATAAAAGGTAGGAAGACTATTTTATTTGTTTCTATCTCTGCTATGATTTGAATATGACTTGTCCTCAGCAAAACTGAGGACAAGTTTTGCTGTTGAGGCTTGGTCTCCAATGTGGCAGTGTTGGGAGATGATACCATTGAGAGGCAATTGGGTCATAAAGCGTACTCCTTTATGAAGGGATTAATGCAGTCACTGGGAGAGTGAGTGAGTTTTTGCTTTCCTGGACTGGATTATTTGCCAGAAAAGTGGGGTGCTATACAGCAAGTCTGCCTCACAAGTTTGTTCTCTCTGCACACACCTGCTTCTTTCACTTCTCTGCCATGTTGACACAGCACAAGACCCTCCCCAGAAGCAGAGCAGATGTTGGCACCATGCTTCTTGGACTTCCCAGCCACCAGAATGATGAGACAAATAAGGCTGTTTTTTAAAATAATTTATGCAGCCTCAGGTATTCTACTACAGCAACACCAAAGAAACTAAGAAAATGGATGCTGGGAAGTGGAGTTGTTGCTATGCCTGAAAATGTAGAAGTAGCTCTGGAACTGGGTACCTGGCAGAGATTTAAAGAGTTTGAAGGAGCAGACTAGAAAAAGCCTAGATTCTTGTGAGGACATAGAAGACGAGAATACTAGGGAAAGTTTGGAACTTCTTAGAGATTAGTTAAGTTGTGGTGACTGAAATGTAGATAGGAATATAGACAGTGAAGGTCATTCTAATGAAGTCTTAGATAAAAATAAGGAGTATCTTATTGGGATTTGAAGTAAAATACAGTTGTGAAGAACTTGGCACCATTGCCTCCCTGTCCTAGGGCTTTATGGAAGGCAGAACGTAAGAGTGATGAATTAGGATTTCTGGAAGAGATTTCTAAGCAAAATATAGAAGGAACTGTGTGGCTACTTTTGGCTGCTTAAGCTGAGATTCAGGAGCAAAAGAGTAATTTAAAGACAAAGTTTATAATTAAAAGGAAAGCAGAGTCTGAAAATTTGGAAAATTTGCAGACTTAACCATGTAAATAGTAAAAACGCATGTCCTGAAGAGAATGCTGAGGGTGGGTGTGGCCCAGCAACAAGTTGCTAGATATTAGCATGGATAAAAGGGATTCAGTTGTTGTGCATCAGGACAATGGGAAAAAGGCCCAGAGACCTAGGAGAACAAAATGGTTTCAGGGGACAGGTTTGGAATGTTCTCCATGAATCTGCTGCCCAGGACCACCTCTAGTTGCTGCTCCTCACGTCCAACTCACATCCAAGACACTTCAGTCTTGGCTCAAGTGGTCCCAGGTGTGACTCAGGCCACTGCTCCAGAGGGCACAAGTGTAGGCCTTGTTGCCATTCACTACCAAGTGGTGCTAACTCTGCACATGTGCAGAATGCAAGAGAAGTGGAGGCATAGCACTTCTGTCCAAATTTCAAAGGATGTATCCGGAAGACTGGGGGCCCAGGCAGAGACTTGTGGCTGGGGCAGAGCCACCCCAGAGAGCCTTCACTAAAACAATGCTGAATGGATATGTGAGGCTGAAGCCAGAGTCACCCTCACAACCCCAGAATTGTAGAGCTCTTGGCAGCCCGTAATGCTAGTCTGAGAAAACCACAGGCTCTAGTGTACAACCCTAACCTTTGAGAGCAGCCATATGGGCTGTACCCAGCAAAGCCACAGGGGAGGAGCTGTCTGATTCCTAGGGGATCCACACTTGTAGCAATGTGTCCAGAAGGTGGCACATGGAGTGAAAGATTATTCTGGAGCTTTAAGAGCTAATGTTTGCCCTGCTGGGTTTTGGACTTACTTTGTTCCAGTTGCTCCTTTCTTTATTCCTATCTTTCCTTTTTGAAATGGGAATATTTACCCTATGCCTGTTTCATGATCATATTTTGGAATTAGATAACTTATTTTTCATTTCACAGGCCCACACCTGGACTTTGGACCCTTTGGGTTGATGCTAGACCATGTTAAGACTTTGGGGACTATTCAGATGGAATAACTGTATTTTGCACTATGAGGAGAATGTGAATTTCCTCACAGTGGAGGGCAAGGGGCAGAATGCAACGGTTTGGATATGGTTTGTCTCCATCAAAACTCAAGTTAAAGTTTGCTCCCTAATGTGACAGTGTTGGGAGGTGGTGCTTTAAAAGACGTTTGAGTCATGAGGGATCTACTCTCATGAAGGGATTAACAGTCTCACAGGAGTGAGTGAGTCCTCACTTCTACAGGACTGAATTCATTTCTGCAGAGCAAATTAAGGCTGGCCCTCGTATTTGCTCTCTTTACACATTCCTGCTTCATCTTCCGCTTCTCCATGACATTGTAATGCAGCATGAGGCCCCCGCCAACAGGCAAGCAGATGCTGGTGTGTTACTTCTTAGACTTCCCACTCCCCAGAATCATGACAGAAATTATCTCTTTTCTTTATGAATTACCCAGCCTCGGATGTTCTGTTATTACAACATTAAGCTGACTAACTCAGTGTTATGGGTCATATAAAAAGTTGGTTGTCTATTTCAGATGCTCCTCCTCACTATTTTTTGTTCCACATTCTGGAAACCACTGATCTAGTAAGGTCTTATTTATTTATTTATTTATTTATTTATTTTTGGAAGAAGACACTACTACATAGACTGTGTATCAAATGACACTTTTTACATAGATGGTGACAGGGTGATAGATGTCACTAATACCAACACCGTCCACAACAAGTAGTAATTCTTACTTAACTCTTTTTGGTTATCTGCCCTGTGCAGGTGTTGCTTTGAATACTTCAACTGGTTAAATTCATTTAATAACCACTCTGTGAGGGAGATACATCTACCCTCCTCAGAGTATTAAAGTGCCTCTATGGATACATATTTTTAAAAACGTATTTGACTGTGGTTCACCATAAGAAATATATTTTACAACATGACCCAAATACACACATCAGAAGAAAAGTATTTTCTCTTCTTTTTCATTTTAAAAATTTTTTTATGAACTAGAAAATGTTATCCCTTTCTTCTCCTTCCGTTTCCTCCCCCTCCACTGATATCACCATATGTTGAAACCAGTTTACATCATCTAATTTAGTATCCACAGTATCCTTGGGATACACATTGTTATTTCCATTTTACAAGTGTAGCTCTGAATACTAATTTAAATCTCACACAAGTACTGACCAGCTAATAGGAGGCAGTGTTAGGATTTAGACCCAGATCTGTCCATTTCAAAACACTGGTTCTTTCATCCTGCATTGTAAAGCCATGACAGACATGACATCTATCTGTAAGGGTGGTGCTTCAGGTGACTACGTAGCTTGTGTGTAATGTTCCTGTGATTTAGTCAGATTCTTTAAGTAGACGATATGGTTGCACAGTAGCATGACTCATCATTTTGTGTGTATGCATAATATTGCTTACAATACAATATTATACATTGATTAATTTATTAGGTATATATAGTATGAATATATGCTCTTCATATATTCATATAATGAGGTCACAGCTTTCTTAAATTTAAGCTTTACTTAAAGTTATAGCAAAGAATGCACAACCTTCAGGACAAAATACAGGCAGCAGAAAACAGCATATTATAAATAATAAATATATGACATATAACAGATTCATTAATTTATGATATTATATACCATATAATATTAAATGGAGCATAACACTATATACTCCATATTATTAATTAAAATATGTATATACCCTCTAAAATTATATACCCTATAAAATTAACAGGTGAAAATCTGACAAAAATATGCTGAAATCCATCCTAACTAAAAATTCTCGAACACTTATACAATTATAACAGAAAAGATATCAATTGAATTTTAAAATCCAAGTTTACATAACTGATAAACTGCCCATTGGAATTTAGTATACAAAAGTTATACATGAAAGATAATATAATACAAATTTATTATTTTTCTTTTTTCTGAACCATTTTATTTCCCAGTGTTTTTTACCTTTGGGGTAACATAGCCATCTGGCACTTAAACGTCACTTAAAAATAAAGTTATAGCACAAAATGTATAGGCTTTAGGGCAAAATATGAGCTACACACAAGAACAGTCTGAAATATATGAACTGAAGAGGCACACATTATTCTCCTTTAAACCTCCCCCCGGGGCATACATAAGCATAGCACCATTTCAGATTCATCCAGAATGGGATGCAATTCAAATGTTCTCCATGTGATATTCTCTAACTGGAAACTGACTTCTTGAGTAAATGGTTGCACTTGTGTTAGCCTGAAACTATAATGTTGAAATATCACTTGTTGTAGCATATTTATTGTGATTTGAGTGGGGAAAAATGGTATCCCCTTAGTGCCCCTCGATATAAAAGAAATCATTCAAAAAGTGCTATTAATCATTGTTGAAGTTGAATGTCTTATACATGAGGATCTATTAGACGATCTATATTTGTTTATATTTTAAAAAGTCCTGTTAAAAAAGTTTTGAGAAATTTCAAAAATACCAAAAGTTGCTACAGATATGATAAGACTCAATATATCTTCCTGGTAGCTGTGTAAAGTATGAACAAGTATTTCAGAAATAAACTTGGCAATATATGTAAATGCCATAAAGATACTGAGAGTCTTGAAATTCCACAGCCTTACTCCTTGGAGTTTAAGGTAAATAAATAATCTAAAACAAAAGAAAAACAAGAAAAAAATTGTATTATCTAAAATAGAAAAAATCTGAAAATAATTAAAATATTTTACATTACAAATAAGCAAGAAAATTGTTTTACCTGAATGGAATATGTTTTGATGGTTCAAAATTAATCATGTATACAAATAAAAACATTTCTATAATATAATAATAAAAATCTACTTATCACTAAGTTTCATGAGGGTAGAGGTTATCTATTTTTGCTTTTTATTATATTCCTAAAGTCCAGCAAATTATTTGCTTATATTAGGTATTCAGTTAAAATGTATCAAATGAGCAAAAATTTTTACAAAAATGGTATAGTTAGATAAATCAGGAGTGGAAATAAATACAAAAAATAAAGAGAGATGATTTGTTAGCTTTTTGTTGGAGCTCTCAACTGATGGATTATTTTATACTTTTCCATTTATCTAGTTCTTATAGTTCTATTTGCATAATAAAATATTAAGGAAAATGATTTAGATGGTATATATATATATATATATAGTGAGATTATTAGGACATTGGCCTTTAAAAGTAAGATCCTCTGGTTTGTAATTTGCATAAAATATTTGTTCATTCTGTGTGTATGGCATTGCCCTGGGCTCCCAGGAAGGAAGCCATGGGACTTTGCTTCCGCCTCTCATTGACAAGGTGAGGGAGGTGGGCCTCTTAAACTCTACATGTCCTTTCAGCTTTTAAACTTACCAGATGATATGTTAGCTTGTGATTCATGTGGCAGTTGGAGTTGGATGCCAGCTCCTCTACACAACAGCTGTACGTCCGTAGGCAAATCATTTTCTCCTCTTTGAATTGTTTTCTTCATTTGAAAAGACAATAGGAAGGATTAAATAAGATAAAGCATGGAAACACTGGATATGGTTCTTAGTACATGGTGAGTATATAATAAATACCTGAAGGAGAAGCAGCATTTCACAGATTCTGCTACATATATAACAGAACATGCCCTTTTCCAGCAAGTCTCTTGCGTTGCCCTGTTCTACCCGGCAAGGACCCAGGCACCAAGGAGTGACGATGAAATCATATGGTTTTTCTTCTGTGGCTTATTGATATGGTAGACTGCATTGATTTATTTTTTAATGCTGAACCAGCCTTGCATACCTAGAAGGAATCCCACATAGTCATGGTGTATAATTCTCTTTATATATTGTCAGATTTCATTTACAAATATGCGCTGAGGATTTTTTACGTAAACTAATAAGAGATATTGGTCTGTGGTTATTGTTTTGTGTACTGTCTTTGCTGGGTTTTAGTATCAGAGTAAAACGAGCTTTCATAAAATGAGTTGGGGAGTGCTTCCCTGTCTTCCACTTTCTAAAACAGGCAAAATTGGTATTAATTCTTATTTATATCTTTGGTAGAATTTCCCCATGAAGCCATCTGCACCTAAAAGTTCACTTTTTTTGTAGTTTTTAATTGCATATTTAATTTATTTGATAGTTATAGAACTGTTCAGTTTGTCTACTTAATCTTGATTGAGTTTAGGTAGTCTATGGCTTTCAGGGAATTGGTGTGTTTCTTTTCAGTTGCTGTATTTATGAGAATGAAGCTGTTGGTTGGTTGTTGTTCTATTTACCTATCTTTTAATGACCGCTGAATCTATAGCAATATAGTAAATTATTGATGTTGGTGATTTGGTATGTCTTTTCTATATGAGTTTTGTGATAATTCTATCTATTTTATATTTTTTAAGAGCTGACCTTTTATTTCATTGATCTTTTTTCCTATAGATCTTTATTTTCGGTTCATTTGATTTCTGCTCTTAATATTTCTTCTGTGTGCTTTGGGTTTATTCTGTTCTTTTTCTCATTTCTTGAGGTAGCAACTCAGAGTATTATTTTGACAACTTTCCTCACTTTAATGTAGTCATTTAATCATATAAATATCCCTCTCAGCTGGGCTTTAGCTGCATCCCACAAATTTTGATATGTTGTTGGTTTTCATTCACTTCCATGATATTTTTTTTCCTTGAGAATCTTCTTTAATTCATTAATTATTTACAAGTGTATTGTTTAATTGCTACACATTGAGAGATTTTCCTGTTTCCTGTTACTGATTTTTCTGTTTGATTTCATTGCTGTTCTAGAGCACTCTGCATGATTTTATTTCTTTTAAATTTGATGAAGTATGTTTATGATAAACATGTTCTATCATGGTGAATGTTCTATGAGCACTTGGGAAAAAATGTGTATGTTTCTCTTATTGGGTGAAGTATTCTGTATATGTCAATTACATCTTTTTGGTTGACTATATTGTTCATGTTGTTTATATTCTTGCTGAGTTGTGTCTAGTTGTTTAATACTGAACAGGAAATGTTGAACTCTTCAGCTGTAATTGTGGATTTGTCTATTATTCTTTTCAGCTCCATTGGTGTTTATTTCATGTATTCTGAGGTTCTGTGTTTTAGTGAATACACATTTAAGATCATAATGTTTCTTGGTTGATTGATCCTTTTTTTTTCTCATTATTGTAACATTTTTCTGTGTCTCTAGTAATTGCCTTTGCTCTGAAGTCCATTTTATCAAATATTAATATAGCCACTCTTGCTGTTTTTAAAAAATAATGTTTACATGGTATATCTTTTTGCATCTTGTTTACCTTCAACCTAACTAGTAAGTTGAATTTGAAGTGAGTTTCCATTTTTTAAGTAGCATATAAGTGGGTCATATTTTTTATCCATTTTACTAAGCTCTGTTTTTTGATTGGCATATTTAGACCATTTAAATTTCAGGTAATTAATATATTAGTGCTTTATTCTGCCATTTTATTATGTATTTATAGTTTTCTCTGGTACTTGCTCTTTTGTTTCTTTTATGTCATCCTTTGTGTTACTTGAACATTTTTTAGGATTCCATCTTGATTTATTTACAGTGTTTGTGAGTGTATCTGTATTTCTCATAATAGTTGTTCTGGGTATTAAAATATATGTACATGACCTTTAATAGTCTACTAAAGTCTACATTTTATTATTTTTGTGAAACTTGGAAACCTTCCATTTAGGTCCCTTTCTTTTCTCCACTTTAAATATCATTATCTTGGGTGTCAGATGGTGTTACCATTTTGTCTCAGTCATCAAATGTGATTTAGAAACTTATGATAAAAATGATAGACTATTTTATGTGCCCATATTTCTACTTTGTTGTTACTTATTTCCTGATGCTCCAAGATTCCTTCTTTTGTTATTTCCTTTCTGTTTAAAGAGCTCTCTTTCAGAGATATACTAGCAATACATTATTATTATTATTTGTCTTAGAAGGTTTCCATGTCTCCTTTATCCTTGAAGGGTAGTTGCGCTGGATATAGACTTTACAGTGAGCAGTTATCTTCTTTCAGAACTTGAAAAGTGTTGTCCTTCTAGCCTGTGTGGTTTCAATGAGGAAATATACTGTCAAGTAAATTGATGTTCCCTACAGGTTGCATCATTTATCTTTGCTTTCAAGATACTTCCTTTATTAGTTTTCAGAAGTTTAATTGTGGTATATCTTCACATGTTTCTTTAGATTTATCCTTTTGGAGATTAGTTCAGCTTCTTTAGCCTATAGGTTTGTGTCTGTAAAATTTGGAAAGTGTCCAGCCATTATTTCTTGTACTACCCTTTAGCTTCACTCTCTTTCTCTTCTCCTTCTGGGATTCTGATAATACAAATATTGAATCTTTTGTTATTACACAGGTGACTGAAGCTCTCTTCGTTTTTATCAGTCTGTTGTCTGTTTTTACATTAGGTAAGTTCTGATGTGTCCTCTACTTTACAGATTCTAATCTCTGTCATCTATACTCTTGAGCCCATCCAGCCAATATTTTTATTGTTATCATTGTAATTTTAAGCAATATTGTTTTCACTGGGTTCTTTTTCATAATATTATTTCCCTTGATGAAAGTCTGCAGTTTGTTCATTTGTCCAAGAGAACTCATAATTAATTGTTAAATCATTTTTATGATGGCTGTTTTAAAACCTTGGTCAAATAATTCCAACATCTGATTTGTTTCAGTATTGGCATCAGTTGGTTATCTTTTCTCAATCAAGTTGTGATTTTCTTGGTTCTTAGTATGACAGGTGATTTTCACTTGCATCCTTGAAATTTTATTTATTGTGTTAGGAGGCATTGTGTCTTATATATATGTTTTATTTTAGCAGGAGGTAGCCACTGTTAAAATTTGGCATGTGGGTGTTGGCCTGCTTCTGTGGACTGCCATTCCAATGGCAGTTTAATTTCTGGAGTCTTTGCAGAGCTATTTTTGCTAGGTTTGTTTATAAGTTGCTGCTCAGGCTCCCATGGGTTCCTGATGGTGCTACCCAAGAGAGGAGAAGAGCAGTTTCCCAGGTCAGCCTGCTTGGTGGAGGAGCACTGTGGTGGTATCTTCCTATTTCTCCTCAAACCCTGGTTTCTCTAGGTAATGGATGAAAGAAATACAACAGTCATGGGCCTGCAGGGACAAAGAAGTTAAAAGAGGCTCAGGGACAAAGGGGCCAGGCTTCTTGCTATTGCTGGGCCCCTCACTCACCCTTCTTAGTGTCCCTGGATTAGGGAGAAAAGGCTCAGACCCGTGGTGACAAAGAGGCTTCCTGGACCAAACTCTTGCTACAGCTGGGTCTCTCTTACTGGTTTGGCCTTCCCTGCCCATCTCAGTATCTCTCAAGAGAAAAAAAGAATCTCAGGGCCAGCAAGGAAAAAAAGTCCCTCTCCCGATTGCTTATTTCTGATGTGATTCCCAGTAGGTCTTCCTTGAAAGATGTTAGTCTCACTTGATGTTGTCAGAGGGATTCCTGCATGAGGAAAGCATAAACCTACCTTGAACGTCTTCTGTTGCTAGGTTGTGAGTCTAGACATACTGAGTCTGGGTCACCTTCTGTTGGATAGGGGAACACAAGTAGCCTGCCCTTTGGCTGTTCCTCTAGTCCTTGGTTCCCAAAACAGATCACCTTCTTTTACCACCCTTTAAAGTTATTTGATTGCACCTCCTGAAGGGTTTATAGCTGTGCTTAATGAGGAAGACCTGAGAAAAATGGGTCTATGTCCACTTGTCCAGAGAGAAAGTATAAAACATATTTTTATGGCCACCTTTTTCCTCTATCAAGTGATGCCCAATATTTTATCCATGAAACTCATCCTGCGTCCCTCTTATCAGTAGTAGAATGTGGAAGCTTCTGGGCAGAGACCTGTAAGCAGCTGATGTGTATATTGTGGGGAGGTGGTCTGACCTTTAATCTTGTACTCAAAAGTCAGCAGTGCTAAAGTATCTCTCCATAGACCATGTATTCATTGCATGAGTAAAACATCATCTACCTAGTGAAGAAACCCAACAACATCTTGACTCAGTTATCATTATCAATGGGGACAACTAGACACTGTGAGCCTCTGGACATGATATGCTGAGAATACCTGCATAGTGCTCTGATCAGGAATGCTTAATTGTAATCTTATCATCAGAAAACACTAGAACAAAGTCAAAATGAGGGACAAATGATTCTTTTAGACATGAGCCTATATATTTTTTAAAAAATGATGTCATAAAAAAACACAAACAAGCTGAGAAACTTTTCCTGAGTGAAAGAGACTGAAGAGGCATTACATCTAAAAGCAAAACACAGTCCTGGATTAGATCTTATAATGAAAAAAATTGCTAAGAAGTACATCATTGCATTATTGGGACAAATAAAATATTCGTAACATGGAAGTAGATTAACATGGAGTGTCACTGTTGAAGTTTCTGATTTAGTAACTTTACTGTGGTTATATAATATAATGCCCTTGTTTCCAAGAAAAATACACTGAAATATAAAGGGATAAAGAGAAGCAACTGCATCGAATTAAGAAAAATATAATTATAGATATAAAAATATATAGATATAGATGTATGTGTGTGTGATTATACCCACACACACTCAGAAAGAGACAGAGAAGGAGAATGTGTTAAAAAATGTGACAAAATGTTAATTGGTGAAAGGATATATGAAGTTTTCTGTATTATTTTTGCAACTTTTATGTAAGTTTTAAAATATCGAAAAATAAAAATTAAAGAATAAAAATAGGGTTAATACTAATACATCTATTCTCATAGATACTATAGAAAAATCTAGGAATAGGAATTCTGGCCCTTGCTTTGTCCACTTAAGATTTACCAGCCACTAGAGAAGGCCATCAGGTTATTTAGAACTTGTGGCCATGTCTAGCATGGTCATGAAGTGGCTCTCTTGGTCATGAAGTGGCCATCATGATTAGGGCCAGGCTTTGGAAGTCTGAGAGCCCTGGATAGGGATATGAGCTACTTTCAGTCATGTGTAAACCTACAATTTATGTCATCTCAATAAATAAGCAGTGAGATGTTTTAGAGGTGACCACATCACAGCCAAGCTGTCACATTAGGCCATGACTAAAAGTGGCAACGTTTCCCATGGGGTTTTGGAAACCACATATACTTCTCTCATGGAGTATAAGCCCACCCATTATGTTCCATGAATTCTTCCTTCCATGATCAAAAGCAACTGGTTTTGATCCTAGAATTATCTAGATTTACTACAGTCTCTACCAACATGGGAGGTTTCAGTGCGTGGCTCGATTTATTTATTTTTTCTCTCAGATTTATGTTTTCTTACAGATTACATGTTAGCACTTCCACTTTGCAAAGAATGTCTGCATGTTCTTTTTCATGTAATTCTTTTGTGCCCTTTAATAAGAAGAGATAGGAGAGTTGGGTGTCTGGCATATACATGAGCCTCATTTGTATAATTAAATAGAGATAATCTCACTCTTGGTATCTCTAAGAAAAGAGCATAAATTTGAAATCAGTCACTGATTCTTGAATTTAAGTCCTAACTTCACCATTTATTAGCTCTGTAGCCTGGGCAAAGGTTTAACTTTTCTGAGCCTCAGTTTCCTCTCATGCATAATGAAAATACTAATGCCCATATCACAGGGTGACTGTAAAGATTAAAGATCATATATTTAAAATTGTGGGATGTGATAGGAACTCAACAGATATTACTAACAATCAATAATAATTGTATTATTGATTCTTCTTCCAGGAAGTCCAATCTTTTGAAAACAATCAATAAGGAAATTTTGTTCAAAGAACTTTTCTAATTCCATTAGTCCCAGATTTCCTCATCATGTAGTTTCTTCAACACAAAAGAAGTATCCTCTCTTCAAGTATATACAAAAATAGCCTGTTGGGGTTCTATAGCTTGCTCAGAGAAAATATTTCCCTAGCATTTCCCACAAGTAAACCTTGCCTCCCTTTTTTTTTATTATCGAAGTCCCCACAGATAATTGTTTGTCCACTAGAGAAGTTAATGTATGAAAGTGACTTATTGAATGACCTCTCCCAAGGGGCAATAGCCTACAATGCATTTACCCTACAGGGTTTAGAGTTGGGGACAGTAATTTGGGTTGGGCACAGTAATTTGGGTTGGGCAATGTTTTAAAAGCCGATTGTGCCATGTGGCTGACACTCAACTTACAAGTAGACTGGACCCTCATTCACGACTGTCCTTGAGAAGCATGAACATTGTTTCTTGTTAAGCAAAATACCTTAGTTTAGCTCTTGTGTTCTAATAATTAGGAGTGTGAGCTCTGAGGCCAGATTCCCTAGGGTTGAATCCGGATTCTGGTATTTCACATTTGGTTGATATTAGGTTGATGGGACATGATGAGGATTTAAAGATTCAGTGTACATAAAGCACTTGATCAGTGTGTGTGACCAGCAGTAGATTCTCAGTGTTTTTAACATAAATTTCTTTTATGAAACTGTATCTCTAGAAGGCATTTGAGACATCGCCTAGTTCAGTGGTTTCAAACATTTCCTTTTAGCTATAAGAAGTTTTTTGCCCCATATAAAAATGTATATAAAATTTCAATCTGTAAAAGAGACCTGTTCTGATTAACTTAAAGCGGATGAGGCCAGAGCCCTCCACTTTCTGTTGTCCTTGGCTGCCTCCTTCCACTGGGGTGAATGCAGAGTCATCTGTGCAGAGTTGCTGCAATCTGGTTATTTATTGCTATGTAACAAATAATGGGAAAACAGTGACTGGGAACACTAAAAATTGCTGATTTTGCCCTAAATTTGGGAGTTGACTAGGCTCTGCTAGGCAGTTCTTGCTCAGATTTTGCCACGTAGTTGCAATCACTTGGTGGCTGGGACTGGAGATCTCAAAGGCTTCTTTGCTCCATGTCTGTCTAGATGGGAAGAACGGGGATGCCTTGGATATCTCTAACTTCCCATAGATAGTCTTTCTGCATGGTGGCCTCAAAATCTCTGGGCTTCTTTTCTGGCACTTGCAGGCACCCAGAAAGTGTCCCAGCAGAAACCAGCAGAAGATTCAGGCCTTTCCTAACCTAGCCTTGGGAGATACATGGAGTTTCCACAATGTTCTGTTCCTCTGGGTAGTCTCAAAGGCCCACCCAGTTTTAAACGGAGATGGCACAGATACTGCCTCCTGATAGTCAATGAATTTGCAGACCTTTACAAAACCATCAAACGCTGTAATCTAGAGATCCCTGATAGAGTAACTTCATTTATAATGCTTAATGATGATAATGCTGCTGACATCAATAAAAGCTAATGTTTACTTGGAGATTACTTTCTGGTAGGCTCTATTTTAAATGCTTTACATGTTTATTCTCACAAAATTCTCTGAGTAGGGACTTATTTTCAGATGAGGAAACTGGGTCACGGAAGATGAAAATGCTTCCAGATTACACAGAGTATAAAGGCAGAGTTGGCAATTAAAGTTCAACTCTTGAACACTCCCAAGATAAAACTGTTGAAGTGGAAAAAGCAGTGATCCAGCAAAAACCTCACAGTTTAATTGTAGAGTTGGCCTAGACACCATTCTTTTTTTTTTTTTTGAGATGGAGTCTTGCTCTGTCGCCCAGGCTGGAGTGCAGTGTTTCAATCTCGGCTCACTGCAAGCTCCGCCTCCCAGATTCACACCATTCTCCTGCCTCAGCCTCCCAAATAGCTGGGACTACAGGTGCCCGTCACCACGCCCGGCTAATTTTTTGTATTTTTAGTGGAGACGGGGTTTCACCGTGTTAGCCAGAATGGTCTCAATCTCCTGACCTTGTGATCTACCCGCCTTGGCCTCCCAAAGTGCTGGGATTACAGGCATGGACACCATTCTTTCTAATTCTCCTCCACCATAGCATCTTTTTGTCTTTAACTCTACATTATTACTTATGAGCTATTTTTCCAAATTTGTTTTGACATACCAGGTTAAGGTATCTTCTTGAATTCACTATGAAGCTCATAAAAGCTCTTGTCTCTTTGGTTTTTAGCTTCCTTTTGGTCCACTGTATATAAAATAGTCTATTGCATCAAATGCATTCTATTCATATATCAACCATCATCAAATTTGGAAGAAAATTATTTTTGTTTGAGATGTATTAGAGGTGTCATCCCCTTCAATGATGATAAGAATTCAGAGTCGGTGTTTGCTTCACAATGCATTGCCCTAAGCTGTAGCTTTCTTTACTTGGAATTCCAAATTCAGCTCTTCTGCCAGGGGGCCAGTTTCTTCAACTTGGTCTGCAGGAAAAGATCTTGAAGGAGCATTGAACCTGACCTTATCCAGTCATCTCCATTCCTAATGGTTTGGTTGCCCAGAGGCCTGGAGGGAACTTCATGTGATATTGGACGATACTGATTAAATTTGTTTATCTAGCTCATGAACACTTGAAATCCAACTATGATGGATTGGATTGTTGTTTGTCAAATCTTCACTCACATCCCTCAGCCCCTTGGGCAGATGTACTTCACTTCCTGCTGACATGAGTTGAGCCACATGACTTCTTTTGGTCAGTGAACCTTTATCAAGCATGACTAGGGCAGAGGCATAGTTTGGCTGAAGTCTACTCTCCTGACATTCACCATGTGACAGACGTGCACTGGGGATACAAGGAGGATGAGAAATACTTGGTACAGACTCAAGCCCAGGCTGCAGCCTACTTCCGAATCCAGATATCCCACATCATGAAGCAGTTGTCCTGCTGAGCAACCTGCCTCAACCAAATCAGTCAAACTGCAGATCTGTGAGGGTGAGAAGAAATGTTCATCTATGCAAGACACTGAGGATTTTAGGCTTTTATTGCACAGTATCAATGAAGTAAAAAGATAACTAATGTAACAGCTGATCTTTATTGACTATATAGAGTGTTGACTTTATTATTGAGTACCTAAAATATAATGCCAGATACTGTCTAAGCATGTTCCATGCATTACTTCTTCTGATTCTAAAACAAGCCCATAAAGTAGATAATATCATTATCCTCATTTCAGAGGCTTAAGTTTTTGCCTTTGATGAAAATGATTCAAATAATTTATCAAAACTCACCCTTTTGAACATGGCACAAAAGTGGAATTTGGATATTCTTATTAAGATCAGAAAAGCAGGTGTTTCTGAAATTCTTGAGGAACACTTGCAGCTTCTGCTTTTTAAGAATTTATTTTGCCATTGTCATGTAGGCATGACATGATTAAGGCTGCCATTTATTGACTACGTGAGTCAGACTCTATGCTTTGATCATGACATTTAATGGACAATAGCCATCTGAGTTTGGCACTAGTTTTATCAGCTTATATTATAGACGGACAGCTGAGGTTTGGAGAGGTTAGCCTATGTGTTTAAGGTCACACAGATTGCAGCTGATTCATCTAGAATTCTAACACAGGACTTGACTTCTTATCGACTACACTAAGCTACCTATTATGGTACTTATTTCTTTGCTGCACAATTTACCATGATTCCTATAGGTTGTTCATAACCATTTTCTTTGTAGGAAGCATATATTTCATATTTGAGCTATTTGAACAGCTTTTGCAATTACAGATTGATACAAGGCACTATGTTCAAGGCACTGTGCAATGCAATGGAAATAAACAATTGGAAACAGTTTGGAACTGAGTGTCAGAAAATCCAGGTTCTGCTGTCCCACAGTCATACAGCATAAGAGCATAAGGGATGTCATATAAAACCTGCAGTTGAGTTTTCTATCCTACGCAAGAATTTATTGCCTCATTTGATGGATAATGCAGCCTTACATAGTGGTTCTTTTTCACTTTGTAAAAAAAGTTGGCTTTGGACTCAATCAAAACTGGACTGAAATTCTGGCCCTTCTGCCTGCTGCGTATAAATTTCACTTAGCTATGTCACCTTGCTAAGCTTCACTATCCTTATCTATAAAATCCTAAGTGTAGAACTAACATCGCACTCTTGCAGAGCAGAGGGTGAAATGTATTAAAGCCCTCATCTCAGTGACTGCCACAATAAACAGTCAATAAGTCATATAACAACAACAACTCTTAAAAGGAATTGTGTCCAGTTCCCTCAACATTATGTTCATTTATATTTGGATATATTCCTGTTTTAATATATTACTCCTAAAAATATCACACTTAGAATTGAACACCTTCTTCTAGTTGATTTTCAATACCAGTTGAAAGTACACAAGACACAAAATAAGTCTGTTTTCTCTCCCTAGGTCTCAGTTTCCTAACATTAAAATGAGACATTTGGGTATCAGAAACTTTTGATTTCTTCCAAGTCTAAGAACAAAATCAATAGCAAAACTGGCAAAAAAAATAAAAGCATAATTCGAAGATGAAAAATCTGGGCAAATGTTAATTCTCGTGTGTGTGTGTATGTGTGTGTGTGCACACACACGCACAGATGTATGATTGCCCTACTTAATAGATTCACTATTTTTTCTGTCCCACAGAATGTTCTGTGTGTTCTGTGTCCTGAGAAACTCAGAGAAAATGGATTGTAATTTGGCAATTAACCAGCATACACTAAAATCCTTCTCTACTGGTCAATAAGTAGCTACTGTTTCCTAAGTGGATGAGGATATTAGTGATAATAGGTTGTAGTTTATGTTGTTGCTGTTGTTTGCATATTCATCAACATCATTTTAATTCTAACGCAACCCTGAAGAGTGATAAATTCCATTTTACAGATAAGAAACTGTGAGTCCAAGTGCCTAGATGATTTCCATTGAGTTTTAAAATGTGACTTAGGAATCTCAGTTTAAATTTCTGCCCCACTTCTTTGCGTATACAATAGACTTAGTAATAACTTATACATGTAATTTGCTCTATGGGATATGACTGTCCCTGTCACTATACTGTGTCTACTTACAATCACAAGGAGCGCCTAGAAAGCTGGGCAGAGGAAAACCATATAGGATGATGTGATTGCTTCCCCAGCAGCAAGAAAATCCCCCATATCAGTATTTCTGGCAAAATCACATGTTCTAAAGGATTTCAAAATTTATTGAAAATTAAAAATTCCTGATAAAAGAGAGACCAGATAATGTTTCTCCTCTTTGTTTTCCTCTGTCATATCTCTCCTTTCCAGATTCTTAGTGTCATGGGAACAAGTCCAGGGAATGGCTCTTTTCTAGATGACAGTGACCTTTCCACCAAGAGAATAAAATGTGCACGCACATGCACACACACACACACTTTCTCAGGATTTGCCTGAGTCCTCCTTATGTATCACATCAAATGCAATATATTTCAGTTCTTTTGACTTCTAGGATTATTCCAGGCAGATTGCATACCCACTATTTGGCACTTCTCTGGTGATTATTCCTTCTTTTCAAATCGATTCTGCTGAAAACAGTATCTTCTAATCATTCAGTACAGAGTGGATCGCCCACTCTGTACATGCACTGTCTGTAGATGGTGCTAATGTGGTGTATGATAGATGATTACTTCTGTATGTTAGAAGGGATTGGAAATGTCGGCATGTTTGTCACTGTTGTTTTTTAAATCCTCTGAAGTCAATTGCTAATTATAAAAGCTTGTAACTTTAGGGACTTAACCAATAACTCCAATTGAACTGTCAGCTTTTTCAGGCCAGACGAGATATATAAAGATTTTCATCCTAACTGCTTTAATTAATGAATGCAGAGCTAAGGCAACTTATAGGTCAAAATGCTGCAACATTGTTATAGCATTATTGCCTCACATGCTACCAAACTAACAATAATCTGTTCTCTGTGGATGGACACTGGGAATATCAACAGATGCACTTTTATAGAATACCTACCCATGTACCTAATATATGAGAATATAAACAAAATATCTGACATGTTTGCAACTCTGAAAAGATTTAAAATTATCTTGGGTAACAAGCCTCAAATGTATGAAAAAAAGTTGAGACTCAATAAAAAATTTTGTGGTATAATACTTTTAGAGAAAGATAATATCATTTTTGGAGTAGGATTACCTCATAAGGATTTTATTATCACAAGTGACTGAGAAGAACGAGAATAAGGAGAGACCAGGGCACATTAATAGGTCAGATGGCTGAACCACTTTTCTTGAAATTGCCAAGCTTTTTCCTGCTTCTTTGTACTTCTTCTTCCCTCTAGGTAGCATATTCATGCCTCAGTTCTCCAATCAGCTGCCTCCTTCTCTTTAGATAGATCTGAGCTCTAAGATTATACTCCCCCATCTTAGAGTAATTCCTCTATCAACATATATCTTAGTTTACTTTCTCTTACTATAAAAGAATACCACAGACCGAGTAGTTTATAAAGAAAAGAAGTTTATTTAGCTCACAGTTCTGGAGACTGGGAAGTTCAATAGCATGGTGTCTGCATCTGGTAAGGGCCTTCTTGCTTGCCATAACATGGCAGAGAGCATCACATGATAAGAAAAGGCAAGAGCAAAAGAACCAGAAAGAGGTTGCTTTTTATAATAAAGGCACTCCCACGATAATGAATTCAATCCCATGATAGCAACATTAATCCATTCATGAGGGCAGAGCCTCATTAATTCATTAATTTATTCATTCATGGGAATAGAGGGATTCAATTTTCAACAAATAAACTTTGGAATACACATTTTAGCCATAGCATTCTGTCTCTAGCCCCCAAAATTAATGTCCTTCTTACATGCAAAATAATTAATTCCATCCTAATAGCCCCACAGTCTTAACCATTCCAGTATCAACTCAAAGTCCAAAGTCCAGAGTCTCATTTAAATCAGATATGAGTGACTCAAGGTATGATTCATCCCATGGCAAATTTCCTCCAGCTGTGAACTTGTGAAATCAAAACAAGTTATCTACTTTCAAAATACAATGGTGGGACAGACACAAGATAAACATTCACATTCCAGGAGAGGGAAAGGAAGCAAGAAAAAAGGCATAACTGGTTCCAAGTAAGTCAAAAATCTAACAGGAGAAACAATATTATTCATTGAAGCTTCAGAATGATTTTTCACTCTGTGTTGCCTCCAGGACACAGTGGGGATTTGGACCCCCTCCTCCACAAAATTTCTGGCAGCCCCACCCCTATGACTTTGGAGGGCTCCGCCTATGTAGCAGTTCTCACAGACTGAGTCCCTTGCCTGCAGTTGTCACAGGTTGGTGTTACACACTGGTGGCTCTACAATTCTTGAGTCTTGAGGGTGACCCTGACCCTATGGCTTTACTGGGCATTGCCCTAGAGGGAGCTCTTAGCAGCAGCTTTGACTTCAATCCCAAATTTTAGCTCAGCTTTGGCTGACTGTGGTCTCTCTGCAGTAACTCTACTTGTGTGACAAACCACCGTGTGGTCTATGTCTAGGCCCCTAGACTTTTGTGATATCCTTTGAAATCTAATTGGAGGAAGTCATGTGTTCACAGCTCTTGCTTTCTGCATGCCTGCACAATTAGAGCCACATGAACACTGCCAAGGCATGTGACTTATGCCTTCGATGACTTATACCTTCTATAGTTTATACCTTCTGAAGCACTGGGACCATTTGAGCCATAGCTGGAGAGGCCACCATGTGCTGGAATGCAGAGAGCAGAGACCTGAGGTGGCCCTTGCCAGCTGCCCAACCCCTTAACCATTCTGCCTTCTTGGAGGTCTGGGCCTGTGATGGGAAAGGCAGCCTCAAAGATCTCTAAAATGTCTTCCAAGTTTTTCTCCCAATGTCTTGATTAATAGCCTCTGGCTTTCTTTGATCCATACTAATTTCCTTCTCAATGGGTTCCATGTTGTTTCATTCTCTACCGCATCACCAGGCTGCTAGTTTTCCAAATCTTTGCACTCTGCTTCCCTTGTAATTATAAATTCTGTCTTTAAATCAACTCTTTCTTCTATATTTTACTGTAAGTGGTTAAAAATAGCCATTAAGCAGCCTGCATGGTTTGTAGCTTAGCTATTTTCTTTGACCAGATATCCTAATTTATCACTCTTAAATTCTGCCTTCTATAAAACCCTCAGGCACAGGCACAGTTCATTGTTACCTAATAACAAGGTGGAGGAGGGGGTCTTAATTCCAGTTTCCAACACCTCCTTTCTCATTTCCATCTGAGACCTTATCAGAATAGCCTTTTCTGTCCATATTTCTATCAACATTCTAGTCATAACTACTTAAGTAATCTCTAAGGTCCAGACATTCCCTAGTCTTCTCTTATTCCCAGCTTTCACTCGAATCACTCTTGATGCCCCATTCATGATAATAAAGACTTTTTCTAGCCTACTCCTCCAAATTCTTCCAGCTTCTGCCCATTACCCAGTTCCAAAGCCATGTCCACATTACTAGGTATTTGTTATACCAACAATCCCACTTCTTAGTAGAATTTTCTGTCTTAATTTGTTTTCTGTTGCTATAAGAAATTACAGATTGGGTAATTTATAAAGGAAAAATGTTTATTTAGCCCACAGTTCTAGAGGCTGAGAAGTCTAAGAACACGGTGCCTGTACCTCATACGGGCCTTCTTCTTGTGTCATAACATGTCAGGGCATAAAGGCTCTTGGCAAAAAGGCAGGAGCAGGAGAGTCAGATACAGTTTATTTTTACAACAAATCTATTTCCCAGATAATAAACCCTGTCCTGTGAAGACAACATGAATGAGGGCAGAACCCTCATTAATCCACTAATCTACTCATGAGGGCAGAGCCAACATTAATCCATTAGTGAGAGATGAGGGATTAAGTTTCCAGTACATGAGCTTTTGGGGGAAACATTCAAACCACTGTACCATATTTAAAGAAACATACCATAGCTCTCACACCTACCATCTTTTATCAGACAGCCTTCATATCACCATTTTTATAATTATGTCTTCAGTGTGAGCTTCTACAAGCATAGACCTATTGTTTACCCAACAGTGAATCACAAATGCCTGACAGATTGTGGGCATTTAAAAAACATTAGTTGGATAAATGCTTTTCAGATAGGGATATTTTATTGTAAACAGCAGAAATTGACTCTGGTTAATTTCAGAAAAGGGGATTAAATGGAATTTTCTCTTTTGAGCCTAGAGAACCAGGCTGAGAAAGAGGCAGGGAAAAATCCAGTCTAGACAACTTGGAAAGAGGAGCCACAGCAGTGGGCTTATTGCAGAGTGTCTGGTCAGGACACAGCTACTGGGACAAGCAAATACCAACTATATATTTTGGAAACTTCTGGAATTGTTTCCACATAGAGAAGTGTAAACAGATGGGAGTCAAACTGAGTCCTGAGAAGGAAAGAAGCTATAGCATTTTGTAACTAATGGAAAACGTTTCTTCTAAAAAAGTATTCTCTATGCTCCAAAGATTTGTCAGACTAAAGAAACTATTTTGGTTCTGATAAGGTATGCAAGCTAATTAAAACCAATTAACCTATCAGCAGATAAAAGCCGAGGCCAAGTCCTCTCTTAATGCATAGTCCAATTTTAGAACAGGTATAGTTCTACTAACTTTTGATATTCAAGACACAGTGAATAGACCTGAGTTGATTATTAACTGGTAGTTATGATTGAGGAAGAACTAGATTATTCTAGCTGTTGTGCTTTTATAAAATACTGCTTATTTTTATAATTCAGTGTATTTTATTTCTCTTTTAAATAATTTGCACTGTAAAATTTGGGGCTCAGTTTTATTTCAAACAAGACAGAATGCTTACATATTTTTATGCCTTAATGTGGTCTGAAAATATATACAAGTTCTGGTTAGCTTTTGCTTGTTCAACACTTATTTCCATTCTTCCGATAACTGCACCTTGAGTTTTTTCTTTGGGCAATCACTCCTCTTCCTCTATGCTTACTCCAAGAATAAATATGTGGCTTCTGAGAGCAGAAAAAGATAATCTATAATATTGTTTCTTTTACCTGGAGAATTAAAAACTAAAGTCACATTTTCAATGTCTGTGTGCTGAAAGCTCTGGTCTAGATAGTTTTCTTCAGATACTTGCCAATTTTTTAGTGCTGGTTGATTCTGTGAATAGAGATGATGAGGGTAATAGCTGTAGTGAACCTATCAAAACCAGAATATATGGGCTAGGGTTTAGTGATAAAATACCATTAGAGGTGAAAATCAGATTTATAATTAGCCATGTGAGAAAAAATAGAAAATAAAGATTAAGCCAGGGAGTGGTAAATAATAGTTGAGATTTTTGAGAGAAGGCACCAATCTGTGCCTTAAATTTAAGTTTCTTCATGCTCCTTCAAGTGATATTTTACCTTATATTTAAAAACAAAAATAATTTTTTGTCAATAAACATTTATAGAGTAAATAATATTAGTGTATAATTATATACACATGCACACACATATGAATATATATGTCACAATAAAAAAGAGGTTAATTGGTTATATGACCTGCTAAATACTCATGAATGATTTTCTTACAGATGTGTAATTCCATTAATGAGCAATATCATGGTGAGTCTGGAATATATTCCCAAGGGTATCTTTAGCAATCATTTAAGCTAGTTTGTTTTCACTTTAGGGCATTGAAAAATTGTTTTTGGAAAAACGGTTCTTACGGCATTTCCTGCAAGAAAATTAAGGAAGATGAAATAAGAGGTTCAGCATTCATAAAAACTTTGGGAAGGTATCAATGTCCTATTAGAGTCAGCTCAAGATATTTTTATTTACCATGCATTTCTTGAGTTCTTGCTATGAGTCCAGCACCATCTTCATTTGATGAAATAGGCATTCCTAAGTCCATCTGCATTGGCAAGCGAAGACTAGAAGAGGCAGAAGTTTGGAACTCTCTGCTCCATATGACAGTTGTTTCTCCTTATCTGTGGTTTCACTTTTCAAAGTTTCAATGACCCATGGAAAATTTCAGAAATAATAAGTTTTAAGTTGCACATATTCTGAATATTATGGCAAAATCTTGGGCTGTACTGCTTCATCCCACCCAGGATGTGAATCATTCCTTTGTCCAATGTGCCACACCAGGTATGCTACCCACCCATTCATCACTTAGTAACGATCTCAGTTATCATATCAACAAATCACAGGGAGAAGAGGGTGAGTACAGTCTAATAAGATATTTTGAGAGAGAGAGAGAACAAAAGAGAGACCACATTTATGTAACTTTTGTTACAGTATTTTGTCATAATTGTTCTATTTTATGATTAGTTGTTATTAATCTCTGCACCTAATTTATAAATTAAACTTCATCTTAGGTATTCACATACAGTTTGAAAAAACATAGTAGACATTTGCCAATCCCTGACATGGAATCTAACGGGGCTACATAGGATGGGTACTATCTGGCGTCTACTGGGGTCTTGGAATGTATCCTCTGCAGATAAGGAGGAACTAATAAGATGTATTGTATGTATGTATACATCCTCTGCAGATATATGTATCCCCTGAAGATAAAGAGGAACTAAGTAAGATCCAATCTGATAAGCCACTTCATAGTGAACTTTCACTATAATTCCTCTAGGAAGAGGTGCATTCACCCAAGTGAGTCAAGCCTAGAAAAGACAGTCTTAGGGTCAACCCAGTAACAATGTTTCTTTAGTAGCACTTTAGAAAGCCATGGTAGAGAAGGCAGCCACAACTCATTTTCTCTGAGTACGTGACAAGCGGGGCCAAGGCTTATATTTTCAGCTGGGGAAATTTTTTTTTTAATATTAGGACAGACCTCCAAAATCTAAGTATCAGGGGATTGAAAAAATAACAGAGGAGAGGAAGGATATAGAATCACCAGTGAAGGCTTGAAAAGTAAGAACTCTGATTTTGCCTTTTTAATTACCTGTCATCTTGGAAAAAGAGAGCTAAACCTGGAAAACTTGGAACATAAGCCAGTGTTATCTGTAATATTTATTTGTT